>NC_000008.11:119464222-120714222 GCF_000001405.40 Homo sapiens
TACAAAATACTGTGGCTGACACCACCCACTGGAGTGCAGTAACCAGCAGTCCAGAAGCACCTTGCACCCCCACCACCCCCACCCCAGCGCAGTAGATTCTTAACCTCAAGGAGACAGAGAGCAAAGTTGGGGCCTGATACAAGGTCTCTAGAGTTAGAACTCATAGTCCTGGAGTTGAGAGCTGAGTGTTGCCTCCCTAAAATCTTCCAGAAACAAAGCCAGTCAGCTGAATCCACCTTATATACATTCAAACCCTTAAGTCATCAAATAGAATAAAATTTCTAAAAACCCATCCAGAAGTCATCAGCTTCAAAGACTGAAGGAGCACCAACCCACAAAGATGAGAAAGAACAACCCCAAGAACCAACCCTGCAACTCAAAAAGCCAGAGTGCCTTCTTTCCTCCAAAACAACAACACCTCTCCAGAACCAGGCTGAGTAGGTGGAAATGACAGAAATAGAATTCAGAATATGGTCAGGAATGAAGATCATTAAGATGCAGAAGTATGTTGAAACCCAATTCAAGGAAGCTAAGAATCACAATAAAGCAATACAAGGGCTGACAAACAAAATAGCCAGTATAGAAAAGAATGTAACCAACTTGATAGAGCTGAAAAACACGCTACACAAATTTCATAATGCAATCATAAGTATTAATAGCAGAATATACAAAGTAGAGGAAAGAATCTCAGAGCTAGAAAACTGGCTTTCTGAAATAAGACAATCAGACATGAATAGAGAAAAAAGAATAAAAAGGGACAAACAAAACCTCAGAGAAATATGGGATTATATAAAGAGACCAAATCTAGAATTCATTGGTGCCCCTGAAAGATATGAGAAGACTGTAAGCACTTCAGAAAACATATTTCAGAATATTATCCAAGAGAACTTCCCCAACCTAGCTAGAGAGGCCAACATTCAAATCTAGGAAATGCAGAAAACCCCAGTAAGATGCTTCACAGGAAGACCATCCCCAAGACACATAATCATCAGATTCTCCAAGGTCAGAATAAAATGAAAGAAAAAATGTTAAAGGCAGAAAGGTCAGGTCACCTACAAAAGGAGGCCCATCAGACAAACAGTGGACTTCTTAGCAGAAATCCTATAAGCCAAAAGAGATTGGGGGACAATATTCAACATTCTTTTGAAAAAAGAAAAGAAATTTCGACCCAGAATTTCATTCCCAACCAAACTAAGCTTCATAAGCAAAGAAGAAGTAAGATTCTTTTCAGACAAGCAAATGCTGAAGGAATTCATTACCACCAGACCTGCCTTACAAGAACTCCTGAAGAAAGCACTAAATATGGAAAGGAAACACCATTACAAGCCACTGCAAAAACACACTTAAATACACAGACCAGTGACACAATAAAGCAATGACACAAACAAGTCTGCATAGTAACAAACTAACCTCATGATGACAGGGCCAAATCCACACATATCGACACTAATCTTGAATGCAAATGGGCTAAATGCCCCCAATGAATAGGCACAGTGTGGCAAGGTGGATAAGGAACCTTGACCCATTGGTATGCTATCTTCAAGACACTCATCTCACATGCAATGACACCCATAGTTTCAAGATAAAGGGGTGTAGAAAAGTCTACCAAGCGAATGGAAAACGATGAAAAGCAGGGGGTGTAATCCTAATTTAAGACAAAACAGACTTTAAACAAAGAGCAAAAAAGACAAAGACAGGCATCACATAATGGTAAAGGGTTCAATTCAACAAGAAGACCTAACTATTCTAAATACATAAGCTCCTAACACAGGAGCACCCAGATTCATAAAGCAAGTTCTTAGAGACCTCCAAAGAAACTTAGACTCCCATGCAATAATGGTGGGAAAATTCAACACCCCACTAACAGTATTAGACAGGTCATTGAGGCAGAAAATTAACAAAGATATTTAGTATCTGAACTCAGCACTGGATCAAATGGATCTGATAGATGTCTTCAGAACTCTCCACTTGAAAGCAACAGAATATACATTCTCCTCATTGCCACATGAAACATACCCTGAAATTGATCATATAATTGGACATAAAGCACTCTTCAGCAAATGCAAAAGAACTGAAATCATAACAACCACTCTCTCGGACCAAAGCACAATCAAATTAGAAATCAAGACCAAGAAATTCACTGAAAACTATACAATTACATGGAAATTGAATAACCTTCTTCTGAAAGACTTTTGGGTAAATAATGAAATTAAGGCAGAAATCAAGAAATTATTTGAAACTAAGGAGAACAAAGATACAACATATTAGAATCCCTGGGACACAGCTAAGGCAGTGTTGAGAGGAAAATTCATAGCACTAAATGCCAACACCAAAAAGTTAGAAAGGTCTCAGTTTAACAGTGTAACATCACAACTGAAGGAATTAAAGAACCAAGAGAAAACCAACCCAAAGCTAGCAGAAGACAAGAAATAACCAAAATCAGAGATGAACTGAAGGAAATTGAGACATGAAAAAATATTCAAAAGATCAGTGAATCCATGAGTTAATTTTTTGAAAAAAATAATAAAACAGATACACCACTAGCTAGACTAATGAAGAAGAAAAGAGAGAAGATCTAAATAAACAAAACTAGAAACACCAAAGGGGGTAATCACTGACCCACAGAAATACATATAATCAACAAAGAATATTATGAACACCTCTATGCACATCAACTAGAAAAATCTAGAAGAAATGGATGAATTCCTGGACAGACACCCTCTCAAGACTGAGCCAGGAAGAAATTGAATCCCTGAACAGGCCAATAACAAGCTCTGAAATTGAATCACTAATAAATAGCCTACCAACCAAAAAAAGCCCAGGACCAGACAAATTCAGAGCCAAATTCTATCAGATGTACAAAGAAGAGCTGGTACCATTTCTATTGAAAGTATTCCAAAAAATGAGGAGGAGGGACTCCTCCCTAACTCATTGTATGAGGCCAGCATCACCCTGATACCAAAACCTGGCAGAGACACAACAAAAAAAGATAACTTCAGGCCAATATCCTTGATGAACATCGATGCAAAAATCCTCAACAAAATACTGGCAAACCAAATCCAGCAACACATCAAAAAGCTTATCCACCACAATCAAGTAGGTGTTATCCTTAGGATGCAAAACTGGTTCAACATACACAAATCAATAAATGTAACTCATCACATAAACAGAACTAAAGACAAAAGCCACATGATTATCTCAAAAGATGCAAAAAAGATTTTCAATAAAATCAACACAGCTTTATGTTAAAAACTGTCAATAAACTAGGTATTGAAGGAACAGATCTCAAAGTAATAAGAGCCATCTATGACAAACCCACAGCCAACATCATACTGAATGGGCAAAAGCTAGAAGCATTCCCCTTGAAAACTGGCACAAAACAAGGATGCCCTATCTCACCACTACTATTCAACATAGTATAGGAAGTTCTTGCCAGAGAAATCAGGCAAGAGAGAAAAATAAAAGGCATTTGAATAGGAAGAGTGGAAGTCAAACTATCCCTATTTGAAAATGACATAATCTTATATCTAGAAAACCCCATATTCTCAGCCCAGAAGCTCCTTAAGCTGATAAACAACTTCAGCAAAATATCAGGATATGAAATCAATGTACAAAAATCACTAGCATTCTTATACACAAACAACAGTCAAGCCAAGAGCCATATCAGAGCCATTCACAATCACTTCAAAAATAACATACCTAGGAACTCAGCTAACCAGGGAAGTGGCAGATCTCTACAAGGAGAACTACAAAATGCTGTTCAAAGAAATCGTAGATGACACAAACAAATGGAAAAACATTCTATGTTCATGGATAGGAAAAATCAATATTGTTTAAATGGCCACACTGCCCAAAGCAATCTATAAATTCAATGCTACTCCTATTAAACTACCAATGACATTCTTCACAGAACTGGAAAAAAAATTCATATAGAACCAAAAAAGAGCCTAAACTGCTAGGGCAATCCTAAGCAAAAAGAAAAAAGCAGAAGACATCATGCTACCTGACTTCAAACTATATTACAGGGCTACAGTAACCAAAACAGCATGGTACTGGTACAAAAAAACAGGCACATAGACCAATGGGAACCAAATAGAGAGTCCAGAAATAAGGCCACACACCTACAATTATCTGATCTTCGACTAAGCTGACAAAAACAAGCAAAGGGGAAAGGATTCCCTATTCAATAAGTGGTGCTGGAATAACTGGCTAACCATATGCAGAAGATTGAAACTGGACCTCTTCCTTACACCATACACAAAAAGTAACTCAAGATGGATTAAAGACTTAAATTTAAAACCCAAAACTATAAAAACTCTGGAAGACAACATAGGCAGTACCATCCTGAACATAGGAATGGGCAAAGATTTCATGACAAAGATAACAAAAGCAATTGCAACAAAAACAAAAAATTGACAAATGGGATCTAATTAAACGAAAGAGCTTCTGCACAGCAAAAGAAACTATCAACAGATAGACAACCTACAAAATGGGAGAAAACTTTTGCAAACTATGCATCTGAGAAAGGTCTAATAGCCAGCATCCGTATATTTGAATAAGGAACTTAAACAAATTTACAAGCAAAAAACAACCACACTAAAAAGTGGGCATAAAACATGAACAGACACTTTTCAAAAGAAGACATATATGCAGCCAACAATCATATAGAAAAAAAGCTCAACATTACCGATCATTAGAAAAATGTACATCAAAACCACAATGAGATACCATCTCACACCAGTCAGAATGGCTATTAATAAAAAGTCAAAAAAAATACAGATGCTGGTGAGGTTGTGGAGAAAAAGGAATGCTTATATACTGTTTAGTGGGAGTGTAAATTAGTTCAACCATTATGGAAAACAGTGTGGAGATTCCTCAAAGACTTAAAACAGAAATATCATTCCACTCAGCAAACTTATTACTGGGTATCTACCCAAAGGAATATAAATTGTTGTTCTATTATAAAGACACATGCATGTGTATGTCTATTGCAGCACTACTCACAACTACAAAGACATGGAATCAACCTAAATTCCCATCAATGGTAGACTGGATAAAGAAAATGTGGCGGCCAGGCACAGTGGCTCACACCTGTAACCCCAGCACTTTAGGAGGCCAAGGTGGGCGGATCACAAGGTCAAAAGAAGGAGAGCATCCGGCCAACATGGTGAAACCCCGTCTCTACTAAAATACAAAAATTAGCTGAGCATGGTGGTGTGCACCTGTAGTCCCAGCTGCTAAGGAGTCTGAGGCAGGAGAATCGCTTGAACCTGGGAGGTGGATGTTGCAGTGAGCCAAGATTGTGCCACTGCACTCCTGCCTGGCGACAGAACGAGACGCTGTCTCAAAAAAAAAAGAAAAAAGAAAGAAAGAAAATGTGGCACATATACACCATGGACTACTTTACACCCATATAAAAGAATAAGATGATGTCTTTTGCAGGATCATGGATGGAGCTGGAAGCCACTATTCTTAGCAAAGTAACAGAAGAACAAAAATACAAATACCACATGTTCTCACTTATAAGTGAGCTAAGTGACCAGAACACACAGACACATAGAGGGTAGTAACACACCCTGGGGCCTATCAGAGGGTGCAGGACAGGCAGAGGTAGAGGATCAGGAAAAATAACTAATGGGTGCTAGGCTTAATATCTAGTTGATGAAATAATATGTACAACAAAACCCCATGACAGAAGTTTACCTATATAACAATCCTGAACATGTACCCCTGAACTTAAAACAAAAGTTAAAAATACAGATAGATAGATAGATAGATGATAGATAGATAGATAGATAGATAGATAGATAGATAGATAGGTAGATAGATAGATAGAAGCTTAAAATCTGTGAGATATAGCTAAAGCTTTTCTTAAAGGTAATGTACAGTATGAAATGCTTCTATTAGAAAAGTTGTATGGCATTCACACTTCAAAGATATATGTTTCCCAGTAGTCATGCCTTTATGTAATCCCCTCCAACACTGAATTAGAGTTGACTGTGTGACCAACAGATTATAGCAGAAGTGAAAATGATTGACTTCCGAAGCTAGGTCATAAAAAAGCATGCAGCTTTCACTTTGGCCTCTTGAATTATTCACTCTTGGAAAAACAGCCACATGGTGATGAAATCACTCAAATATTAGAAAGACATGCAGAGAAACTTGCCAGCCACGTGAGTGTAGCACACTGCAAGTGGACCTTCCTGTCCCACTCGAGCCTTCAGACAACTGCAGCCCACCAGATATCTCACTGCAACTCCAAAAGAAACTCCAACAGAAATTTAGAATGTCCTAGCTGAGTCCCTTCTAAATTCCTTATTCACAGAACCCATGAACATCATAAATGGTTCTTTTACTCCATTCAGTTTTGAAGATGATTTGTTATGCAGCATTCGTAACTGGAATAAGAAGTGGATAAAATTATTGATCAAAGCTTTTGCATAAAAAACCTAAAAGAAGAAAGTCACCCACTTTTGGACAATAGTGGTTTGAGCAAGGTTCTTTTTGATTATCTATTTTCTTAAGCTCTCTGCTAAGTGGTCTGCCTTTGTTGGTGTTATATCCAGCTTTTAGCCTCCACTAAAAGAGACTATTTTTAAAATAGACTAACCAAAAATCTTATTTCTTTGAAAATTTTTTTTCTAAATGAAGGCAAAACAAAGACATTTCCAGAGGAAAAAAACAAAGATTTTGTTACTGGTAAACCTATCACACAAGAAGTATTAATAGAAGTAATGTTAAATAGTAAATAGTGGAAGTTTTTCGTAAATAGTAATGGAAGTAATAGTAAACAGTAAAGGAAGCTTTTCAGCCTAAAAGCAAATGACCCCTGTGTAATTTGAAATCATATAGAAAAACAGAGCACTGGTAAAGGTAATTATGTAATTACCAAAAAGAGTATACTTGTACAGTTCTCCTCTTAAGTGATTTATAGACATACGTATCAACAGAGCAGAATAAAAAACCCAGAAATATATCCACACAAATATACCAACTGATTTTTTACAAAGATACAAAAGCAATTCAATGGAGGAAAGAAATTCAAATGGTGCTGAACCAAGTAGACATCCATAGGCCAAAAGATAAACCTTGACTTCAGCCCACACATAATATAAAAAAAAATGGATCATAAACATATGTAAACGTAAAACTACAAAGCTTTTAGAAAAAACTGTAGAAAATCTTCAGGATTTTATACTGGATACCAAAAGCATAACCTGTTTTTTTAATAAAAAATTGGACCTCATCAAAATTTAATTTGCTCTGCAAAACATACCTATAAGAGGATAAAAAAGCAAGCTATAGAACGGAGTAAAACATTTGCAAACCACATATCTGGCAAAGAACTATTATTCTCTGCAATATATAAAGAATTCTCAAAACTCAACATTAAAAAAAATACTCCAATTAGAAATAGGCAAAAGACACAAAGAGACATTTCACTGAAGAGAATATAGATGGCAAATATGTACATGAAAAGATGTTCAAAAACATTAGCTGTCAGAGAAATTAACAGCTAATGGAAATTAACAGTCACAATGGAAACTACACACCTATTAGAATGATTCATAAAAAGTAGTGATGACCCCAAATGCTGAATATGTGGAGAAGCTGGATTGCTCACACATTGCTGGTAGAAATGTAAAATTGTACAGCCATTCTGGGAAATAATTTGGACATTACTTTAAAAATTAAACATGTAACAACCATACCATTCAGTAATTGAAATCTTGTTCATTTATTTCAGAGAAATGGAAACTTATGTTCACATAGACACCTGTACACTTATGTTCACAGAAGCTTTATTCATAATAGCCAGAAACTGGAAAAACCCAGATGTTTTTTAATAAGTGAATGATTAACAAGCAATGATACAGCCATACCATATTTGGTAGGCAGAATAATGGCCCCACAAAGATGTCCATGCCCTGTCTCCACAAACTGTGAATATGTTACCTTACATGGCAAAAGTAACTTTGTAGATGTGATTAAGGCTATAGGCTAGTAAGCCATGAAAGCACGTTCAACATCACTATTTATGAGACAGTACCTCATACACATTAGAATGGCTAAAATTTAAAGTACAAAATATGGATAAGAAATGTAGAGCAACTGGAATAGTCGTTCCTCATTACTGGTAGTGTAAAAGTGTACAACCACTTTGGAAAGGATTTTGGTAGATCTTTTTTTAAAGATAAATATACCCCTATCTTATGACCCGGCAATTCCACTTATAGATGTTTACCCAAAATAAATGAAGGCATGTGTTCACAAACAGACTTGAATAAGAATGTGCACAGCAGCCTTATCTAAAACAGCCAACCCTGGAAACAATTCTAATGTCCAGCAACAAATAAATGAATGAATTATGGTATGTTTATTCAATTGAATACTACTATAAATAGTGAACTCCTAGGATCACAGAACTGGTCTCTATGTTACTGTGGTGGGAGCTATGTGATTCTATGCATTTTTCAAAACTCATAGAACTGTACCTCACAAAGAATGAATTTTACCATATGCAAATTTTTAAAACTCAATCACGATGGTGGGAAGAAACCAAGATAGAATGCAGAGTGTAACAAGTGAACCTAACTTTATTACAAATGAATGGCATACACCAACCAGATGGGGTAGAGAGAAATGAGCTGACCTATCTTTCTTTAGAAGTGTTTTGACTATATATAATAAGGTTAGAGAGTAAAAATGTACACAAACACCATATTCTAGTTGGAAAATTCATTTTTCACAGAGGTTTGAGGTACCATTCTGAAATAATTTTCAGAATGTTTACTAGGGTTGAAAAATTTAGTAAATAAATTGCAGAGAATGAGAGCCAAGTTTCTCAGTGTCAGAAAAAGAAGTTACAAATAATCAAAGGGGAGTTGTTAGAATGAACCCTGTGGTGCTGCTGGATTCGAGTCAGGGATATCAGTGCGATCTCATGTTCATCCAAATGTGTGTATGTATGTACTAGAATCTGTATATCTATCTGTAGGTATATCTTTGTATATACAAATAGACATATACAGAAATAAAAATAGGTTTATGTGTACACATGTGTTAGTAGACATACATACATTTCCTAGCTCTGTTGTCTGACAGAGCCTGGAGGTAGTGCCACTCCAGCAGCAAGACACACATTGGGTACCCAGATTTTGGTTTCAAAATACCATCCTCCCATATAAGAAACCAGGATTCCTTGGATTAATGGTCAATTCTGGGACTTGAACAGGAAAAATACAACTTGCACTACATGAGCCTAGAGCATAGTGTGGTGCCAGAGAGAAAATAAGTGATTTAAAAAATGAAAAGGTAAAGGCCACCTGAAAGAAATGCCAATGGTCAATGCAGAAACAATTTGAGCAACCAAATGAATAAAACTTTTGATGATAACCCAAAGAATGAAATATAAATAGCCATGAGAGTTAATACTGATATAAATATTTGAAGAAATAGTTGGGGATGAAGGGACAACCCTTTATTATGGAAGAATTCTAATTAATAAATGAGGCAGAAATGAGAAAAATAGGAAATGATCATTAGAACACTGTAATAATCATTGCTAAAGGCAAAATTCACTGATGAATGCTAAAATTAATGGGCCAAGCTTTCTATCCCTTTTTGTTTTTTTTTAATTTATTTATTTATTATTATTATACTTTAAGTTTTAGGGTACATGTGCACAATGTGCAGGTTAGTTACATATGTATACATGTGCCATGCTGGTGCGCTGCACCCACTACCTCGTCATCCAGCATTAGGTATATCTCCCAATGCCATCCCTCCCCTCTCCCCCAACCCCTCAACAGTCCCCAGAGTTTGATGTACCCCTTCCTGTGTCCATGTGTTCTCTTTGTTCAATTCCCACCTACGAGTGAGAATATGCGGTGTTTGGTTTTTTGTTCTTGCGAGAGTTTACTGAGAATGATGATTTCCAATTTCATCCATGTCCCTACAAAGGACATGAACTCATCATTTTTTATGGCTGCATAGTATTCCATGGTGTATATGTGCCACATTTTCTTAATCCAGTCTATCATTGTTGGACATTTGGGTTGGTTCCAAGTCTTTGCTATTGTGAATAATGCCACAATAAACATACGTGTGCGTGTGTCTTTATAGCAGCATGATTTATAGTCCTTTGGGTATATACCCAGTAATGGGATGGCTGGGTCAAATGGTATTTCTAGTTCTAGATCCCTGAGGAATCGCCAAAGTGACTTCCACAATGGTTGAACTAGTTTACATTCCCACCAACAGTGTAAAAGTGTTCCTATTTCTCCACATCCTCTACAGCACCTGTTGTTTCCTGACTTTTTCATGATTGCCATTCTAACAGGTGTGAGATGGTATCTCATTGTGGTTTTGATTTGCATTTCTCTGATGGCCAGTGATGGTGAGCATTTTTTCATGTGTTTTTTTGGCTGCATAAATGTCTTCTTTTGAGAAGTGTCTGTTCATGTCCTTCGCCCACTTTTTGATGGGGTTGTTTGTTTTTTTCTTGTAAATTTGTTTGAGTTCATTGTAGATTCTGGATATTAGCCCTTTGTCAGATGAGTAGGTTGCGAAAAGTTTCTCCCATTTTGTAGGTTGCCTGTTCGCTCTGATGGTAGTTTCTTTTGCTGTGCAGAAGCTCTTTAGTTTAATTAGATCCCATTTGTCAATTTTGTCTTTTGTTGCCATTGCTTTTGGTGTTTTAGACATGAAGTCCTTGCCCATGCCTATGTCCTGAATGGTAATGCCTATGTTTTCTTCTAGGGTTTTTAGGGTTTTAGCTCTAACGTTTAAGTCTTTAATCCATCTTGAATTGATTTTTGTATAAGGTGTAAGGAAGGGATCCAGTTTCAGCTTTCTACATATGGCTAGCCAGTTTTCCCAGCACCATTTATTAAATAGGGAATTCTTTCCCCATTGCTTGTTTTTCTCAGGTTTGTCAAAGATCAGATAGTTGTAGGTATGCGGCGTTATTTCTGAGGGCTCTGTTCTGTTCCATTGATCTATATCTCTGTTTTGGAACCAGTACCATGCTGTTTTGGTTACTGTAGCCTTGTAGTACAGTTTGAAGTCAGGTAGTGTGATGCCTCCAGCTTTGTTCTTTTGGCTTAGGATTGACTTGGCAATGCGGGCTCTTTTTTGGTTCCATATGAACTTTAAAGTAGTTTTTTCCAATTCTGTGAAGAAAGTCATTGGTAGCTTGATGGGGATGGCATTGAATCTGTAAATTACCTTGGGCAGTATGGCCATTTTCACGATATTGATTCTTCCTACCCATGAGCATGGAATGTTCTTCCATTTGTTTGTATCCTCTTTTATTTCATTGAGCAGTGGTTTGTAGTTCTCCTTGAAGAGGTCCTTCACATCCCTTGTAAGGTGGATTCCTAGGTATTTTATTCTCTTTGAAGCAATTGTGAATGGGAGTTCACTCATGATTTGGCTCTCTGTTTGTCTGTTGTTGGTGTATAAAAATGCTTGTGATTTTTGTACATTGATTTTGTATCCTGAGACTTTGCTGAAGTTGCTTATCAGCTTAAGGAGATTTTGGGCTGAGACGATGGGGTTTTCTAGATATACAATCATGTCATCTGCAAATAGGGACAATTTGACTTCCTCTTTTCCTAACTGAATACCCTTTATTTCCTTCTCCTGCCTAATTGCCCTGGCTAGAACTTCCAACACTATGTTGAATAGGAGTGGTGAGAGAGGGCATCCCTGTCTTGTGCCAGTTTTCAAAGGGAATGCTTCCAGTTTTTGCCCATTCAGTATGATATTGGCTATGGGTTTGTCATAGATAGCTCTTATTATTTTGAAATACAGCCCATCAATACCTAATTTATTGAGAGTTTTTAGCATGAAGGGTTGTTGAATTTTGTCAAAGGCCTTTTCTGCATCTATTGAGATAACCATGTGGTTTTTGTCTTTGGTTCTGTTTATATGATGGATTACATTTATTGATTTGCATATATTGAAACAGCCTTGCATCCCAGGGATGAAGCCCACTTGATCATGGTGGATAAGCTTTTTGATGTGCTGCTGGATTTGGTTTGCCAGTATTTTATTGAGGATTTTTGCATCAATGTTCATCAAGGATATTGGTCTAAAATTCTCTTTTTTGGTTGTGTCTCTGACTGGCTTTGGTATCAGGATGATGCTGGCCTCATAAAATGAGTTAGAGAGGATTCCCTCTTTTTCTATTGATTGGAATAGTTTCAGAAGGAATGGTACCAGTTCCTCCTTGTACCTCTGGTAGAATTCGGCTGTGAATCCGTCTGGTGCTGGACTCTTTTTGGTTGGTAAGCTATTGATTATTGCCACAATTTCAGATCCTGTTATTGGTGTATTCAGAGATTCAACTTCTTCCTGGTTTAGTCTTGGGAGGGTGTATGTGTCAAGGAATTTATCCATTTCTTCTAGATTTTCTAGTTTATTTGCATAGAGGTGTTTGTAGTATTCTCTGATGGTAGTTCGTATTTCTGTGGGATTGGTGGTGATATCCCCTTTATCATTTTTCATTGCGTCTATTTGATTCTTCTCTCTTTTTTTCTTTGTTAGTCTTGCTAGCAGTCTATCAATTTTGTTGATCCTTTCAAAAAACCAGCTCCTGGATTCATTAATTTTTTGAAGGGTTTTTTTGTCTCTATTTCCTTCAGTTCTGCTCTGATTTTAGTTATTTCTTGCCTTCTGCTAGCTTTTGAATGTGTTTGCTCTTGCTTTTCTAGTTCTTTTCATTGTGATGTTAGGGTGTCAATTTTAGATCTTTCCTGCCTTCTCTTGTGGGCATTTAGTGCTATAAATTTCCCTCTACACACTGCTTTGAATGCGTCCCAGAGATTCTGGTATGTTGTGTCTTTGTTCTCATTGGTTTCAAAGAACATCTTTATTTCTGCCTTCATTTCGTCATGTACCCAGTAGTCATTCAGGAGCAGGTTGTTCAGTTTCCGTGTAGTTGAGCGGTTTTGAGTGAGATTCTTAATCCTGAGTTCTAGTTTGATTGCACTGTGGTCTGAGATATAGTTTGTTATAATTTCTGTTCTTTTACATATGCTGAGGAGAGCTTTACTTCCAAGTATGTGGTCAATTTTGGAATAGGTGTGGTGTGGTGCTGAAAAAAATGCATATGCTGTTGATTTGGGGTGGAGAGTTCTGTAGATGTCTATTAGGTCCACTTGGTGGAGAGCTGAGTTCAATTCCTGGGTATCCTTGTTGACTTTCTGTCTCGTTGATCTGTCTACTGTTGACAGTGGGGTGTTAAAGTCTCCCATTATTAATGTGTGGGAGTCCAAGTCTCTTTGTAGGTCACTCAGGACTTGCTTTATGAATCTGGGTGCTCCTGTATTGGGTGCATATATATTTAGGATAGTTAGCTCTTCTTGTTGAATTGATCCCTTTACCATTATGTAATGGCCTTCTTTGTCTCTTTTGATCTTTGTTGGTTAAAAGTCTGTTTTATCAGAGACTAGGATTGCAACCCCTGCCTTTTTTTGTTTTCCATTTGCTTGGTAGCTCTTCCTCCATCCTTTTATTTAGAGCCTATGTGCATCTCTGCCCGTGAGATGGGTTTCCTGAATACAGCACACTGATGGGTCTTGACTCTTTATCCAATTTGCCAGTCTGTGTCTTTTAATTGGAGAATTTAGTCCATTTACATTTAAAGTTAATATTGTTATGTGTGAATTTGATCCTGTCATTATGATGTTAGCTGGTTATTTTGCTCATTAGTTGATGTAGTTTCTTCCTAGTCTCGATGGTCTTTACATTTTGGCATCATTTTGCAGTGGCTGGTATCGGTTGTTCTTTCCAAGTTTAGTGCTTCCTTCAGGAGCTCTTTTAGTGCAGGCCTAGTGGTGACAAAATCTTTCAGCATTTGCTTGTCTGTAAAGTATTTTATTTCTCCTTCACTTATGAAGCTCAGTTAGGCTGGATATGAAATTCTGGGTTGAAAATTCTTTTCTTTAACAATGTTGAATATTGGCCCCCACTCTCTTCTGGCTTGTAGAGTTTCTGCCGAGAGATCTGCTGTTAGTCTGATGGGCTACCCTTTGAGGGTAACCCGACCTTTCTCTCTGGCTTCCCTTAACATTTTTTCCTTCATTTCAACTTTGGTGAATCCGACAATTATGTGTCTTGGAGTTGCTCTTCTCGAGGAGTATCTTTGTGGTGTTCTCTGTATTTCCTGAATCTGAATGTTGGCCTGCCTTGCTAGATTGGGGAAGTTCTCCTGGATAGTATCCTGCAGAGTGTTTTCCAACTTGGTTCCATTCTCCCCATCACTTTCAGGTACACCAATCAGAGGTAGATTTGGTCTTTTCACATAGTCCCATATTTCTTGGAGGCTTTGTTCATTTCTTTTTATTCTTTTTTCTCTAAACTTCCCTTCTGGCTTCATTTCATTCATTTCATCTTCCATCGCTGATACCCTTTCTTCCAGTTGATTGCATCGGCTCCTGAGGCTTCTGCATTCTTCACGTAGTTCTCGAGCCTTGGTTTTCAGCTCCATCAGCTCCTTTAAGCACTTCTCTGTATTGGTTATTCTAGTTATACATTCTTCTAATTTTTTTTCAAAGTTTTCAACTTCTTTGCCTTTGGTTTGAATGTCCTCCCGTAGCTCGGAGTAATTTGATCGTCTGAAGCCTTCTTCTCTCAACTCGTCAAAGTCATTCTCCGTCCAGCTTTGTTCCGTTGCTGGTGAGGAACTGCGTTCCTTCAGAGGAGGAGAGGTGCTCTGCTTTTTAGAGTTTCCAGTTTTTCTGCTCTGTTTTTTCCCCATCTTTGTGGTTTTATGTACTTTTGGTCTTTGATGATGGTGATGTACAGATGGGTTTTTGGTGTGGATGTCCTTTCTGTTTGTTAGTTTTCCTTCTAACAGACAGGACCCTCAGCTGCAGGTCTGTTGGAGTACCCGGCCATGTGAGGTTTCAGTGTGCCCCTGCTGGGGGGTGCCTCCCAGTTAGGCTGCTCGGGGGTCAGCGGTCAGGGACCCACTTGAGGAGGCAGTCTGCCCATTCTCAGATCTCCAGCTGCATGCTGGGAGAACCACTGCTCTCTTCAACGCTGTCAGACAGGGACATTTAAGTCTGCAGAGTGTACTGCTGTCTCTTTGTTTTTCTGTGCCCTGCCCCCAGAGGTGGAGCCTACAGAGGCAGGCAGGCCTCCTTGAGCTCTGGTGGGCTCCACCCAGTTCGAACTTCCCGGCTGCTTTGTTTACCTAAGCAAGCCTGGGCAATGGCGGGTGCCCCTCCCCCGGCCTCCATGCCGACTTGCAGTTTGAGCTCAGACTGCTGTGCTAGCAATCAGTGAGACTCCGTGGACATAGGACCCTCCAAGCCAGGTGCGGGATATAATCTCCTGGTGCGCCATTTTTTAAGCCTGTCGGAAAAGTGCAGTATTCGGGTGGGAGTGACCCGATTTTCCAGGTACCGTCTGTCACCCCTTTCTTTGACTAGGAAAGGGATCCCTTGTGCTTCCCGAGTGAGGCAATGCCTCGCCCTGCTTTGGCTCGCGCACGGTGCACACATCCACTGATCTGTCCCCACTGTCTGGCACTCCCTAGTGAGATGAACCCGGTACCTCAGATGGAAATGCAGAAATCACCCCTCTTCTGCGTCGCTCTCGCTGGGAGCTGTAGACCAGAGCTGTTCCTATTCGGCCATCTTGGCTCCTCCTCTTTTTTGTTTTTTTTTTAAACATACAAAATGGTTTACTTGAATTCAGGAATTGCCCCTATTACTAAGAACTGTTTTAAAGAAACAGTACAAAAAGAAAAATTCTAACCCAAACAACTCAAATGGTTTTCCACTAAATACTGATACAAACATGTAACAAAGAATATAAAAAGTTATTCATTTAAATATATACAAACTGTTTTAAACTCAAATACTGTTTTAATACTTATCGAGGATATATAGGACGAGGTGAAGGAAGGTACGTTGAAAGAGAATATATTGCAACAGCCTAGACAGTACTGTTAACTCTATTATACGGCAAATTTTTGTAACAAAAATGTCTTTTTTATTCCAGTGTGGACAGGGATTTTCCTCATGGAGCATCTGTGGCTATTTCTCGGCTGAGCTCAACCTTTTGGATTTGATGAAGGCCATGCCGTGTGTCCGTATTTAAGGCAGCTTCAGTTTCAAAAGTTTTTGTGCACACTTTGCACTTTCTGTCTGACACGGTGCCATCAGGGGATTATCCTCATGGCTGGGTTTGTTCTCCTGTTGGTTATCTTCCCCAGCCCCATTTTGCTTGGACACTGGCTGAGGTTCCTTTAACTTGTGTACGATGAAGAGGTGCCTGGACAGAGAGACATGAGATGTGTAACAGAGGCCACACTCCCGGTGCTGGTATGAAGAACCATCCGATTTGTGCTGAGGGATGTGTTCGTGGAACTGCAGCAGGTTTTCGGTGGTGAAGCCACACATGGCACACTTGTGAACCTTAAAAACATTGATTTTCAGCTTTTTCAGTGGTTGAGTGATTGCTCCTTGGGGAGGCCTGAACTCCAGAACTGGTTCTTCCAACTTCTGCTTGGGACTGGGGACCTTGGTTGTCTTCTTTTATTTCTGTTTCCTCCTCATGGGTGGCATCTGTCATTTCTTTCAGGTCAGGGTCCTTGATACCATGCATCAGCTGAACGTGCTTCTCCAGCATCAATCGTTTGGTAAAGGTACGTCTGGAGTCTGGGCCTTGCCTGATGCCTTTGTGCTTGATCCGGTTGTGCCAGCACAGGCTGTGGGACAAACTAAAAGACTTGTCACACTGGCGGCAGGGGTGTTTCTTCATTTGCTTCCCGTGCTCATTCCTCATGTGGGATATGTACACATCTCTCTGCATGAACAGGCGGTCACACTCCCAACACGTCCACCCAGGACTGGCCACTTTCTTATTTTCCATTGATTTTTTTTCACAGGAGATGGAGATTTATTTTCCAATTTCTCTTTCCCATTCATGGATTTGGTGTCCCCTTTGTTCTGATTGGCTGAATTTTGAGTTGCAGGCTTAATGCTCAAAGGCAAGTTTATACCCAAGTTTGGAGGCCCTTCAATACTTTCCAATGTTCCATGCATAGACTTGATATGGTCCATCATAAGTTGCTTCTGTGCATATAAAAGAGAACAGTCTGGACACTTGAAAACAGACACCCTCTGGTTTTCAATGTGTTTGTCAAAGTGGTGATACAGCAAGGTTTGCAAGGTGAACACAGTGTCACACATAGATCACTTACATATTATTTTTGGTTCTCCTGTCTTCAAGAGAAACAGCTTATCTGCATAGCCTCAAATTATCTCCCCAGAAATATTTATTAATTACTGTAGTAGTTTTAATGTATGTCTAAAAATTCTTTAATACTCCTCTCTTCAGAGGTGCAGAGGGGAAGCTTAATTTCCCTCACCTTGAGTGTGGACTAAACTTAATGACGTGCTTCTAAAATAGAATATGAAAACAGAGAAAATAATAACTGGCTGGGCATGGTGGCTCACACCTGTAATCCCAGCACTTTGAGAAGCCATGGCAGGTGGATTACCTGAAGTCAGGAGTTCGAAACCAGCCTGGCCAACATGATGAAACCCTGTCTGTAGTGAAAATACAAAAATTTTCCAGGCATGGTGGTGCATGCCTGTAATCCCAGCTACCGGGGAGGCTGAGGCAGGAGAATCACTTGAACCCGGGAGGTAGAGGTTGTGGTGAGTAGCGATCACACCACTGTACTCCAGCCAGGGTGACAGAGTGAGACTATGTCTCAAAAAAAAAAAAAAACAAAACAAAACAAAACAAAAAAAATAACCGTACAGTGAAGAAACCTGACAGATGCCACCTAAACAACTGATAAAAATTAACATAATCCATAATAAAACACATTGACATTATGTGCCCTCAATGTCATGTCACATACCTCTCTGGTACTTTTCCCAAAAATCTGTAACTTCAGCCTAGTCATGAGAAATCATCATAAGAAGCCTAATGGAGTGGCATTTTACAAAAATACCTAATGGCTGCTCTTCGAAAGTGTCAAGATCATGAAAGCTAAGGAAAGACTGAGAAACTGTCATAGACTGAAGGAAACTATGGAAACATGATAATTAAACACAATATAATATCCTGGCTTGAACCCTGACACAGGTTTCAAAAAGCTCATTGGTGGAAAAAATAGAGATATGTGAATAAAGTCTATGGTTTTGCTAGTGATATTTTATAAACATTTAATTCTTAGTTTTGATCACTGTATCAATTATGTAAGATGTTAACACAAGGGAAAGCTGGATATAGGTTATGTAAGAACTCTGTAATATTATGCCACTTTTCTATAGGTCTAAACATTTCAAAATAAAAAGTTATAAATATAAATTACATAAACTTACCATTGATTAAAAGTAGGAGAAGGTAATAAACTACTGACATATGCAAAAACATGGATGGATCTCAAAAACATTTCCAGAGACAAAAAGAGTGCATGCTGTATAATTCTATTTATATGTACTTCTAGAACAGGCAAAATCAATGGTGATAGAAATCTCATCAGTGAGTGTCCCTGGATAGGAAGGGACTGACTGAAAAGTCTGCGTTCATGGAAATATTCCATATCTTAATTGGAGTGGTGGTTACATGAGTGTTTACATTTGTAAAATCTCATGGAACTATACACTTTAAAAGTTGTATTTATTATATGTGAATTCTACCTCAATCAAGTTGCTTTTTAACAAATCATGGGGTGGAAAAATGAATAAAAAAGAAGTACTTATAAAATATATGAAGCATAAATTAAATAGCACTAACTTGGTCAAGAACAGGCTTGGTTTTGTTTAAAGCTTTGAAAATAACCATAACCCCCAAATTGACCCTAACCTTCTGAAAACTGAAACTGGGAAATGTTCTAAATTTCCAGGAAACAAGGGTGAGAGCAGGCTGTTCCCACACCTCCAGCTACTTCTGGCCTCCATGTATATTTGAGATTAATTTACAACTATTAAAGCACACTAATAAATGATCAGAACTTATGGCACCATGCAAGGCTCGCTTTGAAGTTCAGCCAATTTCCTTCCTCTGCTTGGAAGCACTTGAGGCCAAAAAACTGCTGTGTTGTCCAAAGAGCTGGTTATGCTGACCTGAAATCAGACTGGGCACTGTATCCAAAGAGTTAATCCAAGCACACCCTGGTGTCGCCATCATCCACACCTCCATCCCCAAACAAAGATCTGCAGGGGGGCTGCCAAGTCCAGTAAGCCATTGACAGGGAAAATCTAGATGAGAGGAAAAAAAAATGGAGAGAAGATGTGGAAAAAGTTGACTTTGAAACCTCTTCCTTGGATCATTAGCAATGAAAGAGTAGGGAGATGGGGAAGAGATTAATCTGACTTGGAGAAAAGAGTCTGAATTTAGGTGTCAGAGAGGTCAGAAATCTAGAAAATGAACTCTCGGGAAACCTATTTAAACCCTCTGGGCTTCAATTTCCTCACCTGAAAAAAAAAATAATGAGCGCATTCATGACATAAGGCAAATCTTCCTTTGAGTGGCCCTCCCTTGAGTTCTGTTGAGTATGAAGCATTTAAGGAAAAGGCTGGGTTTTTCATGTCTCCCAATCCAGTGATTGGACTTAGATGGGTTTGATCGTCACATGTTTCTCTGATTGGCAACTTCCCTTTTTGTTTGTACTGTTCAGCCCACTGATTCTCAAAGGATGGACTCTGTACGCCACCCTGCATCATACCTCCTAGAAATTAATTTTAAAAGACAAATTTTAGGAGCCCCACCACCGCCTCACCCGAGACTCCCAGAAGAATCTCTAGGGATGAGAACAGAGAAATGTGCTTTTTAAAAAGATATTGTTTTTATTTTGGAATAATCACAAACACAGAAAAGCTGCAAACACAGTTCAAAGACTTTTTTTATAAAGCCTTTAGGATTCAGAAGCAAGCATGATGCTTTAACTTCCCAAATGTGCATATCCTACAAGCAAGGACATTCTCCTG
This sequence comes from Homo sapiens, assembly GCF_000001405.40. Classification (NCBI taxonomy): domain Eukaryota; kingdom Metazoa; phylum Chordata; class Mammalia; order Primates; family Hominidae; genus Homo; species Homo sapiens. Next base: position 119,484,187 of record NC_000008.11, read on the forward strand.
TAACCACAAGGCAACCATCAGAATCAGGAAGTTAGGCCTGGCGCGGTGGCTCATGCCTGTTATTCCAGCACTTTGGGAGGCCAAGACAGGCAGATTGCTTGAGCTCAGGAGTTTGAGACCAGCCTGGGCAACATGGTGAAACTCCTACTCTACCAAAAACAAAAAATACAAAATTTAGGCAGGCTTGGTGGCATGTGCCTGTAGTCTCAGCTACTCAGAAGGCTGAGGTGGCAGCATCATCGCTTGAGCCCAGGAAGTCAAGGCTGCAGTGAGCCATGATTGCACCACTGCACTCCAGCCTGGGCAACAGAGCCAGACCCTGTCTTAAAAAAATAAAAAAAAATCAGGAAGTTAAGACTGACATAGTCCTACCATTAATCTTCAGGTCTTTTTCAACTTTCACCAACTGTCTCATTCATATAAAAAGAAATCACATATTGCATTTAGTTATCAAGTTTCTTGAGACTTTTTCAGTGTGAAACAGTTTGCTTTTTCTTGACTTTCATGACCTCAATTCTTTTGGAAGTTACAGGCAAGTTATCTTGTGGAATATTTTTTAATTTAGGTTTGTATAGTGATGTTTCTTCATGATTAGATTCAACCTATCCACCCTTGACAGAAGTATCACGAAAGCATTGCCGAACTTTTCAATGCCTTTTATTAGGGGGCACATGATTTCAATTTGTCCCGCTACTGATGATGTTAATTGTATCACTTAATTGAGATGGTGTCACCTAGGCTTCTCCACTATTAAGTTATTCTTTTTCCTTTCAAATTAATAAGTATTTTGAAGAAAAGAGGTTTAAGACTATGTAAATATCCCATTACACCCCAAATTTTCCATTTATTCATATATTTATGTCTATATCAAATCTAGTTTTTTACTTTACTCATGTACACATTATCACCTATTTATACTAATGTATATATTACCACCTATTACTGTCATCCCCACTTCCCACTAAAAAGCCCTTCAAACTGGCTGTGGTGTTTCTTCGATGAGTCTCCATTATTGTTTGAGCATTCCTTTGCTTCCTGGAGAATGTTCTAGGTTCATGTTACATTTTCCCTGCTCTAGACCTGGAATCAGCCATTTCCTCAAGGATCCCTGGCTCATTTTAGTGGAAAACAATATTTAGAAGCCAAGATGTGGGTGCTAAGCATGTTTCCTGCTACTGGAATGTCTCAGTGGACAGAGATGGGGAATGTGTGTGTGTGTGTGTGTGTGTGTGTGTGTGTGTGTGTGTATACATGTATACCTATACACATGCATTCCTATATTTATTTATATATCTCTATATATTGAAAACCATACCGGGCACAGTGGCTCACACCTGTAATACCAGTACTTTGGGAGGCTGAGGCGGGTGGATCACCTGAAGTCAGGAGTTCGAGACCAGCCTGGCCAACATGGTGAAACCCCATCTCTACTAAAAATACAAAAATTAGACAGGTGTGGCGGCACATGCCTGTAACCCCAACTACTCAGGAGGCTGAGGTCACTTGAACCCAGGAGGCAGAGGTTGCAGTGAGCTGAGATCATGCCATTGCACTCCAGCCTGGGCGACAAGAGTGAAACTCTGTCTCAAAAAAATAAATAAATAAATAAAAAAGCAAACTGGCCAGGCACAGTGGCTCCTGCCTGTAATTCCAGCACTTTGGGAGGCTGAGGCAGGCAGATCACCTGAGGTCAGGAGATCGAGACCAGCTTAGCCAACAGGGTGAAACACCCTCTCTACTAAAAATACAAAAATTACCCAGGCATGGTGGCAGGCACCTCTAATCCCAGCTACTTGGGAGGCTGAGGCAGGAGAATCGCTTGAACCCAGGAGGCAGAGGTTGCAGTGAGCCAAGATCATGCCATTGCACTCGAGGCTGGGTGACAAGAGAGAGACTCCATCTCAAAAAAAAAAAAAAAAAGAAAGAAAGAAAGAAAAAGGAAAAAAAACCATAAGGTCACAATATACTTCCAATTCCAATTCAATACCATCAAATTAATTCGAGTATTCTTTCTTTCCATGTTTGTAACTCCTTTCTCCAACAGGGAAATCTGGCTCTCTTATCTTTAATGTATTTACTTACATGAGCAATCCCACTTTCTGTGCCAAATCTCTCCTCTTCTACACCACCCCCTCCCCCGTATAGAATGCCCCCCACCCACTCAGGCATCAACACTCAATTCAGGGTCATTTCCCCATGCAAACATCCTCCTCATCCCACTTGGTTTCTGACTTCCCATGCCAGGTGCCCTCATCCAAGCAGATGTTCTCCTCCCCCCGATTCTGCCCTAGATCACCCATCTGGGGATGCTCTCCCCATTCTGCCCCATGCATAGACATCTTCTTCAACACAGTCAGGCCCAACACTCTGCCTCTCTTGCATGGATGCCCTCTTCACCTTGCCTAAGCTTTGGGGATCACACTTCGACAAAAGCTTCATTAAGATTTCAGTGCCCAGCTTGAGTTAAACTTTTTCACGTAAAATCAACTCAAACAGAGCTCCTGAGCTATGTGAATGTCAACTGTAAAATATTGTGATGAAGGCTGATGAATCAGCTCTCATTTTCTGACCAATTCATGAAGATCTCTGCTTTCTTCTTCCATTAGAGAATCCTGGCCGCTCAGGAAAATAGGACATGAAATTTACATTTCAATTTGCAATTCCATTAAAGTAATAACAGCAGCCAAGGGGCACTTTATTGCTACCTTTGCCACATTATCAGTGGCCTGAGACCAAGCTTCCAAGTGCATTTTTTGATATGATGCCTGTAGAAAAGATACAGAATTCTTAGTATTCTTTTGTTATGGGGTATGGAAATCAACTTTACATAGATCCTGTGTGTTCTTGGTTCATAAGTGGCAGTCCTGCATATGGAAATAAGAGTAGCGTCTGCCTGTCTCTCGCTCACGTAGCCACTCCTAGGTACCACGACAACCAGAGATATTGTCTAAAGATTTCACCAGACCTGTGATAAGCAGCAAAGAAGGCAAGAAGCAGGGGAGAGAGAGAGGCATAAAGCGAGATGACGGAAGCAGTAGAAACACGATGACTGCAGATGAAACATGTAACCATCTGTTGGCCCACTCTGCAAGCAATTCTTCTCTCATCAGCAGCTTAGGCATTCCATTCCTAATTGCTCTTTCTCAATAGCACACAGCATGTCCAAGCCTCTTCCAGCTCTAAAAATCTGTCCCTTTAACATATACAGTCCTTTCTTCATCACCCTTTATCTCTGACTCTCTTCACAGCCAAGCTACTTTTAAAAAGAGCATTTGATACTGACTGTTTTCACTTTCTCACCTCCTTTCACTTTGCTCAGTTTTGAGCCAGCTTCTTCCCTCGCCATTTCTGAAGTTGCCATTGCCAAAATCAGCTATGATCATTCTGTTGCTAATTCCAACAGACAAATATTTATCAATCTCTACATATTAGCCTTTTCAACATTATTTGGCTCTGCATACCATTTCCTCCTTCTTTAGACTCTTGCTGCAATAGGTTTCTAGAGCATCACTCCCTCCTGGTTTTTCTTCTACCTCTATGGCTGCTCCTTTTTAGTTGCCTCCACTTTTATCTCCCATCCCCAGTCAAGGTGTTCACAAAAGTTCAATCCTCTGTCCCCTGGGTGATCACATGCACTCACTCTCCTGCCTTTATCACAGACAGTGAACCCAGATCTATATCTCCTTCCTGGAGCTCACTCCCAAAACCCAGTTCTCTAGATAAAACTGTCAATGTGCATCCCTGTTGCATCTCAGAGTGTTGGAGTGTTCATCTCAAACCCAACATGTCAGAAATTGAACTCTTTAGCTACAAACACAAAATCTATGCCTACTATATCACTTGCCTTTTTTCGGAGCACCATCAATGTAGAAACCAGGCCAGAAACCTAGAAGTCTTTCTGGACTCATCATTGTCCCTCACCTTTCACACCAAGTCCCACTGAGGCTGCCTCCTAAACATCATTTCACTCTCTCATGCATTTCTGCTGCCACTGACATAATTCAAACACTCAACTTCTCTGAATCTAGTGACTGAAATAGCCTCCAGACAAACACCAAACATGTCCTTTTTCCATCAATGTGGACTTTCTTTTTTGTTTTGTTTTGTTGTTTTTGTTTTGAGATGTAGTTTCACTCTTGTTGCGCAGGCTGGAGTGCAATGGAGTGATCGCAGCTCACTGCCACCTCCGCCTCCTGGGTTCAAGCGATTCTCCTGCCTCAGCCTCCTGAGTAGCTGGAATTATAGGCACCCGCCACCATACCTGGCTAATTTTTTTGTGTTTTTTAGTAGAGATGGGGTTTTGCCATGTTGGCCAGGCTGGTCTGGAACAACTGACCTCAGGTGATCTGCCCACCTCGGCCTCCCAAAGTGCTGGGATAACAGGCATAAGCCACCACACCTGGCCTCTTTTCTTTTTCTTTTTTTGGTCTGTCCCCCAGGCTGTAGTGAAGTGGCACAATCATGGATCACTGCAGCCTTGACCTCTTGAGTTCAAGTGATCCTCCCATCTCAGCCTCCTGAGTGGCTGGGACCACAGGCACACACCACCGCATCCAGATTGTTCTTGTATTTTTTGTAGATATAGGGTCTCACCAAGTTGCCTAGGCCGGTTTTGAACCCCTGGGTTCAAGCTATTCACTTCCCTCAGCCTCCCAAATACTTGGGATTACAGACATGAGCCACCGTGCCTGATCCAGCTTGGGCTTTCTAAACTTCAAATTATTCTAATCCTCAGCTTAAACTTCTCAAAAACTTCCTATTGCCTGCAGAATAAATTCCCAAACCCTTAGCAGAATGTTCAAGGCCCTTTATGATCTGGTAGCAAACTAATTCTCAAGCTTCATCCTTTAAGACTCCCTACCTTGTATGCAATGAGTTGGTCCCTCTAACATTTTCCTGTCATCCCAGCAATCCATGATTAATATGAGTTCCTGCCTTTGGACATGCAGTCTCCTTAGTTGAGAAATCATACCTCACTACACCCCCTTCTAACTAACTAACCAGCACTGTGAGGACATGGTCAGCTCTATTTTCTCCCACTTGTCACAGTAAGCCCAACAGAGCACTCTGCATGCAACAGGTATGCACTAAACAGATGCCGTCAATCACTAGTCTATGAATATGACTGCAATGGCTGGGCCTGGGCCTCTGTCCACACTGGCCAAGTGGCAAAGAGGGTGTTGCTAGAGACATTTTAGAGAAAAGAGGTGGCAAGCTCTTGCAATCCTGCTGCTGTGGCTCTGGGCATCCTACTCTGGTAACATTTCATATCTGATGAATGAAAGGTTGGCCCAAAGTTTCTAAACAGGATTTTAAGAAAGAAAATATTTTTCCCCATTCTGAGAAGATGGCACTTTTCTTTCTCTTTGGAGAAAAGATCAAATTTAAAGATCAGTTTCCTCAAAGAGCTGAATATTTTTATAACAGTTTCATACTGAATCTGTAACAGTGGCTGGCCTTATTCCATTGCCAAGTTGGTCGGTATTATTGAAGAGTAATACTCAAGGCTGTGGTTTTCTGGGAGAAAAAAAAAACTCCTAAGAATAACAGAAAACAGTTGAAGGAAACATGTTATTTCAAAAGTGTTCCGCCTCAGTGACCAAACATCCCAGGTGAGCACATGGTTTCTAGAGCAGTCCTGGCATTAACAAGCCAGCATCTCCCTATTTGTCTAAGGGGAGGAGGTGTCCTTACCCTTGAGCTACAACTGCACTGAAGCCTCAGTTCCAAAATAAGAACTACTCCTTCCCCATCTTTCCTTAGTTGGCTGGCCCAGGCAGAACTTATTTTTATTCTTTTTTATTCTTTCCTACATCCAACACCCACTTGCACATATACACACACACACACACACACACACACACACAGGCACATACTCACATTTTTCTTCTTTCTCTGAGAACATCTGCTGTTTTAGATTTATGCCATATCCTTGCAGAGTTGTCTTTCAGTTACCTTTCATTCTTTATTTTTCTTATGGTTCAGGAATAGAGAGTTTGGATAACTCCAGTACAATTATTTCCATTTCTAGACAGCATTGTATTAATAACATGAGCTCTGAGGTCAGACAGAAACATGCTCATATCCTGGTGCTAACACTTCCTGGGCAACCTCAGTCAAGTCACTTAATTTTATATTATAAGTAAATTAGGATGCATCACTTTGGGACAATAGTGGCCATTATAATAAATATGAAAAATATTTACAATGCTATACGAACACAAAATGTCTTTCATTATCAATAAACTAGCATTTGTAGAATTCTTTTTAGTTGGCAAAATCCTTTACACATATATTTTCTAAATAAGATAATGCCTATAATGATCTCAATTGGGTGATATTCTCATAAGTTTTATTCTACAGATCAATAATTCCAGACAGCCAACAGTGACTTGCTGAGGGTCATACACTTAGTAAACAACAGAATAAAGACATAGTCTCTGGAATCTGTGTGATAGTTTTTATTTTAAAGACAGTTTTAAATGTCAGAAAACAATGCAACTACATTACGGAAAGTTTACAAGATTCAGAGAAATGACCTCAAGTCTTGCACTGTAAAAATAATAAATAAATAAATGGTACTTTCTCCTTCTTACCTCTCCACCCACCCCATCTTATTATAGAGTGGAAAACAGTTCTCCTGCTATTCACCCACTACTGCCTAACAATCCCACCATTGGTAAATTCATGCCATCTTCCTGAACCATTCTCTTCCTTTGGGGCATCCGTGGACCCTAGGATTTTATCTCATTTTCATTAAAGAATAAATATTTATTTGAGTAAGTGATGATACTGTGATGAGAGATGGATAAATGCCCTGTGAATCTGGTTCAATTCTCTTCTTTCCCCCATCTTCTGCCAAGATCCCACCACCTACACATCTGTAGGCTTGACATCTGCCCATTTTTTCTAACTCTTACGATCTGCACACTACTCCTTTAGAGTCAAGCACGTACAAGGGTATTCCTTGATCTAAGTTCTCATTTGGAGCTGTTCCATTTTTAGACAGCCGAAAACTCAGAACCTCTGAAGTCTAACAAATTTGAGTTCAACCCTTAGGTCTATTACTATTAATATTGTATCATAGAGCAAACTGGTTATTAGCTCAATTTGCATATATAAACTGGGGAATGCTTATAATTAATATTTGATCATCAATGGATCAATTTGAAGTTATATTCAATGATAGAACTTCCATATTCCGAATAAATCTCAAGGTTTAATACAGCTCAGACTCAAATAAATATGCCAATCAATAAAATGGTTGTTACAAAAATTATTACTGAAATAATTCAGTATATTACTTTCATCTCTTAGAGAAAATTTAGTCAATAATGCAAGGAAAACTTTTAAAAATCTCCTTTATTCTTCTCTCCTATTCTCCCATCCTACAGCTCTTCTAGGGTATAAGTGCACTCTCTGGCTCTCTCTTGCTCTCTCTCTCTCTTTCTTTCTTTCTCTCTCTCTCTCTGCCATTATAAGCACACTCTCTCACTGTCTGTCTGTCTGTCTGTCTGTCTCTCTCTCTCTCTCTCTCTCTCTGCCATTTTGCCAGATTTCTCCTTCTTCTGTGTCTTTTTCAGCTCTTTAATATGTAGGCTGGTCTAGCTTCACTGACATTTTCTTTTTGGCTTCACCGTCTGCCATATCTATGGATCATATTCTCCACAACAAAGGAGACGCTGAAGAATGTCTCTTTTCCATTTCCTCCCACCCCTGCAGTCCTGTCTTTTCCTCTCTGATTTTTCTAACTACACTTTAAAAATACTTTTTTAAAATCCTTAGGAACCAGATGGACTGGATTGGGCAGGGAAGGGAATGAAATTTATGAGCACATGCAAAATTCTGTATGCATGCAGGGAAAGAAAGTTTGAAAAAACTTATATATGTTAAAATGGGGGCTTCCTAAACTTTATTTATCTATACTCAGGGTAGCAAACTGTGAAATAAACCTCTCCGTCCCTAATTTTCCATCCTGGCAATTCTTTCTGCTCTCTGCTTAGTATGGTCACAGGCCCCCAGCTTTCAGCTTCTTTGTATTTTTTCCATATTTTCTTCTTCTCCTGTCTACACTGATTTCCTAATCCAGCCTCTCTCTAGAATCCTAGAATCCCTATCCACTCAACTTTTTACTTCTGTTTCTTGTTAAGTCTGAGGCCAAGCTGCTCCTAGGTTCCATTGTTTCATCTTTCTTAAATTGTGATAAGAACATATAATATGAGACCTGATCTCTTAATAAGATTTAGGTATACAGTTGAGGATCACTAACAATGTACAATGTTGTAGCAGCTTTCTAGATCTTATTCATCTCATGTATCTGAAACTTTAAAGCAATTGAACAGCACCTCCTCACTTCTTCCTCTCCTCAGACCTTGGCAACCACCATTCTACTCGCTGCTTCTATGAGTTTGACTATTTTACATACTTCATGTAAGTGGAAACAAACAATTTAAATATCTATTGATAGATGAATGCATAAAGAAAAATGATATCTACATTTATTCAGCCATAATGGAATAGTATTTAGCCATAAAACGGAAGAGTATACACCCATAAAGAAGGAAGTCCTACCATATGCAACAACATGAATGAACTTTGAGGACAGCTATGGTCTGAATATGTCTCCCAAAGTTTGCATGTTGAAACTTAATGGCCATGTGGTAGTATTAAGAAGTGGGGTCATTAGAAGTTGATTAAGTCATGAGAGCAGACACCTCGTGGATGGAGTTAGGGCCCTTATAAAAGGGCTTGAGTGAGTGGCTTAATTCTCTTCTGCTCTTCCACCAAGTAAAGACACAGAATTTATCCCCTTTTTCGCCTTTCCGTCCCTTCCACCATGTGAGGACATAGCAAGAAGTGTGTGCCATCTTGGAAAGAGACAGCAGCCCTCACTTGACATAGAATTTGCCGGAGCCTTGGTCTTGGACTTCTTAGCCTCCAAAACTATGAGAAAATAAAATTCAGTTCCTTATAAATTACCCAGTCTAAGGTATTTTGTTATAGCAGCACAAACAGACTTAGAGAAGGACATTATGCTAAGTGAAATAGTTGGGTTCCGTTTCTAAAGCTGCCAGGGGTCTTTGAGTACAGAAACTTCCCTGAGGGGTCTTACTCATCTCTATGTCCCCATTACACACAAGACACTTAATATTGTTGAATGTATATGAGACAGAATGAATAAATTTGGCTCTACTAAAATTCTTACCATCAGATCTCTACTAGACACTGCCTGCATGTTAACAATCCTTATATCCATTTATAGCTGACTCCTTATTTAATGTCTGGAGCAACTGTTCCAAATCTTCTATACACCCCTCACACCCAATTCCCACCACCATCACCCATCTTTTAGTCAGCCTGTTCTCTCCTTTGAAGCAACCTGGTGAGAACAGTCTTTGCACATAATCTTTTAAGGTTATGGCTCAACCTCCAGCTACTCCCTGGGGTTTTCTGCTGACAGAAACCTTTTCCACAACACACTATTAGGATTAAGTCCACTCTTTTTCCTACGAAATGTCTAAAACATATTTTGAACCACATGGAACAGTTTTTAAACCCAATGTTTTCTCACAGAAGTCTTTATTTCCATTCAGGTTACCAGCCTCCAGAACTTCCTTTATGAGAAACCAGAGAAAAGAGAAAGAAAAATCTGTACAAATACATCAACCAATTTCAGTCTGAGAATATTTGCTTCTAGAGGCATACCAATTTCAAAACCAAGCCATTCCACATTAGAAAATCTCACATGTCCTTTCTGAGATCTAAATAACCTCCATTTTCTTAAAAAAAAAAAAAAACTATCAAAAGGTAGAAGCAAGATAGCCTTCACAGACAGCCACAGGTCAGTCTCTTAAATAAATATGACACTGGCTTTCTTCGAGTGAAAGGCCCCTGATAATCCAGCAAGTTCCCTGGGTCCATGTTGGAATGGAGGAAGTTTGACATTACCCAAGATAGAAAAGGCATTTAACCTGTTTCTGTAGGAATTGTTGTCAAAATACTTTGAGAATTATTTTAGCTTGGGCCCTTTGATAAGTGTCTTAGGTCTGGTTCCCTAGAAGCCATAACTGGGGTAGCCAATAAGTGTGATTTATTGAAGAAGAGATCTTCAGGAAGATCGTCAGAACCAGTAATGAAGCAAGAAAAGCAGGAAAGAGACAAGAATGTCCGGGTAGGATCTAGTCTTGGTCTGACCCAGCAGGGCTCTCTGGAACGTAAGCTACACTTCAGAGTGATCCCACATTAAAGGCAGGGTCAGTCTTTTGTACCTCTGAGTTAATCTGTCATCGGTTCCAATGGTGTGTACCCTCCTGGTCTAAGTAGCTTTCCCCGCCTGAGAAGGGAACAGACAGCAGTGAGTTGTTGAATACTCACAACAGCTGGGGATGGGTAAACAGAAGAAAGAAAACTAATGTGTATTCACCACCTTCTGCCAGGTACAACACTAGGGGCTTTGCATATATGATCTCCTGCAATCTTCCTAAACCTATAAGGAAGGTATTATATCCCCATTCTATAAGTAAAGCGAGGCTCAGAAGGGTTAGTCTAAAATTATTTGAGTAGTAGAGATAGCTGAGCTGACCTTCTAGAGAGTTTCAAAATCGATTTTCTCTCTAGATTTTAGGACTTAATAACCCAGTCACTAGCAGACCCCTGGCAAACACTGAAACAATCCCATAGGCACCAATTTTATCCTAACCCACATCTCAAAAGTAACTGAAACTTCTGCACTAAGGAGGCAGCAGCAACACACTCCCAGCAACAGCTAGGAACTCGCTTGAATGAACGCTCTGAAGCTGAAACACTTTAACTAGAGGTTTACAAAACTAGTCTGACTTCCCCTGGGTATGAGCACTGACTTAAGGCCCTTCTCTAAAATTTTTTTTTTTTTTCTGAGACAAGGTCTCACTCTGTCACCCAGGTTGGAGTGCGGTGGCACAGTCTCAGCTCATTACAACCTCCACCTCGCAGGCTCAGGTGATCCTCTCACCTCAGCCTCCTGAGTAGCAGGGACTACAGGCATGCACTACCATGCTGGGCAATTTTTTTTTTTTTTTGTATTTTTGGTACAGATGGGGTTTCACCATGTTGCCCAGGCTGGTCTTGAACTCCTGAGCACAAGTGATCCACCAGCCTTGGCCTCACAAAGTGCCAAGATTACAGGCATGAGCCATGGTGCCCTGCCAATAATTTTGTTTTTAATGTCAATTGCAAACTTAAATAAATTCCATAAGCTAAGTACTGTGCTAAGCCTCTACGTAAGACATTTTATTTATCCTCTCCATAATCCTATGAGGTAGTGTGACATTATTCTAGTTTTACCAGTGAGGACATTAGAGCCCGGAGAGGTTATGTGAGTGGTCCAAAATCACGCAACAGAAGTAGTGAGAATGTCAATTAGCAACAACAGCAAAAAATCCACTGAAATTGCAACCACCTGAGAACCTCCTTGCTTGCCTGCCTATCTCAAGGTCTAAGTATGTCTAAAGACATACATTATATCTGCTGCTAAGTATTTAGAAGCTAGCACCTTTGCTTGCCAGTCTGGGAAGTGGTATGGCAGAAGCAATTATCTCTAGCCATAAAACCCCAAAATCATTGACTCTTACACTTCCACATTTCTGCCTTCTATTATCAGCCTTGCTCAACTTAGTTGTTTTTTTTAGACAGAGTCTCGCTCTGTCACCCAGGCTGGAGTGCAGTGGTGCAATCTTGGCTCACTGCATACTCCACCTCCCAGGTTCAAGCGATTCTCATGCCTCCAGAGTAGCTGCAATTACAGGCATGTGCCACCACAACCTGATGCTTTTTGTATTTTTAGTAGAGATGGGGTTTCACCATGTTGGCCAGGCTGATCTTGAACCCCTGGCCTCAAGTGATCTGCCCGCCTCGGCCTCCCAAAGTGTTGAAATACAGGCTTGAGCCACTGTGCCCAGCCAACTTAGATTTCTTATAGATCTAGACGCCACTGAGTTTAGCCAAATGGTTAACATCAACTCTATGAAATGGGGTGATGTAGATGCTGGACTGCAGTCACACATGGTGAAATTTTCCACACTTGAGATCTGAAGGTGATGGCCACAGTCCAAATTCATGTTCCATCATCTTTTTTTCAGGTTCCAGGCCATTTATGTCAGAAACATTATCAATACAATGAGAAAAAATATTCCAAACATATCATTAGAAATACATCTGTATTTTTAAATCCAAAATCTAACTAGATAACATGGCTGCTTCTTTGGTTTTCAAGGGATTCTTTCCCAAACTCCTGCACAGGATCCTTCCTTCAGACAAATTAACCTGCCAGTGCCCCCATCATCATCAGAGATGCAGGAAAAGTTACACAAAGGTATTCAAGGAAAAAACAGTGGCCAGTCTGCATTCAAAAAAAGTACAACTCAAAAACAAAAATTTTGTAAATGTAAAGGAATGAAAAACATGTCATGTGGAGGTAAAAGTTCTGAGTTGAAGTCATTTTGAACACATATTTTACTGAACCTTAGTTTATTATCTGAAACATAGGAACAATTGTGCCTGCCCAATCCATCCCTTATGGTTATGAAACAAGGAGCAAAATCCAAATTGGACTAAGATCAAGCATTCCATATGTGCAATCACTTGAAAATTGTAAAAGGCTGTAGAAATGCAACAGAGGGTTCTTGAGAGGCAATTGTAGTATCGTGGAGAAACACTATTCCCTGCAAACAGGAGAGATGGGCTGGGGTCTTGTTCTGTCCTCTCCTAATGAACCTTGACAACAATCCTATCTGCTAATGTTTATTAGTGGGCTTACTTTGCCTGGCATTGTCTTAAGAGGTTTAACATATGTGTTTACTAGGGGAGTACTATCAGTATCCCATTTTGTAAGTGAGGCTTCTCTGTGGTTCTGAGAAGGTAATATGCCTGTTGGTACCCCCGTAAAGGGAAGACGCAAGCCAGGATTCCAAGTCAGGCTGTTAGCCTTGGACTTCCTAACATGAACACCACTCAGCCTGCCTTTGCCCACTCACATAGCTTCTCTTTCTAGTCTTAATTTTCTCATTGGCCAAATGAAGACCATGATGCCTATCTGGGGTGTGCTAAAAACCAGGTTAGCAACACATGCAAGCGCTGGATAACAATAAAACCTTAGTACCAGGGAAAAATAATTAAAAGCTTTTCTAAAACACTGTTTATGACTTCTCCACCACACACAGCACTTTGAAAGAAATACAAATGGAAATCCAATATTATATTACCCTGTCTCACTATATCTACCTAGCTACCAATGGATCTCAGTTGTAGTTGTAGTCAATACATATTTGAAATAACAATTTTCTTTTCAAAGTAATTATCCTTGTGATATGGTTTGGTTCTGTGTCCCCACCCAAATTTCACCTTGAATTGTAATAATCCCCACGTGTCAAGGGTAGGACCAGGTGGAGATCATTGAATCAGGAGGGCGGTTTCCCCATACTGTTCTCGTGATAGTGAGTGTATTGAGGTTCTCTAGAGGGACAGAACTAATGGAATATATATATATATATACACACACACACGGAATATATATATGGAATAAATACACGGAATAAATATGTATGGAATAAATACATGGAATAAATATGTATGGAATAAATACATGGAATAAATATGTATGGAAAATATGGAAAATCTCTATATGCAAAATCTATATATGGAAAATCTATATGGAAAATCTACATATGGAATATCTATATATGGAATATCTATATGGAATATCTACATATGGAACATACATATGTGGAACATATGTATGGAACATATGTATGGAACATATATATGTGGAATATATATGGAGAATATATACATGGAGAATATATATGTAATATATACATGGAGAACATATATACGGAATATATACATGGAGAACATATATACGGAATATATACATGGAGAACATATATACGGAATATATACATGGAGAACATATATATGGAATATATATATGGAGAATATATATGGAATTATATAATATGGAAAAAATACATATAGAATATATATATGGGAAGATATACATACGGAATATATATATGGGAAGGAAGATATACATACAGAATATATATATGGGAAGATATACATACGGAATATAGATATATGGGAAGATATACATACGGAATATAGATATATGGGAAGATATACATACGGAATATAGATATATGGGAAGATATATATGGAACATAGATATATGGGAAGATATATATGGGAAGATATATATGGGAATATATATATATGGGAAGATATATATGGCAATATATATATGGGAAAATATATATGGGAAGATATATATATGGGAATATATATATGGGAAGATATATATGGGAATATATATATGGGAAGATATATATGGGAATATATATATGTGGAATATATATGGGAATATATATATATGGGAATATATATATGGGAATATATATACATGGGAATATATATGGGAATATATATATGGGAATATATATATATGGGAATATATATGGGAATATATATATGGGAATATATATGGGAATATATATATGGGAATATATATATATGGGAATATATATAAATGGGAATATATATATGGGAATATATATACATGGGAATATATATATATGGGAATATATATACATGGGAATATATATATATGGGAATATATATACATGGGAATATATATATATGGGAATATATATACATGGGAATATATATATGGGAATATATATATGGGAATATATATATGGGAATATATATATGTGGAATATGTATATGGGAATATATATATGTGGAATATGTATATGGGAATATATATATGTGGAATATGTATATGGGAATATATATATGTGGAATATGTATATGGGAATATATATATGTGGAATATGTATATGGGAATATATATATGTGGAATATGTATATGGGAATATATATATGTGGAATATGTATATGGGAATATATATATGTGGAATATGTATATGGGAATATATATAGGGAATATATATATGGGAATATGTATATGGGAATATATATAGGGAATATATATATAGAATATGGAATATATATATATATGGGAGTTTATTAAGTATTAACTCACATGATCACAAGGTCCAACAATAGGCTTTCTGCAGGCTGAGGAGCAAGGAGAGCCAGCCCAAGTACCAAAACTGAAGAATTTGGAGTCCAATGTTTGAGGGCAGGAAGCATCTGGCAAGGACAAAGATGTAGGCTGGGAGGCTAGGCTAGTCTCTCTTTTCACATTTTTCTGCCTGCTTATATTCTAGCCACACTGGCAGCTTATTAGATTGTGCCCACCCAGATTAAGGGTGGGTCTGCCTTTCCCAGCCCACTGACTCAAATGTTAATCTCCTTTGGCAACACACTCACAGAAACACCCAGGATCAATACTTTGTATCCTTCAAAGCAATTAAGTTGACAGTGTTAGCCATCATAATGAGTGAGTTCTCACGAGATCTGATGGTTCCATAAGGGGATTCGCCACTTTGCCCACCTCTCATTCTCTCTCTTTCTGCCCTGTGAAGACGTACCTTCTGTAACGATTGTAAGTTTCCTGAGGCCTCCCCAGCCATGCAGAACTATGAGTCAATTAAACCTCTTTCCTTTATAAATTACCCATTCTCAGGTATTTCTTCATAGCAACATAAGAACAGACTAACACACCTTGAAAATGAGGCCACTTTACCAGCATGTTGAAACTGCCTTCTATATGTCATGTCCTGCAAAATAGCTCTTAGTTTACAAAGAGAAAAGAAACTTAATACCCGCTTCAGAGACATGTCTCACAGCAGGTGGTAGCTAATCCCAAAGTCATAGTGCTTTCTTTTTTTAGAATCACAAGAAGTATTGGTATATCGCAATCAAACTAATAACCTATATCCTTTTGGGCAAAATATAAATCTGACTTCTAGATTTCTGTACAGACGAGTGAAACTATCCCTTAGGAAAATTTTATGAGAGAAAAAACTAAAAGAAAATTTAATTAATTAATTTTACCTTTTCTAGGATTTGGGAAACAACATTCATTTTGAATTTTTACATTTGAAGCATATCAGTCCAAGTAAGGGGACCCCATTGCTTTTGGGAGTATGGCTTTTTTGGGGAGGAGGAGTATGGCTTTTTAATTTCTACTAACATGGGGAACATTTTTTCATTATGTGTAAAACCAGGCAAGTATGTAAATTTCAGCAGAGCAACAGGAGCTGAATGAGTTAATTCATTTATGAAGGTTTGCTATGTGCCAGGTGCTGGGAATAAGACAAAGTCCTTCTATGAGAAGGCTCCCAGCCTAGCTGGTGAAACACTTTCCCAGGGAGTTATAATGCAGAATGGTGAGTACAATGAAGGTGCCATAGAGAACCTGGAGGAGATGCTCCCCACCCAACCAGAGAAGAAGCATCGCTTCTTGGAGGAGGTGCTGGCATCCTTTGCTCTAACAAACCTCCCCTGACTTTGCTCTAGCCTCAACTCACATCCACCCCTCCAACACCTGTAGACAACATAAGCTATAGCAAGAACTCCTCCTCAATCCCACAGAATCATATCTCAATAATACAAGACTGAAAATAGGTCACATTCCTCCCACATTTGCTCTATGCTAGGTGCTATAATAAGCACTCTACAAGTTACCTTGTTTAATCCCCACATCAGTCTTATGTGGTATATACTTTTATTATCATCTCCCTTCTGAGTATCTATAACCATGTAACAAACAATCACCAAAATGTAGGGCCTTAAATCAATAGATGATTACTTCTCACATTTCTGCGGGTTCCCTGGGCTCTGCTGGCTGTTCTCCTGGCGGAGGGTCATTCACATGGCTCTGGTCAGATAGCAGCGGTGGCCAGAGTCATCAAGCTATGAGTGGGACAATGTTCAAGATGCGTCACTCACACGTCTGTGGGCTAAGAGCTCACTGAGGGCTAACACAGAGTACCTGTGGACAGCCTCTCCCCGTGACTTGGGCTCGTTAAAAGAAAAACTGCAGCTGAATTGAATTTAAAGGAGTTTAATTGAGCAATGAATAATTCGTGAATTGGGCAGCCCCCAGAATCACAGCAGATTCAGATAGACTCCAGGGATAGATCAAAAAAAGCAGTGACGTACAGAAATCAGAAGTGAGGTATAGAAACAGCTGGCTTGGTTACAGGTTGGTGTTTGTGTTATTTGAACACAATTTGAACACTCGGCAGTGTATGGGTGGTTTGGCTGCTGGGATTGTCCGAGACTCAGCTGTTGTTACAGGCGCATACTCCTAAATTAGGTTTTCAATCTTGTCTACCTATTACGTTAGGTTACAGTTCGTCTACAAGGACTCAAATACAGAAGTACGGAGTCCTCAGGCCATGTTTAGTTCACTTTAACAGGCTTCTCACAGCCCGATGCTTAGGTTTCCAGAAGAAACATGCCAAGAGGTAGCATTCCGAAAGGCAAGACATGGAATGTACCAGACCAGAGAAACCTGAGCTGAATCTGTCACTGACAGTGCTGCTGCCACCATAGTCTTTTGATCAAAGCAGTCTCTGGACATGCTTAGATTCAAAGGGGTAGTAAACCTAATTCCACCCTTTGACAGGAAGTGGGGAAGAGGGGTAGCAAGGTCACGTTGCAGTGGGATGGGAGTTGTTACGGCCATTTTTGGAAACTGTAATCTGTCACAGTTATCATTACACATAAGAGGTTTGGTAACTTGTTTAAGGCCACAGAGATAATAGATGATGGAACCAGATCATAAACACAAGCACATAGCCCCTGCTTTTTACTGCCCATGAGTAATGGGCATGCCCATAAGTGGCCCATGAGTGGCCCATCACTCAATTTACTGATGGAATTGTAAATATTTGCTGACCTGTCTCTTTCTAAAGACTGCAAACTCCTTGAGGGCTGTGTCTAATTCCTTGCTATAATTTTTCCAGTATCTGGCACAAGTCCTGATACAGAGTGCTTACTCAACACGTTTGCTGAGTTAATAAGCGAATCATGCAATGCCACTTACTCATCAGTTCCACCAAGATAGGAGAGAGTCCTTATCTGGGATGATTTATAAGATTTTCTAGCCCATCTAGATATAAATGATGCTAATGAGAAAACAATTTCTGAGGCAAACCGATCAGCCCTGTGCAAGTCAGTACAGAGCGCAGACATGATCTTGTCCTGTAGAATTTGTAATTTTATTATTATTGGAAATGGTGGTGGAAAATGGAAAGAGATAAGATAGTAATGCTTCTACAGGAAAACAGCTTTGCAAATGACTCTAGTCCCATGTGTATACAATTATACCTGAGAGGCCCTTTTACATTTTTCACTCACACTTTCTGAACTTTCAGAGGTGAATCACATGCTAGAGGAGGGTTCTGGGTATTCTTCATGCTCCATCCTTTTTCATCCTGCTCAGGGGCCAAAAAGATTGACTTTTATCAACAGCATCACTGGGTTCCCTTTCTTTCCAGTTAGTTTTGGCCAATGGGAAACAACAGCCGGAGCTGAAAGGACAGCAGAATGAGGTTGAGGCATTTACTCCCTTGGAATTCCCCCTTGGCAGGCCATGGGTTCCCCTCTGTCACTCTCTGGGACAGGCTGTCTTCTCCAACTACAGCTCTTTCTCTAATTCCTTTGTCCACTTTTCCCTTCCCTCTTCAGGCTTAAGGAAAAGGTAAGGCCTCCTCCTAGCTCTGTGTTGCTTCACTATTCCTAGTTGGTTTCCCTTAAATCCTTCCCTTAAATCAGCTCTCACTCTTGTAATTAGCCCATTCATTAAACTTACTCCAACCACCTGGTTTAAAGCTAGTTTCTGCCTAATAAAAGTGATGTCAAGAATTGGAAGGCTTATAAATGCCTTGGAATGTGCCCCTCAAACTCACTACTTTGGTTAATGTTCTAAATTCACGTTACAAAGGGAAATGAATTAGTTGATACTATATCGTAATCACAGGATCAAGCTCTGATGTTGGATTCATTGATAAAGAATATGCTATTTCATAGACTACTAAGAAAAGCTGTTATGCTAGGTTAAATAAAGTGAAATAGCATTGTTTTTAGTAGAAAAGAAATGAAAATAGCCAGGCATGGTGGATTATACCTGTAATCCCAGCACTTTGGGAGGCCAAGGTGGGCAGATCACTTGAGGTCAGGAGTTTGAGACCAGCCTGGCCAATAGGTGAAACCCCGTCTCTGCTAAAAATACAAAAATTAGCTGGGCATGGTCGTGCACACTTGCAATCCCAGCTACTTGGGAGACTGAGACAGGAGAATCGCTTGAACCTGGGAGGCAGAGGTTGCAGTGAGCCGAGATCGTCCCACTGCACAGCAGTCTGGGCAACAGAGCGAGACTTCATCTCAAAAAAAAAAAAAAAAAAGAAAATGAAAATAACTTAAATATCCACCAATTAATGGAATGGTTGGATAAATTCTGTAGTACATTAATAACAGGGATCTATGGAAGACTAAGTTACATCTATAGCTATAGATGTGGAAATATATTTGTGATGTATCATTAAGTAAAAAAATTTGTAGAGTAATGTGAATAATCTCATCTTCTATGAAAAGAAATAACCAAAACAACTCTATACATGTGCTTATGCAGTTTGTCTATAAACTGGAAAAAAAAGTTGGGGAAATATATCAAGTGTTAACATTAATTACCTCTGGGGTCATTGGAATGAAGAAAAAATTTATCAGTATTTACAAAACTTTGCAATTGTGCAGTGAATTAATGTAGCATGAACATTTTTTATAATTTTACAGGGAAATTCAGTAAGGAAATCTTGTTTATTTGTGTATTTATTTAAAGACAGAATTTCACTCTGTCACCCAGGCTGGAGTGCAGTAGCACAATCGTAGCTCACTGCAGCTATCACTTCCCAGGCTCAAGTGATGCTCCCACCTCAGCCTCCTGAGTAGCAGGAACTGCAGACACAAACCACCAGGCCTGGCTAATTTTTTGTTTCTTGTACAGATCAGGTCTCACTATGTTGGCTAAGCTAGGAAATTTTAAAGAGAAAAACAAGATGTGTTCCTAAATCTGGAGCTATTTATGAAATCCTTTGACCAGAAATAGTAACTCTACCAGCCTATATCACCTGCCTCAATGTTGCATGGAACATGAACTAAGAAATTCTAATCTATTTTGGCAAGTAGAAGCAGAATCAGCACATAAATAAAATTATATTGGCTTAAAGTCGTGTAACTAATTTTCTTACATGTAAGCATTTCTCTCAATGACCAAAATATTAAGTAGTGCTGACTGGATGACTGTATTTTGGTCTTATCTCCTGTAGTGGCCAGTATAGTTGCATGCCCAGCATCTATTTGACTTTCTCCCATTCATTATGAAACAACTACTGTCAACAAAAAATGCCATCTCCCACTTGGCTTAGACCTGAATTACACGTCCAGTCCTGAACCAATTACTGGGGGGAAAAGGTAGGATTACACTGACTCATTTAAGTTGATCTAGACCCACTACTAGAGTCAATGAAGTTGATCTCTCCCAAATCGTATGACAGCAGTGGTTGATTCATAGAAACACGTATGTCACAAGCTGATCATAGTTAAGCAAAGTACTTCAATTCGACAGTGGAGAGAAGATTCCCTCTTTCCCTTCTGCATGTGAACAAGAAGACATTTGGCCTCAGTTGCTGCCAGCAGCCACTTTAGACTGTGAGGAAACTTTGTAGTATTAACACCTTTGGAAGGTAAAGCAGAGCAATAAAAAGACATGCACATATTGGCTCCACCACTGAGCCACTAGATCAAACCTTGCCTGAAGTACACACCAACACTGGACTTTACAGTTATGTAAAGCACTGCATTTTCTTATTAATTACACCAGTTTATTCTTCTGCTATGTGCCACTGGAAAAAAAATTCTTTAAAAGATACTCCTTCCCTCATTCTATATGGTCCAGAATGTTTTTTGGTTTTTTTCGTTGTTTGTTTTTGAGATGGAGTCTCGCTCTGTTGCTCAGGCTGGAGTGCAGTGGCGTGATCTTTGTTCACTGCAACCTCCATCTCCTGGGTTCAAGTGATTCTCCTGCCTCAGCCTCCTGAGTACCTGGGATTACAGATGCCCACGACCACACCTGGCTACTTTTTGTATTTTTAGTAGAGACGGGGTTTTGCCATGTTGGCCAGGCTGGCCTCGAACTCCTGACCTCAGGTAATCCTCCTGCCTCGGCCTCCCAAAGTGCTGGGATTACAGGTGTGAGCCACCATGCCTGGCCAAGAATGTTTTAAATGTCAAAGTTGCATTTCTCTATGTTGTATTACTGAGACAAATCTGGTGTTTTCTAAATCACCTTAGTGAAAGTGCCCTACTTAGAAGAAGCAAAGAAGAACCAAAATCTGGATAGTAAAAGACAGATATGAACAGCGGTTACCAGGGCCTGAGGGTGAGGGGTGGACTGAGGAAGTGTTGGTCAAAGGATACAAAATGTCAGGTAGCAGGAGTAAGTTCAAGAGACCTATTGCACAACATGCCTACTATAGTTAGTAACGATGTATTGTACTCTTGAAAATTGCTAAGGGAGTAGATTTTAAGGGTTCTCACCACAAAACAAAAGTATGTGAGGTAATGCACATGTTAATTGGCTCAATTTAGCCATTTTACAATGTATACATATTTTGAAACATCATATGGCACACAGTAAATACATGCAATTTTTTATCTTTCAATTAAAAACGCATTAATTTGGAGCCAGGTGTGGTGGCTTATGCCTGTAATCCCAGCACTTTGAGAGGCTGAGGCAGGCAGATCCCCTGAGGTCAGGCATTCAAGACCAGCCTGGTCAAACCTCATCTCTACTAAAAATATAAAATTAGCCAGGCATGGTGGCATGCGCCTGTGATCCCAGCTACTCAGGAGGCTGAGGCAGGAGAATCGCTTGAACACAGGAGGTGGAGGTTGCAGTGAGCCGAGATCATGCCACTGTACTCCAGCCTGGGTGACTCCATCTCAAAAAATAAAATAAGAATAAAATAAAATCTCATTAATTTTTAAAACAAACAAATTTTGGAAAATACCAATCTGACTTTCCTTGGCAATGACACTCACAGAAGGCACTAGGATAGCTGGGATGTGCTCTATACCAGATTTTATGGATTATTCACTCATATCCTCTTGCCTGGCATTTGTTTTTCTCAGGGGGAGGAAAGGCTACAGACACAGTTCTTAGTATGCCGTAAAACTCTCTTCCACAGAGCAGATCCTTGTCTCCATTGCTAATGAACCGGTCCACCTTTAGCCAGCAACTTCATTCTAAGGGAGGGAAAGTCTGTGTTTGTTAAACTCATCGTCTGACTCCTCTGTTCACTAAGTTTTACCCCACATTCAGTCTGAAAAACACATACACACTTACCAAGATCTCCCAGTAGGGATAGAGGTCGAGGCTGGGAGGTCTGGAACCTGGAGAGAGTTTGGAAAGGTCTTCTGGGCAAGCAAGCACTTTCAGCAGCTTTTTAGGTAGAGATAGTTTGGTTTAATGGTTATAAGTACAGTCTCTGGAGTCAGACTCACCTGGCTTTAAATACAGCCTTTGCTTCTTACAAGTTCTGGGACATTAGACAAGTTTCTTATCCTGTACATACTTTAGCATTCTCATCTGAAGTGGAGATAATAATGAATACCCATCTCTTGGGGTTGTAAGGCTTTGGCTAAGGGACATCCACAAATCTCTTAAGTGATGCCTTACACAGGTAGTGAGCACTCAGGAGATACTAGCTGTAAAGATGTAGGAGCAGCAGAAGCAGTAACAACCCAGGAAGCTCCAAAGAAATGGTTAAAATTGTGGGTAAGAATGATTTTCAGATGGTGAACACAGAAGCAGAGAGCACACAGATGTTTAAGAACTATTACTCAGACCTCATAAAGGGTCCATACTAACTATTGCGTTTTCTTGTCTAATACTTTGCCAGTTCTTCCACATTATCAATAATGAATTTGCCCATCACATCTGTGAACAATCAAACCAAGAGAAAAATCTTTCAGCCCAAGACTCAAGCACCTTCCTGTCCCTACCATCAATAAGTTGGAATTGCTTTTTCAGTCTCCAAACATCATAAACACACACATACACACACACACATACACACACACACACACAGAGAGACACGGCAGCTTATTGAGATATATTTTGTACAAGAGACTGGACAAAAAGAAACAAGAAACTACTTAAAATCAAACATTGTTTTCCAGTCCAGGTTAGCATTCCTGGAAAATCCATCCACAGTATTTTTCAGGCAGGTTAAAATCTCTGAGCTGTGATCAGATAGTGTGCCAAGAACGTGGTCAGACAGACAGGCTTGGAAACTGGAAAGGAAGGTCTGTTTCCAAATGAAAAGTATAGCATAGTCACAGCTGGTATACCAGGATGAAGGGCTTTGTGAATAACACCATGTTTTAAGAGAAATAAATGGATATTGAGCCTGGGACCAGATCACTATAAGGGTACAACTCGGTTCTCCTCTCAAACTCTTTTCTCTGTCCATTTTAAAGAAATAACTTCACTGATACTTCTGCTCCTGTAAAAAATTTGGTGAAATTTTTACATTTAAATTAGTAGAGGTGCCCCAACTGTGTGCTGTTTTTCTTTTTTTGTCTTAGTTGACACTTTGATTCCCATGACAAATGTTGTCCCTAAAGACTAAAAATTGGATGAACTCTCCAAATGCAAAATATGCTTCTCTTTCAACCAGGAGCTCTTTTAGGGAAGGCTGAAGAGCTGGACAGTGAATTGAGGGGCTTTACCCTTTCAATAGCCATCACAGAAAGAAGCTAGGTTTCAGATTTGGTAAGCAGGACAGGTCTTACTGAGAAGTGACATAAGTTAGAACTTGACTAATTGTCTTTTATCTGGCAACCCATGGGTGCCTGAAATTCTAGGTTTTGCCTTCAGCAACATGACATAAAAAAGCATAGGATACAGAATGAAACAGACACAGATTTGACCCTGGATCTTCTATTCACAAGCTGTGTAACAAGGGGTAGGAAGGGTAAACTGCCTGAGTTTCAGTGTCATCATCCATAAAGGAGAAATAATAAGAATGCTTTTATAGCATTGTATTACGTGAGACAGTGTAGATAGTTCTCCTTTGCAAAGCCAATCAAAATGTGCATGATTAACAAGATGCTGGTTATCATCATTTGTCTTGCCTTCATTTGTCTTGCCAGTATCAATGAAAACACTTTTTCCTTCAAGAATAGTACTTTAGGCCAGGCACGATGGCTCAAGTCTGTAATTCTAGCACTTTGGGAAGCTGAGGTGGGCAGATCACTTGATTTCAGAAGGCCAAAACCAGCCTGGGCAACATGGTGAAACCCTGTCTCTACAAAAAAATTAGTCAGGCATAGTGGCACACACCTGTAGTCCCAGCTACTTGGGCGGCTGAGGCAGGAGGATTACTTGAGCCCAGGAGGTCGAGGCTGCAGTGAGCCAAGATGGTACCACTGCACTCCGGCCTGGGTGACAAGTGAGATTCTGTGTCAATAAAAAAAAAATATATAGCACTTTAGCCATGTCAATTATTTGCATTTTAACGTGAATGAATAATAAAAGTAAGGGGAAAGAGATGCCTAAAGAACCGCACTGAGAAGTGGAAATGGCAGAACATGCTAAGAAAGAAAAATTGTTTACCTAGGAGACTTAACATAAACTTTCTCCTCCTCAAAACACTTGCTAGGATTGGTCCTCCTGTCTCTTCCTTGCTGCTACTAGGTTTGCTTTATTTTCCCTAACAATGAAATGTAGAAGATCTGGACTTTTATTCCATAAAATAGACATTTATTGAATGCCTACCAAGTGGCAAGCACTGTGATAGGTGTGGGGAATCTAACAAACAGACTTGTCAACTGCCCCTTTGGAGCTCACAGTCCATGGAATCTGACTTGGCGAAGAAAGCCCAAGACAAAGCCTTGAGATTTTCCTCTATTAAGGACTGGGTAAATGTAACAAAGAGGAAGAAGGTGAAGATGTTCATAGCTAAGCAAGAGGAGGCAGGAGGAGATGAGATTCAGAGAAGAAGCAGAGATGAGTCTTAGGTCAGAGAAGGATGGCCTCTCCATTGATACAAAGGAACCACCTAGTTATTCAACAAATAGAAACTTGCACTCAGTCTTTATGTGAAACTAGGCTAGGTCCTAACGATTTAGTTATCAAAAAGACTTATCAATAGGTATTCCAGGAAGCCAACTCTAAGTTGGAGGTCAGCATGCGGGAGGTTTTTTTAAAGGGATTTATTAAGATCAATAGCCCGATAAAAGGAGAGGATAAAAGCAGGATCAAGCAGAAGAAAGGGTCAAACTGCAATGCAAGTCCAAGGACAGCTTCAGCAAACCCCACAGGGAGCTCTGGAGCTAGGATGTTCCTTAGAGTTCTCCCCTGTTGAACTGAGATGGTCACATGTACCAGCCATTGATGGGACCACCCTGGGATGTGGTGTTGGGCAAGGTGCCTCTCTGCTGATGAGGCAATCACACTGAAGGTGCTGGCCGCTGAAGGCCACCTACCAACAGCACTCCTTGCATCTGGGGAAACAAGTGCTTCATTGACAGAAGATCTGGGGGACACATCATAGTGCTTATCCCAAAGAACAATATAGTCTCGGCTTCATGGGGGTCATGATCTTGCCTAAGATACGGACATTAAACAACAAATCCAGCAGGTGGCAGCATCATGATTGAGGTTGGTCGACCTGGATTAAAGCAGGATTTGTTGAGTCAGGGTCCTTGGATGCAAACATTCAAAAGGACTCGTTACCTAAAGCTTAAAGGGACTTTTGGGAGGGCATAGACCAGATCAGGAAAGTGACAAGAAGGACCAAGTACCAAGCTCAAAAATGTGTAGAAATAGCAAATAGAGGTTTGACATCCAGAACCTCAACCAAGATCCTGCTATAGAAGCAGTCTGGATTGAGTATCTCTTCTGACCCTAGGAAACACTGGGTGCCACCACCTCAAAAAATACATATTTTGTTGAATGAAAATTTACATTTTTCACATTTCTTTGTTAAGAAAAAGAAAGCAAACCTAGTAGGCACATGGAAGATTTGGAAGAACCAAGCCTAGCTAGTGTTTTGAGGAGGAAAAAGTACATGTTAAGCCTCCTAGGTGGCCTGTTTTTCTCTTTCTTAGCACAGTCTACCATTTCCACTTCCCAGCACCCTTCTTCCGTCATCTCTTCCGCTTTACTTTCATTTCTTCTTTCACTTTAAATGCAAATGATTGACACAACTAAAGTGTTATTCTCAAAGGAAAAAGTGTTTTCATAAATAATAGCAACAAAGATGAAAGGTATAACAAATAATTATGATAGCCATCGTCATGTTAATCTGGCACATTATTTTTGGCTTTGCAAAAGAAAATTACCTACACTGTCTCATTTGATACATACAATGCTATGAAACCACTCTTATTTCTACCTTACAGATGATGATGCTGAAACTCAGGGAGTTTAAACTTCCTACCCCAAATTACACAGCTAGTAAGTGCAAGATCAAGGGTCAACTCTATGTCTAATCCTGAATCCCATGATCTATTTTTTATGTCATGTCGTTGAAGGCAAAAACCTAGAATTTCAGGCACTTCTGGTTGCCAGGTGAAGGAGAATTAGTCAATTTCTAGCTTATGGAACTTATCAGAGGGGATGAATTCTGGCCTATTCCTTGCCACTCTGCATCACTGGTTTCAAATTTATAGACTTGAGCATGAGCATCTCTTCATCAAGCACACACAGGTGGCCACATTCTAACTATCAACATCTGGCCTTTCAGGCTTCCTCTTGCAAAGAAGGATTTTCAAACATCAGAAGAGGGTTCAGGCACTGCACTGATTTTTTTTTAATGCGTAAAGAGCAAAGACCCATCAATTTTGGCTTGGTACTCATGAGAAGAGGTTAATGTTATGCAGATGCTAGAGACCCCAAGCTCATGAAGGGCATTCAGACAGTGGGCTGATAAAGCAGATAAACACTAAACAACAGACCATCACTTGGATTCAGTGCTTGTGAGAAGCGGTTAATTAACGTTATGCAGATGCTGGGTCAAGCTGGATAGATGTGGTATTGACAGAAGGCTTTTGGTCTCAGCAAAGTAATTAAACTGCACTCAGGAGATCAAGGCCAAATCTCAGTCAGAAGATGGAGGTTAGAGAGGAAAAGCGAAGCTCAGCGAGTGGGCACATACCCATAGCCCACCCCCAGCACAATAGTAATTCCAAATTCTTTCCAGTGGGAAGGGGAGGGCTCTTGAAATATAGCCCAATTGGCCAGGACTGGCTCAGACAGTAAGTAACGGCTGTCTTTGAGCTGAAAGTTTTCTGTTCCAGCAAATGAGTGGGGCTGGAAAAGGTAATGGCAGGAAGATAAATGACATGGAAGGAAGCTTGACTAACTTTCTTTTCTACCTCCTCCAGAGCCTTCCCCTCACCCCCACATAAAAAGACAATGTTTATTTGACACCAACTATACTAAACACTGTGCTAGGTATGTCCACAAATTTTCTCTTTAAAAACCTCAAATTGAGATCTGTTTTGCTCATTTTTCTCACTGCAGAAGCTGAGTATCATAGATGTTAAATAACTCGTCCTGAATCTCCCCAAAAACAGTGTGCCCATTTTCTATTACCTGTACTCTCTCACCCCTTACTTTATTCTAGATTCTTCACTCTCACCTTACTTGCATAGGCACTTTATATTTCTTAGATTCATATTTCTCGAACTGGAATTTATACTATTATTAGAATGTTGAAGGTATTTGAGGTCATAGGCTTAGCATAAAGTACATTTCTGCGATGACAATTTTATTTGAGGATTTCGCAGGACTGGGGTTGCTGGTTGAGGGAGGGCAAAGGGTTAAATAACTTAATTCATTAGTGTTTAAAATAGTTTCATATTAAAACAAATACAGATTCGTTGAAGATATGAATATTTAAGACAAAATGGGTAATGTCAAGGATATCTCAAATCACTTTGGGCCACACTGCAAATCCCCCTGAGATATACATTCACTCTTCTCAGTCATTAAAAGACCTAGAGTTAGATAGATCAGTAGAATGACAATAGTTAACATTAATTGTACATTTCAAAATACCTAGAAAGAATAATTTGTACATTTCTAGCATAAAGAAAAGATAAATATTTAAGATGATGGATATTCCAGTTACTCTTATTTGATTATATGAATGTATCAAATTATCCATTTACCCCTAAAATAGGTACATCTCATATCTAGCAGTGAAAATTTTTTAAAAATATTTATTGTGAGAAGTCATGGGGAAAACTCAGTTAAGCTCCCTGCCACCTCCCAAGTCCACTTGGGCACCTGACTCTGGGATCATTCAAGAGGTTCCCCATCTTGGAAGAAGACGAAATATCAATACCCACTCAGAAAAGCCCAGGCACTGGGGAAACTCCAATGGAAGAAGACCTTAAGCCTGCCATCTTTGGAAAGAGTGGAAATTTCTAGATACAAAAGAATGACTCAGAGGCCCAAAAGTGTAAAAGGAGTAATGAGATGAAATGGAACAGAGGAACACCTTGGCTTCGGGTCAGGAAAATTTCCAGACAGTAAGAACTGTTAGGTGACTGACACATCTAGGAGGAAAATGAGGGGTGTCCTGGCGCTTAGTTCTTCAAACCCGGTAGGAATAAGGCAAGCCTGGTCTACAGGAAACCATCTGTCCTGACTCCGGGAGGGTAAGATGGACAAGCAGGTCATTTTCAGCTCCTATTTCAGTTGCCCTATGGAACAGGGGTGATTCAAACTGTATGTCGTTAAAACCACTCTTCATGTCGGTGGTTTGGTTGTTTGGGTTCTTTTAAAGTACCACGTGACAAAGGCCCTTATGACAAAACAAAGTTTGTTTCAAACCTAACTCTCTTATCTTCTCTTCCCCATGCATGTAAAGTAATATGCTTTCTCTTAGAACTAGTTCCAGGGTAAACTGGATTTATGTAGTGCTTTATGTAAACCATGAGGCCAAAGAACAGAATATGAAAGATCCCACACTGGGCTGGATCAAATTTCAGGATAGCCTGAGGTTCTGAATCTGACAGTGGTACCCAGGGACATGCTGGTTGTTGTTAACCTCGAAGGGACACAGGGACAAGCCCTGGGCAAACAAACACATCTCTCTCATGGGCAGACCTTTTATGAAGGTCTCCATCTCTAGAGAATAGTAAAAACAGCGTAGGCTTTCAGAATCAGACAAAGCTGGATTCTGACTTACCCTGTCACACAGAAAAAGATGCTTTGAGGAGAGACTTAATTGGAACCTCATCTGTAAAATGCACAAAATAAAGCATGACTGAGAAAATGAAATGAACAAAGGTATGTGCAGTGCTGAGCACAGCAACTAGCATACAGCAGGTGCTTAATAAATTATAACAAATAATATATGGTGATTCTGTTTAGAAATCTCTTAAGACTCTATATGTTTTCTCAATTCCTGGTGCATTAGTATTGGAGTTCAGGTGTTTATGAGGTCCAAGCCATTATTATAATTATGTTCCTCTAATGAGTGATTTCCCGTCTAACCATGAGATACCTGCTGCCTTCCTAGTTGGAAGGGAATGTTGGTGTTTTGCTAGCAGTGCCCCAACTCCAGACTTCAAGGGAAGCCCTGTTCTGTTCATTCTTGGTCCCTAGGGTGGTCTTAACAGCTCAGACTTCCTTTCTCAACCCTTTCCTGGCTCCTAAGTGATTAACCTATTCCCTCCCTTCCAGATGCTATGAGTTAACCTTCCTCTTTTATGGGTTTACCTGAACAAACATAACGCTCTCTCACATCTGCCATTTAAATAAGAGGAGATATATTACTTACATGTTGCAATGAAAATGTTATAAGCATCAGGAAGAAATGTGTAACAGCTTGTGGCTGCCTTAGCTGTATGTTGGGGTTTACCAAGCAACCTCTTTAATTGCCATTGCTGCAATATTCACAGATCTGGCATGTAGTTTTAAAAACACACCTAAATAAATAAATTAGAGAACTGCTCTGATGGGGACAAGGTCTACAGCTCTGTCATTTCTGATTAACAAGCTTCTTTGTTTCTCACAGTTTTATAGCTGCTGCGGAATTGGAAAGGAGGCCCTTGAGATGGCCATGGGCCACTTATTCCATGATCAGTCCAAGTCTATGATACAGCTGTTTCTTGATTTGCTGGTAATCACTCATTAATAAAATCAGATTTGTGTTCATCTTCAGGCAGTGGGAATATCTGGGATGTGCTCCTGTCAAGAAAATATGTCCTAGTGTCACAAGTAAATGTGAAAAACAAGGAGTAAATACTACAAGGAGGAAAGTTAGGGCCATGGAAGAATGGTAAGTTTCTGCTGTTTATATTCGCTGGGCCATTCCAGAGTCATTTCTGTCATTGCAAAGACCCAGGCTTCTTAGGGAAAACAACAGGAACGTATTTCATCAGCATTTTTTTTTTTTTTTAGTACTCAAGGGGTGCTCATTTGCCTTTGCTTCCAGCTATCTTGCACCTATTTGCCCTGAAGTTCAAGTGCCTGAATTCTTCTTCAACCCCATCAGATATTATGCTGCTAGTACTTATTAGTATCCTGGGGTATTTTAGACTAACTATGGTTTGGAATAAAAATTATGGAGACAGACTCTGGCTACCTTACGCAGAAAAGGAATTAACTACACAGGCATTGGATACCTTACAGAATTGGCAAGAAAATGTGGTAACCAGCCTTGGCAGGAACTGAGGGACTCTCAGCCAAGGTCCTTCCTAAAAATGATCTGCCTAGAACACCACTGCTGATCTTCAGCCATCAGATTCTTGCTATAATGACACAGACTTATGACTTTGCCACAGCCTCCATGAATAATTTTTAACTGACCATGCCACTTGCATCATTCCTTCTACATTCAAAGTAGACACTAGGGAATGTGGTTGACCAACCATGGGTCACATGATGATGTCTCAGTTACTGAGCTAGGAATAGTACGGCCCATTCCTTTCACTTTCTATAGAGAGAATAACCCCCCCACCTATCTTAGGACTTGCCCCAAAACACAAAAGATGTTTTTAAATTCTGCGCAGCGAAAATGACCAGCATCCATTATAGTCCATCACATTTGCTAACAACCTCTAGGATCCATCTTTTCTTCTGAGCATTTCCAAAAACACTGCTACCATCTAATGCAATGAAACCATCCTCAGGACAACCAAAAAGTCATCATCTCCTGAATCGGAGGCAAAGCAAAGCCTCAACTGGCATTGGAGCCAGTTCCAGATATGAAGTCTATTCTCCTCCCTGGTATCCTACCAAATGAAGTCAGCCCCTAACAACACAAAATATTGTGCATACATATAAACATGGGACAGAGCCAGATAGCAGAAAAGGAAAGTACACACACACGCACACACATACACATACACACACACACACTACATTAAGAAAAGAAATATGATTTGAAGCCATATTTCTCATTGGTAACTAATATGAGGCTACAACTATGGTTACAGGTTAGGTTCTTTGGAAAGTAGATTCTGAGATAGGATTTCGCTTGCAGGATATTTATTAAGGAGAGCTCTTGGGATCAACTCCTATAGAAGGGTAGTGAAGGGAGCAGAGTAGACAAAGGAAAAAGTCAAGCTGAAATGCTGACCCAACAGCCCTAGTCAGTGCTGTGGAGACCTTGAGAGCTAGAATGACCACTCAGAGTTGACTCAAGTTGGGCTGAGATGACCAGGTCTTTAAATCCCCACATTGATCCATCACTAAATGTGGGTCACCCCATGAAGGGGCATGAACTTGAGTGAGGCAGCTCTCTATAGCTGAGTCAATCTCTGAAGGGGTTGAAAACTAAAAGATCTCTGCAGTCTCTCATAAGCTGGGGCAACAATTCATTCAATGAGGGGTAATCTAGGGGGTGTATCACAGTGTCCATCATAGCTGGTATTTATGATTTTCTTCCTCTTCTTCCTGTTCTATATTACCTTTGTCTTGAACAAGCACTTCAGCTAATTAGTATTCTTTATCCAGTGGGGTAACCCAAACCTTTATTTTTCAGGATGCTAAAGTCCAAACTCACATCATAGTCTTTCCCTTCTACAGGTAGAGCTGAGACTTTATAGGATGATCCACTGTTCAATAAGGACTACTGATAATGAAAAGGTAAGATATGGCCAGTAGGCCGGGCATGGTGGCTCACGCCTATAATCCCAGCACTTTGGGAGCCCGAGGCAGGAGGATCACCTGAGCTCAGGAGTTCGAGACGAGCCTGACCAACGTGGAGAAACCCCGTCTCTACTAAAAAATACAAAATTAGCCAGGTGTGGTGGCACATGCCTGTAATCCCAGCTACTCGGGAAGCTGAGGCAGGAGAATCACTTGAACCCAGGAGGTGGAGGTTGTGGTGAGCTTAGATGCTGCCATTGCACTCCAGCCTGGGCAACAAGAGCGAAACTCCGTCTCAAAAAAAAATTAAAATAAAAATAAAAAAATAAGATATGGCCAGTAAAATTTCTCAAGCATCAGTCCATTCTCTAACATCTTTACACTAAGTGAGTTCCTTGGTAAGAAACAATATTGTTGGAGATGCTGTAACATTGTGTAGGGCATTCCTAGGTTCAAATGATAGCTCTGGCAAAACCCAGTGAGGACAAGCCATACCCTCTCTATGAAGATGGGTCCATTTTAATCAATCTTCCATCAGGACTCACAGATGATCTTTAATGCCAACAAATTTGTTAGTGGTGGTTCCTAGCTCATCAGTGGTGAAGTGGCAGATCATGTTAAGCCCGTGTATAGAGTCCATCCCTAATCCCAACCCCAAGGGCATCATAACCTCTTATACATGAGTCAGTTTACAAGCATCAGGATGGATTAGGAAAAGATTCTCTGACATCTTGAGTCCTAGATTAAAAGCCTTCTTGGTAAAGGAAGTCTTTCATTAATAACTTGCAATGCATACAACTATTTTTAGATACATTGTATCAATCTTCAAATTAACAAACTATTTTTAGAGCAGTTTTAGGTTCACAGCAAAATTGAGTAGAGCATATAGAGAACTCCCTCATATATCAACTCCCCCACTATATCAATTTTTAAAATATGGAATAATATATTTCCTCTTCAAACTTTCTAAGAGGTATATAGCGCAATGGCTAAGAGCCAGCTTTTGAAGCCAGACTGACTAAGTTTGGACCCATGCTCTATCACTTACTAGCAAATGTGACTTCTGAGCAAGTTACTACATCTGTTTCCTCATTTTTAAATTGAAATAATAATAATAGCACCTATCTCCTCAATTGTAAGAGATAGCATCACTTCACATTCCCCCCAGGGGAAAAAAAATGCTTCCAAATAATGTGCCATCAATTATAGATACATAATAGATATATGTATAGACACATTCTAGAGATGTTCAAATGTGAAACATGTAGTCTTGGAATAAATGAGGTTCAGTACATGTTAAGAGCTCTTGTTAACTGTCAAATTCATAGCTTAATATATCAGATAACAATCAGTTCAGGACATAACCTACTGAAGCTTATAGGCAAACCAAGGGCTTTTCTCAATAGTTACTTTCTCAAGAGGGCATAATTTCTATCAAAATAAGGGCCTTCACTAGGTTATATTTTGTGAAGCCTTACCACAGTCCCAGACTACATAGACTATCTAGCTCTACCCCAGACACCTGGGTACCATTGAAGCTGCTCAGTTACTTATTCATTCAACAAATATTTATTTGCATGCCCAACTCTGGAGAGTCATTGATGAATAAGATGGAGATGAAGTGTCTATCACTTTCATGGAGTTAACATTCGAATGCACTGAATAATATTGTTGCTTGCCTTACATTCTGGATCAGCTAGAAAGACTTTAGATCCTACATCAACATGTTAGCCTTTTGAGTCACCTAGCAAATAAAATGGAGCAGCACACCCAGATGGGATCTGTATTTCTTCCAAATACAAAGAAGCCCGCCAAGCTTCTTTGTCTCTTCCTTAGAGGCATAGGACCCACTTGTCATTCAGTTTTAAAGGATTATAATAGTAACTCTTTATGACATTCCCTATGTCACTGAATCCCTAGATACTTCACTGCAGTGGAATAGCCCTGTACATTCTTTGGATTTATAACCATCCATGTATGTTTCACTAAACACCAGACATATGGATACCTTCTTCTGCTTTCTGGGTCTTATCAGCCTCATGTCCGTAATGTCTTGGACCAGCAAAATATCCTGAGATGGTCATGATCCCTGCAGTCTAAATTATAGCCCAGAGCCAAAAACTTGATAGAATCCTCAGATGATTCTTTCACATTAAATTGTACCTGGAGTTTTCTGCTCATTGGGACACAGAGGAAAGCAGTGATTAAATCAATAGCTTCTCAGCTGGTATCAGAAGGTATGCTAATTTTCTCTGATAAGGAGACCACACATTATAAAGCAATCACCCATGACACTATCCCCCAAGTCATCCATCTTCTTCATCTGCCAAACTGCAGAAATAAATGGGAGTTTGATAGTAATCACCACCCCATTTCATTCAAGTCATTGATGGTGACACGAATCCCTCCAGATCCCTTTGGATGCTATTAACTCTTTTCCATTTCAGTAGAAAGGTTGAATTCCAGTATCTTCTATCTTAATAGTCTTTATTCTGTGAGCCAGGAAGACATTGTGGGGATTTCTCACATTCTTGAAGATATTTGTTCTATCTATTCAGTCAGAAAATTGGTATAACAAATAATAAAACACAATAGTTCAAATTCCCAGTGCTCCTACTCTGCAGTGGACTTATCAAAGCTGTCTTTATCCCCTGACTTGTATAAGTACCACACTGGCATTCTGATTCTCCAGAAATTAGTTATTCCACAGCCAGAATCTTGGTCTCCACAAATAGTGTAAGCACAAAGTGACTTTGGCAAATAATTAGGGACCTTTCAGGGAAATCTAGAAGGAAGATACAGAGTGGATGCTCTTGGATTGTTATTACAGTCTTCTTGGAAGGTTTTTTTTCCTTCCCTTCTACCTAGGAGCTGTGGGAATTCTTACCGACTCCAGTGTGGAAATTAAGTGAAGAGCCAGACTTTACAAGTTCAGTCTTAACCAGTTTTTTGGTTATCCACATTAAGTAGGACCTTGGTCATCAGACTTCATGATCAATCAGAGCCTGTGGAAGGTGACCGTACCAGTCTTATATCCTATCTGAGTAACAACAGCCTTACTGAGTGATACTACTTTGTTTCTGCCATCCCAGGAGTCCTCCATCTGTACAGAAATTAGGGAGCTTATTTCCATGCATCTTTATGAAAATGCATGTCAGCAGTCTCATCTTAAAGAGAATGACCACTTGAGAACTATTAAAGATGTTCCCACCCACCTTGCTCAAGGCATTCATGAAATGTCTTCTGAGCCCTTTGGGAGACCCTGATTAGACAATGGGTGACTGACTCATACATAATTAATTCATTTAAACCTTTGTATCCCTAAAAGTCTTTGGATTCCATCTCTACATGAAACTGACATTTTTTTCATGTAGGTCCAGATTTCAGTCAACCAAGTCAAAAGATAATTAGAACCACTCCCAATTGTTCAATCTTGTGCATTGTACCCAAAATAACCAGAAAATGAACCAATGTCAATAAATTCAGCCTAAAATAAAATTAGCTTCTTCCATTCTTGATCCAACACCCTTGGAATTCATTCCTCCACACATCTTACATTTTTTTTTTGTCCACATAAATTAGTAAAGTCTTAGAATACTTTGGGATACAAGTTTTCTTCTCTTGCATAAATGAAATGACTCAGAAACAGAAAGTCAAATACTAAGTTGTTCTCACTTAAAGTGGGAGCTAAATTATGTCTACATATAAGCATAGAGTAGAATGATAGATATTGGAGACTCAGAAAGGTGGGAGGATGGGTGAGGGGTGAAGGATGAGAAATTACCTAACGGGTACAATGTACACTAAGGTAATGGTTACACCAAAAGCCCACACTTCACCACTATGCAATATATCCATGTAATAAAATTGTACTTTTGCCCCCTAAACCTATAAAAATTAAAAAGTAGTAAGATTTCTCCTCTCAAATTTAGGAGCAAACTATAGATTCAGAGTTAATGATGTTGATGGAGAGAAGAGAAAATAAGAATTGGCTTTCCCTTGGAAGGATTAGAGAATTAGTAACAGAATCTCCTAGCAAGGTTCCACCATTTAATTAAAAATGGAAGAGCTATTTCAGTTGGCTACAGGGGCTCAATGGAGTTATGAGTTTAGAGACTGAATTCTTCCACATATCCCCATTCTAATGCATGGAGTCTTATCCTATTTCACTGTCCCAACTTTGGGAAAAGGCTAATGAGACTGAATTAAACGGATTATAATTTGGCAAACAACAGAATTAAACTATTTGTTTGATTTCTGGCTACTTTAGCACTAAGGCTTCAAGAGAAATGATATTGTTTTTCCATAGTCAGAGAAAATACTTCTATTTCAGGCTGTTCCTTGAGCCAAGAATGTAGGAATTTGACTTGGCAATCTCTTTAAAGCCATCTAGCACCATTAGAAGTAGCCGTCCTATGGTGGATAGTTGCATTTTCCCATCTTGATCTACACTCAATTCTTTTCTAACTTGTTCTTTGCCCCAGAAGTCTGACCTCCCTGTCCTGCATCGACTAAGTGACCTTAACCTTCCAGCATCAGGTTGAATCCAAACAGTGGGATGTACTAGGCGGCGATCAGATAGAGAAAGATAAGGAGGCATTGACTTCCTGGCCCCTCCTTGCCAGGCCATAAGTTAGCAGTGGCTGGTTACCAAAGTCCACAACTTCTGTTTTAAAACCCTCTTCTGGGGAGGTTCCAAGATGGCCGAATAGGAACAGCTTCAGTCTACAGCTCCCAGTGTTAGTGACGCAGAAGACGGGTGATTTCTGCATTTCCAACTGAGGTACCAGTTTCATCTCACTGGGGCCTGTCGGACAGTGGGTGCAGCCCACAGAGCATGAGCTGAAGCAGGGTGGGGCATCACCTCACCCGGGAAGCACAAAGGGTCACAGAATTCCCTTTCCTAGCCAAGGGAAGCCATGACAGATGGTACCTGGAAAATTGGGACACTCCCACCCTAATACTGCACTTTTCCAACGGTCTAAGCAAACAGCATACCAGAAGGTTATATCCCACGCCTGGCTCGGAGGGTCCCATGCCCAGCTCGGAGGGTCCCACGCCCACAGAGCCTCACTTACTGCTAGCACAGCATTCTGAGATTGAACTGCAAGGCAGCGGTGAGGCTAGGGGAGGCATGACCACCATTGCTGAGGCTTGAGTAGGTAAACAAAGTGGCCGGGAAGCTTGAAAGGGGTGGAGACCACCACAGCTCAAGGAGGACTGCCTGCCTTTGTAGACTCCACCTCTGGGGGCAGGGCATAGCTGAACAAAAGGCAGCAGAAACTTCTGCAGACTTAAATGTCCCTGTCGGACAGCTTTGAAGAGAGTAGTGGTTCTCCCAGCACGGAGTTTGAGATCTGAGAATGGACAGACTGCCTCCGCAAGTGGGTCCCTGGCCCCTGAGTAGCCTAACTGGGAGGCACCACCCAGTAGGGGCTGACTGACACCTCATATGGCCGGGTGCCCCTCTGAGATGAAGCTTCCAGAGGAAGGATCAGGCAGCAACATTTGCCATTCTGCAATATTTGCTGTTCTGCAGTGTCTGCTGGTGATACCCAGGCAAACAGGGTCTGGAGTGGACCTCCAGGAAACTCCAACAAACCTGCAGCTGAGGGTCCTGACTGAGGATCCTTCTAATGAAGGAAAACTAACAAACAGAAAGGACATCCACACCAAAACCCCATCTCTAGGTCACCATCATCAAAGACCAAAGGTAGATAAAACCACAAAGATGGGGAGAAGCCAGAGCAGAAAAGCTGAAAATTCTAAAAATCAGAGCTCCTCTTCTTCAAAGGAATGCAGCTCCTCGCCAGCAACAGAACAAAGCTGGATGGAGAATGACTTTGACGAGTTGAGAGAAGAAGGCTTCAGATGACTGGTAATAACAAACTTCTCTGAGCTAAAGGAGGATGTTCGAACTCATCATAAAGAAGCTAAAAATCTTAAAAAAAGATTAGATGAATGGCTAACCAGAATAAACAGTGTAGAGAAGACCTTAAATGACCTGATGGAGCTGAAAACCATGGCACAAGAACTATGTGATGCATGCACAAGCTTCAG
Organism: Homo sapiens; assembly: GCF_000001405.40. Lineage (NCBI taxonomy): Eukaryota > Metazoa > Chordata > Mammalia > Primates > Hominidae > Homo > Homo sapiens. Next base: position 119,522,372 of record NC_000008.11, read on the forward strand.
GAGCCGATTCGATCAAGTGGAAGAAAGGGTATCACTGGTTGAAGATCAAATGAATGAAATGAAGCAAGAAGAGAAGTTGAGAGAAAAAAGAGTAAAAAGAAATGAACAAAGCCTCCAAGAAATATGGGACTATGTGAAAAGACCAAATATACATCTGACTGGTGTACCTGAAAGTGACAGGGAGAATGGAACCAAGTTGGAAAACACTCTGCAGGATATTATCCAGGAGAACATCCCCAACATAGCAAGGCAGGCCAACATTCACATTCAGGAAATACAGAGAATGCCACAAAGATACTCCTCGAGAAGAGCAACTCCAAGACACATAATTGTCAGATTTACCAAAGTTGAAATGAAGAAAAAAATGTTAAGGGCAGCCAGAGAGAAAGGTCAGGTTACCCACAAAGAGAAGCCCATCAGACTAACAGTGGATCTCTCGGCAGAAACTCTACAAGCCAGAAGAGAGTAGGAGCCAATATTCAACATTCTTAAAGAAAAGAATTTTCAACCCAGAATTTCATATCCAGCCAAACTAAGCTTCATAAATGAAGAAGAAATGAAATCCTTTACAGACAAGCAAATGCCGAGAGATTTTGTCACCACCAGGCCTGCCTTACAAGAGCTCCTAAAGGAAGCACTAAACATGGAAAGGAACAACTGGTATCAACCACTGCAAAAAGATGCCAAATTATAAAGACCATGAATGCTAGGAAGAAACTGCATCAACTAACGAGCAAAATAACCAGCTAACATCATAATGACAGGATCAAATTCACACATAACAATATTAACCTTAAATGTAAATGGGCTAAATGCTCCAGTTAAAAGACACAGACTGACAAATTGGATAAAGAGTCAAGACCCATCAGTGTGCTGTATTCAGGAGACCCATCTCACGTGCAGAGACACATATAGGCTCAAAATAAAGGGATGGAGGAAGATCTACCAAGCAAACAGAAAACAAAAAAAAAAGCAGGGCTTGCAATCCTAGTCTCTGACAAAACAGACTTTAAACCAACAAAGATCAAAAGACACAAAGAAGGCCATTACATAATGGTAAAGGGATCAATTCAACAAGAAGAGCTAACTATCCTAAATATATATGCACCCAATACAGGAGCACCCAGATTCATAAAGCAAGTCCTTAGAAGCCTGCAAAGAGACTTAGACCCCCACACAATAATAATGGGAGATTTTAACACCCCACTGTCAACATTAGACAGATCAACGAGAGAGAAAGTCAACAAGGATATCCAGGAATTGAACTCAGCTCTGCACCAAGCGGACCTAATAGACATCTACAGAACTCTCCACCCCAAATCAAGAGAATATACATTCCTCTCAGCACTGCATCACACTTATTCCAAAATTGACCACATAGTTGGAAGTAAAGCACTCCTCAGCAAATGTAAAAGAACAGAAATTATAACAAACTGTCTCTCAGACCACAGTGCACTCAAACTAGAACTCAGGATTAAGAAACTCACTCAAATCCACTCAACTACATGGAATCTGAACAACCTGCTCCTGAATGACTACTGGGTACGTAACAAAATGAAGGCAGAAATAAAGATGTTCTTTGAAACCAATGAGAACAAAGACACAACATACCAGAATCTCTGGGACACATTTAAAGCAGTGTGTACAGGGAAATTTATAGCACTAAATACCAACAAGAGAAAGCAGGAAAGATATAAAGTTGACACCTTAACATCACAATTAAAAGAACTAGAAAACCAAGAGCAAACACATTCAAAAGCTAGCAGAAGGCAAGAAATAACTAAGATCAGAGCAGAGCTGAAAGAGATAGAGACACAAAAAACTCTTCAAAAAATCAATGAATCCAGGAGCTGGTTTTTTGAAAAGATCAACAAAATTGATAGACTGTTAGCAAGATTAATAAGGAAGAAAAGAGAGAAGAATCAAATAGACGCAATAAAAAATGATAAAGGGGATATCACCACCAATCCCACAGAAATACAAACTACTGTCAGAGAATACTATAAACACCTCTATGCAAATAAACTAGAAAATCTAGAAGAAATGGATAAATTCCTCAACACATACACCCTCCCAAGACTAAACCAGGAAGAAGTTGAATCCCTGAATAGACCAATAACAGGCTCTGAAATTGAGGCAAAATTAATAGCCTACCAACCAAAAAACTCCAGGACTAGACGGATTCACAGCCAAATTCTACCAGAGGTACAAAGAGGAGCTGGTACCATTCCTTCTGAAACTATTCCAATCAATAGAAAAAGAGGGAATCCTCCCTAACTCATTTTATGAGGCCAGCATCATCCTGATACCAAAGCCTGGCAGAGACACAACAAAAAAAGAGAATTTTAGACCAATATCCCTGATGAACATCGATGCAAAAATCCTCAATAAAATACTGGCAAACCAAATCTAGCAGCACATCAAAAAGCTTATCCACCATGATCAAGTTGGCTTCATCCCTAGGATGCAAGCCTGGTTCAACATACACAAATCAATAAACGTAATCCATCATATAAACAGAACCAAAGACAAAAACCACATGATTATTTCAATAGATGCAGAAAAGGCCTTCAACAAAATTCAACAACGCTTCATGCTAAAAACTCTCAATAAACTAGGTATTGATGGGACATATCTCAAAATATTAAGAGCTATTTATGACAAACCCACAGCCAATATCATACTGAATGGGCAAAAACTGGAAGCATTCCCTTTGAAAACTGGCACAAGACAGGGATGCCCTCTCTCACCACTCCTATTCAACATAGTGTTGGAAGTTCTGGCCAGGGCAATGAGGCAGGAGAAGGAAATAAAGGGTATTCAATTAGGAAAAGAGGAAGTCAAATTGTCCCTGTTTGCAGATGACATGATTGTGTATTTAGAAAACCCCATCGTGTCAGCCTCAAACCTCCTTAAGCTGATATGCAACTTCAGCAAAGTCTCAGGACACAAAATCAATGTGCAAAAATCACAAGCATTCCTATACACCAATAACAGACAAACAGAGAGCCAAATCATGAGTGAACTCCCATTCACAATTGCTTCAAAGAGAATAAAATACCTAGGAATCCAACTTACAAGGGATGTGAAGGACCTCTTCAAGGAGAACAACAAACCACTCCTCAACAAAATAAAAGAGGACACAAACAAATGAAAGAATATTCCATGCTCATGGGTAGGAAGAATCAATATCGTGAAAATGGCCATACTGCCCAAGGCAATTTATAGATGCAATGTCATCTCCATCAAGCTACCACTGACTTTCTTCACAGAATTGGAAAAAACTACTTTAAAGTTCATATGGAACCAAAAAAGAGCCCACATTGTGAAGACAATCCTAAGCCAAACAAACAAAGCTGGAGGCAACATGCTACCTGACTTCAAACTATACTACAAGGCTACAGTAACCAAAACAGTGTGGTACTGGTACCAAAACAGAGATATAGACCAATGGAACAGAACAGAGGCCTCAGAAATAATACCTCACATCTACAACTATCTGATCTTTGACAAACCTGAGAAAAACAAGCAATGGGGAAAGGATTCCCTATTTAATAAATGGTGCTGGGAAAACTGGCTAGCCATATGTAGAAAGCTGAAACTGGATCCCTTCCTTACACCTTATACAAAAATTAATTCAAGATGGATTAAAGACTTAAATGTTAGACCTAAAACCATAAAAACCCTAGAAGAAAACCTAGGCAATACCATTCAGGACACAGGCATGGGCAAGGACTTCATGACTAAAACACCAAAAGCAATGGCAACAAAAGCCAAAATTGACAAATGGGAGCTAATTAAACTAAAGAGCTGCTGCACAGCAAAAGAAACTACCATCAGAGTGAACAGGCAGCCTACAGAATGGGAGAAAATTTTCACAACCTACTCATCTGACAAAGGGCTAATATCCAGAATCTACAAAGAACTTAAACAAATTTACAAGAAAAAATCAAACAACCCCATCAAAAAGTGGGCAAAGGATATGAACAGACACTTCTCAAAAGAAGACATTTATGCAGCCAACACACATGAAAAAATGCTCATCATCACTGGCCATCAGAGAAATGCAAATCAAAACCACAATGAGAGACCATCTCACAGCAATTAGAATGGAGATCATTAAAAAGTCAGGAAACAACAGGTGCTGGAGAGGATGTGGAGAAATAGGAACACTTTTACACAGTTGGTGGGACTGTAAACAAGTTCAACCATTGTGGAAGACAGTGTGGCGATTCCTCAAGGATATAGAACTAGAAATACCATATGACCCAGCCATTCCATTACTGGGTATATACCCAAAGGAATATAAATCATGCTGCTATAAAGACACATGCACAAGTATGTTTATTGCAGCACTATTCACAATAGCAAAGACTTGGAACCAACCCAAATGTCCATCAATGATAGACTGGATTAAGAAAATGTGGCACATATACACCAGAGAATACTATGCAGCCATTAAAAAGGATGAGTTCATGTCCTTTGTAGGGACATGGATGAAGCTGAAAACCATCACTCTCAGCAAACTATCACAAAGACAGAAAACCAAACACCGCATGTTCTCACTCATAGGTGGGAACTGAACAATGAGAACGCTTGGAAACAGGACAGGGAACATCACATACTGGGGCCTGTCGTGGGGTTGGGGGAGGGGGGAGGAATACCTAATGTAAATGATGAGTTAATGGGTGCAGCACACCAACATGGCACATGTATACATATGTAACAAACCTGCACGTTGTGCACATGTACCCTAGAACTTAAAGTATAATTTAAAAAAAAAATAAAAAATAAAAATAAAATAAAACCCTCTTCTATAGCTATAGCTGCAGCAATAGCTCTCTAGGTTCTGGTAACTGTTCCTTCTCCTTCCTCTTTCAGGCATAGAGGACAGTAAGGGTTCTTGTAGCTCAAATCCCTAAAATACTTCACCATTCCATGTTGATTTCCCTTAATCCTGCCCACAATATTGTAAATGGGCCTTTTGTTAATCTCTCCTCAAATACCTCATTTAAGTGTATCATCTGTTTCCTGATAAGACCACAAATAATACCACCCCATCTCATAATTCTCAAATTCCTGGGGCTCTTTATTCTATTCTAAGGTACCAACTACTCAGTCCACCAACATCTTGCCTTTAATGAACATTTCATTTCAGATTACCAAGGACGATAGCTTAATCAGCAGCACTCAACTATATGCCTTGGGCTTCTAGCCTTCCATCCGTGAAAGGAGACAAAACATAATCAAAACACAACCAAAACTACCATTAATATCATTGCAGTACAATACTCTCTGCCATCAGTGACGGCACTAATACCACTGAACTTGAACCCCTCTGCCCCTGGCTACCGAACTCTATCACAGTTGTCCCAAGTAACCTCTGACTTCATGGCAGTTCATTGTCCCCAACATTTTCACATTATTCTTATGCCAGTTCCAGAATTAGTCTCAATATGCAACTCAGTCTTCTCCTTTTTCTTGAACTCAGAACTCTGCTGCTTTTCCTATCCCACATTCTCATCTAATCCCCCCAACCCACCCTCAGGCATTCTAACATAAGACAATTCATTCTGCTCCCTTTCTCTGACAACAGAGTGAAATGTAGTTTGAGTGGGGGTTTAGAAGTCAGCTATTTATATAGGAATAAGTTTATCATTTGAATTAGGGTTCTCCAAAGGGACAGAACCAATATCATATATGTATATATATAAAGGAGTTTATTAAGGAGAATTGGGTCACATGATTACAAGGTGAAGTTCCACCAAAGGCCATCTGCAAGCTGGGGAAAGTGAGAAACTGTGCCTCAGTCCAAGTCCAAAAACCTCAGAACCAGAGAAGCCAACAGTGCAACCTACAGTCTGTGGCCAAAGGCCCGAGAACCCCCAGGAAGCCACTGGTGCAAATCCCAGACTGTAAAGGCCAAAGAAACTGGAGTCTGATATCCAACGGTAGGAGAAGCAGAAGCAGGCATTCAGCACTGGAAAAGGAAAGAGAGCCAGAAGACTCCACAAGCAAACTTATTGCACCTTCTTCCATCTCCTTTGTTCTAGCTGCACTGGCAGCCAATTGGATAGTGCCCACTCACATTGAGGGTGAGTCTTCCTCTCCCAGTTCACCAACTCAAATGTCAGTCTCCTCTGGCAACACCCTCACAGACACACCCAGAAGCAATACTTGACCAGCCATCTAGGCATCTTTTAATCCAATCAAGTTGACACCTAAAGTTAATCATTACATTATTCCCTTACAGATTTTAGAGTTGTTTCTTAGAGCTATTCAATATTCAAATGCCAGGAAAAAAGGTCTGCTTCTATAGAGAAGGCTTATCCAAATATTTGTGTTACACTAAGGCTTTCAGCTTTTGCAGCAGTCTAAGACACTGCTATATCAAGTGGACTGGATGGGCAAAACATCAAATTGTTGTTAGTTTTGCTATGATAGATTAGATAGCTTTAGCTTAAATCCACCAAAGGCCTTCAAAAGGCAGGGGGGTCACAGTGAACAAAGACTGGGCATGGACAGAAGACTTATATTCAAAGCCAAGTTCTACTGCTTATAGGAAGGGAACTGATTTCCAGCTACTCCTGGGGCTGATGTTGAAGTTCTTCCTGATCAATCAGCCATTGTAGGCACTTTAAGAATAATATCTTTGAATGGAGCTAAGCCAAAGGGCCATAACAATGGCAGGCCCCCCCATGGAGCACAGTTGACCCCAGATAACAATAACAAAGTATGATCACCCTCCCTTGAAGGGTCACTGTAGGCAGGTATAGGAATCTGGACCAGTAATGTCATTCTGCTAAAGCAACTAGGGATGTAGTCAGTTTGAATATAAACAAATTAAAGATGGAGCTTTATTCGTACCATTAAGTTAGTGAGGCAAATTGTCTTAGTTAAATGGAGCTTCTAACCATAAAAGATTTCCATTACAGTGATTTCTTATTCTTTGAAAAGCCCCCTGTGTACATCTTGGGAGGAGATTCCTGGTATATATATAATGGGATAACCGACGTTTGGACTAGTAAGACTACCATTGTTTGGACAGGAAGGTACACCAAAGTTCAAGTTTTGAAGAGCAAAGCCATTGAATTTAGTGCCTTTTCTAACTTCATTATGCCTGCCTGCCTAAATCTGTAGTAGCATCATGATTTGCTGCAAAGATTGAATTGTCATTGATTCAATTCATATATTTAATAGTTTCACTAGTAAGACCTCATGGTTAAGTATAATAAGCACTAGACTGGGAATGAGTAAGCCAAGTTGATTCCCAGACCTATAAAACATTTAATTATCTGTGCAACTATGGACAAACAAATTACTCTCTTTAGACCTAGTCCTCATCTGTGATATCCATAAAATGGAAAAAGCAAGGCCATTCTTGACTACAACCCAGGGTTACTATGAAGTCAAATGGGATAATACATCTGATATTGCTTTGCAGATTGGATTGAACAGTGTATAAATGTGAGAGATGACCTAATTCATCCTCAAATTTTAACTGGTGAATTTGGAGCTGGCTAGTGCTCATTTGAAATAACATTTCTCCAAAGAGTTCAGGTCCTCTCAATCATCACTTCCCAAGACTTTTAAAGAGAGTCACAAGGCTAAACCTCCACTGCCATATTCAGAGTATGAAAAGCCCATTTAGCTGTCTTCCCCTGCTCTTGGCAGACTCTCAGGGAATGCCAGCAAAACGTCTGAAATTGGAACAGCAACCCACCAAGTACATCCAAATCTTTCATCAAACTGTGCCTAGTTTAGAAGCAATATTATGTTAACATTACCCCCACCATGGATTATTTCTAATGAAACCAATCTGCCAAGGTGAAATGAGAGCATGTGTCACAGTGAGGCATAATTGGGTTGACCTGAAAACTAAGTTTAAAAGTGAATATCCTTTCAAATAAAGATGAGCAAAAAGATTTTGAAAATATCAGGACTCCCGACTTCCTTAAATCTGTGGCCCAGCCCTTAGACCAAAATATAACCAAATCTTTTAAAGTTTCTGGGTGTAATTAGAATAGAAATTTGTAATTCTGTGTATTGAGTCACATTCTCCTGATGAATAAACTCTCTTAATTGTAGACTAGCAAACTTCAAAAGCAGAATCAACTCTGTCAGGCTACCAGGGCACCATCCAGGATGTGGAAGATACCAAAGCAGTCTTTAAGGTTGACCTCTGAATTGTCATCATTTCCCTTGTCTCCTTCGCTGCTCCATCGTCTTACTTCTACCTCTGTTTGCAGGCCTCTCATGCTAGACCCCAGCATTTTATGGTGTCTTTTCTGGACACTACACTGGGCTCTGGGATTATAAATATGAGTAAGACACAAGCCTTGGCGCTGAAGACTCTGCTTTTATTCCTAACCTCCTTTTTATTTTATTGTATTGTTTTATTTTTTGATGGAGTCTCACTCTGTCACCCAGGTTGGAGTGCAGTGGTGCGATCTCGGCTAACTGCAACCTCTGCCACCCGGGATCAAGCGATTCTCCTGCCTCAGCCTCCCGAGTAGCTGGGATTACAGGCGCCTGCCACTGCACCTGGCTAATTTTTGTATTTTTAAAAGAGACAGGATTTCACCATCTTTGCCAGGCTGGTCTTGAACTCCTGACCTCGTGATCCACCTGCCTTGGCCTCCCAAAGTGCTGGGATTATAAGCATGAGCCACTGCACCCAGCCCCAACCTCCTTTTTCTATTAATTCTTCTTACTCATTCTTTCAGGTCAAATACTTCCTCTATGATACTTACCTTTATTTTCCCAGGAAGTTTTAAAAGTTCCTTCTTCATGATTTAACTGTTCCTTGAACATATGCCCATTTTAATATTTATGCTGTATTTATTGTAACTATTAGTTTATATGTTTCCTTGAGATCAATAATCAAGACTTTTCATTTTTACAGTCTAAAACCTCAAGTAATATCTGGCACAAGATACATGTTAAAAATATTTGTTGAATAAAGGATTCCCCAATCCAGTCATTCTCTAGTCAACAAATGCTTTCATTTCTACCCACTTAGTTGTTCTTCTCTCCAACTCCCTTTCCTTCACTATCTTTACTGCTCAACTATGGCCCTCCATCACCTTTTACTGTATGTTTCAAATAAATGTCTCATATATTATTCTTAGGCATCTCAGATCTATTTTCTGCTCATACCAAAATTATCTAGTGTATATGTCAAACCACCTTACTCCATCAAATATTCTTTCCCAGTTAGACAGTAAAAACATCTGCTCTAATTAACCTTCTCAAGTCTATTTCTGCCTCTTCCAGCCAAGTTCCCCATGCTCCTAAATAATGTATGCACTTTTAATATCTCTGTGGCTTTGTTCATGTGTTTCTTAAGCTTGGACAATCCTTCTACCTATGTCTCACTATTGAAAACCTACCTGTCTTTTTAGCTTAAAGATATCACAAAATCTCAAAAGCACAAGCTAATAAAATCCTAGTCTTTCCAATTTACCAAAGTAACTTGCCACAATCTAAATGTGGAACTAGAACTAAAATCCAAGGCTTTAACTCTCGATCTCTTTAGGGATTCCTGATGCCACATTTATAAATAGACAGCATAACCGTATGATGTATGGCCCAATAGGGAACAGTTTTGAGAGTTAAAGAGGGCACTATTAAAAATTACACCTGCATAACAAATATAAATCAGGTCAACCTACCTAATTATAATCATCCTAAAGCTGTGGTAAGATTACAAGAGAACAAACAGTTCTATGTTACCTAGGTCTTCCTCTTAATGACAGGCCATGGAATAATGAAGGTGATTTGAGATTTTAACAAATTATTTTGTTTTGCACTCTCTATTTTAAAACAGCAATAATACACGCACACACAAAAGTATTATAATTAGTGTAGTTTCTCTAGTGACTGCACAAGATGTTGTAATATCAGGTACTACATGAGTTCTAGAATCAGATACATCTGTGTTAGCTACATAGCTTCAGCACTTATTATAAGCTTAAGCTTCAGTCTCTTCATCTGTAAGATGAGGACAGTGAGGCCCATCTAACCGGACTTTTGACAGATTCATTCAACATATATTTGTTGAGTGTTGACCAAGTGTGAGATTTTATACTGGATACTGCAAATACAATGCTGAGTAAATCATTGCTCTTCATTAGAGTCTAGCCAGGGATATCGATATTAAGCCCAAGTGCATGTACTATCCTAAACAAGGAAGACTGTTATGACCCCATACGGCCATATAACAAAAGGATCTGATCCAGATTGTGAGGTCATGAAATGCTTATGAACAGAGAGCTTAAGAGTAACTAGACAGAAGAAGAAAGAATGTTACTTCTGTTAATATGAATAGCATGTGCGAAAGCCCTGGGTCCATATGGAGCCTGACCTAATCAAGACACATAAGAAAGACCTATGTGACAGGAGCGCAAAAAAGTGAAGGAGAAAATGGTTGGAGGTAAAGCTGGAGAGAAAGTCAAGGACCAGGACAAGAAACAATTCTATAGACATATTAAGGGTCTCTGTGTTGTTGCTGTTTTTGTTGTTTATTGGTTTTTTTTTTTTTGTAAAGAATAATGAAACATTAAAGACTTCTAAGTACATAGTTCTTTAAGTTCATAGTTCAGGGAGAAGATAGGTACTCATAATTAGATTTGCACTTGGAAAGATCGCTCTTGTTGTAGAATGAAGAGTGGATTAGAGGATGGCCAGAACAAATGCAGGGAGACCAGACAGAGAGCTCTTAGGGTAGTTCAGATGAGAAGCAAGTGTGGCTTGGACTAGGGTGGAGGCAGGCAAGGTATGAGGAAGTGAAAGAAAGAGGTAAAATTGACAGAGTGATTGATGGTGGATAATGGCAAAAAATGATTCTTAAATTTCTGTCTGGGTGGTGATGCCACGCACCAAAACAGAGAACACCAGGAGAAAAGGGGGTTTAGGGTAAAGGTCTTGGATATGTTCAGTGTGAGGGGCCTGGAAACATGCAAGTGATGGTATTGAGGAGGAATATGGATATACAGGTGCAAGGCTCTGAGGTGAGATCTGGGCTAGATCATGCCTTAATAGGTGGCCATGACAGCCATGCCCATGAATTCTGAGAGATTCCTGAGAGATACTGTGGAGAGGAAAAGAAAAAGACCTAATGCCAAGCCTTGAGCAACTTTAATATTTAATGGCAGGTTAGAGAAGAACAATGCCACAAAGGCAAAGGAGCCTAAGCCAAAGATGGAAGAGGCAATCCAAGAAAAAGACAGTCATCAGTGGTGTCAAACACTGCTGAGAACTCAAGAAAATATGAACAGAAAAATTCTCATTGGATTAAGTGTCATGAAGGTCACTTGTGACCCAAGAGGGCTATGTTGGAGGAGTGATAGGGCAGAAGCCAGTTAAAGGTGGACTGAGGAGTGGGCAAAGGATGAGGGAATGAAGACCACAAGAGCAGACACATTTTTTGAGAGGTTTGGCTCTAAACATTGGAAAGGATTAGAAGAATATTGGAAAAAGAATGGTTAGGAGAAGTTGTAAAAGGAGCCAGGTATTGTGTAAAGGGAATTTTCTGGAGATTAAAGAGAGTTCAGTGTATTTAACTATTTATGGAAAAATCTGCTTGAGGAGATGCATTGATAGTGTAAGATCCCTTTGCAGACAGAAGAATGAAGAAGCTAAACCACAGGAGAAGAGTTGGCCTTAGGAGGAGGGACACCCTGATGATGTGTCCTACAGGTAAACACTTCAGAAAGCATCAGAAGTTCCAATCCAATGGCTTCAATTGCCTCTGAAAATAAGAGAAGAAATCAGGGGCTCAGAGTGAAGGGGCACACGAAACATGGTCAGAGGTTGGGACAGAGCGACGGTGGTCACTGTGGAGTGGAGATGAGAGCTAATGGGCCATATGAAGGGTGTGATCATGAATTTACTATGATACTACTATGTCCTGTTGTGTGGCTTTCTCCATCATCACCACACTGCTCAGATACAGATATGGAAAAGTCGGAAATGAGGTTAGGATTTTGCCATATCAACGTGAAAAAAAAGGCAAACAAGGAAGCTGTGAGGAGAGAAGAGCCTGCCTGAGGACTCTCACTAAAGCTCTCTCTTTACACAGAGGTGTGACAGACCACTGTGTGGCCCTTCTGCTGGAATCTCAGAATTGCAACTAATGCCAAACCTGAAGACCAAGTTGCTGTGTACAAGTCACATTCTAAAGGGAGCTTCCAACACTGGCTGCTCCCACTGGGGCCAAACTCTTGCCTCCTTCCTTTTTCTTCACTGTACTACCAGGACTTACTAAGAAAAGGCAGAACAGGCCATACAACCATGGGACTTCATTCACCCCATGTTGGCCACCAGACATATACAAAGCATCTGCACACAATTTATTATCACTTTTAAAGAGAAAAAAGAGACTGGACAGAAGAGTTGTAGCCTTTCTGGAGGACACAGAAGTGGTCAGAAAGTCACTGTCTCTGCCCAGTAAGTCTTTAAAGGATGGGAAAAAGAGAAATAGTAATAATATGTGCATCAACCTTAATGTACTGTTTCCACCTTAACACATCATACATTAGCTACCTGTGTGACCTATACGACTTCTATTAAGTGATACATAAGGAACTATTTTTTTTTTTTTTTTTGCAGAATATCCCTGTTTCACTGTTGTTTTCCCCTCTTGTGTTTTTGTCCCTCTCTCATGCTTCTGAATCAATAATTGTGCTTTCTCTCTTCCCAAACTCAGCAAATGGAGCAAAGATAAGAGCCTAGGGTGGAAAAGTATGGCAAAATTCTCTCTTACAACTGCTTTCTTTCTGTAGCTCACATCTGCCCAGAGTAACCAGGCAACAGATCCTCTCTTCCCTTCACTTTTGCCAATGTTATAGGACAGAAGGCAAGGGTTGTCCCCTCCATGTCCTAAGGGACTTGAGGCTTTGTTTCATAGTTGTGGCTCTTGAGGACTTGGAGACACAGGAAGTATCACCACTGGAAGGCTCAGGCTAAAGACTGCAAGTGGGTCACTCTGCTGCTGGGATCTGGGAGACATGGCACCTCTCCAAGGCTCAGAAAGGAGCAAAGAATCACTGCCAACATTTCAGTCCCACTGGTGAGATAAGATCTTACCTTAGTGCAAATTCATCACTGAGCTCCAAAGCAGTGACTTCCTCTCCCTTTTCCAAAACCAACACTCAACTATTTGATGAGTCATTGGTTCCCTGACATTTGTAGAATATACTTGAAATGTTCCCAGAGGGAGGAAAATTATACTGTAATCAAATCCCTTTCTCTCCTCTCTGCCCTCCCCCTTTTCTCCAGCCTCTATAAGTGAGGACCCTACAAGCTTCACAGTGGAGTCCACTGGAGTTTTGGCCCTTTCTCATCTAATTCTGTTGAATGAGCTGGGTCCTGGGTTTTCAAAAGAGAACTGAACCAGGCCTCCCCTCCATCCTCACATAGGACCAAAATACTTGTTTTTATCCCTGTAACTGAGAAAACTTGGGAGGAATAAGATGGGACCCATTGTTAGGTTAGTATTGGTTACATATTTGTTCATTGCAGCACTTGATGGGTGCTGGTGGCAAGGTGAGAGTTAGTCAAGGACTGATGGGCATGAACAAGGGAGCAAGACATTAGGAGGGAGCTAGTGAGCAGATTACAGGGACCAGGAGGAGGGGCGAGTTTGCAACCATGACAGGACATAGAGAAGATGGATTAGTGAAGGTGGTTGTGTGGCAAAAAGTTAGAAGTTGATGAAGAGTTTTGAAACAGAGTGAATGATGATGGGGGGATAGGTTATATGTGACTAAGATTGTTTTCTGAATCTTGAATTGATCCATCCACCTTAATTTGCAGAAAGAAGACATGACCAGCTCCTATGTGAATTAGTACTCTTCGTTGCGTGTCAAAACCCAATTTATATTTACTTAAGCAAAAGGCATTTGTCAGTCCATGTTACTGTAGCTTAGTGGGGGTATCCAGCTACAGGCTTGGCTTAGGCAGAGGACCCAGGTTCTTTCTCTTTACCTCAGCTCCATGTCCACTGTAATGATTTCATATGTAGCATGGTTTTTCCTCTTCAGAAAAGGAGAACATCACATCCAGTGTTACATCCTCCCAAGTTTAAGTCTAGCAAGAATTAGCATGTTCCCTCTTTCTTGAGGTTCCAGCCAAAGTCCCACTGTGTCTTCTTGGTCCTGACTAGGTGATATGACACTCAGGCCCACTATCTGTGCCCAGGGAAGACCTGTGTACCATACCCATTGAACTGGAGTAGATCCACATTACTCAAATTGCATAAATTGAGAGAGGGGTAAAGAAAGATGGTTTCTTAAGAGGAAGTTGGAGTGCTACTTCCAAAAAGGGACATACAGTTAATCAGGTGGTATAGCCTGAATGTTTGTGTGCCTCCAACATTTGTATGTTGAAGGCTAATTCCCAATGCAATAGCATCAAGAAGTAGGGACTTTAGGAGGTGATTAGGTCATGATGGTGGAGCCCTCATGAATGGGATTAGTGCCCTTATAAAAGAGGCCCGAGGAAGCTTATTCACGTCTTCCACCTTGGGAGGACAGTGAGAAGCATGCCCCTCTGAAGCAGAGAGCAAACCCTTGCCAGACATTGAATCTGCTGGTGCCTTGGTCTCGGATTTTCCAGCCCTCAGAACTGTGAGTAATACATTTCTATTGTGTGTAAATTACCTAGGCTAAGGTATTTTGTTACAGCAGCCTGAATGAACCAAGACACCAGGTCTTATGAAATATTCTGATGGCTCCAAAGATCAACAAAATTAGAGTCAGTTAAATAGTCTGATTCATATGACCCTATTAGCTTTTCTGCAATAAAAATTGCTCCTTTTTATGCCAGGACTTAACTGAATTATCTTATATAATTGTGACAATGATCCTATAAGGTAGGTACTTTATTAATCCCATTTTACAGACAGGAAAGTGAAGCCCAATGAAGTTAAGGGACAATTACGAGATCTCATTTCTAATCAGTGGATGAGTCAATATTCACAATCAAACAGATTTAAACCAGATATCCCACTTAAAATGGTCAAAGATTCATAAAATATGGCCCAGAGTTCTCATATGAAGTTTTTTTTTTTTCTAAAGTTCTGAGGGACAAAATATTACACCCATTGTCAGATAGGGAAGATGCCTATAAGAACCTGCATAATTTGAAGTCACAGATAAAAGCTGTAGCACCTGTAGTCCCAGCTACTCAAAAGGCTGAGGTGGGAGGATTGCTTCAGCCCAGGAGTTTAAATCCAGCCTGGGCAACATAGTGAGATCCTGTCTCTTAAAAAGAAAAATGAATAAATAAAAGCTATGGTGCCCAGCTCACTTCTAAGAATTCCTTGAATTCATTTCCCTTCAAAGTTGAATGCAAGCAAAGCTTGATTGCAGAGTCAAAATGTCACTGAGATCTAGATTCAGTCCATCTGACTGGGTTATTGAAGTCTCTCCAAGCAGCCAAGTAGGGCAGAAGAAATATAAAATAAGGAGCAGAGGTTGAGAGAGAAGTGTGGGGGGAGATGGATTTTGGAAGACCTAGCCATTGGCAAAGACCCTGGGAAGCATAAATACAAAGTTAATTTATATTATATTGTGTTAAATAAGGTAATATTGTGCCTTTTTCCTCCCCATGAAAAGCATTTACAACACCTTGTTCTTATGCATTCATCCATGCCTCTGACGTTTATCAAGTTCTTGGCAGACACTGAGTGACATATAACAGAGGCTGAGTCAAATAGTTTATAATTCAGCCTGGGAGGAAACAGCAGCAAACAACTAACTATAAAATAATGAGATAAACAATGTCTCTTACTTGAATAGATTGGCATGGGGGCACAAAGATGGATGGGAGCAAATAATTTTGACTTTGGAACAAACTGTTGGTGAAGGTTGCATGAAGAGTTCTACATTGGAATTGAGTAGACCAAGATATTCAGAGATCAGAGGTGGAGCTGGGGGAAGTTCAGAACATTTCGACTCAAAATCAAAAGGTTTTCATCACTGTACTAGACCTGAGGAATTATTCAACCCACTCCCATTTTGCACTGGAAAAAATTGAGGCTCAGAGTGGGCAAGATCACTCTGAAAGTTAGTGGCAGCATAAGACTAGAACCTGGGTTTTCATATTCATGATTTAGCCTGGGGCTCATCTGCTGCTTTCATCCAGTGCAGTTCAACCAGCAGGTCCTGGACATCTACTGTGGGTCACACGTGCTAAGACCTGAGGTTGGTAAAGTGTTGAATAAAACACTGTCCATGAGCCTGAGGTGCTCTAGAGGTTGAGGCTTCTGCAGACAAATATTGTAAAATACAGACACCAGGGGTGCAGAGAGGGTGTGGGAAGGGAGGAGTAGCCAGTGGAGCTTTTGAAAGGAGGGGATTCCTTGAAAAGTAGCCAGGAAAGAAGGACCAATGAGTGCTCCATGGAGAGATTAAAAAGTTCACTTTCATTGCCTAAATCACACTACACTTCTGATTGCTCCTGCAGCCCCACTCTCCATTCTTTTCTTATTTTGTTCAATAGGAGTCTATGAGCTCATCAACAGGTTACCTTGCCGTCTGGCATCTGCATGGGTTTGGTCAATGAAAGTCACCAGCAGGAAAGAGAGAGGTTCACAGTATCTATCTCCTGGGTCTCCCCATTCCAGGCCTTGTTTTGATATGGCTGCATCCCTCTTCTGCAGGCCATTCCTATTACTAGAGAGCCATCTACACTTACAGCTGTCTCTCCAGGTTTCAATAACCTTCCCAATGGCTCCTCAGGCCCAAGGGCAGTGTCTCCCCTCTCCTACGGCCAGAAAGCTTTAGTAACCATTGTAGGTTTGCTTTAACCCTGTACACCCCTTGCAAACAGTCGCTTCATTTAACCCTCTTCAATTGCTCCCTTTGAATTTGCCTTCTGCTTCCTGTCAGGATAGACCAACAATGGGAATGAACAATCCTCACCTCTCCCCCAGGAGAAATCCACCTGTGTCCCACCTCCCCCCAAAAAATCTCAAGAAAACTAGAAGAGAAAAAAAATAAGCCAACCTAGAAATGAAGAAGATAACTTTTTTCTTGAATTGAACAGAATACTTGTTTATGTTTCCTATATAGAAATCTTTTCATTTAGAGGTCAGCAATTATTCATTTTAACATGTGGATCATGGTATTATAGCTAATCCATTATAAAATAGAAACCATCCTGGGTCCTCCTCATACTCTCTTTCCTCACAAGATTATTTTGACCCAAACTATCAGCTTCCAGTCACCTTAGTGGAAATCTGCCTTGGGTAAGAGCATGAGGAATATTATTGTCCCATAATGTGTGGAAGCCAAGATCTTTGAGAAACTAAGTTAACCAGCGTTCAGAAGCTCAACTTGTGGAGGGAAGGGTGAGTTGAAACAGGAAGAAAGTTTGCCAACAGCACATTCTAGAACACAGTTTTTAATATTTTAAAGGCAATCTATTGATGTCACTGTTAATAAAGACAACAGAAAGAGTACTGTGAAAGCAAATCTTGGAGACATCTAGAAAACGTAATGGGAGGAAGTGTTTTCTAATGGGAGAGTTCCTCAATACCAAAGCACAGGCCATAGCCACCCACATGGCCATATCCCCAGGTTCCAGCCCCCAGATGGCTTTGTTCATAAAGATACCAGCTGTTTCCTGCTCCTCGGGATGCTACAGGTCTGTGCAGCTCTCCTCTGAAGTCACTCTTCTTGTTTTGTTTATCTCAGGTACAATGCACAATGAAAGGCACATCTTCATTAGGGAATCCCACATTAGGGAATCTCTCTGTTGAGCATCCCTGTTCATGGGCCTACCTTTTCATTACTGAAAGCTACTTTTTCCTTGTTATTTTTTAATGAATATTGCTTAGGAACAAAATACTTGGGGATTCAGAAAAGAGTTAATTTTGCCCTCAAATACTTGTACTTTTGTCATGATGGGGGTGGATGCTATGTATACATGTTGTCAAAGACAAGTACACTTTTATATTCAGATCCAGTAAAACTGTTTACATCTGTCTGAATAAAACTTTTGACTTGTAAATGCAGAGAAAAGGATGTTTTATTTACCCAGATTCAGAGCAACAGAACTCCTTTTTATATCAACAGATATATATGATATGTTTTTGTACAAGCTGCAGAGAGCTGTCTACAGTGACTTTGACAGGACTAAGTTTATCTTGTGCTTTTACTAAGAGTGTGAAAAAAGAAGAGAGCAGACCCTAACTCCACCTTCACACCCCACCCCTAGTTTAAAATACTTTCCCACCAAGAAAAAAATAGTTTTCCTTCTCGTGTTAAATACAGAATAGACTTTAAACTGCCCTCCTTCCCCTTACCAATCCCACCCACCCCTTCAAAAAATCAAATAAAATAACCAAAAACCTCAGGCTACTGTGAAACTCAGCTCTCAGTCTACTTCCTCTTTGGAGGGAGGCTATGGAATTGACAGCCCAACTCTCCCACATCTGCTGCAGCCAGAAGAGAAGAGAACAAGCATGAGTCAAAATTGGAAACTCTGGATCTGACCTCATAAATGTGGTTTGGGATCACAGTTTGCCTCAGACATATGATCTCGAGCAAGTCACTTAGCCTTTCTAAACTGTAGCATCCTCACAGATAAAATGTGCCCACTAATACGTTTAACGATAGATTTTAGGGAGACATATTTGTCCCAGTTTGCCTGGGACTATTCCAGTGTTAAAACTGAAGGTCCTTTAGCCAGGAGTGGTGGCACGTGCCATGGTCCCAGCTACTCAGGGGTCTGATGTGGGAGGATCACCTGAGCCCAGGAGGCAGAGGTTTCAGTGAGCCATGATGGCACCCCTGCACTCCAGCCTAGGAAACAAAGCTAGACCCTGTCTCTAAATAAATAAACAACTGAAAGTTCCACATCTCAGGTGGCCCCTCAGTCCCAGGTTGGGGGTGACCCTCTATTGTGTAAGGATTAAATACAGTAATGCCTGCAAAGTGCTCCACACAGTGTCTGGAATGTGATAAGCTCTCAAAATAGTAATATGATTAGTCTACATCTCCATTGCCAGACCCCTGGGTTTTCTTCTCCATGAAAAGACCAAACATTCATTGAACCAGGAGTAATACTAGGTGCTATATATTCAAGATCTCTAACTTTCACAAATATTCAAAGAAGTAGATATGACCATCCCTATTTTATAAGTGAGCTGACCACAACATGAGAAATACATCCAAGAACCAGTGCACAGCAGAGCCTAGACTTGAACCCATGTCTGATTTCAAAGTCCAGAATCTTTCCTCATGTTGCAGATTCAAGCTGTTTATGGGAAGGGGACATCACAGAGACTGGATTCATTTGACAAAGTGGGTAGCTGAGTTTTAGCACAATGGGGAAATAGGACAAAAAAGCTTCAGGTCTCCTGCTGGGGTGTTTCCATGGCCCAGAGAGGGTGTCATCAGCACACAGAAAAGAGGCCATTCTCATTTCAGGAAGACAAGCGGTAAGATGGGGTTTCTGGAGCACCATTTTGTCTTCATCTCAGCCTAATGATTTTCACCCATAATGACATTAACTATCTCAAAGGGTGAAAAGAGAATCAGGTTGGTCAGCCACTCAACTACCACTAGGTGGAAATTAAATTTGTGCCAGGCGCTATACAAAGTTCTCTGAAGATAATAATGAAAAAGAAAAGGCCCACCACTTTTAAGACGAGGGAGAAAAGTATATCAAAGTGCAACACTAGTTGGAGTTATTACTGAGATGACAAAGCCATAAGGGAGAAAAGAGCCAAAAGATTATTAAATTAGTTAATTAAAGTAACTGTTTTTTTTTTGACAGAAAAGCACTAATAGAAATGTAAAAGAAGATAAACATAGGGGTAAGGTGACCAGCTTATCCTGGTTGCCCAAGACTTGCCCAGTTTTCATGCTGAAATCCTCCAATTCAGGTCAACTGGAGACGCCTGGTCACCCTATCTGGGGGTCAAAATCAAATGCCTATAAAGAGGTAAAGTAAATTAATGAAGTAGAATAAGTGTAAGAAAAACAAAAGCACAGACACAATAAAAATGACAACTCAAGGCTGGCAGATCACGAGATCAGGAGATCGAGACCATCCTGGCTAACATGGTGAAACCCCGTCTCTACTAAAAATACAAAAAAATTAGCCGGGCGTGGTGGCGGGTGCTTATAGTCCCATCTACTCAGGAGGCTGAGGCAGGAGAATCGCGTGAATCTGGGAGGCGGAGCTTGCAGTGAGCTATCACGCCACTGAACTCCAGCCTGGGCAACAGAGCAAGACTCTGTCTAGGAAAAAAAAAAAAAAAAAAGACAACTTGTACTCCATGTAGGGCAGAAAGGGGTACAATAGGACTGATATGGTTTGGCTGCGTCCTCACCCAAATCTCATCCTGGATTGTAGTTCACATAATCCCCACATGTCGTGGGAGACACCCAGTAGGTGGTAATTGAATCATAGGGGTGTTTACTCTTATGCTGTTCTAGTGATAGCGAGTGAGCTCTCACAAGATCTGATGGTTTTATAAGGGGCTTTTCCCCCTTTTGCTTGTCACTTCTCCTTCCTGCCTCCATGTGAAGAAAGACATGTTTGCTTCTCCTTCTGCCGTGATTGTAAGTTTCCTGAGGCCTTCCCAGCCTTGCAGAACTGTGAGTCAATTAAGCCTCTTTCCTTTATAAATTATCCAGTCTCAAGTATTTCTTCATAATAGTCTGAGAAGGAACTAATACAAGGACTCATCATCTAGGAGTTGCAGTCCCAAACTATGACCCACAGGTAAATCCAGCTGGCCACCTGTGTCTATCTGGCCAAGAAGTTAAGAATTGTTTCTTTTTTTAATGATTGAAAACCAAATTTAAAGAATACCAATATTTCTTGATGCATGAAAATATATGAAATTCAAATTTCAGTGTCTATAAATAAAGTCTATTGGAACATGGTATTGCCCATTCATTTATTCACATGTTATCTATAGTTGTTTTAGAACTTCAACAGCAGGACTGAGAGGTTAGACAGAGACTATGTGGAAAAGCCTGAAATACGTATTATCCATCCCTTTACAGCAAGCTTCTCCCACCTATAGCCTGCAGCCTGCATGTGGTGGAGGACAGCTTTGAATGCAGCCCAAGACAAATTTGTAAACTTTCTTAAAACATGAGATTCTTTTCACAATATTTTTTAGCTCATCAGCTATCATTAGTGTTAGTGTATTTTATGGGTAGACCAAGGTAATTCTTCTTCCAATGTAGCCCAGGGAGGCCAAAAGATTGGACACCCCTGCTTTACGGAACATGTTTGCCAACCTTGTTCTACAGGACAGCCAAATAGGCCCCCTCTGATGATGCTTGACAAGAGCAATAGCCTACAAACAATATGAAGTTAAAAAATCTTTTAACATTTTTAAAAAGGTAAAAAAAAATCTGTGAAATTCATTGACTTTTAAATGTTGGCATCTAATTCAATTTTTAAAATATTATGTGGGTGCAACAAAGCAATTTGTGGTCTGTATCCAGCCTGCAGGCCACCATTTTACAAAATCTAATGTACATCACATGTTCTATAATAACGCCTAGCCCATGAGGTAATTATATTAGTTTCTCAATTTGAAGGCAAATTTATTACACCTGATTCTTTATCCATCAATTGCTTTCTTTTTTTTTTTTTTTTTTTTTTTGGACAGAGTCTTGCACTGTTGCCCAGGCTGGAGTGCAGTGGCACGATCTTGGCTCACTGCAAGCTCCGCCTCCTGGGTTCACGCCATTCTCCTGCCTCAGCCTCCCGAGTAGCTGGGACTACAGGCGCCTACCACCATGCCCTGCTAATTTTTTGTACTTTTTAGTAGAGACGGGGTTTCACCGTATTAGCCAGGATGGTCTCTATCCCCTGACCTCGTGATCCACCCACCTCGGCCTCCCAAAGTGCTGGGATTACAGGCGTGAGCCACCGCGCCCAGACAATTGCTTTCAATTTTAAATTCATTTGTAACTCAATTGCTTCACCCATTAGTTCCTTTCCTGGATCTTCCAATTTTCTTTTCAACAGCCTATAAAGTTTTTTTCCATCCTAAATAAAATCTTCCTTCAGTTCTACATCCTTCCTTCAGTTATTACCTATTTCCCCTATTTCCTTCTTCAATTTCTTCAAAGGGCAGTCTCTCCTGGCTGCTTCCAGTGTGTTCTCTCATTCCCTCCTCACCCCAGTGCAGTTTCACTGTTTTCCAGACCATCTCATTGAATGTGCTGCCAAGAAGGTCACTGGTGACCACTTTCTTGCAAAATTCAAAGAATACTTTCAAATTCCCGTCTGACTTATTTCTGGCATTTGACGTCATTAACCACTGCCTCCGTTTTGAAAGTGTCTCTATCCTTGGATTTCCCAGTACCCACTGAGTCCTGGTTCTCTCCCTACCTCTCAGGTTGCTCCTTCCATTCTTTTGTTTTTGTTTTTGTTTCTGGATTGATTTTATTTAGCTAGTATTCATTGAACACCTGACATGTAGCAAGCATGGTGCTAAGCATTTTCCAAATGCGGTTGGCATATACTTCAAGGCACATGAAATAAAACTTTTCCTTAAAATAGGAATCTAAATGTCCAGCCTGCCTGGCTTATGCGATGTTCTGATTCAGTCTTTTTTCTTTTTTTCTTTTCTTTTTTTTTTTTTTTTTTTTTTTTTTTTTTGACATGGAGTTTCGCTCTGTTGCCCAGGCTGGAGTGCAGTGTCGCTATCTCGACTCACTGCAACCTCCGCCTCCGGGGTTCAAGCAATTCTCCTGCCTCAGCCTCCTGAGTTGCTGGGATTACAGGCGCATGCCACCACGCCTGGCTAATTTTTTGTATTTCAGTAGAGATGGGGTTTTACTGTGTTTCCCAGGCTGGTCTTGAACTCTTGAGCTCAGGCAATCTGCCTGCCTTGGCCTCCTGAAGTGCTAGGATTACAGGCATAAGCCACCGTGCCCGGCCCAGTCTTTTTTTTTTTTTTTTTTTTTTTGAGACTGAGTCACTCTATTGCCCAGGCTGGCGTGTGCAGTGGCGTGGATCTCGGCCCACTGCAACCTCCGCCTACCGGGTTCAAGCAATTCTCGTGCCTCAGCCTCCCGAATAGCTGGGATTACAGGCGCCCATCACCACGCCCGGTTAATCTTTGTATTTTTAGTAGAGACAGGGTTTCACCATGTTGGCCAGGCTGGTCTCAAACTCCTGACCTCAAGTGATTCGCCCGCCTTGGCCTCCCAAAGTGCTGGGATTACAGGCATGAGCCACAGTGCCCCGCCCTGATTCAGTCTTTATTGTAGTTCCCATGTTCTCCCCAGGGTCATACCAGAATCTGGTAAACGGAAAATGATTGGAGAAATGCATGAGGCATGCACGTCTTCACTGTGCTTGTGGAGGCTTGCCTGCCTTCTGTTTGCACACCATGGCCAGGACCCCCAGCGCCTAGGGTTCTGTCTCCCTTAGAAGATCACACAGCACATCCTGGAATGAACCACCTGCTCAGATGCACAGATTTCTCTCCCCTTCAGAATCCAGGGAAAGCACCCCCTTCCTTCATGGCATTCTAAACACTATTTATTTCACCTCTTTACTTGGTTTAGCCTCTCACAAAAAACAGGAAATCCATTAATTTCAGATTGCTTCTGTACCACCTCTCCTCTGCAAAAAAACCCAAACCAAGAAAACACTCTAAAAGGGTCCTCCTTCTTCAGTGGGAAGTGGAGATTAAAATGCATAAAAAAATTTACCAACTTATGTTTCAGTGAGGTCTCCTTGCATGATTCTTATGGTAACTTTGAGAACTGAGTTTTATCACAGCTACTTTATAGATGAGAAAATTTAGAAGTTTAACTTGCCCAAGGCAATAGAACTGCAAACCTTCAGCTTTTAACTACTGCCTAATATGGCTTGTTTCCTTGCTTCTGCCCTGAAATGCTGATGCGCTTTCTCTAGTCTGAGTTTTTTTCACTCAATATACTTTCCAAGAATAATGTCACCCCCACATATTATATTAACTGACACCACATACCAGGTACACAAGTTTTTCCTCAGCTTGAGTCTCCTTCTTCACCTGCCTCTTGGTCATCCACACCAGGATGTCTTGCTTATACTTCAATTTCAGCCGTTCCAAAACTGAATTTATTGTTTCCTTGTTACTCTGTCATCCTCCCACCTGTTCCTGTTTTCAGAGTTATTGGTTAGTGGCCCATCATCTCCCCAACAGTCCAAATTAAAGGCCTCTGAATTATCCTTATCCCTCCTTCTTTCTGTCATTGAGTCTTCCATTTATCTGTCCACTCTTTCCTTCCTTTCCATCCCCAAGGCTCCTGACATTGTTTGGGCCTTTGTTCTTGCACCCAGTGACAGTAAGACTCTTTACTGGCTGACTACCAAATTATGCTCTGCGTTGAAGACAGCTGGGGCTTTCTAAGTCACAACTTTGATCATGTCAGTCTCCCACATTAAAATGTTGAGTGGTAATCAAATGCCATCAGAATGAAGCTTAGATTCTTCCAGTGAGTTTCCTTGTTATTTGAGCTTGGCCTCACCAATCTAACTTTTGGCCCCAACACCCCGATTCCAAACCCAGCATAAGCATGCTACAGGAAGCTAATTTCCATTTCCTGAGCATGTTTTGATCTCTCAAAACTCCAACTTTTGCAAGTATTAGCTAGAACTGACTTCTTTAATTTTCTTCATAAAAGGCATTTTCCAGTTTTTCAAATACCTTTCTGGCTTCCACACCATCACTTCTCAGTGGCTTTTCTGATTTATTACTCCCTTCCTCCTTCTTGGAAGACAGCTTGGCACATAGTAATAGCATGGGACCTGGAGTCAGAGAAGATTCAGATGCTGCCTTTCTGCTCTTATGTAACTCTGAACTATAATTTTGCATCAGTGATCCTAATTTTTCTCTTCTATAAAATAAGGAGTTTAACATGAACTTCAGGATTATTGTGAGTAATGAAAGATAACACGTGTAAGGTCACTGGCTCAGAGTGTGGCATATAGTAGCTGCTTAATAAATGTTAATTTCCACATTGAGGTAGAGTCATTCTTTCTGTTCTCATTTAGTGTTTTTTGCATTGTAAATAGATTTTAACATATATTCATGACCCACTATACTGTAAGGTTTTGAAAATTAAAAGCCATTTTAAATGCATTTTTATATTCACAGTGCCTATCTCAGTCTTACTCGTTAAATTAAATGTTAGATTAAATGTTAAATAAATTCAATTTAGCAAAAAACTGTATGCATTGCCTACTATGTCCAAGTTTTAGTGCTTGGGGAGCTAGAGAACACAAAGGTGAGTAAATTCTTGCCTTCAAAGATCAAGAATAACACTTCCATTTCTGATCAAGATGGACTAAGAGGGCCCAAAGTTGCCCTCCCACCTGAAACAACACTCAAGACATTGACCATAAGGCAACAAGACAGGGATTACTGAGAAATGGAAAACAAATGAGAAAGCCCTATGATTGTCCAAAACTGGGCCAAGCCACAAAGCAGGGAGAGCCCAGGTGGAGCCCAGCCATCTTCTGTAATTAAGGAGACAAAGCTGGGAGTCCAGAGATGACAAGACAGTTGGATTTCATTGGGCAGAATACCAGATAAAAGACTTGCACAAAGAGAGAACTTTAGAATGCTGCAGAGGGTCTCCCTCCACTGTTTAGCTGAGCACAGATCAGCACTGAGGCTCTCTGTGAGGAAGCTACCCAAAGCCAGGGAAAGAATCACCTGAAAGAATTAGAAGGACAGTGCCCAGAGTTCACACAAACATTGGAATTCTGCCTGTTCCCAATAGCCACAGTGCAAACTTTCATAAGGTAAGATCATCATTTAGAATACTAAGGAAGGTCTTGCCTCAGTAGTAGGGATGAAATGGACTAAACACAGTGCTCGTCTCACCTCGCACAGCTCCCGTCATAACTAACAAAGCTTAAAAGCAAACATGCTCTTTTTTCTGAGAAATTTTTTTCAAGAAACTTTTCCCCAAAATTGTAACTGCATTACAGAGTAAAGCTCAGGAATATTCAAAGGTATGCAAAAATATAAAGCACCCAAACAGGTAAAATTTACAATGCATGACATATAATTAAAAAGTTACCAGGCATACAGACAAGCCAAAAAATAGCATCCATAATAAAGAAAAAAGAATCAATCAATTGAAACTGACCCAGAGATGGCATAGATGAGTAGAGTTCATAGACTAGGACATTAAAACAATTATTACAGTTACATACCATATGTTCAGAAAGCTATAGAAGAGATAGAACATGTTAAGTAAAGACATGGAAGATATTTTTAAAAGATTCAAATTCAATATTTATAGATAAAAACTCCAAGATCTGAGATAAAAAATATGCTAGGTGCGATTAACAGCATATTAGACCTTACAGAAGGAAAAATTGGTGAACTTAAAGACATGGCCATAGAAACTTCTGAAATGAAATTCATAACAAAGTATGAAAATAAATGAGCAGTGAAAAAAATTCAATAAACCAAATATATGCATAGTTTGAATCCCTGAAATCATACAAGACAATATTTGAAGAAATAATAGCCATCAATTGTCTAACTTTGATGGAAACCATGAACTCACAGATCCCAAGCACAAGAAACATGAAGAAAAATAGATTACAGCACATCATAATCAAATTTCTTAAAACCAGTGACAAAAAGAAAATCTAAGAAGCAGCCAGAAAAAAAGAACAAAGAATGACAGATTTCAGCCAGGTGCGGTGCCTCACACCTGTTAATCCCAGCACTGTGGGAGGCTGAGGTAGGAGGATCACTTGAAGCCAGTTCAAAATCAGCCTGGGCAACAAAGCAAGACTCCATCTCTACAAAAATAAATAAATAAATAAAAATTTTAAAAGAATGACAGATTTACCATCCAAAATAACACACACTGGAAGACAATGGAGCAATATATATATATATATATATATATATATATATATATATATATATATATATATTTTTTATACTTTAAGTTTTAGGGTACATGTGCACAATGTGCAGGTTAGTTACATATGTATACATGTGCCATGCTGGGGTGCTGCACCCATTAACTTGTCATTTAGCATTAGGTATATCTCCTAAAGCTATCCCTTCCCCCTCCCCCCACCCCACAACGGTCCCTAGAGTGTGATATTCCCCTTCCTGTGTCCATGTGTTCTCACTGTTCAATTCCCCGCTATGAGTGAGAATATGCAGCGTATGGTATTTTGTTCTTGAGATAGTTTACTGAGAATGATGACTTCCAATTTCATCCATGTCCCTACAAAGGACATGAACTCATCATTTTTTATGGCTGCATAGTATTCCATGTTGTATATGTGCCACATTTTCTTAATCCAGTCTATCATTGTTGGACATTTGGGTTGGTTCCAAGTCTTTGCTATTGTGAATAATGCCACAATAAACATACGTGTTCATGTGTCTTTACAGCAGCATGATTTATAGTCCTTTGGGCATATACCCAGTAATGGGATGGCTGGGTCAAATGGTATTTCTTGTTCTAGATCCCTGAGGAATCACCACACTGACTTCCACAATGGTTGAACTAGTTTACATTCCCACCAACAGTGTAAAGGTGTTCCTATTTCTCCACATCCTCTCCAGCACCTGTTGTTTCCTGACTTTTTAATGATTGCCATTCTAACTGGTGTGAGATGGTATCTTATTGTGGTTTTGATTTGCATTTCTCTGATGGCCAGTGATGGTGACCATTTTTTCATGTGTTTTTTGGCTGCATAAATGTCTTCTTTTGAGAAGTGTCTGTTCATGTCCTTCACCCACTTTTAAGCAACTTCAGCAAAGTCTCAGGATACAAAATCAATGTACAAAAATCACAAGCATTCTTATACACCAATAACAGACAAACAGAGAGCCAAATCATGAGTGAACTCCCATTCACAATTGCTTCAAAGAGAATAAAATACCTAGGAATCCAACTTACAAGGGACATGAAGGACTTCTTCAAGGAGAACTACAAACCACTGCTCAGTGAAATAAAAGAGGATACAAACAAATGGAAGAGCATTCCATGCTCATGGGTAGGAAGAATCAATATCGTGAAAATGGCCATACTGCCCAAGGTAATTTATAGATTCAATGCCATCCCCATCAAGCTACCAATGACTCTCTTCACAGAATTGGAAAAAACTACTTTAAAGTTCATATGGAACCAAAAAAGAGCCCACATTGCCAAGTCAATCCTAAGCCAAAAGAACAAAGCTGGAGGCATCACGCTACCTGACTTCAAACTATACTACAAGGCTACAGTAACCAAAACAGCATGGTATTGGTACCAAAACAGAGATATAAATCAATGGAACAGAACAGAGCCCTCAAAAATAACGCCACATATCTACAACTATCTGATCTTTGACAAACCTGAGAAAAACAAGCAATGGGGAAAGGATTCCCTATTTAATAAATGGTGCTGGGAAAACTGGCTAGCCATATGTAGAAAGCTGAAACTGGATCCATTCCTTACACCTTATACAAAAATTAATTCAAGATGGATTAAAGACTTAAACGTTAGACCTAAAACCATAAAAACCCTAGAAGAAAACGTAGGCATTACCATTCAGGACATAGGCATGGGCAAGGACTTCATGTCTAAAACACCAAAAGCAATGGCAACAAAAGCCAAAATTGACAAATGGGATCTAATTAAACTAAAGAGCTTCTGCACAGCAAAAGAAACTACCATCAGAGTGAACAGGCAACCTACAAAATGGGAGAAAATTTTCACAACCTACTCATCTGACAAAGGGCTAATATTCAGAATCTACAATGAACTCAAACAAATTTACAAGAAAAAAACAAACAACCCCATCAAAAATTGGAGCAATATATTTGAAGCACTGAAAGAAATAATTGTCAACCTAAAAGCATTTATCCTCTAAAAATATCTTTAAAAGTTATAAGTGAAATAAAAAATTTCAGGCATACAAAAGCTGACCTCAAAAAGTGAAAAATATGCTTTGTTCATAGGTAAAGAGGATCCTCTTTAGAATTAAAATGTCAATTCTAAATCAATATATAGATTCAACAAAATTCCAATCAAAATCCCAGTAGGCACTTTTCTAAAAGTTAATTAGGGTTCTAGACTTCATATGGAAATGCAAACGATCCACAATAAAGAAAATTACCAAAAAAGAACAAAGTTGAAGAGCTAATACTACCTGACTTTTAAAATGTTTAAAGTTATAGTAATTAAAACAGTGTGGTGTTGGTATAAAATAAGTCAAATAGATCAATAAAACAGAATAAAGGGCCTAAAAATAAACCCACACCTACCTGCACAACTGATTTATGACAAAGGTAAAAAAAGATACATGGAAAAATATAGCCTTTTTTAAAAAGGGTGCTGAAAAAATGGATATTCATATGCGAAAAAGAGAGTTTATATGCATACCTTGTACCACACACAAAATTAACACAAAAATGAATCATAAACCTAAAGGTAAAACCTAAAAGTTTAAAGGATCTAGAATAAAACAAAGGAGAAAAATTTTATGACCCCAAGCTAAGCAGATTTCTTAGACACTACACTAAATGTATAATCTATAAAAGAACAAATTGGTAAATTGGCCTTCATCAAAATTGGTTAAAACTCTAATCTTCAAAAGACACTGCAGAGAACAAAAACACAAGTCTCAGACTGGGAGAAAATCTTTGCCATGTATTTTTCAGGGACTTGAATCTAGAATATATAAAGACTTTTTAAGACTTGATCACAAGGAAATGACTCAATTTTTTAAGTGAGCAAAATATTTGGACAGACACTTACTAAATAAAATACATGAGTGGAAAATCATCACATGAAAAGACACTTAACATCAGTAGTCACTAGGGAAATGCAGATAAAACCACAGTGAGGTACCACTAATTCACCTATTAGAATAGCTAAAATTAAGGCTACCATTCTAAAAGTTGACAACGATGTCAACTAAGTGGAACTCTGATATACTGCTGGCAGGAATATAAAATACAGCCACCACTTTGGAAAACACATTGGAAATTATTTAAAAAGCTAAATACATACCTACCTACCATATGATCAAGCCATCCCATACCAAGGTATTTACGAAAGAGAAATGAAAGCGTATGTCCATACAAAGACTTATACACACTGTTCCTAGTTTTGTTTGTAATAGTTAAAAACTGTCCATCAACAGATGGAAATAACTGTCCATCCACAGATGAATAAACAAACATTGGTATATCCATGCAATGGAATACTACTCAGCAATTTAAAAGAGATTAACTACTGATACATGCCACAATTTCAATAAGTCTCAGAAGAATTATGCTGAGTGAAAGAAGTCCAACAAGAAGTGTATACTGTACTATTCCATTAGAGTAAAACTCTATACCAACTAATCTATAGTGACAGAAAGCAAATCAGGGCTTGGGAATTGGGGGAGGGGGATGGTATGTGGTGGGTATGAGGAGTTTACTCGGGAACAGGAGGGACTTTCAGGTGCCATGAATGTGTTCACTATCTCGATTGCACTGATTGTTTCAGGGGTGTATATAGATGTCAAAATGCATCAAATTGTATACTAAGTATGTGTAGTCTACTTCTGTCAGTTTTTCTTCGATTAAGTTTAAAAAAAAAAAAAAAAGCAGCAGCTGGGCGCGGTGGCTCACGCCTGTAATCCCAGCACTTTGGGAGGCCGAGGTGGCGGATCATGAGGTCAGGAGATAGAGACCATCCTGGCTAATACGGTGAAACCGCGTCTCTACTAAAAATACAAAAAATTAGCTGGGCATGGTGACGGGCGCCTGTAATCCTAGCTACTCGGGAGGCTGAGGCAGGAGAAACACTTGAACCTGGGAGGCGGAGGTTGCCGTGAGCCGAAATCATGCCACTGCACTCCGACCTGGGCAACAGAGCGAGACTCAGTCTAAAAGAAAAAAATAATCAGCAGCCAGGGCTCATCTTTTTCACTTCTACCTTCCAGCCAGAACTGGACACCCCTGCCAAGAGGGGTTGAGGAGGCATGTACTTCCTAGAAATGCAGCCCAACAGGACCCACTTCCACTCTAGGCTGGACCTCCAGCAGTGTGCTCTTCGCCCCAGCCTACAGACTTGAACATCTCAGTCATGTTCTTCATTGTCCCATCCCATCCCTCTCCTCAAAGCCTTGGGGTAATTCCCATTGCCTTTAACACTTCCCACCCACAAGGCGGCCTGGTCCTGACTCAGCAGAGGGATAGTGAGGGAGAGCTGAAGTAAGAGGAATCATCTGGACTCATCTGCAGCCACCCTCTTCCCAACCACCACGAGGAATAATGGGCACAGGAAGTTTTGGGGCTGTGGCTGTTGGGCAGAGTTATGCAATCCCAGTTGGCAGGAAACACTGCTTTTGTTCAAATAATTTTTTTTTTTTAAATCGGCCCTCTTATAAACAACTCAGGATGTTTTCACCCTTGGGAAACTATGTGGATGGCTTCAGAAACTGCCTCCCTTAAAGGAACTCACTGTAATGGGGTAAACCACTGGAACAGGACCACCATGCTGGTGAGTGGTTTGCAACTTGCTCAATGAAAGCATGAATGGACCAAAGTCTCAATATTAAAAAAAAAAAAAAAAAAGCAGCTTAAAATAGCCTTCTAGACCTCATTTTAATAGAGTCCCTGTCCATTCAGGGATTTTCATAAATAACCCCACAATTAATGACGTGTTTATCAGCAAAGCCACTCACCTGAAAATATACAGTGGTTGATGTCCTCTTCGGGTATGGAGTTTATTTTTAAGAAAAAAAAGACTTATCCTAAAGATAAAAATAGAGCAGAGGTACTCAACTAAATTTGCAACCGGTTTCCCCAGGAGCCTCAGGTATAACCTATTTGGAGAAGAGTTCAACCTGAGGTGATAGAGGAATCTAGCTTAGCAAACAGTTCGTGATTATTTTTGTTTTTAATCAAAATTAACCCTTCTCTCTTGTAATGCTACTGTTGGAAGACAATTACAGCACCTAGTAAGTGGACCTTCTCTTATCAGATTTTTTTTTTTTTTTTTTTTTTTTTGAGACGGAGTCTCGCTGTCTCCCAGGCTGGAGTGCAGTGGTGCGATCTCAGCTCACTGCAAGCTCCGCCCCCGGGGTTCACGCCATTCTCCTGCCTCAGCCTCCGGAATACCTGGGACTACAGGCGCCCGCCACCGCACCCGGCTAATTTTTTGTATTTTTAGTAGAGATGGGGTTTCACCATGTTAGCCAGGATGGTCTCGATCTCCTGACCTCGTAATCCGCCTGCCTCAGCCTCCCAAAGTGCTGGGATTACAGGCGTGAGCCACCGTGCCCAGCCTCAGATGTATTTTTATGTGGCATTATATCTAGAGCATAGCATGTGATTATTATTAAGTTGGTGCAAAATTAATTGCCATTTTTGTCATCACTTTTAATGGCAAAAACGGCAATTAATTTGTGCACGAACCTAATACATGGGGTTCATGTACTGAGTGAGACCTTAAATCAGATCCCGTCACACTTCTGTCCGAGACTTTTCTATTATTTCTCATTGCATTTAGAGTGGAATCAAAATGCCTCAGTGGAGCTTATTGGGCCTCAATGAGACCTGACCTGATCCCAACCCACCTCACCACTGTATTCAGGCACATCTGTTTTCATTCAGGCGCATCTGTTTTCTTTCAGATTCTCACACATCCTAAGATCTTTCCCGACCCCAGTCCTTGACCATGCTCTTCATTTTTATCCCTCTTTTTCTAGAGGCCAGCTCTTCTCATCTCCTAGGTCTTGGCTAGAAAGTCACCTATGAAGCCATTCCTTTTCCACCTTCTTGTTACTCTCCTCCACCTGTTTATTAATTCTTTCACAGCACATATAACATATAATTGGAGGTTTTTAAAAGGGTCTCTTTCATTAAAGTGCAAGTTCTATGATGCCAGGAACTATGTTTATTTATTCACTGTTTTATCCTCAATGGAAAGTATCCCTTGTCTATCTGAAATGGTTGGTCAGGAGGTGTTTCGGATTTTTGATTTTTCAAATTTTGGAATATTTGCATTATGCCTAGGTTGAGCATCCCAAATCCAAAAATCTGAATCCCACAATGTCCCAACAAGCATTCTCTTTGTGCGTTGTGTTGGCACTCGAAAAATTTCAGATTAGGAAACATTTCAGATATCAGATTCTCAGCTTTGGGATGCTCAACCTGGCATATAGTAGATGCTCAATAAATTATTGTTAAATATTAAATGAATAATGAATCATATTCTAATTCATTTCTACCACCCTTTCACCCTACCCCAAACTCCAAAGCCCAATGCATCCTTCCTCATTCATATCTTCATTCTTCCTCTTTCCATGAAATCTTCTCTGAGCTTCCCACTTTTTCAGCATTCAAAGACAAACCACAGGAAGTGCCAGAGGCATGCCTGGAACATAGTGAAAGCTCTATAAATACGGCCACATTGGTATCACCATGATCACTTCTTCCAGTGTAGTCCTACAGCCCTGTTTCCAGGACATCAGTTTTTCCCTTACCGCCTTCCCAATTTTTCACATATCCCCAATACCATCAAATTTACTGTGCTACTTTTGATGTAAATTATTTTTGACATAATGTCTTTCTTCTTAATGTATTTTTAAAGGAAAATTTATAGAAATTAAAACCCATTTCACTGACCATAAAAGGGAACAATTAAAAATAAATAAAACAAAACAATAGGCTATTTTCTTCTGATTTTTTTGTTTGCTTGTTTTTTCTTTTTTTGAGATGGTGTCCCACTGTGTCACCCAGGCTGGAGTGCAGTGGGCCTATCTTGGCTCACTGCAACCTCTGCCTCCCGGGTTCAAGCGATTCCCCTGCCTCACCCTCCCAAGTAGCTGGGATTACAGGCATGTGCCACCATGCAGGAATTTTGTGTGTGTGTGTGTGTGTGTGTGTGTGTGTGTGTGTGTGTGTGTTTTTAGTAGAGATGGAGTTTCACCATGTTGGCCAGGCTGGTCTTGAACTACTGACCTCAAGTGAATCTGCCTGCCTTAGTGTCCCAAAGTGCTGGGATTACAGGCACGAGCCACTGCGCCAGACCTTGTTTTCTTTATTTAAGGGAGATTAACAACTGTTAGAGATATAACAACACTATTCTGAGTCTTTCTCTATGTCACAATTTGAAAGACTGAAAATTTTTTAATGACTTCTTCACTCCATGCATTATTAGTATTTAAAGCCATAACTATGTCCATTTAAAATTACCCCCACATATTACTATTCAGACCTTTCTGTCCTATTGTGTTGTTACTAATACTTTTTACTTGGCATTTGTTATTCTCTACCTGGATTGGCTAATTACATGTTTATATCCATATCTCATCCCACTGTCTTATTTCTCTTTATATCCTCCAGGGTTCTTAGGTCAATACCTTGTATAGAATATTTGTTCAAGGCAGTTTAAGTTGAATCTAACACTTACAGTTTTCAACCAACTTGGTCAAAACTTCAAAATATTTTTCCAAACTTCAAAATATTTGTAAAAGAGATACATTGAGAGATTGTATTCAGAAGTGCTTCTAATTCCTCTTTCCCTCTGCCCTTCTGATTTCCTATAGATATGTACCTAAACCATCTCATCCAGGCCACTGTGGTTAAATGTCATATAAGCAACTAGGAAAAGGGCCTAGTACAAAACATGTGTTCCTTACACGCATGAATACACCTGAAACAAACCCTCTAATTTATAAGTGAAATAAAAGCCAAATAAAACCAGAAAAAACTGAATGTGTGATTTATTATGTTTAAGATTGGTTTATAAGGCTTAAATATATCTGTCATAGTTAACAGTTAACAGCAAATAAAGGCAACTTTACAAAATCAGTGTTTCCATACAGTACAGGACTAAATGTGGCAACTGTGCATTGGAAAATTAATATTTCCTCAATGCAAATATCAAATCTGCAGCACCATTTAGAAGCTTCCACTAAAAACTCAAGCTGCAGTATTTATTACAAGCTCTACTCAGAACACAAGGCTACCTAAATCAAGCATTAGAGAAAAACAGTGGAGTCATTCAGGCATAATATGTCAGATTTGGTACAGGATTAAAATACTAACATTTTTAATGTCCTGGTTTCAAATTAATAAATACAAAAACAATATAAAAATATACAACCAGTTGATAAGACTGTACTGCAGATGCTCAGAAAGTTAAATCTCGCTCTCATATGTATGCAGGTATGTCTTGAGTGTCAGGATTTCTGGGTAGCTGCGGCTGGTCTTTCGGAAGAAGTCCAGGCTGGTGAGATGTTCAATGTCACGCACCCTAGCTGTGTGCATCTTCATGAGTTCTTCTACCCATTTTGATTCGTCCTCTGAGCTCTGCAATGGAAACAGAACAAAATCAGAATCAGAATTTTCCAGAGGAGTTTCTCCAAATGGTCAGTTTACTCCAAGTCCACAAATGACCTCTGTGCACTCTTGCACACAGAGCCAACGCATGTTGATCCTTCCTGGCCTCCCTGCCACTCTACCGCATTCCTATGGGTAATGTGCCACAAATACCTGCCCTTGGCTGTAAACATTTTCAACAGCAATTAACTGTACCAAATAAACGAGACATGTGGTGTCAGAGGGCATTTGACTCAATAGGTTCTCAGAACATAAATCAAAATTAGGAAAACCAAAGGCCCTAGAGAATTCAGTAATTTGTTTCTTTTCCAAGCTGTCAAATTGCAATATTGAGCACAGAGTACAAGTAACTTGGAATATGCTTCTGCTTCCCAAGGAAAGTGAAGAACTTAAGCCTAATGCACGAAATGATGTGTGTGCATTCCTAGTTTTTCAAAAGAAACTGCTGCATCAACCACGTCATCTACTAGAATGCATAAATTGCTATTTGAAAAATGAGGTCAACTCGAAACCACTCAGTTGACACATCTGGCACTCTAGGGCCCAACAGGCCAGAGTTGGAAATGAGGCTGTACTACTTCTTGGCTATGAGACCTTGGTCAAGCTACTTGACTTTTGAGGCCTCAGTTTCTTCCTTGGTTCACAAGGATAATAATGCTTACTTCTGCAGCTCCCTGGGAGGTTAGGGAGGAGAGGAGGGAAGAAGCGGGGGGAAAGGTAAAGCAAGGAAACACGGAAAAAAGAAAGTGAATCTCTGCCTCAGCTGCTTGCCAAAAATTGCCCCACTGACACAAGTTGCAGATGAAAGACATTCAGATGTCCTGCATCAAACAACTTATTTCATGTCTAACTTGAAACTAAAAGGTAATTCAGGGGAAGCAGTTCTTTGCATCTCAAAAATAGCTTCTTTCATTTTTGTGGGAAGTTGAGGGAAAGAGTGAGATCTGAGAGCCCTGTGAATATGGAGCAGTGTCTACTTTCATTAGTAGACATTGAGCAGGACCTTTGCAAGTAATTCCATTCACAAATGCCTCTGGAATTGCAATGGCTTCCAAGAGCCCTTCTACAAGTTGAAGGGTGGCTGCATGTCCTAGGTCTGGGAATATTCAGACATGCCCTCATCCAACTCTTTACCACCAGTGGTCTCAGTGAACTATCCACCAAAGCCCAAGAACCTGCAATGGGCTTTCTCGGAAAGCTCCAACCCACACAAACCTGGACAGGGAACTGCAGCAGCTTGTGCCAGTGCTAAATATGTTCGGGAGGGTGTTGGTTCAGGAAACTGATGCCTGGCCATCTCAGGCAAAATGAAGAAAGGGGAAGAAATTGCTTTGCAGGCTGGGGAGGTAAGAATTTTAACCTTCATGTCCCACCCTCCTAACCCAACCTAACCAAGATCTCTGCGATTCACAGGAAAGGAAAGACCTAAATATAACTCTACCCACAATGGTACTGACCAGTCCTCAGTGTGACCCTATAATTAACGAAGTAGGAGGTCTCCAGATGGGTCAGGACCCCCTCAGAGTAAGCAGGGCAAGCATGAGCCTGTATTTTGAGAGAATTTTCATATTCAGCTCATTTGTTTGATTTTTCAGTGGTCAGTCAGTCCAATTTTTTTCTTTGTAAATGCAGTCATTTTGAATGTGTGGACAGGGGTGAAAAGGTTTTTCCTAATTTAAATGATGGCTAGCTGGGATTATAAGAATTCTGCAAAAACATCTGTCTTTTGCTATTTCTTTCCTTGGGAAGTGATTTGCCAATTTCATTGGAGAGGCAGTCTCTTCCGGTTCTCACACTCTGAAATCTGTTCTATAATTCATCATTAGGAAATACTAGCTATGTGGCATGTGAAGGAAATATCTTCTGCCTTGATGTTCGCTGGCAATCCACAGAAGCATTCGCTGATGAAGACTGTGCTGCAAGATGCAAAACTAAGACAATTCAGATAAAAGTTCATGAACAGCAAGGTAGGGAGGACAGGAAAGACTTTAAAAATAAAGCACTTAGAATATTAATGCAAACAAAAGCACAATCCATGAACTTGCTTGCTGTCTTCCTCATTATGGACATTGATTCTTCACCTGTCTTTTCTCCCTGACTTTCTCCCCAGGTTTGTGAATTCAAGTCCCAGAAGTTTTAAGGTAAAATTCACAGCAAGGACAGCTTCTACATGAACAGGTGACCCTTCAACGAGAAGCATGCTGGCCACGAACTCTACAAGAAGTGCCTCCAGACTCTGTGCAGAGTCAGGAACCAGTAGGGAGAGGAAAACCTGTAAGGACTTCAGTGGATTTCATTTATCAGATATAAAATTTAGATCGATTACAGAACAGCCTTTGTACCAAGTTTAGAGCAGTATTTTTAAAACTCCCCATCACCAAATTCCTCTAATGACCGAACTTGAACATCTATTCCCCAGGAATCTAGGTACACCTTAAATGGCCTACTATGTATATGAAATACCTTTGTAGTCTTTTCATCTTAGAACTGTATGGCAATTTTTATTTTTATCCCATAATACAACAGTTTAATGTTTTGCAAGAATTTCACCTCCCTACAAGTTTCTAATAAGACTGAAGCTCAGAGAACGTATACCATGTTATACGGAGGCATTACATCCACCTGGGGCTTTTGTGGTTGTAAACAACCAAAATTGAGAGGGCCAAGCCAGTAAGTTGATAACAGCTTGTCTCTCACTTGCAGTTTCCACATTTCTCTACCACCCATTCCCATCATTTATAAAACCCTATGGATCCTTCAAGTATAATATTGTTGTCTTCCATCCTTCCTTTTAGATCTCCAAGACCACAACCCCAGTTCAAGTTCTCTCTTGCCTCACTCCTGTGAATCTTGCCTAAGCCCTTTGAGCACAATGTTCAGTCTCCTCCATTTCAAATTTATCTTCCTAAAGCAGAGCCAAAAACGTTGCTCTTCCAACTAAACATTTTCCTTGGGTACCTAATGCCTAAAACGTACGAAAAAATTCCTAAATTCCCAAGGTTCTACTATGGAAGTCTGATAAATTGGAAAGAGGATGGGCTCTTGGAGTCAGAGGCCTTAAATCTAAAGCTCTGCTCTTCTGCTGACTAACCAAGTAACCACACAACATACTTTCCCCTTAGTAGCTATAAATTTCTCAACAGTTAACAAAAAGGCAGGGGAGAGATCATATATATATATATTTGCCTCATACTGTGGTTATATGATTAGAAATAATATATGTAGAGGACCTACACATAATCGGATCACAACATGTACTCAATAAATGGTAACAACTACTACTACTGCTCCTGCTATGATATCTACTATAGCTACTATTACTACTACTACTTTTTAAAAATTTGATTCCAATCAACTTTTAAAATCTTTTCTCCCACTATTTGCCCTCATTTCTAATATTCTGGCAAAACTTAATTCACTTTCTGGGATATATTTAAACTTTCTAATTTTCTTCTACATTCATAGCCTCAATCTTCACCCATAATTGAAGTCAACAGATCAAAAACTATCTTGCCCACAAAGCTGATCATCTCTATTGAAGCTATTCTTGTGGCTCCTTGCCTTTCAGTGTTGCAATTTCCATACCTGTTTTATTTGTTGACCCACTCTGTGGGCTGCCTAGGAATAGTGACTCTGTCTAACACACTCTTGTTTCTCCTAGAGTAGCTTATACAACTTAGGAATTTGAGTAGTACTTGTTGACTAAAGATTATCTTCTGTAGATTACATCTCTACTCCTTCTGTCATGTGAAACAAAAGCATAGACCATTACTTCTAAAATCAACCTTTGAGCACAAACTTTCCATCAAATTAAAAGGACCTGAAGGTTTTTCCATCTGTCCCTGAGTGTCAAGTTAGTACAGGGCCAGGAGCATATAGCATGGCTCCTGTCTTCCTCCCTAGTGTTTTCATGATGCCATCCTGCATCCTAGCTGTCTCCCCACAGGATGAGTGAATCAGGAGTCATCTGTGCTATCTGAGAAAACAGTGACTGCTACACCTCCATCATAACTAGTAGCAAACCTGATTAGTAAGGTATAGATTTCTTTCTCGCTTGCTCTTGCTTTGTGTGTGTGTGTGTGTGTGTGTGTGTTTGTGTGTGTGTGTGTATGTGTGTGTATTAAAAAGTTTTCATGGCTGGGTGCAGTGGCTCACGCCTGTAATCCCAGCACTTTGGGAGGCCAAGGTGGGTGGATCACGAGGTCAGGAGATTGAGACCATCCTGGCTAACACGGTGGAACCCTGTCTCTACTAAAAATACAAAAATTAGCTGTGCGTGGTGGTGGGCGCCTATAGTCCCAGCTACTCGGGAGGCTGAGGCAGGAGAATGGCGTGAGCCCGGGAGGCGGAGCTTGCAGTGAGCCAAGATCACACCACTGCACTCCAGCCTAGGTGACAGAGTGAGACTCCGCCTCAAAAAAAAAAAAGTTTTCATTATGGGCCACGCACAATGGCTCATGCCTATAATCCCAGCACTTTGGGAAGCCAAGGCAGGTGGATCACTTGAGGTCAGGAGTTCAAGACCAGCCTGACCAACATGGTGAAACCCCATCTCTACTAAAAATACAAAAATTAGCTGGGCATGGTGGTGCCCGCCTACAATCCCAGCTACTCGGGAGGCTGAGGCAGGAGAATCACTTGAATGCAGGAGGTGAAGGTTGCAGTGAGCCAAGATCAAACCACTGCACTCCAGCCTGGGCGACAGAGCTAAAAAAGAAAAAAGTTTTTTAATATGGAAATTTTTAAACATCCAGAAAAGTGAAGTGAGAAATAAAATTCCATGACCTCTTACCAAGCTTCAACAATTATCAAAATTTTGCTAGTTCCTACTTTTTTATAAAATTTTGTCATTCTCCACTTTCTTTTGCAAAATGAAAAACATTTGGACATTTATTTCTCAAAATTGTACACATTGATAGAATTATGTTAAATGCACACATATATTGAAAAATAAAGAGTCATTAGAAGGCAAAATTCCTACATGTTAAGCAAAGTTCTGTTTGGTTCCTTTCTTTTTTCTGTTTAGGGTGAATGCTTTATAATAAGTATGTTCTAGTTCAATGATGGAAATATAAAGTAAGAAACGAAGGTGAACTATGGAAGCAAATCCTAAAGGACTCTCTCTGTAAACTCACATTGCAGCTCTCCTCGTTGTCAGGCCGGTGAGGCAGGATGAAGGAGGACACAGAGAGAGGGCCGTCACACTTGTCGGCAGGCTGAGTGAAATCCAGACAGCTGGTGATGATGCTGTAGTAGTGAGTTGGAACAGGAATGGAACTGCCTTCCACGTACCTGAAACAGGAAGGTAAAACGAAGTCACAGTTGATGAGTTGATGTTGAAGCTTTCTTTTTTAAATGGTGATCAATGAATATTGC
Organism: Homo sapiens; assembly: GCF_000001405.40. Classification (NCBI taxonomy): domain Eukaryota; kingdom Metazoa; phylum Chordata; class Mammalia; order Primates; family Hominidae; genus Homo; species Homo sapiens. Next base: position 119,563,098 of record NC_000008.11, read on the forward strand.
CTAAGTCACTAAAATTAATCCCCATTCAATTGAATCATTTTTCACTTCTAAGCACTAGCCCACTTCTATGTCTTTGAAAATAATGTTTTCTTTGCCTGGAATCCCCTCACTCCTCAACCTGGCAGAGTAAGAAAGATATTCCAGGCAAAGAAAATGGATTGATCTAAGAATTGGAGACAGGTAATGGTGAATAGACCAATGCAGTAGAAATGAAAGGCTGGAAGCGTCAATAAAAGCCAAATTATGGTGGGTTCTGAGTGCCAGGATATGGACTGGGGCATTATTATTTAGGTAGTAATGCTCCATTAAAGGTTTTTGTGCTAGGGAGTGTCATTCATTATTAGTTCCATGTTTCAGGAAGATAACTTTCCTAGAGTTGTATAAAATGGACAGGGGCAAGAGACATTAGAGCCAGGAGAATAATGACCCTTTCAAGCTACAATGAGATGCAGAACTTGATACAAAGAACTCATTTGCCAAAGGAAGTACTAAGGACCGAGTGCTAATGATGGACCTAGAGGTATAAAAAATATTTTCCTGTAGAGATCAGTACAGAAATTCATAATTCCTTGCCTGGTTTTCTATTATCTTAATTTTATTCATTTTCCAAATATTAAAATTACGATTTAACTACTAATTTAATTTTGGCTAACAGTGATCAGCAATAAAATAAATGTGCAATTTACACAAAATTTCTCTTCAGAATGACTGGAAAAGAAGTAAGATAATTTCTATCTTATTTATCTGTATTTATAAAATAGCAATTTATTCTGTAATTATCTCTAAATCACAATTAAACCCTCTTATACTCTGGGCTGCTGATTGTTTCATGCTTGTATAAAATTAAATAACAACATTCTGAATTTGTCAACAAATTTGTTGACAAATTCAGAATGTTGTTATTTAATTTTATACAATGAAAATACATCCCAATCACTCTAAATCTTGCTTTCTCCACTAGACTGTGGGGTCCCTTATGAGCACAGATAATGGCTTTTATATGCCCAACAGCACCAAAGAGACAGAGACAACCAGATTCAATCCAAGTCCATAGGCACTTTGCTACTGAGAGGTACTGACTCAGAAAATCTAAGGGATTCTTAAGTCCCACCCAAATAATGAAGATAAGTGGGAATGGTCATCTTCCCATTGAAGAGCTGTTGAAGAAATGACTAAACAAAATTAAATCCTTTAATACATTTTTTTCATAGAATAAAAAAGTGCATTTATTTACCACAAAACCCAAAATTCCATTCCCACCACCAATGCCCATTTAATCAAAAGAATTGATAAATTCAGGCTGGGCACAGTGGCTCACACCTGGAATCCCAGAACTTTGGGAGGCCGAGGAGGGTAGAACACTTGAGGTCAGGAGTTCAAGACCAGCCTGGCCAACATGGTGAAACCCCGTCTCTGCTAAAAATACAAAAATTAGCTGGATGTGGTGGTGCATGCCTGTAATCCCAGTTACTCAGGAGGCTGAAGCAGGAGAATCACTTGAACCCAGGAGGCGGAGGTTGCAGTGAGCCGAGATCACATCACTGCAGTCCAGCCTGGGCAACAGAGCAAGACGCCGTCTCAAAAAAATATATATATATATATATTGAAAAATTCAAAAAACTTAAGGGGTGTCATCTCTTCTCTAGTATATGAATATTTGAAAAACTTCTTGAGTGAGATCTTGGGACTTAAAAATCACACACTGAGTAGAAATGAAACGCTTACTGTTTTATTTTGTCTTCTGTGTCATGTAAGCCATCATAGTCATAGTCGAAGATTGGTCCACTTATCACGTTAACTCCATTTCTTTCCGAAGCATATTTCTTCACCAATACCCTTTGGAAATAATTCCAGACCCCTGTGCAAAGACAAAAATCCAAAAATCAATTATTCATGAAGAAAACTCCTTACTCTAGCCAAATTCTCTCTAGGATGCATGCTACGAGCCAAATCTCACAAGCCAAGAGACAAGAGAGCTGTCGTGATTCATGAGATGAATCAATTCTATGGCATTACCAGTGTGTGTGTCATTTACAAACCAGCAAAGGGAACAGTGTAGAGCTATGAAACAATGGTAGGGGAGTTTAACGTAGTTCAAAAGTCAGGAAAGGATCCTCCCAAGCTGAGATCTGAAGCATGGATAAGTAGGTGGTGTTTCCCAGGCAGAACACGCCAGGCAGAGGGAACAGAATGTGCAAAAGAGGAAGTATGGTGTTTCAGAGTAATGAAAATAAGGCCTTACTCTTTCTTCTCGTCCTTCATATCTCATCAATATGCTAGTTCCCAGGTTTAAGCTTTACCCCTGACCTTTCCTGGAGATCCAGACATGTTATCCAACCACCTACCTCCTAATGCACTGGAATACCTAATATTCATGTCAAGCAAAAGAATTTTAATGTTCCTTCCTAATCCTGCCCCAACCCTCGCCTTCTCCATCATAATCAATGGCTCTGGCACTCACCCAGGTGTTTGGGCCAAAAGCCTAAGAGTCATCCTTGCTTTCTCTCCTAGCTATAGACACATGTGAACAATTCCTGTCAGTGCTATCACCAAAGTACATCCCAATTATCCCAAATTTGACCACCTCTCATCTTTTCACTGCTCTATCCTGGTCTAACTTACCATCCTCTCTGAGTGAGCTATCACACCACAAAAGACTATTCCCTGGGTTCCCTGTGAAATGCTTACTTCCCTTGTACCTTGTAGCCCACTCCCCCATATCGTAGCCAGACGGAGCCTTTTACACCATAAGTCAGACTGTATCTTTCTCTTGCACGCACATGCACACACACACACACACCACCCATTTCCAACACTCCAGATTATTTTTCATTGTAATTAGAGTGAAATCCCAACTCCCCACCATGGTCTTTGCCTACCTCTGTGACTTTACTTCCTACCCCTTTCCCTATCACTCGCAAGACTTTCTTCCTGTCCCCTGACTTTTCCCCTAACTTATTTCAGGCTAAGCTTTTGCACTTGCTCTTTCCTTCGTTTGAAAAACATTCCTGGATCTGTGCATGTCTGCTTTCTCCTCTATAATTCTTTCTCACTTTCACTGTCATCCCCTGCAGAGAACTGCCTTATCCTCCTGCTTCTAATTTCCATAATGGCCAACCAGAGGGGCAGAATGGAAATGGAGAAAAACAAGAGAATAACAGAAGGAGACAGGATAGGCAAGCAATGGGTTGGTTCTGAAATATTAGATCGAATTCGCCATGCTGTCTTCAACATGGGTGTCATGCGGTTCTGGCTGTTAACCCCTCTTCCCTCCCCTTATTAAAAAGCACCTGGCCATGCTTCTCATACTGCTTCAATTGCTCTTCCTGCCTTCTGAAACTCTGAATGGCAGAGCAGCCCACAAGAGCCAAAATACCTTAGATAATTATTTGCAGTCAAGAAAGAAGCCAGACAGTAAGAAAGGAGTTCAAACGTTAACTTAAGCATTAAGAAAAAATGGAGAGGAAGAGAAGGAAAGAAACAATGAGAACAGTCAAAAGGCCAGGCCTGCAGAAATGTGGCATGTGAAAAAACCACCCCCCTCGTGGAGAACAGCAAGCTCTCTATGAAAGGCCTTCTCCACACCAGCCTCAGGGTGGTACTGTGTGTTGCCTTGATTACCATTTGGTCAAAAAAACACATCAATAAAGAATAAAGAAATCCAGAGAACCCTGATTTGCAGAAATTAAATGAAGCTGCATTCTATGTAATATTGTGATAAATGTAACTATGTGAGTTTCTGAAATGCTTCTCAGTTGGGTCTGAGAACAAACCAAGAAATCTTTTTAAAAGCATACTTTAATTTTTCACTCATAAGCAATAAATTCTCTTTGAATAAACCTTCGTTTACTAACTAGGACATCAAATAAACATTTTTTTCTCTAAACCGTGTGGCCCTTTTCACCAATGTTAAGCTGCGGAGGCCCGCCACTGTAGCTGACACTCCACAATCGCCCATTCCTATTTTGAGACTCCCTTTCAGCCCTGAGAGTTACATAACACAGCCTGAACCTCCTCCATCAAGTTGAAGCACATAGAGGTGCTTCCTTTTCCTACCTTTCCCATAACGATTTAAGTTCTGTTCACTACAAATGTACTGAAAGGTGGTAAAAGCTACTTCATAATGCTTACTCTATCTTTGAACACATGGATAGATAAAAGGATGGATGGGTGGACAGGGGGATGGATGGATGAATGAGGATGGAGACATAGATGAATAGTTAACAGAAACAAAAAATGCAGTGCTTTCGACATTGGATAATTAAGTCAGAAATCCATATAAACCTTAGAGGTCATGCAATCATATCTCTTAATTTCACAAATGAGAGATTTAATGACATTTCTATGATCACACAGCCTGTGGTCACACTCCAGGAACTTGGCTTTTTGTGCCCGAGCTCATTGTGCCTATACAATTCTTGACTTCACCAGCATCCACAAATATTTATGTCAGGTACAAAGAAATTACAAATGTTCAAAGAAACTAAAATAATTGGTACAGGACTAAAATCATCTGAAATAAACACTCTGATGATTCAGAAGGTCCTTTCGGCTCTTGCTGGGTTTCAGGGCCAACATTCAGAAAATGTTATCACCCCAAGAGGAAGAGGTGCTACTGGCTTTTACTGCAATGCTCAACAAATAAATATAGATGCTGTTAAATATCAAGTGGCTTTCAAAATATAGTGAAGACCCTTTTTAACCATTAAGATAATAAGTATTGAAATAAAAATAACAACCATATTAGAAGAAAAACACAAACTTGGGTTAGTTCAGTTTCTACCATGCATGACCTGTGGTCACTTTCTGTGATATCAATTTCTTAATTATAAACCGGGGATAAACTACCAGCCAACCTTCCTCACAGATTCAAATTTTGGATCAATGTAGAAAGTTTACATGAAATCAAAGTTTACATCAATGTAGAAAGTTTACATGAAAGATCCTCAAAAATTATAAAGGTTAAACACATGAAAAGTATTCTTATTAAAATTAACAGAGGTAGAAAAGGTAAGGGGTAAATTTAGAAATGTTTATTTTCATAAATAACAGTGTATTAGGTAAATATTGGACTTACGTTTGAAAGCAGGATACATTGGAACCATATTGGTTACAAGGAATGCATCATATTTAGCCTCTGGTGAAGAGCTCAGATCTAAACATTAGGAAAACAAATAGTATACGTTGCTTACCAAAATCTATATCAGTTAAAAAAAAAAGGGAGAGGGGGGTAGAATTTTCTTAAATGGTCCAAACAACATGAAGTAAATGAATCTACTCTTTTATTCCTACTCCTAACTGCGTTATACAACATGTCCTTACTCCCCTCCCACTCAGTCTCTTCTTCACTCAATAGCTCTCTCCCAAGAGCCATTTACAATGTTTTTTTCTTACTGTCTACTTCTTGAGTCTACCAACATTATGTAAAATAACTCCTTGATTTCATCAGTGCCATTTAGACTTAAAAAAAAATCATCAAGGTAATGAGAGATGGTTTAAGGGCTTCAGATTTTTTTTTTTAAATATGGAATCTTGCTCTGTCACCCAGGGTGAAGTGCAGTGGCCTGATCACAGCCCACTGTAGCCTCAATCTCCCAGATTTAAGGGATCCTCCCACCTCAGCCTCCAGAGTATCAGGGACTACTGGCGTGTGCCACCAGCTCAGCTAATTTTTTAATTTTTTTAGAGACAAGGTCTTGCTATGTTGTCCAGGCTCATCTCGAACTCCTGGACTCAAGCAACCCTCCCATCTTGGCCTCCCAAAGTGCTGGAATTACTTTGGGATTACAATGGTGGCTCATGCCTGGCCTCAAGCAATCTTAAGAGATCCCCTCTATAGTATTACATAAACGACTAGTGTCTTAATGATTCACTGTTTCCTTTTCAGATTCTCATTTAATAATGTAAGGCGGGACACAGAAGATTCCCTTGCACATTAGAATTCCCCTGGAGAATTAGATTTTTTTGAAAGCTAGTCACTTTTTGGCTGATTTTGGAAGGATCCCATAAAAATTCATTTAGATAATCTTCTGAGCACCCTCTCTTGAAGAAAACCCAAGCCACTGAAATTCCAAATACCAAGATTGCACAATGTGACATCCCTCTGAAGGCATCAGATCTTGATATTCTTAACTTACAAGGAGGAAAGAGGAATCCGTAGGACATCTGCTTATCATTTTTGTAGGCCAAACAGTTCTGACTGAAACTCGGAGAAACACGGACATCAGGCCGGACGCAACTGGTCAGATGGTCAGGAACGCTGGAAACCTCAGCCTGCACGGGAGTCAGAGGCACTCAGCAATGCCGTGGCTCTGTTACGAACGGCTGAAATCAAAACCCCTCTGGCTTCTCCTATGCTTGTATTCTGATTGATAGTCTGACTCCTTTTTTAAATTTTTTATCTTTGATAGTCTGACTTCTTTTTAAAAGTCCTTAGTTTTAAGTACAGTAAGCCACAAGTTTTCAAACTTTTTTTAATCAACATAACTCTCTTTATCAAAGTCTTAAGAAAAACAATATAGAAAGCAGAACATAAAGCAGAAATCCCACTGTTGAAATAATAAATAGAATCTCATTGAAGATAACTTATAAAATAACACTCTTACAAACAATATAGATGTATCTCCTCTAAATAGACTATTTATCTGTGTGTGTGTGTGTGTGTGTGTGTGTGTGTGTAGAATGTACAAGAACATACGTATGTGTACACAGTACAAATCAAAATAAACTGTATTTGGGGCAGTAGAAGTGTTCTCCTCCTTTGTATTAAAAAATTTTAAACATGCCTCAACTGCCAAATAACATTTTCTAATTTGTGATATATACCTATTTATCTCATCTTCATCAAAACTGAAACCCCCAACATAAAACTTTTGTTAAAAAACAACAGGGCCAGGCGTGGTGGCTCATGCCTGTAATCCCAGCACTTTGGGAGGCCGAGGCAGGCAGATCACCTGAGGTCAGGAGTTCGAGACCAGCCTGACCAACATGGCAAAACTCCATCTCTACTAAAAATACAAAAATTAGCCAGGTGTGGTGGCGTGCATCTCTAATTCCAGCTACTCGGGAGGCTGAGGCAGGAGAATCACTTGAACCCAGGAGGCAGAGGTTGCAGTGAGCTGAGATCATGCCACTGCACTCCAGCCTGGGAGACAGAGCAAGACTCGGTCTCAAAACATTAGAAAAAAAAAAAAAACAGATGCTGATAGTGGGGGAGGTTGAAGGGGGGTGGGTGAGTATGTGGGAACTCTGCACTTTACACTCAATCTTGCTGAGAAATAAAATGTGCTCTTAAAATATAAAGTCTATTAAAATAAATAAACAAACCTTGGCAGTTTCTGTAACTATTGGGCAATGACTTAGGCAGAGTAAAAGAAAATAAAAGAATTAGTGATCTACCTTCAAAGTTTAACATATTCCCATGGAATTACCAGAACATTGAATAAAGGCTAATTCAAAATATCTTACAATAAATCCAACATAGGATTTCTGTCATTAAGAAAAAATAAAATATTTTCTAAGACAAAATTCTGTTAAGCAAGGAATCATTGTATTAACATGAGGAATGTAATAAAATAAAAAATATAAAATCCAATTTTCTCAATGACCTGTTTGGAAACAGTATATGATGTCCAGAGTGGCATTAGGAATATTTCACTATAACCACTTTCAAAGTCAGTGTGATATAAGATATCATATCTAGTCCGATAAAGCACTGCAGGTCGCCCATAGAGGAGGTGTCTCTCTAAAAAAGAAAAAAAATAAACTGTGTTAGGTGCATATTAAATTTTACATCAAATGTTAAAGAAATGTTGGAAGAGTCAAGTTACCTAAAATGGCTAGCTTACTTATTATTAATATAGCACCTTCTCCTTAATTTAATCAAGCTAGTTTTCCTAACACTTTTGTGGTTGATCTGATCACCTAACCATGGGTCAAGCTTTACAGTTATCAAAACCATAATGTAAATGCTGTATTTACAGAATGCTTTTTTTAGTTGTAAAGAATTTACAATTTGTATATAAAGGAAACATTATGTAATAAATTTTGAAATGATTCAGCTGAATGGAAAGCCAATAGGATTGGATTTCTGTAGAATTAATTATTTTGACCCCTGAAGAGGCTTATCAGGTACACCAATGATTTAATTAAGAAGAAGGCACACATTGATCATTATATGCATACAGCAACTCAAATATGCATTCCTTCAGCATAAAAAGTGAGTAGTAATGAGCATTTAAAGTAAGCAGCTTTGTCATACAGAGGAAAAGTCTTTAGGTAAGAACTTAAAGGAACATGTATAGATAAAATAAGTGGGCATTCAAGAGGGTCTTCTAAGTACAGAAGAGGGAAGTTCATCAGTTACCAAAGAACTCAATGAAGACCCCCAGTGCAGATTCAGACCTCCAAAGGAAAGCTCTCTTCTTAGGAAAAAAAAAGGTCTGAAGCTTTACTCTTTGCGGAAGAAGAGATGGGAGTTCAGTATGAAAATCTTCATTCCACACTCTGCAATAAATACCTGGAGCTTGATCTGCCCACTTTGGATAGGCTAAAGTCAAAACTTCCACAGATTCTTGGAAATGTGGGGCCCTACAGACCAAAATATTTAGAGACTGAGGCTTAGGCAATTCACAATTCCTTAAGTGATAAATTTAAAAAAAAATAAATTCTTGTACTATTTTTTCTACTAGAGAAAATCAGTTCTGAAAAACACTTATTAAATAATGTATACATGTTGCTTTAATTAAAGTCTTACCATTCTATGCAAGTAATGGAGAAAAGTCTTCGTAGAATACTTTGCAAGACCCTCCCAGATAGAACTGCGGATTTGAGACAAAGCGGCCCACACTATTACAACACAAGCCTGTTCTGGGTAGTTCGGCTGCTCCAGCATTGCAGTAAATGTAGAAGCCTTAGTTAAGCTGCCAAATTTGGGGACCCACCCCTAAGGATTAGAACATAATCTGACAATATTAAATAAATGAAATATAATAAACAAATAAAACACCAGCAAATCGTAACAGTAGTACTTAGGGGCAGTAAAACAACCCAGACTTTCCTTCAAAACTCAAACCAAACCTTTTCTAGGTTCAAAATTTCCATTAATGTTTTCCTTGTTTTCATTTCTGCTGCCTCTGAATTTCCTGGTTTCAGCTGGAAGCAGAAGTATCAAAATTCTTTGAGAAGCTATTCTCTTTTCATCATTTAAGTTTTCATGGTTACCACACACAGTCCTCCAAACTCAAATTCAAGCTTGGCATCTAATCGATTCCATTAGGGGACAATAAAATAGCAGCCATGTTCCCATACGCAATACCCCTCCCTAGAGCAACCACCAAACAAAAATCTTGGACAATCTATAGTCTCTACTAACTCTGGCTCTTCCTCTAAATCCTCCTCATTTCTAAGCATTCAACGTAACACTCTATTCCACAAAGGCTAATGTATTTGCAACACTCTCTTCACAATTGTTGTTAGCAACATTACACTATCATATATGCTATTTCCTTTCTCTCTACCAGAAATAACTTCTCCAGTCTTCGCCAAGTCTGTCACCTATCTCCTTCCAAATGTATCCATTATTCTTCATCATCAAACATTGAGCGCCTTGGTTGTGCCAGACCTTGCGCTGTAGAATGGAGGTACTGGGCAAAGATGATTAAGATAGAGCTCTTACCCTCAAAGAGCTCACAAGTCAAAGGGAGAGACAAACATAGCACAAATAACAGATGCCATGTGGTCTGCACCATATTAAAGATAGTTACAGAGTGTGATGGGAATGCAGAGGATGATGAATACTGGAAATGGAGTGAAGGTGGCATCAATAAAGTCCTTTAAGGAGCATATGAAGTTAAACCAGGCTGGCCCCATGTTACAGTTTTATGCCTGTTGCCCTGGTATAATTGTTAATAGTGTCCCTTTTCACGCTCAAAAGTGTATGACAAATATTCAGCCCTCATGGAAGAGACATGAAGAAGAAAGGGCGAGGGGCCCAAGAGGGGCAGAGATATCTTAAGATTCATTTTCTCTGCCGGGCATGGTGGATCATGCCTGGAATCACAACACTTTGGGAGGCAAAGGCGGGTGGATTGCTTAAGGTCAGGAGTTCAAGACTAGCTGGCCAACATGGCAAAACCCTGTCTCTACTAAAAATACAAAAATTAACCAGGCACGGTGGTGCGCACCTGTAATCCCAGCTACTAGGGAGTCTGAGACAGGAGAATCGCTTGAACCCAGGATGTGGAGGATGCAGTTAGCCAAGGTCATGCCACTGCACTCCAGCCTAGGTGACAGAGCGAGGCTCCGTCTCTTAAAAAAAAAAAAAAAAAAGATTCATTTTCTCCTGAAAGGTTTCCTCAATAAAGCTTCTCCATCTCTACTCACTCTACTGCTCTACATATATAGATTCAACTTGCTTCAGAAATTTGGGTTCTGGCCAGGCATAGTGGCTCACGCCTGTAAGCCTAGCACTTTGGGAGGCTGAGGTGGGCAGATCACTTGAGGTCAGGAGTTTGAGCCAGCCTGGCCAACATGGTGAAACCCCATCTCTACTGAAAATACAAAAATTAGCCAGGCATGGTAGCACACGCCTGTAATCCCAGCTACTTGGGAGGCTGGGGCAGAACTGCTTGAACCTGGGAGGCAGAGGATGCAGTGAGCCAAGATCGTGCGACTGCACTCCAGCCTGGGCAACAGTGCAAGACTCTGTCTCAGAAAAAAAAGAAAAGAAAAGAAAGAAATTTGAGTTCCATAGCTTCCAAGCTATTGTCATAACTGCAAGTTTTGGCACACAGCTGGAACACAAAAGTATCACTGACTGCCTTTTTCTCAATTATTACTGAGCAAAAATAGCATAATAAGGGGAAAAAATACAGTGGTTTTTACAGCCTCCTAAAAATCCAACCAAGGTCCCCAATGACCCAAAAAAATCTACTTGGGTCTTCCTGGAGCTTAACAGTTTCATCTAAGAAAGAGGGGGAAATAATCTCTGCAGTAAGAAACACAGATTTTAAGGTCCAGAATCAAAATTTAGATTTTATTTTTTCAGTTTATCAAAGTATCAAAGAATCACAGATTCAGAGTCATAGCCTGACTCTCCTAGTCTTTATGACATCTTGGGGGAGCCACCCACTGCATTTTTGTTGAGCAAAAAGTCTCTCTACTCAGGCCACAAAATGTACTTGAATCTTGTTCTCGGCACACATTGAGATCTTTATCTCGAGACCAGCAACCCTGGAGACTAGCCTGCAAGCCTCTGCTTCTGCAATATGTTTCTGGGATTTCTTCACGTGGATCTAGTATAACCTGGTCTTCCCAGGCTGAGAATGCCTGTCATGGAATTCCAGACCGAGCCTTCATTCCACACCCCAGTTCCCTGTTTACAATAGTGTCTCTGGCAGTTTTGGTACATGCCAAGGTTCTCCTCCAGATACCACACTTGGCAAAATACTGTGAGGCCAATCTTTTTAAGTGGTGTGGACTTCCCCAGCACTCATTCTTTTTGTATTCCAAATTTGGGTCGTAGAGACTGGAGTTTGTGTTCCTTTTCCCTCCTCAGCTTCCTGATTCAGATTCCCACAGATGAGCAGGCTGTCTTGAGAGCCACATGAAAATCTCTCCTCTTTTTTGTTTTTTTAAAACATACACTCCCACAATAATATGCTCTTAAATCTTACCACAAAATCTCTACCCAAGATCTTTCCTTTTCTTGCATACTTTCTCCTTTGCCTTACAAGTGCCTATTATCATTTGCTGCCATTTCAACCTCCTCTGAGATTTGATTTAAGGCCTCTCTTTAGTGCCCTGTTCTTTCTTACCCCAACCTTGAAAACATTATGCTGTAATGTATCAACTGGATAAATCCTACAACAGAACAATAACTTTATGAGGACAAGGACTTCATCTGTTTTACTCACCACTGTATCTTCCATCTCCAACAATGCCCATCACATAATATCTACTTGGCAAACACTTGTTGGTAAGTTAATGATACATATTTTTTTTAAATCTTGGCTTTCTACATATGACCTGTCTAATGTTACCCTGAAAGGTACACTGGGCAGGTCAGTAGTATCATCTCCAACTTACTGATGAAGGAACTGGAGGTTTATGATTTGCACAAAATAATTCAGCTGCATAGCAGCACTAGAATCCCAGGCCATTACTCTTCTGCTTGGCCTTTTGGGTGGTCTCCAGTTGGGTGCTGGCCGCTGGGTTATTTCATGGAGAGTGTATGGGAAAGAAGATCCAACTACTTCCCGGCAGGAACTCTGCCCGAGTAATGCCTACTGAGAAGCTAATGAGGACAGTAGTTTCTGTCAAAGCATCTAGTATTTCAGAAGCAACTTCCAAACTTTGATATACAAATTTTTTGTTGAGCAAAGAGTCTCTCTACTTAGGCCACAAAATGTATATGAAAAGCAAAATTTTCTTTTGACATATTCCCTTTGTTCCCACTCTTAGAATAAGAAGCATTTTCAGATGAAAGCACATGGGCTTCAGTGTCATATAAAACTGCGTTCAAATCTAATCTCAGCTCTTTATAGTTGTGGTACTCTGTAACTTAATCTCCCAAAGCTTTATATCTCCCTGGAATGTTGCACTGTTTACAGGCAAAATATGTGAAGTGGCTTGTTTAGTTTTAACCCAAAGTAACTGCAGTTGTAGCAGTTGCAGTTGTACTGTTTAGTAAAGGTATGGGCTCTACCTCAATACTGGCAAAGAATATTGCTAGGTAAAAGTTGTTAAAATTCAATCTACCATCAAATTCATCTTGAATTCTACTATAAACAATAAACAATTACTATGTATTGATTTCTTCCAAGTATTCCCAAAAACACACAGATACACACGCAGACACAAACACTCAGAAGCAGGAGTGAATGCTATCTCCTTCTTTCTCTAGAACAACTAATATCTCCAAAGAAATAACACAAATGAGAAACATTCCAGAATTGACAAGAGCTAAAGAAGATGTTCCCTCTGTAGCCATATTCAGGACTCTGCTTTAAAGTTAACAAGAATTACTAGTGTTTAAGTCAATTTTCTTTTTCTTTTTTGAAACAGAGTTTCACTCTTGTTGCCCAGGCTGGAGTACAATGGCGAGATCTCGACTCACTGCACCTCCACCTCCTGGGTTCAAGCGATTCTCCTGCCCCAGTCTCCCTAGTAGCTGGGATTACAGGTGGATGCCACGATGCCCAGCTAATTTTTGTATTCTTAGTAGAGATGGGGTTTCACCATGTTGGTCAGGCTGGTTTTGAACTCTTGACCTCAGGTGATCCACCCACCTCGGCCTCCCAAAGTCCTGGGATTACAAGTGTGAGCCACTGACCGCACCCAGCTGTGTTTAAGTCATTTTCCTATCCAAACTAACTTCTCATTGTGTATGATAAGGAGCCAAGTATACATAGGTGTTAAAATTATTTTTAATTCCTTTTTCACAAAGATGATGGTGAGGGCTAACCTAAGAAAATATGAAACATTTTTATAGCAATGTAAATAGAGTAAAGACCAAGGTGAAAATAAATGGTGCAATTATTCTTGCAGTGAAAATTATACTTGGCTATAGTGCCAGAATTGCTTGCTACAAGAGATTTTTTAAATTTTCTTTTCATTCATTAATTCATCCATCAATTCAATGCCACAAGGAAATGAGTTTTCATTGCATGGAAAGTCGGCCAAGACATTAGGTATATGAGATCCAGAAATAACAACAGGCATGCAATTAAGACCTGGAGTCTACCACCTATCTAGAAATATTAAAGTTTAGCAAGCAGCTTAGATGGCCATTTTTGAGGATTACATTTTTCTTTCTCTTTATTTTAGTAAAGGATTTGATTCCATAACAGTTTAAATATTTATAGCAAAATATTGCCCAAGATTGGTTTAACATACCTCTTTTTTATCACAGATATCCCTGTGATCGTTTCACTATTGGAACATGCAGCTTTTACTCATGTATTTTGTACAGATGTATGACAGATTTTACAGCATATGCCATTAAAACAGTCACATATAAATGTTACAGGTGAAGTGTGTATAGCTCATGACATATTCTGAAAAATATCAACTACTTACATCTGTGTTTTAAAAAACTAATAATAAAAATAGTACAACTTTACATCTGTATAGAAGTTTAGGTTTACAAACTACTTTAAAAGCCTTCATATGTATTCAAAGGTACCTAGAAAGGGGAAGTAATTGCCCTGAACATAATACATGTGTGCTCACATACATGGTGGTTCACATTCACAAGGATCTCCTCCAGTAGGGCAGACACTGAATATTTTAAATGGGAGGCCAAATTTATGACACAGGAAACACCATAAAGGCCTGAAAGAACTCAGACCAAGAAAACATCGCTTTGCCACTGAAGAAATGACCAAGATAGAGCCCAAAAGGAAACAAAGCCCAAGAGACAGCGATAGGAGAGAGCAACAGGAGAAAGAGCATTGAGGTTTATACATATTCCAGCATCTAAGCAAGGAAATGCATTGCACATAATAAGACAAATATTTTTGAAGGCTCTCTTGTGTCATTAAATGTTGGTGCCACTAGGCCATGAGCAGACTTAGAATAGCATGAGCTATTCTAGATTCCCCCCTAATATTTTATGCCACCACTTTGAAGCCATGAATTAGAAACTCTCAGTGGTACAGTTGTGTCAGAGTAACCAGTGCCAGCCCAGTGTCAGTATTCAACAAATGCTTGCTGAATGTATCCATGAGGGTTTGTTTCCATGAAAATACACAAACTTTAAGCTTCAGCGGTATAAAAAGACACTTCAGGGATTTAAGTAAGAAACTCACGTTCCACTCAGAGCAGAGCAATGGAGATGTAACCTTACTAACTATAGCTCCTTATAGCCCTGAGAGTCAGTGATTCACTAAGAAGATGTGTCTTATTTTTATGCTCTTAAGTTTGAGGTGATTGTGTGTGTTTTTTTGTTGTTGTTGTTGTTTGTTTGTTTGTGAGACAGTCTCGCTCTGTCGCCCAGGTTGCAGTGCAGTGGTGCGATCTCAGCTCACTGCAACCTCTGCCTCCCAGGTTCAAACAATTCTCCTGCCTCAGTCTCCCACGTAGCTGGGATTACAGGCACGCGCCACTGCCGCCCGGCTAATTTTTGTATTTTTTTAGTAGAGAAGGGGTTTCACCATGTTAGCCAGGCTGGTCTCAAACTCCTGACCTCAGGTAATCCACCTGCCTCAGCCTCCTAGAGTGCTGGGATTACAGGCATGAGCCACTGTGCCCGGCTGAGGTTATTGTTTATAATGAATTGTGAGACTGGTTTTGTCATATAAGGACACTGCCACCAACAAATTAAATGCAGGAATGTTTTTCTCAGACAGAAATGCTTTAGTACCATGAACAGTCAGACTTTGAATCAGCAAAATCATGGGAGTTCAATAGAAGTTACCATAATTAATTTCATTAGTGACTTTTAGAAGAGAAGCATCTGAGTAGTATTTATCTGCCTTGGCAACTAAATATCTAAAAAACTTGAATCATGAGACTCCCCATCTTTTGACTCTAGCAATGTTCTAATTGTTCTAATTATAATGACACTATAGTCCACTAGAGGTTAGGTGTCGAACATTGCAAATCACTTGTAGAGTTTGTGAAAGATTTGTGTGCCTTCTACCAACAATGGCCTATCTTCAAAGTGAGATTCATTCCGTTCTGTGCCAGAGTCTGTGTGTTCTGTGATCAAAGGGAGAAGTGGGATGATGGAGATACAGAAAAGGAAGAAGGAGGCAGATGAAGATCTTTAAAAGAGGAAAAATAAGTCAAGTAAATCAAATCTTCTACCGGTTTCCTCAACTCTACTTAATCAGATTGGAAAGAGCATATATGATAAACAGAACCATATGTAAGCTAATAACTCAAGCGATGCTCTCAGGAGAATTTGACCACGTGCATCTTTGCTGCATGACTTGTGGCTGCTATGCTTGAATTCTTTCTGCATTTTCCATACACTTTTAGTCATTTCCTGGCTGTTTCAACATGTTATCCCATCTACTTTAGTAACATGTATAGGAGGCTTCCCCTCCCCTTCTATTTTCCTCCAATTTTGTGAAACTTCACAATCAGATAAAAAGAGCCTGCATGGTAGATTGTGTTATTGCTCCTCATTATTTACTGCCTCCACCCATTGCCATATGACTTGCAGGATAGAGTCCCCGTGGAAAAAATGTACTTCCCTACACCATTGGTATCATGTGCTCAGCTTTGGCCAGCAAACTGTGAATGGAGTGACATATGCCTCATAAAAGCAGAAGCATTAAGACACAGTGCACAGTTCTGCCACTCTTTTCCCTCTGTCAAGAGCAGGACATGTCTCTGATGAAGGCTACTCCTTCAGCCTGGGTTCCAGAATAAAGAATACACATGGAGCAAAGCTGCCCTTGGCCTACAGCCAGCACACTAAAATGGGAGCGAGAAACGCCTCTTAGTACAAATCACTAATTTTTTTTTTTTTGGTCATATCATAAGCTTGCGAAAGTTCACTAATACGTGCTCGTTATCATTGTACGTAAAGTAAGAGTTAGGGCTTGAGATGATCCTTCATATGAGGAGGGAGTTCTGATTTGATTCCTTCGGTGAATCTCTCCCTATCACAATATATATATATCTATATATACACTGACTCTCGAGGTAGATACCTTCAGGATAGGCACCAGCTGCTATTATTTATCATTGTGACTATCATTCCCTTTATAGGAGTGCCCCACAGTGTCTTATGACTCATCAGATACAAAATGGATTGTGTACTTTTCAGAGGGCTTAAAAGCTATTGAGGGGGGAGAAAAGCTATTGGAATTTTTTTATTACACAGCTGGCATCTTGTGTACATGGAATAAACAAATATCCTTTGCCAGATAGGTATGAAAGTCACTTTGAAATACAAATTCTAATTTTAAACAATATTGTGCTTACACTATAATGTAAATAAGAAGCCTTTTCGATTTTCGAAAACGAGAAAAACCTTATCTGATTATTTTGCAACCACCCCTTACCTTCTGTAGACCCTTTTGTATGAAGCCGTTTGTTGAGTTCATCCAACTTGTTCTTCATGTGTGAAAACCAGTAAAGGAAAAAAGAAAGCAAATCAGAAATGTTCTTTCCCTCTGTGCCCTTCTGTCGACTTAGCACCCTGCTAAATTCAAAAGCGAACTCTAAACTCCATCTATATCATACATTCTTTCGAGGAATTAACTGTTTTCTCTCAAACTGACATTCTGGGCTCCACCTCTAGCAGTTCTATGTTTGTAAGCACCTTCTTCAATCTCTGTTTCCTTCCTTAAAACTGTGGATAGTCACCACAGTACCAATTTCCCATGTGGGTACTGATGATGACTTGGGCATATATGTGTAAGTAAATTAGGATAGCGCCTAAATGTTTCAGATTAATCTCTAGGCACACTGAAGTGATTCCCAAACTAATTTATGAAATCACTTTTCACCAAAGCTAAAACGTAATGACTCAGCAATTCTGAAACAGCATGAGTCAGCAACTCTACCCTTCACTGTATACCCTAGCATATGCGTGCAAGAAGACATTTCCAGTAATGTCTGTGGCAACATTGTTGTAAGAGCTAACATTTGCAAATTACTAAATGTTCTCAAGTAGGAAAATGGAAAAAAATTCTTATGGTACATTTATACAATTAAATATTAACTACTGTATTAGCAGTAAAAATAAGTGAGCTAAAACTTCATGTACTAATATACATTAAGTCTCAAAAACATAATGATAAAATAATTGCAGGATACATATAGTATAATAGCATTTATTAAAAATTTTACAACATGCAAAACTATAGTATAGGTTATTTTAGGAAACTATACAAAAGATTACTTCATACGTTATTTAATAAATATATAAGGCCAGGCACAGTGGCTCACGCCTGTAATCTCAACATATTGGGAGGCCAAGGCGGGTGGATCAGCTGAGTCAGGAGTTGAAGACCAGCCTGGCCAACATAGTGAAACCCCGTCTCTACTAAAACTACAAAAATTATCCAGGCATGGTGGCAGGAGCCTGTAATCCCAGCTACTCAGGAGGCTGAGGCAGGAGAATAACTTGAACTCAGGAGGCAGAGGTTGCAGTAAGCCGAGATCACACTACTGCACTCCAGCCTGGGCAACAGAGCGAGACTCCATCTCAAAAAAAAAAAAAAAAAAGAAAACCTGTCCAAGCATAGTGTGTGGGGGTAGTCTCTGTTTGCACCACCACCGCATCCTTGTTGCACCCTCCCACACCCTGCTCTGTGGCCTGGGAGGCTGACCTCTAGGGATGGCATCAAAGAGCAAACTTGCCCTGTGGCTCCCTGTTGGGCTCTACCAAGGGGAAACATGTGAAAGGAAGTACAGGGGAGGAAGATGACGGTAGCACTCTCCTATCTGGGAGTGCTCCCTGCTGGGTTGCAATGAACAAGCTGCACTCATCGGCCAAATACAATAGTTCCTTCCTATTCGGTTGTCTCTCCATGTTTTGGAAACTTACTCCTTCCCCTCACCCTTTAAACCTTAGAAGGTACTATGCGAACCCCAGGGCACTTCGTCACTCCTCATTGAATTCCATCCACCCTGCTCAGCCTTGGTAAATTACTCATTAAACATGACTGAAACAATTCCTTTAAACTCTCTCTTTTTTTCATTTCCTTTTTTTTTTTTTTGAGTCAGAGTCTCACTCCGTCTTCCAGGCTGGAGTGTGGTGACACAATCCCGGCTCACTGCAACCTCTGCCTCAAGCGATTCTCCCACCTCAGCCTCCCAGCGCCACCATGCCCGGCTAATTTTTTTGTGTTTTTAGTAGAGACAGGGTTTCACCATGTTGACCAAGCTGGTCTGGAACTCCTGACCTCAATTCATCCACCCATCTCAGCCTCCCAAAGTGCTGGGATTATAGGCGTGAGCCACCATACCTGGCCTAAACTCTCTTTCAAAACCTCTTCTATATGGGCCACCTGTCTCCCGTCGGGACCATGACTAATAGACATGTGATCCACAGTTGAAGAAAACAGAAAAAGATTTTGGTTGAGAACTGTGACTGCACAGAATAGCAACATGAATTCTACTTTTTGTCTTTCATGGTCTATACCTGTGCTATTCAATATGGTAGCCACAAGCCACATAGGGCTCTTTAATTATAAAGTAATGAAATAAAAATTTGAGTTCCTCAGTCACACTAGCCAGTAGCTACCATTTTGGACAGCATAATTATAGACCATGTCCATTGTCACAGAAAGTTCTATGGGCCAGCACTGTTAGCCACCCAACAAACTTCTCCATAATAAACATAAAGATTATTTCTACCTTTGGCTCTACCTTATCATCACAAGTGCAGCCCAGGTCAAAATCAGACTGAAGGTACATAATCCCTGGATAATTGGGTCTGGTAACTTCCTCTGGCATGGTTGGCCTGAAGGTATTAGTGCGCAGGAGATGATTCAAACTTCCATGGGTCCCATTATTAGGAGCTGGCTTCAATCCCAGGAGATCTAATGAAAATTAAGAAAAGGAGGCAGGTGCTTCTTATATTTTTTTGATGAGATATGGTAAGATTTAAAACCCTTCACCTTCTATGGGTCTGAAAACTGTGAACACAAATCAGAACTGGACAAAACCAAATGTAGATGGCAGGCACCCCCTCCTTACCTCCTGAACCATTCTGGACTAACTACATCTTGCCACAGCTTTCTGAAATACCCAAGTTCATTGCCTGACCATGAATAGAGAGAGAGAGATTCCCAGAAAGAAAGAGTGAAGGAACAAGACTTTGATTAACTATTGCCTGTATCTGCGATAGTTACAACCCAAGGGTGATCAATGTCAGTATCACTTTTTCCTGCACTTCTCTGGGACTATTTAATTCCATGTTTTGAAATGAGACTTATAATCAATAACTAACTAGAAGTCTGCCCTCTAATGACTCCACAGAAGTGTGGGGACATGAGGAGGCTTTGGCCCTGTCCCCTGAAGTGCCACTGAGCAATGAACAGGCTGATTTCATAGCAAGTGAATGGTTGCCAAGTGCGTATTCAGTAACTTGCTTGAGCTCAGAGGCAGGACAGGGGACAGCTAGCAGCCAAGATGGGAAAAGAACCCAGGAGACCCGACTTGCAGACTCCCCCTCTAACCACCAGACTGGCACTCCCTTACTAAATAGGAAAAGTTGTCCTCATTCAGCAACTAGAAGTTCAAGGAAGAAAAATAATTAAGAGCACATAAATAGCTGGCCAGGATGCAAGCTGGCAACATTTTTAACTGGGCTGCAATGCAAGAGATGGAGGTGGAGGGGACTCTGTGCAGAACTCTTGCTTCATCAGGTCTCTGACCAGTGGTGTCAAACTGTAATGCTATGTTAGACCAGCCAGAGGCTGCCAACAGCAACACTATGAAAACGCCCCATTAGTCAACTGTTGAAGGAAGACAAAGAAGCCTTAGAAGGGGATAATATTCTGTCTTTGAACCAATGGGCAAGTTACAACCTTTTGTGGGGAAGAGGAGGTAGTCCCAGAAAATAGACACCTCATTTCTTTCTCTGACATTGAGAAAGATCATATATACTAACTAAAGATTGTTTCAATGGTTCTGATTAAATGAGTGACTTACCACACATAACATTGTAAAGTTCAATGTTTTCAAATGGAGGCACTTTAGTCTTGTACTTAAATGTTGAGCCATAACCTACAAAAACAGTCTTCCAAAAGAAAAGAAAAACAAAAACAGTTAAGCATTGTTAGGTAGGAACCCTTCCTCTATTTATGAATACTGTACAACTTCACTCACACCACCATTACTTATCCTTTCGAAGAACCACTAAAACACAATTTCAATTCACAGTTCTGCCATCATACCTGCATGCTGTTGACCTTGTTATCAAATCCGTGGTCTCCCTGGAAAAAGCATTTTCCTGATGGTTTCTTATAAACATCCAAAGGTTTCCTAAATTGAAACAATTTCATGATTAGTTAGAATTTCTCATGAAATTACTTTGATAAAAAGGTAATTTCAGGGTACAAAGAATATCTAAGAAGGGGCTTTTGAAAGTTTGCCTCTATTTTAATTGCATTCTTCTTGTGATGATGAAAAGAGGATCCTATGCATTTCTCCAAGTGACTTTTCTTTGACAGTTATTGCAGGATAAATGGCGACCTGTGAACTGAAGTCACGATGCCCTCCTTGGAGCTCGTGCTTACACCAAGTAGGGCACTTGTCAAAAGTCATGCTCTGCCTGTCTAGGTGCTTCGCTAGCTCTGAGACTGTAAGATTCTCGACTCTAGGACCATGTTTGTCTGGTTCACTTCTATGTACCCCTCCCTAGGGTCAGTGTCAAGACATAGTTGGCACTTTAAAAAAATGTGATGTCTCACCTATTATATACCCATAATAATTTAAAATTTAAAATAAAATAAATTTGCGATGTTTAAACAATGAATGGAGATCTATATTCTATAAAAATATTTGCATGCAAATTTATCTATCAATATACAATACAACTAGAGTACAACTAAGCAGCCAACTTAACAGTAATCATGACATATCTGACAAAAGCATGGTCTCACCTAGACAATATCTCTATTTAGAAACAGAAAACAGAAATACTGCTCTCTAGACATCAAGACCATCTGATCTTTCCTTTTGTGACAGAAGACACCTTTTGCAAAAGTGTCATGTGACCCTTTTCCAAAATAGCTTTCATGTTAATTTAATACAAATATTTCCTAAGTACCTATGGGTATATAGCACTGAAAGTGCTTTGGGAAAACAAAAAATCTAACATACGGGTCTCCACCCTTGGAAAAATAAGGGCTTGGGATAATAAGACATATGCATACAATACCTCAACAATGCAAGATGAGTTAAATTTAAAAGATGCATTGTTAACCAACATGCCTGGTTTTGGGCTACACTAATTTGCCCAACTGTCATCATCTTTCACTTAACTTCTACTCAGCTCCCATGTTTTTGCCATATGAACCTACTACCTGCGCCAGTGTGACCCCTTCCAAGCTGCCCCATACATAAAAGGTCCTTCAGGAGCACATACCGGGCCAATTAATTTCAGTCACATCCCAATTAATTTACCAGGCCAGTAAATTCTCCATGAGGATTTCCCACAACTGTTTTAGAAGACTCCAATAATTCCTGTTCTTCGTACATCTTTCTTCATAATCCCACATATCTAACTCTAAGTACACCCTGGAAAATTACAGCATGATATTTATGTATCTGTCAAATGTGTCTCTCTAAACATCCCATACTGATACAAGTTTCTAGAGTTCTAAGTTCTTCTTAGAACTTGAGTTTCTAAATATTTTCTTGTTATCTTCTTTCTCTTGCAAACTAGTACCCAGCTAGAGTACATGTGGCAGTTGTTCAATTATTGAGATAGACAAATTCACAGCACTTTTCTTAAGTAGAAAGTTGGAGCAAGAGTGAGTGGGAACAGCTACTTCCAGGTCTGTGTGAAAATGGATAAATCCTTAATAATTAACTCATTGGAAGTTGTTAGAGCCTCCAGACATGTCCTAGACCACATTCAAAAGCAAGGAACATTCTCTTCAACATTGGAGAGTGTTTTGTAGTTCAATAGAAGGCAAACATTGGGAATATTTAAAGCAATGTAAAAAGTGCCCACAATAACAGAGTTTTTAACATTAACAACATTTTCTAAAGTCCTCTATAAATATTGCTACAAGCAAAGTCTCAACAACCGAGATCAAATCAGCCCAATATACTAAGGCAAGCTCCCATTTATACTTTTGACTTACTCAAGTAGTAAGAATAGAGTTTAGAATGTAAATTCAAAGGATGAAAGAGACACACACACACACACACACACACACACACACACAGATGCACTGACAGACTGCAAAGAGACACCACAATGCTGAGACCCAGAACATAGAGATATATTGTCTCAGCACTGATGGTTTATGTAGCCCACAAAATCTTTGGAAACAGTGAGATTTCCAACTGATATTTCTTTCAGTGATGACTAAGGATGATAAAATATTTCCAGTTGCCAAAGGGGTGGTTGTGGAAATGAGAAACAGAAATAGCCCATATACCAGTTACCTTGCAACATGCCATCTGCGTTCCACCAATAAATGGATATCCTCAATTCTTCTGTTGTTGGCATAGTGCAAACGTTTGGGAAGGTGCTGTTTCAAGTAAGGCTTAAAGTGCTGATCTGGTTTTTTACACTGAAATAGAAATGGAAATCAGACTTCAGATGGAATGTCTTTTGGAAAAATTCTTACAAATTCTCTCTCTAGAAAGCTGAAGGAGATTTTAAGCCTAACCAAAGGTTAATGAGTGAATAAATGAAATTTATTTCTATTAAATAATGTATGCTGAAAACAAATAGATTCAAAAGAGATTAAGTAACCTTGGAGATGATATGACAGGCTATCTGAGGACAGTTAGGAATTTTAAGATGCATTCCTGGCTTGTGAGACCATCGCTAAGAGCAATTCACACTCCAAGGCCTTTCCCAACTCCTTCAAGTCAAGCAGTTGGGGGTGGGGTGTCGGTGGGAGGGGAGGAGCACATGGGTTTAGGCTTATCTGATTAGATGCTCTTGTACCACTAAGGTCGCTACCCAGCATCCGGGAACAATGGAGCAGAGTGGGTGGGCAGTTCTGGTTCAGGGAAAGTAAAGATTTGTTTAACCATGAATGAATACTTTTCAGTTCTAATGGAAGGATCAGATATTCTCCATTTGTATCATTGCCAAGACCATTAGGGAGCCTGCAGCTGACCACAGGCCAGAAGTTTTGAAAGTTCTTAAGGAAACAAATATACAGGATGGCAGGGCAGTGAGGAAAGTGTTCCTCCCACCCCTCCCCGCCGGGGGAGGCACACACAGGAGGGAGGCTGCTCCAGGGGCAGAGGCCTGGGCAGGGCAGAGGCGGGACAACTGGAAACACTTACCGTGAGATTGGCAATAATGGCTTTGGGGTCATCTGTTCAAAGAGAGGAGAAAGATTTCAAAAGAAATAACAACCATTACCAAGAGAAATCATTTTTGCAGCAAGATACTCAATTCTTTCTCCTTCCATCCCACAGAAGACTATCACTTTAGTGTTTTGTTTGAAAGATAAATAATTGTGTAGGGGTATTTAACATTTCAGTCATTGACATGCAGCTAAGCAAGTGGAACAAATCCTATAGTAAACTGCCCTCCTAGGTCCAGTTCTGCTCTTCTGGAGGGAATTCCTCCTTCCATAGCACCAGGATACTGCTAGGTAAATTGCTTCTTGTTTTAAGTTCCCCCTAATGGTTCCCCTTGAGACATAATTTATTTGCAGTTTGACCTCAGGAACTAAACTGGGCATTTGGGGCTTTTAATGTAACTTCTTATTTATCTGCAGATTTTTGAAACAAGTCTTCACCCACTTTAAGTTGAAACTTCTAATCCATTGAGTTATTTTTTTAAAAGGGAGTTTGTTTCCCTATTTATATCCTGGGTGTAATTACACAGGTAGCCGCACCTCTCCAGCCATAGACACACACGTGCATGCACCTCCTTTATTTTCAATAGCATCAAGTAAAAGATTTTAGTCAATACTCTGAACTAGCTAAAAGCAAAATTATGTAAATGATGGCTGTGCATAAACTGTGGACAGGATTATATTATCTGAAGCTCCCCTTTTGGGCGGAATGTGGGGAGAAAGAGGAGATTGTAGGTTGCTTGGATTTTGTTTTGTTTTCAGGAAGTTTGCTTCAGTATGTTATTACAGAATCAGCAGAAAAGGAAAGTGGTGTTCAGAAGAGATAGCAACTATCATGAGGCAGCCCTCCCTGGCATCTAAATACCAGTGGAGCAGGCCTTATCTGTATCACGTGCTGCTGCATCCCTGGGCCTGTTCAGAGTAGACACTCAATATACATTTGTTAATAAATATTTGTTCATATTTGTTAAAAATGTATGAATAAACTTGCCTTGGGATATAAATATACAGACTCCAAAGTCTATTTTCAGAATCTTAGCTCTAAAGCTTGAAATCCGAAACTAAAATGTGTATTCCATTGGCCTTAATTACATCTCTTACTAGAAGGCAAATAAGTAATAATGTAATAATAATAGCCCGAATAGATTTCATACTATGTGCCTGTCTTTCTATAAGAGCTCTGCAGGTGGCCAGATACAGTGATGCCTGTAATCCCAGCACTTTGAGAGGCAGGGGTGGGTGGATCACAAGTTCAGGAGATCGAGACCATCCTGGCTAACATGGTGAAATCCCGTCTCTACTAAAAATACAAAAAATTAGCCAGGCTTGGTGGCATGTGCCTGTAGTCCCAGCTACTTGGGAAGCTGAGGCAGGAGAATTGCTTGAACCCAGGAGGCAGAGGTTGCAGTGAGCCAAGATGGAGCCACTGCACTCCAGCCTGGGCGACAGAACAAAACTCCGCCTCAAAAAAAAAAAAAAAAAAAAAAAAGAGCTTTGCAGGCACTTTCTCTCTGGTCATTCACAATAACCCTAGGAGGTAAATGCTGTTCAAATCCTCACTAAGCCAATGGGTTTTCAGAAGGAGGAGGAGTTGGCACTCTGACACTCAAGCAACCTGATTGAGCAAGCCAGGCCTCATAAATCATATTCCTCAAAGGGACGAAATAAAGTAAGTTCATGGTCTTTGACAATGAAGAGAAGTAAATAGCATGTACTCAGATAAGTCCCAGAGAATTACTAGGAATATCCAATGCCTGAGTCCATACTGGGGACATCAATCCTTCAATTCTGAAGAACTTAGTCTTTGCAGGCTAACAGTCCTCATTTTGTGTGAAGAAAGGGCAGTGGTTCAGCTAATCTGGCTTCAAATCTCAGATCTGAAACTTACTAACCATCATCCTCGAAGCTAGTTCCCTCACCCCTCTCTGAGCCTCAATTTCTACTGTCTATAAAAGGGATAGTGATACTTATCACACAATGCTATTAAAAGGATTAAATAAGAGTGTATGTGTATGTGTGTGTGTCTCTATCTGAAATAGTGGTATGACTAAGACATCATCATCATATCCAACCTTTATATAGCTTTGACTATGTGCTAAGCACTGATCTAAATTATGTAAACACAATCTCTTGTTTAATCTTCCTAACAATCCTTACCTTGCAGATGAGGAAGCAGAGGTACAGGGCGTCACATGGTGAGTACCGAGCAGAGCTGAGATATGAACCCAGACATCTGTGCCTGTCACCACCCCATGCTACTGTCTCCCACAAAATGAAACCACATTGGAAAGTGTTTTTGTAAAGTACAAAAATTTTTATCATTGATAGTTATGAATTCATGGGCCATGGGAAGGTTTTTTTTTCTCCTCCAAACCAACCTCCCCATTACATGTACTAATGTCAGAAATATTGTTAAAAATAGAGAAAATCTTTTTTGCATAGCCCTGAAGTGCAAATACTAAAATCGAGGGGTGCCATAGTGACTGCATCCAGTCTATGCGAGGGCAGAAAAGGGAGGACACAGGGACAGGAAAGGTCATGGAGGAGAGAGGGCAGAAACACCCACATTTTGTTTATTTCACAACATGGTCTGGAGCTGACCCTGGAACAGTTCCAGTTGTGTTGACTCAGGAACATAATTAGGGAAAAACTTAATTTTCCAAAGCTGTAAGGTTGGTGTCAATGGTTTCTTATTCCCAAGGCTAAAAACTCTAAAGAATTTTTTTTTCAAAGTGCGGCATAACCCCAATAAAACTATGGACTTCTCAAAAGCTAGGTAGACAGCACCTAAAAATCTTAGTCCACAAATTAAGTTTGTATCAGTGGTAGATCATAACCTGAACATGTAAAACATAAGTGACAAGATTATTCCTGTTTATTTTTATTTCTAATCTTTCAGGACAGCTGCCACTTCCCAAGGGCTTAATATCTTTTCCTACTAGGTTCTACCAATCACTTTTACAAAGAGAATGGACTCCATTCCACAAGGCTCCTAGGAACCCCCACAGTCCAAATGTGGTTCTGCCAACCCTTACATAGACCCTCTAGTTTCATCTATAAAAATGATCAGCCTGAACTTCTTATTGAAAAAATTCTTATCTTATAAACTTCTGTTTATGGTCATGAATATGCTTCAAACTAAGTGCAATTTCCACATAATAAGAATAAGAGCAAATATTTATATAATGCTACTATGTGCCAGGAACCACTCTAAGCAATATGCATAGATTAATTTCTACAGGTAGCTGCTAGCATTTATCATCCCCATTTTTCAGATGAAAAAACTGAGGCTTAGAGTCTAAATGACTTATTTAAGGTCACTCAGCTAAGCGGTAGCAGAGCCAGAATTTTTACCCAAGTATTTCAGCTTTAGAAAACAAGCCCTTACCTATTCCTTTGTATTACCACTCTAACCACTTAATATTTTAAGAATCAACTTACATTTAGCATTGTTGCTAAATTTGGATCGAATTCTTCCTAGAGTTCCAGGCACTAAAGTAATATCATCCACATTAGTTAGGTAATTACTCAAGAACTCAGTTCTATCACATGTGACATCTTCCATTCCTATGGGGAGGGAGAAAAAGAATATTTTCAGGCAAGACTAAAACGAAAATCTTAACATAGACACGAAAGATAACATCCAGGCATCTCTTTAGTTAGTTTTTAGTAACTTAATGGGAAGAGCCCTGACTTTTGAGATTTTTGTATTTGACTTTAAATGGTTTAAGGCTTCTCTGTATAATCTTTTCTCTAGACTTTTACTTAGCCATATCATCTTGCAAGCACTAGAAGGTTGAAAGTGCATTACCTCGATTACATTTTAAGTCACTCAGCCAGAATAGCAAGACAAAGGAAGTCACCATGATTTAAACAACAACAACAACAAACATAACTATTGACAGAGTCTTTATGAAAAAGATCTATTCTTTAAAAAAAAAAAAAAAAAAAAACCCTAGGTTGCATCAAACTCTTCCCAGCTGGGGGTGGTATAAATGGAATATACAGTTCTGTGTCTCTTTTACAAAATGTCATTTTCCAACTCTCTAATATATCTCCTGTCTTGAGTACATAATCACCAGTCCTCACTGTCTCCACTGGTGGCCTTGGATGTTACTGACAAAACAATACTGGCAACAAGAGATGAGAAAGAAAAATGTCAGTTCCAATGACCACCCAAACTGAAAAACAAAATAACACTGAAAACAAGTTGTAAACAATGTAATTAGTCAGAACTGAAAGCTAGCAACTAAAGCAAGAAGGTTCTAGGTAGGGAATTTTTTTAAACAACAAATATTTCTCCTCCACCCCAAGATTTGTTGTGTGTCCCCATCAAGGAAAATTCTTTTATTAAAATGCTTTTATTTAAAACATTGTTGTAAACTCAAATCTTAGCATCATAGACTATGGAGGCTACTAGAGATCTTATTGAAATGTATGAGATGACCTGGAACGTTTTAATATATTGCTCAGTACAATTCAGTATGTACATATTCTCTAACAGGGAAAATAACCCTGTTGGAGAATACTCATATATTTATATCCTGTAAAGGATGCCCAAAGGTTTTAAAATAAGGAAATACAACCCAGAGTACCCCAGATCTGGTAAAATTTAACTAATCACCTCCTAGGATCCCAGATCCAGAACCTTCCCTTGTTTAATACAAATTGGAATGAAATGCAAGAAAAAACACACAGCATAAGGATTATATATCTTGCACTTTAACAGTTAAACCCTTAGGAAGAAAAATAGAGCAATGAAGAGCTACTATGTTTTAGTACAATGTTAGCGTGGGAAGGGAAAGTCCCCAAATACCTATTAATAGAGGGCTGAAAGTCTTTCCCATTTGTTATATTTCTAGGAAGTCCCTTATGCCACCCCAAATGTGAGCAATCTCCTTTACTTTTGAAGTCCATCAGGCACTATGCTAAGTGCTCCTCAAGCGTCATCAGCCTTCACTCTGCAGACTAACTTTGTGGAGGGGTGTTAATGTTCTCACCTGACAGATGAGGAAACTGAGACTTGCCACAAAAGGTGTATAGTGTCAGATAGCTGTTAAATGACACAGTGCAATTTGAACTCCACTAAAATTCATTATGACTCCAAAGACCATGCCCTAAAACACTAAACCATACCATCTTTTAAGAGAGAGGTGCTGTACACTTTGGGAGGCCAAGGCAGGCAGATCACCTGAGGCCAGGACTTCGAGACCGGCCTGGCCAACATGGTGAAAGCCCATGTCTACTAAAAATACAAAATTTAGCCGGGCCTGGTGGCAGGTGCCTGTAATCCCAGCTACTCAGGAGGCTGAGGCAGGAGAATCACTTGAACCCGGGAGGTGGAGGTTGCAGTGAGCCAAGATTGCACCATTGCATTCCATCTTGGGCGATGAGAGTGAAACTCCACCTCAAAAAAAAAAAAAAAAAAAAAAAAGAAGAAGAAGAAGTGCTGTAGTTGTCCCAAACCAAATGGATCTACTCATCTTGGAAGCCTACACACTGACAAGCCAAGGTTTTAACCTATCCATGACCTTTACAATGCCTCAGCACATATCATTGGGACCCTTCTACTTAGATGTCTGGCTCCAGCATGTGAGCAAATGCTCTTGACACCTCTGGGCAACTTAAATTGAATCAGCTGTGACACATGCTCCAACTTCTCTGACCTGTGTGTAGCTCTCCACTAAGCCGAATGCATGGAGCATGACTTCGCAAAGGGTTATATCTAGCCCACTCAAGAGGAGAAAGCTAATCCCTTTGGCTTTTTTTTTTTTTTTTTTTTTTTTTTTTCTAATTTCTCATAGATCTTCTAGGACATTCTGGAAAGACCTTCAGGACCAGAGCTAGGGAGATTTGCCTACCATTCTTAACAGAACTGCCAAAGAGTCAGCCAATTTTCATCCTCCGAACTCCACTAGAAGGGAGAAGCCCCAAATTCCAATGCTACTGTTTCAATCTAATAGTTCCGGAATACAGGAGATACCCTTTAGAACTCAGTCTGCATGTCTCTGAGCCCCCACCCCCTGCACAGCTCTACAGTCATATAATGTTTATGATGCTCTTGATCTCCTCAAAGAATTGATCATAAATTTTTCTACTTCATAAAGTGGGATTTAGAAAAACTACTTCCTATAATGCTTCTTCCTCTCTTTAACAGTCATCTGAATTACAGCAGGGCCTTCCGGTTTGGACCTTGACTTCCCTCAGTGGATTCGGGGAAATGATTTGACTTACACGCCACTTCTTTGACAAGAATCCCATATCTCTGCTTCTTTATCATATTTAGATGTATTTTTTAACCATATAAACTCCATGGGCTCGTTTTGGGGATGTGGCTGGCAGGGATAGGAGATTATCACCTGATATGTCACATTCACAGAAGAAGCTATTAATGTCACAAGGAAACTGTCTGTGTTGCTTTAAAGAGAGACAGATTTTTGTAGAAAGGTCTTTCCTGCAAATAACAGAAATATATAAGAAGTCCCAGCTTTTGATCAAAATGAACCCAGGGATCTCTCAGGTCATCTCATACTTTTCAATCATGGCCTGATTTCTATCCCCATCTTAAAGAAAGCGGGGATGAGGTTAAGAATGGAGTCTTGGCTTCTAAGGGCAAGGATTCTTTTCCTCAATATGATCAGAAACATTATCCATCTATCCTATTAGCAAAGAAAAAACAAAGCTTTACCATGGTCTCCGACAAAGATGACGTTGACACACCGATGCAGTTTTAGTTGTTTCAGTCCATCCATTAATTGCCCCACAATTTTGTCGATTTCCCTCAGAGGATTTGTCATCTAGGAAAAAGAAGCAAGTTAGTCCCCACAGGGTTTTCTTTCTTTCCCTTTCAGTCTCTCATAGATCTTCTACCCCTAGAACATTTTGGAAAGAAAACTTCCGGCCCAGAGGCAGAGCTTTGTCTGGGGAGATTTGCCTGCCATTCTTAATGAAATCTGGTCTAAGCACGTTATATTTGTATTCTTTTGACAGAATTAAAACCTCTCCTCATCCAATCCCTTTAAAGATTCTTTGATATAAAAATGTCAAAAATATTGTTAATGAAAATTCTTTAAGAGAGAAAATCGACTTTCTAATATGTGACAGCATCCTTTAAATCCAAGAGTTTTGAGAGTAAACAGAAAGTCCCTAAGTGAAATCACATTAGATTTTGAACTATGGCAAGAAGATAGACGCTAAGTGAATTCAAAGCTGTTCTGAGGTTAAAATCACAACGTTGCACTGGATAATAAATTAGAATATCATTAATACAATGAGATCCATCTTGTTCTAAGTAATTTAACTGTTGGCATCTGAAAGCAATAGATTCTTAACAGAAGAACCTATTCTAAGAAACAAGTTATTGCTTCTCACTTTAGTTCTTTTAAAGCTGATTTTGAGTGAAACAAGAATCTATAAGAGTCCTAACTTAAAAAGAAGTGAACCATGAGTTTGTTCTAGAAGGTTTCTTCTTTAACAAAATATGAAAACTCAATTCTTTTCTGAAGACCATTTCCAAAGCCTAAAAAACATTACCCATATCTCATTTTCTTACTTCAAATGGAAGTTTCTAACAGCATGAATGTCCTCACATACTAGAGGCTCTCCATCCCCCTTTCATCTTTAGCTGTGCAATGGAAAGATTTTTAAGAAACATCTGATCAGACAAAGAATAGAAAGATACAGGGAGTATATTTAGATGAATTTTATAGCTTAGCTAACAATCACATAAATATACCCAAGATGATTAAGATAAGAACAGAAAGGATGTGAATATCATTTTTACTCGGACACATAATATTATCTTCCACTAGCATCTTCTCAGATGAATCAAGACCTTTCCTCCTGTTATTTCATTGGGAAATCAGGTGTAAACTTTTGTTTTTTTCTTCATGACGGGAGTCAGTATTTCAAGTCCTATCCCAAGGAGGAAGCCACAGTTGAAAGTTTCAGAAAGACATGTGCAGAATAATCGGAAGGGACTAACGGGTGTGGAACAAAGTGGTATTTGCTTCTGAGAAAATCATGCTCTGCTCCAAGATCTCTGTCTAGGTAAAGAAATACCAAATGAACAATGTGTTTTGATCTTTGGCAATGACTTATTTTCCTTTACTCAGCAGGATGACTCAGGTAAAATCCAGAACCTACTTCTTAGGGATCAGTTCAGAGGATCACAAATAAGATACTGCCTCAGAGGTATTCAAAGGTTTTAGGAAAAGCAACAACCGATAGGCTCTTCTGAACATACTGGGAAGAGTAGACATTACTTGTGGAAATTACATACAACTCTATCCGCCCATTATTTTCTCTTTCTTTCTGTCTTAGCTATTTCCTTCTCTATAACCTACACCTTTTCTGATCTCTGAAGGTACAGACCCCTAATCTAAGCCAACTTCCTATTGAGTTCTAATCCACATTGTCTTTGAGAATACCTCCTTTTACCTTGCAGGGTTGTTCTCAAGAACCAGGGCCACAAACCATGTGACTGATTCTGTGAATAAGTGCACTCTTAATAGTCACTCCAGCCTAAATGTTAATACTAGTTTTAGGGCAACTAACTCTTAAAAAAAGGAAAAGACTTCTTTTTTTCCTGTCATGTTGAGTTCAGGCAGTCTTCACATCAGTGTTAACCTCTGAAGTACCACATTCTTCTGGACTCAAAGCCAAGGTCAATGCACCAGAGTTTTTCTAAAACTTGCTCAGCCGATTTTCCAACCAAGGCACTGAAGGCAACCTTCAACTCAGACCTGCCCGCCACAAAGCTTTGGAACAATAGATAAACTTACTTTGTCCTGACGAGTTTCCGCAGCATAATGATCCATCCTATGTATTTTTCTTCTTCTTTTCTTTGGAGGAGCAACTGGTCTTTCCTGTCTCCTCTTAGGGGCAACTTTCCTCTTAGGTCTCTTAGCCGGAGTAAAAGGTGAGCCATAACTACTCTCCTGTACTGGCGGATAGAGATGTCTGGACTCAGAAGTCGTCTGTCCCTCTGAGTCAGATATAAAGCTTACACTTTCCCATCTGGGATCAGCAGAGTCTCAGAATAACTAAGGCTCCTTAAGTGAGAAAAAATTGGAATGAGGGATGGATGATTAGAGGAACTCTATGGAGAGAAGCCTCCTAAATTGATGTTGATACTGTTGTCACAGCTTCTTCGCTGAGAACAAGAATCCAATTTAAGAAAATCTAGTCATGTGGGTTTCTTTTGGCTGATATTTATGGATGTATGGGAAGGTGGCATTAGACAAGCTCTGTATTCCATAACTCCTGCATTAGGGAGAGACTGGTCTTTGGTTATGAAAAGCTCTCCATTTATAAAGAACTAACTGAAAAGTAGGCTAAATACTAGCCACTTGGTCATTTCAAGAGGACAATGAGGTTCATGTAAGTGATTCCAATTCAGAATCTGACAGTTATCTTTCTGTTCACGTCAGCAACTATGTCAAAGCAACTGTCACCTTCATTGGCAAGGATCCAGTGAAAAATTTTAAAACCAAGGACGGAATGAAACATAAATAATAAGTAATCCTCCTTAATCATAAACGTACTCCCACAAATCAGGACTTTCAGCAGGAGAGAGAACTCACTGACAATTAAGGTTTTCAGTACAGAGGAACTCTAAGTTAAAGTCCTTTTAAAATTAGGTAAAATCTAAAAAGTCATCAAAAAGTCATCTCTTTTTTGTCTTGGTATATACAGACCAAGAAAGAGTCTCCTTATGCTCTTGCTATCAGAAACCTGCTTTTAAGGGGCGTTGCATGCTATGGGTTTTGTTTTGAAAATCCAGAGAGCAGTGAAGTTGACACATAAACTGAAGATAACCTTTTGGGATTTCCAAATGCTGGAGGAAAAACAGGCCCCTGATTTGCTGATGGTGCAAAGGTGAATTAAAGCAGCAAGCCTTGCTGTCTACCTCACTGACTTCTCTCGGAGGGTGGGTGGGGGGAATGTCTTGAGAGCCATTCAGATGCAGGAAGGGGCGGGAGGAGGAACAATGTTAGTGTATCCAAGAAGGGGAACATCTGCCATGCGATTTCACTGTTTCCAGGGCAAGCCATGGCAAAGGCACTTCTGTTTCTGTCTCATCCTCTCTCTCCACCAAAGCAATCAAAAGACACAGCCCCAAAGACTTTGGTTTTGTTTGTTTGTTTTTTAATGCTCCTAGTTTTAGGCAAATCTCCATAAGAAAAGCAGCAAAAGGAAAAGAGGATTTTCCGTTTCATGGTCACTGAATACATTCTGCTAGCGCTCAAGTCGGCCCATCAAACTCTATGCCATTTGCAAGAGACCTCAACATTCCAAAGACTCCAAAGATGAGCCCTTCCAATTGCAGCAGGTTAGAGGAGCAGAAGAGTAGGGTTTAGTCAAACTGGGTTTTCATCCAGTGATTATATCGCATGTATTTCCTTCTTCAAATGTTAGAGGTACATGAAAGCTAAGTTTTCACTGACCAGCCATACTTTAGCCTGAATTTAGAAATTTTAGCCTGAGGTTATTAAGAGGATGGGAGGTAGAGGTGCAAATTTCCCTGCATTTCAGGATACTTTGCCATCTGAAGGTAGAGACTAGCCAGCCAAAGCTCTGCCTGTAGGCCCGGAAGAGCAGCCGAACAAGGGGTCACAGAAAAAGCATAGAAGGTCAAAAAGAAAAAGATTGCGCCAATAATCAAAAGCAAGCATATTTTTGAACATTCACCATTACACTCTGAAACCAGGAGCAATACACCATTTCTTGAACTATTAACTCAATGTTTGGTCATCTCATTTAATAGCTTTTGAGAATCATTCTGAAAAAATGTGGACTCAAATATTTAGCAAATAAAGCACAAATTTCAACTGAATTCATCTTATTGTAGCATATAGCATTTTGGTAGTTAAAATCATTTCAATGAAATTTCAAATATAGGTTATTTTCTTATATGTAAAAGATACGTTACTGATTTTAAAATAATCTTTCAACTAGTATGTTATAATCTTTTCATGTATAATAAGTGTAAATGATGATATATAGGTAGGCATATAGGATACACAGGTGTATAAACCAATTAGCCTACAATAGAAGAGAATTTTTGCTGACTTGCTTTGGTTTCATGTTTTAAAAGCATAAACTATTTTGTTTTTCATTCAGTTAAAATAAGATTCCTAGAACCAGATGAGAAATAATTGAAATCTGAAAATATCCTTTGCCTTATGAGAAGAAAATGACCAGGTTATCAGATTACCATTACTGAAGATATACTCCAAGATACCCAATTAAGAGTTTATCCAGTAGGCATATGAAAATACCCTAGCTGCAAGAAGTAGTAATACTGAAAAAAACATAACATGAATACTTTCAACTCTTAATTCAAAGGTACTATAGGAAAAATCTCTGTTTATATATTTGTGAGCAACCCTGGGCATAGAAAAATTATTATAGCAAATTAAAGCATCCTGTATGCCGCTTCATTTATTCCCTACTCAGTACTTTCAAAAAAACTTATTTGTTTCTTAATTCACACAAACATATACTTTCATGCATTTAATTGTAACTGAACTACACATATTAGAAACCCAAAGATGTTTATTGATTAAGAACATTTATCATTAAGCCATATAACTTTTAAGGTTTGAGTTATACCTCATCTGTATTATTAAAAGCCAAACTTTTGCCATAAAGAAAATGTTCTGTATAATTTGAACATAGTTATTAACTGACCACTTTGCTTATCTCCTGGACTGCAGGAGGGTTAAATGGTTCCATGGAAGGGAGTGTGCTCTGGGAGTCAAAAGTTCTGTAGTGCTATCTTCAGGTTCTCCCCTTAGCAGCCAAGCGAAAGTACCGGAGTCCTACTTTTAAAAGGATGGCTATACCAATCCGTTTTGCCTACCCCACAGGTTCTTTGAGGGGATGCTATTACCCAAGAAGTCAAACTTTTAAGTAGGGAACATGGAACTGCTTAGGTGTTTTGTTTTGTTTTGTGAACATTTTGATAAAATGTGGTTCCTTTTGTTCCCTTTAGGTTAATCTCAAAGAAAGTCAATCTAAAAATAAAACAGCCATTCTTGCTTTGGTGTTCTTTACTGGCATCATGTATGCAGATGTTTATCTCATTTTATCATTTGTGTTTCACAATCATACAAGACGGGTTAAACTTCAAAGGGACAGAAAAAGAGCATCTGACTTATATAACTTCAGTGATTTAAGACTAAGAGTGGTTTTACGTAGCTATTAGTTACTAGTGCTTAAATAAATCACCTCTGAATTGATGTCAAAGCATTCAGAAACACTTATGACTCCTTGGTCACATGCTGCAAGTATTGTCAAAATACTTAAGTATTGTCAAAAAACTTAAGTATTGTCAAAAATACTTAAACCAAGTATGTTTAACCAAGTATGTTTAAACCAAGATATGTTTACCTGTATTTCTAATTCATCTGAAAACAATGAACTTAATTATAGTCAGCAGTGTCCTATGGGTTACTAGGCTACTTAAATATTTAAAAATATTTA
Organism: Homo sapiens; assembly: GCF_000001405.40. NCBI lineage: Eukaryota > Metazoa > Chordata > Mammalia > Primates > Hominidae > Homo > Homo sapiens. The sequence continues at coordinate 119,599,553 of NC_000008.11, forward strand.
AAAGGTTAGATTTGCAAACTCCATCATATTTTTTACTATCTATGCTGAAAATGTGGGAACATTTCTAACCATTCCTTTCCCACCTTCTGAATTTGAAATTATACTGGATACTACCTCACAGATTGTCTTCCACAATGATGGCTGAGTGTTTGATAAAAATATGTCACCCTCAGCTGGGTGTGGTGGCTCACGCCTGCAATCCCAGCACTTTGGGAGGCCAAGGCTGGTGGATCACCTGAGGTCAGGAGTTAGAGACCAGCCTGGCACAACATGGCGGAAGCCTGTCCCTACTAAAAATACAAAAATTAGCCGAGCATGGTGGTGCACGCCTGTAATCCCAGCTACTCGGGAGGCTGAGACAGGAGAATCACTTGAACCTGGGAGGTGGAGGTTGCAGTGAGCCAAGATCACACCACTGCACTCCAGCCTAGGTGACGGAGCAAGACTCTGTCTCAAAAAAAAAAAAAAAAAAAAAGTCAGCCTGCTCTGCTAAGCAGATTCATTCAGTGGTATATTTTTCTCAAGAATTTATGTTACTTTGGGGGGGTGATGACTATGTTCATATCTTGAATGTGGTGACAATTTCACAGTATATATACCTATGCCAAAATGTATTAAATTCAAAAGGGTCCATTACTATAACTTATGCCAAGTTGATTGTATTATATCTGCCAAGGTTATTGGAGCTGCTTAGCTGATCTACCCTCTCTAAACTGCCTAATCATTTCAAGGGTGCTGAAATTCATTTACAATGTTTTGCATTGCAGGTTTCATCTCAAGATTTTTTTCCATGCCTAGCCCATTGAAGGCAAATGCCAACTCTTCCGAATTATTCACCCTCCAACTGACGCCCACAAGGCTAGAATACACCCCATCTCCTGTTAACATCAAGTTTAGGATATATTATTATTTAAATATCAAATCAATCTGAAATGAAGCTCCTGTAACAGAAACAGGTCGTTTTAAGATTTTTTAAAAAATTTTTAGTCTTGTAGTTATTTGACTTTGCATAAACCTTGTAGATACAAACATCCATCCAGACTTTATACAATTCCTGAAATAAAGTCAGTAGATCAGGTAGCCCAGGGCCACAGATTCTTCTCAGGCAGATGCTAAACCACTAACCTCAGGGCCGAAAGGGCCATATTTGTGTCCAGAGAAATCAGGTTGCTCAGAATAGAAGGCATAGACCGAAGGCCTATAAGAAAATTGGAAGGTTCAGAATCTCTCCTAAACCACATGTAACAAAAAATATCACATATTTTTAAAAAACGCATTTAAAAAAAAATGTTCTCAAGTTTAATTTATCCTTTAACTACTATTCATGTTAGCATGAAAAACTTTTTTTTTTTTCTGTTGCTTCTGTGACCACCACCCCATCTGTAGTAACTGTCTGGAACCACCTTCAGGAATCAAAAGTCACAAAGGAAAACTTGAACCTGTACTCGGATCCTTGACCCTCAAGATAACAGAGCCTGGCGGTAATTCACATGGGCCGTGCAATCTGCAGCCTGAAACAACAACTAACTGCATTACAGAGAAGCGTCTCTCTTTATACTTCTGCAATCCTTGGGATGCTGCTGGTTCATTTATCAAAGCCAGAAACTCCCTTCGGCTCTGCTGTAGTGGACAGAATTAATAGCTGCAGTAATCCAAGTAATTAAATGGTCCCAATAACCAAAGTCTATTGTATCCTTCTTAGGGAAGTAACACTTAAGGCTAAGAACCACAAAACTTTTAATTCCAAACATTGGCTGTGCTTCTATTCCACAGTCTAGTGTTTCACGCAATTCTAAACTAAGATAGAAATGTACTGAAGAAAGAAGAAAGAGAGAAATAAATACCTCTCATGATCTGGCAGGGTGAGCCACTGCAATATGGTTAATATTCTCCGCTCGTGAGGGATGACACTGGAGGGTAAAAGCAAGCAAAGCATGTTGTTAGGTTTCATTTCCGCAAACTCAAGCCTGAGGAGTGCTCGCTCTTGCACCCAGGCCAAATGCTCTCTATTTACCACCATCTGTTTTCACTTCATTTGTAGTAAAAGGCCCTCTTTCGAATTAGCGTTTAAACTACTATTTCCATTTGCAACATATTACGTTGCTCAACCTCTTCCACAGAAGACTACACTGGAAACTCTGATTCACAGTCAGAATGAGGAACCTGTCTTGCTAATCAGAAACTCCACTACAAGCAGAAAGGACCCTGGTTTCAGAATCATTGTCATTTATTCTGTCGAGCCTTTAGCTGTGGCCATAAAGGGATCAGTACTTACATCCCCAATCCGCCTCTTGCTGGCGGTGTGACCTCTCTTGACCACTCGGTCTCAGTTTACTCATCGGTAAGATAAAGCTAACAGCAAAGAACACTGTACAGCTTGGTTGTAAGGATGAAATGAGACAAGACAAGGAAAGGGCATGTCCAGTGCGTAAGACACAGTAAGTTCTTTAAAAACATATTTTTATTAATGATCATAATGCGTTATCATTCTGCCTCTAAATAATGGTATGACTTTAGAAACACTACCTAACCTGAAACTTTAAGTTCCTCCTCTATAAAATAATGGGTTAGGGAAGGTATTCTTGCCATTTTCTTCCAGCCCTGTAAAAATCTACCAAGAATAGGCCAGGTGCAGTGGCTCATGCCTATAATCCCAGCATTTTGGGAAGCCGAGGCAGGCAGATCACCTGAGGTCAGGAGTTCGAGACCAGCCTGACCAGCATGGCAAAACCCCGTCACTACTAAAAATACAAAATTAGCCAGGCATGGTGGCACATGCCTGTAATCCCAGCTACTTGGGAGGCTGAGGCAAGAGAATCGCTTGAATCCAGGAGGCAGAGGTTGCAGTGAGCCAAGATTACAGCATTACACTACAGCCTGGGCAACAAGAGTGAAACTCTGTCTCAAAAAAAAAAAAAAAAAAGAATAGGCACATATAATTAAGAGACTGACAAAAAGGGTATAATCTTCATCCACAATAACTTTTGTGTTTAAGTCTCTTTCCTCTGTTGAAATATAATTACCCTAAGTCTGGCACTAGCTTTAAGGGCTCTAAGGCCTCACAGCTAACATGACAGTATTGCATCCCCGGCTGAGTTACATTCAGATGCTCACAAGCTGAGTGATATCTTTAGTCAGGGGAAATTCACCCACTCTTTCCCAACAGGGAGCACAAAATGCATTTTCACTCCCCGATCCAAGACCAGGCATTAGAGGCATGTTCATGATGAATTCAAACTAAAGCACAAGTTTAAATGTGGTCAGGAAAAATTATTGTGGAACATTGGTGAGCCATTTAAACTTTTACTCTCAGTGGACATGAGCAGTGAGAGAGCTGGGAGAAGGATAAATCCTCAAGCCGGGGCTCTCATCAAGTGGTTTCTCTTCCTCCCCCATCACCATCCAGCTCACAGGGATTTGTCATTCCCCAGGCACCCTCTCTTTCTGGAACTATCACACAAGACCAGAAAATCATGTGTGCCATAAAATGAGTCCAAATTTAAACATATTCCAATGCTATTGGATAAATGCGACCCTGATCACTATATCCTATAATTGAATTAGAAATAGGCAGAGCAAAGCCAGGTTAATCACTTAAGGAATTTAATTCTTCAGCTTTAGAAATCCTTTGTATCTGAGCAAAATAATTGCATACTTTGAATTCTTTCCTGTTTAAAAAAAAAAAGTGAATGCCAGAGCCTTTTCATTATACTTTATTTCACTACCTGCCTAAAAGCTGCTTTATTTTACGTAATTGGTGTTAAGCCACAGAAACGGGCCCTAATGAACCCACTTTCAATACTAATGGAAAAATACAAACTAACAGAATCTGTGTCAAGCTCAGAATGCTCACCCCTGAATGCCCTCGTTGGATGGGGTACTTGAACAATGGTAGACGGGGAATTAAAAGTGCCAGCTATGAGGCCAGAGTGCTTGGGTTTGTATCCTGACTCCAACAAATGCTGGTGATAAGACTTGGCAAGTTATCTAAACTTTTGATGCCTCTGGAAAACGAGGACAATATAATAGTACCTATCTCATAAAGTTGTAGTAAAGGTGAAAAGAGAATACATTTAGAATAGTGAAAAGCATTTAGAATAGTGCTGGGCACATAGAAAGGGTTTAGAAAAATGTTAGCTTTTATTGTTATATACTAAATGTATAGGTCTGCAGAGATGATATATTCATTCACAAAATATTTGTTAAGGGCATATTGGGTTTAAGGCATTTGTGTAAACGTAAATAAAGATATTCCTACCAAAAAGACTATTATGGAGGGGTCGTCATTTTCTTGGGGGAAAGATAAGCAAGTGATAATTCTTTTCTGGGCAGGGGCTGATTGTGTTTGTGTTGAGAATAAGATGAGGACGCTGGAGGTCTGAGTAGCCATCCTACCTCTGACCTTAGGTGCAACATTTAACCTCTCTAGGCCTTAGTGTTCTAACCTCTCAATCTCTCTCTTTTTTTTTTTTTTTTTTTTGGTTGTTGTTGTTGAGATGGAGTCTTGCTCTGTCGCCTAGGCTGGAGTGCAGTGACACAATCTCGGCTCACTGCAACCTCCACCTCCCCGGTTCAAGCTATTCTCCTGCCTCAGCCTCCCAAGTAGCTGGGATTAAAGGTGCCTGCCACCACGCCTGGCTAATTTTTGTATTTTTAGTAGAGACGGGGTTTCACCATGTTGGCCAGGCTGGTTTTGAACTCCTGACCTCAAGTGATCCACCCGCTTCAGCCTCCCAAAGTGCTGGGATTACAGGCATGAGCCACCACACCCAGCCTCTAATCTCTTAAATGAGGAGTTGGGCAAGGTTGTCTCTGTTTCCTAGGAGTTCTAGATTATCTTTATGAAATAACCTCAGAGACCAAAAGGACATGGCCCTTAGCCATTAGCATTTCAAATATTCAAATACAATGCGCAGACAGCACAAATAAATCTGACCAAGAAAGAGCAAAAAAAGAAATGGGGTACATGTTGCTGTCTTCACCACCACTGATTGATGCAGAATTTGTCATGAGACCAAGTATATTAGAAATGGTCAAAAAAAAAAAAAAAAGACTAAGTTAAGTATTTACTAGTAAAGGAGAGCAAATTATCTTAAGTCATATATAGCCCTTGTCTAGTCAATGTTGAAAGAGAGAATGTGAATAAGAAAACAAATACCATTTATTAGTTGTTCTCTGTGTACCAAATACCCTAATAAGCATTTTATGTTGTTTTATTTTATTTTATTTTTTATTTTTTGAGATGGAGTCTTGCTCTGTCTCCCAGGCTAGAGTGCAGTGGCATGGTCTCGGCTCACTGCAAGCTCCGCCTCCTGGGTTCACACCATTCTCCTGCCTCAGCCTCCTGAGTAGCTGGGATTACAGGCGCCCACCACCACGCCTGGCTAATTTTTTGTATTTTTAGTAGAGAGGGGGTTTCACCGTGTTAGCCAGGATGTTCTCCATCTCCTGACCTTGTGATCCACCCACCTTGGCCTCCCAAAGTGCTGGGATTACAGGCTTGAGCCACTGCACCCGGCCTATTTTATTTTATTTTTGAGACAGGGTCTCACTCTGTTGCCCAGGCTGGGGTGCAGTGGTGCCATCTCAGCTCACTGCAGCCTCAAACTCCTCGGGCTTGGTGATCCTCCCACCTCAGTCTCCCAAGTAGCTGGGACTATAGGCACGTGCCACCATGCCTGGCTAATTTTCGTATATTTTGGAGAGATGGGGTTTTGCCATGTTGCCCAGCTTGGTCTCAAACTCCTGTGCTCAAGCGATCCACCTGCCTTCCAAAGTGCTGAGACTACAGGCATGAGCCCCCAGGCCCGGCCATAAGCATTTTAAATATGTTAGCTCATTGCATCTTTGCAACATCCCATGATGAAGATACCATATATGTGTGTGTGTGTGTGTGTGTGTGTGTGTGTGTGTATTTTTTTTTTTGAGACAGAGTTTCACTCTTGTTGCCCAGGTTGGAGTGCAATGGCATGATCTCAGCTCACCGAAACCTCTGCCTCCCAGGTTCAAGCCATTCTCCTGCCTCAGCCTCCCAGGTAGCTGGGATTACAGACATGTGTCCCCATGCCCAGCTAATTTTGTATTTTTTTTTTTTTAGGAGAGACGAGGGTTCTCCATGTTGAATAGGCTGGTCTCGAACTCCTGACCTCAGGTGATCTGCCCACCTCAGCCCCCAAAGTGCTGGGATTACAGGCGTGAGCCACCATACCCAGCCGAAGATACTGTAATTTTTATTTGAAGATGAGGACATGGATTTGTTGAGAGATTAAATCACTAGTCCAAGGTCACCAATCTAATAAGCAGCCAAGCTGGGATGAGAATCAACGTGAACAATCATACATAATGGGAATTACTGTCTTTGAACATGAATTGGCACAAAAGAATGGAGCATCAGCCGAAGATTATTTCAGAATGAAATACTATCATTTAAAAGGCAAGAATAATTCTAGGTTGCAGTACGGAACCATGTTAAAAAGATGGCCTTCAAAGTCTAAGTCTATGGTTTGAATCAGGTTCTAAATTTTTTTAAGTTTTCAGAATATACACTGTGTAGATTTCCTTGACGTATATATTCTCTTAACTAACTGAAAGTGTGATCCTATTTTTTTAAAGTTGTAAAATACTTCAAAAAAAAGGGGAAAAAATGAATCCAAGTCACTTTCAGGATACAGAGTTAAAATAATAGTCTGAGAAGCAAATGAAAGCTACAGACATCTTTGGAGCATACAAAAGCCACCTTCTTATAAGTGATTTCAAATGGGTGGAGAAAATTGCCATTCAAAACCAGAACACTGGGCCTTTTCAATGAGGCTTTGCAGCAGTTTCAGGGGGGCAAAGGTGGGGACTCAGTATTAATTATGTTGTTGGCTCCTCTCCATTCTGCCAGGCAAATATGTTACAGAACAGAAGAAAATACTTCTATGAGCGTCTATGACAGTCAAGAGTTAAAGAAATGTCACACATAGGATAACACTGGTAAATCAACATGCTGTTTATATTAAGCAGTATCATTTCCAACCTACCTACACTTACTTCTCAGCTCAGAAACCTCTTTAAAAAAAAAAAAAAGAAAGAAAGAAATCTCTTAAAGGGACAGTGTGTGCTAGATTCAAATCACCAAACCCAATTTCAATTTAGCCCTTCAAATCTGAAAAAGCTACTTTTATTTCTGATTTTAGAGAGTATAGACAGTACCGTTCTGGATTAATTTGAGCCTGCAGTAGCTCTCAGCACACTGCTATTATAGAATAGTCAGATTTTTGTTAGGCATACAGGCAAATACAGAAACAGCTTTAGGTGGTTTAAAAAAAAAAAAAAGATGGAAAGAACATCTCAGTGGGAACAAAATCCCCGTGAAAGTTGAAACAGATTCCTTTTCTTACTAAGGAACCTTAAAAATCATCAACATGTTGATACTTTTATTAGGTAAGATTCATCTTAAGGCTTATGAACATTAACTGCTTATCCCCCCATCACTTCTTTAGGGATGGGAAGGAGCCCCACTTTCTTATTAGAAAAATCCTGGAGTTCAGTGGGAAAATGAGGTGAAAATAGAGGCTTCCCCTTGGTCTCCTGTCTGGAACTTTCAATCTCTAGACGACTCCTTCGGCTCCCCAGAGGCCTGAGACCATCTAGATATTTTTAAGTTGTGAACCAAAATAAATATAATATGTTGTCATATATTTATAGAAAATGATAACGACAGCCACTGCCATAAATAGTCTAAGAGAAATATACATGTCCTAGATGGCAAGTTACCAAAAACCTACAAACAGGAATAGAAAAATCTAAAGGACATCCGGAAGGAGGAGAGACCATCTTACATTCTGTTGAGAGGATGGGGCTGGGCACGGTGGCTCATGCCTGTAATCCCAGCACTTTGGGAGACAGAGGCGGGAGGATCACAAGGTCAGGAGTTTGAGACCAGCCTCGCAAACGTGGTGAAACCCTGTCTCTACTAAAGATACAAAAAATTAGCCGGGAGTGGTAGCAGGTGCCTGTAATTCCAGCCACTTGGGAGGCTGAGGCAGGAGAATCACTTGAACCCGGGAGGCAGAGGTTGCAGTGAGCCAAGATTGCGCCACTGCACTCTAGCCTGGGTGACAGGGCAAGACTCCATCTCAAAAAAAAAAAAAATAGAGAGAGACAGGATGGAAAAAAGGAGAGCTGGAGGACAAAAAGAAGGTAGGATGAGGCACAGAGGGAGGATCTCAGGAAAAAAACACCTGGAAGGTTATTTTGATTTAGTAAATATTCAAAAGTTCTATATTTTCACATTTAACTGAAACAAAATAAAACTTAAATTGATGTTTTAGAAATTGAATCATAGCTGTCATTTTATAAACATTGACAAAATAAAGGTAACTTACACAGACCAAAAGAATGTTCCAGCTTTCACCCCTTGCTTGGTGGCTGTAATCCATAGCTAATGAGGAAAATATAAGCGGCTTAAAATGTGTTCTGTGTTTTTGTCAAAGAAGAAAAAGTTTTTAAAATACATTAGATCAGATATCTTATACTCTACTCACACCCCAACATAAATTTTCCATTATTTGCAACCATTTATTTTCACATCTGGAAGTCAGAATCATTATTTCCACAAATGTTATTCAATATATTCTCTGCAAAAGCTCTCAAAAGCTCCTGCTATGATTCTAGTGACATATTTTTTAAAATCTTATTTTATCTCAAAAGCCTCTCTCTTCTGTACCTGTCTTTTCTGATCATTGTTTTGAACAATTAACTTATGCAGCATAATTCTGCTCATCAAAGGACCCAAGAGTGGGCCATATGTTTCCTTTACTATTGAAAGCCTCAAGGAGGAGTGCCCCAATTTGGCATCCAGATGTCAGAATTTTGGAATCCAGATTGTCTTGTTTTAGTTTAAACTAGATGAATGAGAAGGGGGAAAAAGGCTAATTTTTAATTTTGATTTTTCCTAAATCTTTTACCTAGCCTTTTAGTAAATGTTATTTTAGAGGAAAGTTCCTAGAATAAGTTAAGTGAACCAAGCATTTCATCAAGGTTTTTAAAATATTCTTTACACCGTGTACTATTGGGGAGGCATAAGATATAGGAGTTTAGAACCTGGGCTCTGCAATCAGACAGTTTGGATTTTAAGCCTTGTTTCTGTCACTTACCAGCCATGTAGTCCTTTGGCAAGTTACTTAATATCTTTGTGTTTCTGTTTCCTTTACAATGTAAATAATCTTATCTAGCATATAGGATTATTCTAAGCTTTAATGAGTTAATACATTTAAAGTCCTTAAACCAGTGTCTTAACATCTGGCAAACACTCGATAAATTTACATATTTATTGTTATGCAATAATGGAAATAAATAATCCAATTATTCTAGTAATATTAAAAACAGCCTAAGATGGCAAGTGTCCCACTGAACAGAAGTCTATGAGAAGAAACCCCCTCACTTAAAGAAAGAGAATGGAAGCAAATACGAGAGAGAATTGTGGTTTGCCTAAGACCAAAACAAAAATGATCTGGGAATTGTAGCCAGCCCCTTTTCTGGTTTCATTGTCACCAGCCTTTGAGAGTATCCTTAAAGAGTGACAACTTATTTTTTGAGGAAATGGGTAACTGGGAGGTGGAGAACATCCAGAAGCTTAACCATTGTTTCAAAATCACCTGGGATACCTGCCCTGGGAAAGCTCGAAAAGGGTTCCAGCCCCCTTGGAGCCTCTAGAAATCCTCAGCCCCAAACTAACAGCTACTGTAGCTGGCAAATGAGGGATGGGGCAGGAGAACGTACAGAGCACTCTTCAGTCTGTGGGTTCTGAGCTGCTGGTGAATTTCATCAGCCTGGGAGAGGTAGGGGCCTCATCCTGTTCACATGGCTCTGAGGGACCAGACCTTCTTGGCCAGACTTTTGGTTCCCTGGGATGTTTGGAGACATAAGAATCTCAGATTGTTCTGAGAGTCCTTCACTCCATTTAGTCCAAAGCTCTTTCTATTTTAAAGACAAATTCTGGCATCCTCCAGGAACCCCAGCCCAACTAGGGTTCAGAATGTGTCCTGGACTTTCATTCATTCTTGTTCCAGCACCTCCACCAGCAAGAAGATGAGCTCAAATGAAGTGCTGGACACACTATAAAACCATGCCAGTTCCCAAAGAGGCCAGTTCCTTATATTAAGGGATCTATTTTCATACTTATTTTAATTGCTTATACACAATCTTAGCACATTCCAATATCCAAACAACTTCCTAGATGTACTGCCTTGCTATTTCCAAGAAGATTGTACTAGGCAATACTTGGCATCTATGAAATTTAAGATTAATATGGAGTTTCCTAAAGGAAAACACACTTTTAATACAAATTTCTCAAATAATGACCTGCACTTTCAAAAAGTATACGGTAGAATACATGCTGATGTTGGCATCATTAGGGCAACAGGAAGTTCTGAGAGTTAATTTAACTCAGTAATCCTTAGGGAAAAAAGATCACTGGAAGAGGTCTTTACAGTGTCAAAAGGAAGGAGCACACAGAGTGAAAATGACAGGGTATGTTAAAATTATTATGATGGCAAAATTAAGATCATTTGTTCTTTATATTTTTCTGTACTTTCCAACAATTTTACAGTGACAATCAACTTACTTGTAATCAGAAAAAAAAAACTAACCAATTTTAAAAAGCAGTGTCTTAGAAGCATACAGTGTAAACTATGGAGGCAATTTAAAGGTAAAATTTGTATTTCTTCTAAAAACAAAATCAAAAAGCAGAAAAATTCTGCCTGTTTCTTGGTAAAAGTCAGGTTGACCACATTTTCAAAAAGAAAATTGAGAGCATGATCAGAAAAGTATAAAAACTGAACAAAAAAGATAAAATACTTAAAATGAAAAGCACATTTTCCCAAGGGGGGGAAAAAGGCACTAAAATATTGGTCCAGAAGAAGAAAAGTGAATACAAGCCGATAAGGTTATAAAAGAGAGAGAGAGAGAGAGAGAGAGAGAAGCTTCCCGGTTCCTTGTTAATTCAGAGATATAAGTGTCAAAGTTTCTCTGAATTTGAATGCAATATAAATTTCTTCAGAGGGTAGTTTAAAAAAAAAAATCAGGCCAGGTGTGGTGGCTCACGCCTATAATCCCAGCACTTTGGGAGGCCGAAGAGGGTGGATCGCCTGAGGTCAGGAGTTCGAGACCAGCCTGGCCAACATGGTGAAACCCATCTCTACTAAAGATACAAAAAACCAGCCAGGAGTCGTGATAGGCACCTGTAATCCCAGCTACTCAGGAGGCTGAGGCAGGAGAATCGCTTAAACCCAGGAGGTACAGGTTGTAGTGAGCTGAGATTGCACCACTGCCCTCCAGCCTGGATGACAGAGTGAGATTCTGTCTTTAAAAAAAAAAAAAAAAATACAACTAAAAAAATAAGCTTAAGAAAACACTGGGTTTGGGCTTTCTCCCTCTAATCCCAAAACTCCCTGCATTGCTTTCCTTTATCTGGAGGCCCAGCTTTCAACATTTGTGTCCTAGATGCTGCTTTGTGAAAAGGGGACAAATGGGAATGACATTGTATCTTGTGATGTGCTATTTATTAGAAATCAAAAAGGCTTCCTCCACAGGAACCAAGTAGGTTAAATATGAAATTCAACACTTTCTCAAATTCAGCATGTAGCTTTGGGAGAAAAGGAGAAGTTTGGAAAAAGAAAAATATTAGCCAAAAACATTTTTTCAAAAAACATAAACTACTAGTGCAGTCTTTCTAGCAGTTCCTCGAAGGGAAATCATTCCTTTGCACTCGAAAGCATTGAGCTAGGATAAACAGAATTCTAGGAGACCAGGGGATCGGTGGAGCACTTGCTTCAGCAGATCAATCGCTGAGAATCAGAACAAATTAAGGGTGTGGGGGTTGGGGGAGGCAGCAGAAGAGACTGGGGCCCAATGCAGCTGGTTTCCACGTGATTAGGGCCAGAAGGAGGTGAGTGAGGAAGCTGTTGGCATGTGGCCGGAGCTGCCGAGGCTGAGATGGAGTGCTGTCCTTAAGGCCACCTACCCTAGGGGAAGCACAGGCCAAATATGCCCCCGAAGGAAACAAAGAACAGTTCCATCCGAAACACAATAGCGGAGCCAGGCTCTAGATTGGGTCTTCGAAACAGAAATACACCAAGTCCCTACCTGCATGGGACCCGCAGTGTAAAGCAGACCTGTGAATAACCAACTTCAAAAGGAGGTGGTCAGGCCGGGCGCCGTGGCTCACACCTGTAATCCCAGCACTTTGGGAGGCCAAGGCAGACAGATCACTTGAGGTCAGGAGTTCAAGACCAGACTGGTTGACATAGTGAAACGCCACTCTACTAAAAATACAAAAAAATTTTATCTGGGCATGGTGGCACACGCCTGTAATCCCAGCTACCCAGGAGGTAGAGGTATGAGAATCACTTGAACCCGGGAGGCGGAGGTTGCTGTGAGCCGAGACTGTGCCACTGCCCTCCAGCCTGGGCGACAGAGCAAAACTCTGTCTCAAAAAAAATAAAAATAAAAAGAGATTTCCAAATTTATGATAGTAAAAATATAAAAGCCCAAAGGACAGTCACTTTGCTTAGCCAGAGCTGGAAATGCTGGGGGAAGGAAGGCCTCCTCGGGACAGACACTTCAGCTGAAATTTGGAAGAAAAATAAGAGGCTGGTAAGCAAAGGCACCAGGTTAGCAGAGCTCGCCCTAACTAGGTACATTTGGATACAGTACAAAGAGAAAAAACTGCAGGTCTGCGGTAGTATATGGAAAAGAAACAACAGAATAAAGAATAGGTTAAATGTTCCTGAAAAGAAATATTGTCTCTTTATCAGGACAATAAAACAGATAAAAAGAGGTTAGCAATGACTTGTACTTTCCATCAAGTCAACCCCTTTTGGCCTGGAAAGTCACCCCTATTCTGTGTCATTCTTCTTCTCCTGCTGTCTCTGTCTTAAACACACATTTCTTGCATTTTTTCACTGCAGTCATTCACTAAAATGGCTTCTGTTCCAACTCATTGTACCACCAATACTGGCAGAGAGCAATTCTAGGTCAAGCAACTTAAGTGATAAGAATGCATCTGCTGGACAGTTGCAGTTGGGATCACGCCTGTAATACCAAGACTTTGAGAGGCTGAGGCAGGCACCTTGCTTGAGCTCAGAAGTTGGAGACAATCCTGGGCAACAAGGCGAAATGTTGTCTCTACAAAAGATACAAAAATTAGCCAGGCATGGTAGTGTGTGCCTATAGTCCCACCTGCTCAGGAGGCTGAGGTGGGAGTGTTGCTTGAGCCCGAGAGGCTGAGACTGCAGTGAGCCAAAATCATGCCACTGCACTCCAGCCTGGGCGACTATACTAAGATGTTGTCTCATTAAATATAATAATAAATTTTTAAAAAATAATAATCTGCTTCTCTTAGAAACACCTTACTCCAGAAATGCTGACTTCAGGAGACTTGGATCATGATGGGGTATTAAACTTGTTTCTCAAATCTCCACATTTAGTCAACTCCTAGGAATCCCATTCATTCCTCCCATTGCTGAGAATCCAGATTTAAACAGAACAGGGAACAACCCCATGGAAGTATCTTTGTATTAGAAATTGCAGGACCGTAGCAGAGAGAATTTCCAAAGAAACCAACCCACTTAAGGAACTCCATTAAACTACGTATGAGAAATGCAGGGTCCTACAGCAAACGACTGCTTCTAGCAATGCATGTTGAGTATTAACAAATTAAAAGCAGACTAGACTTTAATTGACTATATCAAGGCTAAAAAACAAAGATTAAATTAAATTATAAAAGACTAAATTAAATTATTTTCGGAAGACGCCTATTTAGATTCAAATTTTCAAATGGCCATTGTACAATTGCCTCATCCCATCTACTAGAGTTTATGCTAGGACAAGAAGTGGCTTTTATTCACCATGTAATCTGACCCCTATGCCATTTGGCTAAATGTCTTGCATGGTTTAGTCCCTCAGTAAAAATAAATTGAGTTTAATTTAATTATCAATCTAAGATTTGTATAAATATTTTCTCTTATAAATGTATAAAAAATTATAAGACTTTTATAAATATTTTTTCACTGGTGATTTTAAAACGAAGCCTCTGAGAGGATGGTATAAATGCTTGTAGAATATTCATTAATTTTTTCTTATAGTACTTTTAGTTGCTTATACTCTTATACTTTGACTAAAGTTTCTTTTTAATTACTTTTTATTTATAACTGACATATAATAATTGTGCATATTTATGGGATACAGTGTGATGTTTCAATGCATGTGTACATTGTATAATGATCAAATCAGGGTAATTACCATATCCATAACTTTAAACATTTATCATTTCTTTTTGGTGACAACATTTAAAATTTTCCATCTTAAATACACTACATTGTTATTTGCTATAGTCACCCTACTGTATAATAGAACACCCTACTGTATAATAGAATAGAACAATACTTTGTCTATATGTTTTTCCAATATGCCAAATTTCAATAAAATGTGTTTTTAAATTGTAGTTACTATGCTCCTGGGAAATCTTTTTTTTTTTTTTTTTTTTTTGAGATGGAGTCTCGCACTGTCACCCGGGCTGGAGTGCAATGGTGTGATCTCAACTCACTGCAACCTCCACCTCCAGCTTCAAGCAATTTTCCTGCCTCAGCCTCCCGAGTAGCTAGGATTACAGGTGCCTGCCACCACACCTGGCTAATTTTTTGTATCTTTAGTAGAGATGGAGTTTCACTATGTTGGCCAGGCTGGTCTCAAACTCCTGACCTCATGATCCACCCACCTCAGCCTCCCAAAGTGCTGAGCCATCGCACATGAGCCACCACGCCCGGCCCCTCCTAGGAATTCTTATGGTGGCCATCTTGCCCAAGATGACAGAAACACTAGTCAGTTTCACCACAAATCTTGGTCAGCATGAGGAGAGTACTAAACTTGGTCAGATGCGTCAACTTTGGGAGTTAGTGAGGAAACAGGTAAACAGAGCTGAAACAGAGACTTCACTTCATTGGGCAGGTTAACAGCATTTCCTCTGCTCTGCTTTTGCAGAAGTTAATGAATATGTGGCCTCATCTTCTTCTGAGTCATCCTAACCCAAAGCAAACCTTATGTCAACACTTGGTGTAAGGTGATCCAATTTGATAAAATTACTATTTATCTCTAATCCTTTAAGGTTCTTCAGGTAAGTTTGCTTCCATAATCAAATTAATATAAAAGACCCACTAGTGAAAGCTTAATGGAGCTCTAATTTCAATCATTTTGTGTACTCATAAAATATTCCCCTATCATAAACTTTGAATAATCCACCCTGTCAACAAATTTCACTATGATCACACCCTAGGCCATTATGGACTTCTGGGAGTCCAGCCTGAATAAAGACAGCAGAATCAGAGCATCTATTATAAAGAAACTTATCTGCAGATGTACAAGAAGTCTTTCAATGTTTATTTTTTTAATAAAAAGCTCATATTTATCCTTGCATACTGATTTACCTATTATGCAATATAAATATTTTGATCACAAATGACCTTTTCTTAAAGTGAGATACCTTAAGAAAAAATTTCTATTTATAGTCCTTATTTTGTCCATAAATTGCAGCAAAAGATTTCCAGGTACAAGATCATTGAGGCATGGTGGATACATGGATGTGTGCAGACACTGCCCACCAGTCATGCCACGGTTGAGTGCACAAAGTTCTCCCAGCCCTCTTCTCTAACCAGTGCTGCAGGAAGCCACTGTCTCCAATCAGAATTGGCATGAGATGGAACCACTTACCATCTTACTTCTACATGTTTCTGATTGCCTGTGTGCCCTGGGTTATGTTCCTAGGTGATTCTGATACTTCTGGCCAGAAGCTTGTACACTTCAGCCCAGCTCTGCACATTCAACAACTGTGGCTTTATGCTGCTTTGCTCATGTCTGACCAAAGCAAGTTGCGTAACCATACACACGGTCACAGGAAAAACATTAGGTAGAAAGCCACCTACAACCCTTTTTATTTTCTGCCCAGTCATTTGATCTGAAGTAAACAGGGTGATTTCTTTTCAAAGTATTAATTTGCTATTTCAGTATCAAGGTAGGATTCTGCTTTTTGTATTTAACTTCATGATTTTTAAAAAATAGATTAAATAAAAAAATTCATGAATTTACTGTGGATTTCAGTGAGTTCCCTTTTTTTCCAGCAAGTTTCCCTGTTTCTGTTATTATAGCATCAGGGCTAGCATATTGGGGAAGTCACAGTCATACACTTCTCTTTTTTATTATACGCCTAAATCTGGGAAATCAATGAGATCTGACTATTTCTTTGTCAAAATGGTTCTGAAATTCACCTCATCACCATTGTCACCACCATAATCCTAGGGAAGACATTCATATCATCTCACTTTTATAATCATAGCCTCACAAAGATGCATGCATATATACACACAGAGACACATACACATATGTATACATACATGTATATTCTATGTGCACATATGTATGTACACATACATAAATATATAATATATACATATATCAGATATATAATGCATATATACACATATTTCAGATATATATATAATGCATATATACACATATTTCATGTTTGTATGTATATTAAAAGTATCAAAAGACAGAAACATTGCCAAGTATGAGGAAATTATACGCATTTTTTCCACATCTAACAAATTTGGGGATGAAATGTCTCAATACATGAACACACAAACACATAGACACACAATAAATGCAAAACTTACCGGTTGACCTCCCCACCATCTATGATTAAATTTCTCTCGCCCTCGCAGATGAAAAGTGGCATCAAATACAGGATCATACATTGAATTGCCAACAATTCCATGTGATTCTGGATATAGCCCCTTTTTGTAAAAGCAAATTTATTGTTAAAATAACAATACAATAATCCACATACATTAGTTCTAGTATGAATTTTCTTAGCATAGAAGGTTTTATAGCAATACTTAATTTCCAAAATTATATAAGACATGTATAACCTTCACTGTGTATCTGTTTGAGCAAACATGAATAATATCTATGGGACAAATTATAAGCCATCTGAGAAACTTAATATGATTATAAGAAATTTAACATTGGGGTTTTTTTCTGCTGTAATTTAAGAAGATGACAATAATTTTCATTACAATAAATTAACCTTTAGTTTGGAATGTATACATGTGCCTCCAAAGAAGCTTCTATTTCTAAATACACTTTTCTTTCTTTCTAAATTCTATTGCTCCCCGAATCAATAAAAATATATAAATAAATTATGTTTTAAAGAAGGAAGAGTGGTAGAATTTGAAGTACCTGAAAATTAAAATATAGCCCTGAAGTCAACATTTTTATTTGCAAATTCAGAAAATAAACAATAGACCCTCTGGTATTTGAGAGAAGTTTAATGTATGTGTTCAAACAGAACTGCACCTGAAAAAAGTTTTCAGCTTTAAAGTTGGAATGAAGTTCCATCACCCACAAAGTTGTAAAAGGCATTTGCTGTGAACAAATGACCCAGTTAAGATGGAAAACAGAAAGATTTTCTTTGAACACTAAGGAACACGTTTTAAAAGTAAAGTCTCTCCTTTAAAGTCATTCCAGGATGAAATCAGCCCTTTGAATGTGTATCATTCGAAAAAATACTTACAGTGGCCAAAGTGTATAAGTTAGGAAAGGTTTTAGTTGGGTACACCGGCCTCATGTAGGGAGAGTGTGTGCCACAAGACCCTGGAAAGAGAATTGCAAATATTAGAACAAGAGAACCAACAGGAATTGCTTATAGAAAATCCATTTTATAAACACTCAGACATGTGTTACCTTCACTTCTGTATTTCAAATAATAAAACACATTTAAAACTACGTGCCCATAGATCTCAAAGCCCACAGCCCACTGGTTAGTGTGGAGATCCTAGATTACAGATAAGAACACAGAGTATGGAAATTACTTACTTAGTTTTTCAATATTAGGCATGACTTTGCTGCCTTTCTTCATGTATGATGCACGGAAGCCATCCACGGAGAAGATGATTAATGGAGGGCGAACAAACCTTAAACAGTAACACATTAAGCTTTTAGAAACATTATTACCAGAGTTGCCATTACGCCTAGTGATTCTCAATAATGGGAGCAATAATTTCCAAGAAAAAATTTCACCGGGCGTGATGGCTTACGCTTATAATCCCAGCACTTTGGGAGTCCGAGGCGGGCTGATCACCTGAGGTCAGGAGTTCGAGACCAGCCTGGCAACATGGTGAAACCCCCATCTCTACTACAAATACAAAAATCAGCTGCACGTGGTGGCGGGCACCTGTAATCCCAGCTACTTGGAATGCTGAGGCAGGAGAATCACTTGAACAGGGGAGACAGATGTTGCAGTGAGCTGAGATCGCACCATTGCACTCCAGCCTGGGCGACAAGAGTGAAACTCCATCTCAAAAAAAATATAATAAAATAAAATAACCGAACATATTCATTTAACCATTTAACCACAAGCCAGTCATGGTTAAATCAAGACTGCCCAACAAAAATACTCTGTCAGTCATTCATTATCTGAATTCTTGTGTATGAGATCTGTTAAGGTACAGATTAAGAAGTCATGAAACATTTCTGTTTTGTAACAAATAACACAGTGACCTGTTATTATTCATTGGTAGCTTTTTTTGAGATGAGCTATCAAGGCTGCCCTTTCTGCCTTGTTCTTCATGCCTGCGAAGATCATTTTTGTTCCGGGGATGTGCTTCTTGGGATTCTCCAAATACTCCATGAGTGTATCCTCTCCCCAGGAGATGCTTTTGTTCTTATGGGCCTCTGTATAAGAGAATCCAATGGCCTGATCTGTCTTCCCCACAAAGAGACCATGGAGATTTGACCCAGCCACCTGTTTGCCTCCCTTTTCAACAGTGTGGAACTGGGCACACTTCTGAACAAAAATTCTCTTGCCTTTTTCAACATCACCCATATTTAATTCTCTCTTTGGTTGCTGGTGCTATAAAGGTTCCCATTCAGAAGCCAGATGTCCCACTGCCTTGGATGCCTTTTTTTTTTTTAGAGGGGGTCTCTTTCATCCAGGCTGGAGTCCAGTGGCACAATCTGGGCTCAATGCAACCTCTGCCTCCTGGGTTCAAGCGATTCTCATGCCTCTGCCTCCCAAGTAGCTGGGATTACAAGCGCTGGCTAATTTTTTTTGTATTTTTTTTTTAGTAGAGGCGGGGTGTCACCATGTTGGCCAGGCTGGTCTCAAACTCCTGACCTCAAATGATATGCCCGCCTCAGCCTCCCAAGTGCTGGGATTACAGGTGTGTAATCAATAAGTAATAATTACTTATTGGATAACACAGTTTTAAAGGTTCTCAGGACTTCCTCTTTCATTCCCCACTCCCCGCAAAGTAGGCAAAACAAGAACTCCAGGAAAAACAATACTGAAAAAAAGTCTTAGCCAGAATATTCAGATGCACTTTGTAAAATCCTCAGCTGAGGTGGAATATAGGGGATGTTCAGACCCCAATATGTGCAGAGGTGATTGGAGAAAACTGGGGGGAAGAAAACTATCACCATTTCAAGACCTACCTTCAACCTTTCGACTCATGAATTACTCCTAAGTACTCATAAGTTTGCCTGTATAAGAGAATTTCAGTTCCACATTGTTTCTAAATACTTCTCTTTTCATTTCCTGTGAGAGTTTATCAGCTAATACATAAAACTTCAAAATAGTCATAAAATACACTTACCCTGCAGGGCATTCTGCGGCCTTTATTTCCTCACAGTCATCATCAACCCAATGCGACTCTCCTATAAGGAAAAATGGGTAAATGTATTGTTGAATCTAATTACAAATGCCATGCCTTGAAGCTCACAATTCCAGGATCTGTGTCCTGTTTGATACTTTCTTTATGGGATATAACAAAAAAAAAAAAAAATTCTGAAAAAAAAATCTAGTGTCTGGTTTGGCTTATAAAGTACACCCATACATGATGGGAAAGCTAAGATTTAATAACCACAAGTGGTGAGGTGTTTATTTGAGCCTTCCGAGTCTAAATGGTTTGTAGATTAAAAAAACCAGTGGCGTCAGTGAACAAAATTTCATGTTTGTATCCCTCCAGAAATAAACTGTTTGGTCATTAGATGGAACATTCTTTTCTCCACCACTGGAGATCTCAAAGCCATAGAAAGCATGGCAAAACTTCCCTTTAGATGCTAAAAAAAAAAAAAAAAGTCTTAGAATCTACAGAGATAATAAGTGGAAGATTACAATAGAAAGATTATTTGCCAATAAATCTCCATACAGCCCTTGAATTTAGAAAGAAAAAAATGCTAAATTTCACTTTTTATCTTCCACCAAGATCTAAGAGCATAATGTCGAGAATAGAGAACAGAAAAGGCCTCAGATAAAAACATAAGCTTTGCTTTGAAGAAAATACAAGTTATCAAAAAGAATTTGCCTTAAATTATTTTAAGACAAACAAAAGTTACATATCCTGAACAGAAGTAAAATTTGTAACCAACACATTGGAGAAATTGCTCCCATGTAAAGAGAACTGGAAATCTTCTCTGGTCAATAAGACTCTAACTACTGGACAATGGGGTAACTATTATGCTCCTTAAAATAAAGAAGATTTGCTACACATATAGTAACCCAGAGCACACACGTGGGCCTCACAAAAGTACTGAAACTAGAATTTTAAACCAGTAAAAGCCAATGCTTAATGATTCAATGATCAATGATTCCAAGGGCTTCTTTTTTTAAAAAAAATTTTATTTCTAACAGCCTTTGTGGCTTCCTGGTACACTTACTGCACAGGCAAATTAAAAAGGAAAGGGAAATAAATTCTCAACCAATTTTATGCTTCAAAATAAAAGCATAATTATTGGGTAGGGGAAATTAACAATACAATAATTGTTTGGGTATGGGGAAATTCTTCAAATATATTAATATAACACCCTCTTGCCACAACTAAACACCTTACATATTGCAGAAGTAACTTGATTTTTTTCCTGAAATCTTTTAATGAACTTCTTCTTAAATGTTCCACATCAGAGATAATGAAAAGGACTTGATTTTGAAATTTAAAAAGTGACTTACAAACAATAGATAAAGATTCTTGGATCTTCCCATCAACTTCTATAAGTGGGTTGCACGGCAACTTAAACCCATTAAAGAGAATAACTGCATCTTTTATATTTTCTGTAGTCCATTAACTATTGTTAATTGTTGGAATAAAAGCATCATATTCTACAATCAACCAGACAAAGCCAACACTCATGCATATATGGCTTTGGGGTATAACAGGAAATGCTGGCCCCCTCATCCCCTTTACCAGCAAGTACCCCCATCCCTGGGCAGTTGCCAATGCCTTGGTGAACAGTGTACATCCAATAGATAAAAAAGCCCTGGTTCCTTGCCTCAAGAGTAGTGACCTGGATTTACTTTTCAGAGCAAGCAATAGAGGGAGGCGAGGCTAACTGAGAGCATGTCCTCACTTGTCTCTCCACACTCCTCCTTCCCTATCCTGCTTCCCTTTCCTCCGACATGGTTTTCCTGCAGTATATCCGTTTCCTCAATAAACTGCATGTACCGAATTCCTGTCTCAGGATCTGCTTCTAGAAAACTTGACCTAAAACCAAGATAGGAAATTTAGAAATCTCTTCATTATTATGTTTCTGTCTAATTAAGAAATTCTGGTTTCTTCCCTTGTTACTTCAGATCAGTGAAATACAGAGTAGCAAAACTAATGAAGAAGCATGAGAAATTAAAAAGGACAATTCATTCCTTCCTCCCAAACTCATATCCAGTGTGGTCTATTCCTAGCATCCAGGATCTCCTGGAGCACCTCCAGTTTTTATTCTTTTAAAGCTCAGGCCAATCCAAAGAAACACGTACCTTTGCAAACCACTTGGTAATTGGTACAGCAGTCTCCCCTGGCCAAGCAGTCCTCTGAGCAGTGACAGGCATTTTCTTCATTTCTGACTTCTCCACATCTGTCCTTAGTACACTCCCAGCCACGGGCTAAAATCATCCCAATAAAACATTTTCACTGCTGCACACTAACCAAATGAAAGAAGCCACAATTGCTTACAGGATTTCCAATGAAGAAAGCTAAAATCTCACATCATTTACTCTGCTTGTGAAATTTGAGTTGGCTTGAGGCCCAGAGGACATTTGGAGAATTTACAGATAAGATGAATTTCTAAGTTTTCAAATCAGAGAACAACATCAAAATGCAATTGGGTTCCTTTGGAAAAATGGGGCCCTGAAAGGCAAGCAAGTATCCCTACGATTCTCGAATTGTCCTAAAGGACCCAACAAATTTATGACATCAAAGGTTTATGATAGGGCTATCTACTGTTGTAGGGACAGCCTCTATAGCTTGGCTCTTTTAATTTCTGAAGTGGGTGTGCTTAGCTTTATTTTTATTTTATTTATTTATTTATTTTTGACAGAGTCTTGCTCTCTTGCCCACTCTGGAGTGCTGTGGCGCAATCTCGGCTCACTGTAACCTCCGCCTCCCTGGTTCAAGCGATTATCCCGCCTCAGCCTCCTGAGTAGCTGGGATTACAAACATATGCCATCACGTCTGGCTAATTTTTGTATTTTTAGTAGAGACGGGGTTTCACCATGGTGGCCAGGCTGGTCTCAAACTCCTGACCTCAGGTGATCCTCCCACCTTGGCCTCCCAATGTGCTGGGATTACAGGCATGAGCCACAGCACCTAGCCTAAAGTAGCTGTGCTTAGCGTTAATCAGTGTGATTCAAACACAAATAACAGGACAACTACATGGTTTCTATCTGCACCTGGAGGTTAAAGTCCTAAATAGGATGTGAAGAGTATAAAGGGGGCATTACAATGTTTGCTCAAGATTCTAACCACTGACCCATTGTGGTCCTACCTACAATGACAGGTCAGAGTTCCTACTTTCAAGCCAAGTAAATGGGTTACAGATTTCCCTCTGAACATACCTGATTGACAGCTCACTGCTTAATTCTTACATTTCAGAAAAACAACCTTTCCATTTTAAAAGGAGTGCTGTGTTTTTTGACTTTTTCATCTGCTAGAGTGTAAGCGCCATGGCAGGAAAAGTGACACCTCTCTCTTCGCTCTTCTATTTCCAGTGGCAGACTGTAAGCCTGGGAGACTGCGCCTGGCACATGCTAGGTGTTCAATCAATATGTATTAAATTGAATTGGAAATGACCATGGAGATAAAATATAACTCTTTAAATTCAGAACTACTCTATTGAGAACTTTCATAGTTAACTCATTTACTCATTGACTCTTATACCATGTTTTCCGTGTTCTCGGTGCCAGGATGTCATAAAGAACAGGAGAGACTAGGTCTGTCTTCATGGAGCTTACATTCCAATTGGAAAAGACAGATCATAGGCAAGTAAATCAATAAGCAAGATCATTTCAGCTTATGCCAAATGTTGTGAAGGAAGTAACAGGTGGCATTGATAGAGAAAGATAGGGTGAAATAGGTGCTACTCCAGGAAGTAGAATGGTCAAGAAAGGTGTCACTGAGCTAAAATACATATGAACACTTCAGGTCTTTATCTCTTAAAATATGTGATAAGTGGAAAGAAATGATTTTTAAAGCAATCCTGCCTCTTAGTAATATTCTACCAAGAGAAACAACTATTGTTAGGTGAATACATTAATAAAGAGATATTACGGGCCAGGCTCAGTGGCTCATGTCTGTAATCCCAGCACTTTGGGAGGCCGAGGCAGGTGGATCGTGAGGTCAGGAGTTCGAGACCAGCCTGGCCAACATGGTGAAACCCCGTCTCTACTAAAGATACAAAAAATTAGCCGGGCATGGTGGTGCATGCCTGTAATCCCAGCTACTCAGGAGGCTGAGGCAGGAGAATCGCTTGAACCCAGGAGGCAGAGGTTGCAGTGAGCCAAGATCATGCCATTGCACTCCAGCATGGGTGACAGGAGGAGACTCCATCTAAAAAGATTAAAAAAGAGAGAGAGATATTAGTTGTTTGGCATAACTGCTACCCCTGCCCCTTTTGGTAAATCATTAGCCAGAAAACCATGCAATTACTATTTAATTTTTATTCTTTTAGAATTACCTTTGCATCCTGATTCTGCTGTCTGATATTTTTTGTTGTTTTGTTTTGTTTTTTTGAGACAGAGTCTCACTCTGTCGCCTGGGCTAGAGTGCAGTGGCATAATCTCAGCTCACTGCAACCTCTACCTTTCAGGTTCAAGTGATTCTCCTGACTCAGCTTCCCAAGAAACTGGGATTACAGGTGCCTCCCCCCATGCCTGGGTAATTTTTGTATTTTTAGTAGAGATGGGATTTCATCATGCTGGCCAGGCTGGTCTCGAACTCCTGACTTCAAGTGATCTGCCTCCCTCAGCCTCCCAAAGTGCTGAGATTACAGGCATGAGCCACTATGCCCAGCCATTCTAATTTTTTAATATCCCGTTTCCATTCCTATCTCTTCTCGAGGAGATTAAGTGCTTAGAATTGCTTTTCCCATGACCTGCTCTTCCCAATGATGAGCAATCTTCTAAGGTTGCTTTGACTCTAGATATTGTGGGGTTTTTTCAATTCAAGGTGATTCTATCCACCAATAAACTTTTATTCCACTCCTAATTCCATAAGAAAATCACATCTACATTACTTACAAAAGAATATCATTATTAATAAGCTATGTTTATTGAGGAACTATTGTCTTTATGTACAAATGAAATATAAAATAAATCCAGAGTTTAAAGTGAACTATACACAAAGGACAAGTCAGTCATCTGTGTAATTTTCAAAGCAAACATGGGAATAAACATAAAAAATATTTAACCTTATTGGAAAATAAGGAGGAGGTCACCTACCAGATTATTTTAAAAATATTTTTAAAAATAAGAGTATTCAATGCTGAAAAGGAAGTGATGAAAGGTCCTTGTGTCCTTTAGTAGAAACATAAACTTTCAGAAGTATAATTTAGTAATGTATATTTAAATTTAAAAAAAATGCACATATACTTTGACCCCAAAATCCCACTTCCAAAAATTTATCTTAAGGAGAATAGGCAAAAGTATGAATATGCATCAATTATATTCATTGATACATCATTCATAATAGTAAAACTCAGGGAAATATTCATTTAATTACTCAATGAATTAGGTTGCAACAGTTCAATGGAATATTACATAGCCATTCAAAAGGACGATTTGTATAAAGATTTATTAATACAGATACTTTCGCACACATGCATATATATACACACAGTTGGAAGAGTATACATGCACACATAGATACATACTGAAAACACACACACACAGAGTTATCAAAGTTTCGCTGAAACATTGTGGTTGTTTCTCGGCAGTGCTCCCTCAACAAAGGAGAATCTCAGAGCCTTTTGTTTTTCTATTCATCCTTTTATTATTATTTGATATTTGATTCCTTCACATTCAGGATATGTTATCTTTGTACACAGGGAAATGGACTATAAGATATTATATCCCATCCTTAATAAATTGAGGAACAAAGGCATGAACTACATTCAAAAGAGAGCTAAGCTAGAGTCAGGGATTCATTACATTTTGCAAAGAATTCTAAGACCAGGAATCCAGAAGTTTGATATGACATGCCACAGACAAGATATTCAAGGTAAGGAGGAAACATAAAACATTAGTAAATTCCTCAGTGCCAAGCAAACACAGATTGCTGGCTTGAAATAATGTTTTAGAGCCAAAAAAACTCTGCTGGAACATCTGTTCCATCTATACATTCAGTTTACAATAGTCTCAGCAATTTAGTTTGCAGATCCACAATTAAAAGAAACTGGGAGAAGTTCCAAAGGAAAGCAACCCCCAAAAAAGTGGTTAAATGGTTGGAAAATGTGTTCTGCAAAAAACAGCCTAATGAAGCTGTTCTTATTGCAGGGACGCAGGAGGAAAACAAATCAGAACTAGTAAGGAAGTTTATGTTGGATTTCATATAAATCAAGAGCTACCACTTAGGCAAAACACAGTAATAACTGTTTCTAATGATAAAATTTGAAAGATCAAACTAATAGCAATGATAGTAAGAGTTAGGTCTTTGAAAGAATTGTCTAAGCATAAAAGTCCAAAAACAAGAAATAACCTGCCAAGGAAACCATGGAAACTGCTTCTGGTGATGTCAAGAACAGCATTGACGGTTGTCTTTCTCAGATAGTTTGTGTATGGTGTTGTCCAGAAGCATGGTGGATAGCTTACAAGATATCTCAAAAATCCTATCTGAAATATTGTGCTTTGAAAACAGAGTAGGTGGGATGGCAGAAGTCCCCAGAGGTGTTTTTCTCAACTCATGTGCATTCATACAGAAGCCTGTACATCCTAGTAACTGTTCCAGCACAAAAGAAATGTAAAGAAAGTCACAAAAAGTGTGGAGGAAGATTTTAGAGCTACCCAGAGCGTGAGACTCCAAACAGAATTCCATAACAATTTTCCATTTGCAGACGGCAGGGAATGACAGGCACACTAACAGTTACTGTACGATAAGATGAAGTGAAACAAATGCTAGAAGCTGGGAAAGCAAGAAAAAAAATTTTTTTAAAGAATGTACACAATTAGGCCAGGCACAGTGGCTCACTCCTATAATCCTAGCACTTTGGGAGGCTGAGGCGGGAAGATGGCTTGAAGCCAGGAGTTCAAGACCAACCTGACCAACACAGTGAGATGCTATCTCTTAATAAATAAATAAGTAATAAAAAAGAACATACACAATTTTAGCCCACAAGCCCTAGCAGTGAATGTGGGAATTGACAGAAAGATATAGAAAGGATGAAGGTGAAGAAACAAAAACAAAAACAAAAAACATTTGCAAAACCAGCACATCATGACTGCAGCTGCAAAGAACCTTTCTCTGCTGGAACCTATGTGGAAACAATGGTCATTGACATAGGGTATGCTCTTCAAAGAACCAATAATCATTCAACAAACAAAACTAGAATCCACAGTTTGGATAGACCAAAGCAGGGTGGCCACTCCAGGATGCATACAATAGCAGGCAGTCTTTAAGCCATCTACTTGAAGGTAGAGAGGACTCATAAGTTACGTACCTGTCTTCAAACACAGCTCATCAAAGTCATGGCAGCAACTGGTATAGCTCTTACACAAGTTGTCACAGCGACAATCAGGAGGTCCAGCCTCTTGAAGTTCAAAGCACCTGCCCTTGCAAGATCCGGAGATGTTGGTCCAGGGGGAGTCTGATAGCACTGCAAAGAACAAGAGGCAAAAACAATGGACTGGAGAGTGGTCATGTCACCATGGAAAGGTGGCACTGGGAAGCTGTGCGGTGTGATGCTGCAGTGGACTCTGGAGGAGAACACTGGCTCCATTACTTACTACCCATGTACTCTGGGCAGGTTGCCCAACTTCCTTGTTCTACGATTTCCTCATCTGTAAAGTGGGGGACTCATAAAAGTAACTCTATGTTGAAAAGAGAATTAAATGAATCAATCCATGTAAAACACTTAGCCGCATGTCAGACATATAGAAAGAGTAACAAGTGTTGGTGATTTGTTCAATTACTATTTATAATTATTATTACTGCAAATCTGTGATGATTAGTGCCCCTGTGGGTGCTAACGATGACCACAGAGAACAGTACCTTGATCTATATCCTTAGAAACAAGAGAGCATGTCCCTATTTAAAAATCCAAAACTTTTTACAAGGAAAATTCAGCTCAAATGTTCCAAGAACAGAACGAATATATGAGATTGGAATAGAAGACTTTTACAGTTTCAGCTAGTGTTTTACAAATACAAGCTCTATAATCTGGGCTTCTCAAAAAACTCCTCCATCAATATTTTCACATGATATAGGTGTATATCAGAAATCAAAAGAATCAACTAAAATTTGGGGAAAAAAAGAATTCAGTGAGATCAAAATTCCACAAATTTGTAATATGCACACAATATAGTTTCAAAATTAAACAGAAGTTTCATTCTCAATAGGGCCTAAATGATAAAATAGCTAGGTATTTTATTTGGTATAAATTTAATCATATGTATGTAGAACCAACATACATGAGAAAAGTCTACCAAAAAAAAAATTTTTAAGATCTAATTAAGGTGGGGGCAAGGTGCCTCATACCTGTAATCCCAGCACTTTGGGAGGCCGAGGTCGGTGGATCATCTGAGGTCAGGAGTTCGAGACCAGCCTGGCCAACACAGTAAAACCCAGTCTCTACTAAAAATACAAAAATTAGCCCAGCGTGGTGGCAGGTGCCTGTAATATCAGCTACTCGGGAGGCTGAGGCAGGAGAATTGCCCGAACCTGGGAGGCAGAGGTTGCAGTGAGCAGAGATCGCACTATTGCACTCCAGCCTGGGTAACAGAGTGAAACTCCGTCTTAAAAATATATATATATATATATATATATGATCTAATTAAAATGAAAGACATACCACCTTAAAGGTAAAAATATCAATATTATAAAAATATTAATTCTTCCTAAACAAACCAGAAGACTCAGTGCAATCACAGCCAAAAATACTGAGAGTTCATGAAACTTGAAAAAATTTTAAACACTTATTTAAAAATAAAATATTTTAAAATAGAAAACCTCTGAAAAGGAAAAGTAATTTGATAAAGACTAGATAGCAAAGTATATTCTGAAGTTAAATAATCAAAGTAGTCTGATACTAGAAAATAAGTAGATTAATGTTGTGGATGGGAGCCAATCAGTAAGTAGGGACTATAAATAATTAAGTTAGGGTCTCATCTCAATATACAAAATAATTTCTGCTAAATGGAAAATATAAACAGCCTCATAACTGTTTCCAGGAATTAAAATTTTTGTAAAGTAGAATATAATTTAGAAAGACCTATCAACATGTTTAAATGCTTATAAATGTTTCACCCAGAAATTCTATTACTAGAAATTTACCATTTACACATATTTGCAAAAGTTTGCCAAGCTACATGTACAAAAAATGTCCATTGTTCATTGCAGTCCTTTTATTACAGGTAAAGAGATCCTGAAATCAACCAAAGTTGTTTTTCCCGTCAAGAAAGAAAGAATCGCTATATCCATAAGTGGACTATTGCACCGTAAGAGGACTATTGCACACTCCTTAAAAAGAATGAGTCAGATCGGTGTAGGCTAATATGGAAAGATCTACAAAATATATAAATAAGTTGTTTAAAGAATAAATACAGGATAGAGTGTTATATATTAGACTTTGTGTTTAAAAATAGAGATAAACAGGGCAATAAGGATAGAAATGAAGATAGAAATAAAAACAGAGCCAAAACTAGAGACGAGTGAGAGACAGGGTAGGGCAGAAGGAGGGAGAAAATGTCCAAGTTTGCATCACGTTTTTAAAATGCAGGTGTGAACAAACTTTTTCCTTCTGTAAGAAACAGGTTATGGAATTACATTTAGGGAAAATGAGAAAGAAAGAGGAAGAAGATTTTTACCTTCCTGATGTTTGAAATTTCTAACATTCTACAAATTCACAGGTAGTTGCCTGGTCTTTTTGTTTGCTTACTTACTTTCTCTTTCCTTCTCTCTCATTATATATAAATACCATACAATATATGTGCGTGTGGGTATGTATATTTATGTACAAAATATATACTGTATAATATATGTCTGTGTGGGTATGTATACATATGCACAAAATATATGTCATATATGTATGTGTGGGTATGTGTATATGTACAAAATATATACCGTATAATAGATGTGTGTGTGGGTATGTATATATATGTACAAAATATATACCATATAATATATGTGTGTGTGGGTATGTGTATATATGTATAAAATATACCATATATGTAAATATCCTAACAAATATTATTGACATGCGATTTATAATTTTATTTTCTTATTTACATGCTTATGAATTTTTCATTTTTTATAATTCATGTTTTACTTTTAAAATCAAGAAAAAGCAAGAAGCAGGAGAAGAACAGATGTTAAATGTCACTTCTAGGTTCACCCAAGCCATTTATCTGAACATTCTGCTCATCCCTTAGTCCTTTGTCCTCGTTAAAGTCTTAAAGTCAGAGTCATCCAATCCCAGCCTTTATGGCATCAGATCAGTTCAACTAAAGCAAACAGATTTACCAGATCATGAGATGTGAAACACTTTTGCATGGTTGCTCCTAGGATTTTGAAAGACATACAAACCGTACGAGTTCAGTTTAGAAAATAATATTCATTTCCAATGCAGTGGTCCATAAAGCACATTTTTCTATTGTCTTTGACCAACCTATCAACAGTGCATGCTGAACCATAAGAAACCATGGAGGCAGGAGGGGTTGAGAAGTAAAACAAAAAAAAAATTACAAAACAGAAAAAAATAGAGAAAGTCCTACAGTAAAAATAAATATAAGGAAAGTACTTACAATTGAATATTCCTTAAGGATACTGCTTAGATAGACTCATTTCAACAGCGTTCTAGTAAATTTTCAGTAGAATTCATTCCCACGAGCTGCTTAAATAAATAAGCTTAGCTATGCTGATAGCTGAGATACTTCAAAGAGATCTAAAGGCAATTTGTTTACAGATGTGCGGTGTTCCTGCATGCATTTGAAATTGTCCTGCAACCACGCGCCTTGCTTTCCTTCATCATCATTTCTTCCCTATTTCTTTCTTTTTTTTTTTTGAGACGGAGTTTTGCTCTTGTTGCCCAGGCTGGAGTGCAATGGTGTGATCTCGGCTCACTGCAACCTCTGCCTCCCGGGTTCAAAGGGTTCTCCTGCCTCAGCCTCCTGAGTAGCTGGGATTAGAGGCACCCACCACCATGTCCAGCAATTTTCGTATTTTTAGTAGAGACAGGGTTTCACCATGTTGGTCAGGCTGGTCTTTAACTCCTGACCTCAGGTGATCCACCTACTTTGGCCTTCCAAAGTGCTGGGGTTACAGGCTTAAGCCACCACATCCGGCCTATTTCTTTCTTTACTTTCAGAGTATCTGTGTGAATTTTTAGCCACATTTAATCTTTCTTCACTCATTCACCTGATTTTTACTATTTTCTTACAACATTAATCATTCTCTAAATTTGTCCTTTGCTTTGTTTTTGGAAAATAATTGAATCTCACTTAATAGTCGGTCCCTATCAGTTACAGTTCTTGCCAAACCTAAAGACAAGCAAAACTAAAGACAACTTTGTTAGAGTTAGCCTTACACTCATAATGCCAAGATGTATCTCAAAAGAAGTACTGTACTTAAGATCAAGTTATTGACAGCTTCAAATTAGGGTATACTCCTGGGGCTGGGTGGATTAGGATATACCTATGTCAAAATTCATTCTCGGATGATTTGAATTCAGCTGAGAATGACAGGAAAGAAAAAGGGAAGGTAGTTTGAGCCATATAGAACCTCTTATAAACCAATAACCCAAATAAATTTGAGCTGCTATCTCTTTTTTTTTTTCTTTTTTTTCTTTTCTGAGACGGAGTTTTGCTCTTGTCACCCAGGCTGGAGTGTAATGGTGCGATCTCGGCTCACTGCAACCCCCGCCTCCTGGGTTCAAGTGATTCTCCTGCCTCAGCCTCCCGAGTAGCTGGAATAACAGGCACCCGCCACTATGCCCGGCTAATTTTTTGTATTTTTGGTAGAGACGGGGTTTCACCATGTTGGTCAGGCTGGTCTTGAACTCCTGACCTCGTGATCCGCCTGCCTTGGCCTCCCAAAGTGCTGGGATTACAGGTGTGAGCCACTGCGCCCAGCCATGCTGCTATCTTTTTTTTTTTTTTTTTTTTTTTTTTTTTTGAGACGGAGTCTTGCTCTGTCACCCAGGCTGGAGTGCAGTGGCGCAATCTTGGCTCACTACAAGCTCTGTCTTCTGGGTTCACACCATTCTCCTGCCTCAGCCTCCTGAGTAGCTGGGACTACAGGTGCCCACCACCATGCCCGGCTAATTTTTTGTATTTTTAGTACAGACCGGGTTTCACCGTGTTAGCCAGGATGGTCTCGATCTCCTGACATTGTGATCCGCCCACCTTGGCCTTCCAAAGTGCTGGGATTACAGGCGTGAGCCACCACGCCCAGTCTATCTCTTTTAAATAAAATACAGTGAGTGTATGATGACACTCAGTAATGCCACACACTCCTGTGTGCAATGGAAAAGACCATCTTGATGAGTGTACAAAAAAAATAAACAAAATGATTAAATTAACAAATAAATAAAATAGAACAATAGAGTGGAATATTCACTCTGCCTTTCCAGGGTCTATTCCGTCCCAGCCATCTTCTTTCACGACAAGCTCTAGTCCCAACTGTTTTCCTAGGAGTTCTGCAATCCACCTTCATATTCTTTTTTTAATCATTTTTTATGGATGAATAATAGAGGTACATAGTTTTGGGGTGATAATACATTCATGTAGTTGATAAAAATCAAGTCAGTATACTTGGAGTCTTCACGTTCCCTGTCCTTCTCCCTACACCCAGCCTAAGATGTTTAAAATCAAGAAAAATCAAGAAGCAGAAGGAGAACGATGTTAAATGTCATTTCCAGGCTCGCCCAAGCCATTTATCTGAACATTCTGCTCATCCCTCAGTCCTTTGTTCCTGCATGCATTTGAAGTTTTTAGGACTTCTCTCTTTATTGTACCTGACGTAATGTCAAATAGGGAAAGATTATCCGATTTGTTAGAAGTCTGAGTTTTAAAATCTGTTGTCTTCCTTTACTTGACCTAAATCAAGAGAACATTGATGTAAGCACTTCAGATGTGTAACTTATTGAGAGGCGGGATGAAAACTGAAACATCAACAAACTTGTGGTATCCCAAATTTTTCATCATTACTGAGATGGCCGTAACAGCGCAGAAAACAACTAAAACAAACAAAAAGTACTCTCCAAATGTATCAAGGCAGAAATATGTGATAAGTATGATGGAGGCTTGAAATTTCTTATGAGGCATTTGCTAATACCTTTATGAGATTCAAATTCTATTGCCGCCTTTTAAAATACATATTCAAATGATGTTATTTTACTTCAAAGATGCAAGTCAGTTCCAGAATCTTGAAAAACAAATGTTCATAGCTTTATATAGTGTTCTTTTAAAAAATAGAAACCTCAAATTTTAAAATACACATAGGTACATATATGACATGTATAACAACAATGCAATGCATTTCTTATTTTTCACAGAAGCATAATTTCATGATTTAAAGAAACACCAATGTAAAACATACGTTATTTCATTCAAATTCATAATTCTGACAGAAACAGGTACAATTACTTTTACTTAAGTCAACTTTATGTCTAAAATATTCCATCTTACAATATGTATAGAGAGGTAGGGTTGTAGAATTCTAGTGCCGGCCGGGCACGGTGGCTCACGCCTGTAATCCCAAGACTTTGGGAGGCCAAGGTGGGCCGATCACCTGAGGTTGGGAGTTCAAGACCAGCCTGACAAACATGGAGAAAACCCATCTTTACTAAAAATACAAAATTAGCCAGGCATGGGGGTGCACACCTGTAATCTCAGCTAGGGCTGAGGCAAGAGAATTGCTTGAGGTGGAGGTTGCAGTGAGCCGAGATCATGCCATTGCACTCCAGCCTGGGCAACAAGAGCGAAACTCCATCTCAAAAAACAACAACAACAAAAGAATTCTAGTGCCATCTGTTCCATAAGATACAACAAAACTATTGATGATTTAAATTTTTGGAAGGAGCCTAACCGATGACAAAAGTTATGGCCAAAACATTACTTGATCTAAGGCTCCCAATCATATTTCCCTCTAAATGTCCCCCGTAAAGATGCAAATACTCAAATCTGGATGATGGCCAATAGAAGAGGCAGTATTTAAGTTTGGAAACATTTAGCTTAGCCTAAAGGGGGAAGGTTCTTCTAAGCTTTGTCTGCTCCTGTTTATGATACTGCTCTCTATCTGTTCCTCCCATTCTCCTTGGTTCTTAGCCCAGGTATTTCCTGAAAGTGAGAGCAAAACCTTAAAATGTGTTACCAGCTGTGGTTATACCAGCTCCTTTTCTCAAGAGCGTTAAAACAGGACAAGTTCCCTTATGTCTGCTGCCCTGTTTGAAGCATAACCCACAGGGCAAGGCAGAGGACAGTGTGCGTGGCATTCAAGATGCTGCCCAGCTCTAGAGTTAATACTGTATTATGCCTCTTCTGGAGTATATGGTTCGTTCTTTCTGGTCATACTTTTTTCGTATTGAATTTGCCATTTTTTATTGATGCTTCTGACC
Organism: Homo sapiens; assembly: GCF_000001405.40. Lineage (NCBI taxonomy): Eukaryota > Metazoa > Chordata > Mammalia > Primates > Hominidae > Homo > Homo sapiens. The sequence goes on from NC_000008.11 coordinate 119,633,678, forward strand.
TCATTTTTTAGTAAATAGAACTTACACACAGGTCTACATGTCAGTATCTTTGCTTCCTAAATACATAACTTTTTATAAATATCCATTACTGCAACATCACTGTTCTCTCCTCTTCACAGCTGCTAGGCCAGATTTCATAAACTTTTTTTTTTTTAATAAAGAGGTCCACCTGGGAAGTTTTTAAACACCTGTGCTTTCAAAACATTTATAAACACAATGGTCTGACCTGCCTCGGTGACTCATGCCTGTAATCCTAGCAATTTGGGAGGCTGAGGCGAGTGGATCACCTGAGGTCAGGAGTTCGAGAGCAGCCTGGCTAACATGGTGAAACCTCATCTCTACTAAAAATACAAAAATTAGCCTGGCGCGGTGGTGGGCGCCTGTAATCTCAGCTACTCGGGAGGCTGAGGCAGGAGAATCACTTGAACCTGGGAGGTGGAGGTTGCAGTTAGCTGAGATCACGCCACTGCACTCCAGTCTGGGTGACAGAATGAGACTCTCTCTCAAAAAATAAATACATACATACATACATACATACATACATACATACATACACACAATGTCCTCATATAGAGCTCACAAACTAGAAGGAAAAAAAAAGATTTCTACGTAATTGAAGTTAAAAGTTAAAAACTTTACTTCAACATCTAAACCACTTAAATAGAATTTAATGGCCATCAGTAGCATAAATCTGAATGATTTGCACATCTGCTACCAAACAATAAAATGTTGTCATTTAAAATTAAAGGTATTGTTAACTCAATAAGGTATAAGTTTAAACACTGGCCTTCAAACCTAATTGAAGATTAATTAAATGAATTATCATATACTTAACACCTTATAGTTCTCATCAGCCTTAAAGGCATTTTCAAAAACTTTTTCAGATAAATAAAAGCGACTTTATCCCCATTTTCCTGGTTGGAAAATTAGATCTCTAGGCCTTGTATGAGTTAGCCAAGGCCTGGATAAAATTTTAGATCATCTCACTGTAACTACAGTATTTTTTTCATTAATGAAAGGTTTTTCAAACTTTTGTACATAGTTTTCAAATTTTAGAAGTTCTTTTCAAAATATAATTTTGGGGAAGATTTGCTGATTTTATTGATTCAAAAATCTAGGCTGAAGTTCATGGAAGACTGAGATTTCTGAGTATGTAAACTAGATAGAGGAGTCTCTACAGTTTTCAGATAGATGAAAAATCACTACACTACAGCCCCATTTAACAAAGAACTGAAAAATCTGTACCCTCCTTAGCTTCCAGTTCAGATAATTTCATTCCATTGACTCAAACTCCCCAATTTCTACCTGAAATTTCACATAAAGCCCCATGACAGGATAATCCTAATGACCGAGTTTTGCTCACAGAGCAAATGGCTGATCTACGTCCCCTTTACAGTTTCCTGCATTCTCCCATGCCAACATTTAAATAGCTTTTCATTGCAGAGCAAAATTTCTAAAATTATCAAATGAACATAAACCTTCTCACTTCTAGTTCCATTTTCTGATTTCCCTATGATTCTCAAAGAAAAGCTTTATCCATAAAGTTGTTAGTGACAGTCTACATTTCATATGAACCTATGAATTTCATTCACATACTTTTCAACTTTCCTTTCAAGCCACTAAAAACAATGATGAATTAAACTGAGCTTTTAAGTCTCTGTTAGCCAGCTATTCACAAGCTCACAAATTTCCTTTTGTCTTTTAAGAATTAAATTACTTACATATCAAAGAGGATATTCTATTTCCACCTGGAGACAGTTTCTAAATCACAAGTTTCAATAAAATAGACTCCTGCATAACACCACAAACATACACACTGCAAGTGCACATGAGTGCACAGACACCTGTAGACATATAAAGTCTCTTGCAGTCTTAAAGGCAAATCAAGTGGGCCACATCAGACATATGAGAAAAAGATGTCAAACTAAATCACAGTTATGGCTTATATTTTCTTAGAAAATTTATTCCACCCATCTCACCGTCTCATTAACCTGAATGCCCATTGTATTTACCCAACAGAATTATAAGTAGCTTTTCTCATTTCATATCTCCTAATAAATCTATAAATCTTTTATGACCTGGTATAAAAAATCCTGTTCAGCCATTATTTCCTACGCTAACAATAAATCCAGGTAACAAGTGTGTTAGTTAATTAATTATGACAGTCTGTTTGCACTGCCACAACCTTGAAACTAACACCCCAGTCCATAGTACAGCAGCGAGGGCATCCATGTGTACAGAACATTCTCAGCTATTGTTGAGGACTCTGAGAAGCTATGGTTACTAAACAACTGCATGCTTTTGAATGGTGGATCTCACTCTGATCAATCCGAAGCTAGCCATATATCAATACCCTTTGTGTTCCTTCTATTTGTTGCACCCTTGGAGCACTGAGCTTCCCAGGATTTCTTTGGCGCCTAAAAATGTTGTTGGAAATAGGCATGGCTGCCTCCTCCCCACCTAGTGTCTTATTCTTACAGGCTTATAAAATTCACCCAGTATTTTCTGATGGGAAGGCTTTTCTAATGGTCAGAATAACCAGTCACATGTGTCAATCGAGAGAGATCCTTTCTAAGCATATGCAGCATTTAAACGCATAAAGATATTTCCACTGTCTACAGGATGCTTTTACCTAGTTTACTAAGTACATCCTTGATTTTTATTCAGGAGAAATCAACCACAGTTCCTAAAAAGCACATAAGCTACATCAAAAGAAAAATTATTCAGGCATATCCAAACCATAAAATTCAGAGTTAGGTTGCATTGTATTCTAAGACTAAGCTTCACGTGGTTAGAAGTTTAATAAATTATTTTAGATGATATCATAAAGGCCTAAAATAACCAACGACTTAATTAAATAATTCAAGGAGCAAATTCGTGTAGCCCACTTAAGACCATTTAGGTTTATAAATTATAATATAGACCATACTACTTTTCTAGAAGTGGCATTTATTCATTAGTTCATATAGCTATTCTTATAACATGGAAATAATTTACTATACACAAAATATTTTCAAAGACTAATAAATCCAATCTATACTTTTCAAGTTTTCCAGTAGTGAGCACAGAAATTCAAGAGGCAATGAAACAGAATAATTCCTGGGATTTTTTTTTTTTAATCCAGAAAGAAAAGTAGAAATCATCTAAGTCTGCTCCTCATTGTACAGCTAAGGAAACAGACTTCACAAGTGACTTGCCCAACACCACACAGCAAGTTACAGGACTCCAGGGTACCAGCCTAGGATTTTAATGACTGTTTTCCAAAAGAAGTCACCTTTAAAAATAATGAGTGACTCAATTTTACATTCATTAAGGAAACAGCATTTAATTCTTTCAATCTCAGTTTTAGCCAGAGTAATATATTAAGAGGAAACAGAAAAAAAAAGTTCCCTTTAGTGTTCATTGAAAAGAACCAGCAGTTGGCTCTCAAGTTGCTAGCTTTCCCACATGACCATGCTAAGGATCTGATTCCCCTGTCTGTTCAGTCACAGTCAGTGTTAATGGGAGTGAAAAAGAGGCCTTTGAAGAGAGCATTTGCTGCAAATAAAAACAGCATTCTCTAGCTCAGTGATCCACTGTCCTCTGCCTCCCCAACAGAAGACGACTCATTTTGTCCATTTGGCTCCCTGGGGCTGCAAGTTTTGTGATCTATTTTCTCACTCTTAACCCCGCCACACCCCACTTCAATTCACTAATTCACTTCTAATATTATTCTTTCAACCTACTGGCATGATTCAAAAGTAACTTAATTGATGTAAGGAAGATTTAGTATTCCATCAATGTATGTGTCCTAACCCGGTTGATAATAAAATTTCAAGCTGGCTAAACAGAGGCAAGTGATGGTCTTTCATAACAATCAGATCAAGACATACAGAGAAACACAAAATTCACAGGAAGACAGACAAACATGCTGGAATGTCAGGAAAAGTCCAGAAAATATTGTTCCCTAGAGTGCCCATTACTTAAAATGTAATTTTTTATTTCTAAAACCATCAGCAGCTCCAATTTCCAGGAAATTAACCAACTCATTGCTTAAGACCTGGTCAGTTAAGCCCCCTCTGTCTGCACAAGGAGCTCCTTTATAAGAACACTGTATGGGAACACTACTTATGGTGTAGTGTATTGTAAAAAGAAACTCTTTCACTTTGGTTCTATTATTTAAGTCAAGGTACACTATTAAAACTTACCTTTCCTTTGCCATAAGGACACACAATGAGGACAAATCAATCCTGAAAACTCTTTAAACACCTCCTCTCTTTTATGTTTTTCCAATTTTAAGTAAATCTTAAAGTCCTAAATTTCTGAAGTTTCATAAAGATAGCTCACTGCCTTTTTTACTTCCATTCCTTTTTCCTACATCAGAACTTTCTAGTGGCAAATACTACATCCTATATCATGTGACAGCAAATCAGATTTGGGTAGCTCCAATATTAAACCAACACCTGTTCTCACCACTTCTACTTTAGCCTTGTCTGTGAACAAGAGTTTTAATTGTATCCTAACATTTACAAATTTGAGTACAAAAATGGAAATAGCCAGTTATGAAACAATCATAAATGTTCTCTAATGAAAACCACACTCTCCCACCTGAATTATACACATAGGTGGTTTTACCCAGAGAAATTTAGGACTAACTTAGTTATACTGCAAGATTGTATTAAAAATAAATATTTTAATAAGCTTACATTGATTACCCCGTATGTAATATTTTTAAAAAATTGAAAATGCAAATAGTTTTGACACTTACCTGTAGGAGGACCTTCCTCCCATCCTTCTGCTCTCTTAATTCGATGTGCAGTGAATCCTAAGCAGATATTGACTCCAACGGCAAAAGTGAACAGGGATATTATCTAAGAGAATAAAGAGACCAAGTTGTCAAATACAGCTGGAGAAGACTAAATCAAATTACACAAAGGTGATTCAAATGGCTTCAATATCAACACCCAATCCTACCACTTCCAAAATGCATAATAAGGTGCTATCTTAATTTGCACAACAAAAAGGAAAATGCCAATCAGTCACTGATTCTGAAGATCAAGCATGTCCCCCGTCATTCCTCCGTTCTCCCACCTGACACGACTGGAACGAGCTCCTCCTTGCCATGTCGAGGATTCTTGGAAAGCCTTTTGCAGCGTGTTCTCTTTGCCTTCACGGAGTGCACTGCTTTGAGGCTCTGGGTTTAGTCTATTAACTATAAGCAATCCCACCTGGGAGGTTGACAGACTCCTCTGATTTGTCCAGAGCTTGATTACATCACAGGGTGTTCACAAATCGCAGCTCTGAGCCTAAGAGGCTTAAGCTATCATCCCCCTTATCCCCGCCCCCTTACAGGTCCCTCCCCTAACCCACAGACACTTTCATGTGGTATCCTCTGGCAACAGGAGGGTTTGTTACATTGCCGTGGCCCATAACAGTGCATGTTCATTTTCCTTTCCTCACAAAAACATGGTTTGTCAAAAAGAAACCAAATGCATTTCATCCGATAAAAATGAAAACAGGGCTGTGCAAGGGCTTTCCACCAGCTTTAAGCTTTTAAGGTTTACAATGCAGTCATTCAATGGCGTCAACCTCACCACTTTATTTTTTTAAGCAAGGAAAGTTTTATCATTTATAAACCTAATAACGTTCCTGTCTTTCCCATCTATTTATTTTGCTGGCAGTTTGAGCGACCCTGTCCCTAGTATCACATTCTCAGCTACTTCTGCCTCCTTGAAAGTTTCTCATGATGAAATTTCGCAAAATTGTAACTAACATAAAAGATAACATTATTTTCCCCATGCTGTGGTTCAAGTTTAGAGAAGTAACTTTTATCAAAATACTGGAAATGCCAGCCACGCAGCATAAAGTCCTTCTGCCCTGGGAGGACGGACAAAATAACTTCAGTCTCTGCCTCTTCTTCCCGTAAAGACTGTCAGCTTGTTTCGGGCGGGGCGGAGGAGGGGGCGGTTTTTGAGAGGCAGATGGGTGGGGGAAGGGGATGGCATGGGAAGCTTTATTAGCAATTGAATTTAGGAAGGAAATCTCAATGGCAGCAAGAATTGAAATGTCAAGAATTGTTTCCCTAGTTATTTCTTGGTTAAATGTAGCCACCAAATACTGTGTCCTTTGAGGCTATTGTGGGTACTAAAGTTTCTTTACTAAGCAATTTGGCAACCAGCACACTTTCAAAAGAAAAAATCAAGGGCTCTAAATCTGAAAGTTGTTTAAATATTACATGCCTTCAGGATTCAAATGAGGGAAAAAGATTTGTTTTTGGCCTCTTCCTCAGCAGGTCCAGTGACCATCTTTTCTTCCGCAGCACATGTGTTCGTGCGTAAACAAATACGAGACTTACCATGCAACAAATTAGTAACAGAGTAGTGGCTCTGCTCAAATAAAACATGATAGCACAAAAGCAAAAACTTGTTTATAGGGGGTTGTACAGTAGGCCTGGGTTTCATTACAGATTCTTAGAATCTAGTAATATCTAATTGAAAAAAAGAAAATACACATACTGCCAAACTGTTAATTGCCTTTCTAAAATCCTTTTAGTTTTGCACTGTTGCAAAGAGGACAGGCTTATACATTTTTATATGTAAGCCTCTTGCTTTTGTCTGTATGCCATACTGAACAAATTTGGAGTAGGGTATTTAGCAAGGCTTATAAAAGATGTTAACTCCATGAAAGATTTTCCTATAATTTATGTTAAATTTCAAGATACAAGCCAGACATGATAGAGGAAAACAATAAACCCCAAAGAAAAATATCAAGGCAATCCTGTTATTTCATTATATGCCACAGTGCTCTAAATGTTCTAAAAACAAAAACAGCCTCTTCTTTTGCCTTGCCAGAGTCTAACAACTTTTGACTTTGTCTGATATTTGATTGTATAAACCTAGCTAGAAGACAATGAGGGTTCCCTTGGAAAAAAAGTTAGGGTTCAGGAGCTGAACATCATCCATTTATTTTTCTCTTATATGCAGACTAGCTGGGCAGGGGGAAAAGCTGTAATAGCCAAGTTGATCTGCTTGTTACCCAATATCCAAAAGAGTTGACCTCAGCCACTATTTCTTTGTTTTTTTGTTTTTGTTTGTTTATTTGTTTATTTTGAGATGGAGTTTCACTCTTGTTGCCCAGGCTGGAGTGCAATGGCTCGATCTCGGCTCACTGCAGCCTCCACCTCCCGGGTTCAAGTGATTCCTGTCTCAGCCTCCCGAGTAGCTGGGATTACAGGTGCATGCCAACACGCCTGGCTAATTTTTGTATTTTTAATACAGACAGGGTTTCACCATGTTGGTCAGGATGGTCTCGAACTCCTGACCTCAGGTGATCCGCCCATCTCAGCCTCCCAAAGTGCTGGGATTACAGGTGTGAACCACCGTGCCTGGCCCTCAGCCACTATTTCTGTTAACCGTTCTGCCAAAGAACTTTGTCTTTTACCAGCTTGTTGTGCATAAGGAACATGTTAACATGAACACATACACGCACACACACAAGCATATATGTGCATACACACATCATTTTGCCACAGTTAAACAGATTTTTACTACAAGATTATTGTTATAAATTAACTGTCAGGAGAATGACCAAGATGACCAAAGTCCCTACCTCGGCTATCAAATTAACTACAAAATAAAATTATCCCTCATTACCTAAAGCTGAAAAAAAAAAACAAAAAAAAGCTTCACAGTGCATAAAGTAGGTTAAGAAATTCAACTAAAATGACTGGAATTAGTCCAAAACCTTTTGTAAGAAAACTAAATTATGAGAAGTTCACTTGCTATGGTGTTTAAGATTTTGTAATAAGGACACATGTGGCTGGCTCAGTAAACAAGAAGTGCATAAGAAAGACTGAAAAATTAAATTCCAACATGGTTTATTAGCCCAGCCATATTTCAGAGAACACTGCCCCCTGGCAGAAGAAAACCTAGAACTAGAAACAAATATTTGTCAACAGTCTCAGTCCCTAGAAATCATTCTGTGGTTTTCAAATTTTATTGGGTATCAGAATCACCCTGGAGCCTTGTTTAAAATGCTGATGTTTATGTCCTGCGTATCAAGATCCTGATTCATTAGGTCTGGCAGGTGGGGAGAAGAAAGAGGAGTTTAGAGGTCAGACAAGAACTGGCACAATAGGTTACTTTGATGAAAGTCAGATAAGAACCACGTTTATGGAGATAAGACCTGGTTCCTGCAGCAGACGTGATTGACTGGCTTCAATAATTGTGGTCTGGCAGGAAAATTCAACATAGGGATAAACAAAAAACTATGATTCCCAGATAGGAAAAACTGATGGCTAGAGGATCTTATCCACTGAGAGGAGGAACTTGCAGTTAGATCATTTAAGGTCCTCCTGATTTCAGACATCCAGGCAACGCATAATATAGAGCTTTAATTTTAGGCCATGCTCCACTTGATGCCTTGATCTATTTATAACTGGATGATGACCTGAGACTTCTAGGAAATCTAGAAGTTTTGCTTCTCAATTTCTCCGTTACTTCCTTCTTTGGGGTTTAAACGACTTTTTGGTATACTCTTTTGAATACCCATTTTCAAGCTCACCACTTCTTTCTTCTGCCTGCTCAAATGTACTGTTAAATCACTCTAGTAAATTTTTTTATTTAAGTTAGTGTACTTTTCTGCTCCAGAATTTCTATTTGTTTATTTTTTGAATTATTTGTTTACTGACATACTTTGTTTAGGGAAACATTGTTCTCTTCATTTGCTTTACTTTTTGTTCATGTTTTTATTTTTAGTTTTTTTAATATGCTAACGATGGTTGACATAAAGCCTTTGTCTAATAAATACAATATCTATGTTTCCTCAAAAAAAAGATAAGTACCACATTTGGAGAAGTAGAGCATTATAATAAATTACTCTGAATTAATGTATTTATGCCCTGCATGTTGAATTGTTTGGCCTAATTCATATGGAATTTTAATATGTTATTAATAACATTCACTATTAATTGGACATTAAAGTTTAGATCTCTTAAAAACAAACTGTGGCTTTTCTTCCAGGGGACTCATCTCCAAACTGTAAGAAGCAGAGTAGTATTTTATTTACTTTGCTGGTGACACAAAGCAGTAGTGTGTGTATTGCTTAATTGTAATACAGTAGTTGCATTTATATAAATGCACAGTCTATCTTTTCATGAAATTATTCTATGCGTCCTTGTTCCCTAGCCCTGATGAAGATAAGAAGGCTTGAGGTTAACAGTGAGATTTGAAAGATAAGTGATAGAAGGTTGTCGTTCTTGCTTCCTGAAGTAATTAATTGTCATGAACTGATTGAAACTGTATCTACACCCAGAGTTTCTCATTATGCAGAACTGACATCACTAGATTTAACATTATTCCCAGAATAATCCTAAGATTATGTATGATGTTAGATAATTATTAACCATGTCATTTTCTGTAGTATCATTTAGCAGTAACTATAGCGCATACACTACAAAAGTAAGAAAACACCATATATATTCTTCTTATTCTATCTTAAAAGTCTGTTGTCCTGTTTTTAAGTTTTGCTGTGGTTGAGAACTATTAGAAAATTCAGATAAAAACTGGACAACAGTCTTTGCAAAAGGATTTACTAGTCTAAACTGAGCAGAAAATTTTGATGGCTAATAGAGGAACAAGCTGGCTCAATTGCTCCCACAATCCAGGACTGCAAACATGTATAAGTCTTACAGTTACAATTCTAAACCACAAAAGCAAAGTTTTATGGGTAGTCTATGGTCCCACAGGATTCTCCAGTAGAAGAACAGCATATACCTGTTCAAATGCAAACTAGACTTGTGCTATTAATTGTTACACAGTCGAAAGCTGACATCAACACTGTTGCAACTTTCAATGACTTTAACTTATGGCATAAATTTTATGCATTACATTTACTCCCTATGGAATCTACACATGAGCCCCGACACCAGAATAATCTCTGCCCTGTATGAATGTTGCACAAATATTCATTAGCTTCTACAAGGTACCAAGCACTCTTCTGGGAACTGGTCGTACTACATAGGGAGCTGACCCACACATAGCTCCTGCTCTCCACATTAATCAAGTAGACACAGAAATAAATGTAAAATTACAACTGTGGAAAATGAAGAAATATAGAGGTAAATCATGATTTGAGCAAATATCATTCAGATTACCTAGTCAAGAGGGTCAGAGAAGAATTTGTGGAGTAAGTGTTCATTGAGCTGCGATTGGAAGGGTGTGTGGGAGTGAGTAACCAGATTAAGAAAGGAGCAAAGACTTCTAGACAGAGGAGAGAGAACAGGCAAAGATCCTGTGTAAGATGGAGGTATGGCACATCCACGAGACAAAAAGGCAGCCAGTTTGACTAGTGCAGGGAGAGCAGAAGTGAGTATAGAGAGAAGTGAGACTGGAGAGGTTAACAGAGGCCGGTCATGTGGGGCCTCCGAGGTCATGTTAGGTGATATTGTCTTTACCCTAAAGGCAACAAAAAGCCCTTAAAAGGCTTAAGCAGGGGGAGGCTTAATCAGATTTTGAAGCATTAATCTCTGCACGGTGTAGATATGAATCAGAGGGAGTCAAGAATGGATATAGCAGATCAGTTTGGAAACTCTGGCAGTAAGCCAGACAAAAGATCATGACAGCTTACACAGAGGAGGCTATGGCGGCGTGGAGAGGAAGACAAGTGGGGGAGTTAGGAAAAAAGACTTTTTAATGAACTGGATATGGGAGTTGAGGGGCAGGAAGGTATTAAGTATGACTCCTGAATTAATAGATACTTAATGATTATGATGACCATATATATACTCAGTGAAGTCACTTCTTTTCAATTAGATCATAAGAAAGACATGGGGATAGGTATCCATTTGCTAACACCCTAGAATTAAATAGTTACAATAAGGGACAGAGCTAATAGCTTTAAACCATTTTCTGCTGTGACTGGAGATTACTAAAATATATATATATATATATATATATATATATATATATATACACACACACACACACACACACATATAGATATATATATATATATACACACACACATATATATATACTGGACTTTAAACACTAAAAATGCATTTATTCATATTGAGGTTTTAAAAAGCATTCCCCCTAGGAAATAACTCAGCTTTGTTCCTAACTCTAGCTCATAATAAAACATTTTAAAATTCAAAACTCAATGTAACTATTTCTTTTCAGCTACTCTAAACCCTGCATGCTAAGTGTCCAGATGAATGGAGAAAATTTCCCCTTTCAGAAGGGCTGAGTCGCTAGCAGGCTTGTAAACCACATGAAGGTTTTCATTTTTGAGTCTACTTTATAATGTGACTATGTGATATATGAACACAAATGAGTGACAGGATAATTAGGAAAAACAACTGTTTTACCAAAAGTTTTACCCTAGGGTTGACGACTCCCATATTTTACCCTCCAGTCTCACTCACATAGGCAGGCTACAAACTCCACTTGCAGAGAAAGAAATGGAGGTTCGAAGAGTATGGGGCATCTCCAGAACGGTCAGATAATTGACTGAGCCAGTTCTAAAAACCAGGTCTCCTATGCCAGCTCAGTCCTCTTTCCGCCGCAGCGTGATGCCTCTCTACTACACCACACGAGGGCCTCCACTCAACACGTCCAAAACGCAGCTACCTACACAACAAGTTCACCCTCCCAATTTCATTTCTTTTCAGGAAAACCTTAAACTCAACTCACTTTTTGTTCATTTCAATCCTTTCCTCTCTTGTTTCTTGCCAGACACCATATCTACAGATTCTAGTTAATAATGACAACTACTGCCATCCTTTATCAGGTGCTGTTAGTTCCTAAATTTTCTTCCTATGTGATAATGTTTAGGTTCATCCCTTCAGCTTCATTATTCTGGACACACATTAGAAGGTCCTCTCATAGCCGGGCACGGTGGCTCACGCCTGTAATCCCAGTACTTTGGGAGGCCGAGGCAGGTGGACCTGAGGTTGGGAGTTCAAGACCACCCTGACCAACATGGAGAAACCCCATCTCTAATACAAAATTAGGCGGGCGTGGTGGCACATGCCTGTCATTCCAGCTACTTGGGAGGCTGAGGCAGGAGAATCGCTTGAACCCGGGGAGTGGAGGTTGAGCTGAGCTGAGATCGCACCATTGCACTCCAGCCTAGGCAACAGGAGCGAAACTCAATCTCAAAAAAAAAAAAAAAAGGTCTTTTCATAACTGCTCTTCCTGTTTGTACTCTCTGTCCCCTCTGACCACCATTTCATTAAGTTCTCTTTTATAATTTATTCCCATTCATTACCCAGAAAGCCCTAAACAATATGCAAATCTAATGATTTTCCTTCTAAACTTTTTTTTTTTGAGATGGAGTTTCACTCTTGTTGCCCAGGCTGGAGCGCAATGGCACGATCTCGGCTCACCGCAGCCTCCGCCTCCTGGGTTCAAGCGATTCTCCTGCCTCAGCCTCTCAAGTAGCTGGGATTACAGGCATGTGTCACCATACCCGGCTAATTTTTTTGTATTTTTAGTAGAGACGGGGTTTCACTGTGTTAGCCAGGATGGTCTCGATCTCCTGACCTCGTGATCCACCCACCTCGGCCTCCCAAAGTTCTGGGATTACAGGCATGAGCCAGCGCATCCAGCCTTTTCCTCCTAAACTTAAAACTTTTCTGTTTGGCTTCCTATCAAAGCAGTTCTCAAAGTATGGTCCCTGGATGAGCAGGGTTAGAATGACCTGGAAACTTGTTAGAAGTGCAAATGCTTGGAGCCTGCCTCATACCTACTGAATGAGAAACTCTGGGTTAAAGCCCAGAATCTGTTTTCGCAACTCCACCAGGTGCTTCTGATGCGAGTTTGAGGACCACTGACCTAGAGGGTAAATTCAAGCTGCTTAACCAGGCTCATAGGACCCTAGATCCAAAACTAAACTCCCTAAATTCAAATCCCAGCTCGACCACAGTTTAACTGTGAGACCTTATATGACCCTTAGGCAAATTACTTCTCCATCCTAAAACTCAGTTTTCTTGTCTGTTTCCATCTCATAGGATTCTTGAGAGTATTACATGAAATAATCCATGTAAATCACCTAGCACAATGCCCAGCATAGAATAGTGTTCATAAATGTTAAATTTTCTTAATTAGAGAACTATTTTCTGTTCCTTGATTAAGTTGTGCTCTTTCATACCTCCATTCCTTAACATACATTGTTGCTTTGGCCTAGAATGCCCTTCTCCACCTAATTTCCCTGGCAAATACCAACATATTTATGAAAATTCAAGTCAGGTGTCACTCCGCTGTGAGCCTCCCCAGTTTTGCCCTCATCTTCACACAGAACAACAATGAACTGTGTTACCATATTGTCTGTAATCTCTCTCTTTTTTTTTTTTTTTTTGAGACAGAGTTTGGCTCTGTCGCCCAGGCTGGAGTGCAGTGGCACAATCTTGGCTCACTGCAACCTCCGCCTCCCGGGTTCAAGCAATTCTCTGCCTCAGCCTCTGAAGTAGCTGGGATCACCGGCACCCACCACAACACCCAGCTGATTTTTGTATTTTTAGTAGAGACGAGGTTTCACCATCTTGGCCAGGCTGGTCTTGAACTCCTGACCTTGTGATCCACCCACCTCAGCCTCCCAAAGTGCTAAGATTACAGGGGTGAGCCACTGCGCCCAGCCCGTCTGCAACCTCTTTTAAGGCAGCTCCATCCCTTTTGATCTCTCCAAATGCAGGGACCAATTATCCTTGCACTACACAGAGCTTTTCACCCTGCCTGGAATATAATAGGAACACAATAAATATTTCCCAAGTGAACTACTTGGCACAAAGAAATTTGACTTGTAGTACTTCCTCTGTTATTCACTAGCTTTGTCACTGCAAACCCAAGCCTCTTCACTTGTAAAGGAGAGTTAGCAGGCTAAGTGGCTTTTAGCCATATTTTTTAACATTAAAACTTTGTTTCCAAATAAAATCTTAAAATGAATACTTTTCTCTCTTAGGGTTCCCTGTTTTTTCAGTATTTCTTGTCTCAGGAATAAGAGCATAAATTCTTAGAGAGCAGGGGAAAAAAGCAATGTGCTATAGAGAATAAGGGTTTGGATTCTGTGGCCGGGCGCAGTGGCTCACACCTGTAATCCTAGCACTTTGGGAGGCAGAGGCGGGTGGATTACCTGAGGTCAGGAGATCGATGCCGACCTGGCCAACATGGCAAAATCCCGTCTTTACTAAAAATACAAAAATTAGCTGGGCATGGTGGTGGGCGCCTGTAATCCCGGCTACTTGGAAGGCTGAGGCAGGAGAATCACTTGAACCCAGGAGGCAGAGGTTGCAGTGAGCCAAGATCATGCCACTGCACTCCAGCCTGGGCAACAAGAACAAAATTCCATCCCCAAAAAAAGAAAAGTTTGGATTCTGGAGTCCCACTGACTTGAGTCTGCCTGTTTCAAGCATGAGACCTTGCTTAACTTCTCTAAAACATGAGTTTCTTTTAAAAAATAATTGTTCTTTTCACACAGGGTTGATATGAAGACCAAATGATGTAATAATGCATGTTAAGCAAGTACCTCAGTGCTAAAACACACAAAATAAACAAATATTCCCCATTACTCTATATATAAGAGAGCAAGGTCTGTGTCATCTGCTATCGTGCTCTCAGCATCTTCTAAAGTGCTGGGCATAGAGTGCTTAGTAGTGACATGGGTTCTAAGAAAATCCCTTTATTTATGGAGAGATTATATGTAAGTAAAGTTAAAAATGTTTCAATCCACCTTTTTCACATTCTTTTTAACCTTATGAGAAAATGAGCAGCTCTTATGTGGCAAAGGGTAGGGTGATTCTGGAAACAGCTTTGAAGGACACATTTCAACCACAATAATAAAGCCCCTCTACTTGGATTGGAAAGCCCCAAAAAGTTGAGATTTAACTCAATGAATGTGTTTCGATTCAAATCTAAAAGGAAGTTTACACTTGCCGCTGCAAAGGTGTCATCACGTGCTTACCAGCACAATGGAACTCTCTCAGGGAGGAAGCAAAACTGCCATTTCTGTGATTCCCCTTGCAATCATACAACAGTGAAGGGCATTCAACAAACTAGGAAGAGAGGACAACTTCCTCTGCCTGATAAAAGGCTTCTACAAAAAGTCCAGAGCTAACATCATCATATTTAATGGTGAAAGACTGAATGCTTTCCCCTAAGATCAGGAGCAAGACAAAAATGTCTGTTTTTACCACTTCTAGTCAACTTTGTACTTCCAGCCTGAGGAATTAGGCAAATAAGTAAATAAATGAATGCCATCCAAATTGGGAAGGAAGAAATAAAGCTATCTCCATTCACAGATCTTGTATATAGAAAATCCTAATGAATCTACCAAAAATAAAAAGTGAAACTAATGAGTTCATGAATGTTGCTTGATATAAGACAAAAATACAAAAATCAGTTGTATTTTTATACACTAACAATAGACAATCTAAAAGTTAAGAAGAAAATTGCATTTATGGCCGGGCACGGTGGCTCATGCCTGTAATCCCAGCAATTTGGGAGGCGGAGGTGGGCGGATCACAAGGTCAGGAGATCGGGAGCATCCTGGCTAACACGGTGAAACCCCGTCTCTACTAAAAATACAAAAAAAAAAAAAAAATAGCCGGGTGTGGTCGTGGGCACCTGTAGTCCCAGCTACTCAGGAGGCTGAGGCAGGAGAATGGCGTGAACCTGGGAGGCGGAGCTTGCAGTGAGCCGAGATCGTGCCAATGCACTCCAGCCTGGATAACAGAGCAAGACTCCATCTCAAAAAAAAAAAAAAGAAAAGAAAAGAAAAGAAAATTGCATTTATAATAGTCAAAGGTCTAAAATACTTAGAAATAAATTTGACAAAATAAGTGAGATTTGCACACTAACCATTAGAGAGAATCACTGAGATATATTAAAGAAGACCTAAATTTGGGAAGATCTGCTTTTTCATGATCGGAAGACATTATTGTCAATATGGCAAGAAAGTGAAACGATGACCTACGGGTTGGAAGAAAATATTTACAAATCATATAACTGATAATGTTCAAATATCTAGAACATTTAAAGAACACTTACAACTCAGCAATAAAAAGACATATAATCCAATTTTTAAAAAATGATCAATGGATTAGAATAGACATTTCTCCAAAGAAGATACACAAATGAACAATAAGCAAATGAAAGTTTGTTCAACATCATTAGGAAAATGCAAGTCAAAACTGTGAGATACCACTTTACCCCCACTAGGATGCTAAAATTTAAAAGATAGTTAATACAAACTGTTAGGAAGGATGTGGAAACATGAACTGTAAAATGATGCAGTCACTTTGGAAAGCAGTTTGGCAGTTTCTTAAAATGTTAAATATAGAGTTACACATATAACTCAAAAGTTCCACTCTTATGTATATACCCAAGAGGAAGTAAACATACATCCACACAAAACTTGAACACAAATGTTCACAGCAGCATTACCAACTGATGAATGGATAAACGAAATGGGGTATATCCATACGGTGAAATATTACTCAGCAATAAAAAGGAATGAAGCCCTTATATGTGCTTCAGCATCACAAACCTTGAAAACATTACGCTGGGTGAAAGAAGCTAGCCACAAAAGCCACATGTTTTATGATTCCGTTTATATAAAACATCTAGAAGAGGCAAACCCACAGGGGATAAAAGGTCAATTAGCAGTTGTCAGATGATGGGGTATTGACCGATATCGGGTATGAGTTTTTGTTTTGGAGTGATGAAATGTCCTAAAATTGCATAATGGTGATGTTTGCACGTCTCTGTAAATATATTTAAAACCACTGAAATGTACAGTTTAAAAGAGTGAATTGTATAATATATAAATTATATCCCAAAAAAGCTATTTTAAAAAAGAACCGAGATTATACCTGCAGAGAAGCAAATTCCAAAGCATCTGGATGCACAGAAAAGGAACATTAACCCTGATTTTCAGTTCTCAGGTTCATGCATTCAACGTTGTCCCCAGAGTCAACCCGGTTATCCTCTGAACCTGATGATTAACAGGAGGACTGATGCATTTGAGTCATGGTGTGGACTGCTCTTAACGAGCCCCTGTGTGTGTGATGAAACCCTCTGCATCCCCCAGAATTAGAAGAACTGGGAGTTTGTCAGAGCAACTTGGCCCTCTGCCATATCTCTTTCATCAGGTTTTCTGTTTCATTTTACTTTTAAATAAAACAGCCTAGAAGAGACCCTAGTTCTTGCGTACACATCTCAAGTATCCTGAAACTTAATGGCAACAAACTGTAAACAGAGTTTGTGGGGCAGTTGTGAGAATTTAAGAACAATAATACCTTTCATTTGGAGAATACTTCTTTAAAAAAAAAAAAGCCCTATGAACTAGAGTTAATGTCAGATAGATCAAGGCTCACTCACTCTTCCAACTTTGCAATCAATAAAACAGAAAGGCTGTCCATAGATATGTCACAGAGCTAAAGGACCTCTGACAGGGAGATCAGGACAGCTCATATGGCAGATGGGCATGTATTATAATGGTTAAATTATAGATAGGGGATTTTTAAGTTGATAAAGAGGGGAAGGGCATTGCAAGCAGAGGAAATTCCAGGAGCAAAGTCTCAAAAATTTCAGAAAGGGAGTAGAGAAAGGAAAAAGCAAACATGTATACATAGTACCACATTTGACATGGAACAGACATTCTTTTAAGTGGTAGCTAGTATTCGGTAATTGTTTGCACTTTGCCAGGCAACCTACTGGGGACATTTACATAGTGCATAATTTAATATTTATAAAATCTTCACAGTATTATCATTGTGAATAGATATGAAAACAACTTCAAATATATCAAACAACTTGCCCAAGTTCAAGTGCCTATTAAGTGGGGGAATCATCTTTTCTCTTGATTTCCCAATAAGAATTACAAAACTGGGAAGACCTCAAAGGAATGGGAATTTCAACTGTGTGCTGAAAGAAACCTGAGTCTACTAAAGGCAGAGGATCTAGTAAATGTTTGATGAGTCTTGATACTTGATAATGTTTCCTAATTCAGAAGATAATAGGAGCCACAGATTAACCTTTGTTGTAAGCTGACCTTCTTGTGACCCCCAAAAAGAATAGGTTGCAAATGAAAAAGTGACCAGAACCTTGGGCATCCTGGACATGTCATTTCAAAATCCTAAGATCTCAGAGAGAATGCTGGTCATTATCAGACAATTGCCTAAATTTTGGAAACCAGAGTTTTCCAAATTCAAATAATAGTGGTTCAATACAGATTTAGTAAGCATCCACTGCAGTATTAGCTAATGCTTATTGAAAGCTTACGCTGTGTCAAGTACCGCTTGATATCAAGGATAGTGAGATGAAAGGTGTGTTTTAATTGGGAGATGGTAAAGTATCTTAGTCCATTCATGCTTCTATAAAAAAATACCATAAACTGGGTGGCTTATATATAACATAAATGTATTTTTCATAGTTCTGGAGGCTGGGAGGTTTACGATCAAGGCACCAGCAGATTCTGTGTCTGGTAAGGACCCCACTTCCTCATAGAAAGCTGTCTTCTCACTGTAACCTCACATTATGGAAGGGTAAGGGTCTCTGTGGGGTCTTTTATATAAGAACATTGACCCATTCATGAAGCCTCTACCCTCATGATTTAATCACCTCCCAAAGTCCCCACCTCCTTATATCATCACCTTGGGAGTTAGGATTTCAACGTATGAATTTGGGAAGGACATAAACATTCACATCATAGCAGGAAGTCAGCAGTTTGTTAAGATGCCATATCCTGAGAATTGGCTCCCTCAATCTATTCATCCCACATCCAGGCTGCCTTAGTGTCCTGCAGATTTTTTGCAGAAATCGTTATAGAAACAGTTTATAGACTCTGCCAACTATGCTCCTGAGATTGTCATTATGCACATGAGATTTGGACAGCAGAATTGAGATCCCTCTTCCTGTCCCTTTCAGCTGGTTATCTGTGCAAACAAGATCAGAAATGATAGGTTTTCTGCAATATTATTTCAGTATCTATTCTCCAGCTTCCTAAGCATCAAGAGACACCTGTGGAGGTGACACAGATGGTAGCCTCCTGATTCCTGAATCACAGATGTAAGATATGTTCTTGAACTCAATATTCCAGTGATAGGTAGCTGCCACATACAATGTACCATGGACTGTATCAAAATTCAAAAATATATCAACAGGTTGAAATCAAGAGTTTAAAAAATAAGATCTGAGCGAGACAGCCAGATCTATCTATCTGGGACAACATTCTTGAAGCAGAATACAAAATTTAGGTATACAACTTTGCACTAGGAGAGACCAGCACTAACAGCAATTCTTGTAAAAGAAACCCAGGCATTTGGGTTACCTGCAAGCTCTATAGAAGCCCATGTTTGGCTACCACCCTAAATGACTTCATTTTATCCTAGGCTTCTTTAATAATGATTCCTGCCCACATCCAGGAGGGGAATGTTTCAGCTGAGCCTAGCCAGACTCCGTCTAGATTGTGTTCACCTCTGGATAGCTCGTTTTAAGAGGTCACTACAAAACTGGACAGCATTAAGAGAGGCATGACCAGGATGAGGAGAGGTCCTTATCACCCAACCAATTCATTAATTCACTCATTCATTTGTTTATTTACTCAGCAAACTTCTATTGAGCACCTAGTATACGTCAAGCATTGAGGATGCAGCCTCTGCCCCAGCAATCCCACATTTTAGTAGGAGAAGAAAATAACGTCAAGTAGCTGATAAACGATAAAGAAAAAAGAGCACAAGAGCAAGAAAACAGAGGAGTAACGAGTGGAGCTATTTTCAGTTAGGCAGCAACAAAGATCTCTCCAAAGGGATGACATATGAACAGAGACCCGGATGACATGAGGGGGAAGCCAGGTGTCTTGGAAAAAATAGCAGGTGCAAAGGCCCTGAAGTAGGAGCAGCCCAATGTGCTCAGTGAGGCCAGTGTGGCTGGAGCAGAGTGAGAGACGAGGCAGCAGTAAGAGACAATGTCAAAGAAGTAATTGGGAGCTAGTTTATGCAGGACCCTACAGGCCATAATGGAGGCTTCATGTTTCATGTTGGATGTAATGAAAAGCCACTGGAGGGATTTAATCAGACAATGACATGGTCCAATTTATGTTTCAAAAGTCTCACTCTTACTGCTGTTCAGGAAATGGATATTTAATGAGCACGCTTGTGACTGTGCAGCCTGAACGTGTGGCGTAGATGAGGGGAGAAGGTGGGTGTGCATTGCCCTTCCTCAAACGTTTGAAAGTTAATGCAAAATGCACAGGCTTTATTATGCATCTCTCTATATATTTTTTATCTCTATATATAATATGTAATATAATAGATTACATATTATTATATATCTATAGAAAATATTATATATTAAATATATTATATATGTATAATATTTTATTATATGTTATATTATCTAGAGAGACATATTATATATTATATTATATATTATGTGTTATATATCTATATAACATGTACAGAGATATATAATATTATATACAGAGATATAATATATAAGTATCTATATATAATATTAGGTATTCTATATATATTACATGTATTATATATCTAGATATATAACTATTATGTATAGATATAAAAGATATAGCTATATATCTATATCTATATTATATTATAATACTAATACCAATATTATATAGATGTATCTATATATAATACTTAATATATAATTATATATAGAGATATATCTCTGTATAATATTTAATATATAATTATATTATATAGAGAGATATATCTAGA
The DNA here is from genome assembly GCF_000001405.40 of Homo sapiens. NCBI lineage: Eukaryota > Metazoa > Chordata > Mammalia > Primates > Hominidae > Homo > Homo sapiens. The sequence goes on from NC_000008.11 coordinate 119,654,394, forward strand.
TATTAATATCTAGATATATAATATAAAATATTTATAGTATAAATTTATATTGTTATATTTATAAACTTAATATAAATTTATATTATTATATATAATATGTTATATATTTAATATATATAATAAATATTAGAGTGAGAGAGAGGGTCTTGCTATGTTGTCCAGACTTGTCTACAACTCCTGGCCTCAAGCAATGTTCCCGCCTCAGCCCCACAAAGTGCTGGAATAACAGGCATGAGCCACCATACCCAGGCTCCCATGCATGCTTTTTCTAGGCAAAACTAGAAGTTACAGAGAAGCATATTTTGTCTCATGAAAGAGATAATGAAATAGTTATAAAAAATGAACTAACAGTCACTATTCAGCAAAGGCTAGGTGGTGGTAGTCAGGATTTCTTAAAAAGTATCTGAATTCAGAAGCACTTTGGCTATACAACATCTAAGCTTCTTTCCAACTCTAAGCATCTACTATTTCTCTGTCTTCTTTAAACTCTCTCAGAGAGCTGAGTCCTCTCCCTATAATAACCAAAAAAGAGTTACTCAAATTCAATTAAATAATCAGAATTTGGTCTTACTTTTTCCTGGATAAATCAAAAGGAAAGGTAAGGATCTTTATACATACCTTGTTCTTACTATTTCACCTCCTGAAGGAAACAGAGAGAGAAAGAAAATATTGGTATGCACAATTTAATGTATGCCAAATACACAGAACACTTGTCAAGGGTAAGCTAAGAAAAGAAGAAAGAAACACATTTCACAAAATCCTATGATGGACTTAAGCAAGAGATGAAGCAATGGTTTTTTGGATTGATCAAGAAGACAGACATACGATAAGCTGACCAAGTTGACCTGACATTGCCTCTCTGACACGTCTGTGTCTCTCATAATCCTTTGTAAACAGAGAGTCACCGCATATTTGAAATACAATTACCTCAGATTGCCAACAGAGTATTATGCAAGAGAATGCCGGAAGTTCTGGACCTTATGTTGCCCTGCTAAGCTTCCATTGCTCTTATGAGAGATGCTATACAACTTGTTAATTGCTGAAAATCTGGACTCTCTGGCTTGTTTAGAATCATGACTTGGATGCTCACTAGCTCTATGGACTTGACTGAGTTAGGAACCCTCTCTGGACCTTCATTTCTTCATATGTAAATGAGAATGCATATAATCCCTTCCTCATAGGGTTGCTGTGGGAATTAAATACAATAATCCATGTAGCACTAATTGCTAATAATAGTAGCCACCATATTTCGAAGAACTAAAATGTCACAGATGTTGTACAGAGATTATCTTACTGAATTCTCTCAACAGTCTTACAAAATACATACTGGTTTCTCTTTTTGCAGGGGCTCACAAAAGTTTAAGTAACTGGCCCAAATTTACATACCTAGCACGGGACAGATTCAGGTCATTCAAATTCAGGTCCGCCCAGCCAGAGCCCAGTTTCTAGGTATTTCTTGCAACAGCACACTATGCAATGGGACATTTAGTTTTATTACTATTAAAAGAAACTCCTCCAATCTCTCAAGTGAGGGGCAGTTGAGAAGTTTTTCCCTAGTCACTTTAAAAGTTCAGAAGCAGAACTGATTCTCTTACGGACAGTTTCTCATTTTGCTCCCAGCTGCAGGTTGGAGCCACTATACCAATACTGTCTTTGTGTCATCTGACTGGTGCAGCTGGTTTTGCATGCCTTCTAAGTTTGGGGCTGGGTAAATCCTGATCACAGACTTGTAGCCTATGGCCTCATGTAATAAAATATTTTGCAAAAGATGATGTTTTTCTCCTTTTTTCAATCTTCCCTCCCTTTCTGCAGCTATTTCCCTTTCCTCCTAAGAACTGATAAAAATTCAGAAACCCTTATTTTTGCAATTAATCTCATGTGACCTTACTATTGACAATGGCCTGGTTGTTTCTCCCAACTACAACACAATTGATGACATGCCAGTGCTAAGAACAAGGATCACCAACTGACAGAGCTGGGAGCGATCTCTCTGTATTCGTTCCTCTCACGGCACCCACCACATTCTAATCATAATAATGATACTAAGCGCAGTAACAACTACCATGTACCAAGAGCCTACCATTTGCTGAACATTTAACATAAGATTGACCATTCATTTATTTCCTTGTCCACTTATTTAAACAGCAGCATACTTTATTGAGAATCTACTATGGCCTAGGCACTGTTCTAGGCACAAGAGTCCAGTAACTAACACAAGAATCCAAGTCCCTGCTCAGAGAGCTTACATTTTATTGGATGGAATAAAACAGAAAATATATAAATATATTAGTTGGTAATGGCAGAATACAGTTATCTCCTGAATTACACAAATAAGGCAGTTAGAATTATCATATTTTATAGGTGAAGAGTTTGAGTAATTTGTGCAGTCACCACATCAGTGATACAGCAGGAATTTGCTATATTCTGATAATAACAGTAATCAATATCACAGCAATGATTATAATAGTTACCATCTATTAAGGTAGTTATAGAATTGCATGAAGTATTTATATAATATCGTTTTTTATTTTATTTTATTTTTATTATTTTTTGAGATGGAGTCTCATTCCGTTGCCCAGGCTAGAGTGCAATGGCACTATCTTGGCTCAGTGCAACCTCTGCCTCCCAGTTTCAAGCGATTCTCCTGCCTCAGCCTCCCGAGTAGCTGGGATTACAGGCACCCACCATGCCCGGCTAATTTCTGTATTTTTAGTAGAGTCAGGGTTTCACCATGTTGGCCAGTCTGGTCTCGAACTCCTGACCTCAGGTGATCCACCCTCCTCGGCCTCCCAAAGTGCTGGGATCACAGGCATGAGCCACCGCTGCTAGACTATAATCTCGTTTTATGAGTGAAGAAACCAAGACGCAGAAAGATGAAATAATTTGATCAAGGCCACATAGTCTGTGGTAGAGAAATGATTTAAACCCAGTCTGCATCGTTCAAAGTCCATGATTTTTACACCATACCATGCCTCCTCTATTGAGTTTGTTCTATTGGAAATTCTTCTTACTAAACTGAAAGTTTCCCAAGAACAGAGATTTCATCTCCATCATCTCCCGAAAGTTCTACAATATCTGGCTTAGAAAGTGTTGAACTTTGTATGTCGAAGTCTGCCAATTCTAATTTCCAGTTCTTCTCATCGTCCCTTAGCAGTGGGCTGCAGCATGTAATTAGCGATGCGGTCAACATGACTTAGTGCTAAAGGACTTTCAAAGTTCACGATGCAATAGCAACATGCTAGCATCAGCCTAACCTCTCTGAAATACCCGCATTCCCAACCAGGCTTGTGACCTGGACAGACATGTGTGCCTCTTTATTAGACGTGTGTTTGTCTAGGAATGAAAGGAATCAACAAGTGGGATGTACATGCCCTGCATTTCAATGAGAGCTGTCATCCTATGGCGTGAAGGGGTCATTGTGATGAATTGGAAGAGTGTGTGGACTCTTGCTGTCTTGCCCCAACCTCAGGCTAACAATGCTTTTCTCAGCATTCCTCAGCATTGGTGCTCACAGCTGCACAATAGGATTTTGCCTTGTGCATTTACACACACAACGTGGCTCATCCATAGTAAATGATTAGAATGGGTGAATGAATGATTTTTTGTCTTGTTGCTGTTCAAGTTCCTTCACGGCAACACAATACAGTTACATATAGATGCTTGCAGAGGAAGTTTAATGTTTTTGTTAAGATTTAGTGAAAAGTAAACAGTTTTTAAAATAATAACACGTAATATTGATTATGTGTTTACTATGTGCCAGGTATTGTTTTAAATACTTTATATTTCTTTTTTCAAAAATTGTATTTCAGATTCAGGGGGTCCACGTGCTTGTTTGTTATGTGGATATTGCCTGTGTAATGGTAGGGACTGGGGCTTCTGTTTTTGTTGTTCTTTTAGGCAGAGTCTCAGCTCTGTCGCGCAAGCTGGAGTGCAGTGGTGCAATCATAGCTAACTTCAGCCTCAAACTCCTGGGCTCAAGGGATCCTCCTGCCTCGGCCTTCTGAGTAGCTAGGACTACAGACATGTGCCACCATGCCAGCTAATTTTTTAATTTTTTGTAGAGAAGAGGTTTCACTGTATTGCCCAGGCTAAAAGCAGACATTTCCTAGAGTCAGGCACATCTAGGTTCAAACCTCAGCACTGCCACTTTACTAGCTGGCTAATTTTGGAAAATATAACTCCTCCTATTTCTCCACCTCTGCTTTCAGAGGATCCTCAGTTCTCAGACCAGACAGAGACCTTCCCTGACCACCTTATCCCCTCCCATTCATCCTTCTCTCCCCTATGCTTATGCCTTGAGCACTTACCCAACTCCTGACATTCTGCACCCCAGGCCACAGGACTATAAGCCCCACCAGTGTAGACACCAAGTCTATGTCCCTCCCATTAAGTCCCCAAACCCCAGCACTGTCCCTGGCACACAGGGATGTTCAACTAATATTGCTTGAACAATTTAACAAAGGAAGAGAATGCCGAAGAAAAGGGAAGGAAAATATAACTGGAGTGTGGAGGGTTGAGGCAGAGGAGAAAAGGGATCAGGCAACTGCCTGCAGCTTTATTCTCTGTCAGTGGCAGCAGGGTTGCTGGGCCCTTCTACCTCCATCCCTCCCCAACCTAGGCACCCAAGACCAGACTTCTTGGCTGGGCACAGTGGCTCACACCTGTAGTCCCAGCACTTTGGAAGGCCAAGGCAGGCAGATTGCTTGAGGCCAGGAGTTCAAGACCAGCCTGGGCAACATGGCAAAACCCCATCTCTACAAAAAAAACACAAAAGTTAGCCAGATGTGGTAGCGTGCACCTGTAATCCCAGCTACTCAGGAGGCTGAGATATAAGAATTGCTTGTACCTAGGAGAGGGAGGTTGCAGTGAACCGAGGTGGTGCCACTGCACTCCAGCCTGGACTACAGGACAAGACTCTGTCTCAATTAAAAAAAAAAAAAAAAACCAGAGTTCTTAAGAATTTTCTCACTTCCTAGTGGTACTAATCCCTAACCCTAGAAAAATAACACTATTTTCTTACCCCTGTTCCAAGGCACCCAAAACATGCTGGAAAAATTACAAAACCCTGCTGATGTTATCCACACACATTCATGCATTCATGAGGCTTCACTTCAGCAAAGCCTCCAGGCTTCCCTGCCAGGACTTTGACTACATCATATCCATCCATTGACTAGTTCATGGACAATGTCTTGAGCCTTCCATTCCCATCCCTCTCAGGGAACAACTTTATCTCCTAATCTGGTCAGATGATCAAGGCCATTCTAATATGCTTAACACACCACACACAGATTTTATTCCTAGTGATTCCATAAGAAAATATGCTTCAAAGGGTGAAGAATATTGGTGAAAAAACTGATTGCTTTTCTTTCTTTTGCCTAAGGATCAAATTATAGATGGAGGTGTTTCTGAGGAAAATTGCTTGTCTTGTATTAAGAAGGCCATTTTCTGGCAGCCCTGACTACATTTTTAATCAATCTGGAGTCACTGGGAATGGATATTGGGACTATAAATATCAGGGGTAACAATAATAAGAGGTTCAGGGTCCAGCAATCACTGGATAAACATCTTATCTCACCACAGGCCTTTTCAAGGCAACCCTGGCTGGCCAAGGGACTAAGAAATGTGGACAGGCCAAAGTATAAGTATAAATATAAATATTGAGAAGCTGAAAATGTATCTCTCCTAGCTATCGTCTAAAAAGGAGGGGCCACTGTGCTGTAGAAACTTCCTAGTGGAGATGTTCTAACAACCAGCCACAGGAGATGCTTTGGTTAACAACCTTTCCACACTCTTTGTTTTCATTTCCATAGACGTCCTTACTTTGAAAAAACAGTTATTTGAAATTAAAATAACAAATGTCTTGTGGACCACATGTCAAGTGCTCTTGTAATTTCTTTTCAGACATGATCTCATTTAAACCTGGCAACAATCATGCAAATAGGTACTATCATTATCTGTAATTCATAGGGGTAGAAGCTGAGATATAGAGGAATGTATTGGGGGAGCTGGGATGTAAGCAGTGTGGCCCCAGAGCCTGAGCACTTTACCACTACACCATACCATCTGTCTTGTCTTTGAAAAGGACAGTATTTAACAAGAAGTCACAAATCAGTTTCCCCTTTGTTTATCAATTTAGGACAAAGGTAACAAACAACCAGCCCCTCTTGGGTCAGCTTCTGAGCAGAAGCTTTGGAATTCAAACAGATCTTAGTTTGAATTCTAAGAACCGTGAGACCTTTCTCAAGTTTCAGTTTTCCACTTGTTTCATTCTAAAAATGAGAATAACAGTACAGCTTCAATGAGAGTTTTGAGCAGTTGTAGGCAAAGTTTCTGTAAAGGACCAGAAAAGCATTTTAGGTCTTGTGTGCCATCCAGCAATCTCTGTCACAATGACTCAACTTGCTGTTGTAGTGCGAAAGTGGTCATGAACTGTATGGAAACAAATTGGGTAGCTATGTTCCATTAAAATTTTATTTACACAAACAGAAGGCAGCCGCACAACAAAGGAAACCTTCAACAGAGTGAGAAGACAACCCAAGGAAATATTCACAGAAAATATTTGTAAGCCATACATCTGATAAGGGCCTAAGATCCAAAATATACAATAGCAAGAAAACAACCTGATTTAAAGATGAAGCTGGAAACCATCATCCTCAGCAAACTAACACAGGAACAGAAAACCAAACACCGCATGTTCTCACTCCTAAATGAGGGTTGAACAATGAGAATACATGGACACAGGGAGGGGAACATCACACACTGGGGCCTGTTGGGGGCTGAGGGGTAAGGGGAGGGAGAGCATTAGGACAAATACCTCATGCTTGTGGGGCTTAAAACCTAGATAACGGGTTGATAGTTGCAGCAAACCACCAGGTCACATGTATACCTATGTAACAAACCTGCACGTTCAGCACAGATATCCCAGAACTTAAAGTAAAATAAAAAATAATGGTTGAAGAACCTGAATAGACATTTCTCAAAAGAAGATATACAAAAGGTCAACAGGTACAGGAAAGCTGCTCAACATCACTAATCATCAGGGAAATGCAAAGCAAAACCACAATGAAATATCACCTCGGACCTGTTAGAATATCTGCTATCAAAAACAACAACAAAGAAAGACAACAAGTGTTGGCAAGGGTGTGGAGAAAAGGAAACCCTTGTGCACTCTTCATGGAATTGTAAATTAGTGCAATCATTAAGGAAAACGGTGTAGGGACTTCACAAACAATCAAAAATAGAACTGCCATATGATCTAGCAATCCCACTACCAGGTGTATGTCCAAAGGAAATGAAATCAGCACGTTGAAGAGATATCTGCACTCCTATGTTTATTGCAGCATTATTCACAATAGCCAAAATATGGAATCAAGTTAAGTGTCCATCAACAGATGAATTGATAAAGAAAATGTGGTATATATACACAATGGAATACTAGGCAGCCTTAAACAAGAATGACAGCCTGTCATTTGCGACAATCTGGATGAACCTGGAGGTCATGATACTTAATGAAATAAGCCAGGCACAGAAAGACAAATACCACATGATTGCATTTATATGTGGAATCTAAAAAAATCAAACTTATACAAGCAGAGAATAGGATGGTGGTTACAGAGCCTAGGGGTGGGAGAAATGGGAAGTTGATGGTCAAAGGGTACAAAGTTTTAGTTAGAAAAGATATCTTATTCCTCCAGGAGGACTAGGTTCTCAAACTCTATTATACAGCATGGTGACTAGGGCATAATAATGTATTATATACTTGAAAATTGCTAAGGGAACAGATTATAAATATTCTCATCACCAATGATAAGGATGTGAGGTGATAAACTAATGTTAGTTTGTTTTATATGTATACATTCAACAGTGTATACATGTATCAAAACATCATGTTGTATCTCGTAAATACATACAATGTTTTATTTGTCAATTAAATAAATAAACAATAAAGTAAATTGCATAGATATATAAATAAATAATTTTATTTAGAATCTAGACCAATGGGTCTCAAAGTGTGAACCCAAACCAGTCAAAATAGCACTACCTGGGAACTAGTTCGAAACGCAAATCCTCTGCCCACACCAGACCTACTGGATCAGAAACTTTAGGGGTGGGGCTCAGCAGCAGGTGTTCAAACAAGCCCTCCGGGTGATTCTGATGCAGCTGAAATTTGAGATTTACAGATCTACATATTTCTATTTCTAATAGGGCCCTTTCCTAAGACTGTTTCTGTGAACCAGCTTTTTCTTTTCACTGTCTTTTGCTTTGCAAGTGTGAAACAAAACTTTGACACGTGCTGGAGAAAACAACAAAAACAGGCAGGACAATATCTGGCCTGCAGGCCATAGTTAACCAATCCCTGATTTTGAGCGTTGCAAGAGATAATGCATGGGCTTTGCATGACCCCTAGAATCTAAGTCATTGAAAACGGGTAGTATAGGCCAGGCGCAGTGCCTCATGCCTTAATCCCAGGACTTTGGGAGGCCAAGGCGGGAGGATCACTTGAGGTCAGGAGTTCGAGATCAGCCTGGCCAACATGGTGAAACCCCGTCTCTACCAAAAATATATTTTTTTAAATTGGCCAGGTGTGATGGCACACACCTGTAATCCCAGCTGCTCAGGAGGCTGAGGCAGGAGAATCACTTGAACCTGGGAGGTGGAGGTTCCAGCGAGCCAAAATCACGCCGCTGCACTCCAGCCTGGGCAACACAGTGAGAGACTCTTGTCTCAAAAAAAAAAAAAAAAAGAAAGAAAGAAAAAAGAAAAGAAAAGAAAATGGGTAGTATAATTGTCGTGGTTCCCACGAGATGAGCAGTGCTTTTTCAAGTTAGGTCAAAAAACAAAATCCCAACCAAACTCGAGGAAATTTAACACATTGTCAGTAACCTCTGAAGTCTTACTTAGGTAAATGCATAATTTTCATAGACTTTTAAAATATCGAAAAATTATTAAGACTCCACCCACAAAATTATCTTACAGATAGGGCTGCCAGGTACAATACTTTTTTAGTATTTTCAATATCAGGGATGCATTTATCCTAAAAAAGTATACATTGTTTATCTGAAACTGAAATTTAACTGGGGCATCCTGGGATTTTATTGTTTTTGTCTCTTTTGTTTTGTTGTTTTTTGCTAAATCTAACAGCCCTACCTATAGATCTCTTATAGTTTCACCATCTGGGAACCACTGGTTTTATTGCATAACAGGGATAACCTAACACAAGCAATATTTTGTTCTGTCAGGGAGGAAAAGAATTGCATTCTTATGGAATTATCCCCAAGGTTAAAAACTAATAACTCCCCTGTGTAGAAGCCACTGAAACACTCTGAGACAACCAAGTGCTCTGCACTCACGGGTGCCAAGAAAAAGCTTAGGTCACCCAAGGGAAAAGTACGATAATCTTGCATTTGTACCTGCTGATTAAAGTCAAGCAGCTTCCAGGAAAATGTAGGCGTCCCTCATGCCACTATGTTGAATTAATATCTGAAGAGTATTAATGATGGAAAAACTCGAATATATCCAAAATATCCAAAGTTTTGCAGTTGGATTTGTGGGTAGTCAAACTGTGTACTGAGAAAGCCTATTTTGTTAGTAAACAAAGCTCCTAAGTGGAGACGAAATTTTCTTTGCAAGTAAACACAGGAGCATAAATCAAGGATTCCTGGTAAATATTTGATAATGATGACGGAGGCAGAGTAGGTGCCCTCAGGCTTCACATATAGTCCAACAAGAGGGCTTATAAAATCATTCTTATGAAAGTTATAAAAATGGGGAAAAGTGGCTCAGCATGCTACAAACTATGTCTTTTCAAACTTCAGAGAAGGAAGATGATATTTGACATGTTCATGAAGACGAACACATTAAGTTTTAATTAAAAGAGCACAGTATTTCGCATCAGGAGATCCATGTTTGAGTTTCAGCGCTACCACTTCCAAGCTGTGCAGCCTTGAACAATTCACTTAGCCTCTCTGAACCTCTGTTGTCTCTCTCTAAAACAGAAAGGATGAGAATTCCCATCTCACACGCTTTGGTCAGGGTCAAGGAGATAATGGAAATGAAAATGATTTGCAAGCCGTGAAACTGCAAAGCACTGTCTGTCCCGATCATTTCCATGACGAAGAGCAAACTCTGTGGTGACTAGAAAGTGAAATAATGTTGTACTGAGTGTTACCAGCTGAAACCATGCTAAGGACATTATGCTTTCAAGAAATGTGGGTTAGTTAACTCCATATAACAAAGTAGTGGGTGGCTTACACAATGAAATGTATCAGCTAGGCACGGTGGCTCACACCTGTTACCCCAGCACTTTGGGAGAAAGAGGTAGGCAGATCACTTGAGGTCACAGTTCAAGACCAACCTGGCCAACATGGTAAAACCCCATCTCTACTAAAAATACAAAAAATAGCCGGGTGTGGTGGAACACGCCTGTAGTCCCAGCTACTTGGGAGGCTAAGGCAGGAGAATCGCTTAAACCTAGGAGGTGGAGGTTGCAGTGAGCCAAAACAAAAACAAAACAATAACAACAAAAAAAGACAATGAAATGTATCATCTCACATTCTGGAGATGAGAAGTCTGAGATCAAGGTGTCGGGCAGCAGGATTGGTTTCTTCTGAGGCTTCACTCCATGGCTTGGTAGATGGCCATCTATTCCCTGTGTATGTTCCCGTGTTTAAATCTCTCCTTTTTATACAGACATCAGTCATATTGGGTTAGGACCCATCCTCATGACCTGCTTTAATTTGAATACCTCTCTGAAGACTCTGTCTCTAAATAAGGTCACCTTCTAAGGAACTGGGGATTATGATTTCAACATTTGAATTGGGAGAGGATTCAATTCAACCCATAACAACATCTTTCGTTTATTCTATTAAAAAGTGGTCAAATGGGTTCACAGTGTATCCCAAAGCCTGCTTCTCCTCAGATAAAAATATTCCACTCTACAATGGACACCTTCCTGCTTGTTGGGTCTTTAAGACGATAAATTATTTACTTTGGAATAAGGTTTCAAGTCTGTGGCCTCATACCTTCTCCAAACACCAAAACACTAGGCAGTGCAATGCCCCTCTTTTCACAGAAATGCCTTTATTCTGTGGCAAACATGTCATTTTCCCTTATATTTAGCTTATGAATGAAATTATGTCTCACATTGATACAAAGGCACTGAAGTTTTTAGATTTCAAACTCAATTTTTTGTTCAAGAAGTTTACTTATCAGTTATCAATCCCTTCTGTACTAAGCCTACAGATTGTTGACACATTTCCAAATTGGACAAGGCACCTTCATTAATTTATAGGACTAATAAGTATATACACATATGTAAAAATCTCATATGTAATTGATATATGTAACATAAAATAAAAATGACATTTTAAAAGCAAAGTTAGCCTTTTTTTAACTCATGCTTTCTTAGTGACTCAATATCCTTCTTTCCATCAATAATTGCCTTGCCATCTTAGAAAAATATAAATGTCCCAGACCAAATGGATGCATAAATGTTTGTCTTGGGAGTTGGTCATTATAGCTCTTTTTGCAACATCAAAAATGTGGAAATAGCCTGATATCAAGCAGGAGTTTGCCAAACAAATCATGAGGCAGCTACATCTAGAATACAATACACCCATTGAAGATTATGTTTTTGAAAAATATATAATGGCATGGGGCAATATTCGTGGTATGCTGTTAAAGACAAGCAGGTTACACAAGGCTATGGACAATTCCAATTTTAAGACTACATACACATAAAAGAATATAGACGGGATATTCATTAATGAGTTAATATACTTATCTCTAAATAGTGAGATTGTAGATAATTTTTGTTTCTTCTTTGTACTTTCCTTTTTTGATTTTTTTTCCACAAAATGCATCCATCACTCATATAATGAAAATATGACCTTTTTTAAAAATCGAAAATTTGCCTCTGAAAGATTATTGCTTCAAACAAAGCACCATTCATTCCAATGGGTTACTGTATTTTTCAAAGATCTTAGTATCTTACTCCTAGGAGATGATAATTTAGGGAAAGGGCTCAAAAAAGTATAAAAATAATTATATATTCAGTAATATAATGCAACCTATCACATTATAAAAAGACAATTTAAAAAGAAAAAAGGCTGGGCGTGATGGCTCACACCTGTTATCCTAGCACTTTGGGAGGCCGAGGCGGGCAGATCACCCAAGGTCAGGAGTTCGAGACCAGCCTGACCAACATGGAGAAAACCCATCTCTACTAAAAATACAAAATTAGCCAGGCGTGGTGGCACATGCCTGTAATCCCAGCTACTTGGGAGGCTGAGGCAGGAGCATCACTTGAACCCAGGAGGCGGAGGTTGTGGTGAGCCGAGATCAGGCCATTACATTCCAGCCTGGGCAAAAAGAGCAAAACTGTCTAAAAAAAAAAAAAAGCTTAATGAAGGACTTAGCATTTGATTTAGATTAGGACTTAATGAAAAGGTATATTTTCCAGGAGGTACACAGACAATGGAGAGGAAGGGTATTCCTGACACAGGAAATGGCATAAGTAAACCAACTTGTAGTAAAATGCCTGGTCTACTCTGAGAGCAACAAATAGTTTAGTATGAGTAGTTCATGGGAGTTCTAAAAGAATGTCAGGGGTCGAGGTAGGAAAATCAAGTCGTAGGGCTGGATGGTCATAAAATTTATTGTTCAAACTAAGACCCCTTCAAGCATGAAAAAGGCTGCTGTTAATAGCTGCAGGAAACAGCTAGGACCATACCAGGAAACCAGGACATATGGCCACCCAACAAAGGACTGGATCCCAGGATGCCTTAAATACCAAGCTCAGATATGTGAACTTTATACACAGAATCTTGAAATCCTAGGGTTGAAAAGAAATGTCAATGCCTTCCAGCCTGGCTAACCATATTCCTGCCTCTCCAACTTTTCCAAGAATTGCTATCAAGCCTTTGCTTAAATTTCTCTGTGACAAAGAACTCATTGCCTTGGGATGCCTGTTAGAAAATTCTTTATTGTATTGAGCTGAAATGTATCTCCTTGTGTCTCTTATTCATTTGGCTCTTTCATTCATTCATCCTGCCCTCTCAAAGACAAACACAATGATTATCTCCCTCCACATTAGAGGGAAAGACAGACATTGTGACCTTCTAAATCTTCTCTTTTGCAGGTTAAATATCCGTACCCATCTTTCCTAGAGCATTCCTGCAGTCTGTCACCATACTCTTATAACTCCTAATTCACTTTTGAATTAATCCACTCTTGTCATCTTCCCTGCTACCCTTTGGTTTAGGGCCACCATCTTTTCTTGCTTATATGACACAGTGCCTCCTAAGTGGTCTCTGTCTTACCAGCCATCCTTCCAACTCATTGTTCATACTGCAGCCAGATTGATCTTTCCAAGACCCCAAACCGATTATGACACTGCCCTGCTTACAAGCTTCATTGGCTCCCCATTTTCGTAAAGATCAATTACAGCTTCAAGTAGGACAGTGTCATGCCATTCTGGCCTCAGCCACCACTCCAGTCTCATTTCTCTCATCCCCTCTCTTGCATTCCTTCTTTAGTCCCTTGCACAGCTCACTGAAGGTACTGACACCTCTGCTTGAAGCTCTCTTCCCTCCATCACCTTCACCTTCCTCATCTTTACTCAGCCTTTGGGTCTCAATTTAGACATCACTTCCTAAAGAATGTTTACCCTGGTCCCATTAAGTCTAGATTAAATATCCCTTCTCAGGTGGTTTCACGAGGACCTAAGCTTCCCCTATCAAAGCAAGTATAATATTGAATTAAAATCACCTGGTTCCTCACCTAACACCTCTGCTCCTTTGTAAATACCGTGAGATCAGGTCTTCTTCAGCACTGTTGTCTCCAACATCTAGCAGAGTGGTTGCCACATATTAGGTGCTCAAATAATAATAGCCAATACAGTTGCTAATAAATTAATGTGTAGCACCCAGAACTAGATACAATTGTTCTAAATATGGTCTGAACAATACAGAGTACGATGACTATCATGTCTCATGTTCTATACTTTTTTTTTCTTTTTCTTTTTCTTTTTCTTTTTCTTTTTTTTTTTTTTTTTTGAGACAGAGTCTCACTCTGTTGCCCAGGCTGGAGTGCAGTGGTGCAATCTCAGCTCACTGCAACCTCCACCTCCCGGTTCAAGCAATTCTCCTTCCTCAGCCTCCCGAGTACCTGGGACTACAGGCACTTGCCACCATGCCCAGCTAATTTTTCTATTTTTAGGAGAGACAGGGTTTCACCATGTTGGCCAGGATGGTCTCCATCTCTTGACCTTGTGATCCACCCGCCTCGGCCTCCCAAAGTGCTGGGATTACAGGCATGAGCCACTGCACCCAGCCTCTAGACTTCTTTTACTACAACAAAATTCTATTTTAAAAGAAACATATCACTATTGATTTTATCATCCGTTTAAATCTCTAAACCTTAACTATATAAAGCTGCCACTTCTCTCTAACTTTCTGTCTCTTCCTCTCTCTGTCTCTTCCTTTCTCAATCCGCTTTCCCTCTCCCTCTACTTCCCATCTGCCTCTGTCATACACATACACACATACCTAGTAATTTGCAATTTAATTTTGGGATCCATGCATAAGACTTTTTATATCCATCTCTGCACACATACACCCCAAAAATTAAAAGTCAAAACAGATTATAACTTATTGATAACTTTTGGACTCCTAATCCTTATGCCTTTTCTCTTAGCAAATGGGAGCCTTATATTATGCCTTTATAGATATCAATGATGCTGAATAAACAGGAATGAAGACAGAGGCCAGTAGCATGCCACTAAAGACATTCACATGTCAATCCATCTGTTAATCAGCTCTCCTTTAATAAATGCATTCAACCAGTCATTAATCCAGCCCATATGCACTTTTCTAATCTAGAAGAAGATCACAGAAATCTGTGCCTTCCTGAAATCAATGTTGTGAACTGATTAAAGTTTATTGAGTATAACCATGTTTCAGGTGCATTCACATACTTTATTTTAGTTAAATCCTCCAGCACCTATTACTGTTTTTTAATAGATAATAAAATCATCTCTTAGAAAATTACACAAGTAGCAATTGCCAGAGCAGGGATGTGAGCCCAGGTCCTGTGACTCCAAGTTCATGGTCATCAGCACACATGATATTGGGATCATCTCAAAAAAGAAAGCATGCCTAATTTGACTTATGCTGGCTCCACTATTCGCCACCTACTTCACTCTCCCAAATGTCTGTGGAATTAATTAATTCCTTTGATTAGAGATTCCTAACTGGAGGTTCATTACAACTCAAAGGAGTCTCAGAGTTGACTTGTCATGAACCCACTGAAAGTTCATACAAAGTGCAATATGTGGTGTATCCTGCATTTTTTTCTGAGAAGAGTAGTGTGTATCTATACCTGAGAAGGACCTTGGTCTCAAAGAGCTTGAGAACAACTTCAAGTTTAAATAACTCCCTATCAAAGTTAATCATCATTCACCTTTCTGTCTGAAGGTTTAGATTGCACACATCTCTTTTTAGGAAATCAAAACTGCATTTTCTTATCTCTAGCATCCCAAATTCTCCATCACTTTCTACAGAGTTTTTAGAGGGCTTGCTTGCCCACTGGCCCATTCTGAGGTTCTGGATGCCTTCTCTGGATCAAGCTTATCCAAGGACTCTTACAAGCCCACCTATCTAGGCCTTTAGTGTCCTTGTCCCATGCCAGGTTCCAGGCTAAAGAGGATTCCTTTGCCTTCACAAAGTCAACAGAGCCAAAACTGCAAAAGGCCTTTCTTGCAGCTCTTTCTTGGGGAAGGTTAGGATAGGTGCAGTAGCAATAGGAGAAGCCCACCTGTTGAGATGTGAATTAGAGAGGGAGCTGATAGACCCACAGACTCGAGGCATTATTCTCAAATATCCAGAAAGTCTAAAGCCTTCCATTGCTAAATAAGTAGAAAACTATGTTTTCCCTGATAATCATGCTTAACCTTTATTCCTTAGCATATTATAGATGATAATTTCCTGAAAGCTTCTGTATCTCTGTCATCTAATTCAATGCTTAAACATAAATGGTCATTCACAAAAATTGCACAAAAATTCATTGAGCATCCCACCTGGGTCTAAGCACTAACTGTAATCATACTAAGACAAAAAGAGTTGATCCCTAAGGACTGGTGTGGGATGGACAAGTAAATAGATATTTGTAATAAAGAATGGTAAGTGCTCTGACCCACAGAAATAAAGGAAGCTCTGGGGGAACAAGAGAGGGCCACCTAACCCATTAGGAAGGATGATCTGCATCGTTTCCAAGAGAAAGGGGCTTTCAGCTGGGTCTAAATAAAAACAGAGGTTAGACACAGACCTCACAGATGTACAGAAAGAAAGTCTTATTTAATAAATAGTTTAACACGCCTAAATTCATATATGATATGGACAAAATGTATATAAAATGTACAAAAATGGTACATAAAATGTGGAGAGGGAGTGAGTAGTAAGATATAACAATGAAGAGGAAGGTAAAAGGCAAGTTGTGGACAATGTGTATCCACCAAAATTATTCTTGAAAGAAAATAAAAATGGGAATCTGCTGAAGACTTTTCCAAAATGAACTGCATGATCATATTATATTTTAGAAAGATCATTTGACACAGTCTGGGCACAGTGGCTCACGCCTGTAATCCTAGCATTTTGGGAGGCCGAGGCAGGCAGATCACTTGAGGTCAAGAGTTCAAAACCAGCCTGGCTAACATGGTGAAACCCCTCCTCTACTAAAAATACAAAAAAAAAAAAAAAAAAATTAGCCTGGCATGGTGGCAGGCACCCGTAATCCCAGCTACTTGGGAGGCTGAGGCAGGAGAATTGCTTGAACCCGGGAGGTGGAAGTTGCAGTGAGCTGAGATTGCGCCACTGCACTCCAGTCTGGGCAACAGAGCAAGACTACATCTCAAAAAAAAGAAAGAAAGATCATTTGACACAGTGCAGAAACAAAGTGGAGGTATGGGCTGGGCAGGACTGGCCCCAGATGAGACTAATGGGAAGTTGTGGCCAGAATGGAATTTGAGGGAATACTGGCCATAAGTATAACAGTGGTGGGGGAGGTGGAGACACAGGTATGTGTATGAATTATACTCAGCAATGAGATCAGACAGGGTTTGGTGATGATTGTCATGAATGAAAGGGAAGAAGTCACCTAGGGTGATTCTGTTGTGTCTGACTTGGACAACTTGAGAAATGCCATTTAAGCAGTGGCAAAGAAAAGAGGAAGAGCAGGCCTGGGAGAAGAAGGGAGAAGACAGATCCAGGTCCTAACTCGGTGATTTTAAGGTGCTCTATGGAACATCAAAGTAGAGACTGGAATTTTAGGAGAAAGATTAGGCTACGTTTGGGAGACACCATGTATATGTAGTGGTTAAAGCCGCTGGAGTGAATGAGATTATCCAGAGAGACTGCAGGATGACAAGGGAAGAGAGTCAAGAAGAAAGAGCAGTGCACACAAACACTTATGAAGTGAAGCCCTTTAAGTATTAAATTGTAACTCAAAGGTCAGAAGGAAGCCCGGGAAGCATGGGATTGCAGGATCCAGGACAGAGTCAAAAAGAGAAAGGAAAGGACCAATAGTTCAAAATGACACAGAGGCTGTGTGTGTGCGTGGGAGGGGGGGAGTTGAAAATGCTCTATGGTTTTGCTACAAGGAGGTCTTCGGCGGCCTTGCCAAAGGTTGGCCCTCAGAGGTGAGGGCGGACGCCAGGTGACTGGGTGTGAAGGAGCAAACCGGTAGTGAGGAGATGTCGGGAGACAGCAAATGCCACCCACTCTTTCAAGGAATTTGGTGGGAAGAGGAGCAGAAAACTGAGGTGGCAGCCAGAGGTGACCACTGCGGGGGAAACCGGAAGCTCCATTAAATACCTGATGAGCAGAAGTGCAGAAAACCTGTGCTCCGTGGAACTGGGTATGTGATAAATACATAAGCAATACCAGAATCGGGTTCCCTCTCCATCCTGCTGGGCACTAGAGCGGCTTTTGTTTCCATTCCCTCTATCAGTGAGAAGCGGCTCTTGCTTCACTTGTTAAAATGAAACCAGAGTGTGGAAGCCCAGCAATCGCTGGAACCCTTTGACCCCCTCTCCGCACCTGAAGACCGGCTGTGCCCACTGCCCCTGCGGACGCTCCCCAGTGTTCGCCCTTGGAGATTTCCAAGTCCAGATCTAAAGCACCCATAATCAGTTAAGACCCAGGGCTCCCTCTAGTCTTATCCAAAATTAGCCCTATCCGTTTGAAAGGCTTGTTCAAATAGAAAAGGACAAAGGACCAAGAAACTGGCTGTGCCGAATTGTGCACGTCAATCAACATCTTTGTGGAGCCTGCGATCGGCGCGTTGTGGGGAAGGGGCTCCCTCCTTCAGGGAGATGATTCTGTCTCCTGGAGGCAAGTGTGGGAGTTCAGAGGACTTTACTAAACATATTGTTTTAAAAATCCCCGTCCTTCTTGCCAAGCCCCTGTCCCACAGGTAATAAACAAGAAGCCGGGCCCGTCTCGCCGCCCAGGAGGGCAGAGCTTGCAGTGCCCTGCGGCTGGTAAGGCTGAGGGTCGCCCGCTTGCAGTCGAGCCGTGGTGAACCGAGAGTCCTGCAAGTTGGACGGGCTCGCTTTCCAGAAACCAGAGACAAACTCGATATTTACAAACTCATTCTCTGGCAATGAAAACTTGAAATGAGTTGAGCTCCGCATTTGCGCGCCTGCAAATTGCTCCAGCTGAGTGCACGGGAACACAGCCCAACAGGGACTGCTTTCCGGCAAACCTGGAGGCCCTTTGCAAGGTTTTTCTGCTTGACAGAATGGCAGCTGTGACCTGGGAGCCCAAGCAATGGAGGACGGGTAGAGAGAGGCGCATACCGTACCCGATCGGCGTGGCGGGTCATGCTGCGGGAGTCTCGGCGTCTGTTCCTGCCCGGGCGCTGCGGACGCGGCCTGGGCTGCAGCCCCGCGACCTGGGAGCTGTGCTCGGGACGGCTGCTGCGGACTGCTCTTGTTTGCACTGGCCGTTTGCTTTTGGGATTTCTCCAGTGCAGATGTAGTCAGGGGGCCGCTGTCCCGGGGGACAATGATTCCATTGGAAGCTGGCCTTTGACAAGACACACACATGACCTTTGACTAAAATGGCTTTGGGGAAGGAAAGTGTCGGGAGGCTGAAGACGGGGCGTCCAGCGCCGCCATCCACATTCCCACCCCCGACAGTGCCTAGTTAATTTTTCATCTTTCAAGGAGAACCTCTGTGAGGTTTGGTTTGCTGTTTCTCTTTCATTCTGTAGGATTCAGTCTGTTTCCAAAAGGAGTTCGCAGCACAAGTTTCCTGCTGTGTTGTTAATGCATTCCCTGAACTAGCATTTCCAGGTCAAACAGGGGCAGGCCTATGCTGTTTAAGTTCCTCTGACGCTCTGGAAAATATCACCACCATTTTTTTTTCTAAAACACGCTACAGTTTACAAAGGGCTTTTCACGATCATGCTGTCATTTGGCCTCCCAAACAATGCCGAGGAGGCTCTCCTACTACTGCCATTTTACACATAAAGAATTAGAAGCTCAGAAAAATATTTGCCCCATCACCCAACCAGAAAGTGAAATCCAGGTCTTCTTAATTGGCATCCAGTCCACATCCACGAAACCACCCACCACCCTGCTGAGTGACCCACACTACTAACGAGAACACAATTAATATAAAGCAATAGTAGCTACAGTTATTTTAATTTTTGAATTACAAAAGTGAGTGTCAGAAATTGTTTTATTAGATAATAGATGTTTTGTTCCTTGATATTCACAGATATCTTGAATTTACTGGCTACATTAAAAAAAAAATAGTCTACTGCTAAAAGGATGCTGTGGTAACCAGACTAGCCACTTAGAGGTACAAGCCAGGTGTTCCCCGGGCTGCTAGCAAAGTCTATCACTAACTACTATCAGCACCTCTTTCTATCTTATTTCTGGGTCCTTCCAGACAGTGAAATACTAAACAAAAGGGAAGGGGCTGTGAGCTTGTGAAATGAACAATGGACAAGCAGTCAGCATCACAGAATTTTAATGTGACGGAGGCGGAGTTGAGGGATGGCAGAGAGTTATGGTGGAGGTCTGCAGAGAAGCCCTAGACCTAGACCTGCCCAGTGTGAAAAGCAATAGTACTTTCACTGTTTTCAGCTCAGAAAAGTGGAAAGGGGGTGACACTCACTCTCAATTTTGAAGGACTTGGAGGAGCCAGCCAGGAGAAGAAGAGGGGGAAGGACATCACCGACCCAGACAGCACCAGGTACAAACTGCTGTGGTGTGTTCAGTGAACTTGAAAATAGTCGGGGCAAGCAGGAGCAGACGGTGTGGGAGGGTGAATCTAGAGAAGGGGGTGCGGGATGGACTCTGACCAGCCTCCTGTGTCACTCTAGGGGATGTGGACTTCATCTTGCAGCGCTGAATGTGTTAATATAACTGGCTCTGGGGCATCAACTCACAAGAGGAGGATACAGGAGTCATGCATTGTTCTCCAACAACAACAAAAAGATATAGATCAACATCACCTAGCTCGGTAGTTAGGGGCATTTGCTTCATCAGACAGAGGCAATTTCTTCTTCCTAGCTGCGAAAATGTGAGCAATACATTTAACCTCACCAAGCCTCAGTTTTCTCATCAGTAAAACTGGAGTTGTAATATATACTATGAGGATTAAATGAAATTCTGTAGATAAAACCCTTAGCCTTTCTGCAGGCATGGAGTTATACTCAGTAAAAGATAGCTATTATATTTTAAAGTACTTTAATATGTGCAGTGCTTACCATGGAATAACAAGGCACTCTCTTTCTCCCAGTCCTCTCACTCCCTCATTCTCATCATACATCTGGCTTTGGACTCATTAGAAGTTTATCCCTTGTTCCTTCCTCTTCTTATATTCAGGGTTTTCTTTTGTTTGTTTGTTTTCAGACGGAGTCTTGCTCTACCGCCCAGGCTGAAGTGCAGTGGCACAATCTCTGCTCACTGCAACCTCCATCTCCTGAATTCAAGCGATTCTCCTGTCTCAGCCTCCCATGTAGCTGAGTTTACAGGAGCCCACTACTACAACTGGGTAATTTTTCTATTTTTAGTAGAGGTGGAGTTTCACTATATTTGCCAGGCTGGTCTCGAACTCCTGACCTGAAGTGATCCACCTGCCCTGGCCTCCCAAAGAGCTGGGATTACAGGTGTGAGCCACTGCGTCTGACCTCAGCTCCTTCTTGACAATACTTCCTCTATGTCTCCGACTAGTCTTTAATATCAATTTAGATCTGTCTCTCCTTCCACTTCAATTTGTTCATTTCTTTGTCCTACCATTGCCATACCCATCTGCAAATTCTCCACCGAAGATGTAGCTATCTGCTAGAGGTAAACATCATTCCAAAATCATGGCCATTGGCACCACCATTGATGTCTGGCCTACCCCTGGCTGGGCACTCAGCACCACCTCAGTTCTTACAAATGTCCCCAGCCAGCTCACTTCTCTAATTATGCAAAGTAACACTTCCCACCTCTTTAGAACCCTGATCCCACTCCCACCTGGCTTGCTTTCAGCAAACAAACTCTTTTCCCCCAATAAAGAACACAGTAGCTATCAGAAGGAAATTCTATTTCCTGTCCCTGCACCAGAAAAATATATCTATTCTCCACTTCTCCCTTCCTACCTCAGAGGTACCTCTTTTTCTGTGCACTGTAGATTCCCTCTCTTCCCACTTCCTATGGAAAACTCATCAACCATCGCCTTTCCTTTCAACTTCTTCTCTACTGATAACATCAGTTCATTTATTCCATAGGCATTTATAAAGCAACTATAATCAAGCGTCTTTGATTCTTCACATACACGGATAAATAAAACATTACAGCCTATAAACACATTAAAGTCCCTCCCACACACCATGTTTCCTCATGGAGTCTGAATATGTGCCAGTTCCTTGCAACAGTAACAACAACAACAGCACGTGCACCCAGCATGTGCCCACTGCCAGGAACATTCTTCCATAGATCTTCCAAGGCCAGTTTCTACTCATACTTTAGGTGCTGGCTTAATGTCACCTGCTCAAAGAGTTCTTCCTAGGATATGAACAGACACTTCTCAAAAAAAAGACATTTATGCAGCCAGCAAACATATGAAAAAAACTCATCATCACTGGTTATTAGAGAAACAAAAATCAAAACCACAGTGAGATACCATCTCATGCCAGTTAGAATGGTGATCATTAAAAAGTCAGGAAACAACAGATGCTGGCGAGGATGTGGAGAAATAAGAACGCTTTTACACTGTTGGTGGGAGTGTAAATTAGTTCAACTACTGTGGAAGACAGTGTGGTGATTCCTCAAGGATCCAGAGCTAGAAATACCATTTGACCCAGCCATCCCATTACTGGGTATATACCCAAAGGATTATAAATCATTCTACTATAAAGACACATGCACACGCATGTTTATTGCAGCACTATTCACAATAGCAAAGACTTGGAACCAATCCAAATGTCCATCAATGATAAACTGGATAAAGAAAATATAGCACATATATACCATGGAATACTATGCAGTCATAAAAATAATAAGTTCATGTCCTTTGCAGGGACATGGATGAAGCTGGAAACCATCATTCTCAGCAAACTAACACAGGAACAGAAAACCAAACACTGCATGTTCTCACTCATAAGTGACAGGTGAACAATGAGAACACACGGACACAGGGAGGGGAACATCACTCACCGAGGCCTGTTGGGGGTTGGGGGACAAGGGGAGGGAGAGCAGTAGGACAAATACCTGATGCATGCGGGGCTTAAAAACTAAATGACAGGTTGATAGGTGCCGCAAACCACCATGGCACATGTATACCAATGTAACAAATCTGCACATTCAGCACAGGTATCCCAGAACGTGAAGTAAAATTAAAAAAAAAATTACAGTGGGGCATGAGGAATTTTTGGAGATGGTAATTTGTGTTGATGATTGTACATATATATGTATGCATTTATATGTACATATGTAAGTAAATGTTAAAAAAAGAAAGAGTTCTTCCTTGACCAGCCAATCTAATGAGCCATCTTTTTCTTCGTTATTGGCTATCTTTTAACCTTTCCTGTTTCCTTCATATCAGTTATCTGATGTTGTGATGAAAAGCTTCTCAGTCTGCCCACTTGCTTATTTTCTGTTGTTTCCACTAGTCTGAACCTTCATGAGAACTGAGACTCTTATGTTTTACTCAGCACAGTATCTCGTACCTAGTAGGCAACTCAGAAAGCATTGTTGATTGTACACACCAGGTGCCAGCACCATATCTGCCTTAATCTTTTTTTTAATTTTTTCTTTATCTCTATCATACAGCCTACTGAATTTCAACATCAACTAAAATTAGAATCTCCCAGGCTCTTAACAATCTTCATGCCCAAAGCACACTCAGACCAGCTATCACTGAGGTGAGATTTAGGTAATTCCAAAAGCCAAGCTTGAGAACAACTGACCTAGCCTCTGCATGACACAAGTGAGGCTCAATAAAGGAGTGAAGAGATGAATGAATGTTCAGGGAATGGGGTCATTCAGCTTCTGCTTATCTTTAGTCCTCTTCTCCTTGGTCTCTCCCCACATAATCTGTTATCTAGGCATGCAAAGCCCCAAACAAGCCCTGCCCTCTCATTTTTCCAACCTTTCAAGTGGTGCTAGCTCTACTAAAACATCCATGCCCCAGCCTGGCTCCCTAAGGAGTTTCCCTACTGGTAAAATCTGGGTTTGGGTTCAACACAAGCTCCTCTGCCAGGCTCTGGGCCTCTTCTCTGCTTGCTCATGACATGCTATTAGTGCAGTCAAGGCTGCTTCCTGCTGCTGTGTCATGATTATTCTTGACCAAGAGCTCTTTTCTCCTGTGCCCCATGTGTGGCAGGCTGCCTAGTCAGCAATGGCATTCCACAGACGTTGTAGAAGGAAATGAAGTAACACACTTAATGAACTTTAAACGAGATGCTCTGCTTTCATTTCTGGGTGATTTTTGTTGTTGTTGTTGTTTTTAACAGCATTATTGAGACCTAGTCACATAATGTACAATTCACCAATTTAAATGGTACCATTCCATGGTTTTTAGGATAGTCACAAAAGTATATAACCATCACCACAATCAATTTTAGAATATTTCATCACTCCAAATCCAAAAGGAACCCCGTACTTATTAACAGTCATTCCCCTTGTACCCCTCATTCTCCCAGGCCTCAGTAACCATTCATAGAGACAGAATTCTGTTTCTATAGGTTTGCCTATTCTGGTCATTTCATATAAATAGAATCATACAACACCTTGTCTGTTGTGATTGGTATTAACTTCCACTTTTGAAGACCTATTTGTCTATAAGCATCACTCTCCTATTGAGTGTATACGATGGAATATGGACTCTGGTAGAGATCTTGAAGGATGAACCAAGGCAATGTTTCTTAGACCAAATTTCACAGCAGCCTGGTAAATCATCCAAATTCTTGAGCCCCAAGGTGAGAGAGTATAAGGAGGAAGGAGAATGGAGACACTTAGCTACACCTGTTACCCCAGAAGAGCAGGAAAGAGAGATGGATTTCAACAGGGCTCAGCTGTGCCTCCTACCGCCCCAGCCTGTCCCAGCTGGGCCATATGAACAGGACCTCCTGCACCATCAGGACCCCCACATTGAGGGCAAACTTCCAGAGTCAAAATCTAGATTTGCCACACATTACCTGTAACTTTTGATGTCCTGCTTCCTCATCTCTTAAAAAAGGATAGAAGTAATTCCTATTTTATAGATACCACATCATAGAATTGTGAAGATTTAATGAAAAAACACACATACAAGTGCATAGCACAGCACCTGGGACATTGTAAATACCAATGCATGTTTACACTTGTTGCTTGATCACAGCTGTTTGTATATTGTTCTTCTAAGCAATATTTAATATCGAAAGGGGGTTCTGATGCTTTAAAAAGTACTGCAAACCATTATTCTAGGAAAACTTCACATACCATGCAGGATTCTTCTGCCAGATGATCATCTGTGTTCTGCTTGCTATGAGCTAGGACAGTGGAAAGATTTAGATGAAGTTGAAGAGTAATTCACAGAAAGTGAAGGGAGAGATAGGTTACGTTCATTCCTAGCACAAAAAGTTGATGAAGGCTGGGTAGGGTGGCTCACGCCTGTAATCCCAACATTTTGGGAGGCCTAGGTGGGTGGCTTGCCTGAGGCCAGGAGTTAGAGACCAGCCTGGCCAACTTGAAGAAACCCCATCTCTATTAAAAATACAAAATTAAAAAAAAAAAAAAAAGCCAGGCATGGTGGTGAGCACCTGTAGTCCCAGCTACTTGGGAGGCTGAGGCACAAGAATTGCTTGAACCCAGGAGGTGGAAGTTATAGTGAGCCAAGATTGTGCCAGTGCACTCCAGCTTGGGTGACAGAGTGAGACTCCGTCTAAATAAATTTTTTTTTAAAGTTGATGGAAAGCATCTAATTCTTCCTACCATATATTCACCAGTACCACTAGTAGGCAGAGTCTGTTGGCTTTATGGAACTTGGTTCAGTTCACCAAGGGCAGATCATCTATTCACCTGCACCCCTCTCCCACAATTTCTTTATTTTCTTTGTACTATTTTTATGTGCCAGACCTGTATGTGCTGTCTCCTAAATAGATCTGAATACAAGCCCTCAGGAGGTGTCTCCAAAATACACCTGAAATCGGCCCTTGGGGTGCTGACCCTCCGTAGGCAATCTACTGGTCAGATACAACCATCTGTCTGCATCAGACAGTGCAGCAAGGAGCCACAGGGTATCTTGATTTTGCTGTCAGCTGGTCAGACAATTATCCTGCAAGCTCCCGGGGAGCTGTTCTTGCATGTAAGCCTCACATGTCTATTTCAAGTTGTGTAGCATAATTAGTGGACCTTTGTCTCACTTCCACTGCTTTGAATGGGCTTGCCTGCACATCTGGCAAACCTTTGCTCAGATTCCGCTCCACCATCCCTCATGACGTTCCCTTCTCTATGATTCCCCAGCTAGGACAGCTCCTAGGACAGTGCCCGGTTGTCACCTGTGTATAAGACCAACTCTGCTGCTGCACTGTGAGCATTAGTAAGGACCTTTTTCCTTTATCTTTGTGTCTCCCAGTCTAGCCTTGGGTCTAGCACAAAAAATGCTCATTCCTCCCTTTGACAGATATGCATTGAGATCCTATTGTGGGCTGAAACTTCAAAATGCAAACATTTCATGAAAGCATGGAATTTTAACTCTGAAAGGAATTTCGAGAGACCAAAGGAGGCCCCAGAGAAAGTAGGTCTTATTGAGCGTCCCAATGCCTAGGTGGGGAAAACTCTAGGAATACACCTTGCTCTTTTATGGCAGGGATTTTTCCTTTGGCTAAAATAACAGAATTTTAATAACTTGGTTAGAAAATTAGAGAAACATCTAAAGGCCGGATGCACTGGCTGACACCTGTAATCCCAGCACTTTGGGAGGCTGAGGTGGGTGGATCACTTGAGGTCAGGAATTCGAGACCAGCCTGGCCAACATGGCAAAACCCCATCTCTACCAAAATAGAAAAATTGGCCAGGTGTGGTGGTGCGTGCCTGTAATCCCCGCTACTAGGGAGGCTGAGGCAGGAGAATCTCTTGAACCCAGGAGGCGGAGGTTGCAGTGAGCTGAGATTGCACCACTGCAATTCAGCCTGGGCAACAGAGCAAGACTCTGTCTCAAAAAAAAAGAAAACTAGAGAAAAACCTGAGTGATTGTGTTCATTAGTGGTTTTTCCAGCTCAAGGACTAGCCCTGCAAGCACCCCTGGGCTGGTGGCTATGGATATTTACACATAGCAACCCAAATTCTCCCTGTGGCTAATCGCACTGTTGCCTGACTCTCTGCACTTTTCACACCTTCATCCTGCAGGCTCATGTCTCACCCACGCCAGGGCCTGTAAAAACTTAACTCGGTGCAATTGCACAATCTTGAAAGCATGAATTGCTTTTTGAGGCAATGAATGAAAGTCTTCAATATGCCCTTGGAGAGAAAGAATGGAATAAGTTGTCACAAACATAAATGTTTTTGTCAGGCTCAAGCGAGGTTATTACACAAATGAAGGAAGGAAAGGGGATGCTCCTTTGGGCCAGCTTAGGAGACAGATGAAATCTCTTTCTGTTTCTCTTCCTACTGCTCTTTGTAATTTCTATTGTTAAGAACCGATTTCCAGGCTGGGCACAGTGCCTCATGTCTGTAATCCCAGCACTTTGGGAAGATCACTTGAGCCCAGGAGTTCCAGACCAGGCTGGGCAACAAAGTCAGACTGTTTCTATAAAAAAAAAAAAAAATTAAAAATTAGCCAGGTGTGGTGGCACATACCCGTAGTCCCATCTACTCAGGAGGCTGAGGTGGGAGGATCCCTTGAGCCCAGGAGGTCAAGGCTGCAGTGAGCTGTGATGGCGCCAGTGCACTCCAGCCTGGGTGACAGAGCCAGGCTCTGTCTCAAAAAAAAAGTAGAACCTATTTCCCTTTGGATAGAGGTGATGGATACATTCATTACTTTGGTTGTAGTAATGGTTTTATGGATATTTGCATATGTCCAAACACATCAAATTGTATACATTAAATAAGTGTAGTTTTTATATATTATTTATACCTCAATAAAGTTGTTTTTAAAAAATAGAAGAATCTATTTTCTCACTGAGTCTAAATAATGGTTCAGCAAATCCATTATTTTGTGTCTCTCACCAAGACAGGCTTTGGTGAGAAAGAGCAAGACTTTTGCCTCTTGAAGGCTGCTGATACACTTCTCTTAATTAGTCATGATGGCACCAACGCCAATGAATGCCACAACTTTAGGTCAGGCCACAATTATCTCTCATTTGGACCACCGAGTAGGTCTCCTAACCATTCTCCTTGACTCCAGTTTGAAATCTTCTAAGAAACTTTCCATGCTGTAGCCGGAGAGATCATCCTAAAATTCTAATCTGACCACCTAGTTCCTCTGAGTCATGCCCTGCAGGGTTTCCCACTGTCCTGAAGAGAAAGCATCAACTCCTTAATATAGGTTAGCAGTCATCTGGCCAAGATTGCTGCCTACAGACACAGGCACCTGGCTAAGAATTTGAGTGGGGCTGGAATCCACATGCTAAGCCATGAACCCGGGCAATGGCCTACTTTTGCCTAAGATCTAGTGAGAACTAGAGGTTCCCCAGAGGGTTTATTACGTACTGTTGTTAACTCAGATCTAGTCGTCCCTATGCTTGCTTCCATCCTAACCTCAGCACTATAATCCACCATATTAGCATCTCAAAATTTCTCTCTATCTTCTTTCTGATGCTTTACCCATGTTCTCCTCTGCTTTAACTTCTTTTTCTTTCTCTCTTCACCTGGGTAAGTCACATTCTTCTTCCTGCTCTCCACTTAAATATCATCTTCCCACATCCTCTTGGAATAGGTTAGGTGCCTCAAATACATGTTCCCAAAGCACCAAGTGTTTTTGTTTTTCATACAGAGAGATCATGCTATAGTCCTTTTTTTTTTTTTTTTTTTTTTTGAGACAGAGTTTAGCTCTCTGTCACCAGGCTGGAGTGCAGTGGCATGATCTCAACTCACTGCAACCTCTGCCTCCTGGGTCCAACTCACTGCAACCTCTGCCTCCTGGGTCCAAGCAATCTGCCTCAGCCTCCCGAGTAGCTGGGATTATAGGCCCGCACCGCCACGCCCAGCTAATTTTTGTATTTTTAATAGAGACAGGGTTTCACCATGTTGGCCAGGATGGTCTCCATCTCCTGACCTCATGATCCACCCGCCTTGACATCCCACAGTGCTGGGATTGCAGGTGTGAGCCACCGCGCCCAGCCTTTATAGTCTTTTAATTGCCTATTTATCTGTCTTCCTTTGAGAGTGGGTCTGTACCATGTTTCTTTTGTAATCTCTTTGTCTAAATATTCAACAGATATCTGTTGATCAAAGGAATGAATGAATAAATGGATGGATGCATAAATATGTTAAAAATTTTGAACTTCTGTTTCTTCATACCTACTGTCCGATATTCATCTTAAGAGTTTTTTTCTCTACCCTTACAGAATGCCCTTGCAGAGGTGCAGTTCTAGGGACTGAGAATCTGTCTTAGTTCATCCAAAACCACAACTTTCAGATTTTACAGATGAAAAAATGTCAAATTTCTTTCCTTTGAGTCTTGATATTTTTATATGAAAAGATAACAGTCTTTCTAAGACGTCTTCACTCACAGGTCTACCCACCCTTCCCCAACATGGCAGCCAAGGCAATATAGTAAAAGGCCTTGAATGTCTTACTGAGGAGTTTGGTTTTCACCCTATCGGGGATAGGGAGTTCATGAAGCATTTTGAGCAGGAGAGTGACATGCTCATACTTGTGTTTTGAGTAATCACTCTGGCAGAGTAAGAAATATGAGAGCCTGAGGCCAGGGAAGGCACAGAGAAAGCCACTGGAACAGTCCAGGCAAGACATGATAAAGGTCTGGACCGGGGAAGGGATCATGGCAGTGAACATGAAAATGCAGAATCAAGAAACACTTAGGAGATCAAAATCTCTTGGACTTGATGGATGTAAGGGGAGGAGAAAAATTGGAAATGATTCCAGAGTTTCTAGTTTCAGCACTGGGTCCCTGGTGGTGCTATCATCCAAACTCAGAACTGTGCAAAAAATATTGAGTTCTCTTTAAGATGTGTTCAGTTTAAGTTGTGAACTTTCATAAGAAACAAAGGTAGTAACTGTGTCTATATACCCCTCTTTGGTATGCCTTAAATTCATGGAGATGAATTTATACATAGGAGGTATTCAAAATGTTTCTTGAATTGAATTGAAGGTGCAGTTCATCCTACTTATAAAATTTTCAATATATTTAATTCCTACTGTCAGTGGTGTGTCTTTCGCAAAACATGCAAAGACCTATCCAACCATACTGCTCTAATATAATATTTATCCATAGGACAAGTAAAGAAATTGCAACCCCCTGGAAAGTATGACTAAAAAATTTTCCTGCAATAATAATTTTCACTAAGTGGTTGAAGGAGTCACGAAAAGGGATGGTTATTACAGCAACCACAAATTGGCCCAGAGCTACACTTGGCTTCCAGTTTCACTGCAAATTTCAGGGAAGCCATAAAAGATTCAAGTGAAATCTGGTTGGTTGATTAGAAACATGTGAAGAAACCTCACAAACAGGCACGTGTTTCACATTTCCTAGGCCAAAGTTTGCCAAGTATTAATAATCATATGCCCTACGATATTCCAGAAAACGGTATTACCCCAGCTGGCCCTTGGAAGGACAGAACCTGGGTCAGGAGAGCATCCAACAAATCCAGAATTTTCATAGAGAGAAAATTAACAAATAAATGGCATGCAGAATGGAGATCACCACACCTACTTCCTCCAGCTTCCCTACCCTGCTGCCAATGCTGCCTTCATGCCCCTGCCCTCAGCCTGGTCTCTGCTCACCTTCATATCAGAGGAAATTGGAGGATGGAGCCTCTCACATGAGAGCACCGTTGCCTCCTATCCAAACACAAATTCCAGAGTGGAACAAACACAGGTTTTGGAAACAGGAAGTCCTAAATTTGAAACCAAATTTCCCCATTGACTTTGAGTAATTCACTTAACCTCTTTGAGCCTCAGGTTTTTTTGTTTGCAAAACAAGGATAAGACCTACTTTGAAGGAGGGCTATAAAGACTGAATGCAATAGTTTATGTAAAACACATACACATACGTGATGTTAACAAATGTGTTTGACCCTTCTTCCTTCTGTCTGATGACCTGCCAAAGCAAGTTTAAAGCCAAACTCTCACTGAACGCAACTCTCATACCCAGAAGTCCCAAGGAACTGGAGCCAATTTACACAGCAACTGATGACCTGATCAGAGTGCTCTGTAGAGGGCTTAGTTTCATCCAATTGTCCTTTGACTCAGAGTGCATGAGACAAAAACAAATCTGGTCTCCCCTACAAGAGCAAGGACAATGGAATAGTCTAGAATAATCAGCTCAGACCTCATAGATGAGGTATCATTTGAACTAGGATTTAATGGATGAGTAACATTTTCTGGGGGGGGAATAAGAGAAATTTTATACAAAAGAGGTAGATGAATAAATACACGGAGGCCATGATGTGCTCAAGAAACAATAACTGGTTAAGTATGGTAAGAAATGCTGAGAGATGGGGCTGGCAAGGTGAACTGGGCTAGTTCACCAAGCTCTTATCAGGCAGAGCATCTAGACTGAGGTCTATAAATAATGCAGGCTTAACGCAAATCTCATTAAAAAGCTTTGAAATTTTCTCTTTTGTATTTTATTATATTTTCTTTTTAGTATTTTCTATCCTCATTATAAAAACCATGCATGTAGTAAAAAAAAATTTCAAGCAGTACAAAAAGATATACTTTTAAAAATCAATCCCTCTCTTTATCCCAGACTATGGGGTCTATTGTTCAGAGGTAACTAGTGTCAAATCTTTATTCCTTCTCCTTCAAGAAATTGTCCATGTATAATAAATACTGTTATAAGCCTTTTTAGTGAATAAATATTTATACACTATCACACTTGCTTCTTTTCCACTTTGCAATATAGCACAGAGATCTTTCCATTTCAGTATGTATAATTTCACCTCATTATTTTAAATAGCTATATGGTATTCCACACATCAGATTGTTACATCATCTTCTCAGTAGTCCCCAGTTGGCAGATAATCAACAGTCCCCAATTGTTGATTATTACAAACAAGGCTTCAATCCATTCTTGCACTATCTACCCTTTGCAACCATGTGGGAGTATCACTGTAGGAAAAAAACTCCTAAAAGGAGAATTGCTGGATCAAAGGGTATGTGCTTTTTAAATCTGAGAGCTATTTTCAACTTGCCCATTTAAAAAAATACCAATTTATATTCCCACAACTAGAATATGACTGTATCTACTTCTGTATACTCTTTACATCACTCTGTTATCAAACTTTAAGTCTTGGCCAATCTGATAACTGAACATTGTTTATTTCCTTGTTTTGACTTACATTTCTTTAACTGAGTGAAGATAACCAATGGCTCATATGTTTATAAACCATTTGCACTTCTTTGTCTAAGAACAACTTTTTTTATTTTTCCTTGCCAATTTTTCTATTAGTTTGTTATATTTTCCTCCCTGATTTATAACAGCTATTTATATTTTACAGAAATAAGAAAATTGACCACCATTTCATTTACGGCTTCTGGGCTCTATCCAATGCTTAGAAAGATCTCTTCCACGCCAATGTTATTTTTAAATCCACTCATGTTTTCTTTCACACTTTTATGACTTCCTAGTTCATGTTTATGTTTTTGATAAACTAAGATCTTGTTTTGCTGTAGGGTATGAGATCTGGATTTTATTTTATTATTCCTTCTTTATGTCTTTCTTTTAATAGATTATTTTACCCTCACTAAAATTGTCATAATACGTATGTTTGTTCTTAGTTCTGTTCTCTTATTTGTTTTCTTCTTTTTTTATTCTTTCTCAGATTTTCATTTTTTGGTTACATGGTCTGTTTTCGTCTTCTTTGATCTATCTGCAATTTGTTTTTCTTTATGGAGAATTATTTGATGGAAGAACAGGAGCTCTACCTGGCACACAGTAAAGCCTCCTCTATCACAAGTGTGTGTTTATGCATCTGCCTGTGTTGTTCAGTTGACTCTGATATGATGACATCCACCCTCTGAGAGGGTTATGATGTTCTCTCTCACTGAGAATTCCCATAAGGATGGCATGGTAGCAGGATTCTCTTTTGACTCTGCTTCCCATGTTGCTCTGCAGTATGGAACAGGGACAAGGATGCTCTCCCAGTCTACGCACAACCACATGTGTTGCTGTTTCAGGCACAACTGGCTTTTCAGAGATGTGCTGCCTCCTTTTGGAGACCTCTGTGGAACTGTGGATTTACGATGTGAAAGTTGATTATGCAAATTGGGTCTTCCTGGTCACACCCAACTAAATCAGAGTCGAAGGATCAGGAGGAAAAAACACTCAGGGCACATAACGTTGCTCCAAGAATGTAATTCTCTGTGAGCTTGGCTGCTGAAACTCTCTGCTGTAAGCTGAAAGCGGTTTTATCTAACAGCTGATGAAACAACCTGCTTGTGACTCTAAGAATAGTCTTACCCATTGCCATCACCTACCAATCAAAACTTGCAAAGCTTACCAAAACCTTACTAGTGCCAATGAACTTTGTCAAAGAGAAATACATAACACTTATCTTTTTAAAAAAATAAAACTTCCGACCTTCTCTTTATTCTTTTGACATACCGAAAACCACCTGGTCTGCATGTTTGCCTGGAATTAAATTTTTTTTTTTTTTTTGAGACAGTCTTGCTCTGCCACCTAGGCTGTGGCATGACTTAGTGGCATGATCTTAGTTCACTGCAACCTCCACCCCTAGGCTCAAACAATTCTCCTGCTTCCGCCTCCCAAGTAGCTGGGATTACAGGCATGCACCACCACTCCTGGCTATTTTTTTTTTTTTTTTTTTTTTTTTGAGATGGAGTCTCGCTCTGTCGCCCAGGCTGGAGTGCAGTGGCGTGACCTCCGCTCACTGCAAGCTCCGCCTCCCAATTCATGCCATTCTCCTGCCTCAGCCTCCCCAGTAGCTGGGACTATAGGCGCCAGCCACCACGCCCAGCTAATTTTTTTGTATTTTTAGTAGAGACGGGGTTTCACCGTGTTAGCCAGGATGGTCTTGATTTCCTGAACTTGTGATCTGCCCACCTCGGCCTCCCAAAGTGCTGGGATTACAGGTGTAAGCCACCACGCCCAGCCACTCCTGGCTAATTTTTATATTTTTGGTAGAGTTTCACCATGTTAGCCAAGCTGGTCTTGAACTCCTGACCTCAGGTGATCCACCTCCCTCAGCCTCTCAAAGTGCTGGAATTATAGGTGTGAGCCACCACACTTGGCCTTAGAATTGAAATTCTTTCTTCCCAAATAAAATGTTTAAATTTCAAAGATTCGTCTTTCTCTTTTATTCGACTTCAACAACTATAAGTGTCTTCCTCCCATTAGATCCAAATTTGACTATGTTTAGCAATTATTGTTCAGAGTTTGGGGATTGTAGGTATTTTCTAAGTTCTTTGAAGATGAAATGTTCTTTTCTTTTGTTCAGTTCGTTTTAGAAGGTAGAGTTAGGGTGGAAATGGCTTTAATTCTTTGTTTCTAACCAGCATTTATCCCTTTAAAACAGTTAAGCAGGAGAGAATATACTGATGTAAAACTAATCAACAGAGAGACTAGAAGGGGAAAGAGAATGGAGGCAGGGAAATCAATTAGGAAGCTAATGTAGCCATCAAAAATAAGAACAGAGATGAAGCAAAACTGAACTGGGCGGGGGGTGGGGGTACCAGTAATGACAGGAAGAAAAGTCTGGAAAAAATTTTGCAGACCAAATTGACAAG
Organism: Homo sapiens; assembly: GCF_000001405.40. NCBI lineage: Eukaryota > Metazoa > Chordata > Mammalia > Primates > Hominidae > Homo > Homo sapiens. The sequence goes on from NC_000008.11 coordinate 119,688,799, forward strand.
ACTTTTTGACTGATTGAAAGGGAAGTTTAGGGTTAGTGGAAAAGAAGAAGTAACTTAGTAAATGCCATGCCTTAACTGAGACAGGAAATACAGCAGAGGGAACAAATTCATTTTTTAATATGTTGAAGGGCCTGGGACCTTCCGAGGAAGTTATCAATCAGGCTGTTCGGAACATGGAACTGGGATTCAAGAAGGAGTCAGGGCAGCAGGTATGAATTTGGAAGTCACCAATAGATTGAAAGTTGTGGTGACTGGAACCACGATTAATTTGACAAGAAAGACAGTATGAAGTGAGAGGAGGGTTAAGATGTAAGCTAAAGAACAACAGTCTTTAAAGCACTTGTGGGGAAAGCTGAGTTCACGAAGGGTAGCATTTCAAAGGTGGGAAGAAAACGCAGAGACAGTCACGTTGTGAAAAATAATAGAAGAAAGAGTACCAAGAAAGGATTTGTAGGCCAGGCACAGTGGCTCACGCCTGTAATCCCAGCACTTTGGGAGGCAGAAGTGGGCAGATCACCTGAGGTCAGGAGTTCAAGACCAGCCTGGCTAACGTGGTGAAACCCCGTCTCTACTAAAAATACAAAAATAAGCCGGGCATGGTAGTGGGCACCTGTAATCCCAGCTACTCGGGAGGCTGAGGCAGGAGAATTGCTTGAACCTGGGAGGCAGAGGGTGCAGTGAGCCAAGATAGTACCACTACACTCCAGCCTGGGTCACAGAGTAGGACTCCATCTCCAAAAAAAAACAAAAAGAAAAAAGAAAGGATTTAGTCTACAGGGTCAAATGTTGAAAAGTGTCATAAAACAGGCACTAAAAGTCGCCCACTGAATTTGGCAATTGACAACAGCAATATGGGGAGGAAGAAAGGAGAGTGGAAGGGAAGATGACAAACGAATATTAAGTAAGAATCTAATACATACCAGGAAATACACTAGTGTTTTGCATATTCCATTTTACTTAATCTTCAGAAAAATCCTCCAGAAGAGGAAACAGAGGCTAAGAGACATTCAGTAACCCTTGCACAATCATGCTGAAACTAGTAGAGAAAGCTAGATTTACATACAATCCTATCCTGGATTCAAAGCGCTATCCTATTTCCATTATGCTAACTTTCAAGTCAGATTATATTAAATTAACAAATGCCTTAAGCTAAAAAAAAAAAGTCATGCTTTTAGATAATAGTTTCCTAGGGACTCCTATTAGAAAACTGTGGCTGGATTCCTTTTACAAATTCTGGCTTCCATGCAAAACGTAATTATTCTACCTAGGACTGTTTTGGTATAATGTTAGCTTATCAGCCTCTGTCCTGCAAATTAGCCAGACTGCACTGGTACCATTCTTGGCAATGGTAAGTACCAATGAATGGAAACTAAACTAATAGAGGTCACAAAATTGGTACCAAAAGAAGGGCAACAACGAAAATCTCTTTATGCTTCCCCTGTACTTTCTTTAACAGAAATTTCTCCATACCGAGTTGTGTTTATTCATTTCCAACTTCTGTATGTTGATGAATACACAAAATTCCTTGATGTGGGAGATGATATCATAAGTACTCTTTCTGAGGGTATCATCTAATCTCTTGGATTATTTTTTCAGCTCCTGTCTCTCCCACAAGACATCAGTGCTTTTTGCTGCTCAGTAAAATGCCTATCACATAACAGATGGTCAATGAATGTTCATTCTACCAAGCTGTTTTTTCCAGGCTGAGGTCACTGCAGGTAGATTCATAACTCATGTGCCTCTTTAAAAAAGAGCCCAAGAACACACCAAGGCTGGAATACAGAACTGATGCTCAATTTTGTGGCTCAACCGATTCAAAACCAATCAACCAGTGATATTGGTGGGAAGGGGTACCAGCAACTTTCCAGTTTTCCTAAATAGGGGAAAAAGATGTTTTATGAATGTACGATGGGAAGATATTTAAAGATTCTGGAATTTCTCTATGCTATTTCTATCCAGGGCACCTAGCCCCTCTTCACAGAGAATTCTAAGAGGAAAAGGCTATTCCATGGGGCCACAGGACCAGGATTTATATATACAGAATATTCACAGCCATAGGTCCCCAAACCAACTTAATTAGAAACAAAGAGAAACTCCTTGTTTTGGCACTGTAGTGACTGCAGCTTGCAAGGCATGTGGTCTCCTCTAGCTGATTGGATGGCGATATGGTTTGGCTGTGTCCCCACCCAAATCTCATCTTGAATTGTAGTTCCCATAATACCCACGTGTCATAGGAGGGACTTGGTGGGAGGTAATTGAATCATGGGGGCAGTTACCCCCATGCTGCTGTTCTCTTGATAGTGAGTGAGTTCTCACGTGATCTGATGGTTTTATAAGGGACTTTTCCCTCTTTGCTTGACACTTCTCTCTCCTGCTGCCATGTGAAGAAGGATGTGTTTCTTTCCCCTTCCACCATGATTGTAAATTTCCTGAGGCCTGTCCAGCCATGTGCAACTGTGAGTCAATAAAACCTTTTTCCTTTATAAATTACCCAGTCTCAGGCAGTTATTTATAGCAGCATGAAAATGAACAAATATAGTAAATTGGCACCATTAGTGGGGTGCTGCTATAAGGATATCTGAAAATGTGGAAGCAACTTTGGAACTAGGTAACAGGCAGAAGTTGGAACAGCTTGGAAGGCTCAGAAGAATACAGGAAAATGTGGGAAAGTTTGGAACTTCCTGGAGACTTGTTGAATGGTTTTGACCAAAATGCCATTGGTGATATGGACACTGAAGTACAGGCTGAGGAGGTCCCAGATGGAGATGAGGAACTCGTCGGGAACTTGAAAAAAGGTGACTCTTGACTCTTACTATGCTTTAGCAAAGAGACTGGCAGCTTTTTGCCTCTGCCCTAGAGATTTATGGAACTTTGAACTTGAGAGAGATGATTTAGGGTATCTAGCAGAAGAAATTTCTAAGCAGCAAAGCATTCAAGAGGTAACAGAGAATAAAAATTTGGAAAATTTGCAGCCTGACAATGCAGTAGAAAAGAAAAACCCAGGGAGAAATTCAAGCCATCTACAGAAATTTGCATAAATAATGAGGAGCCAAATGCTAATCACCAAAACAATGGGGAAAATGTCTCCAGGGTATGTCAGAGACATGATGGGTAGTGGCAGAGCCTAGGAGGGAAAAATGGTCCAGGGACCCCCTGCTGTGTGCAGCCTTGGGACTTGGTGCCCTGCATCCCAGCTGTTTCAGCTCCAGCTGTGGCTAAAAGGAACCAACATACAGCTCAGGACATTGCTTCAGAGGGTGCAAGCCCCAGAGCCTTGGCAGTTTCCACTTGTTGGTCCTGTGGGTACTAGAAGACAAGAATTGAGGTTTGGGAACGTCCACCCACATTTCAGAGGATGTATGGAAACGCCTGCATGTCCAGGCAGAAGTTTGCTGCAGGGACAAGCCCTCATGGAGAACCTCTCCTAGGGCAGTGTGGGAGGGAAATGTGGGATACGAGCCCCCACACAAAGTCCCCACTGGGACACTGCCTAGTGGAGCTGTGAGAAGAGGGCCACCATCCTCCAGACTCCAAAATGGTAGATCCACGAACAGCTTGCACTGTGCCCTTGGAAAAGCGGCCCTCAATGCCAGCCCATGAAAGCAGCCAGGAGAGGGGCTGCAAACCTAGGGGTGGAGCTTCCCAAGGCTGTAGGAGACCACTTCTTGCATCAGTGTGACGTGGTTGTGAGACATGGAGTCAAAGGAGATCATTTTGGAACTTTAAGGTTTAATGACTGCTCAATAGGATTTCAGACTTGCACAGGGCATATAGCCCCTTTGTTTTGGCCAATTTATCCCATTTAGAATGGGTGTATTTACCCAATGCCTGTACCCACATTGTGTGTAGGAAGTAACTAACTTGCTTTTGATTTTACTGACTCAAAGGAAGAAGGGACTTGTCTTGTCTCAGATGAGACTTTGGACTTGGAGTTTGGGGTTAATGCTGGAATGAGTTAAGACTTTGGGGGACTGTTGGGGAGGCATGATTGTGTTTTGAAACGTGAGTACATGAGATTTGAGTTCCTATAATCCCCATGTGTCACAGGAGGGACTTGGTGGGAGGTAATTGAATCATGGGGGAAGTTACCCCCATGCTGCTGTTCTCTTGATAGTGAGTGAATTCTCATAAGATCTGATGGCTTTATAAGGGGCTTTTCCCTCTTTTGCTCAGCACTTCTCTCTCCTGCTACCATGTGAAGAAGAATGTGTTTGCTTCCCCTTCTGCCATGATTGTAAGTTTCCTGAGGCCTCCCCAGCCTTGCGGAACTGTGAGTCAATTAAACCTCCTTCCTTTATAAATTACCCAGTCTCAGGCAGTTACTTATAGCAGCATGAGAATGAACTAATACAGATGGCATATCTTTTTTTTTTTTTTTGAGACGGAGTCTCACTCTGTCACCAGGCTGGAGTGCAGTGGTGCAATCTTGGCTCACCGCAACCTCCACCTCCCAGATTCAAGAGATTCTCCTGTCTCAGCCTCTCAAGTAGCTGAGACTACAGGCACACACCACCACACCCAGCTAATTTTTTTGTATTTTTAGTAGAGACAGGGTTTCACCATGTTGGCCAGGATGGTCTTGATCTATTGACCTTGTGATCCGCCTGCCTCGGCCTCTCAAAGTGCTGGGATTACAGGTGTGAGCCACCACGCCCAGCCCAGATGGCATATCTTTTATTGGACATGTTTCGGGGTATACATTTTTTCAACAGGGAAATTAAAAAGAACAACAATAGCAATAAACACCATCATTTATTCCATACTGCACATGTGCCAGGGAATGTGGCTTAACTCTTCCAATACCCCTATGTGTTATGTGCCTTAATCACTCCATGTGTGTGCCAAACTCACACACGGAGTAATTTGCAGTGCCAGTGCACAATCAGGTATCTTTATTATAAAGTCTGCAATTGTAATCATAAGATCAGAGACCAGGGGACTGCCCCCCCAACCCACAACTTGTATTTAAAAAAAAAAATACATACTGAAATATCAGCAGTGAAATTTGTTTTTAGGAGCTTGGAGTTGTGTCAGTTCCTGCCCATTTTCTCCCTGATTTTTCCTCTTCATCAGTAATTGAAACCTTCATATTTAGGGAGGCCAGTGGCTCCCCAGAAAAAAGTCTGCATTCCCCAGCCTCCCTTGCAGCTATCTATGGCTACAACTACATTTTGGCAATGTGATATAAGCAAAAGTGGCATATAACATTTCTGGGAAGTATTCCTAACAGGAGGTGACACATCATTCTTCATTACATTTTCCTTCCTATTGGCTAGAGTTTACATGTAATCACTACGGTTCCAGAGGCCATTTTGGAATAGAAGCTGTACTCAGCATTACAATCAGAAAAAAAAGCTTGTCTAGGCCACTTGCACCATGGATCACTGGCTCCTGCCTACAGACCTCTTGAATGTGTGGTAGACACGCATTTCTACTTGTTTAAGCTATTGCCTTTATTTCCTGTTTCCCACAGTTCAGTTTAATTCCAACCAATACAAGAACCTCATGACATCTCTTATATTGTTGTTAAGTTCAAAAATGGAATTGTCCTCTATGGGAACAGAAGTGACTTTAACAAGCATGTAGGTTCCTGTTGATAAGCACAACCAACAATATTAATGTCACATTGTTCCCCTTAATTCCAAATAACAATGTTTTCTCTTATCCAAGTCCAAACAATTAATCTGTGCCCATTGGAAAGGAATTGTTCAGCATCATGTATCCCCTTTCTTAATACCCTTGAAGTCCTCCTTTATAGTAAATCTTAACCTAAGGCCAGCAAAGTATCATGTTTTTTTTCTCTTTTAGGGCTTGTACAATGTGTACACACTTCCAGAGCAAGACATTCTACGTCAACCCCAAGCTGTAACTAAGGACTTAGTAAACAAAACAGTCAGGGTTGGTTAACACTGCCTAGTGCCAAAAAATTGAAAAATCACCATCTTTATCAAACAGCAAAATCCTGAGTGAATGGAAAATGTTAATGCTTTGAATGTTTTGAATTGGTTTTTAATTTTTGAGAAGAACATATATTTATTTACCTTTTAAAGCTGGAAAAGAACAACTTGAATAAAATTTAAAGCCCTAAGCTCTTCCCCTTCTGGAATTAAGACTGGACGTTTGAAGCTTTAGTATTATGGGCTGAATTGTGTCTCCCTAAAATTCGTATGTTGAAGCCCTAACCCCTAGTATTGCAGAATATGATGGGATTTGGAGTTAGGGACTTTAAAGAGGTAATTAAGGTAAAATGAGGTCATACAGGTGGGCCCTAAGCCAAAATGCCTGGCATCCTTCTTAGAAGAGGAAATTAGGACGCTGACAACATACAGAGGAAATGTAGGTGAAAATAGAAGGGGAAAATGGCCATCAAAAAGCCAAAGAGGCCTCAGAAGAACTTGGCCCTGCCGCCATCTTGATCTCAGGCATCTAGCTTCCAGTGCTGTGAGAAAACAAACTGCTCTTATATAAGCCATCCAGTCTGTAATACTTTGTTATGGCCATTTGAGCAAATGTATACACTTTGTATATTCTGTCTCAGATTTACACAAATGTTGAGTCTCCAGGTTGGCTCTCTGAAAGCTTAGTATAGTGCCTTGGACACTATGTAAGCACACCATTTGTGTTTGTAATAAAATGAGTGGATTAATTTTAAAATGAAACCATCACTTATCTAGACTTCCTATGCTTTAACTCTCTATGAAGTGACGAATGGAAATTAAAACACCAACCTATTTTTCCTTCAGCCTCCTCTCTCCTTTTCCTCCCAATCTCAAGGCCAGCATTTACATTCAAGTTTTTTTCCAGTCAATGATGGAAAGCAATGCTCTTATTGCATTGCTTTTATATATGTTCTGCATTCTTCTAGAATTAGATACACCTCTACCAAAAAGTCAGAACATGATCTTAGTCTCTTGTTTATAGCCTTACAAGAGGCTAGAATAGTAGAGGAAATATGCAAGGCCTGAGGAAACTAATCTATCCTGAAAATAGAGAAACAAGACCAAAAAATTAGCTGTTCAGGATCGTATTTGCCTGTTCTCTCTTCTCTTTAGGCACTATGAGTTGAAAAGTTACTTGAACTCTTCCTTCTGGTCCATCCAAATTGGCAGAGTTTCAATCACAAAATTTCCCTCGAGGCATTCTTCCCTTCTTACTTCACATTTCAGATATTTATGAATGGGACTATGGAGAAACGTGAGGGCAGGACCAATTTTGCTTAAACCTTTGCATGGTATACCTAACCCACAAAATGCTCAATAAAGTTGTCTTCTTTTAATGAATGAATAAATATCTCCAAATGGTGCCAACATTCATTCAGTCAGTTATTTATTAAGTGAATCATCAATGCAGGCGCTGTGCCAAGTATGGAGATAGAGAATTATTGACAAAGAGCTGCAGACTAAATAAAGGGACCATAAGTAGATGGTGATGATACAGTGTGATGTTAGATAAACGTGTATGAAATATAAATGGGAATATGCAAAATGAAAAACTATCCTATATTAGGGCAAGGGCTTCCCTGCATACCTTTGTTCTCATCTTTTTCCCCACCTATTTTAGATCTTCTTCAATTTCACCTACTCCTGCAGTATGTGATTTATTACAGACAGTATGTATCCATCTTCTAAATTTTTTGAAGTTCCAAATTGGGCTGAACTTTTTTAAAACCCAGTTTCAGTTTTATCCCCTTGGAGAAATTTTTCTGATGACAGTACTGTTGTCATTTCTCAGTGTTATGCCTTCCTTAGTTTTTACCATTCATTTAGCAATGACTCCAAGACCACCTTAAGAGATATTTCAATTATTACCCTGAACTTCTATTTGCATCATGCTTTGCTAGTATCTTTTTATCTTTTTACCTGCCTAGAGACTAGAGAATCTTTCTTTCTTTTTTTCTTTCTTTCTTTTTTTTTTTTTGATGACAGAGTCTCACTCTGTCACCCAGGCTGGAGTACAGTGGCAGGATCTTGGCTCACTGCAACCTCCACCTGCTAAGTTCAAGTGATTCTCCTGCCTCAGCCTCTCGAGCAGCTGGGATTACAGGCATGTGCCACCACACCTGGCTAATTTTTGTATTTTTAGTAGAGATGGGGTTTTGCCATGATGGCCAGGCTTGTCTCGAGCTCCTGGCCTCAAGCGATCTGTCTGCCTCGGCCTCCCAAAGTTCTGGGATTACAGGCCTGAGCCACTGCTCCTGACCTGAGTTGGCAGGTTTCTTGAAGGCAGGACCACGTATTCTTATAGCATGTAGGAAACTGAAAGAATTTAATGTTAATTTCATCCAACTCCATCTTTTATAGGTAAGAAAACCCAGATTCAAGTATACTGTACTTTGCCTATAAGAACATACATAGTTAGGGAAAGAATACCACTAAAATGCAAAGCTAAAATGATTTGAAAAGAGGTATCAGACACTAACAGTCCCAGCCCATTTTTTCGAATGACATCTTTTTTAATTTTTGTTTCCTCCCTTTAATATTCTCTATCTCAGCCAGGCATGGTGGCTCACACCTGTAATCCCAGCACTTTGGGAGGCCAAGGCAGGTGGATCACCTGAGGTCAGGAGTTCGAGACCAGCCTGGCTAACATGGCAAAACCCCATCTCTACTAAAAATACAAAAATTAGCCAAGTGTGGTGGCATGTGCCTGTAATCCTAGCTACTTGGGAGGCTGAGGCAGGAGAATCACTTGAACACGGGAGGCATTGGTTGCAATGAGCTGAGATCGTGCCACTGCACTCCAGCCTGGACAACAGAGCAGAACTCTGTCTCAAAAAAAAAAAAAAAAAAGAAAGAAAATCTCTATCTCTCTTGATCTTAGTCCCTATAAAATAAAGAAGTATTTTATCCCTAAGGAAAGTATAGGGTTAAAGTTGTCTCAACTCTACAAACTTCAGAATTAGGTGGTTTGGCTTCAAATCACAAATCTTCTACTTACTTTTTTTTTCCTTTAGGCATCTCCAAATCTCAGTTTCCTCTTGCCTGTAAAATAAAAATTAGAATACCGATTTCTTTTGATCTCTTGTGAAGTGTTAGTACAATGCCTGACACAAAGTCAATGCTCCATATATGAAATTATGACTATTATGAAATAAAATGCACAGACTTTAATGCAATCTTGATTTGACTAACATGAAAGGTAGAGTCAAAAACTGTAAGAAAGCTCACAACGTATACAAGCCATCATTAAATTCTTCATGTGCAGTTGCAGTTATACAATTCAAACCTCAGCATATATATTACCACTTTTCTTATTTTTTTGTTTAGATTGTGCCATTCCTATTGAATATTACTGCTTTTCTAAAAAAAAAAAAAAAAAAGTACAAAATCCTTGCCTTCTGATTAGAAATTAAGACCACCAGAGATATCTCTTCACTTATTTGAACTAGTTCTCTCAGAAGATACTTCAGGGCATTTATTGCTGTTTGCAAATCTGAGGACGAGTGGCAAGGTAAAAGTAGCTATTCATTATTTCTAATCCCCTTTCCACTCTAACACAAAAACAGGAATCAATTAATTTCCTTCAGATACCTTCTCAGTTGAGTCCATTGGCAGCGCTGACAGTTTCTAAGGACTTTCTTAGTAAATGATGTCATTAGGGCCTTGTGAGTTTCCTTCCTCTCTGCATGAGTCTCTCTTAAGAGCAGAACATTCAATTTACTGCTCTTTTTCTTTCCTGGTGGATAGTTTAAAATTTATGGTAAAAATACGGAAAATTACCCCCACTGTAGTTTTCCTTCAGCTCTGCCAAGACAAAACAAAGAAGAGGTTGCCACAGAACTTACGGAATACCCAAACCATTCCTGCAAAATTGGAAAGGAATTTAGTGAGTCTCTGAGTTACAGCCGATTGTGCTAATGCTCTGGCTGGAGATCTTTCTGCCTTGTACTGATGACCTTGCGGGAAGCTGCTAACTGCCTTTTCTCTTCTCCTTGAATCTCCAAACAACAGGATTCAGAAGTGTTCATAGAATGCAATCGGGATCAAAGAGTCTATAGGTTTCTACCTGGGAGTAACTAGTGCTTTTGTTAGGGTAGAATAAGAAGTGGGTGCAGAGGAAGTGAGAAAGGACATCCTCCCTTCTGTTTCTGTCTCTCCATCTCAGTCAGTTAGAGCAGGCCCTCCTTACCTGGTGGAGACAAGTGGTAGCAGGATGTCTCTAGCAAAGTGGTGAACTACAACAGAGGGATTTTGTCTTCAGGGGCAACCATGTAAGCAAAAGTATCATATATTTGCCTGCTTAAAATTGCACATGTGGGCCTGGCGCGGTGGCTCACGCCTGTAATCCCAGCACTTTGGGAGGCCAAGGCGGGCGGATCACAAGGTTAGGAGATCAAGACCATCCTGGCTAACACGGTGAAACCCCGTCTGTACGAAAAACACAACAAATTAGCCAAGTGTGGTGGCAGGCGCCTGTAGTCCCAGCTACTCGGGAGGCTGAGGCAGGAGAGTGGCATGAACCCAGGAGGTGGAGATTGCAGTGAGCCGAGATCGTGCCACTGCACACCAGCCTGGGTGACAGAGCTAGACTCTGTCTCAAAAAAAAAAAAAAACTGCACGTGGTTCACCCCCAGGACCCCTCCACAGGGACAGCGGCCCTCAAACACTACTGCGATCAGATCACACCAAGAGCTTGTTAAACAGGCGCATTCCCATATTTTGCCCCTGAGAGGTTGTTTAGGGAGTGCAGGATGATGTCCAGAAATTTGAATTTGTAGTAAGCAGTCCAGGTGGGATTGTGATGTAGATGTTCAGACCACACCTACTGAAGCACTTCCCAGGAGAGTGTGTTGGGCACCAGGCACCTCCTGCTTCAGAACTCACCAGCCCCATGTTTTCATCTTCACCCTGGAGCTGTCTCACTGGAAACCTGAAATCTGACATAGGAGGTAATAACTGGAAAACTTTTCTCTCCCAGAAAAGTTTTTTTTAATTTTAATTTTAATTTTTTTATTTTGGTGAGGGAGAAGAAGAAAGTGGTAGTTTAGAAAAATACTTTCAGGTTGGGTGCAGTGCCTCATGCCTGTAATCCCAGCACTTTGGGAGGCTGAGATAAGCAGATCACCTGAGGCCAGGAATTCAAAACCAACCTGGGCAACATGGTGAAAACCCATCTCTACAAAAAATACAAAAATTAGGTGCAGTGGCACGTGCTTGCAATCCCAGCTAATCAGGAGGCTGAGGCGGGAGAATCACTGGAACCCAGGAGGTGGAGGTTGCAGTGAACCAAGATTACACCACTGCACTCCAGCCTGGGCAACAGAGTGAGACTCTGTTTCAAAAAAATAATTTAAAAAGTGCTTTCACATAAAGGAAAGATAGACACTGAGGCAATCATGAGCATTTCAGGAGGTGAGGAAAGGGGACAATTTGGGCCTGAGCGCAGTCGTTAGCGGGTATCTGCTTTCAAATCACTGTGGGCTCAGCTCCATTTAGAAGAATAGGTGAACACAGAAAGCCCACGCCAGGGTCTGTCAGTGGAGTCCAGGACTTGTGACCCTCCCAGGCAGCCTGGGTCCCAGGAACTCCAAGGGAGCCATCGTGCCTGGCTCTTTGGAATTTCTCCAGATCTGACCAGGAATCTCAAACTTCCCTTTCTTGATTCTCAATAAAAGTTCCTCAACAGACTTAAGCCCACTCTAAAGTTTGTCCCATCTGACTTTCTACCTGCTAGAATTGTGACTCTATCCTCATGTGTTTGGCATCATCAGTTATTGACTGTCTTTGCAGTTTTTTAAATTTTTTGCACTTTTCCAAAGCAGACTATCATTGATCACTGGAAAGCCTGGAAAGTTAAAAAGGTTCCTCAGATCTCTGTTGGACTCCCTTCTTAGTACTTGCGATGTTATAGAAAAACTAATGACAATTGCTCTTTCTCAACTGAAGAAACCTAATGCACGCATTGCTGATTCAAGCTGTATAAATGCGACTCATTATTTTTGTTCATCAGGGCATTAGAGAGTAAAGGATGGTAATATGGTGTTCAGAACACCTACCAAGTCCCAGACATGGAGCTGGGTCCTCAGCACACTTTATACAGTTTAAACCTCCTAACAGCCCGCCTAGGAGGTGTTGATTATGACCATTTAATAGACACAGAAAGAGAAACTTAAATGACATGGTGAAGTCATACACCTAGAAAGCAGAGAGCTGGAATTTGCCCTTCTAATTCCGATGTCCTCACTGTATTACACCACACTGTCTCCCTCCATTGAGCACATTAAAAATGATTTAATTATAAGTGATTAATCGTTAAGTACCCACACCCTGAATTGATTGAGTGGGCACTTGGTAAAAGCGTGTCCTTTTAGAAACCAAAAGCCCACACTATATGAATACTTATGGGACAATATTTCCCAGAATTGTGAATATGATTTAATCAAGGCCATATTGTACCCAAACAACCAACAGCTATTCATAAAGTGTTTAACGCTCTAGAGAAGGGTATGCTGCAATATAAAACCTATCTGGGCAGCATGCTGAACACTGCATTTCAGAACTGCATTCTCTATTCAGCCAGAGACAGGATGGCTTTTTAATTCCAGTGCATTAGTTCAAATCTGTTCTAGCTTTGAATTGATGGAAAATTATTCCCTCCTGACAGCCATTCAGCCGTCCATGCTTATTCTCAGTAAATTGGTGTTCCCAAGAGGCAGAGGTGCCTGTGCACAAACTGAATGCCGCTGGCCTCTGCCTAATCACATGGCAGAGTTGGGAGAAACCTGAGGAAAAGATCAACTTCCTTTAAAAACATTCCCCAAAGGGACCCCACGCTTAAGGCAAAACAGATGTTCCTGAGAAACATCAGGCTAAAGGGAGCCTTGTGTCCTGCCACAGCCATCCCAAAATTCAGATCATCCCCTTGGTCATGTCCTCTGTTTTTCCAATCTTCTTCATTTTTATATCTTAAAAGCAGTATCCAGGCACGTGCACATGATGCATACATATGTGTGCAGGCGCACACACACGCACACATACACACACACACACACAGTGGTCAGAAATCCAGTGGTAGACTTACTCAGTGCATACTAAAATCTCAGAATAATGGAAAATCTTCCAGCTTTGCAACAAGCAATTTGTGTGATCCTATCCAATAACAGCACACACACCTGCCATTATTGAAAACTTAACTCTAGCAGGCCCTGGGCAAGGTGCTTCCTGTAGATGTGTATCTGAGGAAATGGAGGCTTACAGAGGTTGTTATTTCCAAGATTATGCACCTAGCCAGCTATGGTCCTAGGATACAAACCAGATCAGTTTGACTCTAAGATCTAAGCTCTAAAGCCCCAAACTGCACTACCTTCCAAGTCACGGCACCTCTATGAGATCAATCAGTAAAATAGGTGTGTTGGACCAGTTTGAGACTTTAGAGGGTCAAAAAAGAGCCCATAGGTATTATGGAATTTTTTGTTCATTCCTTTGAGTTATTGTAATTGTTTGCCAAGAAATTTTTTGTTTCAAGTTTCAACTTGAATATCATTAGCCGAGACATCTGCCCCTCAATTAATCCAGGGCTCGCCTGTCTTCCCACGTTAGACTCTGCTCTTTGCCTGCTGCCTGTTTGTTTTCTGAAAGCATTTGAGTTTTCAACCCCTGAACACTCTATAAATATTTCTTTATCTTGACCATTTATAATCTCTACATCACTGAAAGATCAATAGTCATAAAAGCAGGTTGGGTATAAAGCAGAAACTAGCGAAGTCAAAGTGAGAGACATTGAAATTAACTACATGATAAGATACCGAGATTGGGCTTACATGAGAAATGGCAAAGATTATTCATCTGAAATGCCCATTCTGATCCATGTTTAGTAGATAAATGGAATAAGGTGTTGAGAAGGATTCTGAGGCTGTACCTCGACACAGCGGAATGCCGACTGAGTCATGAAGTCGTTGTAGCAACGGAACATTTTTCTTCCTTTCCTTTCCCTTTCTTCTTCTTCTCCTTTTTTATGTTTTGGTTGTGTTATGTTTAGAGACAGCATCTCATTATGTTGCCCAGGCTGGATTCGAACTCCTGGGCTCAAGCCATCTGCCTGCCTCAGACTTGCAAGTAACTGAGACTACAGGTGCATGCCACTGCATTGGCTCCAGATCACTTTTCTTAAACAAAAGCTTTTAAAGATCCCATTAATAAAACAGATGAAAGTGGAGTTACGGAGTCCCCTGATGTACTACCCTGCTTTAATCCACTATAATTATTGATATGCTACCTTCATTGAGATCCTATGGCTCCCTAGAGAAAAATGTTTAAATTATTGACAAAGACATTCTCAGAGGTTCTGTTATACTCTGACATACTCTGATTTCTTGAGATGTCAAGAACCTTTGTAGATAATCAGGTCTGGGTGCAGTGGCTCATGCCTGTAATCCCAGCAGTTTGGGAGGCCAAGGTGGGTGGATCATCTGAGGTCAGGTGTTCAAGACCAGCATGGCCAAAAAATGGTGAAACCCCATCTCTACTAAAAATACAAAAATTAGCTGGGTGTGGTGGTGCATGTCTGTAATCCCAGCTACTCAGGAGGCTGAGGCAGGAGAATCCCTTGAACTGGGGAGGCGGAGGGAGGTTGCAGTGAACTGAGATCACACCACTGCACTCCAGCAGGGGCAACAGAGCCAGACTCTGTCTCAAAAAAAATAAAATAAAATAAAGTAGATAATCAGGAGCATCACAAAGGAAAATGGGCTGAGCGCTATGGCTCAGGCCTGTAATCCCAGCACTTGGGGAGGCCGAGGCAGGCTGATCACTTGAGGTCAGGAGTTTGAGACCAGCCTGGCCAACATGGTGAAACATCTACTAAAAATAAAAAATTAGCTGGGCGCGGTGGTGGTCGCCTGTAATCCCAGTTACTCTGGAGGCTGAGGTATGAGAATCACTTGAACCCAAGAAGTGGAGGTTGCAGTGAGCCATGATTGAGCCACTGCACTCCAACCTGGGCGACAGTGAGACCCTGTCTCAAAAAAAAAAAAAAAAAGGAAAATGGAGGCTTTTGCTTAAATTATTAAATCAACTTTAACACAGGGTCAAACTCACCTCAGGCAAAGATACATTTCCATTTCTGTCATTGCACGGATGTTTATCTGGCAAGTCAGACACACCTCTGCCGTGTTCTCTGTAGTCCGAGCTGCCATCATCTCTCAACTGGATTATTGCAAGTGCCTCCTGGCTGGCCTCTCTGCTTTGCCCTTACCCCCCATTATCTATCCACCAGATGAATGAGGACACAGAGAGTGGACCCTCTCCATGTTAAATCAACTCACTTCTCTGCTCAAACCCTACAGTGACTTCCCATTTTATTCAGAATAAATCTCCAAGTCCTCATCACAACCTGCAAGTCCCTGCAGGTACCTGCTGGAACTGTCCTGTCTGATGACATTTTTATTCACTCTTTCCTCACTACGCTCTAGGGCAGTGCTTTGCAAAGTGCAATTTCTCATGACCTTTCAGGGATCTGGGAGGTCAAAATTACTTTTATTCTAATATTAGATGTTGCTTTCATGCTCATTTTCTCAGAGCACAAATAGTTTATCGATATAGTTTTCAATTCCACACTGCATCTACTCTTCAAAAGACTACCACTTATTGAGTTTTGAGGTAGTATTAAAGGGAAGAATAACTACAAAGATCTGAAAAGGCTGTTAAAATATTCTTCCATTTTTCCAGCCATGAATCTGTGTGAAGTCAGATTTTAAAAAATATACTAAAACCAAAAAAAATCCTAAAACAGATTGGATACAGAAGCAGCTATGAGAATCTAACTATCCTCCAATAAGTCAGACATTGAAGAGGTTTGCAAAAATGCAAGACAATGTTAGTCTTCTCATTTTTATTTTGGAAAATATAATTTATTTTAAATAAAAAGATTACTTATATTAACACATAGTATGTCTATTATAGTAATTTTAAGTGAATCAGTAACTGTTTTCTAATTTTCTGAGTTTTAATTTCTAATATGCCTTCAGAATTAACTAGAGCAAGAAAATATTGATAAATATCAATAGAATCCGTATGACCAATGCTCTTCAAGGTCTTCAACAATTTTTAGGTGTGTAAAGGGGGCCTGATAGCAAAAAATTTGAGAACTACTGCTCTAAACTCATTGGCCTTCTAATTGTTCTTCTCCATGCCAAAAGGAGATCAAGTAATTGTCTCACGTAATTATGGAGGGCTGAGAAGTCCAAGATCTCCAGTTGGCAACCTGGAGACTTGGGAGAGCTGACAGTATAAGTTTCAGTTCACATCTGAAGGCAGGATAAGACTGATGTCCCAGCTCAAACACAGGCAGACAGAAAGCATTCTTTCTTGCTCAGCCGTTTATTCTATTCAGGCCTTCAGTGGATTAGATGAGGCCCACCTACATTGGAAAGGGGAATCTGCTTTACTCCCTCTATCAACTCAAATGTTAATCTCAACCAGAAACACCCTCATGGGTACACCCAGAAAAAAATGTTTAACCAAATATCTGGCACCTCATGGTCCGGTCAAGTTGACACACAAAACTAAGCATCACATCCTCCATTCATTTAGGTCACTGCTCAAATATTTTATCAGAGAGAGGTTTCCCTATAGCATCCTGTATAAAATAACACCAAACACTTCATATCCCCTCTGTCTCCCTAACCATGATTCAGTTTTCTTTGCATGTATCACCATTTATAAATTATATATGTATCATTTTGTTTCTTCTTCCCCTACTATAATATTAGCTTCTTAGGCTGCTTGAACAGTTTAGTTCCTTGTTGTATTCCCAGTGCCTAGAACTGGCACATAGTAGGTCTTAATAAATATTTATTGATGAAATGAATAAATGCATCATACTACTTATGTAGACTTAAGACTACAATTAAGGTTTGAGGAAAGAACGTTAATAGGGAGAAAGGATCGAACTGCCCTGAGGTGAATTGTAATGTGTATGTATCAAACACAGTGCTTTAAACAAGGCAGACATTTCTTTCTTTCAACTAAAAGTCTAGAGCTAGACAGTACAGGGAAGGTATGGTGACGGGTTTACAAAGTTCTCAGGAACTCTATGGTGTGACCCTTTCTTCATGGTTCAGTATGTCAGGTAGAGCCAGACATCATATCCTTATTCTCAAAGAAAAGGACTGGGAAAAAAAGCGAAGTAAAGGGTGCATAATCGTTACCTTTAAAGAAAGATTTTCAGAAGCTGCCACTCAACAATCCTGCCACTCAACAATCCTGCCTACATTCATTTGCCAGATTTAGTCAAATTACCATACCTGGTTGCAAGTGAGTCTGAGAAATACGCTTTTAATCTGAGTGGACACACACATAACGAAAATGTTGGGGATGGTTCCATAGAGGAAAGGAGGCCATCAGCAGTCTCTGCTATAGGTAGGTATTGTATTGTCTGCACAATTCCGGTAATGGAATTCCTTTTCCATTAAGGAACTCTTCCCCACTCTGTATCATTTCTTGTGGTCCTGGCAATATCTGCACAGTACTTCCTTTGCTAGACATGAAAAAGTGACCCAGACTATGTGAGTTATCATATCCTATCCTCTCGACCCATTGATCAATCCAGAGATGACCACATGACCCAAGCAAGGCCGGGAATGGGCAGACATGGACACACAGATCTACCTGTAAGATTTCCATATGAAGGATGAAAGATCAAACCTTTTTGTCTTGGGGATGCTAAGCTGGGAATTCATGAATCCAGGACCACTGACATTCATCTCACCTCAGCTACATGAAATATGTTCTATCTGCAATAGGAGAGAATGAGGCTAACACACAAAGACAAGCAGATCCATAGAGTGGAGAAATAACAATGTTATCAATTCTTGGATCCAAGTGTGCCTGAAGCCTGATGTCTCAGGTATGAGATCCAGTAAATTCTTTATGTTTTATGTTTTGCTTAAGTTGGCCTTTCTTTCTTTCTTTTCTTTCTTTCTTTCTATCTTTCTTTCTTTCTTTTCTTTCTTTCTTTCTTTCTTTTTCTTTCTTTCTTTCTTTCTTCTCTTTCTGTTTCTTTCCTTTTCCTCTCTTTCTTTCTTCTTTCCTCTCTTTATTTCTTTCCCTTCCTTCCCTCCTTCCTTCCTCTCTCTCTTTCTTCTTTCTTTTTCTTTTCTTCTCTCTCTCTCTCTTTCTTTTGAGACAGGGCCTCACTCTGTCTCCTAGGCTGGAATGCAGTGGTGACCTCTCAGGCTGAAGTGATCTTTCCACCTCAGCCTCCTGAGCAGCTAGCTGGGCCCACAGGCATGCACCACCACACCTGACTAATTTTTAAATGTTTGGTAGAGATGGGGTCTTCTTATGTTGCCCAGGCTGGTCTCGCAACCTGGGCTTAAACAATCCTCCCACCTCAGCCTCCCGAAGTGCTGGGATTATGTAAACCACCATTCCCGGCCTTCAGTTGGTTTTTGTTGCATTTGAAATTCCCAACTAAAATTTGTATCATTGTCTCTTTAAAACATTGTCATTGTTTTCTTTAAAATTGTTCTAAAATGTTATTTACCACTTAATAAAGATTAACGTCTGGTGTGAAAAGGAGAGACTGTGTGTCTATCTCTGCCTCAAACACATAATTTCAAAGTCTGGGTTATCTCCTCTGAAAAGTTCTCCCTGACAAATATTTTTTTCCCACTATCTCTGTCTACCATTGCCTGCTTGATGCCCTTCTCTTTATTAGAGTGTCCAGCACCTTTCTAACATAATACTTACCATACTGTATTGAAATGACCTGTTTCTAGGAGTACCTGTCCCTTTAGATGACAATTTCCTTAAGGACTACGGACGATCCTTGTCCTACCTTTAACCCTCATGTCTCCAGTACTTAACTCCCTGCTGGGTGAATAAAAATGATTGTATTAAATCTAGTGCTACAAATATGCACCTACAACTTTTTATCACCACCTCGTGGTAGAGGGTTAAATTACTCTTCTGTTTCCTTTGGAATATAGCAAACAAATCAAGTGACCTTGGAAGTGGAAACTACAAAACTAAAGTGATGATAAATTAAAGCATCACCATCCAGTTGACTAGAGTAAATTTTTCAAAAATGGAATTGCTGAAAGGTTGCCAAGTCAAAACTACCCTAAAATAGCAGACCAATGTCATTAATTTTAAGTAACTCTCAAGAAAGTTCAAATTATAAGAACATATTCTGGCAAATAAATCTTAATTTATGGTTGTGAAATTTTGTAATATCGCATCAAAAGATTTTTTAAAATATGGTTCATTTTTGCATGAAATGGTTTGAGGTCAATACATTTCCAGTAGTTTTTCTCCTTGAGGAGCAAACCAAGCTCTGGTGCAATCACAGATCCTGAGTGACCATTGATTCCAATTGGCTGCATTTCAATGTCAAAAAAATGTTTGTGTTCGGGGACATGAGCAGATATTAAATCAAATATGACATTTTCCAATTTGCAAACAGGAAAACAAGCAATTAAAATCACTGCAAGCAGGTGAACATTGGCAAACACTGTATGGGAATATTTTGCATTTCCTCAGATCCTTAACATTCCTTGTCCTCCCCCCATCACTCAACTCTCTTTGGATACTTGTGAAATTCCCAGTCCTATTGCTTCTTTAGCAAAATCCTGTCACTCTGCAGATTACCAGGCTTCTTCCTTTTCTAGTTTATCATCCCACTTCTTGACGAAGCCTTCCCTAGCTCTTTCCCATAATTGTCTCTGCCATCTGACAGGCATGTATCTCTTAGCAATGCCCCCTTTTAATAATCTCTTTATTGAGATATATTCATTATTATTTTATTTTTTGATACTGAGTCTCATTTTGTTGTCCAGGCTGGAGTACAGTGGTGCAGTCATAGCTCACTCCTGCCTCAGATTCCTGGGCTCAAGCAATCCTCCCATCTCAGCCTCCCGAGTAACTGGGACTACAGGCACATGCCACCATACTCAACTAATTTTAGAATTTTTTGTAGACGTGATGTCTCACTGTGTTGCCCAGGCTGGTCTCGAACTCCTAGACTCAAGTAATCCTCCCACCTCAGCCTCCCAAAGTGCTGAGATTACAGATGTGAGGCACCATGCCTGGCTGAGATATATTCACATAACATACAATGCACCCAATTAAAGTGTAAAATTCAACAGTTCTTAGTAATATATACTAAAAGTATATATACAAAAAGTTGTGCAACTGTCACAATCAATTTTGAAGTTTTTATTACACCAAAAAAAAATAACCAAACAAACCAAAAACCCTGCACCCATTAGCAGTGAACCCTCATCTCCTTCCCTGACACCCAACCCATCCCTAGGCAACTACTAATCAACTTTCTCTCTTTATAGATTTGCCTCTCCTGGGCATTTAATTTAAATGGAATTACACAATGTGTGGTCTTTTGTAATTGGCCTCTTCCATTTAGCATGATGTTTTCAAGGTTTATCCATGTTGTAGCATGCACCAGGATTTTCTTTTTCTTGCTAGGTAATATTCCACTGTATTTATGTGCCATATTTTATTTGTCCATTCATAAGTTGATAGACATTTGGGTTGTATCCACTTTTGTTTGGGTCGTTATAAATAAAGGTGTTATGAACATTTTCATACAAGTCATAGAGTGATAGATTTTCATTTCTCTTGGATATATTACAGAGGATTGTAACTGCTGGGTCATGTAGTAACTCTATGTTTAATCTTTTTTTCTTCTTCTTTTTTTTTTTTGAGACAGAGTCTTGCTCTGTTGCTCAGGCTTGGAGTGCAGTGGCGCAATCGCGGCTCATTGCAGCCTCAATTTCCTGGGCTCAGATGATTCTCCGACCTCAGTGTCCCAAATAGCTGAGACCACAGGCACGTGGCCCCATGCCCGGCTAATTTTTGTATTTTTTTTAGAGACGGGGTTTTGCCATGTTGCCCAGGCTGGTCTTGAAATCCTGGGCTCAAGCAATCTGCCCATCTCGGCCTCCCAAAGTGCTGGGATTGCAGGCATGAGCCACCGTGCCCAGCCTATGTTTAATCTTTTGATGAACTGACAAGCTTTTCCAAAGTGGCTGCCCTATTTTACATTTCCGCCAGTAGTGTATGAGGGTTCCAATTTCTCCACATCCTTGTCCACACTCATTATTGTCTGTCTTTTTAATTTTAGTCATCCTAGTGGGTGTGAAGGGCTATCTCATTATGACTGTGGTTTGTGTTTCCTGATGGTTAATGATGTTGAGCATCTTTTCATGTGCTTATTGGCCATTTGCATATTTCCTTTGTCAAAATGCCTGTTCATATCCTTTGCCCACTTTATAACTAGGTTATGTCTTCTTATTATGTAGTTGTAAGAGTTCTTTACATATTTTCGATATATCCCGTTTGCAAAAATTTTCTCCCATTCTGTAGGTTGCTTTTTCATTTCCTTGAAATGTCTTTTGAAGCATAAAAGTTTTAAATTTTGATCAAATCCAGTTCACCTTTTTTTTTTTTTTGGCTTCTTGTGATTTTGTTGTGATATTATTGTCAAATCCAAGGTCATGAAGATTTAATCTTACATTACTCTTCTATGGGTTTTATAGTTACAGCTCATACATTAAAGTCTTTGATCCAATTTAAGTTTTGTATATGGTGAGCGGTAGAGGTCAAACTTCATTACTTTGCATGTGGCTATCCAATTATCCCAGCTCATTTGTTGAAAAGACTATACTCACCACCCTTGTTGAAATTCAATTGCCTGTAAATATGAGGGTTTATTTCTGGACTCTTGATTTGCTACCATTGAACTATATATCTATACTTATAATACTACCACATTGCCTTATTATATTTTTGTAGTATGCTTTGAAATCAGAGTCCTTCAACTTTGTTCTTCTTTATATTGGAAAAAGTATATATTCTGGGCCCCTGGCATTTCCATGTGAATTTTTGGATCAGCTTGTCAATTTCTGCAAAGAATTCAGCTAGAATTCTGATAGAGAGTCTATTGAATCTATAGATCGATTCAGAAGATATTATTAACAATATTAACCTTTCAACACTCTTCAACAATATTTTGTAGTTTTCAGAATGTGTTTCACACTTATTTTGTTAAATTAATACATTTTTAGTGATATTATAAATAGATTTTGGCCAGGTGCAGTGGCTGACGCCAGTAATCTCAGCACTTTGGGAGGCTGAGGTGGGTGGAACACGTGAGGTCAGGAGTTAGCGACCAGCCTGGCTGACAAGGTGAAACCCCGTCTCTACTAAAAATACAAAAATTAGCCAGGCACTGTGGTGGGCGCCTGTAATCCCTGCTACTCGTGAGGCTGAGGCATGAGAATCGCTTGAACCTGGAAGGCAGAGGTTGCAGTGAGCTGAGACCGCGCCACTGCACTCCAGCCTTAGTAATAGAGTGAGACTCTGTCTCATAAATAAATACATGGAATTTGAAATATATATTCAGATTGTTCATTGCAAGCATATACAATTGAGTTTTGTATATGATCTTATAGCCTACAATGTCGTTTAGTAATTTCAATAATATTTAGTGAATTCCTTTTAATTTCCTATATATATACAAGATCATGTCATCTGCAAATGGAGACAGTTTTACTTCTTTCTTTCCAATTTGAACGTCTTTTATTTTATTTTCTTGCCTAATGGTCTTGGCTACAGCCTCCACCAAAATGCTGAGCAGAAATAGAGTGGACACTTTTTCTTTTTCTGAATCTTAGGAGGAAGTGCTTTTACTTTTTAACCATTAAGTACGATGCAAGCTATTGATTTTTCATAAATATTCTTTATCGGATCAACTAGTTCCCATGGATTTCTGGTTTCCTAGGTGTTTTTATTAGGAAAAAGTGCTGAATGTTCTTAAATATTTTACATCTATTGAAATGACCGTGTGTTTTTTGTTCTTCCGTTGATGTGGTATATTACATTGATTAGTCTTGAGATGTTAAACAAACCTTGCATCCTACTTGGTCTTGATGTAGAATACATTTTATACATTGCCAGATTCAGTTTACAAGTATTTTGTTGAGGATTTTTGCATTTCTATTTATAGGAGATATTGGCGGATGGTTCTGTGAAGTCTTTGTGTGTTTCTTTGTGTTAGGGAAATACTGGCCTCAAAGAATAAGTTGTGAAGTGTTCCCTCTTCTTGTATTTTTTTGGAAGAGTTTTTGAAGATTGGTCTTCATTCCTCTTTAAGAGCTTGTTTGGGGGTTCCAGCAGGGAAGCGCAGCTACTCCTATACCCTTGACGGAAGATCAGTCCTCCTCTATTGGGGATGGTCGTCCTCTTCCATCGAGCGTGCAGTATTTGGGAGGGATGCACATGGAGCAGTGAGGGAGGAAGGGGATACCCGCTTAGCCAGCTAGATCAGCCGAATCAACCCTGGCGATTAATGGGGTAACAGATGTTGCAGCTAGATCACTCTCACATCCAGGAATGGTTTTCATTACTCTTTAAAAAATGATTGCTAGATATCACCTGTAAAGTCATCTGGGACTGGGCATGTGTGTTTGTGTGTGTGTGTGTGTGTGTGTGTGTGTGTGTAGTGTTTTGGTTGCTAATTCAATCTCATGTTATAGTCTATTCAGATTTCCATTTCTTTTGGGTCAGTTTAATAGTTTTGAGACAGTGGTGGTTCACATCTGTAATCCCAGCTACTCAGAAGAGTGAGGTGGGAGGATTGCTTGAGTTGAGGAGTTAGAGACCAGCCTGAGCAACATAGCAAGACTCCACCTGAAAAAAAAAAAGAAGTTTTGATAGTTTGTGTCTTTTAGGAATCTTCCATTTCTTTTAGGCTAATTCGTTGACATACAATTGTTCATAGTCTTTCCTTACGATTAATCCTTTTTACTTCTGTAACATTTGTAGAGATGTCTCCTCTTTTTATTTCTGATTTTAGTAACTGAATTTTTTTAATTCCTTGGTCAATCTAGCTAAAGGTTTGAAAATTTTGTTGAACTTTTCAAAGAACCAACTTTTGATTTTGTTGATTTTCTCTATTGTTTTTCTATTTCCCATTTCATTAATTTCTACTCTAATCTTTATAATCTTTATTCTTGCCTTACTTACGCTTGACTTAGGTTTAGTTTTTCTTTTTTCTCCAATGTCTTAAGTTGGAAGGTTATTGAGATCTTTCTTCTTTTGAGGTGGACACTTACAGATATAAATTTTCATCTAGGCAATGTTTAGCTCTATCCCATAAGTTTTGGTATGTGAGCCTTCAGTTTCATTCACTTCACAGTATTTAATTTTTTTTTTTTTTTTTGAGACGGCGTCTCGCTCTGTTGCCCAGGCTGGAGTGTAGTGGTGCTATCTCAGCTCACTGCAACCTCCACCTCCCAGGTTCAAGTGATTCTCCTGCCTCAACCTCCCAAGTAGCTGGGATTTCAGGTGCGCACCACTGCTCCCGGCTAATTTTTGTATTTTTAGTAGAGATGGGGTTTCGCTATGTTGGCCAGGCTTGTCTTGAACTCCTGAACTCAGGTCATCCACCTGCCTCAGCCTCCCAAAGTGCTGGGATTAGAGGCATGAGCCACCATGCCCGGCATTTCACAGTATTTCTAACTTTATTTGTACTTTCTTCTTTGACCAATTGGTTATTTAGGTGGGTGTTATTTCATTTTCACCTATTTGCGAATTTTCCAAATTTCTTTCTATTATTAAATTTTCATGTCACTTCACTGTATTAGAGAATATACTTCGTATAATTTCAATCCTTATACATTTATTGAGGCTGTTTTATGGTCTAACATATAATCTATCCTGGAGAATGTTCCAAGTGCACTTGAGAAGAATACATATTCTGCTTTTGTTGGGTAGAGTGTTCTAAAGATGTCTGTGGCTGGGTGCACAGACAGGTTCTCATGCCTGTAATGCCGGTGCTTTGGGAGGCCAAGACGGGCAAATTGCTTGAGCCCAGGAGTTTGAGACTGGCCTTGGGCAACATGGTGAAACCCCATCTCTACCAAAACTACAAAAATTAGCTGGGCGTGGTGGCACGTGCCTGTAGTCCCAGCTTGGGAGGCTGAGGCAGAAAAATTGCTTGAGCCTGGGAGGCGGAGGTTGCAGTGAGCCGAGATCACACAACTGCACTCCAGCCTCCGTGACAGAGCAAGACCCTGTCTCAAAACTAAATAAATAAAAATAAATAAAGATGTCTGTTAGCTCTAGATGGTTATAGTGCTGTTCAGTCTTTTATTACCTACTGATCTTCTGCCCAGTGGTTCTATCCATTATTGGAAGTGGGTTATTTATAGCTCCAACTACTACTGTTGAATTGTCCTTTCAATTCCATCCATTTTTGCTTCATGTATTTTGAAGTTCTATTGTTAGGTACATACATGTTTATAATTATTATATTTTCCTGATACATTAAAAAATGTACTAGAGATAAAGAGGGACCTTATATATCTAGTAACTTTTTGTCTATTTTAAAGCCTCTTTTGCTACAGGAGACAGAGTTTCAATTCAAAGATACAGGCTGGGTACAGTGGCTCACTCCTGTAGTCTTAGCACTTTGGGAGGCCAAGGTGGGCAGATCACTTGAGGTCAGGAGTTCAAGACCAGCCTGGCCAACATGGTAAAACCCCATCTCTACTAAAAATACAAAAATTAGCCGGGCATAGTGGTGGATGCCTGTAATCCCAGCTACTCGGGAGGCTGAGGCAGGAGTATCGCTTGAACCTAGGAGGCAGAGGTTGCAGTGAGCCAAAATCGCACCATTGAACTCCAGCCTGGGTGACAAGAGCAAAACTTTGTCTCAAAAAAAAAAAAAAAAGATACTTACAAACAGATAAAAAGTAAAAGAATGAAAGAAGATACATAGTGCAAAGAGCAATGATTACAAAAAAAGGCTGGAGGGGCTCCCTTTAAGCATTGTTTCTTTAGTTTTTAAAACATATTTATAATGACTGCTTTGAGGTCTCCATCTGTTAAATTTGACATCTAGACACCCTCACAGGCAGTCTTGTTGCCTGCTTTTTTCCCATATATGAGTTATTTTTGTTTGTTTCTTTGCCTTTTTTTCTTTTAATAAACAGTACATTTTAGGTAATACACAGCAGCAATTCTGAATACTGATTTTTCCCCCTCTTTTTTTTTTTTTTTTTTTTTTTTTTGCTTGTTTGTTTGGTGACTTGGTTACACTATTTTAATAAAATCTAATTTTCCCCGTATGGGATGACACCCTAGGATAAAAGTGGGCTTAGCAGAGCTCTCTTTGACTATCTCTTTCCCTGATTCTGTTTAGTTGTCTATCCCTATTACATCACACCCAGCTGTTAGGCTCCACTAATTGACTGCTGATTGTTCTAATCTTTCCATCAATGCCCTGGGACATAAATTGTGACACAGTTTGATCTAATTAAATTCAAGCAAAATTTTTTATTTTTTCTTCCCTCATTTCAGGAGGGCTCTTAGTAGCTATCTCTTTTTCTGGTTCTCTCCCATAAATATGGCCTATAGTTTAGATTGTTCTCATAGAGCTACCAGACCCCTCTTAATCTCCTCTCACCAAATCACCATTGTTTTAGAGGGAGCCCTTAGGCTTGAACTTCCCCTTTTTCAAATAAAGCCAACTCCTTTGGGAGAGAGCATTAGTACTCTCTGTTCTTTATGACTACCTCTCCTACCTTGAACAAAATCACGGAGCCATTGATCCAGGTGCTGAACAGTAACAAGTGGCCTGCCTCCCTTGGAATGACACCTCTGCTTTACAAGCAGAGTCCTGGATGGGGTGGGGGAAATAGCCCCTGAGCTATGAGTGGGGGCTGGATTGAGGAAGCGAGCTCCCAGTCTCTTGGCTGCACTACTCAGGAGATGGTGAACCTGTGTCAACTGAAGTTAGAGGAGATTAAAAATGCTCTTGACCTGCCCCTCCTTGTGAGATACTATATCTCTTGACTGGAAACCAATCAAGTGATATAGTGTCTTTTTTGGCCACATTTGCCTGGAGTGGAGCTTCCATCAAACTCAGCTGGTGGGAGAGGGAGGGAGAGAGCAGGTCATGGTTCAAATGTCACTGACTCTTGCTGTTTTACATATTTAGTAGATTTTGTTGAATAAATATTGCTTCATTTGCTGTATGTTCTTAGAACAATTTTCAGAGGCTTTAAATTGTTGTGTTTGTATAATGTTTACCAGCATGGTTGTTTCACTGGAGAATGGGTCTGTAGATCTCTTTATACCTTTCCAGAAGTCTTAGTCCCTTCTTAAAAATTGAATTCCATAAGTTAACATTATAATTGCTAGTTTTTGTTGTCATTGTTGACTGTTTCATTTTTAAGTTGTAACAATAGCCAGTAAGGCGGAGTGACATTATTTCTTCCTGATCAAGTTGACTTGACTCCTTTCAAATAAATAAATTTATATGCAAATATAAAAACAGAATGGGGAGAGGAAACCAGATGGGAGAGACATTTTATAAGTTGTCAAGGTAAGAGTATACATTTTCTTTCTTTTTGGTTTTAAAAGGCAACCACTGGCCTGGCGCAGTGACTCATGCCTGTAATCCCAGCACTTTGGAGGCCTAGGTGGGTGGATTGCTTGAGCCCAGGGATTCGAGACAAACCTGGGCAACATAGTTAGACCCTGTCTCTACCAAAAAAACAAACAAAAAAAAAGGGCAACCACCAAGACTCAAAGTGAATTTACATTTTATAATGAGAAGCAAGCATGTAGGTACTAGCTACCAAGCTGAGATACCTGAGTTTTTATTTTGACCCAGCTATATTTGAATATGGGTAAGGTATCATAAATTCACATTTGAGTTACTGGACCTATCACATGAGGATCTTATTTTCAACTTGTCTTCATTCAACAGAACCACTTTTGGTAGTATACATACGAATCCGCAAAAACAATTAATTGGCTGGGCGCGGTGGCTCACGCCTGTAATCCCAGCACTTTGGGAGGCCAAGGTAGGCGGATCACGAGGTCAGGAGTTCAAGACCAGCCTGGCCAAGATGGTGAAACCCCATCTCTACAAAAAATTAAAAAAAAAAAAAAAAAAAAAAAAATCAGCCAAGGCTGGGCGCAGTGGCTCACGCCTGTAATCCCAGCACTTTGGGAGGCCAAGGCGGGTGGATCACGAGGTCAGGAGATGGAGACCATCCTGGCTAATACGGTGAAACCTCGCCTCTACTAAAAATACAAAAAATTAGGTGGGCGTGATGGCGGGCGCCTGTAGTCCCAGCTACTCGGGAGGCTGAGGCAGGAGAATGGCGTGAACCCGGGAGGCGGAGCTTGCAGTGAGCCGAGATCCTGCCACTACACTCCAGCCTGGGTGACTCCAGCTTGGGTGACAGAGCGAGACTCCGTCTCAAAAAAAAAAAAAAAAAAAAAAAAAATTAGCCGGGCATGGTGGCAGGCACCTGTAATCCCAGCTACTCTGGAGGCTGAGGCAGAGAACTGCTTGAACCCGGGAGGTGGAGGTTGCAGTGAGCCAAGATCACGCCACTGCACTCCAGCCTGGGCCACAGAGCAAGACTCCATCTCAAAAAAAAAAAAAAAAGAGAAAACAATTAATAATTATTGTTATAACAGCTAACATTTATCAAGTGCTTTGCCAATCCCTTTTAATATTTTTGAATGTATTATTTAAATTAATTCTAACAATACTACTATGAGGCAATTCAGATGATTTTCTCCATCTCACAGATAAAGAAATGGGCATTGAGAGGTAAGCTATTTGTCCAATGTCACACAGTTCTTTAGTCAGTGGTGGAGGCCAGATTTGAACCCGAGTTACTCTCGTTTCCAGAGCT
This sequence comes from Homo sapiens, assembly GCF_000001405.40. Lineage (NCBI taxonomy): Eukaryota > Metazoa > Chordata > Mammalia > Primates > Hominidae > Homo > Homo sapiens. Next base: position 119,717,477 of record NC_000008.11, read on the forward strand.
TTCACCTATGAAAGGAAAATAAATCTTGGCGCCCCAAATCACTAAGCTAAGATCAAGCTGGGAACTGCTTAGGGCAAAACCTGCCTCCTATTCTATTCAAAGTCACCTCTCTGCTCACTGAGATAAAGGCATATCTGATTGCCTCCCTTGGAGAGGCTAATCAGAAACTCAAAAGAATGCAACCATTTGTCTCTTCTCTACCCATGACCTGGAAGCCCCTTTCCCACTTAGCTTGAGTTCTCCTGCCTTTGCTTCGAGTTGTCCTGCCTTTCCAGACTGAACCAATTTCCATCTTAATATGTTGATTGATGTCTCATGTCTCCCTAAAATGTATAAAACCAAATTGTGCTCTGACCTCCTTAGGCACATGTCGTAAGGACCTCCTGAGGCTGTATCACGGGTGCATGTCCTCAACCTTGGCAAAATAAACTTTCTAAATTAATTGAGACCTATCTCAGATATTTAGGGTTCACACACCGAACTTCTGATCTACCCTAATACGTAACAAAATTTTAGCATCCTCATAAAAAATGCATACAGTAACCTCCTAAGGGTGATGCTTAGAAAATTTTCTTTATTTAAGAGAATTACTCATTTACTCACTCAGCAAACATACTGAGCACCTACTATAGCCATTAAGCTGGATTGTTTAAGCATGGACAGCTCTGGTTTGCATCTCATTGTTTCCCATGGGAAACACATTGTTAAGCACTAACACAAAGCTGTGACTGTGGGAAAGGTCTTAACAGTTTAATAAGCATGTACCACATGCCAGACATCATGCTAATGCCAAAGTGCTTTATAGAAGTAATTTCATTTCATCCTACCAAACAACACAAGGTAAGTGGTTAATAATGCAGGATCTGAAGTCAGCCTTGTGGGGCTGACATCCAATTCCATCACTGACCTGCTGTGTCAATCAGACAAATTATTTAAAATCTCTGGGCCTCAGTTTCTTCATCTGGCGATGGGTAATTCCTGTAGCAGCTAGGAATGTGTTCAGCTACAAGTAAACGAACACCTGGCCAAAGTGTCAAAGGTGTGTGAACCATCTTGAATAGGAGCTGGGTAAAATGAGGCTGAGTCCTACTGGGCTGCATTCCCAGATGGTTAAGGCACTCTAAGCCACAGGATGAGACAGGAGGTCAGCAAAAGATACAGGTCACCAAGATCTTGCTGATAAAACAGGTCACGGTAAAGAAGCTGGCCAAAACCCACCAAAACCAAGGACCAGAGAGTGACCTCTGGTTGACCCCACTGCTACACTCCCACCAGCGCCATGACAGTTTACAAATGCCATGGCAACATCAGGAAGTTACCCTATATTGTCTAAAAAGGGGAGGCATGAATAGTCCACCCCTTGTTTAGCATATAATCAAGAAATAACCATAAAACCGAGCAACCAGCAGCCCTCAGGGCTGCTCTCTCTATGGAGTAGCCATTCTTTTATTCCTTTACTTTCTTAATAAACTTGCTTTCACTTTATGGACGCACCCTGAATTCTTTCTTGCATGAGGTCCAAGAACCCTCTCTGGGGGTCTGGATTGGGACCCCTTTCCTGTAACAATAGTGGTGTAAACAAATAAGAGTTTATTTTTCTTACATAATCAAAATTCTGGAGAATAGTGACTGTAAATGTTGGTTTAGCATTTCAACAGTGTCAGGGATGGTATCTATGATTCCTTCTGCCCTTTCTTTGGGAGCACAAGATAGCAGATGCATCTCGGGCATCATGTCAGTGTTTAGGGCAGCAAGAGGAGCAGAATTGCTTACCAGGCTCCAGGAGCCCTCTTTTGATTGGGAAAGTCAAGGCAGAACCCCAGCAGATTTCTGCTTATGTCTCCATAGCCAGTACTATCATATACAGCCACCCAAACTGGAAGTATGTAGGAGCCACATTTTACCCACACAAAATTGGGGTTCTGTAAGCAAGGGAGGGAAGAATGAATATTGTTGGTAAGCATCTAAACAGTGTCTCCTACGTTACCTCATGGCATTGTGAGAATTGACAGCATTCATGCCAGGCTTTTAACACAGATCATGTCCTCATCCACTGCCAATAAATATTAGCTCTTTTCTTCTGCAAATGAAGAGGTTAAACAACTTACCCTGAATCACGTGGTTTCTATTCAAGAAAGACAAGAGTCAAAGGCAGTCCTGTGGACTCTAAAACCAAATTAGATAATATAAAATTAATAATATAAAAATTCATTAGGACCTCTGGGTAGAGGCTGTTAAAGGGTTCCATTGTTCCTGAGTTCCTCTTTTTACACTTTACTTAAGATTCACACATTTTTTCCTTCATAAATATACTAAAGTATGGCTCAGCTGGAGCCCCTGCAGCTGAATTAGGGCAATAAGAAGTGGACAAATGGCCAACTCTGGGGCTAAGTCTTCTGAATCACCAGGCAAAAAAAAAAAATCTGTATTTAAGAGAAAACTGTATTTAACAGAAAAATAGCCATGAAGCACAATCGTTCAATTAATCATGAAAATGGAATATTGACCTTTCAGGACAATACTTGGCTCCTCTCAGACTGGAAAATAACTGAATGATAATCAAAACCTGATGTGTGAACTGTCCCTTCAAAGCAAGATATTCTAAAGATGTTAGAAGCTTTTGCCAGAAAAATAGACATCTCTACTTTTCACTTAAAAAAACTTACCATTACTAATGAAAACCACAACATTTAGAGAATGATGCCTCCCTTCATGCCCACCACTGCATGAAAGGACTTAGCTCCGCATTTGCAAGGTGTGAGAAACATGTGAGTTGGTGACTTCATATAGAATAACTCTATGGATATCATTACTGTGTACAGAGGTGTCTGGAGAGCAGATTTTTAATCAATGCCAGGAAAAGCCTGTATTACATTAATAGAAAATGTAGAACACAGGGTTCCAAGTCTGTTTGCTCAACCATACAATGAGCAGAGTATTACTGATTTTACTCATTTTCTTGGGGTCTCCACTAATTCCTGGCTTCTAAAAAAAGAAAGTATTTTTCTTGTCCAAGATTATCACTCCAGTAATATGGTTGTGGTCATAACTTTACCACCAACCCCTTCCATGAGCTGTTTTTGCTTTACCTTTGGCCTCCAGAAAATCTTATTATTTTCTGTCTTCCATGCTCAACCATACAATGGGCAGAGTATTACTTCTTCCCAGAGGGTAAAAAAAAAACAGAAGATAAGCTCCATGAAGACATCAGCTATGTCTACAAAGCCTGATAGCATTAGTTGCTAGACTTGGGCAATTTGAAGATGATCAACTTTGTAGCTGGGCGTGGTGGCAGATGCCTGTAATCCCAGCTACTTGGGAGGCTAAGGCAGGAGAATTTACTTAAACCTGGGAGGCGGAGGTTGCGGTGAACTGAGACTGAGCCATTGCACTTCAGCCTGGGTGACAGAGGGAGACTCCATCTCAAAAATATTTAAAAAAATAAAATCAATATGATCAACTTTGACCTTGCCAAGTAGGAACATTAAAGTCATAATGTATGTCAAGATACATACATCATCATAATGACCAACCATCCAACCACCTACCACTGACATAACTTCATAAAAGGACTTCTTAACACCAAGCAAGGAGGATGAAATATTTTTCAAGGTAAACAGCACTATTTAAGTGGAATGAGTTTTATCAAAATCTCACTCCCTTATCCTAATTTTTCTCATTTGGTATGGACAGATTAGCACCTGGGATTCACAGGGTCAGTCTTGGCATTGTTCTCTGAGTCCTGGATTCACTTTCTGGGCACTGGATTTCAAGGACAAGAAGGTTCTCTGGTATAGGATTGCAGGCAGGATCCAAGAGTTTCAAGAGGTGTGCAATGAAAAATCTTCACTAGAAATTCTAGAGCATATTTATAATTGGAGCAGAGAACTTGGCAAGGCTTCCCTCTTCATCCCTCATGGTTTTGTTTGAAGTCTCTCATTCCTTACGATCAGTTTAAGATTAGACTACAGATTCAAGTTCCCATGATTGCCACTTACGTATACATCTTAACTCTACTACTAGAACCTAGCCTCCTTGCAGGCAGGGGCTATATTCTCCACAGGATCTGCCACTCAGCAGGCATTTAGGGTGTGAGCCTTGATGACTCTGGAGTCTGTAAAAGTTCTAAAAGCCACTCAGCAGCAGATGAACATCATTGTGAATTGATCCTGGGGGGAAAATGGACCTGTCCAAAGAGGTAAGAAAAAACGGTTTACAGTTAATTGGAAGTGTTCATGTTCATATATCTAACTACACAGTACCTTGTGCCTATGCTCAGAGTATAGGAAGGTGGTCTGCAGCTAAAATATGTCTTTTAACAAAACTCAAATAAAAACAATCAAGGCTGTCTATATTGAAGTCCTGAAATAAGGACTTTATAACCTAGATTTTCTTATGCAACATGTAGTCTTGTCTATGTACTTACTACCTAGTGTCAAAGGAATAATCACAAGAGTTTGGCAACTAGCAAGAAACTTTAAGACAATCTTGTTTTATATTTTTCAAGGAAACTGGCTCTAGTGAGGCTGAGTAATCTATTCAGGACACAGCACTGAGTGCTCACGGACTTGGGCATAGAACACAGGTTTCCTGTTTTCCAGAGCCATGATCTCTCCACAACATTGTTTACTCCTCTGGCTGATAAAAGTCACCTTCTGCTTTCATATTCAGTTCAAAAGTGCAAACAGTGACTGGCAGTGGCACCAGATGGTGAAGACAGAATAAACATCATAAACAGGCTAATGACATGACCCCTGTCCTCGGTGACTCATAATTGAATGGAAAAGAGCACTCACACATTCAAGTAACATGTTTTGGGGTAAAAGTTTATCTTGAGAAATAATAACATTTTTTCAACCTTTTTGATCTACCCAATTTGCTGAGCCTTTTGCTCTTTTTTTCTACTGTATTCTTAATATCTAATATGCATATTACATAGAATATCTGGTATAGGCAACTAGATATCCTTGTTCAAAAATCAAAAAAGGCCTCTAGAGGCTGCTCTTCAATGTTTGAGAGAAGGAAAATAAAATATTTTATCAAATTGTCTGCTGTACAAAACCCTGCTTATCAGCTTATACACTAGCATGCAAACTTATAGTTATCACACCAAACAAGATAAGGATGTCACTCAAGTCAATACACATCAGTGTTAATCTAATGTTCCAAACAAATATCATGGTAAAAGCACTGAAAGACACACTATGGTGAATACTATGAGAGTTATACATACAGTGAAAAAGGAGTGAGAGGGTTAATTCTGAGTGGTACGATCCTTGAGGAAAGGGACTGTATGTTTTATTGAATATTTTATCATTTTCCTAGAACATGGAAAAACAGTGGGCATTCCAAAATATCATATGCATGAGTGGAGGGAATGAAGGAAGGAAAAATGGGAGCCGGGAAGGAGGAAAAAGAGAGGGATGGAGGGAGGAAGAAATGATGGCTGGTTGGTTAGAAGCTGAAAAACTCATGTGTCAGAGCAGGTATTTGAGTGGTCTCTAGGCAAAGCATGACGCTGAGAGTGGAGAAAGTATTCTAGGCAGAGACTGGGCTCTTTCTTATTTATGGCCACTCAGGGAATGCACTGTGCTACTCTAGAGGGGCCTGTTTATATATAGACTCCAGCAGCCCCGAGGAGGGGAAAGACTAGAAAAATTACTGCATAGTGGTAGATGTCTTCTTCTAAATCTATTTACAGTTCATCAATTATGATTAATTTGGCTAAGTTTTTCTTCAAGATAATTTAGGTGGAGGTAGTGGTAGAAATAGGAGGCAGTATGCTGTTTTAGAAATGACAGACCTGGGTTAAAATTTTGGCCTTTCCACTTAGCTGTGCAACTTCAAGCTCCTTGAGGACAAAATCTGCCTACCTTGTTCTGAATTTATCTCAGTATCATGCACATAGAATGTACTCAATAAATATTGGGTGATAAATTTTAATCACATATGGTGCACTTGAGAGTTTTCTTGTCTGTAAAATGAGGATGCTGGCACTCATTTGACCTGGTACAATAAGCATATGAGAATATGGTGTGAAGCGTGTAGCACAGCACAGGCACACGGTGAATGCTTATGAATCAAAGCTATTATTAGAAACAGAAGGACTTTGTTTTTTGGAATGAAAATGTTTAATCCAATTTTATAACAGTATAATCCTCTGTATTAAAAGCTGAGGGACAGTAATGAGAGTCGGAAGGGAATGTGGTTAGCCCGGTATTTCTCAACTTGAGCAGTACCCATCACTAGGAGGGGCATTTGAAGACAGGTGAGGAGTTTATGGTTGTCTAATCACTGGACATGTTAATGATGATTGGTGGGCAGGGACCAGACCAGAGATGTTAATTGTCCAGTAAAGTGTGGGACAGTTCTACACAAAATACCTAAGCCAGTTTCCTTGAAAAATATAAAATGAGATTGTCTTAAGGCAATTTAAAATGCCCAATTGTGCTCTCATTGAAAAGCACAACATTGTTGGGCATGGTGGCTCATGCCTGGAATCCTAGCACTTTAGGAGGCCGAAGAGGGCAGATTGCTTGAGCCCAGGAGTTTGAGACCAGCCTGGGCAACATGGCAAAATCCCACCTCTACAAAAAATACAAAAAATTAGCCAGGTGTGATGCCAGGCACCTGTAGTGTTAGCTACTTGGGAGGCTGAGGCAGGAGGATCCCTTGAGCTGGAGAGGTCAAGGCTGCAGTGAGCCGTGTTTGTGCCACTGCATTCCAGCCTGGGGAGCAAAGCAAAGACCTTGCCTCAAAAAAAAAAAAAAACAAAAAGGACAGCATTGTCTTAGAAGTCATGACATCATGACATCTATTAGTTTCCTGCCATCTTTCACTTTAACACAAACATACAAAACTGCAAGGCTGTTAGAAAAGTACTTGCACAAGAAACTACATTTACCTCCATTCTGTTGTCTCACATACATGAACAGATAGATATCAGGTCTTATCTTGTTCAATAAAATCAAGTAAAATGCAATTTTTATAAATGCATAAAATTTTTTAAGTTCTAATGAAAATGGTGCAGAAAATGTGGCACTATATGCAGAAAATATGTTTGCAAAAACCATTACAAAGAATTTTACCTGATCACAGAAACAACCAAGACAATATTTTAAGGAAATCAAACAAAGCAACTTGAAGAACTATTTTCATCCTTTCTGTATTGTCTCCTGGCCCTGTATTCCACATAGTAAACATCTGTGTTCCTATAAGATTTCCGTTCCCCTGCTGAGCAATAGTTCTGCTGGGCTTGCTAGAAGATTTGCTTATTCCTTTGCAAAGATGAAGACAGACAAATGATAAAATGGCAAAACACTGAAGAGGGAAATAAATACGTCAGGAATGTAAGGAAAAGGATTTAGAATAGTGACCTCCGAGAAGCATCCAGGAGACAAAGGGAGACTATAATAGAACCTCTGCTTTATTTCTGAAAATTGACACTGAGGTTCTCACCTGAATCATGCATCAGACTATGTATTTCCCAGTATCAAGGGGTTGGTGACAGTGTTCTCACCCATTTTTTATTTTGCATATTGCAGTTTATATGTGTCCAGCTAAATGAACTCAAAGATATCTGGTTTTTCTTTTTACTATTTACATTTTTTTCATTCATTTATTTACTTTAGGTATTTTCCAGTATCAAGGGGTTGGTGACAGTGGTGCTCTCACCCATTCCAGTATTTGGCATATTGCAGTTTATGTGTCTAGCTAAATAAACTTATAGATATCATCTGGATTTTAATATTATTCCAGTATTTGGCATATTGCAGTTTATGTGTCTAGCTAAATAAACTTATAGATATCATCTGGGTTTTAATATTTACATTTAATTAATGAATTAATTATAGTGCAGTGGCATGATCATAGCTCTCTACAGCCTTGATCTCCCAGGCTCAAGCAATCCTCCCACCTCAGCCTCCCAAGTAGCCGGGACCACAGCATGTGCCTCATGCTTGGCTAATTTTTTAAAAACTTTTTGTAGAGACAAGGAGTCTCTATGTTGCCCAGACTTGTCTTGAACTCCTGGACTCAAGCAATCCTCCTGCCTTGGCCTTGGAAAGTGCTGGGAGTACAGGCATGAGCCACTGCACTTGGCCTATCATCTACTTTTTTTTTTTTTTTTTAAGAGTCTCACTCTGTCACCCAGGCTGGAGTGCAGTGGTGCGATCTTGGCTCACTTGCAACCTCCACCTCCCAGGTTCAAGTGATTCTCCTGCCTCAGCCTCCTGAGTAGCTGGGACTACAGGCTCATGCCACCATGCCCAGCTAATTTTTGAATTTTTAGTAGGGATGGGTTTTGCCATGTTGGCCAGGCTGGTCTCTCCTGACTTCAAGTGATCCGCCCGCCTCGGCCTCCCACAGTGCTGGGATTACAGGCATGAGCCACCATGTCTGGTCTGTATCATCTGTTTTAATTAAACACTACAAAATAGACAACAGTATTTCAAAGATTCCTACAAACAGTGGATTGAAAACAATAACAATCATGCATGCATGGACAAACAACTGAAAAAAGTTAAACTAATGCTCATTTCATAGGATGAGCTCTTCCAAAGCTACATTAAAAGATAAAACATGGTAACCAATTAATTCAATAGAACTTACTGTGATGCTGGAAGTGTTCTAGATTGGCACTATCCAACGCCGATAGTCACTAGGCTTATCTGGTTTCTGAACACTTAAAATATAGCCAAGTGGGCTAAAGTTTTATTTTAAAAATATAATTATTTAAACAGCCACGTAGGCTAGTGGCTACCACATTGGACAGCACACATCTAGGAGACACAAATAGAGCCAGGCCCTTGGGTTTGAATCCAAATGCTATCACATACAAGCTGTATGACCTTTGGCTTAACTTTCCTGTGCCTCAAATTCTTTATCATAATACCTACCTCATATGGCTGTTGCTAAAATTAAATTTTTTTTTTTTTTTTTGAGATGGAGTTTCGCTCTTGTTGCCCAGGCTTGAGTGCAATGGCATGATCTTGGCTCACTGCAACCTCTGCTTCCCGAGTTCAAGCAGTTCTCCTGCCTCAGCCTCCTGAGAAGCTGGGATTACAGGCATGCACCACCACACCTGGCTAATTTTGTATTTTTAGTAGAGATGTGGTTTCTCCATGTTGGCCAAGCTGGTCTCAAACTCTCGAGCTCAGGTGATCTGCCTGCCTCAGCCTTCCAAAGTGCTGGCATTATAGGTGTGAGCCACCGTGCCTGGCCTAAAATTAAATAGTTAATGCATAAAAAGTACTTAAATATTTCAAGACAAATGGTAAGTTAATGCATAAAAAGTACTTAAATATTGCAAGATAAATGGTAAGTTAATGCATAAAAAGTATTTAAATATTACAAGATAAATCTCCTAGTCAGATTTGAGGAAAAAAAGCAAAAAAAAAATTAAAATAATTTGAAATATGAATTGACAAACTCTTGTTACTAATGAACCTTGAACTAAGTCTACACTGGGGCTTCATAAATTCAGTACTTAGTATGAAGCTATCACAAACTGCAGGACATTAACAAATAATTTATTAGGTTGGTACAAATGTATTTGTGGTTTTTGCCATTGAAAGTAATGCAAAAACCACAATTATGTTTGCACCAACCTAATACTTCATCTTTATCCTATCCTTTCTGACACTTTTTTTTTTTTTAATTATTATTTCACTGGGCACTGTGGCTCACACCTGTAATCCTAGCATTCTGGGAGGCCGAGGTGGGTGGATCGCTTGAGCTCAGGAGTTCGAGATCATGGACAACATGGCGAAACCCCATCTCTACAAAAAAATACAAAAATACAAATTAGCCAAGTGTGAATACAAATACAAATTAGCCAAGTAGCACCTGTAGTCCCAGCTACTTGGGTTGCTGAGGTGGGAGGACCGCTTGAGCCCAGGAGGTCAAGGCTGCAGTGAGCTGTGCTTGTGCTACTGTACTTCAGCCTGGGTGACAAACGAAGACCCTGCCTCAAAAGTAAATAAATGAAAATGAAAAATATTTAAAAAAAAAATTTTTTTTTTTGCCAGGCCCAGTGGCTCACGCCTGTAATCCCAGCACTTTGGGAGGCTGAGGCGGGTGGATCACCTGAGGTCAGGAGTTTGAAACCAGCCTGGCCAACATGGTGAAAAATCCTGTCTCTACTATAAATACAAAAATTAGTTGGGCATAGTGGTGCATGCCTGTAGTCCCAGCTACTCGGGAGGCTGATGTACAAGAATTGCTTGACTCCGGGAGGTAGAGGATGCAGTGAGCTGAGATCATGCCACTGTACGCCATCCTGGGCAACAGAGCGAGACTCTGTCTCAAGAAAAAAATAAAATTTTTTAAAGACTGGCTCTTGTGCTGTCGCCCAGAATGGAATGCACTGGCATGATCATAGCTCACTACAACCTCAAACTCCTGAGCACAAGCAAACCTCCCACCTCAGTCTCCTGAGTAGCTGAGACTATAGGCTCATGCCACCATGCCTGGTTAATTTCATTTTCATTTTTTTGTAGAAATGGGGTCTTGCTATGTTGCCCAGGCTGATATTGAACTCCTGGCATCAGCCGTCCTCCCACCTCAGCCTCCCAAGGTGCTGGAATTACAGGCATGAGCCACCATGCTCAGCCTTACATATACTTTATAACGAACATACTATATTAATACATATATACTTACATATAATAAATATACATACATTAGATATGTACATTCATTTTTTAAAGAAAATAAATGGAATAAAAAACCAAAAATGTTTAGAGATTACTGGGCTAAACCAAGTAAAGTGAGTTTGTTTCAGGAAGAAGCAATGCTGAGTGGATTGGCATTCAATTACTGTGGTTAAGTTACACAGATAATAAGTTAAAAAATTTGCATATGGAACAGCAGTTGCTCGGAAATTTTATAAGGCCACAATATTCTAGTATGATGAACAAAGGAGGTCTCATTAATTATGTGTCATTTTACTAAACAGTAAAAAATATACACATACACACACACACACACACACACACACACACACACACATCTTGAGATGGAGTCTCGCTCTTCGCTCTGTCGCCCAGGCCAGAGTGCAGTGGCACAATCTCGGCTCACTGTAACCTCTGCCTCCCGGGTTCAAGCGATTTTCCTGCCTCAGCCTCCTGAGGAGCTGGGATTACAGGCACGGGCCACCATGCTCGGCTAATTTTTGTATTTTTAGTAGAGACGGGGTTTCACCATGTTGGTCAGGCTGGTCTCAAACTCCTGACCTTGTGATCTGCCCGCCTCAGCCTCCCAAAGTGCTGGGATTACAGGCGTAAGCCACTACGCCCGGCACAGTAAGAATACTTTTAAGCCCTGATTTTTAAGTAGTAATAAAATTTCTAGAATAATATATAATTGTTAAGAAAACCATACTTTGATGATAAAAATAGTCCAAATAGTATGCATATCAGGGTGACATGAAAAATCATATCAGACAATATAGAATTTAAGCCAAAAACTATAAAAAAGAGGCAAAGGACACAATGACAAAAGGACCAATTCATTCAGAGGGTATTACAATTGTAAACATATATGCACTCAACCTCAAAGCATCTTAATACTATATATAAGAGAAATATTAAAGGATCTGAAGGAGAGATAGACTGCAATACAATATTGCAGGAGATACTGAAGGAGCCTTCAATACCCCACTTTCAACAATGGACAGATCATTCAGACATGTAACAAGGAAACACTGAACTTTAACACTTTAGACCAAATGTACCTAACAGACATATACAAAACATTCAATCCAACAGCAACAGAGTATACATTCTTCTGGAGCACATATGAACCATTCTCCAGAATCTAACATGTTAGGGCACAAAACAAGCTTCAGCAAATTTAAGAAGACTGAAATCTTCTTGATTTCTGTCAATTCAATTAAATTTCAGTTCATTTCAAAATTCTGAAAATTCTACTTGAAATCATATTTTTCTGACCACAATTATGAAACTAGAAGTCAAAACGAGAACTTCAGAAAATTCATAAGTATATGGGAATTAAACAACATGCTCTTGAACGCATGAACTACCAATGAGTCAATGAAGAAATTAAAAGGGAACTTAAAAAATATGTTCAGACAAGGCTGGGTGTGGTGGTTCATGCCTGTAATCCCAATGCTTTGGGAGGTTGAGGTGGGAGGACGGCTTGTGGCCAGAAGTTCAAGACCAGCCTGGGCAACACGGTGAGACCCTGTCTCTACCAAAAAAAAAAAAAAAAAATTAAATAGAAGGAAAAAAAAAGTTGAACCCCTATTTTTTTGTTAAAATAAACTGCAGATGGATTCAAGTTGGATGAAGAACGTAAACCTGAAACATAAAATTTTAAGAACATTCCAAAAAAGTGAATTATTATATAATTGTAGAATGAGGAAGATCTTAGTAACTATGACATAATATGCAAAAGCCATAAAAGATAAAGCATAATTTAAAAAAAAACAATTTCTGCAAGTCTGTATTATATGCTACTGCTTGTTTTAAAAAATCTGTACATACTGTAAAAATACATGGAAATATATATATAGACATGTGCTGGAAAGATATATATAATACTGTCAAAAATTACTGCCTCTGGGAAAGGAGACTGGGAGACTTAGACTGAAACTGCATTGTGTTTAATTATCTATTTCAAAAATGTGAATAAAATACCTTTTGCGTTGTCTGCTCCCAACCAGAAGCATAAATAATCAAGAGTTCACCATAAAAAGAAGTTCCCTGGAAGAAACATCTAATATAAACATCTGATAAAGAAATAATATACATAAGGTTCCTGGTACAATGTCTAGCATACAAGAGGTGCCTGAATTATAATAGCTAGCTATTATTTATCAATGTCTTCCTATAACACAAGTAATTATTTTGAAATGTGTGCTTTGAATTTTCAAAGTTGGGAATTCTATATATGGTATCACTATACACTCTAAAATATCCTATTTTCCAAAAATAATTTCAGTTGGACAACATTCAATTAATTGAAACTTTAAATAACTGTCATTTAGGCCCTTCAACATCTGATAATATTCCCTTTGCACTTATACTCCAGGCCAACTGCACAGCCTTCTAATTCCTGAATACACCCTTGCTTTCCTACATACCTTTGAAGATACTGTTTCTTCTGCTGAGAGAACTTTACCCCATCTCAGCCTACTGAAATCATTCCTCCTAGTGAGGCCAGCTAAAAATCCCACCTATTCACAAAGCTCTCTGCAAACTATGTGGACAGGTTTATTATATATACACACACAAGAAGGTAACACAAAATATAAAAAGCTACAAAGACAGAATGATCAACTTAAAAAGTTATTTATTAAACAAGTTAAACACAACTAAAAGTATATTTAGAGGTCCAAGATTCAAGTATTTTTGTCAAACTTTCTAATGATAAGGGGAATGATAAAAATTGAACAGATATAAAAAATATTCTTAAACAAATATTAAAGCACATGGAAAATTCAGAAATAAAAACACACCACCATATAAAGAAATCAAAATATTTCATATGTTTTTAAATGCTTATGGTATGAGAGCCAAATTGTCTATTTCCAGGTTAATAAACAATATATAAGCTCACCTTTTTAAAGGTATCATACTTTGTGTCATATAGAAATAATTTTGGAAACAGTATGTGTTGGGTGTGTAAATTGTCCACATTAAGCAAAACATATTTTACATATGAATATTTTCATTTATACTTACTGGAAAACAAAACAAAAAAACTTATAATTTAAACATCTTGATTTGAAAATAATTTTGGATTTGATAGTTCTGCTAAATTCCAACATCGTAACCGCCGAATGTGTTATCAAAAGATAGTTATTCAAAATTTTTTTAAAAAAGAATTGCTTCCCCAAATCTCAGTATTTTAGAGCAAAAGGAAAAATAACATATTCTTTGTTCATAAATTCTGATGCTTAGTTTCTACGTTAATACAAAAATGGTGCAATAAGGAAGAGTACTGTAGAAAAGCCACTGTCTTTTCAGTAGTTCCAAATGGTGTTATACAATATTTCACTGGAGATAGTGGTTGCACCACAGATTTGGCAGTTGCTTCTGTGTAAATCATAACTTTGCCCCATAACATCCACCAAAGGCTTTCAAACATAATTGACTTTGGCGGTACACATGGAGACCATGATGCGAACGGGGACTGCCAGTGGATATGAGGGCTTTTATGAAAGGGAGTTTGCTCTGTGTGTGTGTTTTGGGGAGGAAACAGCGGATGAAATAGTTTATCCAGAACTACAAAACACATTTTCCTAATTAGATCCCAACTGTATAAATAACATAAATCAAATGCTTAGAACTTAAATGAATTCAGAATTTCTGTAGGAGAGGCGAATCCTTTCCCCCCTCCCTTTTATAATTCTTCACAGAGGACAAAGCTTTAGTTACATACATTCTTCTGGACATGAAAGGAAAGGTCTTTTTGTCCCCTTCTCAGTCTGAAAGGGAAGGAGAACGAATAGACCTGCCACTGGCAGGGCTGGAGAAAGTGAAAGGCTCCTTGTCCTTTTCTTTACTGTCATGCTTATGCTTGTGTTTGTGCTTATGTTTATGCTTCTTCTTCTTTTTCTTGTGCTCATGGTGATGGTGGTGATGGTGGTCACTGTGTTTGGAGGCTGTAGATTCCTTAGTAAAGACTGAGAGTGGAGCGCTTGCCGCTGGATGCATACTCATCTCCAAAGGTGCTTGTTCTTTACCTTCAAGATTAAAAATACCCAAATGAATTCCTGCTGATGATACGGAAAGCCAGACTAAAGAAAGAGGAAGCTGATGACAGTATGTAAAGAGGGATTCCTAAGTTTTTATCACTTCTATCAGGAATGGGAGAAGTATCTAAATAAGACATGTAATTAGTTACACACAGAGTTTTTCAGCATTGTGGCCAGGAAGTTGAATATATAGTTCCTTATAGTCTATACAAATTTGGCCATATACCAGTGTGTTACCAAATCATCTTTTAAAAATTAATATTTTCTAAGTATTATGAAAAAACAATATTACACACGGTGTTATAGGTTAAGACCCACACTGGGTCCGGGGGCGGTGGCTCACTCCTGTAATCCCAGCACTTTGGGAGGCCAAGGCGGGTAGATCACTTGAGGTCAGGAGTTCGAAACCAGCCTGGCCAACGTGGTCAAACTCCATCTTTACCAAAAATACAAAAATTAGCCGGGCATGGTGGCGGGTGCCTGTAATCCCAGGTACTTGGGAGGCTGAGGTAGGAGAATCACTTGAACCTGGGAGGCCGAGGTTGCAGTGAGCTGAGATCGTGTCACTGCACTCCAGCCTGGGTGATAGAGTGAGACTCCATCTTAATAAACAAACAAACAAAAAACGACCAACATTGGTCAATGAAAACATAACTCACTCAATTACATAACTCACTCAATTGCTCTAAGGTATGGGGGAGGGGAAGATGACAGTACAGTTGACCCTTGAACAACATGGGTTTGAACTGCGTGAGCCCATTTATATGTGAACTTTTTTTTTTAACCAAACACAGATTGAAAATACAGATTTGAAGGATGCAAAACCTGCATATAGATAGAAGAGCTGGTTTTTCATATGGGCTGACTGCAGGACTTGAGTATGCATGGATTTTCGTATACCAGGGAGGGATCTTGGAACTAATCCCCTCTGCGTATACCAAAGGATGACTCTATTTTCTTTGTGCCATCTGGAGAACAACTGATATACCCATAAACATGCTATTCTAGCTACTGATAATGGTATCTCAGTGAAAATCAAACATTTGTATAGCTCCTTAAGACAATTTCTAGGGATAGACAAATGAACTCTAAGAAGATTCAGAATGCACAGCTTAAGAAACCCAGAAAAGGTGGGGAGTCTATAAAGGGAACATCTGTCTCTCTACACAGATGAGAGTAGTGTCAGTACAAAGAAAGAAACAGAATTAGAAGGCCCATACTCTAGACTAGGTTGTCCTGTTAGCCTTTAGCTATACTTCATCTCTCTGGGTCTAGTTCATCATCTAAAAATCTAGATCAAATGTCCTCAAAGGTTCTCTACAGTTTTAACATTCTATCCGTCTAGGAATCTATAACAGTAGTTCTCCAACTCTAGTGTACAGATTTGCTTTTTCCTCCAGACCCACAGGCCTATAATCCTTGGGCCATACTCTGAGAAACAAATCTCTCTCTATATTTATAGGTTAATGGTATTGCTTTACATGCAGCCAACTTAAGCCTAAGATTCATTTCAGATTCCCTCCCTTCCAGAGATACGTGGTTACCAAATATTGTTGATTCTCATAAATATCTCTTAAATCCGCCCCCCCCCATCCTAATCCTGTCTGCAACTGTATTAATTCAGACCACCTCACCTCATCTGGATTATGGGTACTAGTATTATAGATACTAGGTACTAGTCTCCTCCTAGTCACTAAGGTTTCTCTGCCTGAAGTATCTTATGGATTAAGTGTCTAATGTATATGTAGTTCACAGCAGTGGTTCTCAGAACACCAGGGGTGATTTTGCCCCCAAAGGGTTACTTGGCAATGTTCAGAGACATTTTGTTACTGACATCCTACGAGTAGAGGCCAGAGATGCTGGCAAACATCTTAAAATGCACAAGACACCCCTATACCCCCAACAACGAATTATGCCTAAAATGTCAACAGTGTCCAGGCTGGGAAACCCTGCTGCATCGTGGTCTTCCTAAACAAAGCTGCTTTTTATCTGCTTAAAAACCCGGTTGGTTCTACTGACAGTACAAAAGATAAACTCCTTGGACTTCAGTGAAGGAATTTCTGAAAAAATATATTATATATATTAATCCAAACTAGCTAAGAAAAAAGAAAAGGCTTTTCACTAAAATAGATTTCAATGTAGTTTCTTTTTTTAAAAAAGTAAATTTCTCATCACTAAGTTTGATCCAAACCAGCCCCCAAATCATGGTTTTCACCAAAACAGACATCACCACAGAAGCTTTCTAAAAATTACATTGCAGTACTAATTTTATTTATTGACAGTTCATAATCTGTCCTGAAGTTACCTTTCCAGCCTTCCATTCTTCCTTTCTATATACTACTCTAGGCTAAACCTTTCATAACACTGTGTATTTCTAAATGCTATTCCCTATGCTTGGGATGTCCTTCTTTCCTTATTTCTTGTCTAACTGATACACTCATTTAATAAACATCAGAAACTATATTGGGACTGGGGAAAATATTGATAAACTAGACAGATATCAGCCCTCATCCCTCCTAGGAGCTTACAGACTAGCAAAGAAGAAATAAATTGAGTAAGTGAACCTGAGTAATAAAAAGGCAAAACATAAAGTGAAACAGGAGCACAACAGGGCACTTAAATTAGTTGGGGGAAGAGGGGGATTAGAGAAGCAAAGTTCTCCAGGAAAGTAATGGTTAAGCTGCAACCTAAAGGAAGAAATAAGGAAACAAAGAACATCTTAGTTTCTTCAATAATTTAAAACCTAATTCAAATGTTTCTTTGGACGGTTTTCTTCAAATTTCCCAAAGGAACTGGTTCGTTCATGTTTCCACAGCATAATACAGATAAGGGAATTAAGTCAAAGAGAGATTTAAGTAATTTGCCCAAGGTGGTACTGGCAGGTCTGAGGCACAAATCTAAAGAGCCTGACTCCAGAGTCTTACTCTTAACCACGATGCTACAGTGTTCATCTACCCCAAGATGGACTGCTGTATTTCTTTTGTCTTTGAGTCTCTTCCATTAAACTGATAGCCTCTTGAGGACAGGAAGTTTGTCTTTTTCGTCTTTGTGTCCCAACATATAGCACAGTATCTATCATCCCCTACCCCGCCCCCTCTAACAAAGCTTGCTAAATGAATGAATGAATGACTATAACAGAATTATACAGTTGTGTTTCTTTTTAAATGTCAGGTGAACTTAGTCCAACTAAATATAACTTGAAGGTCACTGATTTTGAGGAGAGAAGAATAATGCACAAAAACTATTATAGCTCATCCATTCAAGTGGTATTTGACTCCTGTACTTCCTCTTTGTCAGGCACTGCTCCAATATTTTAGAACACGTGAACAAATCAAAGTTTCTGTGCTCACTTATTATTCACATTTTAGTATCCCAAAATTCTATTTCTTATATTCATAAACTTTGTAATAAAGCCAACACTAATACTCAAGTAAAAGCTAAACATATTATTTATATATACAGACAAGTTTGGAGAACTGTATCTTCTGTAATAACTGGTACCCAGATATTCTTTAAAAGGACAAAAATATTGAGATTATCTGATTTAGTTTCAGCCATATATGCTACCATATTTTAATTCAGATTTTAATACATAAATTGCTTGAATATGTTCCTGATTCTATGAATATGGGAATAGGCCAATACCTAACAGAATACACAGGCGGGTGATAAGAAGTAATAAGAAGCTTTAAAGTCTCATGAACAAATTCTTTTAGCTTCCATCTCATTATTTAATCATTCTATATCAACAGACTTTGCAGCTTTCTTGTTGGCTGTCTGCACTCTTGGGAGCTTGAGGTTCTCTTCTGCATTTCAGAGGAGAAAGAAGTTTTATCCTTTAATCCTAAACACCTACCAAACTACTTGGATTGCAGAAAGCCAGTCATTATGTTGGAACCTGTACTTCTCAGCACAGGCAACTGCCTAATGGGCAACTGAGCATTTGTAGGTGTAATCTTTTAAAAGAATACTTACAACCACTTCAAAAGTGAATCCAATTTTTTGTCTAGACAGTAGCCTTACACTTTGCATTAAAGAAATATTGGTAATAAATCTTGCATTTCTCTTGAGGTACATGAAGTCTACTAAGAAGACAATGGATTAGTTAGCACCAAGGACAAAGGAGTTAGAAACCAGGGCTCCTAGGACAAATGGCTAATTCCAGGTCTATGACAGAATATTTACAAGATGAGCTTGAAACACAGGGTCTAACTGCAAGGAAGTTAAAATCTTGTCAAATGAACTCAGTCCAAAGATGGAACAAATTGAATACTGATAAGGACAATAATTGTGATAGACTGAAAATGACTGCTCACCATTGGAGATTGCTAGTCAACAACTCATTACTTTGAAAATTATTAAATACATAGAAAAATTAAGCATTTATCTTTGTTTTCCTATAGACTTATACCACTGGGTAATAGTAAATGAAGAGAAATTTAGCTTTATAGAAGTAATCCAGCTTACAAATAAAAATGAAAGTATAAATTGAAATATCACTATCTTGCAACTTAATGAATTAAGGAATCTAGTTTGAACATCTATAGTGGTTAACCTCAAAAAGAGTCGACCAGACATTGTATGCTTCCAGACTAAAGAACACACACCCTCTGTAAACCTGAATCCAATTAGAATTCTAGATACAACTACAAATTTACAGAAACTAGAGAACTTAACATGTTAATTACATCATGGGTATAAAATTAATAAAATACAGACTTGAAAAGCACAGAACAAAACCTAGTTTCTTTAACAAATGTAAAAGAGGAAAAGAAAAGAGGTATGAGTTGGAAACACTAGAATGAAAAGTACAGAACAAAAACCTGGCTTCTTTAACAAATACATTGTAAGGGAGAAGAAAAGAGGTATGAACTGGAAATGTTAGATTCAAAAAGATACAAAGGCTATATCAGCCAACTGCAATGTGGACCCTACGTGGACACTGATTTAAACAAATAAATTGTTAAAAATAAAAATAAATAACGGCATTTAGAGTCAACTGAAACTTAAACAGTGACTGGATATTTAATGACATAAAAGAATTAGTAAGTTTTTTAGGTATAACATTACTGTGGTTATGACTTTTTAATGTGCTACCTTTTACAGATACATACTAAATAATTTATGAATAAAATTATATTATATTTGGGATTCACTTCAAAATAATTCAGAAGGGTAGAAATGGGTAAGATTAAATAAGACTGACCATGAACCAATTATTATTGAAGCTGAGTAACAGATACAGGGGCCTCATTATACTTGTCTGACTACTTTACAGTTCTCTATAATAAAGCTTTCATCTTTTTCTTTTTCTTTTTTTTTTTTTTTGAGACAGAGTCTCACTCTGTCGCCCAGGCTGGAGTACAGTGGCATGATTTTGGCTTACTACAACCTCTGCTTCCCAGGTTCAAGCGAATCTCCTGCCTCAGCCTCCCGAGTAGCTAGGATTACAGGTGCGTACCACCATGCCCAGCTAATTTTTGTATTTTTAGTAGAAGCAGGATTTCACCATGTTGGCCAGGCTGGTCTTGAACTCCTGACCTCAAATGATCCCCCACCTTGGCCTCCCAAAGTGCTAGGATTACAGGCGTGAGCCACCGTGCCTGGCCTAAAGCTTTTTTTTAAAGGAGAAATTAAAGCAATCTGGCAATACCATGAAAGTGTTACATGCCTATATTCCTTTAGAAAGTTTTCCAAGAATTTAATCCCATTAATATGCTCATGCATATGTGAAAAGACACATACACAAATATGTTAATTGGCAGTAACAGGAGAACAAATCATCTATGCTACCCTATCATCACCAACAACCTTTAGCTCTTAAGTTTTCACTTATACTATAAACTATAATTGCATACTATATACTATAATTGAATATAAGTATACTATATATATACAGTTGTATATATATAGTATGTTTTATTTATTCTCTCTAGAGAATATATGTTTATATATTCTTTTTCTCTCTCTATATATGTACGTATGTATGTTTTGCTTATTATCTATCTCTCCTAAATAATGTTTACCAGCTCTAATCTAACGTGGTAAGAAAGCATAATTTCCTTATAATCAGATTTGGGACACACAAGTTTACTTTCATAGGAGCATAATGAGGTCATCTATAGAACTCTATCAAGACAATACATATATTACCATCCCTTGATACAAACATTTACACAGATAATTTCACATATCCTTTCAGGGATTTACAAGACGTCTGCTAAATTGTCCATTCACAGGCACCACTCATCTTTAGGCTAATAAAAGTCCTTTTAGTAAACTGAAATACATGTCACTCTTCTAAACAGCAAATATATCAGAGAAAGGAGATACATTTAATTCACAATAAAAAAATTTTCCTATTTCATGTTATATGGAAAGAACAAAAGAGATGTTCAGAGTTGTATTGTTCTACTCAATGTAAACTCTTTCCTGGAGACCAAACAAAATGCACCATGGATAAGGGTTACCTGCAGTCAAGTTAACAAATGTAAAACAAATAGAAAGAGGTACTTAATGTAAGTCTAATGTGGAAGGATTTCAGCCCATGTGATGAAAGTGCTGATAAGAAACTGTGAATAACCTGCTAATTCTACTAAATTCATTCACCTTAGGTATATGTTTAAATTTAACACAAAACCTGCAGTTTTTATTAGGAAAGGTGTAAGTTCTGTTCTTCAGATTGTTTAGATCACTGTAAAAAAAAAGTAGAATTATATCATTATAATTTAAGGATAAAAAAATCAAAGTCTGTTTTTTGTACTGGTTTCAAAAGAAAGACCTCTAGGGCAAGCTCTCAAGCTTTAAAGAAGTTTTTTTTTTTTTTTTTTTAAATTAAAAAATTTACCAGAATTGTGTTTTTCTGACTTATGCAAGAAGGCATTACATAATACTGCAGCCCTAGCTAGGCAGCTGCAGAAACTCTCCGCTTCTTTCCCACAAAAACCACTAGGGAATTCCCTTGCTCCTTGTTCCCCTTGCCCGGCCTCTCTTCTCCAGCACTGCAATCCCTACAGTAACCTGGGAGACAGTCCAGTCACCTCAAGCTCTGCAGTAACAGACAGGGAGCTGCTGTGGTGAGAAGGGAGAGAATATTGTATGTTCATCCCTATCACCGTGGGAACCATAAAGGCCATTTCTTTATATCCCCTTCCTTACCTCAGGAAAAGGAAAATAAATAATAAAGTAATGAAGGAAAATACTCTTGCCATTTCTCCCTTCTCATCCCAATGGCTTAATCTAACACCCACATATGATCCTGCCCTAAAATATTCTACTATCAAATGCAAGGAAAGGGAAAACTGGGGAAGCAAGGTTAAAAAGTAAACCATAATGTGTCCTCTACTTAACAGTTTCCATCTCTTCTTTAAACCCATATTCTTTTTCTATCCCTCCTAGACAAGGTCTGTAACACATTCCAGTTCTCAATTATCATCGGGCTCCTTGGCTCTAAGGGGGCCATCTAGGACTTCATCTCAGCTCATGAATAAAATAAAATAAAAAGCAGAGGCCAGAAACTCAAAAGCCTTGTCCTGAGGAACAGCATAAATGAGTAAACAGACTACTGGGTGCGGCATAAGAGATCACACGCCTTACTAAAAAGCCTCTCACACTTTTTCAAGAAAAGCTAGAAATCCAGAATTGCTTTTTTTCTTTGTTTCCTGAATGTCTCTATCAGAGTAAAAGGAAATCCATATTTTTATGTGTAACCTCTTCATTTTTAGTTATCTACTTCAAAAACTTTTGTGAGACTTATAAGAAGATGCCTCAGCTTGATGAACTGGATATAGGCCAAAAAACCTCATTTGTGATCTCTAATCTAGAATCCCTAGAGACTGAAGAGAGGTCACAGCTTCCCTCACCAGTGCTGTCTCCCTCCTAAACCCGCAACTCTCAACCCCAAGAAAGGTGGCTGCCATGGTAAGAGATCTTCAGCTTCTGCTGGGAGGCAGGAAGACAAGAAATTCCTTTTTCACTGCCAATTTGACTTGACTTGGGTTAGGCTAAAGTTATGCTTCCCACATGCCAAAAGTTGGAGCTCTGAGTGAATCTTCTCACAGAAACGTTGATACACACAAGGGCTAGGTTTGATATTTGTATTCCTGATGTATGGTAGGAGTTGTAAAGCTTTTGTTGGCTAGTTTGGAAAAGTTACTTAACAAATAAAACAATGTCGCCAGGCCTGGTGGCTCACGCCTGTGATCCTAGCACTTTGGGAGGCTGAGGCTGGTGATCACTTGAGGCCAGGAGTTTGAGATGAGCCTGGCCAATATGGTGAAATCCTGTCTCTACTAAAAAAAAAAAAAAAAAAAAAAAATTAGCCGGGTGTGGTGATGCATGCCTGTAATCCCAGCTACTTAGGAAGCTGAGGTACGAGAATCACTTGAACCCAGGAGGTGGAGGTTGCAGTGAGCCAAGATCGCATCACTGCACTCCAGCCTGGATGACAGAGTGAGACTGTCTCAAAAAAAAAAAAAAAAAGAAAAGAAAAGAAAAGAAGAAGAAGAAGAAACTACCTATAGAAAAACTGCATTCAAAATTCCAAAATAAATATATTTATAAATAAACCTTCAAAACACTATTATTTGTAAAATGAAGGTTTTCTACATTCTTGTAATATCACTGTTGAATTTTAAGACTTGCTCAGTGACCTCAGAGTACTGAACAGCAAAAACACATTTAAAGGAAATTACAGTCACATTAAAGAATATATTCAAAGTTAAGATTACTAGATCAGTCCATCTAACTGGTATACATTTTTGCCTCATGCCAAGAAAGGACCCGACACTAATAGCAGCCAAAACTCAAATGTTAATGCATTCCTATTCCCCACCATTAGGGCTGTGTTTCTTTCTCCCCAGTCTTCCCATATGATGCCATGAGAACTAAAAGCCTATAAAGAAAGAACTGAAAAAAAGTGAAAATGTATTTTTAAAAGCAATAAGGATCAATGATAAAAAGGCACACTGGTGGGCACAAAAAAAAGTGTTCAGATTTGCTTCTACATAGGTTAATGTGCCACACCGCTAAGAAAAACCAAATGTATTCTGACTCTTTTTGGAACAGTAATTGATTAGACTCTCGGAAATTTAGAGAGAATTTTTTTTTAAAGGTAAGCAGAAGCATCATCCTCAAACTGTATGAAGGAGTTTGAAATTCTCTAAGCTTTATAATTTTTAAAAATGTAGAAAATTATTTACATCTAGTAAAATTTCAAAATTACACCAAAACCAAAAGAATACAAAAAATCAGGAAGGGCCAAGAAATATCAAAACTCACTCATTAAGTGCAATAAGTCCCCAACTGATTTCTTTCTGAAACATATTTTAGGTGAATCTATTCCAATAAATGCACAGAACACACAACGGTAAGCAATCAACAGTCTGGGGTCTCAACATCAAAACAGTTTAATGTGCTGCTTTTGTTTGAAGTCCCCTGTTAATAACAGTTAATTTATAAGCTTCTCAAAGCAATAAACAGCACTCTTTAAAATATCAGATAAAAACATAATTTATATAAGCAAAGTCCATCAACTGGAATATAATCAGAAGTTCACAGACTGTAAAGTCTGTCTACTTCTGGAAAAACTATTCTTTAAAAATGATTTTGTTTATGTATCTTGTTTTTTCACTCCCTGTTCCTTGAGAATTTGAGGACTGAATCTTTGTTTCACGGTAGTTCATCAGCATCAAATGTTTGCACTTCATTTGGATTATAATCCTCTCTTTGTAAGTGATGAAACAGAATAAGCAGAAAACAATGTGAAACAGAATAGGTAACAAACACATCTGAATTAAATTACTTTTCACAAACTTAAGCCCAATTACTGTGAAATGATATAAGAGAATATAGCATCAAGTCTTCAGGAGTGAATCACCAATTATATACACGAGTGGGGGATAAGTGGTTGATTTTTTATTTTATGCGTTTATATCTTTTTTATAAAGGTACAAATTAGATGGTTTCTATTGAAGTTGGCATTTGTCATAATATTCTTAGAAAAAGCATGGCAAAGAAAGAGCAAAATGTTCATTATAATTAAATGGCATTATCTTTTAAATTATCTTTCAATGGCATATGGGGGATAATTTTTTTCTCACCTAATTTTCTTTTATTTCCAAGTTTTCTATAATAGGAATACATTACTTTTGAAAAAGAAGTCTATTTTAAAATAGTCTTTAAAGTTAGACAATATAAGCTCAATGTATTACAAGAAAAGCCAAGTCCTAAGATCTGTATTTTTAAAGGGTTTTTTAAAGTTGATGAAGTAACTCTATTACATTTATAGATTTGTTCTTGAACAAAATAATATTAATTCTGATTAATTATTTTTACCTGTTCCCTTCCGTGCAAGTTCCAAACTCCACTGGGGTTTTGTGGTGGGTGTGCTGTCACAGCCTGCTGAGTGCTGGGGTATTAAAGCAGATCGGGAGCTAGCTGGCCGATATTTCGAGAGCCCTAAAATGCCAAACAAGAGAAAAAAGAGGGATTTATTTCTTTGTTTCCCAAAAGAAAAAAAAAGGCTGACAGGTTTTTATAAGCTAGCCTTAAAGACAGAAGCAATTCATCCACAGTAAAATTCTAACAATTGAAAGAATACTAGCTGGGTGGAGTGGCTCACATCTTTAATCCCAATGCTTTGGGAGGCTGAGGAGGGAGGATCGCTTGATGCCAGGAGTTCAAGACCAGCCTAGACCCCGTCTCTACTAAAAATACAAAAATTAGCCGGGCATGGTGGTGCGCGCCTGTAGTCCCAGCTACTTGGGAGGCTGAGGCAAGAGAGTCACTTGAACCCGGGAGGCAAAGGCTGCAGTTAGCAGAGATGGCACTACCGCACTCCAGCCTGGGAAACAGAGTGAGACTCCATCTTAAAAAAAAAATTTAAAAAAACCCCAAAAAACAAAAACAGTAAACCTGAGTTATTTTACAGTTACTCTAAAAGTTCTGAATTATTACACTGATGACAAGTGCTATGACAGATAATGGTCATAAATGAAAATTAATGAATTACAACTTATATACCAATAAGAATTTTAGAAACATAACGCTAAGTGAAAAAAAGCAAGTCATGTTATACCATTTCTTAAAAAATTCAAAAAAGAAGTGCAACTAAATATACAGGATCACATACCTATGTGGAACACTATAAAGAAAAGCAACAGAATGAAATTAAAAAAAAAAAAGAAAATGCAATATAGTAGTTACTTGTAGTGGAAAGGCAGTAGAACAGGACCAGGGAAAAAGCATATACGAAACATCTGTGCATGATATATAATGTACATGTTAACTTTGGTGGCAGGTACACAGATACTTGCTTTATTACTATATGTCACAACTTTTATCAAAGGCTTTTATTCCTTAAAAATTAGAAAAAGCTTATGATATAAACTGGTATAATCTCTCAAAAAACATGGCAATACATATCAAGAGCTATGAAAATCTAAAGACATGTATCTCACAATATAGCTAACATTAATCTTTTCACTAATAATACATTTCGGGAAATTTATCCAAGAAACATAAATTAACAAAAAAATAAAGTGCAGAATTACCTACAATACATAAAAATGAAAAACAACCTAATGCCTATCAATAAGGAAATGACAAGGTAAATCTTAATATATTGACTCTATGTTGTCTTAGGTAGTATTTTCAAAAGAAAACATGCTTTTTGAATGATGTAGGAAAATGACTGACATAATATTATATGAGATAGGCAGGCAAAAAGAGAAAGTGGTGCTACAAGCAGCTTTAACTGCAGTTAAAAAAATTAATGTAACTATGGTTACATGAAGTCAAGTCTACCACATACACACACAAAAGAGAAATCAGAGCTACTAGAAAGAATCTGAATGATGGATTTTATACAAGCAAATACTTAAAAAGGACCAAAATAAAAAAGCCAAAAGAAGCACTTTTTCTATTTGTTATTTTGCCAATTTATGTTATAATCTGCTACAATTTAATATTTTAAGCTGGCTAATTTTAAACTGTATAGTTGTTCATTTGAAAATAAAGTAACACACATTAGAATACTGACATCAACCAATGTCTCCATCTCCTCAATGATTGCAGAATACTAATCTTACCTGGAGTTGACGGCCTTTCAAGCATGTTTAAATGATGGGAAATGAAGGCCTGGCTATCATGAACAGTATCCATATCAATCTCCTCCTCATCTTGAGAACTGGAAAACTAAAACACACACACATAAAACAGAGGATAAAAGAACCATTACATCATGTTATGTTTGGATATTAGCTCTTAGGAAAAGTAGCAGAGAGGCCATAGGATATACCCCCATATAATCTTAAAATAAAAAGTAGTTTCTTTCTTCAAAGATATTAAGAGAAAGAAAAGATTATGTGGTCCAGCCTCTAAAAGAAGCCAATTAGAAATTACTGGAAATGTAATAGCAACTAAAATCTACTCCTATTTTGTGAGAAAAAGTAGTGAGTTGTGGTGGAACGTGCACACATAGTTCCTCCCCCAAACAGAGAAGAATTATGTGATAATATAAGTTAAATACTTGGTTCGAATGTCTCAGAAGGACCTTTGAGTTTTATAATGCAGTCTGTTGCGTGTGTTCCTGCTAAGGAAAAACCACTGCAAGTATTCAAAAAGATTTACAAGAAGGTGAATATCCTACACTGTTAATACAGGTTTAACCTGTATTTCTTACTCTGATTTTGAGTTTGACTTTACTGCTATCCTCATTCTTCTCCAGTATTTGACCAGGTTCTAGTGGGGACCCCAGTGGTGTATCAGACTTCCTCTTCACTCCCTGCTGATGAGCTGATATATTACATGATGCTTCCTTGGCAAGGTGATCATCTTCCTGCGGCAATATTCAAGATCAAAATTAGATTTCTGAAGACGAGTAGCTCATATTATAGCTGAAAACTAATAGCTATAGCAACCATGCAGATTAGAGCATGCCCAGTGCTAGAAATTATCAGCAATGGGCTTAAAATAAATGTAATCTTTTCTTGTCTGCTGGTCTTTTTGGGGGGAGAAGGGAGGTATTTAAGTGAACTTTTAGAGGTTTCCCAAAAGAACATGTCCTTTGATGCCATTTTCTCCTCTTAGCCTGCAGTGTGAATGTGGATAAATTAACATATATGAGCAAGAATTATAAATATATCAATTTTCACAGGTTGATGAGTATGTAGATCTGAAAGAGCTCTTTAATGAGACTCTTTTTTTTCTATGTAAATGTCTGTCTTACTTCTTCATAACCCAAACTCTAGGACATATTTTAAATTGACAACAAATAAGTATGATGATACTTCAGAAAATTTAGGTGAATAAGCAAATTTAAAATGAACTATTACTAACTAGCATAGAGAGAATCTGCATTTTAAAGTGTCAAAACACCAGTAGGGAATTGCCAGGCAAGTAATCTGGTCTAAATATTGGTGAAAAATGAAGCTTGAAGTATTGGAGACATTTTGTCATCAATAAAAAAACATTTCAGGAAAAATTTATTTAAATTACAGTAAAATGATTAATATGTATCCTATAAGTCTTTCTACAAAATGTCTGGTAATTTTATAATACAAAGGTAGAAATAAAAGCTTCTCTAAAGGCAAACGAATGTGTGTGTGTGTGTGTGTGTGTGTGTGTGTGTGTGTGTGTGTGATATAAAATGTTTTAAAATGTAACACACAGTCTCCTCCCAAATCAGCAGATTATTAATTTACCTAGTCATTCATTCATTCATTATTTATTTCATTCAACAAGCATTTGCCAGGCATTTATCATATGTTTAGAACTGTGCTAGGTATTACACAGAGCAACAATTTTAAAAAGACAAGGCCCCTGTTTTCACGTGGCTTACCATTAACACATATGGGACAAGATGGGTTAATATGTAATAGGTTAAATATTCAGCTGGGTGTGGTGGCTCACGCCTGTAATCCTAGCACTTTGGGAGGCCACGGTGGGTGGATCACCTGAGGTCAGGTGTTTGAGACCAGCCTGGCCAACATGGTGAAATTCCGTTTCTACTAAAAATACAAAAAATTAGCCAGGCATGGTGGCAGTCACCTGTAATCCCAGCTACTCAGGAGGCTAAGGCAGGAGAATTGCTTGAACCTGGGAGGCAGAGGTTGCAGTGAGCTGAGAGTGAGTCATTGCACTCCAGCCTGGGGAACAAGAGTGGAACTCTGTCTCAAAAAAAAAAAAAAAAAAAAAAAAGGTTATTCGTTTCTATCTTTTGCTACTCAGAGAAGAAATTCTATGCTCAAGTATAAAAAAAATAACTAGGTTATCACAATACGAGTAACAGGACCGGGAGCACATCATTCGTTATGTGCAGTTTTATAGTTGCCAGTAGCATTTTATAATTGGCACAGTACTAATCAAATGTCAGCCAGCATTTTTTAAAAGGACACAAGAAACTGTGTTAGTGGCTATAAAATTCACTAGTTCACAGGAAACAATTCTCTTCTCTAGATCCTCTATATAATGAAACTACGTCTTCTGTAATACATGTGATTCTTACAGGGTTCTGAAATCCAACTAGCTGTGGGTGACTGCTTGGATTATTTGCAGCTTCTTGGTTGCCTGCTACTGACTCTGGAATTATGGTAGGATTCAAGACAGCTTTTTTCTCCTTTAGATTAAGAACCAACCCAAGCTCTGGCAAGGGTAAACAGGAAGGTCTACTGAGGCCAAAAAGTGTGAAGTACAAGTCCACAGCACCACACCGTAACCTCCAGTCATGTGAAGTACCTAAAAAGTAAGTAATAAAGAAATGAGTCAATATGCACATTGATTCATACATTTTAACTGTCCCAGAACCTGAACAACAAAAGGAACTTTATAACTGGAAAAACCTTTATCACACCTTTCATCTTACAAAATGAATACTAGACATCAACCAAAAATCTAACATTCCAAAAACTGTATTTTTATAGCCTTAATTCTTCCTTTTTATTCTTTCTCCTCAGTAATTATCCCACATTCATTCATTCTCTGTTCATCGTGTCTGATTCTCTTCATTAACAGCCTGTTAGGAAGACAGCCTCCATGAGCCTTTGCATTCCCTATCATGGAAACACATTTTCTGATCTCTAGAACTTACTACTTTCAGGTTTTACATATAGTAAGAAACCATACAACTACTATTGGACTTATTGTAAAGGAGGAAAATATTTTGCTAAACACCTTTGTATTTGTGTTACTGCAGTGAGAACTTATTTATGATTTTTAAATAACAGAAATAAGCAAACCACAAGCATGACAATGGGCAGTAGACGTGGACTTGACCAGAAAATAACTGCCTGGGTAGAAGTTCAGTTTCTCCTGGTTGACACACTAGAGGCAAGTTCTTTCCATTTCTCTGAGTCTCAGTTTTTTCTTCTCCAAAATAGGAGTTTTGGTCTCAAGTCATACCGTACCCCACAGCAATGACAGATCAGAGCACATTGATACCAGGGTTTTCCCGCCTTCCTTTTCTCCCCAGTACAACACTCCAGTAGATATTGTCATCAAATAGAACTGACTAAAAAGATGAAATTTGTCAGCTAGGGTTACACAATCTATATGGTTTCTAGTCAGAATTTTAAATGACTTGAAGAGTATAGAACAAATGAACAGAAGAAAAGTGGATATTCTTCTTGAGAAGAAAAAAAACCCCGGCTAGGCATGGTGGCTCATGCCTGTAATCCCAGCACTCTGGGAGGCCGGGGTGGGCAGATCGCTTGAGCTCAGAAGTTCAAAACAAGCCTGGGTAACATGGCGAAGCCCACTCTCTACTAAAAATACAAAAATTAGCTGGGTGTGGTGGTGCATGACTGTAATCCCAGCTACTTGGCTGGGTGAGGCAGGAGAATCGCTTAAACCCAGGAGGCAGAGGCTGCAGTGAGCCAAGATTGCACCACTGCACTCGAACCTGGGCAACAGAGTGAGGCCTTGTCTCAAAAAATAAAGAAAGGAAGGAAGGGAGGGAGGGAAGGGGGAGGGAAGGCCCTTAAATACCTAATTTTTACCAAGAACTGTTGTTTCAAAAGAGTACCACATTTAAAAAGGAGAAACAAAAAGGAAAAAATTTGGATATCATAAATATTAAACTTTGTGGTTTTCCACAACAAATATTAATATAAGTAAATAAATTATCAACTAATAGTAATTCTTATCAGATTTACTCTAACAGGTAACTATTAATTATACGCAAATCTGCAATGGGAAAAATTGTAAACTCACTTTCATACTAGATAGTGCATTGTACTAGGCCACTGTGCATGCTATAATGTTGTGAAAGAGCTCTCATCATTCCTACTTCAGACATTTTCAGTTTTGCTGCTGTGTGACATACAACACTGGTAGAAGCAAGAGACAGGCAAGAGCTACAGACAACCAAGTAATGGAAAAAACATTACATAGTAAAAGCAAGAATTTTACACTGGAAACCCATTTTCCCTTCCTGGAATATGCATATGTGGACACTTCAATAGCTTGAGGTAGTATTATTTTGTAGGCATTCATTTCTCCTCCTCAAAGCATTTTACATATAGAAAAGTTCCACAAAGAGGAGGTTATCAGATTCCTGGGGCTTCTATTAGCAAAGGCTAGAGGGTCTCAACCCTCTGAGGGAAGGGAAGAAATGCCAGGAGTGAGCAATAAAAAGTCTGGCAACCCAGAGCAGCTGGCCCTGTATCTCTCTATCCATGGGTATAGCAAGAAAAGGAGTGAATCTTAGGCATTTTATCAGTTAAAAAAAAAAAAACAAAAAACAGAACAGAACAGTTTAGAGTACATTTGCTGTTTGGAAGAAAACTAAACCCTGAAGATCAATGTCGCCATGATTATGTGTGCTACAAAAACCAGCCTGAACTTTTGTATGCTGTCGATGATCTCAAAATGAGTCATTCAATTGTGAATCCCTTAACATTTAAAAAATATATGTTAATTTTAAAAGACAAATTGAGTATGTGTATTTTGATGAGCTAGGGCTTTTATTTTGTTTTTGAACGTCAGCTTAAGGATGATTAGGCAGCACAGTAAAGGCTGCTAAGTGCACTGAAGCCCTCGAATATGATTTTGGTTACTTTTTATTTCTATGTGGGCTTTTTGGTTTTGCTAGACCTTTAATTTGGACAAAGGAATGAACACCACTGTTTTGTTCCTAAGGGAGGTTCTTGATAGTGTTTTCTGTCTTCTAAAAATGAACTTACATATTAAAATTGGAGACAAGGGAGCTAAAAAATGAATAACAGTACTTTTGTTAAAAGTACAAAAGAGAGCAAAAAATAGAGATAAAAGCCAAAATTTCATTGTATTTCAAAATCATGGAATAAAATCTTAAGATGGTTGTCACGTTAGTACATTAGTATATTTCACTTAAGTTGAGAGACAGAATGGGAAAAAAACACTTCTAATTAATTGCCTGTTAGCTCTGTGACCTTGGGCAAGTCAGCTGTCTGGGCTATAACTGAGATGATCAGAGTAGTTCACTCAGATGATCTTTAAGACTCCCCTCATCAGGTCTAAAATCTGATGATTCCAAGTCAATCAATCCCATTGGAGAGAGGCCCTGAACAGCCTCTGATTTCTGCCTTCAGTTACAGTATTCTGAAGACCCATCTTTAATCTTCCAGCTACCTCCCCTTTCCCCATCACTTATGGCAACGAATGATCACATGACAAAATGACAGTCACTAGTCTCTCCTCCCAGGAAAATTGCTATTCATCCTGTCTTCATTAGCAGTTATACTCTGAGACCAAGCCTGTTTATCTGAATTAGAACAACAACACTCAAGAAGTAGGAAACCCAGTATTAATGTTGTCTGTTCAAATCAGAAAGTGCCTTGAGACAAACACCACCAAAGTAGTAAATCTGATCCTACCGAAAAATCATCTCTTCATTTTCTGAGGTAACTGCTATTAAAACTGATCAACTAGGCCGAGGCAGGAGGATCACAAGGTCAGGAGATCGAGACCATCCTGGTTAACACAGTGAAACCCAGTCTCTACTAAAAATACAAAAATTAGCCGGGCATGGTGGCAGGCGCCTGTAGTCCCAGCTACTCGGGAGGCTGAGGCAGGAGAATGGCATGAACCTGGGAAGCGGAGCTTGCAGTGAGCCAAGATCGCACCACTGCACCCCACCCTGGGTGACAGAGTGAGACTCCGTCTCAAAAAAACAAACACAAACAAAAAAAACTGATCAACTAAAAAAGCTGCTAAGAAGAAAATTCACTTTGAAAGCCACTGTTTTCAGGACACTTCTGAATAAACCCAGCACTCCTTATTGATGGCTGAAGCTTAGAAATTTGTACACAGTTAAGCCAGAAATACAACTCTCACTGGGTATTATTGTCCTGACTGTTCTGTCCATCTTACAATAAACAAAAACAGCAAACTCATTTCTATTTATGTGTGTGTGTGTATATATATATAATTTCCTAAGCAGATGAATCAATATGTTTTCATTTTCTTCAACCATTTCCATTCCTAAGAAAGAAGGTATTAGGGAGAGAGACGGTGGGACAGAGCTTTGAAACCTTCTGATGTTAATATCAAAACTGTTTATTTTCTTACTCTGAAACCTGGCAAATCCTATCAAACTGAATTAGAAGTTGTCCCTCATTCTACTCCCTTGAGTGTAGTTGTAAATTTCCAAACATTAAAAATTATGATGTAAATAAACAGCATTCAATGACTTGAACAATTAATATTTTTATGTCATTCTTATAGTAATATGCCAGACACTAAAGGTCAATGTGGAAGCAACAGCTAAAATTTCCTTCATAATGATAAAGAGTCAAAGATACCATCTCCTCAATGAAGATCTGTTTCTTCAGAAATAAAAAAAACACTCTATTAGGCAAGACAAGCAAAAGTATTTAAGTCTTAAATAAAATATGGAGCCCCAATAAAAATCTCCAATTCTTAGGTTTTAATTTTTTTAATGTATTTTAAAATTATTGTCATTTTGGCCTGTAATTCAGTATCTTACTTGAAGCTATAAAGGCAGGATCACATATATTCTGAATTTTGATACATATTCCTTTGGAAGAGGAAAATTATTTCTTTCAGTGTGGAAAAAAGCTACCACACCGCTAACAAAAGTCAGCCTGGTTCTAGCAACACCTGTCCCTCATTGCCCAGAGCATAAAATCTAAATTCCTGAGGCCCTTCGCATTTAGATCCTAATCTATCTTTCCAGATAATACTATTTTCTAAACACTCCTTCAGAACATAAGGCTTTTATATATAATTCTACTACCTAAAAATGTATTTATCCTGCTGGAAAACTTCTTTACATTCATCAAGAGTTACCTCAAATGCTACCTCTCCATGAACATTCTAGCATTCCAGACAGGGTTCATGACTCCTTTCTTTGGGTTCCCCAAATAGTTTGTTCTCTTTACTTTAGCAACTATCTCTTCATATTATAATTTATCTGTTCCTATGTCTCTCTTTCCATTATACTTAGTTAATACACAGAAAACATAGCATAGTAACAAACAGAAAGTGCTCAAGAAAAAAACAGTGAATTAATATGTGAAACCTTTAAAAACGACTGCCCCTGGCAAATGAGATATTTTCAATTAAAAATAAACCTATTTATTTAAGAATCTTAAGCAACCATGGACAAAGACCATATAATGTAAAAGGTCCTTGTCTTTAAAAATGTTTACTATCTTTCTGTGGAGCATTAGTTTAAAAGCTGTCATGGGAATTGCAAAGAGCATTTTTGGAAACAACTGGGGAACTGTGAATATGGGCTATATACTGGGTGGGGTTTAATGATCATATTGTCGATATGTAGAATGACCTTATTCTCAGGAGTATATACTAAAGTATTTGGAAAGAGGGTAATGATCCCATTTATTTTAAAATGATTGAGAAAACAACCAGATATAAATATAATATAAAGAAAGAGAAGGAAAAGGAGATAAAGTAAATGGTAAAATTTTAACTGGTGAATCAAACTGAAAGTATATGATTATGCATTGTATTATTCTTAAAATTTTTAAGCTTTAAAAATTTTAGAAACAAAATGCTGAAGATAAAAATATATGAAAAATTAAACTACATATAGAATGGGTTAAGATATCTGATACGTGTATGAGTGAATATACACATATATAGGTCAGTGTGTGTATATATTTACAAAGCAAAAACTGTTGGAAAGATACTAGAGTACCTCCCAGAATTTAAGGCTAAGTGGAGTTACTACACACCAAGAAGCAGGCAGAGACCAGGCAGCCCTGAGATCTCAAAAAGTTTGTCTGACAACCTTCCCTCTGGGATATGGTCACTAAAGTGATTCAGCTACCAAGAGCCCTCAGTTTCTGTACCTGTCTCTCAGCTCCAAATTCCCCTAGCATATTTCTAAAATGAGTACCAGTATTAACTGAACGGCACATGAATTTTTAAAAGTCATGAGTATCATTCTGTCTCACTCTCAAATTGATTTCAGTTTTTCAAATCCTGTTTCTATAAATCCAACCACAATTTCTCTCTCGTTGAAAAGTTTGATTCTTCAGAATAAGAAAACAAACTCTAATTCTTCAAAAGTACATGATAAGATGATCCTTCTGAACTGCCATGATATTCTTACCTAGATATTTTAAATTGGTTCAGTAAATTTTGTAACTATGCAAAGTCAATATACCTCAAATCCACTTTGTGGAGAGAAATAAATTAATATAATTACATCTATGTTGTTCACAGTTTTTGTTTTCCAGATAACGCTTATCTCAAGTGACCAGATAGCCCAGAAGCCCC
This sequence comes from Homo sapiens, assembly GCF_000001405.40. Lineage (NCBI taxonomy): Eukaryota > Metazoa > Chordata > Mammalia > Primates > Hominidae > Homo > Homo sapiens. Next base: position 119,752,941 of record NC_000008.11, read on the forward strand.
AAAATGAGGAGCAGGCAGGGTTCCAGCGGATTTGGGGACTTAAATGATGCTCTAGCTCCTTTTGTTATTGATGAATCCTCATTACCATTTCTTAAAACAATCCTCATTACCATTTCTTAAAACAATAACCATTAAGAAGATAATATAGCAGTGTGAAAAATTCTCATGATAAAATGCTATTTTAAAACTTTTCTTTCAACTATAACTATATAACACAACACACACACAATTATTTTTTCCTAAAGGCCAAATATACCCAAATCTTAATAAACCATGCCCAGCCAGTTTATTTTTCTTCTCAAGAATTATGTAATATTTCTTTTTGTAGTTTTTTTCAGATAAACTCTGTAACATGATTATATTACTTTTGCCATTAAATTTTTTTAAATCAAATAAAAAAAGTATTTCTTAGATCAGATTCATTCATTTATCCCAAAGGTTCAGGCTTGGAAAGGAAATGACAATACTCTGTAGTCCATCTTCGGTATCTATTGTCCAATGTTCTATAAAAACATTTTTTTAACCCTCCCAATTATTCATGCCACTCCCATTGTTCATATTGTTCTCATTTATTTATAAATCTGAAAAACTAAGTAATAAACTGTTTATGACTATAGCCTCACTGATCTCACTGGTTTAAATACTGGCAGAGAATTTTAAACCAAAGCAGAACTTTACTGTACTGCACACTATCAAAATTAAATACTAAACATCAGTCACAGCTTGAATTTGTACAATCAAACCTTCCAATGAGCTTCAAATGTTTTATAAAAATTGTCTCATTAATCTTGAACACATATTTATTTTGTCCAAAACATCTTCTTTAGAAAATAATAAAATAATTCTTCATATTTCACTATGCTTTCTTCAAATTTGTAACCTATCATGGTCAAGGAATCATGTATTCTGGTTAAAAAGGTATTCAATACAGCAGAGTGAGTGCCACATATGAACTGTTGAATGAACCTTTATAAGTTCCTGAACTTAAGTGTTAATTCCCTGGGTCTAAATAGCAGAAATAATAATATCTTTTAAGGTAGCCAAAGGAAGCAAATATAAAACATTATGTAAAAAGCAGCAATCATTCTTTCAGAGATTAAAGAAAACATTAGAAAAAAAATTAGCAATATTTTAGTATAAACTGGTTTTATGTGTTATTTTCTAAAGACCCTGAGGACAAGGTCCATCCTATTTTCAATTTTATTATATTTCACATAAATACCTACTATGGTGCCTTTACTCGGTGGTATTGCACTGTTATTATGAAACAGAAAAACAGAAGTTATACAACCACTTAACATCTCAATATTAGTGAACTAAGTAATAAAATAAAAGAATTAAAATTTGGTATTTAATTGTGAGCCAGTGAAGTAGCTACTAATGAGATAGGCAGGACAACTTATTTTCCAATATCATAGAGAGCAAATAAAGTGACATACTCAAACCTTTTAAATATTTGGATAGGCCAGGCGTGGTGGCTCATGCCTGTAATCCCAGCATTTTGGGAAGATGAGGCGGCGGATCACAAGGTCAGGAGTTCAAGACCAGCCTGGCCAACATGGTGAAACCCCATCTCTACTAAAAATACAGAAGTTAGCTGGGCATGGTGGTAGGCGCCTGTAATCCCAGCTACATGGGAGGCTGAGGCAGCACAATCGCCTGAACTTGGGAGGCGGAGGTTGCAGTAAGCTGAGATCGTGCCATTGCACTCCAGCCTGGGTGACAGAGCAAGACTGTCTCAAAAAAAAAAAAAAATGGATAAATATCCACTGCTCTCCCACTATCTATCTGCAACAACTCTTGCTCTCTTTAAGCAAAAGACATTTCAGCCTAGCTTCTGACTGAATCTTTAAACCATTATTACAATTTCAACCTATCACAGACATAAGGCAAATTTTCTTTAAAGGTACACATTTATAAATCAATAGGAAAGAATCAATAATTCAATTAAATAAAATGGCAAAGAATATGAGTAATTTGGAAAAACAGAAATACAAATAGCTCAAATATTGAGAAGCGTAACTATCATTAAGCTAGCATAACATTTTTGAGTATTTCATATGAGCCAGACACTGTGTTTTACAGACACTCATTTAATTCTATTTGTAGTAGGTATCATTATCACCTACATTTTACAAATGAAAACAGTTCAGACAAATCACACATTAAGTAAATAATTGAGCTAAGATTCAACCCTTAGCAAAATGGTTCCAGAGCTAGCACTCCTAAACACTGTTTTCTTACCTCTTGACCTCACTCAAGTAATAAATTAAAACTGTGATAAGGCTGGGTACAGTGTTTCACACCTGTAATCCCACCACTTTGGAAGGCCAAGGCGGGTGGATCAGGAGTTTGAGACCAGCCTGGCCAACATAGTGAAACTCTGTCTCTACTAAAAATACAAAAATTAGCCGGGCATGGTGGCACATGCCTGTAATCCCAGCTACTCGGGAGGGTAAGGCAGGAGAATCGCTTGAACCTAGGAGGTGGAGGTTGCAGTGAGCCGAGGCCACACCACTGCACTCCAACCTGGGCGACAGAAACTCTATCTCAAAAAAATAAAAATAAATTAAAAAATAAAAACTGTGATGAGATATCATGATCTCCACAGTATAGAACAATAATAATAAGTATTTTGAAAAAATACAGTCTGTATGTTATTCTATATGCACTACCTGCCTCTGGAAGGATACACAAGAAATTGGTTACCCCTGGAAAAGGCCACTAGATGGCCAGGGAAAGACGTGAGACTTACTTTTCACTCCTTTGTAACTTTCTGAAATAATAATAATACTTTGCAGGCTCATGTTTATAGCACCTTAACCATTTGACACTTTCATACAAATAAAGAGTTTTGTTTCCTCAACCACACTATGGAGTAAAGTGAGTATATCCTTAATAAATGTTATCACAGCCACCACTGTGAAGGTGTGATAGTCTACTTAAAAGAAAAAAAAAAATCTCAACTTTTACCTTTAGTTCTAAATGCTATTGAATTGAAAATCTGTTGTAAAATCAAAATACTCTAGTAATAATAAAAACAATTTAAATCCCTGCTCTCTCACCAGAATTCATAAGTTTCCAAAGTTGATCTACCAGGGCTTCATTGCATAAGGGAGACTCCATGTTCTTAGTAAATGGTGGGTTCTTAGTCAACATGTTGAGAATCTTATGCCTGAAAGATTAAAAAAAATTAAATTTTTGCTGACCTTTTACTGACAGATGCTATGAGTAGGAGACAACATAAACACTGAAAAATTATCTGTAGTTCCTCCTTCCTATTTTAACACTTTCTCTCTTAAATCTAGCTCTGTGTTTATTTAGTTTAATTTCCAAAGACATGATGTTATATCCTGAATATTTATTACGTGTTTTTTCACTAAAACACTCTGGGGTTTGGGTAAGAGAGTAATTAAAAAAAAATTCTGGTGGATTTGGTCTTTCTAAAATCACCTTACTGTGTGATGAGATCTTCTAAAACCTGACTCCACATAATCCTAACCAATCTCTCCCATCCCACTTTCTAAAATGAACATTCCACTCTGCTTAGATATATCTACAATGACTGGTCAGTAAGTATAAAAATCTTAACATGGAGCAAAAAAATCTACATATAGACCAAGAAGTCTGTATTTGAGATAATAAAATGAACATATATGTCATTACTGTATTTGTAAAACATGGAAATGTGCAGAAGTATTTTAAATATAAAGTTTGTAAAAAGTTTTCCTTAAAACAAGCTGAGGTTGAGAAGAGTATCCTAAAAGAGGGTAACATTTAAACTCCCCTATTGGGAGTTTTTATCTCATATCAGAGGCTACCTGAACATATTATGGAGTTCTCTAAAATACAGGGCAACGCAATGAAAACAAAATTTGGAAAAGAAAACATCCACTGCTATGAGTAGAAGACACCATTAAGAGGCTAGAAAAAAGAAAGGAGAAGTAAGAAGAAACCTACTGCAGTAGTCTAGCATTTAACCAGCTCTAGCACCAAGTTTGAGAAATTACTAAGAGTAACTGCAATGCTTGGATATAAGTGAGGAAGAAAGAAATTGGGTTGTAATTCTTATGGAGGTCAGCAAAACTTTAAAGAAGGTGAACTGGGGAAATTTTTACATTTAACTGACAGTAGTAAGACATTAAATTGGATTTGTAATTGAGAAAGAGATGGGAGAAAAGTGAAACTGCTAGGTTGTAGTGTAAGTAATTTAACCCCTTTTGGCTGCAATTTAATGTCTATAAACCTAAAAGATGTAGATTCTAACATCCTCTTGTGCTTTGAAATTTAAGACTGTGTAAAATAAGACTACGGAAGGATTATAAGAATAAAAGTGAAATGTAATTATAGAATGCAATTTACAGATATGTAATATAAATGGGGATATAAATCTTTATGGATATTTCATATCCATATTTTCATCTTTATATATAAACACAATTCCTCTCCTTCAGGCCTCATACTCTATTTCTAAGAGCCGATCAGTATTATAGGTAAATAACATATTTTAAAATGTGAGTTTGTTCTTTAGTGCATTTTAAGTTGTTATACTTTTAATTTGTTTGATGAAGAAAAGTGAAGTTTCTGTCTGGCTGCTTTCCAAGTCACCTAAATTACTCTAAATGCCAAGTAAGGTCTGCTAATAATTTTTTTTTTTTTTTTTTTAGCTGAGTGCGGTGGCTCACACCTATAATCCTAGCACTTTGGGAGGCCCAAGGGCCCAAGGGGGTGGATAACTTGAGGCCAGGAGTTCGAGACCAGCCTGGCCAACATGGCAAAACTCCGTCTCTACTAAAAATGCAAAAATTAGCCAGGTGTGGTGGCGCATGCCTGTAATCCCAGCCACCAGAGAGGCTGAAGCAAGAGAATCGCTTGAACCCAGGAGGCGGAGGTTGCAGTGAGCCGAGATCGTGCCACTGCACTCCAGCCTGGGCCACAGAGTGAGACTCCATCTCAAAAAAAAAACAAATAACTTTTATGTTGAAAATCAAATTTAAAAAGGACATGAATAAATGCAAAAGATATTCCCATATTTTCAAAAATCATAAACAAGCATTTTATGTGTAATCTGAAATTACTCAGTTCACTATAGGACTTACAAAATATCATAGCATCATAGCACATAAACTAACCTTACATAGGGTACAGGGTCATTCTGAATCATATTAAGTAGCCATTGCAGTTCTTCATAACTTCTGTCCACTGAAAATAAAAGAAAATATATTTGTTGTTAATTATAACAAATTAAATAATGAATAATGAGTGACAAGCAGGGAGTTTACATTTAATATTTAGGACTCTGCCTTAGCTGAGTTTTCAATCAGAGTTGAAGGTTATAGGTAAGCTCTTATATTTTTATGCAATGGCCACTTTGTAACTTTTATAAGTATCAAGCTATATATTAGAGCCAAGACATAAAGTTGCATCAATAATGTATTTTTTTACTAAAGTTCAAACCAATGGCAAGCATAACATAAAGCAAGTTGTAATTAAGAACCCTAAATTACAGATGATTAACTGGACAAAATCTGTTTAAATACAATTGTCTTCCTAGATGCTTAAATGATGGAGAGGTTTGACACTCAATGGTATCTCAACTATATTATATAGTATAGTCCACTGTTTTTGCCCAAGTGGCTTCTTCCATTTAAGACTAAAGAACAGTTTTACTTTTCAAGCATAATATAAAAGGCAGTTACAAAAATAGTGCTATGAATATAGTTGACATAAAATGACTAGCTATTTCCATTCACCTTTTCAAACAAGTTTTACTTTCATAATTTGAAAAGCTGTGTCTTCAGAATTTTATTTGCAATACTTTTCATTTCTTCCATTTTCTAACTTGAGTACCAGTATTTAAATTCATAGTTTAACAAAACATGAAGTCTGAAGTCATAGTTCACATTTAGACATGGACAAAAGCGAAGTGTCACAATTAAATTATATTCATAGTTCACATTTAGACACGGACAAAAGTGAAGTGTCACAATTAAATTACATCTATTAAAGTTTAGCATTCTTTTGAAAATCCTAATATTAGTATTCTATTTCATTTAAGGTAGTACTAACTTATAAAATCTTACTCATATTTATGAGACATTAAAAACTATCCATACATCTTGGGAAAGAAGACTGGCAACAATGACATATTTGGTGGATCTCAAAACTTGTCAAAACAGAAATGGAGAGAGATATAGGATTACATTTTCTTTCATGCCAAAAAATACATTTAACAACAAAATCACTGTTTTTATAAATAATTATTTCTAACAGGAAAGGATATTTTAACCTTCAATAAAAAGGAAGCACAAATGACAGTCCTTTTCGAAGTTGGGTCAACACATAAGAATATACACATTATGCTGTTATTACCCTTTATTTTCTGACTGTAAACAAGTATTTCTACAGAAATTTACCAAAAATTACAAAGATGTAAGTATACTTTCCCCTACTTAAAAATGAACCAGTATCTACTGAAGAACTTCTCTCAGCCCTTCCTCTCCTTCCACAGTCAGATAAAAGTTTAGCATACTTTTAAGTTTTTTACTCCTCTCATATTTTAGTGCTAGAATCTGGAATTTTAGACTTAGATTATATTTCCATGTTTCTTCTATTTTCATATTTTTTAAAAATTATTTTTGAAATATGCATTACATTTTACAACCAGTTTAACAAATATTTAGGCTTAAGTATTTGACAGGCATAATTATTCATCACTAGTTCTTTCATTTCACATTTTCACCAGTCTTGAGTTATTATTTTGACTCACATCCAGGTCAGCTGAAAATTATCTTTGGGAGTTATGTTTTTAAGAATGTTACATAAGAGATGCAGCTTTAATTCTCCAAGGCTACATGAGCAACAACTTTGGCAAAGCAGAAAATCTTGGGTCATAATTTTCCCTAAAAATGACATAGCCATTTGTTCACTGTCTTTTGAATCTACATATTCTAAAGAATTCAGAGGCCACACTATTCTTTTGCCTTGCACCATAATCTGGTTCTGATAGTCCTAGAAACTCACACATTTTCCCTTAGCCTTAAAAATTAAAATTTCATCAGAAACTACTGTAGGTCTGCTTCATTTACGCCCCCCCAGAGTATTCTGTTGTTTCTTGGATTACAGCTTGTCTTCTACCTGCTCTATTCTTCACGACTTTTTAACATTTCCATCTCTGTATCTTTCTCCCCTAAATTAAAAAAAAATATGTGTATTCTTCCCTTAGCGACTTTTTTGGCCTTATGTTTTTTCTATATTCATGATGCCTTGCCTAATTCCCCTCCTGAAGTTTGTGTTTATGTCTAGTCCTCTACTTTCACAGACACAAATTTTTATACAGGTGTGAGATGTTTTCTTGAATCCTTCTTAGAAATTTCTCAAAAATATTCTATTTCCTAAAATAACGTCCAATTAAAGCTACAGGATGAAAACTGACTTCTTGGAAAGGCTAAAGATACCTATAATTTTATTCCTTTCCCTCATTTATTAACTCTTATGTGAATTCTACATTTATCAAAGATGATTTCTAAATCACTAAGTCAAGAATTTAAAATTAAAATATCTGTGTTATACATATTACGAAAACCCCAACAACACTGGCTTTAAAAAGTAAATAGTTCTTTCTAAAATGATATGAGCACGTATTTCTAAAGTATTACCTTTAGTATAATCAACAACTGCTTCCAAAGCTGCTATCCTAATGTCCACAAAGTGGCCATATTCAGCATAAGATTTAAAAAGAGCTGGATCACTTGGCACATGTCCGTTCTTCTGAAGTACCCGTATGGCTCTCAAACAACTAGGGAAAAAAATACGTATGTTAACTACTTTCACTGAGGTATTATGAATCAGTTTGTTTCCTAGGCATTAGAGAATCCTTTGTGGCAATCAATTTAAAAACTGATGTGATTTTAATCCACCTTCAATTTTGTAATAGAGTCACAAGCCATATAAAAGACATCTTAGTCAATGATGAACTGCATATACAATGGTGGTCCAGTAAGCTAAAATTAATTTATCACTAAAGAAAAAATATTTTTAATATGTTTAGTGTAGTCTAAGTCCACAGTGTTTATTATGTCTACTGTAGTGTACAATAATAATGTCCTATACCTTCACATTCACTCACTACTCACTCACTGATAAACCCACAGCAGCTTCCAGGCCTGCAAGCTCCATTTATCTTATGGTAAGTGTCCTATACAGGGGTAACATTTATTATCTTTTATACCGTATTTTTACCATACCTTTCATATGTTTGGATATGTTTAAATATATAAGTACTTACCATTGTGTTATCAATTACCCACAGTATTCAGTATAGTAACATGCTTTACAGCTTTATAGCCTAAGAGCAACAGAGCAACAGGCTATACCATAAAGCCTAGGTATACAGCAGGCTACACCATCTAGTTTGTGTAAATATATGCTGTGACATTTGCATAAACAACAAAATTGCCTAAAGACTAATTTCTCAGAACATATCCCTGTTGTTAAGTGACATATAAGTATAATAAATTTTTGCAATGATAAAAATTCAAAATTAATATCTAAAGTCTGTTAAAAGAAAACAAATTCCAGCTGGGTGTGGTGGCTCACAACTATAAACCCAGCACTTTGGGAGGCCAAGGCAGGTGGATCACCTGAGTTCAGGAGTTCGAGACCTACCTGACTAACATGGTGAAACCCCGTCTCTACTGAAAATACAAAAATAGCCAGGCATGGTGGTGCATGCCTGTAATCCCAGCTATTCAGGAGGCTGAGGCAGGAGAATCACTGGAACCCAGGAGGTGGAGGTTGTGGTGAGCCAAGATTGCGCCACTGCACTCCAGCCTGGGGAACAAGAGCGAAACTTGGTCTCAAAAAAAAAAAAAAAGAAAACAAATCCCAAAACTCAAAGTTTCAAGTGTCATTATACTTGTTACAGGAATAGTTTTAAGAAAAAGAAGTATTTAGCATAAAATATAAATATTTTCTCCAAATGTTTTAGTAATATAGTTTGTTCACTATATAGAAAGTTAAAATTGTTTATGTTTGAATCAACTTTTAGCAAACTCTTAAATTGGCAGAACTGCATGATAGCCATATAAAGCTGGTAAAAGTGAAAAGTCATCTTAAAAAAAGGCTAACAATAGAGAATGTTTATATAAAATCCAACGAAATAAAAGAATATGCAGACATCAAAGCAATGCTTATGAAGAATTTGTGATGACATGAGAAAGTATGATATAAACAGAATACAAAACTACATATACAGTATAATCTCAAGTAATTAAAAATTTATGTAGTTAAAGAGAGAAAAAATTTAGAAGGACATTCTCCAAATACTAATAATTTATCTGTGGGTGGTAGAATCATACAGAATTTTAGTTTTCTCATTTTACTTTACTATATTTCCCAATTTTCTATAACAAAAATAAATTTCTTTTACAGTTATAAGAACATATAACTTTAAAGTAAGGAATTTAATCATACCTGACAGTGATGGTATGCCTGTAACTCGGAAGAAGTTTTTCCATATTCAAAAATCTGGTGATTTCTTCAAGAATGAGTCGCACATCAGGATTTAAGTTATCCAAAGTTCTAACTTCATTATTCACACTGACTGCAGGTGTAACAGAGTTGGCCAGGGCATCAATCATTTCTGCACGATAATAGTTATCTGAAAACTAGGCCAAAGAAAAATTAAGTGAAGATAACAAAATTAACTCTTCTGATCAAAATTAACAAAATAAAATTTGTATAATTACATTTTAGATAAAATAAAAATTTTCCCAAAACACAAGCAAGTCCTCTGGTAAACATTCAACTCCACCCTTTGCATGTGGTCACTCTGAAAACAGTAAGAGATTCACTATAACAATACATTAGTTTACTGATGGAAAACTAATGATAGAAAATAGGAGGAAAGCATAAAGAAACTGGAGGGTTAATGTAGGAGTTCTAGCCAGAGAAACAGAAAAGAGAAGGAAGCCACTAAAAAAAAAAACAAATCCTAATCTACATGGCAGTCAATTCTCATAGAAGCAATTTATTGAAAGGTGACCTGGATATGGCTTGATTTATACTCAGCAAATCAGATGCTGTGGCCAGGGAAATTCAACATGGAGCAAGCAAATGAATTCTATCAGCATGCTGAGAATATTTTGTGATAACACAAACTGCCAAGAGACTGGAAGAAGACTATCTGCCCGCTATTGACTTCTATTGTGGAGGCAGAAGCTCACACTGACACACATAATGCAGAGTCCCTAAACATTTTTATGTTCAAATACGGGGCAGGAAAAAAAGCAAGGCACATACAAACAAACAACACCAAAGAAAAAATACCCCAAAAGTATTCACTATAAAGTTTTGCTTTCAGACCACTATAATGATTGAAATTTTAATTTCTATAGCTTCAGTTTACTGGAGCCACAGAAAACAATCATGTGACTTTGGGTAAATCTCTTAACTTTTATAAGCCTCAATCTTCTCACATGAAAACTGGGACAATAATAGTATTTAAGGCTGGGAGTGGTGGCTCACGCCTGTAATCCCAGCACTTTGGGAGGCCAAGGCCGGCAGAACACTTAAGGTCAGGAGTTCGAGACCAGCCTGGCCAACATGGTGAAACCCCATCTCTACTAAAAATACAAAAATTAGCCAGGTGTGGTGGCAGGCGCCTGTAGTCCCAGCTACTCGGAAGGCTGAGGCATGAGACTCACTTGAACCCAGGAGACGGAGGTTGCAGTGAGCCGAAATTGCACCACTGTACTCCAGCCTGGATGACAGAGCAGGACTCCGTCTCAAGTGAGCCGAGACTGCACCACTGTACTCTATTTAGCCTGGGTGACAGAGCAAGACTCCATCTCAAGTGAGCCACGATTGCACCACCGTACTCCAGCCTGGGTGACAGAGCAAGACTGTTTCAAAAAATAATAATAATAGGCTGGGCGTGGTGGCTCACACCTGTAATCTCAGCACTTTGGGAAGCCAAGGCTGGCAGATCATGAGGTCAGGAGTTTGAGACCACCCTGACCAACATGGTGAAACCCTGTCTCTACTAAAAATACAAAAATTAGCAGGGTGTGGTGGCACACGCCTATAATCCCAGTTACTTGGGCGGCTGAAGCAGAACTGCTTGAATCTGGGAGGTGGAGGTTGCAGTGAGCCGAGATTGTGCCACTGCACTCCAGCCTGGGTGAGAGAGCCAGACTCCATCTCAAAAAAAATAAAATAAAATAAAATAAAAATACATAAATATAGTATTTATTTCAGCGGTCTGGTGGGGATATTAGATCATCTATGTTTTGGCATAAGGCATGGAACACACAAGAACTTATTATTAGTGTTACCTATTGTAGTTATTATTTGCATTTACGCTATCCTTAGTATTCTGAAGTACTAAGTCATATAAAACTACTGAATTTACAACACCTAACTATAAAAACTGATTAGCCTTCTTTTCAAAATGAAAACACAGTGAGTCTTATGTGGTTCCACAACAATAATGAAGTATAAAATTTAATAATATACCAGTGTGTGCCACACAAAATCATAAATGATGACAAGCATAATGGCATGCTGTAAAGTAACATGGTAATACTAAAAACATTACCACACAAATGGGTAGCAGGGCCTTACAGCACAATTCCCAGAATACATTTCCTGTGTAATTTTAGACTCTCAATTTCTGTGTCTTACTTTTGTCAAACAAGGGTTGACAAACACCTTCAACCACAGGAATAGGCACATTTCAAAGAATTTAAGATGAGTAAAATCACTATACAAAGTAGAAAGAAGTATAAAGGAATTAAATTATATAAATACTCCACAAAAAAAAGACATAATGTATAAAACATCTTCCTCTTCCATTTGAATATAATGTGATTTGCCACCATCCTAAATTCTAATTTCTTCAAGTAAAGAAAATTCAAGTGTAGGGGAAAAAAGGAACACTAAAAATTAAGGCCAAAATAAACCAGCAGACTAGGAAGGAAAGAATCTTACCAAAATGTCTTTAATTTTTTATTAAAAAAATACGTATTTTAAATCCAGAAGACAGTAGGTCAGGTATAACAGTTCTCAAAGGAAATAAAATATCTGGTTGAGAGGAAATTTAAATCTAATTTATCTCCACTGTTGTGTTTTTGCTATTATACAATGTAATAAGTTCTGCGGGCTTTGTGATTAAAGGAGATAAATTAAATACTTCCTAAATAGTAGCCAGATAATGATTGAGAAAGTGACTGTGACACAGAGACACAATTAAATGAATATATAAATATAGGCATCTAGTACTTGTCAAGTGTTCTGGAGACACAGAGATAAGATGACTTCTTCAAGACAAGAACTATTTTATTTGCAAGCAAAACAGAAAAAAGAGTAAGAAGACAGGAAAAGTAATCAAATTGTTCCAGGAGTCAAGAAAACAAAACAAAATGAAACAATGCATCCTATCAGGAGGATACGCTGATCTTAGAAAAATAAGGAGTTTTTCAATAGGTAGAGGAAGGAGAAAGGCACCCTTGGGTTAAGGAGACAACATTAACAAAAGTACAAGAGGCATGAAAATGAGTATGTTAAAGGAAAAGTTACTGATGCAACTTCACGGTAAAGGGGTACAAAGCTGGAGGGGTGGACTGGGACCACCAACATTCAAAATGTTTTTGAATGCCATGCATAAACTTACTTATAAGCACTGGACAGTCTTTGAAGGTTTTTAAGAAGGGAATTTTTTTAAGGAGGAAAGAAATTCAGGTGAGCTCCATCACAAAGATTACTCTGGTTTAATTATAAAAATATTTTAAGAGGAAAGGTATTGGGATATTGAGCTAGGAATGATGATAATGTTGCAACTGCTAATGATAGGTAACATAACTGTCGGGATTCCTCTAAGTGCCTTACATATATTATCTTGTGTAATCTCCACAAAAACCCTATGAGATAGAGGTACTATTACTAACACGCTTTTTCTTAATAGATGAAGAAACTAAGACACTGAGATTAAGTAATTTGCTCAAGATGACACACGTTTTTCAGGAGTCCAGGGAAGAATAAAGGCCTGAACTAGGATGCTGAAATAGAAAAGACGATGTAGGTATCACAGCTGCTGAAAGGAAGAATCAAGTCTTATGCTTGGTGATATACACTACAACTATGATATTACATTCAATTTAACTTCACAAATAGATTCATTTTTACAACTTTATCTCAGCTAACCTACTTAGCGATTTAGGAATCTATTGTAATAAACTATTTCTATATTTCTTAATATTATCCCCACACATCAGTGGTTCTCAACACAATTCTGCCCGTCAGACTTTCTGGCAATGTCTAGAGAGATTTCTGGATATCATAACTGAGGTAAGGGGTGCTACAAGCATTTAATGGGTAGAAGCCAGGGATACTGCTAAACATGCTGCTGTGTACAGGACAGCCCCACAACAAAGAATTATCCAACCCGAAATATTAGAGGTGCCATGATTGAGAAAACCTGTTATACATGAAAGAGTATGAATATTTTACATCATAAAGCTACAGCATGAATAAGGCTGGATAGTCTATGGAAGTTCTGCTTACCAGTGACGACTTATGGTGGCTCACACCTGTAATCCCAGCACTTTGGGAGGCTGAGGTGGGTGGATTACTTGAGGTCAGGAGTTTGAGACAAGCCTGGCCAAAACAGTGAAACCCTGTCTCCACTAAACATACAAAAATTAGCTGAGTGTGGTACAAAAATTAGCTGAGTGTGGTACAAAAATTAGCTGAGCATGGTGGTGGATGCCTGTAATCCCAGCTACTCGGGAAGTTGAGGCAGGAGAATTGCTTGAACCCAGGAGGCAGAGGTTGCTGTGGGCCGAGATCACACCGCTGTACTCCAGCCTGGGCAGGAGAGCAAGACTCTCTCTCAAAAAAATAACAAAAAAAAGTTGCTGATGGAAGATACATGATATATGTAGGTATATAGTAACCTCTTCTGGAAAAGTATATAAATAGGGTAAAGAAGCGCTCTCAAAATCATTTAAAAAAGTGTTACACATGCTTTCTGATTTACACACATACACATATGTGCACACACCTGCATATATCTTCTGATTCTGTAAGCCTCCACAAATTTAATTCATATGACACAGAACTGACAGCCACTTACTATAGGGGGATAAACAGGACTACCTTCCAATCTCATCAATTCTTATAATGTGATTGATATAACTTTGTGGAGGAAGAGTATCTAAAATGAAATAAAAATATAGATTAATATATTAACACTGAGGTTCCGGTTCAAGATGGTTGATTAGAAGTAGCTAGTGGGTGCCTCTCTCACAGACAGGAATCAAAGTAACAAGTAAATATGAACAATTCAACTATTATCATCTTAAGAGGGCATGCTGTAATTCATCAGAGAAGCGACGGGAATCATGGAAAGCAGAGGAGAGCAAAGCCCAGCAGCCCGCTGAACCAGGGCAAGTGTGGAGCTGGAAGAAGCTCCCGGATGTGGGGAAAGGATAAGTGAGTGAGAGATCCCTGGGGTTCCACACTCCTACTAAGAACTTTTACAATCCTAGCAGCAGGGAGCCGACACCTCTTGGCCCCTCAGGCTTCCAGTCTAATACAGTGAGCTGCCCGAAGACTGTAGAGACGCTGCTGGAGTCTACGTGGAATCCCACAGGCTTTGGCCCCTGAGCAGTCAGGTGCCAGCTGCTACTGCCCCACCAGGGAAGGAGCAGGCAGACCCGGCATTTTCACACAACCCAAAGACAGATACGGCAGCCACAGTACAGAGCAGCAGGCAGACAGCAGAATGTGAAGAAAGTCTGCTTCAGCTACTGTTTGCTGAACAGGTCCCTGCTTCTTCAGCGCTGGGTCCACAGTGCAGCCGCCCTGCCACTGCATGTGTATTTTGGCTGTGGCCCAGTGTAGTGAGAGCCCAGCCCCAAGAAGCCAGGGACCTGCCCTTTGGCTCCTGCCACAGCAGTTTTTGTCACCACAGGCCACCACAGATGCCACACTGCCACCTCGAGGCCAGGGAGAGAGGGGGAGGCTGAGCACGTTTGCATGTCCCCAACAGCGAAATACACCTCCACTCCTATAAAAGGGAAGTGCAATCGGGCCACGCATCCCACAGCTGCCAGCCTCCCTTGCTCCAGCTGAGGGAGTCCGCCTTCCTCAGCGAAAGAACAGCAGCACGGCCACCCTGCTCCCACCCAACCGTTTCAGCTGCCAGCTGGAGCCCTTCTGAGAGCCCATGCTGACAGGTCTGTGATCAACCCTGGGGTTCCCACCACCTGCGTATTCTGCCACCAACTCAGCTGTTACTGCCTGAGGCTTCCCATACACCATCGAGCAGGCCATTTACAGGCTCTGGGCTTGGAGGTTTGCCTCGTCCAGTCCACTACCTCCGGCTTTGTACCCCTTTACCATGAAGGTGCATCATTAACTTTTCTCTTCCTTTACACACTGCATTTTCATGCCTCTTGTACTTTTGTTAATGTGTTCTTAACCCCAGGGCACCATTCTCCTTCCTCTACCTATTGAAAAACTCCTTATTTTTTCCTCTTGGTATTGATTTCTAATTTTATTCCACTGTGGTCTGAGAAGATACTTGATATGATTTCAATTTTTTTGAATGTATTGAGACTTGCTTTCTGGCCAAGCATATGGTCAATTTGGGGGAATGTTCCACGTGCAGATGAGAAATACATATTCTGCAGTTGTTGGGTAGAATAATCTGTAAATGTCTATTAGGTCCATCGGGTCTGAGCTTAGGCTGACCCAGCCAGCTGACAGCACCACAGCTGACACCCACCTGCATGTGCCAAAAGATGGAGCCCCTCTCCCTCTCTGCTTCAATCAGCAGCATTACCACATTGGAGAACAGGAAAGCCACAGAGCTGTCTGTATTGGGCTGAGTGAGGAGTTCCAGCGTGAAACCACTCCAGTGGAGAGCCAGGGGAGAGGTGTCTTCTGCGGTTCTCAATCACACTATGGCCTGGAGACAGACGACAGTGTGCATCTGCATGGAGAGTTATGAGCCCCAGTACAGGAGTGTGACAGGGAAAGAGATCACATTTCTGCCTGTCTAAGACTTGGAGCTAGTGCAGCCCCCCTGCAGAGACTTCAGTGCATTTCACTAGGAGCTCCACCAGCCACCCCCGTCAGGGCTGAAACAAAAAAGAGTACCACACAGTAAACAAAGATCAAGTACATACCCATCTGCTTTTACCACAGCTGGCTCTTACCTGGAAGCACCACCTACTGGCCTGTAGGCTGAACTGCATTACCCAACACAAACCCTAATAACAGAAATACACAGGGCTATAGAAGTACAGCCAAAAAAATACCCTACCCAATATACTGTATAGTTGCACCCTCAAGGTGGGAGGAGAGGAAGAGTCCCATCCAAACGAAAGTAAATTCAAAAATCAGAAGTGACAACAGCTACAGATGAGAAGGAATGAGCACAACTCCAGCAACACGAAGAAAGAGAATACTGTGACACACAAGCTCTCTTATCAGTGGATCCTAATGATTTCATTTCATCCTAAATGAAAACTTTGAAATGATGGATGAAGAATTCAAAATATGGATTGAAAGGAAGCCCAAAGAGACACAAGAGAAAGTTGAAAAGCAATACAAAGAAACCAGAAAAACAATTCAGGAGATGAAAGACCAGATAGATGTATTTTTAGAAGAGCAACAAACAGAACTTCCAGAAATGAAAAATTCACTTAAAGCACTTCAAAACACAGGTGCAAGCTTTAACAACACACTAGACCAAGCAGAAGAAAGAATTTCAGAGCTTGAAGACTGGTCTTTCGAATTAACCCAGTCAGAACTGTTTTTTTTTTTTTTAGACAGAGTCTCGCTCTTGTCCCCAGGCTGGAGTGAAGTGGCGCGATCTCGGCTCACTGCAACCTCCGCCTCCCGGGTTCAAGCGATTATCCTGTCTCAGCCCCCCAAGTAGCTGGGACTACAGGCACGTGCCACCATGCCCGGCTAATTTTTTGTATTTTTAGTAGAGACGGGGTATCACCATGTTAGACAGGATGGTCTCCATCTCCTGACCTCATGATCCGCCCATCTCAGCCTCCCAAAGTGCTGGGATTACCGGTGTAAGCCACTGCACGCAGCCCCCAATTTTTTTTTTTTTAAATGAACAAAGTCTTCAAGAAATATGGAATACATAAAGTGACCAAACCTGTAACTTATAGGCATTCCTGGGGCAGAAAAAAAAAAGTAGGAAGTTTAGAAAGCATATTTGAGGAAATAATTCAGGAAAATTTCCCCAATCTCATTACAGTGATAGATATCCAGACAAGAAATCCAGGTAACAACTGGGAGATAATGATACAAGACAAACCTCACAAAAGCATATAGTGGCCAGACCACCCAAGGCCAACATAAAAGAACAAATCTTAAAAGCAGCTAGAAAGAAGTGTCAAATCACCTATAAAGGAAATCCCATCAGACTTCTCAGCAGAAACCTTACAAGCAGGAAGAGATTGGGGGTCTATTTTTCATCTCTTTAAAGACAAAAATTGCCAGCCAAGAATTTTATATCCTGCCAAACCAAGCTTCATAAATGAAGGAAAAATAAAGTATTTCCCAGACAAGCAAATCAAGGGGAATTCATCACCACTAGAACAGACCTATAATAAATGCTCAAAGGAGTTCTAAATATAGAAATGAAAGGATGACACTCACCAACATAAAAGCACATGCAAGCAGAAAGCTCACAGATCCTATAATTACACAATTAAGGCCCCAAGGCAACTACCCACAACACTATGACAGGAAGAAAACCTCACATTTCAATATTAACCTTGAACAGAAATGGCATAAATGCTCCACTTAAAATATATAGAGTGGCCAGGTGCAGTGGCTCACGCCTGTAATCCTACCACTTTGGGAGACTGAGGGCGGACTGCCTGAACTCAGGAGTTCGAGACTAGCCTGGGCAACATGGTGAAAACCTGTCTCTACTAAAATACAAAAAATTAGCTGGGCCTGGTGGCATGCACCTGTAGTCCCAGCTACACAGGAGGCTGAGGCAGAAGAACTGCTTGAACCTGGGAGGTGGAGGTTGCAGTGAGCTGAGATCACGCCACTGCACTCCAGCCTGGGCGACAGAGCGAGACTCCGTCTCTTAAAAAAAAAGATATAGAATGGCATGTTGGATAAAAAACAAGACACTACCATCTATTGCCTAGAAGAGACCCCCTCAATGACAAAAGACACCTACAGACTCAAAGTAAAGGGATGGAAAAAGATATACTACGCAAATGAAAAATAAAAGCAAGCAGGAGTAGCCATTCTTTTTTACTTTTTTGAGACAGGTTCTCGCTCTGTTGCCCAGGATGGAGTGCTGTGGTGCAACCTCGGCTCACTGCAACCTCCCCGTCCTAGGTTCAAGTGACTCTCCTGCCTCAGCCTCCTGAGTAGCTGGGATTACAAGCATGTGCGACCACACCTGGCTAATTTTTGTATTTTCAGTAGAGACGAGGTTTCACCATGTTGGCCAGGCTGATCTTGTACTCCTGACTTCAAGCAATCTGCCCTCCTCGACCTCCGAAAGTGCTGGGATTACAGGAATAAGCCACTGTGCCCGGCCACGAGTAGCCATTCTTACATCAGATAAAATAGACTTTAAACTGACAATAGTAAAGAAAGAAAGAAGCAAAATGAAAGGCATTATATACTGACGAAGTTTAAAACAAAACCAAGAATTAATTTTATACACACCCAACACTGGAGCACCCAGATTCATAAAACAACACCTACACCTAAGAAGAGATTGACAGCAATGCAATAATAGTGGTGGACTTCAACACCCCACTGAAAACACTAGATAGGTCATTGAGGCAGAAAGTCAACAAAGAA
The DNA here is from genome assembly GCF_000001405.40 of Homo sapiens. Classification (NCBI taxonomy): domain Eukaryota; kingdom Metazoa; phylum Chordata; class Mammalia; order Primates; family Hominidae; genus Homo; species Homo sapiens. Next base: position 119,771,805 of record NC_000008.11, read on the forward strand.
ACTCTGGACTTAAACTAGAATCTAGACCAAATGGACCTAACAGACATTTACAGATCATTCTACCCACAACTGCAGAATATACGTTTTTCTCATCTGAACATGGAACATTCCCCCAAACTGACCACATGCTTGGCTAAAATGCAAAATCTCAATAAATTAAAAAAAATCAAAAATATCAAGTATCTTCTCAGACCACAGTGGAATAAAATTACAAATCAATATCAAGAGGAACTCTCAAAACTACATGAGCAAATGGAAACTGAACAACTTGATCCTGAATGACTTTTGGCTAAGCAATAAAATCAAGACAAATAAAAAAAAGAATGAAAATAGAGATACAACATACCAAAACCTCTTGGATACAGCAAAAGCAATGCTAAGAGTAAAGTTTATTGCATTGCATGCCTACATCAAAAAGAGAGATCTCAAATTAACAACCTACTTTGGATTGAACAAAGAAAATGTAGTCACAAAAAAGAACAAAATAGTCTTGTGCAGCAACATGACTGCAGTTGGAAGCCATTATCCTAAGTGAAATAACTTAGAAACAGACAAATACCATATCCTCTCACTTGTAAGTGGGAACTAAACAATGGGAACACATGGACATAAAGAAGGAAATAATAGAAACTGGGAATTCCAAAAGAGCGGAGGCTAGGAGGGAAGCGAGGGTTGAAAAATTACCTATTGGGTACAACGGTTACTACTCGGGTAATGGGTACACTAGAAGTCCAAACCCAACTGTTAGGTAACATATCAATGTAAAAACCCGCAGACCTACCCACCCCTTGAATCTAAAATAAATTTTTAAAAGATACACAATATAAAATAATAATATTAATTAAAATAAGGCCGGGTGTGGTGGCTCACGCTTGTAATCCCAGCACTTTGGGAGGCCAAGGTGGGCAGATCACCTGAGGTCAGGAGTTCGAGACCAGCCTGGCCAACATGGTGAAACCCCGTCTCTACTAAAAATACAAAAATTAGCTGGGCGTGGTGGCAGACACCTATAATCCCAATTACTCAGGAGGCTGAGGCAGGAGAATCACTTGAACCCAGGAGGTGGAGGTTGCAGTGAGCCGAGATCATGCCACTGCACTCCAGTCTGGTTAACAAGAGACAGACTCCATCTCAAATAATAATAATAATAATAATAACAATAATAATATTACTTAAAATAAGAAAATGCAGGAAAAGCACTTATGGTACCAAGAATGTACTAAGCACTCAATAAGTGAACATCAGAATCAACATCATCATTATTGAAAAAGCAAGCTTGGATTTTCTCAAAAAAAAAAAAAACCTATGGTTACCTTTCTTTAAAATTTTCCTTTTTTAAAAAGATAGGAGAAGAAATAATAGCAAAATTTAGCTACAAAATTAAACAGCACAATTACCTAATAAGTAGATTATTCTTTTCCAAATAGCATTGTGCTAAAGCTATTCTTATAATACACTACCATTTCTATTTATGTAAAAAAAAATACAAAGAAGTCTTAAGAGCTCAGTTTGCTGATAAGTTCCAAGTTAAAAGTTGATATACTTTCCATAACTTTCTAAATTCTAAATCAATCCCTCATTTCTTCAAGGCTACAATTATTTTCCCAACCCTTTCTCCCCATTCTTACTCCCCACCATCCTCTCTCAGATTTCTTAGACTTACAGAGGGTTAAATTTATATCTATATCCTCTTTGTACTTACATAATTTATACAATAATAGAAACTGGATTTATAGTAGGAGTTAAGATACTCACATCTTATGAGGTAAGTAAAAATATGAGGAAGATGGATCCATTTTCAAGAAATATGCCAAAAGTTATAAAAATAACTTCTAAAATAATGATCTTGAAACCTCTCAAATTCAATAAGCTCCCTCTCTATATATAGATTCTATAATTGACCACATATTCCTCCTCTCCTGTTCTTTCACCTCAACAACTTACAGCTCTCTCTAGATTCAACCTTTCCCAGGAAGCCTTTTCTGGCTTCCCCATCCTTAATTTGGGTTAATCCTTCCAAGCACTTCCTTAGCAGGTTAATTAACCTAATGTCATAATAATTGTCTTATTAAAAATATTGTTCTTGGCCAGGCGCGATGGCTCACGCCTCTAATCCCAGCACTTTGGGAGGCCAAGGCGGGTGGATCACGAGGTCAGGAGATCGAGACCATCCTGGCTAACATGGTGAAACCCTGTCTCTACTAAAAATACAAAAAATTAGCCGGGTGTGGTGGCGGGTGCCTGTAATCCCAGCTACTCGGGAGGCTGAGGCAGAAGAATGGCGTGAACCTGGCAGGCGGAGCTTGCAGTGAGCCAAGATGGCGCCACTGCACCCTAGCCTGGGGGACAGAGCGAGACTCCATCTCAAAAAAAAAAAAATTGATCTTTTGTATGTTTCTTTCACTACAGATTAAGCACCTGGAAAGATCATAAGTTACTCATCACAGTATCATCAAAACCTAGTATTAATGTCTATTAAATAAATGAACTTTAAGTGTCTGACTTAGAGAAAGATAACTAAAAGGTGTCTACTATTTTCCAGTATTTTATATATTTACTATGACATATAGGCTATTTACACACAAAGACTATCTACACCAAGCTTATTCAACACAGCCCAGAACAGCTATGAATGTTCATAAACAAATTCATAAACTTCCTTAAAATATTGTGATTTTTTTTTGCAATTTTTTTTTTTTTTTAGCTCATCAGCTATCGTTAGTGTTAGCGTATTTTACGTGTGGCCCAACATAAGCCCTCTTCCAATGTGGACCAGGGAAGCCAAAAGATTGGACATCCCTGATTTACACGGAGAAAATTTATTTACAAAACCACATACTGACCTGATTAGTAAAACTGGTCCTAAAATCCCAATCTTGGATTTCTTTAAAAGCAGCAGAGATAATAACTTCCCCTTATATGCTCTTAGTCTTGTTACAAAGCAAATAGCTGAACTAAATTACACATTTGGCTTCTTGTAGTTATAGTGTTCCATGAGATTTGAACCTGGTGTTATTAGAAAGAAACTCCAGCATCATATGAATAAATAGCTCATTAAAAAATTTCAATTTTAGTAGGATCCTCAGAGCTATTTTAATGCAACATACATGGTAAAAACAAACAAACAAAAAACCTCTAACAAAGCCTAACATGACAAAAAAAAAGGACTTTATTAAATATTAAAAAAAATTGGAGGCCAGGCGTGGTGGCTCACACCTGTAATATCAGCACTTTGGGAGGCCAAGGAGGGCGGATCACAAGGTCAAGAGAACGAGACCATCCTGCCCAACATGGTGAAACCCTGTCTCTACTAAAAAAATACAAAAATTAGCCAGGTGTGGCAGCTCGTGCCTGTAATCTCAGCTACTCAGGAGGCCGAGGCAGGAGAATCGCTTAAACCCGGGAGGCAGAGGTTGCAGTGAGCTGGAATTGTGCCACTGCACTCCAGCCTGGCAACAAAGCAAGATTCCATCTCAAAAAAAAAAAAAAAAAAATTGAAAATCAAATCCCCAAATCAAGCATCAGAGAGTAATTCAAAAAATAATAGTAATTATGTGTTTTGGGTACATTTGAGGGCTTCCAACAAGCAGGCCAACACAATTTAAAGGTTGACTACAGCTGGGCATGGTGGCTCACGCCTGTAATCCTAGCACTTTGAGAGGCCGAGGCAGGCGAATCACTTGAGGTCAGGAGTTCGAGACCAGCCTGGCCAACATGGTGAAACCTCGTCTCTACTAAAAGTACAACAATTAGCTGGGCGTGGGGGTATGTGCCTATAGTCCCAGATACTTGGGAGGCTGAGGCAGGAGAATCGCTTGAACCTGGGAGGTGGAGGTTGCAGTGCACCGAGATCACGCCAGCGTACTCCAGTCTGGGTGACAGAGCGAGATTCCGTCTCAAAAAAGAATAATAAATAAATAAATAAAAAATAAACGTTGATTGCTGAAAAAACTTTAACGTGGTCCTGAAATTAACAACTTTTAAGGGAAATAATGGGAAAAATAAATAGCCAGTTATACCATCCATCAGATAAAATTTCCCTGGGAACTACTTAGCCACCTATCTATTGAGTGAAATAAAACACTAGATGACTTATGTTAATTTAGTGTTACTAGTTTTAGTTACCAGTTATTAGTTTTATTATTCTAATTTAGTATTAAATTACATGAAAATCTGAGCCATTTGAGCAAAACAATAATGAAAGAATAAAAAGCACATGCTTCCTAAAATTGGTATGCATAGACGAGCTTACTACTCATTAAAAAATGTTGGACTATCATAACAAAGGCAACTAAAAGATAACCTTGGACTCCTATGTCCCTAATATGCCTTATTCTGGGAGAGACCAATGATCATAGAGCCTATCAGAGATGAAGTCAACAGTATTAAACAACGTCAAGAAAAAATGAATTAATGTATTCTTTTACAATGTTAATTTTTAAAGGAGTCTTTACGCTTAAATTATTTGAATGTTAAACTAAAGAGGCAATGTTGTTTTCTTGATTTTCATTAAAAAGTCATCTTTTAATAAACATGCCTGTGCTTTTTTTTTTTTTTTTTACTGTTGTAACGTTTTATTAAAAGTTTCATCAATTTGGCCGGGCACGGTGGCTCATGCCTGTACTCCCAGCACTTTGAAAGGCCGAGACGGGCGGATCACAAGGTCAGGAGATCGAAACCATCCTGGCTACCACAGTGAAACCCCGTCTCTACTAAAAATACAAAAAAAAAAAAATTAGCCGGGCGTAGTGGCGGGTACCTGTAGTCCCAGCTATTCGGGAGGCTGAGGTAGGAGAATGGCGTAAACCAGGGAGATGGAGCTTGCAGTGAGCCGAGATCGCGCCACTGCACTCCAGCCTGGGCGACTGAGTGAGACTCTGTCTCAAAAAAAAGTTTCATCAATTTGATTTATCCTAACACTTACTTGTGTCTTTGTATGTGCTGTTCCTTCTGTCTAGAACAATCTTCCTACATGGGTCCTACTCATACTTTGGGAAAATCCTACTCATCTTTATGACTCAGTTTGAGGGTCACTACTTCTATACAAAACTTCCCTGAGTCTCTCCCTACATCCTTCAAAGTAGACACTATAGCTGACCCTCTCTCTATATATGTGGGTTCCATATCCATGGATTCTGCATCTTTGAATTCCACCAACCTCAGATCAAAATTTATTTGGGGAAGAAAAAGGAAGGTTGTGTCTGTACTGAACATGTATGGACTTTTTTCCTTGTCATTCTTTCTAAACAGTATAGTATTAACAATGATATATATGGCATTTACATTGTATTAGGTAGTATAAGTAATCTAGAGATGATTTAAAAGTATATGAGAGAATGTGAATAGGTTATATGCAAATATTATATAACATTTATATAAAGAACTTCAACATTTATAGATTTTGGTATACAAAAAGGGGGTCCTGGAACCAATCCCCCATGGATATTGAGAGATGACTACACTTTGCATTCCCCTAGGGAATCATATATATTTCCATTGTATCAATTATCACATGTGACTGCTGATTGCTTACTTGTCTGATTTCCCTATCAGGTTGTGTCCTTGATGGTGTAAAATCAGACTAATATAGAGCAGTTTTTTTAATGAATAAATAAAGTTCATTAAGACATCAACCATCTTTTCATTCCAGCTAACAGGGGACACTCTCTAGCACAGCATATACTCTTAAAAACATTTGCTGATTGTTGGAATGATAACAAGTAAGATAAAATAATTTTTGAAGCAGGACATCCAATTGCTATTTGCTAAATAAATGAATAAAGACACAATGGTAAAGAAAAGAAAAAAGGTCAAATGAATCAAGGAACAAGTTAATCCCAATCGAGAACTCTTTTCTAGGTATCATTAGGTGAACAAAAAATAAATCAATGTAAATAAAATTGTGCTGTCAGGTTTTATCAAGTTTTAACTGGCTACCCCAAATCTGATGTACTACTCTCTCCACACTACAAGAGGTTTGAAGAACATTTAAAAACTAATATTGTTTTTTATCCACTGGTTATTCTAATAAATCGTGTTTACATGCCTCTATCTCTAGAAATGTCAAGGACTGTGGACAGTCATCAAGTACGATGATTTTTATAGACTAAATATTTATTTAGAAACAAAATACCATTGGGTAGTTCTGTAATATTCATTAAGAAAATTATCTAAGACAACTGTTGTAGAAGATTTAAAAATAAAAGTACCTCACCTTATTTTTCCTGTTGTCATTGTACTTGATTAAGTCTAAAATAAATGTTAAGACTTCTTTAGGACAAAGATTATGAACATCTCTTAATAAAGCCATTGCAACTGGCATAGTCTACAAAAGAAAAAAAAGAACTTTTAAAAGCACAGAACCTAACTTTTTGTTACTACAATTCATTGAACTATAAATAGAAAAGGGTTACTCTTGGGCTGACATAGATATCTGGATGGAGCCTAACACCTCCACACCCCAACCCCTCCCACTGACAACATATCTCAAAGCATTCTAACATAAGAGAAGAGCTGGGCAGGAAACTAAGGGAAGAGTTCCATGACTGCACATCACTCTGTAGGCTATGTGCCTTGGCCTTCATTTGCTGGAGGAAATATATGTGATGTAAATTATATAAATTCACTTCTATGTGATACAGTGGAAAAGGCACAGATTTTAGAATTACTTCTGTGTGATACAGTGGAAAAGGTACAGATTTTAGCATTAGATGGACCATTATTCAACTCCTAAGCTCTACTACCTTCTGTGCTAGGTGCCTTTAGCTCGTTGCCTATTGAGTAGGAGCCTCATTTCCTCACAATCATTTTCAGCAATAAACGATATAAGTAGGTGGAGCCAACCTTCAGTCTTAGAACAAATTGATTGTCCCAACACCTAATCCTCATGAACACCCAATCCTCAACCTAAGGACAAAATGGTAAATTATCTGAAATGCAGCCTAATTTTTCTCTTTCCAAATTTTCATAGGCAACATTTTTAAGAATGTAGAAACATGACTTACACACACTGGTTAACTCTATCAGTAAAACAAAGCTAATTAAATGCTAGGCAGGACTACAGATGCATAGACATCTCAGTCTTTAGCACATGGCGAGATATGGACTAGCCCCTCTTCTTACTCAAAATAACTATATCCTCTAAAATGGAGGTCAGAAAGGAAAATGGCTCATTTTCTTGCTTGAAGAAGCAGAGATAACAAGAGCAACAACAGTCAGTTTTAGTACTATAGGAACAACTGAGGGAAAGGCGCTTTTCCGTAGAAATACCTGTCTTATGCCTTTTCTGCCCTTTGAGACTCAAGTTTCATTTAGGCACCAATCTCTCTCTCTCTCCTGTCCACTAGAAGTATTATCAGAAAGGTGAATTGGTATAAAAGCACTGACTTTCCAATTTTTTTGACAGTAGCTAACAGGAAAAAATACATTTTGTAACACAACCTAAGACACACACACACACACACACACACACACACACTTCAGATGCAACGTATACAAATTTAAAAGTGAACCCCAAATGCCTTATATTGAATACTACCTATTCTGTTTTATTTAAAAAAAAAATAAAAATAGAAATAAAAACTACACTGATTTCATGATCCCTTCACTAATGGTTCATAACTCCAATTTGAAACACTGACCTAAGCTACATGAAAGCACAGTGGCATCATGAGACAGATATATCAGGTGGACACAGAAATTAACTTGCTTCTATACCATAAATTCGTGAAATGGTAATACAGAGCAGTTCTTAAAAACAAAATAACAGGATGCCACAGACTTCTTTGATCACACCATTATTACCTTTCCCAAAACTTGGATCATCCTGAATCTGTCCTGATTAGATTTACTATAAATACATTCTGGCTTCCACTCTCAAAAGGCACCCCAGTGCTGCTGTGCAACCTACTTCTTTTCCATCGTAAATAAATTTCAACTTGCCTAACATTCCCCTCAACATCTATCTTTTCACTTGTTTTTAATCTACATTCCACCTGCCTCAAAAAAAGGAATGTTGTTTTCTAAAATTTACTTCCTTAATGTGCCCCACCCTCTAACACTTCCAGAACTTGCTCAGCCGTCTCTATTTACTTTCTCCCACCTGACTATTCCATCTCTGCCTCTTCACTGGCTCTTTTCCCTGTGTCATACATGCCTCAAGTTTGTTCTTCCCCTGTACAAAACAAACCCAAGAAGTCCTTTTCTCAACCTTGCTTCATCCTCAACATAGTATCCGTTCTTATATCTTTGACTAAAATCTTGAAAGAATAGGCTTCATTAGTTCTCTCTACTTCAACTTCACTCCTCCTTTCTAGTTCAATCTAGTTAATCTGATCTCTGCCTTCATTATGAAATTACTAAAAAAAAACCTCTATGTATGATATCCAAATAGCTCAAATGCTGACCATCCTGTCATTCCCATATCCTTTCCTAAAACAATGACTCTAACCACCACTTTCTAAAAATTCCACTTATAGAAAACTTAATATAAGCATAGCATAAAACACTTTACATACTTGATCTTAATTCCAAAAAAGATAAATTTTAAACTGAGGTGCAGAAGGTTAAGAAACTTATGCATGTGCAAACTGCTAGTGAGTAGTGGACTGGGACTAAAACTAGAGCTCTATGCTGTGCTGTCTCTGACTCAGATGTGCTGTCCACATTCTAGGACTGCCAATCGAAGGGCTTACTCACTTCTCCATCCCCCAGGTAACCAACCAAAAAGGCAAATTAAACATTTCTGGACACTTTAATATTAATGTGGCCAATGAGTTACTTGCACACAGATCACAAAATCAATAATCACTTAATCAAAGTTTGGAAAAATGTTTAAAAGTAAAAAAAGAGGCCGGGCGCGGTGGCTCACACCTGTAATCTCAGCACTTTGGGAGGCCGAGGTGGGCGGATCACAGGGTCAGGAGATGAAAACCATCCTGGCTAACACGGTGAAACCCCATCTCTACTAAAAATACAAAAAATTAGCCAGGCATGGTGGTGAGCGCCTGTAGTCCCAGCTACTCGGGAGGCTGAGGCAGGAGAATGGCGTGAACCCGGGAGGCGGAGCTTGCAGTGAGCGGAGCTTGCGCCACTGCATTCCAGCCTGGGCGACAGAGTGAGACTCTGTCTCAAAAAAAAAAAAAAAAAAGAATGGAGGCAAAGAAAGTAAACACATCTATTATTTGAACAGTCTCCAACTTAAACTGAAATATATAAAAACCATGAGAAAATTAGAAAGTAAACTGTACCTTCTGTAGAAAATAGCTTTGAAAGCTCATAAAGTTGTTTGTTTTCACAATGTTTGGACAACTTTTACAACAAAACATCCTAGTGAAGAGTGACTTCATGGCTGGTGGTCCTGTCCATGTGCTCACCATTGAATTTGCAATCTGCAAATAATTAGAAAACAAAGTAATTTCCATTACCAATGCAAACATACTTTAAAATAAAACAGCTTCTTAAAAGTTATCAATACTACAACTGGATTGGGTTTTCAACAACTTCACTTCTCAGAAATTTATAACAATTTAGCATTTTATCACCATTTCCAAGAAATTATACAAACTCACCCTGCAAAAAAGTTCTTTTTCCAGCCAGGCATGGTGGCTCACACCTGTAATCCCAGCACTTTGGGAAGCCGAGGCGGGTGAATCACCTGAGGTCAGGAGTTCAAGACCAGCCTGGCCAACATGGTGAAACCCCATCTATACAAAAATACAAAATAAATTAGCCGGGCATGATGGCGGGTGCCTGTAATCCCAGCTACTTGGGAGGCTGATGTGGGAGAACTGCTTGACTCAGGACGGGGAGGGGGAGGTTGCAGTGAGCCAAGATGGCACCATCGCACTCCACCCTGGGTGACAGACTCTCTCCAAAAAAAAAAATTATTTTTCCTCTTTTTTTTTTTTGGAGATGGAGTCTCGTTCTATCGCTCAGGCTATGGTGCGATCATGGCTCACTGCAACCTCTGCCTCCCGGGCTCCAGAGATTCTCCTGCCTCAGCCTCCTGAGTAGCTGGAACTACAGGTGCAGACAACCACACCTGGCTAATTTTTGTATTTTTGGTAGAGATGGGGTTTCACCATGTAGGCCAGGTTGGTCTTGAACTATTGACCTCAAGTGATCCGCCTGCCTCGGACTCCCAAAGTGTTAGGATTACAGGCGTGAGCCACTGCACTCGGCCGAAAAAATTCTTACATGTATTTATAATTATTTTCTACAAGTTAATTTCTAAATGGCAGTATTAAGTTTTAGAAAAATATGTATGCAAAAGACTTATATTTTGAATAGTCTGTCTTTATTCGTTTAGACAGATATAATTCTAATATTTTAACCTTATGAGACAGAAACATCATCATGAATTTTAAATAAGGTTTTTCAATCTACCCTAACTGAACCAGAAGCCAAATACAGTGCTACTATTTAAGGCTGTAAGCATGCTTTACAAAAGCATATCTTGCTTTACCCTATGTCTTGCTATTGATATTTTTAGGGTATATAAAAATCATGCCCCAAAAAATGAAATTATGATTAAACAACATATTCTACAATTTTATAGACCTGCTAAGATTTTAGCATACAGGGATCACAAAGATCTTTATAGAAACATTGAAATTATATCTTCTGCAGATGGTTTTATCAAGGAAAATCACTGCTTTCTCATATATCTGAGAACATAGGAATTCAACTACTCACTTATTATCATTAAAAATAAATCAAAACCATTATTAACTTGTTGAAATATAGGACATATGGATTTAACAGTGAGGAAGGCAAGAGTCACTAAATGGAAAATGAACCTATTATCAAGTTTTTAAAAAATACCTGGAAAACATTATTTCTGGACAAAGTTTTGTCTGCATTTTTCTGATTTTCATTTGTTCTACCTTCAGATAATTTGCATCTAAAAAACATATTTGGTTTTCTTAATTAACTTTTCTAGAATATTATAGTCTACCATTCTAAGTTACTTATCACTAATACCAATTTATAAACTCAAATCAACGTGAATAATTATTACAGTGGGATAATTAAGATTAATCAATCAATCAAGCACAGTGGAGCATGGTGGCACGTGCCTGTAATCCCAGCTGTGTTGGGGGCTGAGGCAGGAGTATCACTCAGGCTCAAGGGTTCGAGACCAGCCTGGGCAACATTGTGAGATCTTGTCTTTATTTAAAAAAACAAAATACACACACCCACAGACACACACACACACACACACAGAGATTTCATGTACTACAATGTAAAACATCACTCAAACCAAGGAATTGCTCACCAAATATATTCTTCGCTTTAAAAATGTGGTTGGCAATTCAACAAAATGGTGAAAATTCTCTTTGATTTTTAAAATCTAACTTTTCATTTTGACAATTATAAAATTATTCTGCATATCTATTTTCAGATCAAAACATGTTTCTTTCAAAACAGTCCTATTAATTTAAAAGCACTTTGGCAAAAGCTTTCAAAGAATCAGCTACCAAGTAAATTTAAAGACTAGGTGAATTTTAATTCATTTTCAGAGATACAAAAAATATATACAATAGTCATTTCCTTTATGCTGTATATAATCTCACCTTTGCAAGACAGAAGCAAGCTGACATTCTTACTCTGTAGAAACACTGCTCTTGTTCTAATATATCAGTGAGTGCAAGCCGAGATGCTGGAGTAGGGAATTTTTCCAAAGCCAAAATGGATTCCTGCTGTGCAACAACATCTCTCTCATAGCGGAGCTGATACTGCCACATAAAATCAGCTTGCTCAAATTCTACCTTCCTCAATACTGACATATCTGGGTCTATCCTTATCCACAGCAAAGGGGAATCAGCACTGCAAGAAAATACAATTTTCTTTTTAATTTAATTTTTAAACTTATCATCTATATATTTAGAAAATAAATACAAAGCATTTATTTACCAGGTTTCCTTTTAGATGTAGTATTCAAGACTGCCTGGAGTTTTACTGTATTCATTTTTTTAAACTGCACTGACAAATTTCTCATTATGTTTAACATATGTCAACTTTCTCACAATGTCTGATCTATATCAATCTTGCTAAAAAGATACTCAAAAATAAGAAAATATTAATTGTCTTTTACAAAGGACACTGAATCTCTCATTTCCCATCTGAAATTATTTTGGTGATTTTGATTTGTGATTATATGAGGCAAAAAAAGAATGAGATGAATTTCTTAATTTGTTTAGCTGACTTAAGACTTTTTAAAAATACTAGACTCACGATCGCCTTTTTCAAACAGCAAGTTCTGAAATCATAATTTGGAGGTATATCACAAATTTATTTTCATGTATTTCTCAAAGTAACAAACACAGTTTAAAAAATCTAGTCTATGTCGACACCTTCATCAAAAGAACACCACCTGTAATATTAATTCAAATTCAGCAAATATTATTGTGTACTTACTACAGGCAGGGTACTTGCTATGGAAAAATCAAAATTAGCACTGATCTCAGCCAGGTGCAATGGCTCATGTCTGTAACCCCAGCACTTTCGGAGGTTGAGGCGGGTGGATCACTTGAGGTCAGGGGTTCAAGACCAGCCTGGCCAACAAGGCGAAACCCCATCTCTACTAACAATACAAAAATTAGCCAGGCATGGTGGCATGCAGCCAGGCATGCAGTGAGCCGAGATGGTGCCACTGCACTCCAGCCTGGGCAACCAAGCAAGACTCTGTCTCAAAAAAAAATTAACACTGATTTTGAAGGGCAAACAAACATAATCTGTATATAAACAGCAGTGATAATCTGGCAATCAAGTTAGTAAATAATTACAGAGGTTTTATAAAAAATATACAGGTACAGAATGGGCAAAATTAGAAAGTTTGAGCTGTATCATATTTAAAAATAAAACACTGTCAATCAATAAATATTACCACATAAAGTTTAGAACAGTGGTTTTTAAATTGTTTTGCAAGCATAGGGAGACTTAAGGCACCCAAGACCTTTGTTCTAAGGACAAAGAATCAATATCACCTGGGAGCTCATGAGAAATGCAAACTATCAGGCCTCACTAGTGTAGTACTGGATCAGAAACTGCATTTTGGGAAGGTCCCCAACTGATTCACATGCACATTATAGTCTGAGCACTGCTCTAGAGGCCACAAAGAGAGAATAAGGAAGCTGCCTAGTCAAAGTTGTGCTCACCCCTCAACCATAATGCATTTCCTCTTAATTTCACCTAGGCCCTGGCAGACTTACTTTTTATCTCTGATTAGTTATGATTTTACATAAACTGTTTTAACATAGGGTTTCTATTAAATTAAAATAATGTTAAAGCACTCATTTGGAGGACAGTTATACACTTTTACGTACGCATAACAAAGTAGACAGATGAGAATGCAGAAAGTATTATAACCTTATATTTAAGTTAACTAACTTACTCCATTGCAGAAAGATCCATATCAACTTCTTCTCCATTCATCAGTGGGATTTTTTTCTTTTTATTCCTACATTTAAGAAAAAGTAGGTTGGAAAATTGTGAGATTTCTAATTCTGAATGGACATTAACAGCAGCTAAAATTCAAATAAAGTATTTCACACAACATTGAAAGCTATCCTTAGGAAAAATGGCTATCAAATGTAATAAAATTTAAATAGAACAAAGTCTCTTTATTTTAAAGCTGGTGGGAATGAAGTAAACATCAAATTATTTTCCTGATCAAATGTTAACAAGAAGCATGAATATATAATAAAATGTCAACCTAAAACATATATTCCAAGAACTGATAGCTGCAATTTTGTATAGAAAAGGGGATATATCAATAAAGAAAACTCTTAAACAGAAAAAGGATCAGCCTTGAAATGGGATACGAATAATTCTGAGCTGTCAGCTGCATATATGCAAGGTTCTGTCCTATATGAATTAGCTAATAAAATATCTTAAGAGTATTGATCAATATGTAGAACCAATTAATACGCACAAGGTTCAAGATAAGCAAAAACAAAAGCAACAGTTTTTATGTTAACTGGGGAAGGGCAAATAAAAACAGGAACAGAGAAAACTTTTCCTGTGTTCCTCATACCAAAGAATACTCCAAATGACATTCTGTTATTACAGAGAAAAAAACCTGAGAATAGCAATCAAATGTTACCAATTTCCAAGGTGGATAGGACAAAAAGAAATAAGAATCTCACTCTGATTTAAGAAAGCATTTTCTCAGAGTAAGAATGACTATAAGAAGATTTCAGAATCAAGTTCCTTAAAAGACTTCAAAGTCAACAGACACTCTCATCTATCTGAGTGAACTAAACACAGTCATGAGTATAATACAACTTCTGTTCCTGAAAGTTCGTATTTCTCCAGCAAAGCACAGATATGTTCTCATCTCTCACTGTTCAGAATACATACTAATTGTTGTGTTAAATAAGGGGTAAATGAAGAATATATTAAAGAAAAGTGGCAATTTGCCTTTGAAATACATCAAGAATGTTCTGAAGGGGCATGCTGATATAGAGAAAAAAGAAAAAAAGACATAGTAAGCAAGATGTAGAGGCTTTTCATGACATATTCAGTTCTTTCCCTTCAATCACCATTTTTCTAATATTTCCTCTAGGTATTAATCCAACAAGACTAACAAGAATGAACCTATTTGTCTTGAATTTTTTTCTAGTACCAAAAACTAAAACTTTCATTCTAGCTCCTCGGCCTCTACCTTCAAACAAAATGAGGATTCTTAAAACTAAATGTTAAAAATTCTTATAAAAATGTCATCAAGAAGGCAAGCAAACAAAGAATGTTTGGTAATACTAACTGGAAGTAAAATGAGGAAAAAAAGATACCTGATAACATGTTCTCTACCTAAAAAATTAGGTATACATAGGCCGGGCATGGTAGCTCACGCCTGTAATCCCAGCATTTTGGGGGGCCGAGGTGGGCAGATCATCTGAGGTCAGGAGTTCAAGACCAGCCTGGCTAACATGGTGAAACCCTGTCTCTACTAAAAATACAAAAAGTAGCGGGGCGTGGTGGCAGGCACCTGTAATCCCTGCTACTCAGAAGGCTGACACAGGAGAATTGCTTGAACCGGGAGGCGGAGGTTGCAATGAGCTGAGATCGCGCCACTGCACTCCAGACTGGGTGACAGAGCAAGACTGTCTAAAAAAATTAGGTACACCTAAAACCACAAAAACCCTAGAAGAAAACCTAGGCAATACCATTCAGGACAGAGGCATGGGCAAAGACTTTAGGACTAAACACCAAAAGCATTGGCAACAAAAGTCAAAATTGACAAATGGGATCTAATGAAACTAAAGAGTTTCTGCACAGTTAAAGAAGCTACCATCAGAGTGAACAGGCAACCTACAGATTTGGAAAAATTTTTGCAATCTATCCAACTGACAAAGGGCTGATATCCAGAATCTACAAGGAACTTAAAGTTACAAGAGAAAAACCAACCCCAGGGGAGGGATAGCTTTAGGAGATATACCTAATGCTAAATGACGTGTTAATGGGTGCAGCACACCAGCATGGCACATATATACATATGTAACTAACCCGCACATTGTGCACATGTACCCTAAAACTTAAAGTATAATAATAATAAAATAAAAAACAAAAACAAAAACAAACAAACAAAAAAAAACCCAACCCCATCAAAAAGTGGGTTAAAGATATGAACAGACACTTCTCAAAAGAAGACATTTATGCGGCAACAAACACATGAAAAAAAGCTCATCATCACTGGTCATTAGAGAAATGCAAATCAAAACCACAATGAGATACCATCTCACGCCAGTTAGAACAGCAATCATTAAAAAGTTAGGAAACAACACATGCTGGAGAGGATGTGGAGAAATAGGAATGCTTTTACACTGTTGGTGGAAGTGTAAATTAGTTCAACCATTGTGGAAGACAGTGTGGCAATTCCTCAAGGATCTAGAACCAGAAATACTATTTGACCCAGAAATCCCATTACTGGGTATTACCCAAAGGATTATAAATCATTCTCCTATAAAGACATATGCACACGTATGTTTATTGCAGCACTGTTCACAATAGCCAAGACTTGGAACCAACCCAAATGCCCATCAATGATAAACTGGATAAAGAAAATGTGGCACATATACACCATAGAACACTATGCAGCCATAAAAAAGAATGAGTTCATGTCCTTTGCAGGGACATGGACGAAGCTGGAAACCATCATTCTCAGCAAACGAACACAGGAACAGAAAACCAAACACTGCATGTTCTCACTCATAAGTGGGAGTTGAACAATGAGAACACACAGACACAGGGAGGGGAACATCACACACCGGGGCCTGTCAGGAGGTGGGGGGCTAGGGGAAGGAGAGCATTAGGAGAAATACCTAATGTAGATGACAGGTTGATGGGTGCAGCAAACCACCATGGCACGTGTACACCTATGTAACAAACCTGCATGTTCTGCACATGTATCCCACAACTTAAAGTATAATTTAAAAAAAATTAGGTATACAAGAGAATTTTTATTTTGGCATTTTAGTCTGTGAGATTTGTAGTTTAACTTTCAATTTATAGTTATTATGTAATGCCTACCTTCTACTTTTGGAATGGCAGGGTATATCATGTTTAAGGCTGTTTTCTTCAATTTGCAGTGTATGATTGAAGGATCCATCTAACTCCTGCACTGTCACTTTAAGTGGTCCCTTTTAAAAAAAAAACGTACTGTTCAGAGATGTGATTTAAAAAATACCAATATGTATGCTTATGTGTACAGAGAAATATAAATCAAGATATAAAATATTACACAAAATGAGTATCTGGAGACCTAGATAGGCAATTGGTGCCAAAGAGGGCAACTGGAAGATTCTGAGTCCCCAGAAATCTCTGTACTTCCTCTTCCCTTCTTTGACAAAGTCAATGTTTTCTCAATTTATCCACTTCAAACAAAATCTCATTAATTTCTAAGTAGTAACCCATCCCTAAGTCCCTCTTCTATTGAAACTGAGGAGATAGCAGTACAAAGGCGATTTTGGAAAAAGACTTACCACGTATTTCTGAGTTCCAGGAGATGTATAGTCCTGTTTTATTTCCAGTTCCAAGACATTTCGTTTTCTATTAAATGCAAAACTTCCATAAAATTTTACCACTCCACTCTGATCTCTGAAGAATTGTAAAGGAAAGTTTACATACTGAAACGAATATGTACTAAACAAAGTAAGTTATCCATCATGGTATTAATAATTTTCAAGTGCATTCCCACCAGTTCAAAGTTTGAGAGCATACGCTACAGTAAACCAGGTGGCAAAGTATTCAAAGTACTTGTGAAAAATGCTTTCCCAGATTTAAATAAAATTTCTGAAACACTGACAAATTTGTGTTTTGAAAGAAGCAGAACCACTATACAAAGTTATTAATAGTGTTTTAAAGTGAAAAATGCAAAAACTGCAAAATTCCAAGATACCACTCAAATTGCGCCAACCCCTAATCACATCCACAAGTCACTAAACTACCACACCTCACAAGTAATCCTACAGGTCTGTCTGGTAGATTACTTACCTATCCTATCATCAAACCAATTTTTTTACTCACATATTCTTTACTCACTAGAAAGTACTTTAAAATATGCCAAACTTTACAAATATAAACATACATGTGTGTGCACCTTAATGTCTAGTAGGCATCTTAGATGAAACAATTCACAGTTCATCATTATTTCTACCATTGTTTAGAAATATAAACAGTTCATACTTCCTTGAGTCCCCCTCAAACCTCTCTTCTTCCATCTTCCCCTTGCACACATACCTTATTCCCTTCCCCACTCTGTTGAACTGCTATTGAAAAGGATACACCCACTGCTTTATTAACGGCTGAATATCTTTGCCAGAGACATTTGAAATGGATTTCAAAAACCCAGATGTGGAAACCAACATCTGACTCCACATATGTGACTGGAACTTCTGAGATGAAGCAGTACTAGCCAGACTTAGCAGTTTATTGAAAACCTGTAAGGATAAAATCATTTAGTAAATTCATATAACAGATTCTTTTCAATTATATAGAATACTCACTTTGCATTATAACTTTATTGTAGTCAATTATAGAAGACAATAATTTCACTATTTATTACACAGATTATTCTAAAGACTACTAGCAATAGAAATATGCAAAGATATAAGCAGCCAGAATACAAAACCATTCTTCATATAAACATTATTGAATGTTAATGATGTACTGAATAATATTAAGAATTATAGTAAGAATAATATATAATACCTATAATTTATTGTAGTTTATATAGAAACTAGAAATTAAGAAGCTAATGATACTCATCAGGATTTATACCACTCCAAAGCTTGAGTGGCTCTTTATGGACCATCTCTCTTTTAACATTTCTGTTCTTCATTCTAAAGGCCAGGTGTGGTGGCTCATGCCTGTAATCCTAGCACTTTGAGAGACCAAGGTAAGTGGGTAGCTTGAGCCCAGGAGTTTGAGATCAGACTGGGCAACATAGTGAAACCCCATCTCTACAAACAATACAAAAATTAGTCAGGCACGATGGTGCATGCTTGTAGTCCCGGCAACTCAGGAGGCTGAGATAGATGAGAGGATCCCTTGAGCCTGGGAGGTCAAGGCTGCAGTGGGCCGTGACTGCACCACTGCACTCCAGCCTGGGTGACAGAGACCCTATCTCAAAAAAAAACAAAACAAACCAAAAAAAGGCAAGGTGAAGGACAGAAAGATTAAAGAAACTGAACTTTACAGCAAACTTAAAATGCTTTAAAAAAAGCATTATTTTTTACCTGCCTCTAAGAATGTTAACAATGAAAAAAAATGGCTGAACATTTGGTTTCCACTCGCAACTACTAAATCACAACCATTTACTCTGAAACTTGCTTAAAATACATGGCAAAATTTAGCGATAGCAAAAATAAACATCTTTTTTATTGGTTTACGTTTTTCTATTGAAAACAGTTTAAAGTGGCATTTCATCCTTAATACAATGCAGAACACAAATTCATATGTATAAATATGTTTTACTTTCATCCCCACAATTCTAGTTTTTTTTTCTTTTGAGACAGTCTCACTCTGTCACCCAGGCTGGTATGAAGTGGCACAATCATAGCTCACTGCAGCTTCAACCTCCTGGACTCAAGCAATCTTCCTGCCTCCACCTCCCAAGAAGGTGGGACTACAGAATCATGCCACTATGCCTGACTTAGTAATAAAAATTTTTTTGAGATGGGGGGGGTCTTACTATACTGCCCAGGCTGGTCTCGAACCCCTGGCCTCAAGCAATCATCCCACCTCAGCCTCCCAAAGTGCTGGGATTATAGGCATGAGATACCATGCCCAGCCACCACATTCTAATTATATCTTCATAAAATTCATGTGCAAAGTTGTTCTGGTATTGATACCCATTCTACATCTGAGGAAATGCAAATATAAAGCACAGGTTACTTAGTGGGCAAACAAAACTATAAATCCAGATGTCCTGACTCCTATTCTACAGAAACATACTCAGATTATACACATACAGATCTTTATTTACCATTGTTAAGTTCTTAACTTTAATACTTACTTGTAGCATAAATTCCATACTGATCCTATTTTCAATCAATCTCATCACAAGGTGGGCTTTACACTGAAACATACTGTAGTATTCCCAGGACAGTGTATGTGGATGCTTTATTGAAAAGTGTAGATGGGAAGCCGGACTAAAAAAAATAAACACATTTACCTAATACAGCAAATGTGACTATTAAATAAAAAATAAATTTCATGACCACATCAAGAAAATACCCAAAAAACCTCAGGAGAATATATAAGCAATTTCCTTAGTACTAATAAACATCTAAAAATAAACTTAACTAGAAGAAAATTATGAAGTTTTACTTAAGGACATAAAGGAAAATCTGAATAAATGGAAACAAACACCAAGCTCCTAGATGGGAAGATACAATACTGTAAATACTTCCATTCTCCCCAAATCCATCAATACAATCAGTGCAATTCCAATCAATATCCCAACATTGAAGCATGCACTAAAATATATTAAAGATTGATTATATATGTAAAACAAAAACCATTATAAAAGTACTAAAAGAAATGAAGGAAAAAATTTCTCTTTATATTTTGGGATGGGAAAAATTTTCCTAAGAAAAAATACAAAATCTGGAAGACATAAAGACCACAATGACTACATAAAAATTAAAACATTTTGACACAATGAAAAGGATCATAAGTAAATTTAGAGAAAGATACAGTCTAGAAAATATTTACGACATACATGAACATTTAATTTGTTTACAAATTATCACTAGACCAAATAATGCTATGGTGAGTATCTTTTTACACATGTGCAAATATTTCTGTATGATAAATGCCTAGAAGAATTTCTTTCTTTCTTTTTTTTTTTTTTTTTCTTTTGAGATAGAGTCTCGCTCTTATCCCCAGGCTGGAGTGCAGTGGCACAATCTTGGCTCACTGCAACCTCCACCTCCCAGGTTCAAGTGATTCTCTTGCCTCAGCCTCTCAAGTAGTTGGGACCAGGCACCCACCACCACGCCTGGCTAATTTTTGTATTTTTTGGTAGAGATGTGGTTTTGCCATGTTGGTAGGCTGGTCTCAAACTCCTGAACTCTGGTGATCCACCTGCCCAGCGTCCCAAAGTGCTGGGATTACAGGCATGAGCCCCCGCGCTGGGCCAGAAGAATTTCTACATGATCACATACCTAGAAGAATTGCTGGATCTAAAAATTACCCATTCTACAATTCTGATTAGTACCACACTAAATTACCCATCAGAAACACTGTATCAAACTACACTCTCACAGTGTATGAGTGGTGCTATAGTTTGTTTGAATGATGGTGCCCCCTCCAAAATTCATGTTGAAACTTAAACCCCAACGCAACAGTCTTAAGAGGTGGCCTTTGGGAAGTGATTAAATCATCAGGGATCTACCCTCATGAATGGGATTAGCGCCCTCATAGAAAGGCTCCAGGTTGAAGGGAGCGTTCTCTTGCCCTGCCATCCCTTCCACCTTGTGAGGACACATTCTTTCCCGCTGGAGGATGCAGCAACTAGGTGCCAACTAGGTGCAGAGAGCAGCCCTCACCAGACACCAATCCTCCCAGTGCCTCAGTCTTGAACTTCCCAGCCTCCAGAACAAGAAGTAAATTTCTACTGTTTACATTATTACCCAGTCTGTGGTACTTTGGTATAGTAGAATAAACAAACTATGGCAAGTGGTATTATGCATCTCCTTCAAAATGTGGCATATTGGTTAAGGCAGGAGGATTGCTTGAGCCCAAGAGTTTGAGATCAGCCTGGGTAACAATGTGAGACCCCATTTAAAAAAAATTAAAAAAAAATTTTTAATGTGGCACATTAAAACTTCAGATACTTTATAATCAATCTGATATTTTAAAAATTATTTTTATATTTTACTTATTACTTCCAATCTTATGAGCTTTATGAGTCTGTAAGCTTTAGCAAAGAATAGCAATAAGAAAAAGGTTAAATAAATTCTGAGGTACAATGAAATACTATTTAGCTCTTAAATGGAATAATTGTTATATATAGTCAAGGTTTATAATATCATCTCTGAACAATAAACATACTTATCCTTCTCTTTTCCTCCACCAAATATGGGATGTAGTAAAACCCCACCAGTTTTTAGTTCATATGCCACTATTTTGTCTAGCTCCTAAAAAATATATAAAAATAGGAGTCAGTAAAATTTGTAAAGTAACATTTTTTTACATACCAAATTTTAGAATTAAACTGTGAATTCTCATTTCCTAAAATCAGAATGTAAATTTCTTAAAATAAGTGAAATGTATTTAAAGAGTAGTTTATGTTCTTATAAATAAAGCAGCCTACACAGCTGGCAGAATGACAAAAGCCAAAGACTTCTCTACTTTATGACTTCAGGGCTGGACAGCAGCCTGGCAACTTTTTCTTATGGCTGTTCTCAATCTCTCTGAGCTGTCTCCAAGTTTATTTTTCCTTCTCTGTATTTTGCTTCAAAAAATTTAGGCGAGTAAAAAGGAATGGGAATAAATTATGTCAGGAATCTATCATTTTAAAACTTCTCCAGTCTTCTCTAACATGACATAAATTGAACTTTTAAAAAGGGGGATTTTTTTTTTTAAACAGAAAAAAAAAGGGGGGGTTGGGGGCAGTTGTTTTGTTTTGTTTTGAGACAGGGTTTTACTCTGTCACCCAGGCTGGAGTTCAGTAGCTGATTATGGCTTACTGCAGCCTTGACTTCCTGGGCTTAGGTGATCCTCCCACCTCAGCCCAAGAAGCTGGAACTACAGGCACATGCCACCGTGCCTGGTTAATTAAAAGAAAAAAAGCATAAGTGAAGACGGGCGCAGTGGCTCACATCTGTAATCCCAGCACTTTGGGAGGCTGAGGCAAGTGGATCACGAGGTCAGAAGTTCGAGACCATCCTGGCCAACATGGTGAAATCCCGTCTCTACTAAAAATACAAAAAATTAGCCGGGCGTGATGGCGGGTGCCTGTAATCCCAGCTCTCAGGAGGCTAAGGTGGAAGAATCGCTTAAGCCCGGGAGGCAGAGGTTGCAGTGAGCCGAGATTGCGCCACTGCACTACAGCCTGAGCAACAGAGTGAGACTCCGTCTCAAAAAAAAAAAAAAGCATAAGTTAAAATAAAGACACTACCACAATTGTGCTGGAAACTCCTAACTGCTTTAAATAATACAGATGTAGTACAGAAAAGTGGCAAACAGCATAGAGAAGAAACTAAAAGCCAAGCTGGAATCCTGGGCCTACTACTTACTAGCTGTATACTTTGACCAAATAATTTAACCTTTCTTTCTGTTCCTCAGTTTCTTCATCTATAAAATGGGAATGATAGCAAGGTAGTTAGGAGAATTAAGATCATTTTAATATTTATAAAACATTTGTAACAGTGCGTGAAATATTTTAAGTGTTGTGTTACTTTGTTCTTCTTCTTTAATAGTTTCTGAAATAAAGAAGAGACTCCAGTTCTAGATGTACAAATACCTTAATAGCTCTAGGTGTTTGAAGTCTTCGAAAATTAACTTTTTGGCTTACTTGAGTTTACTCTTGGATGATAATAATATGTAAAATGAGAATACGGGGAAGATGATAAGGTTTGTTTAATGAAGATATGAAAGGCTGCAATTCTTCCACCTGAGAAGGAAGACACTAAGCATGATATGATTAAAATGTTTATGTATATGACCACAATGTGCTAAGTAAAATACAACTGATGTTTTCTTTTTGGCCAAATCTTTAAATCGTTAAAAAAAAAAAAAAGATGTGACAATGACAACATAAATGCATTCAAAGCCTAGCCAGAATATAATAAGCAGTTAATATGTGCAAAGCATCATGCACATTACTTGTATAATGTCTAATAATCTCTGCCTATGGGCAGACACTACAATTGCCCTCCTTAAACAGAGACTTGGAAAGATTAAGGTTACAAAGCTAACAAATTTAGGAAGCACAGTTACAAACGACTACTATAAGGAGCTGGGACATACCTAACGACCAATCTGATGTTTAAGAAACTTAAATATTCTCTTCCTTAGGGGAAAAAAAGGTTTTTAGGGGCCAATGTTGACAATGGAGATTAGATAAAATAGACCATTAGTCTTTCTCAGTAAATCAATTCCCATTTTGCTGGGAAAAATTAGGGATTTTCAAGCAGTATTTTAAAAGTATTTTACAGTCATTAAAAATGGAGGACATAAGACTTGTAAGTGGATAAGGGATCTAGCTGTTATTACCTCTTTAATCCAATGGCGGTACTCATTAACACCAAAAGTTTTTTTCATCCAAAGTCCATAGATATAGCCTGAAATTCCCTTCAGCACCCATTCATCAGACCTAAGCAAAAAGTCAAAGCATAAATTACTTTTAATCATAAAAACTCCTCAGATAATGTCAAAGAGGATAACGGAATAAGTGTAGTGTGTATTTCCCTGCCTTCATAAAGAAAATGAAAATTATTAACAAATTATCAGGTTTCCCAACTTCCTCTGAGTTCTACTTGCCCATTTATTATACCTTATTCACACCTGCCTTTACCTTTCATTATGAGACTGCTTTACAGTCTTGCTTCAGGTATAAATTACCAGAGTACATGCTCTACTCTGACAGTGCTGCTTCCCTCCTGCCCAACTCTGTTCTTACTGTCTCTGCCTCTAAGGAAATACTTGCTCATAGCCAGGACTATACTGTTCAATTCTAAAAGTCTACATGCTATTATTGCCAATCCCATGCATTATGCCATTACCAATGATATTCTAAAACCTAAAGTTTAATTCCTTCATTCATTTTTTTTTGCTTTCTCTAGAAAAATGGCAATTAACATCACTCACTCATTTATTCATTTGTATACTCATCCATCTATCCATCTACCCACTCCATCCATCCATCCATCCATAATATTTTGCCTACTACATTCCAAGCACTATTCTTTAATGAAACTTCTACATGTGATTTTAGGAAAACTACAAATCAAGAGATCTATCTTTAGTCTCTGCCCTCTCCTCTCCACTCCAGCAAGCGAAAAAAGAAAACCAACATTTCCATACTATATATAGTATAGAATGTTCACAATTATAATCTTAATTTTTCTGTTTTCTTCAAAATAATCTCAAGTTAATAAAAAAGAAAAGAAAAAGCATATATACCTTTCATTTCTTTCAACAAACTGGTACAAAGCTGAGCACTAGTAGGCAAATCCCTAAATAATTATTAATATTGCAGAGGAGTACTATTTTACATTAAATATTGAGTTATTTCCAATTGCTTTGAACACTGACATTAAAATTCTAACTTCAGATTTCTGTACATTTAAGTTCTTTTATTTATAGAATTCATTCAGTTCTTTAAGACACTGTTTTACCAAAATCTTACCTTATAAACTGCAGAAGTGATTATATTGATTTCACGGCCAAAAAGTTAGGATAAAACTTATAATCATTTTTCTTTAAATACATATAGAACAGTGTCTTTTAAATTAGCTAATTTAATTAACTAATAAATATAAGTGACTATATTGATTTCATGGCCAAAAAGTTAGGATGAAACTTATAATCATTTTTCTTTAAATACATATAGAACAGTGTCTCTTAAATTAGCTATCTGCAATTAGGGCAAAGGTCAGCTTAAATGCAGAGAAAGAAAAGAAAAATAAACTTGATTCTCTTCTCAGTAGTATGAACTTTCAGGTCACTCACCAAGACATTCTAGATATGAAACAACCAAAAAACTGCTGGGCCAAGGATTGGGCTAAACACCTTCTAGTCAAAGGTGTCTCATCTATAATCATGGCACTGTGTAAAAGATTTGTGCTGGAATTTAAAAGAGAAGAAAGCTCATTATAACCAAGAAATAAATACTTATTCAGTGAAAATAAAATAATTCCACTTTTAAAACAATGGAAGCTAAATAGAGAAAAAATTCTCCCACCTTTCTAATCTTTTCAAAATTTAGCTAAAATTCATCATCTTAGTAACTTGCTTAAAGCAAAGAACACATTTTCCACTGATGATATCAGTAAATTTCTGACAATATCAGTACATTTTTAAATAGTGCTAGAAAAAAATTCATACTAGTCATACAATAATTTGTACAATTTTTAAAGAATTTATGAACACAAGACTAAAACAGGGAAAATACTAATATTAGTTAATTCTGGATGAAGATGAGCCTTTTGAGTTATCTCAAAAACTTTGTCTTCATGTTTTTCTACATTTAAAAAATTTTAAAACCAAATTTTGTACAAAGCCAATCACATCCAAATTGCGGAAAAAAGTTCAAAGCTCGTCTTAAAATTGACCGCAAAATCAGTAAATTTTCTTCATATCATGATCTTAATTTAGGCATTTCAAATCTGAAGAGATACCAACCTAAAAATGCTCATGGAAGCATAAGCAGCCACTTCAACATAAGCCTCATCAATGAAGACAGTCTTAAAACAGGAGTATGGGTAACGACATGTAAGAATTTCTTCATAAAATTCAAAGACTTCATGAAGGTATGATGTGGTATGTTTCAGCAATGGAAGAAGTTGGGGCAAACAAAAATGAGTAACCTGAAAAGAAGAAGCAAGGAAGATCATCTAAATGAAAGAGTTAAATTTAATATTGGAAATTTCCTAAACACCTCAACTATAAATAAATGTTCTCATAAATCTATTCTTTAATAATTTCAAGATGCTGAAAGAAAATGTTGTGAAAATAGTGATCACTTTTACTGATCACATTTATAAAATATTAACTACTTAAAAATTAAATTCACGGTGGATTATAAGTCTGTGGAATGCTCAGACCAACTAAAATACAACTCTAGTTCCAAATTCAATTAAAATTTTTTCTCATAGGTACACATAATAAGACTTAAATTTCAAAGGTTTATTATAAACATACCTCTTATTCATAAATATTTAACCCAGTGAATAATGCACGTTATAGTACTATCTTATCAACAGTTAATGTTAATCATATTATCTGCATATAAAAATAATTACTGTAGTCCCCCTCTAATATTTCAATTACACACCAAAGACTGCAGAAAAGTTTACTGGTAGTTAGGAGATTAAAAAATGCCTGCAACAGAAATAGTAACTCTGTTTTTTTTCATTAGGTTACATCTCACTTTGGTCACACAAATATCATATGCTATCTCTTATTATGATCTGTGCCAAATGAGTGCCATCAACAATGACACAGGTCACTGACTAGAACAACCGTGTAAGGTTTCATGCAGGAGTGTGAAGCTGTGGTAATCTTTTTGAGTTCAACAGAAGTTTGATAGGAAACTTTTGGTACAGGAAAAGAGAACGTCCCAGGGTCAAAGATGGGAAGAAAAAAGGTATGATCAGAGAAATATAAGTAAACTATTTTGAATATAACATCTATTACGGTCAAATTATAGAAGATCTTGAAAGCCATGCTAAAGAGTTCTAATTACTGCAGAATTATAAAGGCAAGGGAAATTTTTATCATAAAAATTATTCTTCTAATAGCATTTAAAAAGAACAGATTAGAGGCTACCATAAGAGTGGAGAAAAGCATCTATGTATTACTAATAATCAGGGCCCAAATTTGTATCATGATTAACACTCTGTTTGTATTAATCATATTTAATCATAATTTTATTTGTGTATGCAAATAAAAAATACTATTCACCAAAAAAAGGACTAATTTTTAGACAAATCCTACAAGACAGCAAATTTACTGATAATGCAGACAAGTCATGTATTTGACACAGAGAAGACTAAGTCAGGAAAAACAATTCTTGACTATCATTTGCCTTGTTCCTATTCAATAGCTCAGAGTAGAAAAAAAATTCTTCTTAAATACAAAATCGGTACTAATCAAACATTGATTTTTTAAAATTTTTTTATATTATCATTTTTTATTATACTTTAAGTTCTACGGTACATGCGTACAATGTGCAGGTTAAATATGTATACATGTGCCATGTTGGTGTGCTGCACCCATCAACTCATCATTTATATTAGGTATATCTCCTAATGCTATCCCTCCCCCATCCCCCCACCCCACGACAGGCCCCGGTGTGTGATGTTCCCCTTCCTGTGTCCAAGTGTTCTCATTGTTCAGTTCCCACCTATGAGTGAGAACATGTGGTGTTTGGTTTTTTGTCCTTGCGAGTTTGCTGAGAATAATGGTTTCCAGCTTCATCCATGTCCCTGCAAAGGACATGAACTCATCCTTTTTTATGGCTGCATAGTATTCCATGATGCATATGTGCCACATTTTCTTAATCCAGCCTATCACTGATGGACTGGGTTGGTTCCAAGTCTTTGCTATTGTGAATAGTGCTGCAATAAACACACATGTGCATCTGTCTTTATAGCAGCATGATTTATAATCCTTTGGGTATATACCCAGTAATGGGATGGCTGGGTCAAATGGTATTTCTAGTTCTAGATCCTTGAGGAATTGCCACACTGTCTTCCACGATGGTTGAACTAGTTTACAGTCCCACCAACAGTGTAAAAGTGTTCCTATTTCTCCACATCCTCTCCAGCACCTGTTGTTTCCTGACTTTTTACTGATCGCCATTCTAACTGGTGTGAGATGGTATCTCATTGTGGTTTTGATTTGCATTTCTCTGATGGCCAGTGATGATGAGCATTTTTTCATGTGTCTGTTGGCTGCATAAATGTCTTCTTTTGAGAAGTGTCTGTTCATATCCTTCGCCCATTTTTTGATGGGGTTGTTTTTTTCTTGTAAATTTGACTTCTTTGTAGATTCTGCATATTAGCCCTTTGTCAGATGAGTAGATTGCAAAAATTTTTCCAATTCTGTAGGTTGCCTGTTCACTCTGATGGTAGTTTCTTTTGCTGTGCAGAAACTCTTTAGTTTAATTAGATCCCATTTGTCAATTTTGGCTTTTGTTGCCATTGCTTTTGGTGTTTTAGATAAGAAGTCCTTGCCCATGCCTATGTCCCGAATGGTATTGCCTAGGTTTTCTTCTAGGGTTTTTATAGTTTTAGGTCTAACATTTAAGTCTTTAATCCATCTTGAATTAACTTTTGTATAAGGTGTAAGGAAGGGATCCAGTTTCAGCTTTCTACATATGGCTAGCCAGTTTTCCCAGCACCATTTATTAAATAGGGAATCCTTTCCCCATTTCTTGTTTTTATCAGGTTTGTCAAAGATCAGATGGTTGTAGATGTGTGGTATTATTTCTGAGGCCTCTGTTCTGTTCCATTGGTCTATATCTCTGTTTTGGTACCAGTACCATGCTGTTTTGGTTACTGTAGCCTTGTAGTATAGTTTGAAGTCAGGTAGCATGTTTAAAGCTGATCATTTACCAAAGACAATAAAGTTCACTGCTAATCTTATCAGTGGATAAACCTTTAAAAAGAGTCATTGTTAAGACAACGTAAGCAAAACCAACACAAAATATCCTGAATCTTTTCCACGAGTGATTTTACAAATCCTGTGAATTTCAGCAAGGCAAATATAAAAGGCAAACTGAGGAGCTCACCGAAAGCCTGCTGCCCTCAATTTTTATTCACATGACTAAAAGAAATGCTGTGGAGATATACGTGGTCAAATTATATGCTTATGTATTTCTTTTTTAAAAAATAAACCTAAATTGAAGACGAAAAAAGAGAGTTAACAACTAATAAATCATTTTCTAATCAGCAGAAGTCTCATGCTTGGGGAGGCCTAAAACTGTGATTTGGCCTGTCAATTGATAAATGAATTGTGATAAGATATGTGCTGGGAAGAAACTAGAAGTCTTCATGAGTTTGCTAACCAGGTTTCTAACTCTGTCTGTTTTCCTCTGTATAGGTTGAAGAGAGAATAAATCTTGCTCTTTAATTTTGAATTTACAATATTTTAGATTCCAGAGATGGGACCACAACATTCAAAAACATGATAAATGAAAAGATGTCATTAGTAATGAACAAAATTAGTTACAGAAATCTACCTATATGCTAAATCAAGATATAACTGAAGCTCTTTTGAAATGCTAAGACTCTGTTGGAAAATAATCTGAAATTTAAATACAACATTTTGAAAGAAATTCATTCAAGAATTCACATCATTATATATATTAGATAAGGAAACATTTTCTCTCTAGTCATATTCTTGATAGTTGAAAAAAGAGTGAAGGAAGACAATATTTCATTAATATCTACCTTTTTTTTTTTTTTTTGAGATGTCGCTCTGTCATCAAGGCTGGAGTGCAGTGGCACAATCTCAGCTCACTGCAAGCTCTGCCTCCTGGGTTCAAGCCATTCTCCTGCCTCAGCCTCCCGAGTAGCTGGGACTACAGGCGCCCACCACCACGCCTGGCTAATTTTTTGTATTTTTAGTAATGACAGGGTTTTACTGTGTTAGCCAGGATGGTCTCGATCTCCTGACCCTGTGATCCGCCCACCTTGGCCTCCCAAAGTGCTGGGATTACAGGCATGAGCCACCGTGCCTTGCCAATATCTATCTTTTTAAAAGCAGTAAAGGGCCAGGAGGAGAGTAAGAGAGGAAAGCTCTGACTTACCTCATGCATGTATGGATCTACCAGTATTTCAAATGGTCCAATGGCCAAGGAGATATTTGACGCTGCTGTAGGAATGGTAAGCATATAATGGAAAGTTTTCTTCCTCATATCATGAGTATACACTGTCTCCACCAAATCGCCATTAGAAACAGCAACCATTGCAGCATCTACTGTAAATTCTAATTTCCATGTACACAATTCAGAGTATGAATCAACACAAGGGAACCAAAATCTAGAAAAAAGATTGACAGTATAGAAAATGTATTCAAAGAGTTCTCTACATTGTTTTCCCCACATGCAAGTTATTTTAGCATTTCTAGAAAATGAACAAACAAAACCTTTAGCTATTTGGCTACTGAAGCTTTTTACTGTACAACCTGAAAAAAATCTGATAAAATAAAATCTGTTTCCAAATACTATTTGGCAATATTAAGAAAATATATTATGTGGTACCATCAGTTCAAACCCTAAAAAGAGTTAAGCAATTCTTAGCTTTCAGTGTTTTAAAAAATAATTTTAACTTGTATCCGCATATTAGTCAGTTTTTATGCAGCATTCATTTCTAGAAACTAAAAAAGGCTCACAGCAAAAAGTTTTATAAAGCATAACTAACATTCAGAATTTATTCCATTAAATTATAAAACTGCTTTTTTGGAGTATGTAACGTATTGTATAAATTCAAACTGAGTGCTGGTTAAGTTAGATATAAAATTTATAGTCAGCTTTCATCAGTTCAGTAAGGTGTTACGTGACAGGGTAGGTACTTAGTATTGAAGCACAAAAGTGTGTAAGACATTATCCCTGGTTTAGAGAAGTTATTATAATAATCTGAGGACAGGCTGGGCGCAGTGGCTGACACCTGTAATCCCAGCACTATGGGAGGCTGAGGCAGGTGGATTACCTGAGGTCAGGAGTTGGAAACCAGCCTGGCCAACATGGTGAAACCCTGTCTCTACTAATAATACAAAAATTGGCCAGGCATGTGGCATCTGCCTGTAATCCCAGCTACTCCAGAGGCTGAGGCAGGAGGATCACTTGAACCTGGAAGGTGGAGGTTGCATGAGCCGAGATTGCATGAGCCGAGATTGCGCCACTGCACTCCAGCTGGTGCAACAGGCTATCTCTACTAAAGATATGACGA
Organism: Homo sapiens; assembly: GCF_000001405.40. Lineage (NCBI taxonomy): Eukaryota > Metazoa > Chordata > Mammalia > Primates > Hominidae > Homo > Homo sapiens. The sequence goes on from NC_000008.11 coordinate 119,802,935, forward strand.
AACCTGATCTCTACTAAAAATAAAATAATTAGCCAGGTGTGGTGGCACATGCCTGTAGTCCCAGCTACTTAGGAGGATAGGTAGGAGAATCACTGGAACCCAGGAGGTGGGGATTGCAGTGAGCCAAGATTATGCCACTGCACTCCAGCCTGGACAACAGAGTGAGACTCTGTTTCAAAAAAAATAAATAAATAAGCAGAGTTGAGTAGTAGAATGTGGAGTGGGGAAGTAGAGTATGAAAGCAGGTGAGAGGAGGTCTCTATAATCTTGTAATATTCTTTGTCTCTAGATGTAAATTATGTAGGCTTGTTCACTTGTGAAAATTCATCGAGCTTTACATTCTGTGCAATTTTCTGTATGTATGTTTTACTTCAATATAAAGTTTTTAAAAAAGAAGGAATCAAGTGAGATGATTATTTTAGAACAGTAGACATGAAAATGAGAGAGAAGAAGGGAGATGTAAGATTGAGGAGGGGTCGGGCATGGTGGCTCATGCCTGTAATCCCAGTACTTTGGGAGGCTGAGGCAGGCAGATCACTTGAGGTCAGGAATTAAAGGCCATTCTGGCCAACATGGTAAAACCCCATCTGTACTAAAAATATAAAAAATTAGGCAGGTGTAGTGGTGAATGCCTGTAATACCAGCTACTTGGGAGGCTGAGGCATGAGAATCACTTGAACCCAGGAGGCACAGGTTGCAGTGAGCAGAGATAGCACCCCAGTGTATTCCAACAAGGGTGACAGAGCAAGACTGTCTGAAAAAAAAAAAAGAAAAAAAAATTTTTTTTTAAGAGGAATGACTAACAGAAAGTAATTTGAAAGAAGTCTAAATTTGGAAGGGAATAAAACTAGTATTTCTTGTTTTACACCAAATGTATGTCTTGCTTATACATAAAAAATGCAATTTAAAAATTAATTGAAATATTTAAGAATCTATAATCTACCTTGTAGAATTTTGATACCCACAAGAGAAAACATGAGCACCTCTCTCTGCCATACTTCCCTCTACACTGGGTACCACAAAATGAAGACCTCCTTTGGGCTGATCCAAAGAAAAATTGATGTGTATCTTCAGGACCTTTAACTCTGCAACAAATAAACATATACACACATTGATACATAAGTTACAGTGGTCTATATAATAAAGACAAAGATTTAATGCTGAACATGAAATGGAATTGAGGACTGAGATTTATATGAAAAACCACACTACTTACCCTAGTTTAGACTTTTACCATATGTCTGCCTATATTAACTCAACAGGCTGCCCCTATTGGTTTTCTACCTCCAATCAATTATAACTATTGCTTGTATTATTTTCCCAAAATACACCTTTGGTTACGCCATATCCTCCTCTCAACATTTCTGACAATGTACAATGCCTAAAAAGTCCAAAACTCCCACACTGCACACTTAGGCCTTCCAAATCCAACCCCAAACTTACTGATATAGTTTGGCTCTGTGTCCCCACCCAAATCTCATCTTGCAGCGCCCATAACTCCCATGTGGTATGGGAGGGACCTGGTAGGAGGTAACTGAATCACAGGGGCAAGTCTTTCCCTTGCTGTTCTTGTGATAGTGAATAAGTGTCACAAGATCTGATGGTTTTCAAAATGGGAGTTGCCCTGCACAAGCTCTCTCTCTCTCTTTTTGCTGGCAGCCATCTGCATAAGACATGACTTGCTCTTCCTTGCCTTCTGCCAAGATTGTGAGGTCTCCCCAGCCATGTCAAACTATAAGTTCATTAAACCTCTTTTTCTTCCTAGTCTCAGGTATGTCTTTATCAGCAGCATGAAAACGGACTAATACACTTACTTTTCAAGTTCTTTCTCTTATTATATTATCCCACAAACTTAACCCTGGGTGACTTTGGGGAGTACAAGGATGAGAGGTAGAGTAGGGAACACCACCGGAGAATTTGCATTATTATCACGTTTTTTGTTATGCTTGATTTCTTCACTATAAACTGTGTTGCTTTCATAAGATTTTAATTTCCCTCCAAGAATTACAATCATATGCACTATCTCCAAACCCTAAAAATGCAATGACGACTTCCACGTCTGTCCCCTAAATTAGGGTAAGTTCCTCCACAAACCCTACCCCGTCCCCAGCACCCACAACGGAAACCAATAAACAAAACAAGGACTCTTTTACTTCCTTGATTAATTTTTATAAGGCTAAATAAGCAAGGCAGAAGCTAATATACAATATTACAATGGCTAAAACTTTATACAAGACACAAAGAAGGTTTAAAAAGTCTGCAGACTGAGTATCAGGAACCATGTGTTTTAGCTTTAACTTCACCAATAATTTGCTAAGTGAAGTTCAGCAGGTCACTCACTCTCATTAGACTTCAGATTACTCTTCTGTAAAAAGAAGGAATTTAACCAGATTTTTTCAGGATCTTTCCTGCTACAAAATGCTACAATTCTAAACTAATTTGATATTGTGCAGGTTCTACCTATATGATTTTTTAAAAATATTTTTCATGGCCAGGCGCAGTGGCTCACGCCTGTAATCCCAGCACTTTGGGAGGCCAAGGAGGGTGGATCACCTGAGGTCAGGAGTTCGAGAGCAGCCTGGCCAACATGATGAAACCCTGTCTCTACTAAAAATACAAAAATCAGCCAGGCGTGGTGGCAGGAGACTGGAATCCTAGCTACTCGGTGGCTGCGGCAGAAGAATTCCTTGAACTCGGGAGGCAGAGGTTGCAGTGAGCCAAGATTGCGCCATTGCACTCCACCCTGGGCAACAAGAGCGAAACTCCGTCTCAAAAAAAACAAAAAAAAATTTTTTTTTTAGCTTTAAAAAACAACGGTGAAATAAATTGCTTTTTTCACAGCCCTGAAATGGTATCATCCTGTTAGCCAGTGATCCTTAATAAGAAAAAGAGCTTCCAACCCATTCTATATATTTCAACTGGTTAATTTACAATTTTGACATCGTTAATGTTCTTTCGTTTTGTTTTTGTTTTTCTTTTTTTTTTTTTAAGACGGAGTCTCACTCTGTTGCACAGGTTGGAGTGCAGGGGTGCGATCTCAGCTCACTGCAATCTCCACCTCCTGGGTTCAAGCAATTCTCCTGCCTCAGCCTCCTGAGTAGCTGGGATTACATGCGCCCACCAAGCCTGGATAATTTTTGTATTTTTAGTAGAGATGGGGTTTCGCCATGTTGGCCAGGCTGGTCTTGAACTCCTGATCTTAGGTGATCCACCCGCCTCAGCCTCCCAAAGTGCTGGGATTACAGGCATGAGGCACAGTGCCTGCATCATTAGTTCTCATGTAAAATTCTCTAGTGTCTGAATCTAACGTGATTTTAGTGTACAGTCAATATACTCTTGGTGCTTTACCATCAACGTGTTTCCATAGCTCTGATGGAACCTTAATGCAAAGTTCTCCATTTCCTGCATCAGGGTCCACAGCACTAACTGCAGCTGCATAAGCATTGGAAAAATAATTGAGGTTTCTCCTGGGGAAAAAAAAGAGCCAACTTTTAATAATAAGCCATGTATCTTACCAAGCATTTTTCTTTCTTTCTTTTTTTTTTTTTTTTTTTAGATGAAGTCTCACTCTGTTGCCCAGGCCAGAGGTCAGTGGCACCATCTCAACTCACTGCAACCTCCACCTCCAGGTTCAAGCATTCTCATCCCTCAGCCTCCCGAGTAGCTAGGATTACAGGCACCCACCACCACAACCAGCTAATTTTTATATTTTTAGTAGAGATGGTGTTTCACCATGTTGGTCAGGCTGGTCTCGAACTCCTAACCTCTAGTGATCCATTCACCTTGGCCTCCCAAAGTGCTGGGATTACAGGCATGAGCCACCATGCCTGGCCTCTGAGCATTTTCTTAAATATCATTTGATACCAATTATTTGTAAGCATTTTATCTTCTTATATAATTTCTAAGAACACTCTTTAGCCAAGTAATGGTTTGCTCTACTCACCATGTTAAAAACTATTAATCTATGAATACAACAGAATATATATTCTACTCACCAAGTTACATGACTATTATTATGACTATCACATTCTTCATTAATTTTGGAATGCCAAAGCCACTATCCTTTTTTGATACAAATGTAAAGAATACGTGAAGCACTGAATAAATAATTATTCCCTATCAATGTGGCAAAAAATTGAATGGATTCAACAAGCTTTATAATTTGACAAAAATTAAGATGTTTAAAACAAATCAGGATGGGACTCAGTTCCTCAAAATGTAATAGCACCTACCTCCACCCATTAGTGCATCATAATGTAAGCTTAATGAAGCAGAGAATTTTCAGCAGGCTCACCGTTATATTCACTATGTCAGGAGAGACTACTACATAAATATTTGTTCCATAGTTATCTGACCTTATTTCCCATTTGATGAAAACAATACGATGAAGTCTTACAGAAACGTGAAAATGTTGTTCTCAACTGGTTTTTAAATTGTACTCCATAAAAGCAACTTATATGTGTACATATACACATATTACATTTCCTCACTGAAATTAGTTTAAAAAAATACGAAAGAAATGAAAGACAGGAAAAAGATACGGAATGGGAAGGGCAAGAATACAAGATGAAATACACAAACACCATGGACCACATCCTCGTTGTACACCTTTATGTCTGCCATCCTGCCGTTAGGTGTAGCCACAAGGTGAAATTAGTGACATTCCTATAACTTAATACTTTTTTCATCTAGTTAAAAGACAAGTTTTAGCTGGACACGGTGGCTCATGCCTGTAATCCCAGCACTTTGGGAGTCCAAGGTGGTGGATCACCTGAGACCAGGAGTTCAAGTCCAGCCTGGCCAATATGGCGAAACCCTCTCTACTAAAAACACAAAAATTAGCCAGGCGTGGTGGTGCATGCCTGTAATTCCAGCTACTCGGGAGGCTGAGGCACGAGAATCACTTGAGCCTGGGAGGCGGAAGTTGCAGTGAGCTGAGATTGCACCACTGCACTCCAACCTGGGCAACAGAGTGAGACTTTTTCTCAAAAAAATTAAAAAATAAAAATAAAAAGACAAGTTCCACATATTCTACGGAATAATTAAAGGAAAAATAAAATGAGAAAAGCCATTAAAGAAACATTAAGGCTACAGACTCTTAACTTGACAGAGGCCATTCCCTCTCCATCTTCATCAATCTCTCTACCAGTTAGGAAGGATATAATATAACTATGGCTTTAACAACTATTCAAGGTAACAACTACAAAGCACAGAGTTCTGGAAGTGAAAAGACTTCTCAATATATTTTAATAATTTCTTTCTGTTAAATAAACATTGTTGACAATGAACACTGACATTCCAAAAACATTCAGAGCATCTTCACCAGTAGATCCCATCTCAAGAAACCACTTTCTTTGCTCATCCATAAGCAGCAACTCCTCCGTCCATTAAAGTTGTATCATGAGACTGCAGCAATTCAGTCTTACCTTTAGGCTCCACTTCTAATTCTAGTTTCATTGCTATTTCTACCACAACTGCAGTTACTTCCTTCTCTAAACCCCTCAAAGTCATCCATGAGGTTTGGAATCAACTTCTTCCAAACCCTTGTTCATGTTGATGTTTTGACCTCCTCCCTAAATCATGAATGTCCTTAATGGCATCCAGAATGGTGAATCCTTTTCAGGGTTTCAACTGACTTTGTCCAGATCCCTCAGAGGAATCACTATCTATGGCAACTATCGCCTTATGAAATGCATTTCTTAAATAATAAGACTTGAAAGTAGAAATTACTCTTTAATCCATAGGCTGCAGAATAGATGTTATGTTAGCACACATAAAAACAGTATTAATCTCCTAGTACATCTCCATCAGAGCTCTTGGGTAACCAGGTGTCTTGTCAATAAGCAGTACCATATTGAAAGGACTCTTCTTCTGACCAGTAATCTCAACAGTGGGCTTAAAATATTCAATTCAGTAAGCCATACTGTGAACACCTGTTGTCATCCAGGCTCTGTTGCTTCATTTACAGAGAACAGGAAGAATAGATTTAGCATAATTGTTAAGGGCCATAGGATTTTTGGAATGGTAAATGAGCACTGGCTTTAACTTAAAGTTCCCAGCTGCATTAGCCCCTAATAAAAGAGTCAGCCCGTCCTTTGAAGCCAGGCACTGACTTCTTTTTAGCTGGGAAAGTTCCAGATAGCATCTTCTTCTAGTAGAAGGCTGTTTCATCTACATTGAAAATCTGTTGCTTAGTGTAGCAACCTTCATCAAAAACCTTAGCTAAATCTTCTGGATAACTTGCTGCAGCTTCTACATCAGCACTTGTTGCTTCACCTTGCACTTTCATGTTACAGACAAAGTTTCTTTTCTTAAACCTCATGAACCAGCCTCTCTTAGCTTCAAAATGTTCTTCTGCAGCTTCCTCACCTCTCAGCATTCACAGAACTGAAGAGAGTTAAGCCTTGCTCTGGATTAGGCTTGGCCTTAAGGGATGGTGTGGCTGGTTTGATTTTCTATCCAGATCTTTAAAACCTACTCCACATCAGCAATAAGACTGTTTCATTTTCTTATCATTTGTGTATTCACTGGAGCAGTACTTTTAATTTCCTTCAAGAACTTTTCCTTTGCAGTCACAACTTAGCTAACTGGGGCCAAGAGGTCTAGCTTTTGGCCTTCCTCCCTAAGCTTAACCATTTCTATAGCTTTTGGTTTAAAGTGTGAGATATGAGACTCTTCCTTTCACTTGCATGCTCAGAGGCCATTGTAGGGTTATTAATTGACCTAATTTCAATATTGTGTGTCTCAGCAAACAGGGAGGCCCGAGGAAGGGGACAGAGACAGGGAACAGCTGGTCCACAGAGTAGTCAGAACACACACAATGTTTATCATTTAAGTTTACCATCTTATATGCATGCCATCTGTGGCGTCCCCAAAACAATTACAATTGTAATATCAAAGATCTCTGATCACAGATTACCTTAACAGATATAATAATGAAAAAGTTTGAAATATTGCAAGAATTACAAAAATGTGACATAGAGACATGAAATGTGCATGTGTTGTTGGAAAAATGGCACTGATAAACTTTCTTGATGTAAGGTTATCACAAACCTTCAATTTGTAAAAAAAAAAAAAAAAAAACAGTATCTGCGAGGCACAACAGAGCAACAGAGCAAAGCACAATAAAGGAGGTATGCCTGTGTTTTTTTAAATTATCATACAATTAAAAAAACCACTTTTTTGGGGGTGTACAGTTGTACAAATTTTAACATATGTACAGATTCAGTTAACCACCAAAAGTAGGATATAGAACAGTTCTATCATCCCCAAAAAGTCCCTTATGCTATCCTTTGTGTTAAATAAATGGAATCACATAGAATGCTACCTTTTGAGACTGGCTTGTGTCACTAGGTTTTTGAAATTCATCCAAGTTGTTACATATATTAATAATTTGATCCTTTTGCCATTGAGTGGTATTATATTGTATAGACTGTACCAGTTTGTTGATCCATTGACCAGCTGAAGGGCATTTAGGTTATTTTCAGCTTTGGAAGTGTGAAATAAAACTGTTATGAACATTTGTGTACAGATTTTTGTGTGAATATAAGCTTCATCTCTGTAGTACAAATACCTAACAGTGGGACTAGAGTCATATGGTAAACACATTTAACTTTCTAAAAATCTACAAAACTGTTTCAGAAGAGTTGTACCATTCTGCATTGCCATCAGCAAGATCTGAAAGTGCCAGTTGCTCCAAATCCTTGTCAGCACTTACTTAACACACCATCTAATTTTAAGGACTATTTTATCTATAGAGTATAATTTATTTTCAATAAAATTTCAAAAACATAAAATTTGATGATTGCAAAACTTGTATTCCACCCCAAGTTATCAGGGAAATGCAAAAATAAAATAACTATTGTACAAAAAGAAAGCCAGATTTAAACATTACATATTAATTAGTTTTTTTATGGGAAATTATTTTCATTTAATCTTCTCATTTCCTGAGAAAAGGTGAAGTGGTCCAAATAAAATGAGTGAGTCATTATAAATGCAATCAACTGGGAAGCCAGTCTCAAATAATCTGATGGTTTAGATTTCAATACACAAATCAAATGTTTTCTTTCATAATAACCTCATAGAAGTCAAAAATTACAGTGTAAAATTATAATGTGTTTTCAATTTTCAGAATAATAATGACTACAAAATATTTAATGTCCTTGCCCTATAACCTCTACCATCCCCATCTCCCAATCCTCCTTACAGAAATGCAACTTAAAGAGAAGAAATGCTATAGAGAGATATTGAAAAATTAGTAAATTAAGGGAATAGATATAATTTTCTCTAAGAATTTTAAATATCCATATTGAATTAATATGATAATCATTTGTCAAATAAAGAACATCTGCCTCTTAAAACTATAGATGCAGATTTTATAAAACTTCAGTTTCAATTATTTGTAAACTTTCCCTCTATTTAAAAAATTTTTTATAGAAGTAAACTTTTATGGAAGTAAACTTTTATGGAAGTAAATCAGAAAGCTACACACGCCCTAGTAAACAGCTCGATAAATTTTCACAAACTGAAAAATTAAAGTAATAAGCCAAAACCACAATGAACAAGGATGACTCTAAAAATAACCAAAACAGGCCGGGCACGGTGGCTCACGCCTGTAATCCCAGCACTTTGGGAGGCCGAGGCGGGCAGATCACGAGGTCAGGAGATCGAGACCATCCTGGCTAACACGGTGAAACCCCGTCTCTACTAAAAATACAAAAAATTAGCCGGGCGTGGTGGTGGGCGCCTGTAATCCCAGCTACTCGGGAGGCTGAGGCAGGAGAATGGCATGAACCCAAGAGGCGGAGCTTGCAGTGAGCCGGGATAGCGCCACTGCAGTCCAGCTTGGGCGAAAGAGTGAGACTCCGTCTCAAAAAAAAAAAAAAAAAAAAAAATAACCAAAACAAAATTTAACCTGGAACCATGACATAAGGCTGCTGAGTGAAAAATCTACCTTAACAGGTTTTCCTATGAAAAAGCCTAGGGGTTTCACTGCTTACAAGCTCAAATTTGATCCAACTACAAATGCAACTTTTTTGTTTTTTTTTAAATTTAGAGCGTTTACATGAGCCAAAGTGACAACAGCTGCTCAGAAGACTCACCCAAGTAACCTTGGATATGGCCTCCATTTAAACTTTGTTGCACGCAAGTTTTTAAAGACAAAAAAGAGGGACAGGAAGTGGTTTGACACAAAACTGTCTGTCAGGGATTCTCACTGGTTTAAAGAAATAACATTGATTAGTGATTGGCTATATATTTTTAAGCTATAGGGTGTGAGTTATAGCATCCTATGTGACCTTGTTAGGTTAACTAACTACCTGGGCCATAACAGGCAGTTTCAAGGCATTAATAGATAGCTCAAGACAGGGAGCCGAATGTGATTGCTGCCTCATTTTTTTTTTTTTAATTTCAATAGCTTTTTGTGTACAAGTGGTTTTTGGTTACATAGATGAATTTTACAATAGGAATGTCTGAGATTTTAGTGTATCTGTTGCCCAAGTAGTGTACATTGCACCCAATATGTCATTTTTTAAATCTCTCCCTCCTCCCCGCTTCTGAGTCTCCAATATCCAGACTTCTATCACTCTGTATGTCTTCACATACCCATAGCTTAGTCTCGAATAATCTGATGGTTTAGATTTCAACATACAAATAAAAAATGAGAACATATGGTATTTGGTTTTCCATTTCCGAGTTACTTCACTCAGAATACTGGCCTCCAGTTCCAGCCACGTTGCTACAAAAGACATTTCATTATTTTTTTATGGCTGAGTAGTATTCCATGGTGTGTGTGTGTGTGTGTGTGTGTGTGTGTGTGTATATATGTGTGTATATATGGTGTATGTGTGTGTGTATATACACACATGTATACATACACCACACATACACACCATTTCCTTTATCCACTCATCAGTTAAATGTGGACTTAGGCTGGTTCCATATCTTTGCAATTGTGAATTGTGCTGCAATAAACATAGACATGTAGGTGTCTTTTTTGACATAGGGACTTATTTTCCTTTTAATAGATAGCCAGTAGTGAGAACGCCAGATAAAGTGGTAGATCTACTTGAACTCTCCATACTGTTTTCCACACAGCTTGTACTAATTTACATTCTCACCAGCAGTGTATAAGCAATTCCCTTTTTACCATATCCACGCCAACATCTGTTTTTTTTGTTTTGTTTTTACTTTTTCATAATGGCCATTCTGGCTGGGATAAGGTGTATGTCATCGTGGTTTTAATTTGTATTTCCCTGATCATTAGTGATGTTGAGAATTTCTTTATATGTGTTGACTATTTGTATATCTTCTTTTAACAAATGCCTATTCATGTTGCTTTAATGTGTTTTATCTGATATAAAAGAATAGCTACTCCTGCTATCTGATATAAAACAATAGCTACCCCTTTACCATGAGTCTACAAGAATCCTTATGGGTGTTAGGTGATTCTCTTGAGGACAGTGGATATTTGGTTTGTGATTTTTAATCCTAAAACAACTTTTAAAAGGCAAATGAGTTTCAAGCTACTAGAAATACTGTATCTAGATAAAGGACAAAATGGATCTACTGGAATGTATATACTGATTAGTCCAAATAGGAAGAACCATATCTAGAGTTCCGGGATTACCACATTTAAGAAAACACAGTATCAAATCTGAGATTATCCAGAGAAGGACAAAGAGGATGGAAATAAATTGAGAAAGAGTTTCTAACATGAGGAATGGTTGAGAGTAATCTCAATAATTCTGTAGCCTGAAGATAAGAAAACTTAGGGGAAAGGTATGTATTTAATTAGGATTAAGTTTGTGACTATTAAGGCAAAATGAACTGTAGCTCAATGTAATAAAGAACTTTCCAGCATTTAGAAATAATGAAAGGGGTGTGTTAAAATATAATGAGGACCAAGCATGGTGGCTTATGCCTGTAATTGCAGCACTTTGGGAGACCAAGGCAGAAGGACCACTTGAGGCCAGGAGTTCAAAACCAGTTTAGGCAACATAGTGAGACCATGCATCCAGTAAAAAATAAAAAATTAATTAATTAACCGAACGTGGTGGCATGCACATATTGTTCCAGCTACTCGAGAAGCTAAGGTAGATGATGGCTTCAGTGCAGAAGTTCAAGGCTGCAGTAAGCTATGATTACACCACTGCATTCCAGCCTGGGTGACAGAGCAAGGCTCTGTCTTTAAAAATATAAAAATAAAAAAATTAAGAAAAACATATTATGAGCCCTGCCGAACTGGAAGTATTCAAGTAGAAGATGAAATAGTAAGGCTTCATGTTGAAGTTTAAACTAAATGAACTCTAATGTCCCTCCAACTCTAAGATAACTTAATTCTAATACTAATAAACCAACTGGCAGTGCAGCATTGTAGCTCAGTTAAACTATTGCTATTACTTAACCATAATCAATAAGGGAATTACCAATTTCTATTATGTGACATTAATGAAATAATTTTAAACTCCATGTAGAAGTCTGCATTAAAATATAGAATCTACAAAATCTTAAAAAAAAAACCACAGCAATTTAAAAAAATCATTATAACTGGATAACTACTTCATTTATATACTAAAATAGATAATTTCATTTCTGCTGCCCCTCCTTGGTGGAAATTAAACTCATTTTTGACACTGAAAAGTTGGGACATTTCAAGTAAAATAAAAAAGGGCTTCTCGGCTGGATGTGGTGGCTCATGCCTGTAATCCCAGCACTCTGGGAGGCTGAGACAGGCGGATCACGAGGTCAGGAGTTCGAGACCAGCTGGGCCAATGTGGTGAAACCCTGTCTCTACCAAAAATACAAAAAAAAAAAAAAAAAAAAAATTAGCCGGGTGTGGTGGTGCGTGCCTGTAGTCCCAGCTACTAGGGAAGCTGAGACAGGAGAATCGCTTGAACCCAGGAGGTGGAGGTTGCAGTGAGCCAAGATCGTGTCACTGCACTCCAGCCTGGGCGCCAGAGCAGGACTCTGTCTTTAAAAAAAAAAAGTGGGGCGGGGTGGGGGGCTTCTCAAAGTGGCAAAGCCTGGCCAGGTGCAGTGGCTCACGCCTGTAATCCCAGAACTTTGGGAGGCCGAGGCAGGCATGATCTCGAACTCATGATTACAAGGCATGATCTCGAACTCATGATCACAAGGTCATGAGTTCGAGACTAACCTGACCAATATGGTGAAACCCTGTCTCTACTAAAAATACAAAAATTAGCCAGGTGTGGTGGCGCATGCCTGTAATCCCAGCTACTCGGGAGGGTGAGGCAGGAGGATCACTTGAACCTGGGAGGCGGAGGTTGCAGTGATCAGAGATTGCACCATTGCACTCCAGCCTGGATGACAGAGCGGGACTTGGTCTTTTTTTTTTTTTGAGAGGGAGTCTCACTCTGTCGCCCAGGCTGGAGGGCAGTGGCTGGATCTCTGCTCACTGCAAGCTCCACCTCCTGGATTCACGCCATTCTCCTGCCTCAGCCTCCAGAGTAGCTGGGACTACAGGCGCCTGCCACCACACCTGGCTAATTTTTTGTATTTTTAGTAGAGACGGGATTTCACCGTGTTAGCCAGGATGGTCTCGATCCCCTGACCTCGTGATCCACCCACCTTGGCCTCCCAAAGTGCTGGGATTTAAAGGCGTGAGCCACTGCACCCGGCCGAGACTTGGTCTTAAAAAAAAAAGAAAAGAAAAAGAGGCAAAGCCTATCTAGGAACAAAACAAAGAGGAAAAAAAGCTAGGTTACCCATCCACAGAGACAGTTTCTCTGACAAAGTCTACATTTAACTTTTTCTAAGAAAAGAGAAGTACAGCAAAAACAAAAACACCAAAGTGTAGCTCCTGTGGAGACAATCTACAATCTATCTACAATCCATAAGATTCACACACAAAATATATGTCGAAAAACTTCAAGTGCTGAATTATTTTATTGACAAATAGTAAAGCAAAAAGACAGCTGCTTATACACGTTACATAACCAATATGTTTTTAAATTGTTAGTATATGTAATGTAACATGTCAGCTAACAGTTGGATAAAATAGATAGAAATGCCTTTCAGCCTCTTATCCAAGTGTTTCTTTTCCTTATATTCCTCTACAGTTCAAAGGAATCTCAACCACTGTAAGCACACTCTTTCTTTTTTTTTTTTTTTTTTGAGACGGAGTCTTACTTTGTCGCCCAGGCTGGAGTGCAGTGGCGCGATCTCGGCTCACTGCAAGCTCCGCCTCCCAGGTTCACGCCATTCTCCTGCCTCAGCCTCCCAAGTAGCTGGGACTACAGGCACCCACTACTACACCCGGCTAATTTTTTGTATTTTTTTTTTTTAGTAGAGATGGGGTTTCACTGTGTTAGCCAGGATAGTCTCGATCTCCTGACCTCATGATCTGCCCGCCTCGGCCTCCCAGAGTGCTGGGATTACAGGCATGAGCCACCGCACCAGGCCTGTAAGCACACTCTTTCAATCAAAAATAGGGAGGGCATGGCACCTTAACTTTAAAACAAATAATAAGAAAATGTGATTAAATATTATTTCTTTCAGTGTTAAGACATACTTGTATGTAAAATCAATGGTAAAATCAAATTTACCACGGAATTTGATGTTTCACTTTTAATTTCAAAACTGCTATATTTAATTTCTGTTTTAGCTTTATTGGTTCATTAAAGAAAGAAAGTTATTTTAGAAATAAGTAACAGAAGCATCTAGGAGCATGCTAAAGGCCTTAGCTATCTGCCTTTCCCAAAGTTCTCTTTAAAAATAACATCTTTCACTTGTCTTTTTCATATCTAACTGCCAATAAACATAATATTTCTTCTGAATAATTGGTGTGTTTTTGTCATGTCTTATGAATCTTAAAAACCCTCTTTGCTATGGCAATCAGAAATATAAGACACAAATCTACAGTTTTCCTCTAGGAATTGTGCAGTAACTTAATAGTAAGTATCCACCATCCTATACTTGTTTATCCTTCATGCGAATTTCATTAGCTACTTTCTAAAACTTTCGTCTAATAAAACTCTAAAATAAATTTCAAATTCTTTTTGAATAATTCAGAGGATAAACAGAAGCAAAAATATTGAAAATCACCTCTCTTAAAGAGTAATCAAGATTCTAAAGCTAAGCAAAAAAGCAGGGATAGTCAAGCATAGTAGACAATTATTAGTCAAGCATTTACTAAGTGGCCATGGCCAACAGAGCTATGGTTCTAGTTGAATGAAAAACTTTAAATACATTCCATCTTTCCCAATTTCCTAGCCTAACCTTTGAAAAGATTCTCTTTTATAACTTCCTTTTCATTCTTTGTATTATAAATATAATATATATACAGGTCTGTGGCCTGTTAGGAACCAGGCCACACAGCAGGAGGTGAGTAGCGGGTGAGCAAGCATTACCTTCTGAGCTTTGCCTCCTGTCAGATCACCAGCAGCACTAGATTCTCATAGGAGCCCAAACTCTATTGTGAACTGCGCATGCAAGAGATCTAGGTCGCACACTACTTATGAGAATCTAATGCCTGATGATCTGAGGTGGAAGTTTCATCCAAAACCCCCTCTGCCCCCCTGGTCCGTGGAAAAACTGTCTTCCAAGAAACTGCTGATTTAGAACACTAAAAGTAATGAGGCATCTTCCATTATTACTAGAGAAAAATTTTAGGGAATATTATCAAAATAAAAAGAGCAAAGTAAAGCTTGCTTCCTTAACAGACCAGGATCCCTGTCATTACACTTAACAGATTATCCTGAGACCTGGGCAGCAACAACAAATTATTAGTAAAAAAGATGTACAGACACTGTCTTTTGTGACTGACAAACAGGCATCTTACCCTATTATCAAATGCAGAGTTCTAGGCTGGATAGGGTGGATATTTTGGCCTTCTGGCAAGGTAATGGGTCCTCTATCTGCTCTTTATCAGGTGACCTTTCCATTTATTAGTGTATACTAACTTCCCCAAAGGTAGAAGTTTTTGTTTTTGTTTTCTGGGGGGAAAGGGATGCAGATAATTTTGTAATAAGTCTTTTTATGTCAGTTCTACAAATGTGGCTTTAAAAGCAATGTAATTTCAACAACTCACCTTTGTGAAATGGAAAGTTACAGGAGTAAATCAGGGTTCCCTGAATTTTTCCAATCCCATTTGTGTATCTCCTCTCTAAATGTGAAAGATTTTAAACCAATGATTATTGGGACCATAAATATGTCTAAAAATAAGCCTCCCTTCTAAAACTTTGCAATTGCTTATGGCAGTGGTTCTCAAGCTTCGGTCTGTATCAGAATCACCTGGCAAGCTTCTTAAAACACAAACTGTAGGAGCCTACCCACAATTTCTGATTCAGTGGGTCTGGGGTATTGATTGAGAACTGGCCTGTAGAACAAGTTCCCAGTTGATGCTGATGCTTGTCTGGGAATCACACTTTAAGAACTGCTGCCTTAAGGCATTATACCTCTAGACTAGTTAAAACATCATCTTGACTAAAAAGTTTATGATAAAGTTTTGGCATCCTACCCCAAAACACAAAGAATCACAGAAATGATATAACCCAATGTTATCAAAGCTTTGAAAAAGCAAGTGCCCTCAACTGTACTTGATAGTATTTAAAGTAGTAGACATTTAAACACTAGGGCACAATCAGGTAAAATACTGAAAACAGCCATTAGAAATGAAAAGTAAAATAATCAAAGGGAAAAAAATTTGTATGTGACAAAACATTCACTCACTACTTATGACTGCAAAATGCCAAAAAACTGGAGAATAATTATACAAACTATACTACACTGAGCAAATGGAGTATTATTTAACCACAAAGATGACAAAAAAATGAAGTCCACACACACACACACACACACACACACACACACACAGAAAATGGAAACAAAGTATGAAATAGAAGTAGAACATAAAACTGATAACAGCAATATATGTTTAATGATAAAAATCAGAAGTAGCCTCAATAGATGTAGTATTTATCTAAGGTGAAGAAACGAGCTACTTTAGACCTAATATGTTTATAAGATAGTTTAATGCAGTCAATTTCATTATCTACTTTCTAAAACTTTTTTATAGAATATTTTAAAGTAGCCTCTGGTCTACAGATTACAGTGACCATCTAACCCACTGAAAATTACTTTCAAAATTTATGAAGTAAATAATTAAGAAAAACACTGAAAGTAAAAAAAATGACTAAGAAAATCTAATTAAAGTTCCCAGATAACACTTCCTTAAAGTTTTAACATGAAGAAGGGAAACTTAGTAACTACGTTGGGCACAGCTAGCAAAATCACTTGAACCAAATGTACAGAGTGGTAAAACAGATAAAGATTGGGATTCAAAGCCCATTAACGATCCAAAAAAAAAATACTTTGAGAAAAACTAATCCAATCATTAAAAACATTTTTTCAAAACTGTTAAAAATAGTGACTTTTAAAGTGCATAACTTACTGTTTTGATTCACTGTGACAAACTTCCAAGGTTGGGTCATTATAAATAAAAGCAGCCTCTAAATCATTGATCCTTACTCGGTATATTCTACACTGTTTGCTGTTCAACTTGATTCTATTCAAGTTTGCAACTGTGGGAAATATAGTCAGTTCCACAAATCCCTGTAAAGATAGAGAATAACAACTTCATTATAAAGACTGGTATGTTTCAGAATATATTTCTTTTATTTTTACCACTTGTACACATATTATACTACAGAGACAAAATCCCTAATAGCTACATACATACATATGCTCTCCAAGTATCTTAATTTCAAACATGATTGTCCTAGTGACTGAATGGGTGTGAGTTATGTATACTTTATCATCCTGGTGGTTCATATTCACTATCAGTGAAAATTAGGCAGTCAGAAAAAAGTAAAAGGGCTCACTACTCTCAAAAACCAGAATTTCTAAACAGACTAGGCCCTAAAAAGGGAAGAAGAAAAAAATTACAGAGCAGAAAGGGAATCAAAATCAGAAGGGTGATGAGTGAAAGAACATGGCAGAAAAAAAAAGGGGTAAAAAATTATACCACTGAAGCTAACAAGTATGAGTTTCTGCTCATGAGTAAATTAGGACAGGTAAAACAGCAAGAGCTACAAAAGATACCAAGGCAAGTAGGAAAAATCTGCTGCCATATCCAGGAGCAGCAAATACATCACAGTGTTCAATCACTTCCTGTCAAGTAGTCCAGAGGCCATATGTAGTTCTACCATGTTAGCTGTATGGTAGCAATGTCTCTGTATCCAACACATGAAAAACAGTTAAATACAGACTGCCCACCACCCTCTTGTATTGAATCAATGGGAAAGACGAACAGATGAAACACAGAATATATGTTAATTGATTTTAATATCCTGGGTTGAAAATTGATGTACTCAAACATAAAACAAGGGACAGCATGAAATAGCAATATTTCAGGACTCCAACGTGAAGAGAAAAATTTCAGAGGCTATAACAGAAATATCTAAGACAAAATTCAGACAGCAACCACAGAGGACTAGATTATAATGGCTGCTACCAGGTACCAGACATTACACTAGATACTTTCCTATGTTCCCTCTAATCCTAATACCAACTCTAAGAGACAAGTACTACTTTATACTTTCTACAGAGAAGCTACAAATACTACTGTACAGTATTAAAAAGTTAACTTTTTACAGATAAGATAAGAAAGGCAAAAAAAGTAGGTCAGTAATAAGTAGAGACTAGAGATTCAAACACAACTAAATAATTCCAAACAATTCCCACTATGCCATAATGCCTGTGGGTACAAGGGTTTTAAATGATATGCAAGAATTGTTTTTAGGTAACATTTAGTCCAACCGCTCAAGAAAGCCTAGAGATTCTGTAGCCCCTTTGTTCTCAATTCCCAAGTAAGAGGAGAGCCATACACTTAAATTAGAACAATCAGCACATATCTGTGAGCTAGAAACACAGAGAACAAAAGAACAAAGGCCAAAATAAAGTTGATAAAGATTCTGTGTTTAAAGGTGTAAACTATGAGCTGCTGTAGGAAGGAAGACCAGAATTCCTTTTAATTAGCATATCTGTCATCCAATGACCATTCTAAATTTAAATGAGCTTGGATCAGCTGAAAGATAAGATTTAGAACCAAGACAACTACAAAACAAAAGATTAAAGAAGTACTGTCAACTGCTACTTGGGTGGGACATAAGAACAGCATCTGGTTTTCTAAACTCTGGTAACAATAATAGAATGATGAAATGTATTTCAGGAAGATAGGAAAAGCCCAGTCTCCTTGTACCATCAGGCCTCTGCCACCACCTAGGGCTCTAACCTACAGCTGCCTGAAACATTCGGACCCATTAACCTCTACAAGTCTTCAATCTCTGCTGCCCTTAGCCACTGGCATAACTGCAAGCCTCTCGGGTCATCTAGCTTCTCACTCCTTGCTTCTTGCTCTCTCCCCACCACTTCACAGATAACCATTCTCCTGGAGCCCACACTCCATTTTAAACATTTCCCCTGTGCTTTTCAACCTTTTCTAAAACTCCCTCTCTACCCTCTTGCCTTAAATGAAATGGTTCCTGAATCCTCCTAGACAAGAAGCTACTTACTCTCCCATTCACTATAAACGAGGGTAGTGGAAAATAGGCATTCTCCTAGTTTCCACGACTACTTCTGGGTCACTTATAGGATTTTATTTACTGTACACTACAAGGTTAAGGACAGTGTAGTGTCACCGTGAAAAGCAGGTGTTCTGGAGGTAGACTCCCTGTATTCAAATCCTAGCTCTACCACTTAGTAACTGTATGATATTGAGCTAGTAACTCCAGCCCACTGTGCCTCAGTTTCCTCATAAAAAATGACATTATTGGCCTATTAGTGTTATTATGACAACCGAACAGCCAGGCATGGGCTCACGCCTGTAATCCTAGCACTTTGGGAGGCTGAGGCAGGAGGACTGCTTGAGTCCCGGAGTTCAGAACCAGCCTGGTCAACATAGCAAGACCCTATCTGTACATAAACTATTAAAAAATTAGCCAGGCATGGTGGCTGTAGTTCCAGTTACTGGGGAGGCTGAGGTGGAATGATTGCTTGAGCCTGGGAGGTTGAGGCTGCAGCGAGTCATGATTGTGACACGGGTGACAGAGCAAGATCACATCTCAAAAAACAAAGACAAC
Source organism: Homo sapiens (assembly GCF_000001405.40). Lineage (NCBI taxonomy): Eukaryota > Metazoa > Chordata > Mammalia > Primates > Hominidae > Homo > Homo sapiens. The sequence continues at coordinate 119,822,035 of NC_000008.11, forward strand.
TGAAAAACTTACATGGAAAACACTTAAAATTATAGCTGGCATCTAGTATTTGCTTAATAAATGCTTTTGTTATTCTTTTCTGCTTATCCTTTGTGTTCATGCTATACAGGTACATCATCCTTTATGCTTCTTCATTAATATCTATGAAATTCCCCAACATTTGATGAAGGCTCATACTCTTGCCTTTTTTTTTTCTTTTTTTTCAGAGACAGGGTATTGCTCTGTCACCCAGGCTGGAGTGCACTGTAGCAATCATGGCATACTGCAGCCTCAATCTTCCAGGCTCAAGTGATCCTCCCACCTCAGCCTCCAGAGTAGCTGGGGACTACAGAAATGCATTACCACACCTGGTTAATTAAAAATTTTTTTCTCTAGAGACGGGTCTTATCATGTTGCCCAAGCTGGTCTAGAACTTCTGGCCTCAAGTGACCCTCCTATCTCAGCCTCCAAGAGCACTGGGATTACAGGTATAAATACTGCAACTGGTCACATACTCTTCTTTTGTAACACAAGTCTGCCATCACTCTAAGTGACTTGAATATAGATATGTCTGATCCATCCAATAAAACTGCCTCAAAGTTCCTTGACCTCAGTTCCTACAATCTTCACTTCCATCCAGGAAGAATCAAGATCACACTCTGAAAAGCACTTCATCACTGCTTAGAACTGCTCTGATGCTGACATTATGAACTCAAAGGTCCACAATGCCTCTCCTCACCCCTCTCATTACTTCTCTCCCAGTCCTCCTGTTCAACTGCCTGAAATCCTCCTGTCCTTGACTTCTTCCAGTTTCTCACCAGAAAAGAATTCAGAAAAGAATAACAAAAGCATTTATTAATCTTCTTGGCACTCCTGGGGCTTTTTCTCCCTTCACCCTAAATCCTTAAATTCAACCACTCCTCTGCCAACTACCAATTACCTTGCCCCTCTGTTTCACGTACCCATCTTTCCCTTCTGTTTAAGAATGATATATCCAATGGTCCTTTAGCACCCACTCCCCACAATATCCTCAGAAATATCACTGTTTTTCTCTCTCCTATAATTACAATCTTTCCTTTCTGTAGAATTTTTTCCGTGCCTATAAATATGTTCAAGACTCAAGGTTTTAAATGCCTTTAGATCTATGCTATCCTCAAATGAATTTTGTGCCATCTTTTTCCCATACCTTCAAAAGAGAAATTCTTGAAAAAGTAGAATATGTTCACTGTTCCAACTCTCTCTTCCATTCAGTACAGTATGACTTATGCAGTCATCATTCCACTGAAGTTACCTGACATGTTTGGGCTGTGTCCCCACCCTAATCTCATCTTGAATTCTCATGTGTTGTGGGAGACCTGGTGGAAGGTAACTTAATCATGAGGGCAAGTCTTTCCATGCTATTCTCATAAAGCGAATAAATCTCATGAAATCTGATGGTTTGAAAAACGGGAATTTTTCTGCACAAGCTCTTTTTGCCTGCCACCATCCACGTAAGATATGACTTGCTCCTCCTTGCCTTCTGCCATGATTGTGAGGCTTCTCCAGCCACGTGGAACTGTAAGATCCCCATTAAACCTCTTTCCTTTGTAAACTGCCCAGTCTCAGGTATGTCTTTATCAGCAGCATGAAAATGAACTAATACAGTAAACTGCTACCAACAGAGTGGGGTGCTGATAAAAAGTTACCTGAAAATGTGGAAGCGACTTTGGAACTAGGTAATAGGCAGAGGTTGGAACAGTTTAGATGGCTCAGAAGACAGGAAAATGCGGGAAAGTTTGGAACTTCCTATAGACTTGTTGAATGGCTTTGACCAAAATGTTGATAGTGATATGGACAATAAGGCCCAGGCTGAGGTGGTCTCAGATGGAGATGAGAAACTTGTTGGGAACTAAAGCAAAGGTGACTCTTGCTATGTTTTCGCATAGAGACTGGCAGCATTTTGCCCCTGCCCTAGAGATTTGTGGAACTTTGAACTTGAGAAAGATGATTTAGGGTATCTGGTAGAAGAAATGTCTAAGCAGCAAAGCAGTCAAGCGGTGACTTGGGTGCTGTTAAAGGCATTCCATTTTATAATGAAAGTAGAGCATAAAAGTGTGGAAAATTTGCAGCCCGACAATGATAGAAAAGAAAATCCGGGCCGGGCATGGCGGCTCACACCTGTAATCCCAGCACATTGGGAGGCTGAGGCAGGTGGATCACGAGGTCAGGAGTTCAAGACCAGCCTGGCCAAGACAGTGAAACCCCATCTCTACTAAAAATACAGAAAATTAGCCAGGCATGGTGGTGGGCGCCTGTAATCCCAGCTACTCAGGAGGCTGAGATAGAGAATTGCTTGAACCCAGGAGGTGGAGGTTGCAGCGAGCTGAGATTGAGCCACTGCACTCCAGCCTGGGGGACAGAGTGAGACTCCGTCTCAAAAAAAAAAAAAAAGAAAAAAGAAACTCCCATTTTCTGAGGAGAAGTCCAAGCTGGCTACAGAAATTTGCATAAGTAACAGGGAGCTGAATGTTAATCCCCAAGAAAATGGGGAAAATGATGTCTCCAGGGCATGTCAGAGGTCTTCACACAGCCCCTCCCATCACAGGCCCGGAGGCCTAGGAGGAAAAAGTGGTTTTGTGGGCCAGGCCCAGGGTCCCTACGCTGTGTGCAGCCTAGGGACTTGATGCCCTGCATCCTATCCACTCCAGCCAGGGCTGAAAGGGGCCAACTTTGAGCTTGGGCCATAGTTTCAGATGGTACAAGCCTCAAGCCTTGGCAGCTCCCATGTGGTGGTGAGCCTGAGAGTGCAGAGAAGTCAAGAATTGAGGTTTGGGAACCTCCACCTAGATTTCAGAAGATGTATGGAAATGCCTGGATGCCCAGGCAGAAATTTGCTGTAGAGGTAGGATCCTCACAGAGAACCTCTCCTAGGCCAGTGCAGAAGAGAAATGTGGTGTCAGAGCCCCCACACAGGGTCCCTACTGAGGCACCACCTAGTGGAGCTGTGAGAAGAGGGCCACCATCCTCCAGACCCCAGAATGGTTCACTGACAACATGCACCGTGCACCTGGAAAAGCTGCAGACACTCAACGCCATCCAGTCAAGGCAGCCGGGAGGCTGCAACCTGCAAAGTCTCAGAGGCAGAGCTGCCCAAAACTATGGGAACCTACCTCTTGCATCAGCATGACCTGGATGTGACATGGAGTCAAGGGAGATCATTTTGGAGCTTTAAGATTTGACTGCCCTGCTGTATTTCAGACTTGCATGGGGCCTGTAGCCCCTTTGTTTTGGCTAATTTCTGCCATTTGGAATGGCTGTATTTACCCATTGCCTGTACTCTCATTGTATCTAGGCAGTAACTAACTTGCTTTTGATTTCACAGGCTCATAGGCGGAAGGGACTTGCCTTGTCTCTGATGAGACTTAGGACTGTGGACTTTTGAGTTAATGCTGAAATGAGTTAAGATTTTGGGGGACTGTTGGGAAGTCATGATTGGTTTTGAAATGTGAGGGCTTAAGATTTGGGAGGGGCCAGGGGCAGAATGATACAATTTGGCTGTGTCCCCACCCAAATCTCATCTTGAATTCCCATGCGTTGTGGGAGGGACCCAGTGGGAGGTAACTGAATCATGGGGGCAAGTCTTTCCTGTGCTGTTGTCATGATAGTCTCACGAGACCTGACGGTTTTTTTGTTTGTTTGTTTGTTTTTATGAGATGGAATCTCGCTCTGTCGCCCAGGCTGGAGGGCAGTGGTGCGATCTTGGCTCACTGCAAGCTCTGCCTCCTGTGTTCACACCATTCTCCTGCCTCAGCCTCCTGAGTAGCTGGGACTACAGGTGCCCACCGCCACGCCTGGCTAATTTTTTTTTTTTTTGTATTTTTAGTAGAGACAGGGTTTCACTGTGTTAGCCAGGATGGTCTCGATCTCCTGACCTCATGATCTGCCCGCCTCGGCCTCCCAAAGTGCTGGGATTACAGGCGTGAGCCACCGTGCCTGGCCCTGATGGTTTTAAAAACAGGAGTTTTTGCAAATACCACATGTTCTCACTCATAAGTGGGAGTTGAATAATGAGAACACATGGACACAGGGAGGGGAACATCAAACACCAGGGCCCGTTGCGGGGTGGGGGACTAGGGGAGGGATAACATTAGAAGAAATACCTAATGTAGGTGACAAGTTTATGGGTGCAGCTAACCACCAGGGCACATGTATACCTATGTAACAAAACTGCACGTTCTGCACATGTAACCCAGAACTTAAAGTATAATTAAAAAAAAAAAAACAAGAAACAAACAAACAAAAAAAACAGGAGTTTCTCTGCACAAGCTCTCTTTTTGCCTGCTGCCATCCATGTAAGAGATGACTTGCTACTCCTTGCCTTCTGCCATGATTGTGAGGTTTCCCCAGCCACATGGAACTGTGAGTTCTCCATTAAACCACTGTCCTTTGTAAATTGCCCAGTTTCAGGTATGTCTTTATTAGCAGCGTGAAAATGGACAAATACTTTACCCTTGCTATGGTCACTTATGACCAAGATTACTTTCAGTTTTCAAGTTTATATTTCCTGTTTACATTTAAAATTAATAACCATTCCATTTCCTCCTTTTTTTTTTTTGAGATGGGGTTTCACTCTTGTTGTCCAGGCTGGAGTGCAGCAGTGCGATTTCGGCTCGCTGGAACCTCCACCTCCTGGGTTCAAGCGACTCTCCTGCCTCAGCCTCTTGAGTAGCTGGGATTACAGGCATCTGCCACCACACTCAGCTAATTTTTTTGTATTTTTAGTAGAGACGGGGTTTCACCATGTTGGCCGGTCTGGTCTCAAACTCCTGACCTTACACCAGCCTCGGCCTCCCAAAGTGCTGGGGTTATAGGCGTGAGCCACCACACCCAGCCTCCTCCTTCTTAAGATATGTTTTTCAGCCAGGTGTGGTGGCTCACACCTGTAATCCTAGCACTTTGGAAAGCCAAAGTAGGGTGGATCGCTTGAGCCCAGGAGTTTGAGACCAGCCTAAGCAACATGGCAAAACTCCGTCTCTACAAAAAATACAAAAATTAGCCAGGCTGGTGGTACGTGCCTGTGGTCCCAGCTACTCAGGAGGCTGAGGTGGGATAACCACCTGAGCCCAGGGAGGTTGAGGCTGCAGTGAGCTGTGATTGCGCCACTGCACTCCAGCCTAGGCGACAGTGAGATCCTGTCTCAAAAAAAAAGGTTTTCCCTGGTTTCTACAGCCCAAGTGTCAGTTTTCTCAAATATCATGTTCTTCAGATATTTCTCCCTGATGCTCACTTCCTGCTAGATACTCTAAGTGAGCTTTTCCACACCCTTAATGAACAACTGTATATCAAAGGCTCCCAAATTTCTCTCACCATCCTTTATCTGCACAGACATGTAGCCAACTACCCACTATTCATCTCAATTTAATAACCCCAAAGTGCATGGAATGTAATTTTCTAATCTGACCTATAAATCTTTCCTCTCAAACCTGCTGCCCTTCCCTTCCATACACAGAGTAACCATTTGTTTAAACTTATGCATTTTATCTTGTACCCTATCTTACAGAAGTAGATGGCATGATCAATTGCTGAAGGCTCAGTTACAACTACAATTGAGAAACCTCCCACAGGATGCTGCCTTTAATTAGTAGACAATGTATCTCTCCTAGCCAAAACAGAACTGGGAACCAAGGGGTGAAAGTTGGAGTGACTACTCTCACTATTACACCAAAAAGGCCATGGAAGGAATTTTTTTTTTTTTTTTTTTGGAGCAGGGGACAGAGTTTTGCTCTTGTTGCCCAGGCTGGAGTGCAGTGGCATGATCTCGGCTCACTGCAACCTCTGCCTCCCGTGTTCAAGTGATTCTCCTGCCTCAGCCTCCCAAGTAGCTGGGATTACGGGTGCCCGCCACCATGCTCAGCTAATTTTTTGTATTTTTAGTAGAGATAGGGTTTCACTGTGTTGGCCAGGTTGGTCTCAAACTCCTGACCTCGTGATCTGCCCACCTCGGCCTCCCAAAGTGCTGGGATTACAAGCGTGAGCCACTGCGCCTGGCCAATTCTTGTATTTTTAGTAGAGACAGGGTTTCACCATGTTGGCCAGACAGGTCTTGAACTCCTGACCTCAGGTGATCCATCCGCCTTGGCCTCCCAAAGTGCTGGGATCACAGGTGTTAGCCACCGTGCCCAGCCATGGAAGGAATTTTTGCCTCCTGTCTCTGTGACCCTGGGTTCAGCATGTTGAGAGGTCCTAGTGCCTAAGTGAAGAATGCATCCACCAGGGCACATAACCATGATTCCATTCCATTGGAAGTTGAGGCTGCCCCTTGACCACCTTGAGCTCCTCATCCCAAAGAACCAAAAAGCAGAGAAAGGGGTCCTGTTCTGGCTGGAATGAATCATTTCAATTACTGAACAGAAAATTAAAGCTTTGCTATACAATAAGGACAAGAATCACATCTGAAATCTAGAGGATTCCCTCAGATGCCTCTCAGATCCCCCCTAACAGTCCTAGGCAACAGAAACTGCAACAACCCAATAAAGATATAAACAGCAGTGAAGGTCCTAAAGAAACAAGGGTCTAGGTCATCCCAATAGAAATGTCAGCAGAAGGAAAAGGAAACACCGAAGGGGTGAAGAAATAAAGCAGTATGTATCAACTTCGGCCATACTACCAGCTAAGGGAAGCAGGGACTGTTACAATTTAGTTTTATACTATTTCTTTCAACCACTTTTCTTTCCACTATCTTGCATAAAAGACACTAGAGGTAGCTAATATTTTAGGTGGGAACAGGGCTGAACTGTCATCTCTCACACTAACAGAATAGCTCAGGGATTAGCAAACTGTCTCTTAAAGGGCCAGATAGAAATATTTCAGGCTTTGTGGGTCACACAGTCTCTGTCTCAGCTACTCGCCTCTGCCAGCGTAGCTCCAAAACCTCCACAGTCAATATGTAAATAAATGGGGATGGCTGTGTTCAAGTAACATTTCACTTAAAAAACAAGTAGTCAGCCATTACCAACTCTTTCAGTGGCTCATAGGACTTTGTAAGTTCCCCATGTTAGGAGCACTAGCTTTTCATCTCAACCAAAGACAACAGTGGATGCGTTGGGGTTAAAAAGGTAGACTGTTCTGATTATTCTCATTTTGCCCCTCCTGATCTGCTCTCTACCCTACTCAATACCCTACGAGTTGCATTAACTGGGCTCTACCCTTCTGGCTGGGTTGGTCCAACAGTTTCCACAAAAAGGAAACTGGAAAACAGAAGGAAAGCAAGTTTATATTAATTACCCCAGATTCCTTTCCGCCAGGCTGCAGGTAAGCAGTAGCTTCATTCTTCTATTAAAAGACACAGGTCCTACAAGGTGACCCATTCCATGGCTACAGTAGGTTCTAGTAACTTCCCCTTCCCGTTGTTGTTTCAGGCCTAGACAACTGTTCCTCACTGTTGATAGCTCAGAGGGTTCCTCCACCTCATGTTGGTTTCTGTTAACTCTGTTCTAAATACTCCCTTCATTTCCCTCAATTAACTTGTGTGTGTGTGTGAGTGTGTGTGTATATATATGTATGTGTATATATATATACACATACATATATGTATATCTGCCATTTACTTCCTACCAAGATCCTAACCCATACAACATCCAATCAAAGTTTCCAATGGGAAACTTAAGTCATCCACAACCCCTTTATAGCAGTCTTGAAAAAGCCACATGCAACTTCTATTGATTCCTCAGGGACAACACAGGTGGAAGGGGGAATGAAAGACGTAAAAAGTGCATCAAACTCTTAGGTCATCAGTGATTAAAAAGGGTTTCATCATTTGCCAACTTTATGCCCTTAAGAAAGTTACTTAACCTCCATTCTTTTTTTAGTTTTTTTTTTTTTTTTTGAGACGGAGTCTTGCTCCGTCGCCCAGGCTGGAGTGCAGTGGCGCGATCTCGGCTCCCTGCAAGTTCGCCTCCCAGGTTCGGCGCGATCTCGGCTCCCTGCAAGTTCGCCTCCCAGGTTCATGCCATTCTCCTGCCTCAGCCTCCCGAGTAGCTGGGACCACAGGCACCCACCACCACAGCCGGCTAATTTTTTGTATTTTTAGTAGAGACAGGGTTTCACCGTGTTAGCCAGGATGGTTTCGATCTCCTGACCTCATGATCCACCCGCCTCAGCCTCCCAAAGTGCTGGGACTACAGGTGTGAGCCACCGTGCCTGGCCCTGAACCTCCATTCTTTTAGCTGCCTCAATCATGCCTTAATTCTAATATTAGGATTAAAATATTATCTATCTCACAGGGTAATTATGAAGATTAAGTGAGTTAATACACATAAACCTTAGAAGATATCTTACATATATTAATGGCTAAATATATGTTCACTAATTCAATCATGTCAACTCTATTTCAATTCCATTTTCACTAATGCTATCTTCATTTAGGACTTCACCATTTCTCCCCTAGATTACCGCAGTAACCTCTGAACTAGACTCCCTAATTCCCTTATCTTTCCTACCCAATTCATACAACATAATACAACTCAAGTATCCTACTATATAAGATATAAGGTACATAACCTAGGGAAGACTGCATGAGAAATTCCATAAACGAGGAGACTAAATTTAATAAATCTTTTAGGAACATTACAAATCTAAGATTCTATGACTCATGAAAAGCGACATTTTTCTATCTATTCAGCTTATCCTAAGTAAATATATACATACATGGGTAACAAATCTGACAGAGAAGTTGATACCATCACTCAAGGAAAACCAGCTCTCATTAACATTTTAGCCTATGTAATAAAGGTAGCCCTAAGAAAGTAAATTAAATAAATACTTGAGTTTTCAGCCAGGTGCAGTGGTTCATGCCTGTAATCCCAGCATTTTGGGAGGCAGAGGCAGGTGAATCACTTGAGGTCAGGAGTTCGAGACCAGCCTGGCCAACATGGAGAAAACTCTGACTCCATTAAAAATACACAAATAAGCTGGGCGTGGTCATGCACACCTGTAATTCAAGCTACTTGGGAGGCTGAGGTAGGACAACTGCTTGAACCCAGGAGGTGGAGGTTGCAGTGAGCCAAGATCACAGCACTGCACTCCAGCCTCAGTGACAGAGCGAGACTCTGTCTCCAAAAACAAACAAACAAACAAAAAACTTGAATGTTCAAGCTTTTTCCTAAAATTGATTATATCAGCAATCCATACATCTAAATTGTGTCGGGAGGCAGGGGGAGGTAGAGGGTTTCTAGATCTCAAATACTCTATCTAAAACTTCATTACAAAGCAACATCACCTAAACCAAGTCAGTCAAGAAGCAAAAATGGCCTCTTAGAAGCCAAGTCAGTGAGTGTATTAATCTTAATTTTTTTCATAGAAGAAATGTCGCTATGGGCTTATACTTGTTTCATGCACAATTATAAAATGCTTGGCTATACAGGCTTTCATATTATACACCAGATAAAGAGGAATAAAATTTTAATTAGGAAATTGAAAAAAAAGGAAAGGGAGAATTTGGGAGGCAATAGGTATTAATAGAAGGACCATGGAACTTGTAATCATACAGACCCTAATTTTAATTCTTACCTATTCTTGAAACACAATTATCTGGAAGACTACAAACTTTCTAAGTACTGTGAGGGGTGGATTGTTACTCTTTATAGTGGACTTGTTACTATTTATAATTGTTGAGAATAAACTTACCACAACAGATTTTCTCTGGAAATTTATGTTGTTGATGCAGACGACCTGATGGGTTGTATATTAATAAATATAAAAAGAAAATAAGGAAAAAATAATTTTTATTATTAAATCAAAGTATAATTCTATCCAAGTATAAATTAGGACTATGTTCTAAGTAATTCAAAATTACATGTCAATATTTCATTTTAAAACTACGAATTGGGGCCTGGTGCGGTGGCTCACGCCTGTAATCCCAGCACTTTGGGAGGCCACGGCAAGCGGATCACGAGGTCAAGAGTTCGAGACCAGCCTGGCCAACAGAGTGAAACCGAGTCTCTACTAAAAATACAAAAGTTAGCCGGGCATCGTGGCACACGCCTGTAATCCCGGCTACTCAGGAGGCTGAGCCAGGAGAAAAGCTTGAACCCGGCAGGTGGAGGCTGCAGTGAGCCGAGATCGCGCCGTTGCACTCCAGCCTGGGCGACTGAGAGACTCCGTCTTAAAAATTAAAAAATTAAAAAAAAAAAAACACTCTACCAATTGGGATAATTTTTTAAAATCTAGCAACAGTCACGAAAACAGATTTGACAGAAATACAATCTAGTACTTAGACAAAAACTTTAGTAACTTGCAACGGGAATTAAATTTGCTGAATAACCTGTCATTCAAAACATTTTTACCTTACAAACACCATTTCCATCACAGTGAGTAAATTCTAGTTTCCCACTAGGTTTCCCAGGCCCACCAAGTCAATTTCAAGCAATCGCAAAATATAATTAATGGCAACAAAACCAAAAGGAAGGAAGGGAAATGAAAAAATACTTATAATTTATATGGCCTTGGGCTTTCAAAGCCCTTGTCTCCTTTCTTCCTGTTCATTCTGGCGGGCTCTACACCAGTCAGCGGCATGAAGCGGTCCCGCGGAGCTTGGCTTCCCGGCTTCCTAGGGGGATACGGGGCATTACTAGTCTTTGGCACCTCACACTCTCCACTCCCCTGCGGTCCCCAAGTCACGTCTCGCAGCTGGCCGGTGCCCAGGTGAGCGACCTGACGGGTCGCTGCCCGCCTCAACCTCGCTCCTTCGACTAGCTCCTAGAAGCCGCCGTCGACAAGCTTCTGTCACAGAGATGCTCCTCTCCGCAAGGGCTCGAAGCTACCATCCGCCGACATCTTGTCTGTAACCTCTGACCTCCGACGTCAGCGGAAGTGGAACGGCGGCGGGGGTAGAACCAGGAAGTCTTGTCAATGGGCAGGGCTTGCGATCTTCGCATGTGTCTTATCGTAAAGAATTGTTAAAATTTAGGATAGGGAAAAAACTATTTAATGGATGAAGCGAGAACAGCAGGAAGAAAAGGAGGGAAGGTAGTTTTCTAGTACAAGCATATTGAGAAGAATGGAGGACAAAGTTTGCGAAGAGCCAGGTATAAATAGGCTGGGGCAGGGTGCTAGTAACTGGGCGGGGTGGGGTGGTGGGAAGTCTCCCGAAATCAGGAGGTGCGTGCCTCTGGCTTGCTGTGTGAACAGACACACTGGGTCCGGTGATTTAAGCTGTAAAATATGTGATTAGACTGCAGGTAGTCTAAATGTCAAAACTGCAGCACTCCACAGCTCTCACTAGGCACTGCTGCCTTAGTATTTATTTTAAAATATAGATTACAAGGCCGGGCGCAGTGGCTCACTCCTGTAATCCCAACACTTTGGGAGGCCGAGGCGGGCCGATCATTTGAGGTCAGGAGTTCGAGACCAGCCTGACCAACATGGTGAAACCCCGTCTCTACTAAAAATTACACAAAATTAGCTGGGCGTGGTGGTGCACGCCTGTAATCCCAGCTACTTGGGAGGCTGGGGCAGGAGAATTGCTTGAACCTGGGAGACGGAAGTTGCAGCGAGCTGAGATCGTTCCACTGCACTCCAGCCTGGGCGACAGAGCTGAGACTGTCTCAGAAAAAAAAAAAAAGAATAAAATATAGACTACAGGCCAGGCGTGGTGGCTCACGCCTGTAATCCTAGCACTTAGGGAAACTGAGGCAGTCATATCACTTGAGGTCAGCAGTTCAAGACCAGCCTGGCCAACATGGTGAAAGCCCGTCTCTAGTAAAAATACAAAAATTAGCCCTGCGTCGTGGCGTGCGCCTGTATTCCCAGCCACTCGGGAGGGTGAGGCACCAGAATCACCTGAACTCGGGAAGCCGAGTTTGCAGTGAGCTGAGATCATGCCATTGCACTCCAGTCTGGGAGACAAAGCGAGACTCCCTCTCAAAATAAATAAATAGACTACATAGAGATATATAGACTGTGTATATATATCATATAATCCATATAAATGCAGAAACATTTATTGAAAGACATTTCGAAGCCATCGTGTTTGTATTTCATGTTCATGACAATAAAACTTGTAAACTTCAGTAACAGTTAAACCTTCTTTAATTATGGATTAGCCATTAACATTTTTGAAACGTGGACCATTTAACCTCGGCCTACCCCCTCCAACTGTCCTGGTGATGAGTTCATTAGCTAAGTTAAAATTAATTTGAACTTTGATCTAAACCAAAACAAATCAGGAAAATAAAGCTGTAAAGGAACTTTATCAAGCATTCCAAAACCAACTAGAAATTACTTGAAGTTTTCGAGTGAGCATTGCCTGTGCCAGTATTCTTCATTATAGGATTATAAACTCGTTTTTTTCCCAAAGCGCATGTCTACGCCAGGCAGAGGAGTAATTATTCAGCCAATTTCATGGATGTAAACGATGGATATAAATAATTGATAGCACCTAGAGGCTTCCAGTTTGGGTGGAAGGCTAAAAGTAGAGGGGAACTCACTCACTTGAGAAATGATATTTAAGTGAATAAATAGTTCTCTTCTATGAAACTATTACTATTTAGTTCTCTGGAAAACTTAAGTGTATTAATGATTAGAACATCAAATCCTAAGTAAAGAAATGACATTTTAAATATAAAAAGCCAAACTTTAAATAAATCATAGAGACCTCAGACATAATATAGGAAAGAATTCTTTTGTCCTTGTTTACACTGTGTACATAGTACAAATATAATTTTAAAGCTACATCCTATAACATTTAAGAAATAACAGTAGTTTCAAAATGCTTAAGATGAGGAGAAAAATGCCTTAGAAGACTAGGTTTCTAAAAGTCAGAAATAAAAGTACAAGTTATTTTTCTTCTATCCAGCAACTTTATAAAGCAACTTGAGTCCTGAAGAAAAGACCGTTGTTCTTTTAAGAAATGGGTCTTCTCGAATTATAAACTTTAACACCATTTTGCATCGAAGAATGAGAATATTTAGTGAGTAATGCACCTATGGTTTGCTTCTCTCCACACAAATCTCTGTAGGAACAATAAAAAATATATAACATGAATATTTTAGGGAACATATTATGATACAGTACTATGTACTTATTTTCTCTCTCTCCCCCTGAATCTGTCTTCTCAACAAGCGTAAGTGTAGGTGTTTGTGGGAGAGATAGGGTGGGGAGTGGTTCTAAGTTTTAATTAAATTAAGTACATTATATGTATTGTCTCATTTAACCCACACAATAAAAGTAGGAGTAGGCCAGGCGGGTGGCTCACGCCTGTAATCCCAGCACTTTGGGAGGCCGAGGTGGGCAGATCACAAGGTCAGGAGTTGAAGATCAGCCTGGCCAACGTAGTGAAACCCTGTCTCTATTAAAAATAGAAAAAAATTAGCCGGGTGTGGTGGTGGGCACCTGTTATCCCAGCTACTTGGGAGGCTGGGGCAGGAGAATTGCTTGAACCCGGGAGGCAGAGGTTGCAGTGAGCGGAGATCGCGCCACTGCACTCCAGCCTGAGTGACAGTGTGAGACTCTGTCTCAAAAAAACAAACAAAAAAAAAAGCAAAAAACAAAAACTAGAAATAATGTATTATTTAACCCTATATTAGATATGAGAACTATGGCTCAGACAAGTAATAAATGAGAGTCAAATCCTGCCACCAGGTTTGTACAACTTCAAAGTCTATGCTATTTCTATTATATGACACAGCCTCTAAATTAGAAATACAAGCAGTGTAATACAGTGAGGCCTACACAGCAGGGCCTAGAGTCAGAGAACCTGGATACAAGGTACCTGTGTGAACTTGTCTAGGTTACCAATGCTTCCTGAACTTTGGTTTCCTCTTCTGTACCTCAAAGAGAAGAAGATTACGACCGGAACATAATAAGGAGAGGGAGGAATAGGAGGACGTGAGCTAGAGAAGGGGCAACAGCTAGATCACGTAGAACCTTGAAGGACAGGGAAAAAGAATTGTGACTTAATTCTACATATAATGGGAAGCAACTAGGAGTGTTTTAATTAATGGAAAAGTACAATGTGATCTAAGTTTTAAATAATGGAGGTGGCCGGGCGCGGCGGCTCATGCCTGTAATCCCAGCACTTTAGGAGGCCAAGGTGGGCAGATCACTTGAGGTCAGGAGTTTGAGACCAGCCTGGCCAACATGGTGAAACCCTGTCTCTACTAAAAACACAAGAATTAGCTGGGCATGGTGGTGCACACCAGTAGTCCCAGCTACTTGGGAGGCTAAGGCAGGAGAATCCCTTAAACTCGGGAGGCAAATGTTGCAGTGAGCCGATATCACACCACTGCACTCCAACCTGGGCAACAGAGTGAGACTCTGTCTCAAATAAATAAAGGAGCCAATGAGTTGACGATTATGGAAGATGAGCAGTGGATATATGGAGGTCTCATTATATTGTCATTTTTGAATATTTAAACAGTATAAGAAGGAGAAAGGAGAAGGGGGCAAAAATAGAACAGGGAGACCAATTCAGAGGCAGGTACAAGATGATCCATCAGGGTTTGCTCATAGTTTGAACCAGAAGGTAGGGGAAAGAAAGGACAGGGATGATTCCTAGACTTTAGTTTAAGTAACTGGATTAGTAGTGGTGCTGTTAACTGTGTTAAGGATGAGGGAGAAGCAACAGTTCTGTTATGAACATGTTAAGCTTGAAATTCCTATTGGATATCCAACTGGAAAGGTAAATTAAGCAACTAGATATAGGAATCTGGACCTCAGGGAAAAGGGCAAGTATGAAGATGGAATTAGGAAGTCATTAAATTTGTTTCCAGGCCTAGATGAGGGCACCAAAGGAAAAGTATAAACAGAAGAGAAGATGGCCCAAAAATAGACCTGGAGCACTCCAACATTTAGAGATTGAGAAGAAGAACAGGGAGACATCAACAAAAGAGATGGTTTTCTCCCCTCTCATCCAAGGAAGAGGGGAGAAACTTGTGTTTCAAGTAGGAGGAAGCAGACACTGTCAAATAGTGCTAAGTCAAGTAATCAAGGACAAATAATTAACCATTGAGTATAGAAAGATGGATGTCATTGGATTAAGAAGATGTCATTGGGTAAAGGAAAGAATGGGAGGTGAAAAGCATAGAGTGAGTATAGGAAACTTGTAAAAGGCATTTTCTTATGAAGGAGAGCAAAGGACATAGGGTCCAGTAGGTTGCTATTGTTGTCTTGCAAGATGGGCAATATTACAGAATTTTGTATGCTGATGGGGATGATCCAGAAGAGGGAGACATTAATAACTCAAGGGATGAAAGGGATAACTCAAGGATCCAAGTCTTTAAGAAGGCAGAGGAGATAGACCTAGTGCAGAAGGATTGGCCTTAGGAGCAGGGACAATTCATACACTACACAGGACTGCAAAGGAAGTAGGTGTACACATGAGGAGGTTGGCCAATTTGGCAGTGGGAAAGAAGGTTGTTCTGGCCTCACTGCTTCTATGTTCTGAAAAAAATAAGATCATAAAAGGAAAGAGAGGGTACTGCTGGTATGAAAAAGGAAAAGAAGATGTAGAAGAAGCTCCAAGGGTAGAGAAGTTTCATGAGCAAATCATGCCTGGTGAGGGGCCGTTGTAAGTACCACTAGGTTCTTAAGCAAGACTGGCAGCTTCATTGTGTATTCTCCAAAAAGTTTCAGCTGGCCACGTGTAGGCACAGGGTAAGCAGAAAGTTGAGTCTAATCTTTTTAGCTTTTTGCCAGGGAGATATGGCAAGAGGGAGAGAGGGCCACAGGAGTAAAGTGTAGACAGTAAGAGCTAAGAAGGCCAGCCACAGGATTCGAGCTGGGTAAAGAGAAGAAAGAGCACCTGAGAGGTGTGATGCAGTGACAAAGTTGTAGTGTTAGTGGATTTCAAGCGTTAGGGGACTCAAGATTTTGTAAGAAGTGACTTTGGGGCTAACGTGTTCTACTGCAATCTGGCCTCTCCCAAAATGTTAAATAAAGTAAGGCATGAGGTGGCAATCAGAGATGGGTGTTTGCCTTAGAGTCATAGTAGGGCCTGTATTTTGTCCCTCAAAGGGGACAGTTTTCCAGGAATGAGAGCAGAGAAGTGGTTTTAGAAGCAATAGTGAGGAACAGAGATAACACATATTCCACCTCCAGAAGCAGTAATTATGGAGGACAGAGAAGACAGCCACCACCTAAGAGTTTCTAGGGAAGCAGTATCCTCAGGGAATACTCAAGAAAATTGTGTTCCAATCATAAATCTAAAATGCTGTGCCATTGACTATAAAAAGAACGACCCTCAAAATCCGTCTTTAATAAATTACTTACTGAATATATGGAGCAATATCTTCTTCTGTCCACTTCTCCCTTAGAGAGAAAAGGCTATTAAAACGTTCCTGATTATCCTCAGGTAAATCATCTACTTTCAGCAAAAATATGATTTCTGGTCTCGAGTGTCTATCCACCAGCGCTAAACCCTACAAGAAATGAGAAGAAACAGAGCAGTTAAAGTAATGTTGTAATGTTTAAACATGACTCATTCTTTTACCTTTAGGTTTAGCTTAGCTCAAGATATTCAAAATGTCAGCTACATGAAACTTAAACTATCCAGAGATTTACAATCGCCTTTTTCATACAAAGAGCTCCTTTAAGCAGTGACTTCTTTCCTCCTCTGCAATCTGGCTTCTACCATCAGCAGTCTATCAAGACAGCTTTGGTTCTAAAGGTCACCAGTAACCTGTCATTGCCAAATCCAGTGGGCCCTTTTCTTGGATTCATCGTGTTAGCCCTCTATTTTCTATTTTGTTTTTTTTTCCTTTTTGAGACAGAGTCTTGCTCTGTCACCCAGGCTGGAGTGCAGTGGCACAGTCTTGGCTCACTGCAACCTCTGCCTCCTGGGTTCAAGAGAGTCTCCTGACTCCGCCTCCTGAGTAGCTGTGACTACAGGTGCACACCACCACATCCAGCTAATTTTTATATTTTTAGTAGAGAAGGGGTTTCACCATGTAGGTTAGGCTGGTCTTGAACTCCTGGCCTCAAGTGATCCACCCACCTCAACTTCCCAAAGTGCTGAGATTACAGGTGTGAGCCACTGTGCCCAGTCCCTAGCCGTCTATTTTCGTTACTGTTGATTACTCCTCCTCCTTTAAATATCTCTCCATCCCTGACATCAGTCTTTTTATTTTCCTCGTAACTTGATGTTGTAGCTCCCTGAGGCTTCCATCCCAACCACTCCACTTGCTTCACTGTCACTCTACTGAGTAACCTCATCTAAACCTGTAGCCTGAGCCACCACTTACTTGCTAATGACTATAATACTTATATCTTCAGCTGAGATGTCTCTCTTGAGTCCCAGACCTCTATATCCAAATCTATACATGAACTCATTTATCATCCAAACCTGCTCTAGTTCCACTATCCTAGGAAAACAGGAAACTGAGGCATCAGCTTTGATTCCATTAGTCAAACCCCACACCTATGTGGTCACTAAAGTCTATATAATAGGTGTTAAGGCTTCAGGATTCCTCTGTCCATTCCCCCATTACCTATCTCTTTAGCCAGTACTCTCTTAGTTGGGAGCATATGTGTTGACAGCCTGCACAGTAATCCTTTTTCATAATCTAACCAACCTTCCGTCTGTCCATCTTGTTTATTGTCATAGTATTCTTTTCAAAAGGCCAAACTGATGAGTTCCTGATGAGGTAACCTCTCTAACTGATGTCACTCAGTGGCCTCAAAGAGCTTTCTAGAAAGAGTTGAAAGTCCTTAGCGCAGTCCACAGTGTCCTTACCTCACAAGCATCCTTTACTCCAGCCCATGCATCCCTACAACAGTGCCTTAATTTTTATTTGCCCCCCACCTTTGACCGTGCTCTCCTAGATTTCCACCTCTGGCTTTCCCTCCATCTAGAGAGCAACAGTTCATCTTTCCATACTCAGCAGCTAAAACGTCTATTCCGTCAGAAAGTCATCCGTGATTGACCAGTCTGATGGCTAAGCCCCTTTTCTTTGTTCTCATAACATCGTGTGCATGCCTTTCCCATGGCGTAGATCACTCTGCATTGTAAGAACAGATTTATGCATGTAATATGTCTCCCCCATTGCCAGTTCCCAGGCTAAGCACCATAATGACACCTGGTATGACATTTCTCCTGAGCACCTAGCATGGTGCCTCAACATAAAAAGAACTCCATAAATACCAAGCAAATCTTTTCATTTAACTAACAAAATATTTACCAAGTATACGCCACATGCCAGGTAGTATGCTACATACTAGCAAGCAACAGCAAACAAAATGCCATCAAAGTAGAGAGTGGTGAACCACATAAACATTTTTCCAAGCTAAGGGGAGAGTGCCATGAAGGAAAGAATAGCGTGCTATCAAAGAGTAAAACCAGAGGTCTTTGCTTCAAGCAGAGAATGAAGGAAGGCCTCCTTGAAGTGACTCAAAGATGAGCAGGAGGTGACCAGATGAAATTAGAGAGAATATCATTCTAGAACAAAAAGCTTTGTGTGAAGGTCCTAAGGTAGGTGAGAGCTTGATGATGTTGAAAACCTGAAAGAGGGTTGGTATGCAGTGAGCAGAAGGGAAGTAGCCAGAGATGAAGCTATGAAGGTGATCCTGAAGGGCCTTATAGGCCAAGACATGAATTCTGAGTTTTTTATCCTGAGTGCAGTAGGTGACCATTAAACTGATTTAAGGCCGGGTGCAGTGGCTCACATCTATAATCTCAGCACTTTGGGAGGCCAAGGTGGGCAGATCACCTGAGGTCAGGAGTTCGAGACCAGCCTGGCCAACATGGCGAAACCCCGTCTCTACTAAGCATACAAAAATTAGCTGGGTGTGGTGGTGGGTGCCAGTAATCCTAGCTACTCGGGAGCCTGAGGCAGGAGAATCCCTTGAACCCAGGAGGCGGGGGTTGCAGTGAGCCGAGATTGAGCCACTGCACTCCAGCCTGGGTGACAGAATGAGACTCAGTCTCAAAAATAAATAAATAAATAAATAAAATGATTTAAGCAGGACATTCATCTGATCTGACTAGCATTTATTTATTTATTTATTATTATTATTATTATTTTTGAGACAGAGTCTTGCTCTGTCGCCCAGGCTGGACTGCACTGGCATGAACTCGGCTCCCTGCAACCTCCGCCTCCCAGGTTCAAGCAATTCTCCTGCCTCAGTCTCCCGAGTAACTAGGATTACAGGTGCCTGCCACCACACATGGCTAATTTTTGTATGTTTAGTAGAGATGGGCTTTGGCCATGTTGGCCAGGCTGGTCTTGAACTCCTGACCTCAGGTGATCTGCCTGCCTTGGTCTCTCAAAGTGCTGGGATTACAGGCGTGAGCTACCGCACTTGGTCTGACTGGCATTTTCAAAAGATCATTCTAGTAGCGTCACAGAGAATGGATTGGAAGGGAGCAAAATTAAAAGTGCAAGGGGCATGCCCAGGGATGCTATTGCTGTTTAGAGGCAGAAAATCAAGGTAGTTTGGACTAGGAGAGGGGTGATGGAAATGGTGAGAAACGGAACAAAATGAGATACACTGAGTAGGAAGAGGGATTAACAGAAAATGGACCCAAGCGATCTTGTAGAGGTGATAGATATGTTCTAAAACTGTATTGTAGTGAGAGCAACTTATTTTAAAATTATTAAAAATATTTTAAAGGTATATTTTATAATATGTAAATTATACCCCAATACTTTATTGGGTTTTAAGGACTATGTGATGGATTGGATGTACATGCACTCCTAATGGGTGTCTAAGAAAAGAAATTGGTTCCAAATTCAGCTCCAACTCAAGTATCATTCACCTAGTAATTAATCAACTGTTGAAGTAAGGTGGCAATGTCTATTGCTATTACCTTAAGCTGATCAAGACTAGTTACCATTCCTTCAGGAACACTCTGCTGCCACACTTCTTGAAACTCAGCGAGATTGAATTTCACCGCATTCTGAAGTAGCATTCGTGCTGCTGCTCTACATATTTTATCAGCATCCAACTCAAAATAAACTTCGCCTAAGGAAAAGTTATCAGATATTTTCATATTATCATCTTACAATTAAATATTATACTAACATTTCCTTTTCTTTGCTGCAGTTTCTTGAAAGGAATTATACACCTAAACTCACTTCCGACAACCCCATAGTTCGTTTTTTTTTGAGACAGAGTCTCGCTCTGTCACCCAGGCTGGCGTGCATTGGCGTGATCTTGGCTCATTGCAGCCTCCACCTCTTGGGTTCAAGTGATTCTCCTGTCCCAGCCTCCCAGGAAGCTGGGATTACAGGTGTGTGCCATCACGCCTGGCTAATTTTTTTATTTTTAGTAGAGATGGGGTTTCACCATGTTGGCCAGGCTTGTCTCAAACTCCTGACACCTCAGGTGATCCGCACACCTTGGCCTCCCAAAGTGCTGGGGTTACAGGCGTGAACCACTGCACTGGCCTTTTTTTTTTTTTTTTTCTTTCTGAGAGAGAGGGTCTCACTCTGTTGCCTAGGCCAGAGAGCAGTGGCACAATGAAGGTTCATTGCCGCCTCGACCTCCCCGGGCTCAGGTGATCCTCCCACCTCGGATTCCTGAGTAGCTGGGACTACAGGCATGCACTGCCACACCCAGCTAATTTTTGGATTTTTTTTTGTGGAGACAGCATTTTATCATGTTGCCCAAGCTGGTCTTGAAATCCTGGGTTCAAGCGACCCACCCACTGCAGCCTTCCAAAGTGCTGGGATTATAGGTGTGAGCCACTGCACCCAGCCAGAGTTCTTATTTTTAACACCGACAGGCTTTAGAAAGGTATGCCAGTTTTAACATATAAGAGTTAAATGAGAATACTTTCCAAATCTTACCTTCATCTACATATTTCTTCCCATAACATTTAAGACAGTGTTCTATCATTTCCCTGAAAAATTTAAAACACCCACTTGAAAAGTTATAAGCATTTTTATGCACTATATTTTAACCCCATTGCCAACTCAAAATTAAGAAAGAAATTTGAGATTTCAAATACTAAGTGATTTTGGTTGCCAAATATTATTTTATTTAAATTAGGAACTAAGTAAAATATACTGGGAAGCTACTATGTGCCAGGCCCCATGCTAAACATTTTAACATCAATTATGTAAGCATAAATTTATTATTATAAAATAGCTCAAACATATTATTTCCTTTATTTATTGTTTGTTTTATTTTATTTTTTTTTTTTTTTTGAGAGTGCAGTAGCGCAATCTCAGCTCACTGCAACCTCCACTTCCGGAGTTCAAGCAATTCTCCTGCCTCGGGCTCCCTAGCAGCTGGGACTACAGGCACACGGCACCACGCCCAGCTAATTTTTGTACTTTTTAGTAGAGACGGGGTTTCACCGTGTTGGCCAGGACAGTCTTGATCTCCTGACCTCATGATCCACCTGCCTCGGCCTCCCAAAGTGCTGGGATTACAGGCATGAGCCACTGCGCCCAGCCTATTTCTTTATATTTTTATGGCCAAAAACAAACAAGATAATGCACATGTATTCACCCCAGTGACCAAAATTCCCAAATCTTCTTCGGTTGTAATTGTAAACATTTCTCAAAGATATCAAAATACAATGATTGTAGTTTATGCCCTGGGTTTAATTCCAATCTGTAAAACAACTCCCTTCCCCTTAAGGAAATCTGGATAGACAAGAAATTAAAATACTTACTCTGGCTCCAATGGTCCGAGTTCCTGAAGGCATGTGTTCAAAGGAACTTTACCAAAAGACCATGATTCAGAATCCACAAGCTGAGTTACATGATTCAGAAGTTTCATCTCATAATCAAATTCAAGAATCCTCCAATAACCTACAAATTTCAAAAGTTATATTTACCAAAGAACTTTTTTTTTTTTAAGGCAGGGTCTCAACTCTGTCACCCAAGCTGGAGTTCAGTGGCGTGATCTCAGCTCATCGCAACCTCCACCTCCTGGTTTCAAGCAATTCTGCCATCTCAGTCTCCTGAGCAGCTGGGACTACGGGCACGCACTACCATGCCTGGCTAATTTTTGTATTTTTAGTAGAAACAGGGTTCCACCATGTTGGCCAGGCTGGTCCTGACCTTCTGACCTCACATCGTCAGCCCGCCTCAGCCTCCCAAAGTGCTGGGATTACAGGCATGAGCCACCGTGCCGGCCCAAAGAACATTTTATGTAAACTAGCTAATAGATTGACAAAGTCACAGCATACTTTTGCTCACTGCAAAAAAGAGACACTAGGCTGGGCGTGCTGGCTCACTCCTGTAATCCCAACACTTTGGGAGGCCGAGGCTGGTGGATCACTTTAGGCCAGGAGTTCGAGACCAGCCTGGCCAACATAGTGAAACCCCATCTCGACTAAAAATACAAAAAATTAGCTGGGCGTGGTGGTGCACATCTGTAATCCCAGCTGCTCAGGAGGCTGAGGCATGAGAATTGCTTGAACCTGGGAGGCCGAGGTTGTAGTGAGCCAAGATTACACCACTGCATTCCAACTTGGGCAATGGTGAGACTGTCTCCAAAAAAAAAAAAAAAAAAGTCTTCACTTTCTATAAACAGTGCTTCTTTTTAAGCTTTTCTCCCAATCATTTTAAACTGTGTCTTCAGGGAGATCAAGTTGTTTTTCAAGAGTACTTTACATATGACTAGCTTTTCTCAAGTGCTTTCTTTTTTTTTTTTTCTTAGAGATGGGGTCTTACTCTTGCCCAAGCTGGTCTTAAACTCCTGTGCTCAAATGATCCTCCTGCCTCAGCCTCCAGAGTAGCTGGGATATTAAAGGCACATACCATGGCACCCCCTCTCTCCAGTGCTTTGACATTCAGTTATCTCACAATAATCTTGTCATTCCAAACAGAAATTAGGAAATCTGCAGTTGGTACAGTCATTTCATTAGAATGTCATACAAATGAGGTGAAGGTCACAGGTTCAATATTCATGATAATCTCTGCTGTGCTGCACTACCATAGTTATAACTCTCATCAGAGCTATCTTGCAGAGGCATTTCTATACTCATGAAGAAGTCCAGCTCACCAAAGAGATGATAGACTCTGAGGTACAATGTGGATGAGGGCCAAGTTAAGGGCTGGGCTTCATAAAGATCCCTTTCCTATTCCTGTGAGAGATTATGACATGCCATTTTATTTATTTATTTATTTATTTATTTATTTATTTATTTATTTATTTATTTGTGATGGAGTCTCACTCTGTTGCCCAGGCTGGAGGCGTAGTGGCACGATCTCAGCTCACTGCAACCTCCACCTCCCGGGTTCAAATGATTCTCCTGCCTTAGCCTCCTGAGTAGCTGGGACTATAGGCATGCGCCAACATGCCCGGCCAAGTTTTTTGTATTTTTACTAGACAGGGTTTCACCATGTTGGCCAGGCTGGTCTCGAACTCCCGACCTCAGGTGGTCCACTTGCCTTGGCCTGCAAAGGGCTGGGACTACAGGCATGAGCCACTATGCCTGGCCATGAAATGCCATTTTATAATTGATGGCACGACCACCACCCCAGAGAAAGAAAAGTATACATCCACCATTTCTAAAGGAGAATGTTTCTATTCTTACTCTGAAAACATAAAGACAACATTTAAAAAATGGATTGTGTGATGTAAAACTGAGGAAGAAAGCAAGAAGTAATCTACGCATCCCCCTAGAGAAATTGTATCCATCCCCATGCTGCAAGTTAATAATGCAGAGGGCTGCATTAAAATGCATGGTTTCATTTGCCTTTAAAAAAAAAAAAAGCTTTAGGGCTGGGCACCGTGGCTCACACCTGTAATCTCAGCACTTTGGGAGGCCAAGGCAGGAGGATCACCTGAGCTGAGAGGTTCAAGACCAGCCTGGCCAACATGGCAAAACCCCATCTCTACCAAAAACACAAAAATTAGCTGGACGTGGTGGCGCATGACTGTAACCCCAGCTACTCAGGAGGTTGAGGCAGGAGAATCACTTGAACCCACGAGACGGAGGCTGCAGTGAGCCGAGATCACGCCACTGTACTCCAGCCTGGGTGACAGAGTGAGACTCCATCCAAAAGAAAAAAAATTAATTTTGCTAGGAGTTCAAGGACCTGGGTTCTATGCCATATGCTGTCACTAACTCCACATGTACCCTGGACAAGTTAGTTGCCCTTCCTAGGCCCTAGTTTCCTCACCAGTTATAAAAAATAAAAGATTAGACTATTTGATGTCTAAGGACTTTTTTTTTTTTTTTTTTTTGACGGAGTTTTGCTCTTTCGCCCAGGCTGGAGGGCAGTGACGCGATCTCCGCTCACTGCAACCTCCGCCTTCCAGTTTCAAGGGATTCTCCTGCCTCAGCCTCCTGAGTAGCTGGGATTACAGGCACCCACCACCACGCCTGGTTGATTTTTGTATTTTTAGTAGAGACAGGATTTCACCATGTTGGCCAGGCTGGTCTCAAACTCCTGACGTCGTGATCGGCCAGCCTCGGCCTCCCAAAGTGCTGGCATTACAGGCATGAGCCACCATGCCCAGCTTGGACCTTTCTTAATCTAACATGGTTCTTCCTTTACCACCTAATTCAAAAAAATTGGAAGGAGTCAAAGTGTGATTAAAGTCACTGGTAGCAGATTGACCTCATGTAAAGATGAAATCTCTATCCTACAACAAGAAAGACAAATATCACCATCTTTTCTTTCTTTAGACAAGAGTTTCGCTCTGATGCCCAAGCTAAAGAATAGTGGTGCCATCTCAGCTCTCTGCAACCTCTGCCTCCCAGGTTCAAGCAACTCTCGTACCTCAGCCTCCCTCCCTAGTAGGTGGAATTACAGGCATGCACCACCACACCCAGCTAATTTTGTATTTTTAGTAGACAGGGTTTCGCCACATTGGCAAGGCTGCTCTCAAACTCCTGGCCTCAAGTATCTGCCCGCCTCAGCTTCCCAAAGTGCTGGGATTACAGGCGTAAGCCACTGCGCCCGGCCCAAATGACACCATCCTTAAACCCAAAAGAATATTAAATAAACTATACGCAGTAGGGTGAAGATGTCCAAAAACTTCTCTCCCTTATGATGCCCAATTTCATCATTGTTAAAATAGTAGTAAGTAACGCTACCTCCAATCTTACAGGCATTTAGAACTTGTAATTGGGTCATTATTTCTTCCTCACTTGCCTGAATTTGATCAAGCAAATCTTCAGTTGTATACTGCAAAAAGAAAAAAATATTTTAAGGCCTTTGAAGAATATTTTGTTTTTAGATTTCTTGCTGAATATTGAGGAATAAATACATAGAACAGATTAAGGCAATATTTATGCACTAGCTCAGTTTCTTTTGTTAACATGTAATGATTTCTACACAAAATCAATGGATGTCTTAGAAAACAAATAGAGGTAAATCTTCATGACACTGGGTTTGGGTGATGGCTTATTAAATATGACACCAAAAACCCAAACAACAAAAGAAAAAGTAGATCAATTGGACATCATCAAAATAATAAACTTTTGCACTTCAAAACACTATCACCACAAAAGGACAAATACTGTATGATTCCACTTATCTGAGGTATTAAGAGCAGTCAAATTCAGAGAGACAGAAAGTAGAATGGTGGCTGCCAGGGGCTGAGGGGACAGGGGAAATGGGAGTGATTGTTGAACAAGTACAGAGTTTCAGTTTGAGAAGATGGAGAAGTTCTAGAGATGGATAGTGCTAATGACTGCACACCACTATGAATGTACTTGATGCTACTGAACTGTATACTTTAAAATGGTAAATTTTATTTTTTCTTCTTTTTCTTTTTTTTTTTTTTTGAGACGGAGTTTCGCTCTTGTTGCCCAGGCTAGAGTGCAATGGTGCGATCTTGGCTCACCACAACCTCTGCCTCCCAGGTTCAAACGATTCTCCTGCCTCAACCTCCTGAATAGCTGGGATTACAGGCATGCGCCACCACACCTGGCAAATTTTGAATTTTCAGTTGAGGCACGGTTTCTCCGTGTAGGTCAGGCTGGTCTCGAACTCCCGACCTCAGGTGATCTGCCCGCCTTGGTCCCCCAAAGTGCTTGGATTACAGGCGTGAGCCACCCCGCCTGGCCTCTTTTTGTTTTTGTTTTTGTTTTTTTTAAATACAGAGTCTCACTCTGCCATCAGGCTGGACTGCAGTGGTGTGATCACGGCTCACTTACAGCCCTGACCTCCTGGACTCAAGCGATTTTCTCACCTCATCCTGGGACTACAGGTGTGCAGCCAGCCCCAGCTAATTTTTAAATATTTTGTAGAGACAGATTCTTGCTATGTTGCCCAGACTGGTCTCAAACTCCTGGACTGAAGCAATCCTCCTACCCTGCCCTCCTAAATTGCTGGGATTACAGGTGTGAACCATTGCCCCCAACCCCAAAAATGTTAAATTTTATGTTATGTATATTTTACTCCAATTGAAAAAAGCAAGAAAGTCGAAAGACAACCCACAAAATGGGAGAAAATATTTGCAAATAATATATCTGATAAAGGACTTGTATCTGGACTATCTAAAGAATTCGCTTACAACTCAGTAATAAAAAGATAAATAATTAAAAATCAGGCAAAGAAACCGAATGGGCATTTCTCCAAAGATATACAAATCGTCAATAAGCCCATGAAAAGATGTTCAACATCAATGGAAAATAGTGCAGCCACTCTGGAAACAGTACGGCAGCTTGAAAGCTTCTACAGAGTCACCACATGACCCATCAATTCTGCTCCTAGGTACATACCCAAGAAAAATGAAAACATAGATCCACATTAAAATCTTGTATACGAATGTTCGCAGAAGCATTATTCTTAATATCCAAAAAGTAGAAGTTACCCAAATGTCTATTAGCTGACAAATGAATGCATAAAATATGAGTATGTCCATAAAATGAGATACTATTCAGCAACAAAAAGGAATAAAACACTGCAGCCGGGCATGGTGGCTCATGCCTGTAATCCCACCACTTTGGGAGGCTGAGGTGGGCAGATCACCAGAGGTCAGGAGTTCAAGACTAGCCTGGCCGGCCGGGCGCGGTGGCTCAAGCCTGTAATCCTAGCACTTTGGGAGGCCGAGGCGGGTGGATCACGAGGTCAGGAGATCGAGACCATCCTGGCTAACACGGTGAAACCCCGTCTCTACTAAAAATACTAAAAAATTAGCTGGGCGCGGTGGCGGGCGCCTGTAGTCCCAGCTATTCGGGAGGCTGAGGCAGGAGAATGGCGTGAACCCGGGAGGCGGAGCTTGCAGTGAGCCGAGATCGCGCCACTGCACTCCAGCCTGGGCGACAGAGCGAGACTCCCTCTCAAAAAAAAAAAAAAAAAAAAAAGACTAGCCTGGCCAACATGGTGAAACCCCATGTCTACTGAAAGTACAAAATTAGCTGGGCATGGTGGCATGCACCTGTAATCCCAGCTATTCGGGAGGCTGAGGCAGGAGAATCACTTGAACCCAGGAGGCAGAGGTTGCAGTGAGCCAAGACTGCGCCACTGCACTCCAGCCTGGGCAAGAAGAGCAAAACTCCGTCTGCAAACAAAACAAAACAAAACACTGATACATGCTACAACATAAATGAACCTTGAAATGATCACGCTAAGTGAAAGAAGCTAGTCAGAAAAGGCCACATATTATATGATTCCATTTATATGAAATGTCCAGAATAGGCAAATCTATATAGACAGAAAGTTTATTAGTGGTAGCCTAGGGGAAAGGGGAGAGAAGAAAGTGGTACTGGAAGGTGACAGCTAAAGGCTACAGGGTTTCTTTCTGGGGTTATAAAAATGTTCTAAACTTGATGGTGGTAATGGTTGCACAACTCTGAGAATGTACAAAAAATTATTCAATTGCATACTTTAAAACTGGTGAATTGTGTGGTATGTGAATTATATCTCAATAAAGCTGTTACCAAAAAAATTTTTAGAAAGAGTCCATTGGGAAAAAAGGGAACTTCTAGTACAAACATGGTCTTCATATACCAGTAGAGTTCTGTAATTTTTAAATTAAAAATTTTAAAACTGTTTTTTACTTTGTTTATGTTTTTCCATACTTTCAGGAATTAGTTAATTTTGACACTGGAGTAAGAATAGCTTCCATTATGTCCCCTCTCAAGAGCATCTAGTCATAATTTTAATTAAATAAATTTTTTACCTCTAAAAAAACTATTATTTCAAAGTTAAGAATATGAGAAGCTCTTAGCTATATAAATGGCATTATGATATATAGGATCTGCTTTAAAATACTCTAGAAAAATTAAAAAGATGGAAGGATAGAAAGGGGATAGAAGAAAGAAGACTGACAAGACATTAATTGTTCAAGTGAATGACAAATATATGGGGGTCATTATACTATGTGTGCTTTGGGGTGTGCTTGAAATTTTATAACTTTTTTAACACAAGCATTTATAACAGCTATATAACATAAATTTTAAAAAGTAAGAATGTGACTATTAAGTGCCTCTGATTATAGTTGTTAAATTCCAAATAAAAAAGTGAAAATAAGTCTTACTTTTGAGCTATTTGAATCCTTCTCTTTTTGACTGTCAGGTCCTTCATATGGATTTTCCATCAAAAGTTTCTTTAGCTTCTTTAACTTGGGTCTACGTCTTCTTAATTCCCAATAATTATTAGAAAAACCAAAGATCTAGAAATTATATATATCGTAACCTTTTAGGGGCCATTCTAAAGGAAAATTTCATACAAAATTACAACTAATCAATCTGCCCCCTCAACAAGTACAAAGGAAGCTCCAAGGTATTCTGCTTTGTATCAGGAAGGTATTTATCCAGCCATCTCAACTAGATGGATGGGCATCCTCAAGAACATCTTTTCAAATCCCCTTAATAAGATACTGTCAACATTGTAAGAATCAATAATTGAATGTCACATCTCAAATGTACTCTGAAAACTAGAGTATGCCCAGAAAAAATGACAGGATGGTGACAATTCTCCAAACCAAGTGGAAACAACTAAAAATGAATATACTTAGGCAAAAAACAAACAAACAAACAAAAAAACAAAACAGAGAAAAGGTATTATAGTCTTCAAATAGGGACATTAAAGGGAAGAGGGGGTGTGTTGCTCACGTTGAAATGAGGCAGAAGTTAAGGGACAGAGATTTCTGTTTAATACAAGATCTTTCTAATGTTTAGAACTGCAGCTAATTCCACTGTTCGATTTGTGAAATAGTGAGAGGCCTACCACTCAAAATCCAGTTGATAAGAGGCTAGAGAATGGATGAATATCTGTTATCCTTGCCTGCACTTACAGGACTTGCCTAGTTCCTAGCTCTGAGTAGGTGCCCAACAAGTGTTTCATAAAAGAAAAAAGGCTCAACTGGATTATCTTTGGGATGCCCTCCAACTCTGAAATGGAAGGACAGGGGATGCTTCTACTTTCAAGCTAGGATAAGGCTTGATTGACAAGATGAGGCCTAGAGCCTGAAGGAGATGTTGCTGAATCTAAGGCTTCCCAAAGAAGAGCTTAAGGACCAAATCTGACAGACTGATTTTATCCATAGTTAAAAGTGGTTTGCTGTTTTATTGTCATCTCAGGAAAAACAAAGCAAAACAAAAAAATGGCAGCCTTCTGGCTACGTCCAATACACAGATATTGTGGTATGCTTTTGTGTGCTGGGGGAGGTTTGGCATAGTGTTTCAATTAGATGCCAACATTTAAAAAATTAGGAGATTTCACCCCAAAAATCTAAATTTCAAGAATTACTTGGAAAAAATAAATCAAAAATCTAGCAGCGCTGGGCCTACTTTCCCACAAGGCAGCTGAGTAGTGGCCGTCCACCTACTTGGGGACTGTGCTTTCCAATTTGCTGTAGACCCAACCACTCCGTTACTCCTGGGTATCTACCACCATTTATCAACCCCAGCCTATTTCTCATCTAACCCCTTTAAGCATCTGAGGTTCAATCACGGATTATGGCTTTGGTTAGTGGATCTTGAAGTTTTAGCCAATCTCAGTACATAGAATTTCCATAACAAGCAAGAGCTCAAAGATTCTCATAGACATTATTATGCCCTCACAAAAACACCTACAGAACAGATAAGTGATGAAAAAATAACACTTTTTTACAATAGGATGAACTGCCAATATTTTTAGTTAATTACAATGAAAGACTTAAAACCTACAAAAACCAACCTAGTATATTTACTGGATGTTCCTCTATTCTAGTAACATCATATGAATCACTGGAGCTTCCCAGCATTTTCCCTTCTTTCCTCTCCAATTCTGTATTTAAGGATATAGTTGGCCTAAAGTCATTCCCAAAGAAATAAGGGCTATGCTTGGATTGTTATATATGTAAGAACTTAGTTACTGTTTTATATATGTAACAACTTAGACAGTTGTTTGGTTACTGCCATCAATATTCTCCAAAATAATTAAAAGTTTGTTATACTTGGCTACAGATATTAATGAACTAAACCAACTTCAAAGCTAAGAAACACACTTCCTTCAAAAACTCAAATTTCTTCATTTCTTTTTTGGAGACAGAGTCTTGCTCTGTCACCCAGGCTGGAGTGCAGTGGCGTGATCTCGGCTCTCTGAAACCTCTGCCTCCTGGATTCAAGCAATTCTCCTGCCTCAGCCTCCCAAGTAGCTGGGATTACAGGTGCACGCCACCACGCTTGGCTAATTTTTTTGCATTTTAGTAGAGACAGGGTTTTACCGTGTTGCCCAGGCTAGTCTCAAACTCCTGAGGTCCGACAATCGGCACACCTTGGCCTCCCAAAGTGCTAGGATTACAGGCGTGAGCCACCACACCTGGCCCAAATTTCTTCATTTCTCCACCTCATAAATATTACCAAATGAACCAGTTACGGTCTGAGGGAGTCTCCTTTCAAAACACATCCACAGCAAAATCTACTAAAAATGGGTAGAATTTTTAGAATGACTCATTGAATAACAAACTTTGCACATTATAGAAAAAAGATCAAATTGGGACTTGAAAATCAAAACAGGAAAAAACAGACAAGTTCACAAGACTCCAACAAACAAGCAATAATAATAATAATAATGCTGAGAAATTCAAATTTCTTTAAAGAACTTCTTAGATTCTCCCTGATTATAGATTTTACACGTAAACTTTTTAACTAAAGATCAAATTACCATATCTGTTTTCATTCTCAGACTTTTATAAATCAGAGTACAGAAAAGAGCACCTCAGTGTGAATAATGTTACAGTGTGAATCTTCCTTCTTCAACTGGTCCGGAGTTTTACAACCAGGAATGAAAAGCAACATATTGGAAGTGTCTGCTATCTTCAAGTCGTATGTTTTGTCTTTACTGCACAGCACAGCTTGCTCGTCTTTATCACCACGAATCACAAGACTGTAGCAAAATGGGGGAAAAATATATAGTTTATTGACAATCCAGTAGCCATTTTCATCATAAACAGTTCTCAAACCCTCTAGGCTTGCAGAACTTAGAATTAAGTTTTGATGCTGCCTCTGCCCCCTGCTAGCACAATGCTGGATTCCACACAGCAAGCATTGGGCCAACTGAGAGCCACACAGACGCCCCACCCAGAGCCTCATTAAGGAAAAATAATTAAAGATGGGCAAGACAGATCCATAGAGGCCAAGAGGCCAAATGGCACTACATGGCATCTTGTGCAAACTGCTGGAAAGAACACAAGACAAAGCATCCTGAAGCTTCAGTCAAGCTGTCTCAATTTTCTACAACATGCTAAAGTGGTACTTCTCAAATTTATGCATAGGCATCTTAGAGAGTGTTGTTCAAAAGCAGAGTGGGATACACTGGGTCTAGGATGGGACCCAGGGTCCCGTATTTCTAACAAGTTCCCGAAGAAAGGCCAAGGCCAAGCTGCTGCTCATGGTACCCCACCCAAGTGTCGTCCTTGTTTTGTTCTGAGTACCCCCTCACAATCAAAGGAGCACATCCTGGCCTAACCATAAGTTGTGTTGCAAAAAAATTGGGACCTTATGAAAAAAAGGATGCAGTGGTGAATGAAAAATATGAAAAGGATATGTTTAAAAACTGTACTAAACCAAAGACTTTGACAAAGGGATTTTGAAGAAAAGCAAGAACGCAGTGGCTCATGCCTGTAATCCTAGCACTTTAGGAGGCTGAGGCCAGAAGATCGCTCGAGAGCAGGAGTTTGAGACCAGCCTGAGAAACATAGCAAGACCCCATCACTACAAAAGAAAAATTTAAAAGTTAGCTGGGTGTGATGATGCACACCTTAAGTCTCAGCTACTCAGGAGGCTGGTGGGAGGATCGCCTGACCCCAAGTAGTCATGGCACCATCATGCAGAGAGCCGTGATTGTGCCACTGCACTCCAGCCTGGCTGACAGAGTGAGACCCTGTTCCCACCACTCTCTCCCCAAAAAAAAGATAAAGAAAAAAGAAGGAAGAGGAAAGGATGAAGGTGAAGCGGAGGAAAAGGAAGGATTAAAGACAAAGATGATGGCAATGACAGGGGAGTTGGTTCTAGCAGTTTTCCTTGTCTGTAAAGCATTTAATTCTCCTGTGCACAACTCGTTTCTTTTGAATAAATAATAAGAAACCTGAAATAGCAGACTGTGTATTTATTTTTGACTAAGTCTTCATTTAAGTAAAAAGAATAAAAGGTTTTTTAGATTCCTAATGCTAATAATGCTTAATAGGCCCAAGTACCTAGTCTTTAACATTTATTTCTCTAACTGCACTACCCCCACTTTGAAATATTTTGTTTATACCATCACTCCCTACACCCCAAAATTAAAAACACACGTTTCCAGGGCCTGTTTTTATTTTTTTGTTTTTGTTTTGTTTTGTTTTTGCCAGCTAGATTAACTAGAACTGGACCGAGAGAAAGTCCTCACACCTGAGTTCCTTTCTCAACTCTCCACCAACTGAACCGGGATGGAAACAGACTAGTGAAGTTCTTTCAGTTCCCTTAAAGGTACTTTGAGGTATATAGCAGGTATCTGAAGAATGGCCAGTTTACTCTAACACTCTTTGGTGGGCAAAGTACGAAAACTGAAAGACAGCCTAAAGGATTCCATTAAGAAAAAAGAGAAAAAATAGCCTAATAAAATATAGGTGTCGGAGGACCAATTGTGCAAAAGAGAATCAAGCTGGAGCTCCCTATTTTGCAGGAGCTGGGGCTGCACAGGGTGGAGGGATATAACGATTCTCTAGACTTCTCAAGACTGCCTTTAAAAAACTACCTCAACTTCGACTTCTAATCAATGATCTTGCAGCAAGTTTGTATCTGACCTGGAATTAGAAACAGCTTCAGATCCCTACTAAGCAAGTTTGCTTCGGGGTGGGTAGGGGTCTCACCCAATTACCAAGTCTGTAAGCTGATTCCCAGCACTTCCTATCTATCATCTGAGTAAAATAAATATAAGTGGAAGGCAAGAGTTCTATAAACATTGGGTATCACCACTGTATTTTAAGGTAGAGTGACAGGTGTCCTGTAGAGTCCCTGTAATCACCGGTAACTCTTCAAAAACTTCACGGAGGTTGTATTAGTATTTCCTGACTTGCTCCCGCTGACACATGCCTCCAAGGTCAGCTGGACCAGTGCTACTCATCACCGCAGTGCAGCTAACTGGACGGCCCACCGGAGGCGTGGACTCCTCGGGAACAGGCAGCTTGCTATGAGCCCCCGGCCAGGTCAGTGCATCTCTCTGGCCCTGTTTTCTTATCCCGACTTTCCCCGCTGAGAAAATAACGTGGCCGGCCAGAGGCTGGGGGCGCCGCGTGACCAGGGCTCACCTGTGTCCATCCTCCAGCTGCTGGCACAGCGTGGGCTCCAGCTCCAGCAGGCAGAAGTCGCCGGCTGCAGCGCCGCTGGCCCCAGGGCCGAAGCCCAGGCAGTGCACCGCCGGCAGCAGCTCGGCCGCATTCAGCTTGGCGATCTGCAGCGTCGCATCCACCTCGTCGCGGGTCCTCTTCATCGCAGCGCCGGGTCTAGGAGTCCCGCCGCGCCCGGGTGGCTGCGGGCTTGGCGGGCAAGAAAGAAGTTCCCAAGCAGCCGGAAGGTAGGAAACCTGAGCGTTTGAAAGCGCGCCAAGGCGGCCATGGGCGTGTTTCCGGGGCGGAGCGCGCTGCGGGCCCGCCCGCGGGAAGGCCTGCCGGCTTCTGGGAGCGCGAGCCCCTCCGTGCCCCACGCCGGACCGCGACTGCAGGAAGGAAACGCGGCTTCCCGGGGGGCGGTCTCGGCGGAAGCTCGCAGGGGCAGAGCTGCGACTCGGCGGGTTGGGACACGGATCCCTCGCCCACCCTTTCCGCTGTCCCCTTGCCCGCCCCCCATCCCCGATCTCCGTCCCTGGTTTCCAGCCGATGCTCCCATTTCCTCGCCGTCCACATTGTCTCACCTTCCGCCAGTGGCGGGCCCTGTGATAACCACTTGGCATGTATAATTCCATGAGCCCGTTGCCACAACCCTGTAAGGTGGTGCCTTGGTCATTCCCTTTTGCCAATGAGGAAGCAGGCTCCTTGCTCGTGATGGCAGAGTCAGGAGGTAACAGAGTCTGACTCCAGCCTAGCCGACTGTGGCTCTAAAAGCTTCCTGCGGGGTTTTGTGCAAATAACCCATGCTCGGGAGCGAGGCCCTGGGAAGGAGTATCTCGCTTCTTTGGGTCAGGGCACCATCATATCTGGAGACAACGGCGGGACTAGTCTATTCGTTGAATACCTAGTGTTAACCGAAAAGTGACTGATGCAGGTCTCGTTCAATAGAGGTTTATTTAAGCAAGGTTGAGGACGCACCCGAAGGGAAAAACAAGTCACAGGAGCATCTGTGACTTGTACATTTTCCAAAGGTTTGGGGAACTTCAGTATTAAGAGTTTTAAGAGAAAAGGTTTTCACTATGCACACATACATGAATTGCTTGTAACAGCGTAATGTGTAAACTTTCCCAGAGATGCTTAGGGAATCGTTGAGGGCCCTGGCTGTCCCTGAGAGCTAAAATAGTCTGGGAGGAATCACTTAAGAGATGGTGACCTCCTACTAGTTAGTGCAAATCAGACCTTGCTTGAAGTGAAAGAAAGTGGTG
Source organism: Homo sapiens (assembly GCF_000001405.40). Lineage (NCBI taxonomy): Eukaryota > Metazoa > Chordata > Mammalia > Primates > Hominidae > Homo > Homo sapiens. The sequence continues at coordinate 119,856,897 of NC_000008.11, forward strand.
GGTAAGGTGTTGAATTCAAAGGATCTGAGCAGACATTTTTTTCAATTCTTGGGTAAAATGATACGAAAATACCAGAGTAGGGCATCCCAGGAGTCTGGGCAGTGCTTTCGTTGGTGGTGGAAAGATTGGTTCATGTGACCTACTTCTTCACTAGCCTCTTTTACATTTGAATGCATAGGAATTCGGTGGAATGAAATCCTGAATGTGACAGTGGTTGCCTGATAAGAAGTTATTATTGAAGGGAATCAACCATTGTAGTTGCTCTATTAAATGGGAAACATTCCCTACAACTAGAAGCAGTGTCAACTAGAACCCTGACATTTACATCAGACAGGCATGGCTGCGAATCCCAACTCTCTTCAGAACTTTGTGACCTAAGGCAATTTACCTAATTTCTCTGAGTACAACTTCCTTATCGATAAAAAAGCACATAAGACCTACATTCTTAAGATGTACATTCTAAAATGCATGGCTGCTTAATAAATGGCAGCAGTTCTTTTTGTTTTTATGTATTAATCATTATGAATTTAATTTCCAATTAATGGTATGAAATTATTGCCATTAATTTGATATTCTGTCAGGGAGCTGGACCTGTGTTCCTCTCATAAGACAAAATGATGATAGTTTTTATTAATTCATTCTTTAAAATTATGTTAATATGTTTTTCTAAAGTAAGAAATTTTCTGTACCTTTTCAAAAAACGATTGAAGCTGGCTTAATCATTCATCTGGTAGCAGGAAAAAAATATTCTTTATCAGGTAAAAAAATGAACAGTTATAATAAATTTCAAAAGTTCTGTTCATGAGAACAGAATCAGCTAAAATTGATTCTGTTCTCTTGGACACTGTACTCTTGATTATATTGCTCATATATTGTGTTTCATGGCATGAAATGAGAATTTTATTTACTAAATCTTAGTTCATATTATAGAATCATGTATGAACTTTTTTCCTTTTCTTTTCCTCTCTTCTCTTCTTTTTTATTCAATAAAGAGCACAGTGACGGCCAGGTGCAGTGGCTCACGCCTGTAATGCCGACACTTTGGGAGGCCAAGGTGGGCAGATCACCTGAGGTCAGGAGTTCGAGACCAGCCTGGCCAACATGGCGAAACCCCGTCTCTACTAAAAGTACAAAAAAATTAGCCGGGCATGGTGGCAGGCGCCTGTAATCCCAGCTACTCTGGAGGCTGAGACAGGACAATCGCTTGAACCCAGGAGGCGGAGGTTGAAGTGAGCGGAGATCATGCCACTGCACTCCAGAGTGAGACTCTTGTCTCAAAAAAAAAAAAAAAAAAAAGGAACACAGTCACTTCCAGACATTCCAAAAACTGAAAATGTGGCCTTGCTTTCGGTCCTTATTCTTATTACTGTGACTTTCTAACAGATTTTCCTGCTTTTCATCCCCCTTCCCACTGCCCCTCCATCTGTATACCACAGTCAGATTAATTTTCTGAACATGAAGTTCTCTAGTGACATTACACTATGCTCACAGGTCATCATCAACCACTCCCTCTCCTGTCAAAGCTCATACTCAAACCTCTGCTGGTTTCTGGTTTTCTGTGCTTTGTGTCCGTTCTGCCTTTCCAGACTCCACGGCCCTGAGTACTCTTCACACACATGATAGCCAAACCTACAGATGGCCCCGTCCTTCCCTACTTTCGTGCTTGTGTGGCCAGGCATGTTTAATTTCAGCCATCATTTACACATTATTATTATTATTATTATTATTATTATTATTATTATTATTTGAAATGGAGTCTTGCTCTGTCACCCAGGCTGGAGTGCAGTGGCACGATCTCGGCTCACTTCTGCCTTCTGGGTTCAAGCGATTCTCATGCCTCAGCCTCCCGAGTAGCTGGAATTACAGGTGTGTGCCCCCATGCCCAGCTAATGTTTGTACGTTTAGTAAAGACGGGTTTTCGCCATGTTGGCCAGGCTGGTCCCGAACTCCTGACCTCAGGTGATGGTGATCTGCCCACCTTGGCCTCCTAAAGTGCTGGGATTACAGGTGTGAGTCACCGTGCCCAGCCCACATATAAATTAGAAAAGTTTTCATTAACATTTTCGTTTTTCGTCTTTTAAAAAAAATCAGGATATCTATCAACATGGGACTCATATTTCTGGATAGCAGCAGTAGGCTGGAGTTGCTAATTGTTTCTTCATAGTTCTCTTCAGGTCTGTGCCAGGCTCTCTCAATATGGAAACTTATATTATTCTTCAGTTCTGGGAAGTTTTATTATATGATTTCTTTGATAAGATCACCTCACCGCTACCCCATCCCAGATTTTTTTTTCTTTCTTTCCTTATTTTATTTCTTTTCTTTTTCTTTCTTTCTTTTCAGACAGGGTCTCACTCTGTTGCCCAGGCTTGAGTGCAGTGGCTCCATCTCAGCTCACTGTAACTTCTGCCTCCCAGGCTCAAGCTATCTTTTCACCTCAGCCTCCTAAGTAGCTGGGACTACAGGCACGGGAACCACCATGCCTGGCTAATTTTTGTATTTTTTTGTAGAGATGGGGTTTTGCCATGTTGGCCAGGCTGGTCTCGAACTCTGCGACTCAAGTGATCCACCTGCCTCAGCCTCCCCTAAGTGCAGGGATTACAGGCATGAGCTAGAGTGCCTGGCCTGTTCTATATTTTGGAAATCTACTTTTTATATTTTCTTATATAGACATGTAAGTTTCAATATCAGATATTTGGTTTTAGCAAGATAAAGAAAATGATAGAAAAAGTGAGGCAAAATGTTAACAATTAGTACATCTGGGTAAAGTGAATAAAGATCAGGGAAACTCAAAGCCTAGGTACAAGAAGTGAGTGATGGCTCTAGGGCAAGTATCAGGTTGATTGAGTAGCTAAGCTGGTAGTTCCCTTGTGTCCAGCTATAATAAGCCAGCAGTAACTTTGTAAGCTAAAGCAGTGTGGGAAATGGTCTTGGATAGGCTGAGAAACGCGCCCCCTCCCCACCTTGCAGCTAATGAATCATGCAGCGCTGGGGAGCATCAGCTCCCAGAAGACAAACTACCACCAAACCTCCCTATTCAAGGTATGGCCTTACTCCTTCCAGACAATCTCTGGAGTTAGGGAGAGAACACAGAACAGCTGGTGCACAGGGCTTCTCAGATATAAAGCTGAAGAGAGAATCATCGTTTGTGTACATCCAATAGCACAAAATCGAGACATCTAAAATCGTCAAATAGAAGAGTTAGCACCCCAGGAGGCAGAATAGAGCAAAAACCACATGACTTTATGGTAAATACACTATCTTCACAGTGATGGGAGATAATTCTTAGAAAAGAGTCAATCAGAGATCAGAGATCATTTCCCAGCTTCCCAAATGTCGGTCCCATTTGGAATGACATATTTAGTATTTGGCAGCCTCTCCTTAGGTCTTTCACTCCTAGAGTAAGAATTACTAGGCCACGCCTAGTAATGGTAGCTCACGCCTGTATTCCCAACACATTAGGAGGCCAAGGCAGAAGAATTGCCTGAGCCCAGGAGTTCAGGACCAGCCTGAGCAACAGGGAGACTCCCTGTACAAAAATAAAAAAGAATTATTATAGTAGAAAAGGCCAAGTAGAAGCACTGAAATTGACTCCATGCAGAAATTAAAAACAGCATCACATAACAGAGGTAATGGCAAAAATTAATGCTACCCTTAAAGATTTAAAGAATGCAGAGTTAGTGGTTCCTCTTATACCTGCATTTAATTCACCTGTCTGGCCCCTGCAACTGCTGTGATGAATGTAGTATCTTTCCTAAGACAGTTTAGCATGGTTTACGTTTTTTGTATCTGTTATGTTTGACCTCATCTCTCCCACCTTTTTTACTTTATTTATAGCCATATTTGTTTTGTTGCTTATTTTCTTCATTATCTTTCATTGGATTGCTTTTGTTTGATTTTTTTCCTCCAGCAGTTTGGAACATATGTACCCTAACCGAACTCATCTACTACTTTCCCTTTTCCTCTTCAATGTTTCTTTGTAGCATTGGGCACACTGGCTTTCTTTTCTTTTTCTTTTTTTTTTTGGTTTTTATTTATATCATATTGCCTCCTGCCATACAGTGCTCTGTCTGGCGTATTCTTCCCTATGTTCTTTATCTGGGTAACACCTATTCATTCTCTAGCCAATAACACTGTCTGATAGAATTTACTGAGATGTTGGAAATGTTCTATAGCTCCACAGGTGAAGTGGTAACTACTAGCCCCATATGGCTTTTGAGTGCTTGAAATATGGACAGTGAGAATGAGAAACTGAATTTTAAATTGTATTCAATTTTATTTAATTTAAATTTAAACATCCACCTGTGGCTAGTGGCTACTGTATTGGAACACTCAACTCTAAATCAGTAGTTGCTTCTCAGAAATCTTTCTCTGATCTCCCTGATCAGGTCAAATCTCTCTAATATAGGCTCACATGGTAGAAAATCTTCTCGTTTTTAGTTTTAAGTAAATTGCAATTTTATATTTATTTGTGTGATTACTTAATGTCTTTTTTGTCAGACTATAGACTTCAATAAGATAAAATTTTGGTTATCATTAAGCAAATGCCCAGCATGTAGTAGATCATCATATATATTTGTTGAACAATTTGCTGAATGAATGAATGAATGAATGAATTATAACCATGCTTTACCTCTAAGGAGAGGAGTAGAAGGGTAGATAAAAAGGGATTTCTTATTTATCTTTATATATCTTAACACAGAGAACACATTCATGCATTAAATATGTGCAATTAAAAACATTAAAAATATTTTCCTCAGCTTTACAAAACCCAATGTACAGACAATAACTTCAAATGAGCAGGTAATAAATCACACATGAATAAAGAGAAAGAAAAAAGGAAAGAGAAGAAGGGAGGGAAAAGGAGAAGGAAAGAGTTGATCATTCTATTTTGTGACACAGATTAAAGGGGGACAAGAATAGAAGCAAGGAGACCTGCCAAGAGGCCAAATGAGAGATGAAGGTGGCTGGATTTAAGAAGTAATTAGGGCTGGCCACGGTGGTTCTTGCCTGTAATGCCAGCACTTTGGGAGGCCCAGGCAGGAAGACTGCTTGAGGCCAGGAGTTTGAGACCAGCCTGAAAAACGTAGTGAGATCCCCATCTCTACAAAAAAAAAATTTTAAATACAATAAAAATTCGTTGTTGTGGTGGCACATGCCTGCAGTCCCAGCTACTCAGGAGGCTAAGGCAGGAGGATCACTTGATCCCAGGTGCTTGAGACTGCAATGAGCTATGATTGCACCACTACACTCCATCTTGAGCAACAGAGTGAGACCCTATTTCTTTTTTTATTTTATTTATTTATTTTTTGAGATGGAGTCTTGCTCCGTCGCCCAGGCTGGAGTGCAGTGGCATGATCTCGACTCACTGCAACCTCCGCCTCCTAGGTTCAAGTGATTCCCTTGCCTCAGCCTCCCAAGTAGCTGGGATTACAGGTGTCTGCCACCATGCCCGGCTAATTTTTTTTGTATTTTTAGTAGAGATAGGGTTTCACCATGTTGGCCAGGCTGGTCTTGAACTCCTGACCTCAGGTGATCCACCCGCCTCGGCATCCCAAAGTGGTGGGATTACAGGCACGAGCCACCACACCCAGCCCCTATTTCAAAATAATAATAATAATAATAATAATAATAATAATAATAATAATAATAATTTGGAGATAGCATGGACAACAGTGAACTTGGAGTTTGAATTAAGGTCTTGCCAGAAGCTAAAATATAAAGCTTTAAAGTGTACATATATTGTAGTTATGAGAGTGCCTATGATTCCTGGGCGCTGTGGTGCGTGCCTGTAGTCCCAGCTACTCAGGAGGCTGAGGCTGGAGGATCGCTTGAGTCCAGGAGTTCTGGGCTGTAGTGCGCTATAGCGATCGGGTGTCCGCATTAAGTTCGGCATCAATATGGTGACCTCCCGGGAGCGGGGGACCACCAGGTTGCCTAAGGAGGGGTGAACTGGCCCAGGTCGGAGAGTGCCTATGATTGAGATCATCCAGGGACAGTGTGATGTGCAACTGATAAAAGGGCTGAAGTTAAAGCCTCACTAACATTTGAGGTGGAAGCCTTGAAAGAAGTATCTGCCAGAGGAAAAAATTGCAAGCAATTGGAGAAATAGAATAAAGCAGTGTCTTGGAAACTGTATTACTTTGTTTCAAATGAGCAAGTTCTGGTTTACAGCAAGATTCATTTCATTCTATGAAAAATAGAGTAGCTTAAATTTTAATTTCACATCTTTTGTTAAACTTCCAACATTTTGCTTATAAAACAATCAGGCTTTTACCCCACTAGATGGCAGTATTATTTAATGTTTTATAGAGCAGCCTGCTTTGCCTTTTTTTTCTTCCACTGCCTTAGAAAAGGAAAGTGAAGGAATATTTATTCAATTATTTACTGAGTTAAGCACTTAACTGAGTACCCTGTATAGGCCGGGCGCGGTGACTCACGCCTGTAATCCCAGCACTTTGGGAGGCTGAGGCAGACAGATCACGAGGTCAGGAGATCGAGACCATCCTGGCTAACATGGTGAAACCGTCTCAACTTAAAATACAAAAAAAAAAAAAAAAAAAAATTAGCCGGGCGCGGTGGCGGGAGCCTGTAGTCCCAGCTAGTCGGGAGGCTGAGGCAGGAGAATGGCGTGAACCCAGGAGGCAGAGTTTGCAGTGAGCGGAGATCGGGCCACTGCACTCCAGCCTGGGCGACAGAGCAAGACTCCGTCTCAAAACAAACAAACAAACAAACATACACAACTGAGTACCCTCTATATGCTACCTCATGCAGTCCCTGCAATAATGTAAGCCAGAATCTTGGCATTTCTCTGTTCAAAATGCTTCAATGGATTCTGATCTCCTTTAGAATAAAAACCAAAGTCCTTACCAAGGCCAATAAGACCTTACGCAATCTCCATTGCCCCACACCCCATAACCCATACCTTGCCACTCTCTAAATTTACAGAACACACTTTTACCTCAGGCCTCCTTTGTTTTTTTAATCAACCTTTTTGAGGTATAAATTAAGTAAAATAAACTGCATCTGTTTAAAGTATACAATTAAATCTTTTGGCACACGTACACACTGATACCTTCTCTTTCTTAGAGGCAGGAGAAAACTTTTGGGGGGTGATGAGAATATTCTGCATATTTGGTTTTTAATATTGCGCACATTCTCATCACCCCCAAAAGTTTTCTCCTGCCCTAAGTAAGAGAAAGAGAAGGAATATTTATGAAATACTAATTTCTGTTTACTTTGTGTTTGCTTTACTCTTCTTTTTCTAGATTCGTATCATTGTGTTAGACCTTTCTTTTCTAATATAAATACTTTAAACTATTAATTTTCCTCTAAGATCTGCTCTAGTTACGTCCCACAAATGTGGAGATGTAACTGAAGTATTGGAGAGTTATCTTTCTTTTATTTATTTATTTTTTTTTGGAGACAGGGTCTCGCTCTGTCACACAGGCTGGAGTGCAGTGGCGCAACCTCGGCTCGCTGCAACCTCCGCCTCCTGGGCTCAAGCAATTCTCCTTCCTCAGCGTCCCAAGTAGCTGGGATTACAGGTGCCTGCCACCATGCCCGGCTAATTTTTGTATTTTTAGTAGAGACAGGTTTCACCATATTGGCCAGGCTGGTCTTGAACTCCTGACTTCAGGTGATCTGCCCGTCTTGGTCTCCCAAAGTGCTGGGATTAAATAAAATAAAGACAGCATTACTTCCAACTGTTATACTTGTAATACTGTTTTTGTATTTGTTTTGGGGTATTAAGACTTTTTATTATGACAACCTGCAAAGTTTTGACCTTTTGTTTTCAGTGCCTCTGTTGAGAGAACTCTTGTGGCCCTTTATCAAGCAAAACTTTCCAGTAAGCACACATATTTATATCAAGCTCAATGATTTTCCAGGTCATATATTGTGATGGACAAAAGTAAAGATGTTTGATAACTTCTTCATCAATGGTATTTTTCATTTGAGAACAAAATAATATTTTAATGTTGCAAGGCACTGAATAAATACATTTTCTGTGCCTAGAACTGGGCTGGACCCCACAAAGAGAGAAAGGAGGATGACAAAGGTGCCATGCTTATTTATAATTTAGGAGGAGAGAGAAGACATATACTCAAGAAACAAAATCTATTCCATGCTGTATTGGAGTATGCTAACTGATGGTTAGCGTATAATATGATGCTAACTGATGGTTAGCGTATAATATGATGCTAACTGAGGAGTATGACAGTGCAGGAGTCATAGCAGGTTGATCTCAGAGAACCGCCATCATTTCCCTTCCTCCTTTTTTTTTTTTTTTTTTTTTTTGAGATGGAGTCTCACTGTGTTGCCCAGGATGGCCTGGAATTCCTGGCTTAAGTGATCCTCCCACCTCAACCTCCCAAGTAGCTTACCACTGTGCCTGGCTCCCCTTTATTTGATGTAGTTATAAAACACTAGCTGATTATCCAGGCCCATAGGGGGATGGAACTAATACCATGTACAGCACTTGCAAAGCTCCTTCGAATTTCTCATTCAATCCTGTGAAGTTGATGTTACCATCACATTCATGGTCTGAAACAGCCAATAGTGAAGACAGTCAGGGCTCTCAGTGGCTGGGCAGCCTGGAGGTAGTAACACCTACATCACAGGGTTGTGATGAGGCCAGTAAAGCACATAGAACAGAGCGACTGGCCTGTGGGAAGAGCTTGGGGTTCAGTGATCTGTCTCTATGGAGAGGCAGTAGAATGGAGGAACTTCCAGCGGGGCCTCTAAAGCCAGAGTGGCTAGGTTCAAACCCAACCTCTATAATTTACTCTACTACAGAAGACTTGCCTAGTCCTCTCTGGGCCTCAGTTTCTTCATCTGAAAATAGGAAGGAAAATAGCCAACTCACAGGGTTATTTTGAGATATAAATGTAATACTTTTTGAACATGACACATAGCAAGAGCTCAATAAATATAACCTTATTGTTATTCCACCTAAAAAATTATCAATCCCATCTAATTCAATGTCTCCTTTAAAAATGACAGATATGTGGCCGGGTGCAGTAGCTCATGCCTGTAATCCCAGCACTTTGGGAGGCTGAGGTGGGCAGATCACCTGAGGTCAGGAGTGCAAGACCAGACTGGCAAACATGGTGAAACCCTGTCTCTACTAAAAATACAAAAATCAGCCGGGTGTAGTGGTGGGAGCCTGTAATCCCAGCTACTTGGGAGCCTGAGGCACAAGAATCGCTTGAACCCAGTAGGCGGAGTTTGCAGCGAGCCAAGATTGTGGGACTGCACTACAGCCTGGGTGACAGAGAGAGATTATGTCTCAATAAATAAATAAATAAATAAATAAATAAATAAATAACAGATATGTAACTCTCATTTTCTTTTGTTGTCATTAAATTAATAGATAACCTTGCTGTGTACGTAATTTGAAAAATCAATATAATGCCCTTAATAGAGTATTAAAAAAGAGAAATTATGTGTAATAATGTATATTTCAGTATTTAAATTATTACAGTAGAAGGCCTAATGAGATAGTTGTAGTCAGATGTTTACAACTACTCATAATGAATAATTTTAGAATAAGAAAATTAAGACAATATTTAGCTGAATATTACCATCAATTCTTTTTTATACTTGGCATTTTAAACTTTGGCTAAGTAATATATTCCTATTCAACACACACCTAGAATTACCCCACATGTGAGAGCTCCAAATGCAGACTGAAGTTGTGTTATACTGGAGGTGTGTATGCCACACAAATGGCACAAAAGAGGAGTAATTTTATGCAGTGATAAACCTTTCTTAGTAATATTTTAAATAGAACAATCTTTTCTCAATGTACACAATAGTTACATTCCTGACCATTGAGGATTATACGCTAATTTTTTTTTTTTTTTTTTTTTGAGACGGGGTCTCACTCTGTCACCCAGGTTAGAGTGCAGTGGTGCGATCTCAGCTCACTGCAACCTCCGCCTCCCAGGCTCAAGTAATCCTCCCACTCAGCCTTCCAAGTAGCTGGGACCACAGGCATGCACCACCACACCCGGCTAATTTTTTGTATTTTTTCTTGAGGTTTCACCATGTTGGCCAGGCTGGACTCAAACTCCTAAGCTCAGGCGATCCACCCTCCTCAGGCTCCCAAAGTGCTGGGATTACAGGTCTGAGTTACCGAGCCCAGCCTACCTACTAAAATTGTGACAAAAATACCTCATAAGAAAAACATTCAGGATTTGGAACAACCCAATTTTTTTGTGAGTTGTTGTCCCAAACAAGTGAGAATATCTAGCATTCCTAGTCTTTGATCACTAAACCCAGTAGCATTCCCAATAATATGACACACCACAGCCTCCACCCCAAAGTTCCCAACAAACCCTCGTGGGGGGTGACCCTTTTTCTGTAGGAGACCTACAAGCATTTCGTGTCATTGCGAAAGCAATCACTAGGTGGCAGCATATATCAAGGTACTCAAGACCATGCGGGAACCAAGGTTAAGATTAGTAAGACTTCCTGGGAGGTGAGCAGGGTTGGAAATGAAGGACAAGAGGATTTCAGTTTTATTTGTAATGTTTTATTTCTATCACTACAAAAAGATGACTCAAATATGACAAAAATATTAAAAATGGGTGTGAATGACAAAAGCCATGGAAATTGTACTTTTCTCTGTTTTTACATTTATTTATTTATTTATTTATTTAGAAACAGAGTCTCCCTCTGTCGCTCAGACTGGAGTGCAGTGGTGCGATCTGGGCTCACTGCAATCTCTGCCTCCTGGGTTCCAGCGATTCTCCTGCCTCAGCCTCTGGAGTAGCTGGGATTACAGGTGTGTGCCACCATACCCGGCTAATTTTTGTATTTTTATTAGAGACAGGTTTCACCATGTTGGCCAGGCTGGTCTTGAACTCCCGACCTCAGGTGATCCACCTACCTTGGCCTCCCAAAGTGCTGGGATTACAGGTGTGAGCCGCTGTGCCCGGCTTTTTACATTTATTTTTAAAAGATCTACAAACAGAAAGATCTGCACAGAATATTGCTAAATTATCAATCTTCCATTCACAAAGAGAATAAAAATTGTGGTAGCTAAAGAATCAGGACTTCCATTAATGGTTAAGAACAATTTAAATCTTCTGTAAGAAGATGTACATTTGGGCCGAGCGCTGTGGCTCACGCCTGTAATCCCAGCACTTTGGGAGGCCGAGGTGGGTGGATCACCTGAAGTCAGTAGTTCAAGACCCGTCTGGCCACATGGTGAAACCTTGTCTCTACTAAAAATACAAAAATTAGCCGGACATGGTGGCACACGCCTGTAATCCCAGCTACTCGGGAGGCTGAGGCAGGAGAATCGCTTGAACTCAGCAGGCGGAGGTTGCAGTGTGCCAAGATTGCACCATTGCACTCCAACCTGGGCGACAAGAGTGAAACTCAGTCTCAAAGAAGAAGAAGAAAAAGATGTACATTTGTAGGAAAGACTGAAACTGCTTTTGTAACATTATGACTGAGACAGCGAAAGACTTCTAACTTAACCAGCTCTGTCTTGCTTCTAACATCCAAGCTGTCCTTGTTCATTCCTGGGCATTGGCTGAAATAATTTGGGGAGAAACTTAGTTTATAGTTTAAACCAAAGACGATAACAGCCCCTTCGCAAAGCAGACCTCCTTCTTGCCTGGGGACTAGATTGCCTCTGTAGGACTAACATTAGCCACAAGATTAGAAATTATAGTCTAGGGATTATGCAGCTGGAGGCTACAAGATTCCGACCCTCCCTAAACTGCTCCTAAGATCAGTGCTTGTGATATTTTGCAGAGCCTGAACTTGATGGATCAGCTGGCACCACCCAGATCGATTAATTGGCTCATCTGATCTGGGGGCCCCCCCGACCCAGGAACTGACTCAGCGCAAGGAGACAGCTCCGACTCTCCATGATTTCATCCCTGACCAATCAGCACTCCTGGCTCACTGGCTCCCCCACCCACCAAGTTGTCCTGAAACACTGCTCACCCAGTGCTTGGGGAGACTGATTTGAGTAATAATAAAACTCTGGTCTTCTGGTTCTAGATCCTTGAGGAATCGCCACACTGTCTGCCACAATGGTTGAACTAATTTACACTCCCACCAACAGTATAAATAAAAACAAAACAAAACAAAACAAAAAGTGTTCCTATTTCTCCACATCCTCTCCAGCATGTGTTGTTTCCAGACTTTTTAATGACCGCTATTCTAACTGGTGTAAGATGGTATCTCATTGTGGTTTTGATTTGCATTTGTCTAATGACCAGCGATGATGAGCTTTTCCTCATATGTCTGTTGGCTGCATACTACCATTTGACCCAGCAATCCCATTACTGGGTATATACCCAAAGGATTATAAATCATTCCACTATAAAGACACATGCGCACGTATGTTTATTGCAGCACTATTCACGATAGCAAAGCCTTGGAACCAACCCAAATGCCCATCAATGATAGACTGGATAAAGAAAATGTGGCACATATACACTACAGAACACTATGCAGCCATAAAAAAGGATGAGTTCTTGTCCTTTGCAGGGACATGGATGAAGCTGGAAACCATCATTTTCAGCAAACTAACACAGGAACAGAAAACCAAACACCACATGTTCTCACTCATAAGAGGGAGTTGAACAATGAAAACGCATGGACCCGGGAAGGGGAACATCAAACACCAGGGCCTGTCAGTGGGTGGGGGGCTGGGGAGGAATAGCATTAGGAGAAATACCTAATGTAGATGACCAGTTAATGGGTGCAGTGAACCACCATGGCACATGTATACCTATGTGACAAACCTGCACGTTCTGCACGTGTATTCCAGAACTTAAAGTATAATTAAAAACAAACAAACAAACAGCAACAACAAAAAACCTCTGGTCTCCAGCACAGCCGACTCTGCGTGAATTACTCTTTCTCTATTGCAATTCCCCTGTCTTGATGAATCGGCTCTTTCTAGGCAGTGGGCAAGGTGAACCCCTTGGGCGATAAATAGCAATAAACTGCTTGGAGAAGTGCAGGAAAATAGCCCAGAGAAGGTGGCATTTCAGTTAGCCTTTAAAATCAGGCAGGATGGCCCGGCACAGTGGCTCATGCCTATAATCCTAGCACTTTGGGAGGCTGGTGGGAAGGTCACCTGAGGTCAGGAGTTCAAGACCAGCCTGACCAACATGGTGAGATCCCTGTCTCTACTAAAAATACAAAAAAATTAGCCAGGCCTGGTGGCACATGCCTGTAATCCCAGCCACCCAGAAGGCTGAGGCAGGAGAATTGCTGGAACCCGGGAGGCAGAAGCTGCAGTGAGCCAAGATCATGCCACTGCACTCCAGCCTGGCTGATAGAGGAGACTCTGTCTCAAAAAATAATTAATTAATTAATTAATTAAAATCAGGCAAGAATAATACCAATGCATATTAAAAGGCAACAATAATCATGACAGCTAACATATTAATCTTCATAGCTGACAGTATTCTTTCATGCATTTTATCAATTCAAGTTCATCTCCTTTTTATATTGCTGCTGACCTTTAGGAAGTGTTTATCACACCAGTGCTACTCCAAGTGTGGTTTGCTAACTGGGCACGATCTTGGCTCACTGCAGCCTCCGCCTCCCAGGTTCAAGCAATTCTCCCACCTCAGCCTCCCAAGTAGCTGGGATTACAGGCACCTGCCAACACACCCGGCTAATTTTTGTATTTTTAGTAGAGACAGGGTTTCGCCATGTTGGCCAGGCTGGTCTTCAACTCCTGGCCTCAAGTGATCCACCCACCTCACCCTCCAAAAGTTCTGGGATGATAGACGTGAGCCACTGCACCTGGCTTCATTTGTATTATTGTATTTCATCAAAGTATCAGGCTTCAATGGGTTGAAAGCATACACACACACACACAGGTGGATCTTCCCCGCCAAACCTTTGAGAAGCACTGGCCCCAAAGCACCAAAACAGACAGAAGGCATGAAAGAGGTAAGTGTGGAGAGCTAGAAGAGAAAAGTGTGGAGAGCTAGAAGAGAAAGCTCACACTTAATAGTTCCCACCTGTAATAAGTGCTTTCAGTAAATTTTATTTAATCCTCCCAATAACCCAATGAGATTGGTGTTATTATCTAAATTTTACAAAAGAGGGACAGCAAATTCAGAGACGATAAGGAGCTTGCCCAAACATGGCCAAGAATCAAACCAAGGTTTGTCAGAATTCTGTTTTTCTGAAATATTTATGCTGAATTAGTTGCCATATGAGTGCCCTTTTCTCCTTGATCAATATCTAAAAAATTACAGTTTATCTGGAACCAGTTGCTCCTGGGCTCACAGTCATGGACATGTCCTCAGGATGTGGCTCACCAATTTTTCCCTAAGTTAGGAAAAAGGATCTGTCTTCTTACCCAGTGGAGCATGGTGTGTGTCATATGTCAAAAGGTTAAAACAATAACAGCAAACCAGTTCCCATTTCCTGTTCAAATATACCTACCTATACACACACCGCCCCCTACACACACCTCTTATCAGGCAAGAAAAATAAATCATGCTCTCTCACTGTCACTGGAACAATAGCATCAGGTATTTTCCTAACTCGAATTTTCTTTTCTTTTCTTTATGTTAAGGTGCTTTTTTATCTTAAAGTTACAAATTTGTGTTACTGACATGGATCTTGGAAACTTTACATAATAGAAATTTTAATGTTATTTATTTTTTCTTTTTTTTAAGTGTCAGGGTCTTGCTCTGATACACACACTGGAGTGCGGTGGTGCAATCATAGCTCACTGTAACCTTGAATTCCTGGGCTCAAGTGATCCTTCCACCTCAGCCTCTCAAGTAGCTGAGACTACAGGTATGCACAACCATACCTGGGTAATTAATTTTGTTTTTTTTTTGTAGAGACAGGGTCTTGCTATGTTGCCCAGGCTGGCATTGAACTCTTGGCCTCAAGCAGTCCTCCCACCCTAACTTCCCAAAGAACTGGGATTACATTATTTCATTTAAGCCACGCAACATCCCTATGAAGTAGAAATTATTATTCCTGTTTTATCGATAGGAAAGGGAGGCCAAGAGAAATAACTAGCATAAGGTTGCAAAATTAGCAAACGACAGAATTGAGATAGAAATTGCATGTTTGACTGAGAAGCCCGTGCAAACTCTTGATATTCTATTTAGTAGTTATAAGATTAAAACATGAGCAACAGACACCTTTTAATCTCATTAACTCTGGGACTTCTGTTGAATGATTTATGTATTTTATGCAGAATAAGGCTCTTAGAATCACAGTCACCTAGAACTATGTCTGCCTTGGTCTACATGTCTATTGTGGCCTATTTAAAAAATTAAGAAACTTAAATAATTTCTTTTGGCAAAAGAGTCACCTAACATCTGTCTCATGCAGATTCAGAGCTGGTCTGCTCCCGGATGTTCAAGGGAGTTGGGCAACTATTCTCTTTCTGGAGTGGGGCTGAGTATGGCCAGGGTTTAAGGGCTACCTAACTTTCTAGGCAGATTACTTCATCTTTCTATACTTAAGCTTTCTCATTTGTAAGTTGAAAATAATACCAAACTCCAGGGTTTTGTGAGGATAAAGTGTTTGGCACAATGTAAAGCACAGAATAAATGCTCAACACACATGAATACTGCCATAAACATTACTTCGCCTTCCTGCAGACCAACTCCGACTCTGCATGAAACAGAAAATCAGAACATTTATTTGGTACTAATCAAATTTCTTTTCATAATCTTTTACGGATAGACAATACCATTGTATCCCCATTTTAAGAGGCAGTCTTTCAGTCTTTTCAAAGCATAACTTTGAAGCCAGAATTGCCTCGGTTAGATTTCTTCTTATTATTATTATGATGATTTGAGACGGAGTCTCGCTCTTGTTGCCCAGGCTGGAATGCAATGGCACTAACTCCGCTCACCCGAACTCGGCTTACAGCAACCTCCGCCTCCCGGGTTCGAGCGATTCTCCTGCCTCAGCCTCCGAAGTAGCTAGGATTACAGGCATGCACCACCACGCCCGGCTAATTTTGTATTTTTAGTAGAGACGGGGTTTCTTCATGTTGGTCAGGCTGGTCTGGAACTCCTGACCTCAGGTGATCTGCCCGCCTCGGCCTCCCAAAGTGCTGGGATTACAGGCATGAGCCACGGTGCCCGGCTCTTCTTATACTTATTATTTGCTTGCCTTAGACAAGTAACTTCACCTCTCCAAGCCTGCATTCTAATGCAAAACGAACACCAATACCTATTTTATGAATTATTGTAATAATTAAACGAGGTAATACCATACCTGAAGTATCTTTAATGCAGCAGATGTCAAAAGTGGTAGCCGCAATTATTTTTATTTTGTAAGGGAGGATTAAACACATTTAAATAGGACATCACAGGAGCGGAGCTGGATCCCAGGTCAGCCTGATTCCTAGGCCGGCGTTCCTTATTGATTACAACATAAGGCAAACAAGTCGTCTTTGGAGAGAGAGGTTGGGGAGAGAAGAATGTTTAATTTCTCCATGCCCTTCAATGACATGTATAACCTTCACTGTTGACCATTTGGCCAGATTGTTGAATTATGTTTTGCTCTCTGGCAACTTGGGGTGTGGAACGTACAATAAAAACGCCTTCACACTAATAACCTCCAGGCCTGTCCCCAGGATTCTACAGCATGAGCTTTGTGGGTAAAGAGAGCTCACCAAATTCAGCCTCCAGCAGCACACACAGCTCAGTAGCAGCGCCCCGCCCAGATGTTTATATTTTCCTCCATCGGCCCCGCCCCCCGACCATGAGGGGCTCTAGCCACGCCCCCAAGCTCAAGTTTCTGGGGCCGGACTAGCCCAGCGCGTCTGCCTACCCATAGGGATTCCCTCTCCAGCCAATCCAGTCAGAGCAGCGGAGCTGCCCCGAACAAAGATGGCGCGGGAAGCGTCTGTGAGGGCAGACTGATCCGAGCACCCAAACCCTCGGCGGACAGCGGAGCCAGTGGTAGCCGCACGGCCCTAAAACCATGGAGGAGGGCGGCAGCACTGGCAGTGCTGGCAGTGACAGCAGCACCAGCGGGAGTGGCGGGGCGCAGCAAAGGGAGCTGGAGCGCATGGCTGAGGTCTTGGTCACCGGGGAACAGCTACGGTAAGGCAAGAGACACAGCGGGTGAGCTCACGATGGCACTGCCAACGCGTGCCCGCTGCAGTCCTGCGCGCACGCGCTCCCTGGCTCGTGGCTTGCGACTCGCGTGGGGCGCCGGAACGGCTGCGGGCGCGTGGATGGTCCTCGGTGCGCCCGCGCTTAGCTGCTGCAGCCTCGGTCCCTGAGGACTCGCTCGCCAAGCGGGGCTGCCTGGCAGAAGCCGACGAGCGGGTGGTGCGCGCTGCGCCCTAGCCTGGCTGCTGCAGTCCTGTGCCGGGCAAAGTCCCTGCCACCCACCGCGCTGTCCGTCTTCCCGTGTACCTGGACGCCGCCAGGCCTCCCGGCTGACAGCCTGCGCCTCATCCGCGAAGAGAGCAAGAGGGGTCGCTGTGGGGTCCCGAGGCGACCCCAGCCCCTCTACTCCTTGATAAAAGGAGCAAGACCAACGATAGTCTTCACTAGGTTTTCCTTTTTGCTGACAAGTCTTCCTTCACTCCCCTGAGCCTCGGTGTTTTACATCTGTAAAACAGGGCTGATTCAAGGGCTTTTTGTGAGGTTAAACTGAGAGAGCATTTCTGAAACCCTGCACCTATCAGTTAATTGGCACATCGTCCTCAATCATTTGGGTCCGCAAGGGGGCGTGGAGGCACCTTGTCGGGCTGCCTTGAGGCTGTGCCAACTCCCCGGGCTCGCACGTTTTGGGCAGCAGGATCCATGGGGACCCTGGCTCCTGCAAGAATTAAGACTTGCGGCGTCTCACGGAACTTGGGAACAAGGACGACCCCCAGAATCCCCCTTGCCATTCCCATCCCTGTATGGTCCTTCCTCTAGGGCTGTTTGGGAATAGTACTTATGGTCTAACTGGTTCTGCAGCTGCCCTTCGTGTGGTTATAAATCAGTTTGCCAGGAAAAAGAAAACCCAGCTCTGCAGCGTTTGAGCCACAACTTGTACGCGGGCCCCTGTTACTTCTAGTTCTTAGCCTGAATTCCCCAGCTTGTTTTGGTTTCTAAATGTCTGTGTTTCAGGACCTGAAAGAGTGTCTTGCAAAGGTCTCTGAAGGAGACCAATATTGGAAGTCAGAATTAACTGATTTTTAATGTTACAAAAGGCAAATTGCACCTATCGATTCTTTGTTGATTTTTAAAAATACGTGGTCAGAATTAAAGGGAATAAAAACTTTTTTTCCTTCATCAAAAGTACTTTCTAATGAAACCTGTCACGCGGTGCCCGTGTGAAGAGACCACCGAACAAGTTTTGTGTGAGCAATAAAGCTTTTTAATCACCTGGGTGCAGGTGGACTGAGTCTAAAAACGGAGTCAGCAAAGGGAGATGGGGAAGGGGTTGTTTTATAGGAGTTGGGTAGATGATGGATAGTGGTGTAAGTTTGTGAGGTGCAGTCCAAGAAGGCGGGGGTGACTTCATAAAGCCCTGTTGTAAAGAGTAGAGTAAGGAAGAAGAGACCTGATATCCCTTGGAGAATAAATGTTGAAGGAGCAGGAGGGTGTCTTGCTGAGAAGATTCAAAGGAGAGGCTACAAAGTAGAAGGTCATCAATATATTGAATAAGGTGAGAAGCAGAGGGGTAGAAAGAAAGTAAATCATGAGAAAGGGCTTGGCTGAAGTAATGAGGGCTGTTCCTGAAGACTTGCGGCAGTACAGCCCAGGTAAGCTGCTGGGACTGATGGGTGTCAGGGTCAGTCCAGGTAAAAGCAAAGAGAGGCTGGGACGAGGGGTGCAGGGGAATAGTGAAAAAGGCATCTTTAAGATCAAGAATGGAATAGTGAGTTGTGGAGGAAGGTATTGAGGACAAAAGAGTGTACAGGTTTGGCACCACAGGGTGGATAGGCAAAACAATTTGGTTGATAAGGTGCAGAACCTGAACTAACCTGTAAGACTTGTCCAGTTTTGGGACAGGTAAAATGGGGGAATTGTAAGGAGAGTTTGTAGGCTTTAGAAGCCCAAGCTGTAGCAGGCGAGTGATAACAGGCTTCAGTCCCTTTAAAGCCTACTGTGGGAAAGAAAGTTTAATTTCTCTGCTCTTCATTACTGGGCCATCTTTTTAAAAGTCTTCTGTTGGATAGGGTTACTTATTTTTCATTTATTTTACAAATATTAAATTGCATGATGGCTCTTTTTGTCCAGCAAGTACTTTTTCCTTCAAGATGCAGTTTAAATGCCTCTTCCTTGCAGTCCCCAGAGCACTTGTTATTCCCCACTTTTCTAGCGCCTCTCTGCACTGCAGCAGTTTTGAGAGCCATCCTTGTCATGCAGGAATTAGACCTGGGTTTGAATGACTGCTCCACCATTATGTAGGCAAGTGTCAGCATTAAGTTGTTTCAAGGAAGACTTTAAGCTAGACTGAATCTTGGCTTTGCTACTTACTAGTGTGGGACCTTGGACAAGTGATTATGCCCGTAATCCTGGCCCTTTGGGAGACCAAGGCAGGCGGATCCCTTGAGGTCTGGAGTTCAAGACCAGCCTGACCAACATGGTGAAACCTCATCTCTACTAAAAATACAAGAATTAGCCGGGTGTGGTGGTGCATGCTTGTAATCCTAGCTACTTGGGAGGCTGAGGTGAGAGGATTGCTTGAACCTGGGAGGCAGAGGTTGCAGTGAGCCAAGACAGTGCCACTGCACTCCAGCCTGGGCAACAGAGTGAGCCTCCATCTCAAAAAAAAAAAAAGAAGAAGAAGGATGGGTAATAATGGAATTTACCTCATAGTGTTACTATGAGGATTAGATGAGTTGCGCTTAGGGTAGTTTCTGATAGATATGTAGTAAGCACCAGGTCAACATTAGCTAAGGTAGAGTTCTGTGACCTTGGACAAGTAAATTCACTTCTCTGAGTCTCTGTTTCCACATTTGAAAAAGACAATGAAGATGAATGTATTTCATGGAGTTGCGAGAATTTGCCCCTGGGCTTCATGTATTAATGAGCATTCAACAAATAGTTCCTGGAATTAATTAGTATTATTGGTCTCTCTGCATCACTGCATGTGACTTCCAGCCAAGCAAGATTGGGCAGGAAGGATTGGGTGGTGGTGAAGAGCGCAGGATATAGAACTAGGCTGCCTGGGTTCTTATTCTGCCTCCACCATTTATTCTGTAACTTTAGGACAATATGTTTAGCCTCTCTGTGTCTCAGTTTCCTCTTCTACGAAATGTTATTCTGATGACACTTCTTCAGGAGCTCTGTGAGGATTAAATGAGATGCTACATGTAAAAGGCTTAGGAAATGTTAGCCACTTAATTCTACTTTGGAAAATTTTAATCATTGCTGTTTTTTATCTCAACTGTTTTGGCACTGTAACTAGCACATAGTAACTACTCAGTAAGTAGTTAAATGAATATCGTAAGTATTCAATATACTTCTGTTAGTACAGAGCAGTATAATAGTCAGAATTTAGGAATTAAAGCGGTCGTATGCCTGGTTTCCTAGTTATTGGAGGGTTGGAAGTTCAGTCATTCTTGTCACTTTCACAAAGAGTTCTTCTGTCTGTAGCTCCCCTCTCACTGCAGGATTGTAAGTGCTTTGCAATGTCCAGGCCTCCTGCCTCTAAGTGCTTCACACACTCTCAGTTCCCCTCTGCTTTCTCTCACTTTGCATTACTTTCTGGGTCATCAGAGATGAGGTAGAGGTGATAAGAGGAAACCAAGGACTGGGATTTGAAATAAAAAATTTAGCCTCTAGGCCCAGTTCTATCAATTTCTTTTTCTTTCTTTAATTGTAGCTATGCCCTCTTGAGCAAGTCACTTAACCTCTCTAGTCCTAAGCATCCTTCCCTACAGAATGGGAATAATATCTTCCCACATAAGATTTGTGGTAGTGGATCAAATAGGGTACAGCATGGGAAGAAACTTTGTAAAATAAATCGATAAAGCAAGAAGAGTGTTGTTATGACTATTGTAACCTCCAGATGTGAAATTGGGGGCTGGCTCCACAATCCTGACGCTTCTTTTTTTGTTTGTGTTTTGTTTTTTGAGATGGAGTTTCACTCTTGTTGCCCAGGCTGGAGTGCAATGGCGCGATCTCGGCTCACCGCAACCTCTGCCTCCGGGTTCAAGAGATTCTCCTGCCTCAACGTCCCAAGTAGCTGGGATTACAGGCACGCCCTATTTTCTATTTTTTAAATTTATTTTTCTTGAAGCACAAGAATCACTTCAACCCAGGAGGCGGAGATTGTGGCTAATTTTGTATTTTATTTATTCATTTAGTTATTTATTTTTAGAAGAGACGAGGTTTCTCCATGTTGGTCAGGCTGGTCTCCAACTCCCGACCTCAGGTGATCCGCTCACCTCAGCCTCCCAAAGTGCTGAGATTACAGGCATGAGCTGCACCTGGCCAATCCTGACACTTTTTTTTTTTTTTTAAGACAGCATCTTCACTTTGTCATCAGGCTGGAGTGCGGTGGCACTATCTCGGCTTACTGCAACCTTCGCCTCCCAGGTTCAAGCGATTCTCCTGCCTCAGCCTCCCGAGTAGGTGGGATTACAGGTGCGTGCCACCACACCCAGTTAATTTTTTTTGTGTGTGTGCTTTTAGTAGAGACAGCGTTTCACCATGTTGGCCAGAATGGTCTCGATCTCTTGACCTCGTGATCCGCCCGCCTCGGCCTCCCAAAGTGCTGTGATTATAGGCGTGAGCCACCATGCCCGGCCAATCCTCACACTTTTTAAAGGGCGGTTGGTTGTATAAGGACAAGAAATTAACTAACAGACCTAAAAATATCTCTTGCTTCCTTTTTCAGCTTAACTGCAGGACCCTTTGTTTAATTTTCTTCATGTTTTTCCCTTGTCATAAAAGATTTTACTTCCTTCTCCCAATGTATTTCAATTTTTGCATCTTAAAGATGCATTTGGGGCCAGGCGCGGTGGCTTAACACCTGTAATCCCAGCACTTTGGGAGGCTGAGGCGGGCGGATCACCTGAGATCGGGAGTTCAAGACCAGCCTTACCAACATGGAGAAACCCCATCTCTACTAAAAATACAAAATTAGCCAGGCGTGGTGGCACATGCCTGTAATGTCAGCTACTCGAGAGTCTAAGGCAGGAGAATTGCTTGAACCTGGGAGGCAGAGGTTGTAGTGAGCCGAGATCGCGCCAATGCACTCCAGCCTGGGCAACAAGAGCAAAACTCGGTCTCAAAAAAAAAAATGCATTTGGATACTACTTCACAGCCTCCAGGATGGGTATAACAAAAAAGACAGTCACAAGTGTTTGTGAGGATGTGGAGAAATTGTGGAGAAATTAGAACCCCTACACACTACTTGGTGGGAATGTAAAATGGTACAGCCCCTTTGGAAAAATATTTGGCAGCTCCTCAAATATTAAACATAGAGTTATCATATGACCTAGAAATTCTGCTTTTAGGTATATACCCAGGAGAAATGAGAAAACATGTCTACATAAAAACTTGTACACAGATGTTCATAGCAGTACTATTCATAATAATCAAAAACAGGGCTGAGTGCAGTGGCTCACGCCTATTAATCCCAGCACTTTGGGAGGCTAAGGTGGGTGGATCACCTGAGATCAGGAGTTCCAGACCAGCCTGTACAACATGGAGAAACCCTGTCTCTAATAAAAATACAAAAATTATCTGTGCGTGGTGGTACATGCCTATAGTCCCATCTACTCAGGAGGCGAGGCACAAGAATAGCTTGAACCCAGGAGGCAGAGGTTGCAGTGAGCTGAGATTGCACCATGACACTCCAGCCTGGGTGACAGAGCAAGATTCTGTCTTAAATAAATAAATAATCAAGGGCCGGGCACGGGGACTCATGCCTGTAACCAGCACTTTGGGAGGCCGAGGTGGGTGGATCACCTGAGGTTGGGAGTTCAAGACCAGCCTGACCAACATGGAGAAACCCTGTCTCTACTAAAAATACAAAATTAGCCGGGCATGGTGGCTCATGCCTGTAATCCCAGGACTTTGGTAGGCTGAGGCGAGTGGATCACGAGGTCAGGCATTCAAGACCAGCCTGGCCAAGATGGTGAAACCTCGTCTCTACTAAAAATACAAAAATTAGCTGGGCACGGTGGCAGGCACCTATAGTCCCAGCTACTTGGGAGGCTGAGGCAGAAAAATTGCTTGAACCCAGATGGCAGAGGTTGCAGTGAGCCGAGATTGCGCCACTGCACTCCAGCCTGGGTGACAGAGCGGGACTCCGTCTCAAAATAAAATAAAATAAAATAAAATAAAATAAAATAAAATAAAATAAAGAAGCCCAACAATATCACTATTCTCTTTCTAGCAATGGTAGCAATTATAATAATAACAATAACACTTACATGGCACCTATTACCTGGTAAGGACTCTTCTAAGCACTTTATGTATGGTAATGCCTTTAATCTTTATAGCAACTCTATGTAGCAGATACCTTTATTACTTTTATTTTGTAGATTAAAAAATTGAGGAAAAGATCATTTAAACCAACAGGCCATAGATTATTCAGCCAGAAAGTTACGGTAGAGTTGAGTGTTTCTGCTCTTAAGCACTATGATAAGCTACAATACTGTTCCCAACTAGTGACTTAGAGGGTTAAAAAAAATGAAACACTAAAACAACTTTAAAACAGAATCATGTATATGAGAATATCACATTGCAGTGTGACAACTTTGGTAAATAAAAAAGTAGACAAGTAGCTTTTCCATTCTGTTGGGGAAAATCTGATTTATTCCTGTGAGTATTTATATTTTGACAAGGTAGGATTGTCACTTTCTCTACTAAATATTAAACTCAATCTTTCTGACATGTGGTTTTAAAAAGTGAATTTGGACTCCACTGATTCAGAATTTGTAACCATTTTAATGGGAAGATAAATTGCAGTTCTATTTTGCCATCTGTGAGAATGGGAGTAGGGTAAGGAAGAGAATTCAGAATGTATAATAAAGGGAATGCTTAAATAGAGAGAAAATGCATCAATCATTAATTTCACTTTAATTCATTTAATTTCATTAATTCATAATTAATTTCACTTTTGCTCCTCTACCAAGATGAAGTGTGCTGATTACAACAATCTTATCCAATCACTAAGGCTGACTTCCCAAAAGCAACTTACTAGGCTATGAATTTAGTTAGCTAAGTTGGAGGAAATGCAGTTCTTTCAAATTGTTTGTCACCTTTGCCTTTTTTCTATAACAGGCTGCCTTTCAGGCTCTTACAGGCTTACTATTGTCTTTTTAATAAAAACGTCTTTAATAAATATTGAATTGCTTTCCTAAATTTGCTTTGCAAATGTTAATGCAGTTTTCAGAAAAAAGGTAAAAACAGGCCAGGTGTGGTGGGTCAGGCCTGTAATCCTGGCACTCTGGGAGGCCGAGGTGGGCAGATCACTTGAGGTCAGAAGTTCCAGACCAGCCTGGCCAACATAGTGAAATCCCGTCTCTGCTAAAATTACAAAAAAATTAGCTGGGGGTGGTGGTGCGTGCTTGCAGTCCCAGCTACTCTGGAGGCTGAGGCAGGAGAATCGCTTGAACCAGGAAGGCAGAGGTTGCAGTGAGCTGAGATGGCACCACTGAACTCCAGCCTGGGAGACACAGTGAGACTCTGTCTCAAAAAAAATAATAAAAAAAAAAAAGGTAAAATGGGCCTTTGAACCAAAGATCAAGCTCTAATAAATCGAATATGAGATAAGGAATTTAGAGCATACACAACAGGACAAGGAGAAATAATTCATTTTATTCAAGTAGGCACCTAAGGAACTTTACGGTTGGTATAAGAATATCTTAGGGGGTGTCCCTTAGAAGCTAGGATTGAAATTTTCTTCTCCTAAACAGCAGAGAGATATCCTGGAGTCAGTAAATTACTGCCTATACAGATTTTTGAAAAAGAAGGGCTTTAGGAAATGAAGAGTCCCTGTATTTGGAGTCAATGGTCAAGAGCCTAATTCATGTAGAATGTTTATTCTATTTTTATTTATTTATTTATTTATTTATTTTTGAGATAGGGTCTCACTCTGTCACCCAGGTGGTGTGCAGTGGTGCAATCGCGGCTCACTGCAACCTCTGCCTCCCAGGTTCGAGTGATTGTCCCGCCTCAGCGTCCTGAGTAGCTGGGATTACAGGCAAGCGCCACCACGCCCGGCTAATTTTTTAATTTTTAGTAGAGATGAGGTTTCTCCACGTTGGCCAGGCTTGTCTCGAACTCCTGACCTCAGGTTTTCTACCCGCCTTGGCCTCCCAAAATGCTGGGATTACAGGGATGAGCCACTGCGCTCGGCCTTGTAATTACTTTTCTAAAAGGCCATTGCTGATATAAGTTATGGCTTCCATCAGCTTTGGAATCAATAAAACTGAAAATAAGTTAAACCTCAAGAGAAGAGAATGCAAGGTGAAGGAAGGTCATTCTTCTGTCCTGTTGTGTTATTTCTTTTTTAATTTTTTAAATTTTAGAAAAAAATACATTGTTTTATATCTTTTTTTATTATTTATTTTTATTTTTATTTTTTTAGACAGTGTCTCACTCTTGTTGCCCAGGTGCAGTGGCATGATCCTGGCTCACTTCAACCTCTGGGTCCTGGGCTCTTGTGATCCTTCCACCTCAACCTCCCAAGTATCTGAGACTCAAGTATCTGAGACTCAGGCATGTACCACCACACCTGGCTAATTTTTGTATTTTTTGTAGAGATGGGGTCTTGCCATGTTGCGCAGGCTGATCTCAAACTCCTGGACTCCAGCAATCCTCCCACCTCAGCCTCCCAAAGTGCTGATATTAGAGGCCATCAGCACCAGCTTCTTGTCCTGTTCTTTCTAGCTTTCATTTGAGTCAGGAGTTCATTTCCCCTTCATTGGTGGCTCTTAAATGGTTGGTTTCCATGAGTTTAGTGATTAGGAAATGACAAAGGAAAGAACAATCGGTCCTACTTTCTACACGGTAATTATACTTTTCCGTGTTCCATTATCTACCAAGGAGAGGTGGGTACCAAATCTGAGATCCTTGTTCTAGTATTATCAGCCTTAACTAAACTTAGAAGTTTATGGCAGTGATTGTTTCTATGTATCATTAGATACACGGGGGACATCGTGAAGATGGAGTTGGGGAGAGGATTTAGTGGGACAGATAGGATGCTTGCAAGGTGGTACCTTCAGGATCAACTTGAGCTATTTTCATCAGGGCTGGCTGCAGAGAATCACTTTTTGGTAGCTTTACAAATATTTGTGAGGTTGGGTGGGGAGATGAGGAGAGAAAACACACCCTGCAGTGTGAGACAAGATATGCTTTAGGGCCGGGCGCGGTGGCTCACCCCTGTAATCCCAGCACTTTGGGAGGCCGAGGCGGGCGGATCACGAGGTCAGGAGATCAAGACCATCCTGGCTAACACGGTGAAACCCCGTCTCTACTAAAAATACAAAAACATTAGCCGGGTGTGGTGGCAGACGCCTGTAGTCCCAGCTACTCAGGAGACTGAGGCAGGAGAATGGCGTGAACCCGGGAGGTGGAGGTTGCAGTTAGCCGAGATCGCGCCACTGCACTCCAGCCTGGGCGACAGAGCGAGACTCGTCTTAAAAAAAAAAAAAAAAAAAAAAAGAAGGATATGCTTTAGTATTCCCACTTTTCAGATAACAGCTGTTGCTAGGGTGTAGCAAAAGGGAACAAATGTCATGGCCTCTAGCTTGGGGAAGCCCGTGGCAGCTGCAGAGGAGGAGGTAGGTAGCAGCTGAGGGAGGCTCAAGGCTCAAGTCTTTCCACCTATAACTCTCAGGCTGCTACTTATAGATCTGTTTGACTGTGTTTGTTTGCTTTGATCCTTGTGTCCTCCTATCTCCCTGCAATACTTTTACCTACAGATTTTGGGTTCTGATATTTACCCGGAAGCTCTCTTCATTGAGTAAGCCTTGGGCCAGTAGGTATCTATGTCTTGGCCTTGTTTAGAGCATCCAGCTCCATGAGGCACTCCTTTGAGTGATGAAACTATTACAGCTATAGAGAACAGAACCTTGTCCTTTGTGTGCAGAGCAGGCAGGATTCAGAAGGACTAGTCCTAGCACAGTACGCTCAGTAGCTACTCTGACCTTGACTTAAGGTATAAGAAACAAATGAACATTCTCATAGCCATTCTCTCATTGCATGCCACCCTCGTTTCATTAGAGTTAGGTTAGAGTTAGAGTGAGATGAAGTTTCTCTGTCGCCCAGCCTGGAGTGCAGTGGCATGATCTTGGCTCACCGCAACCTCCGGTTCCCAGGTTCAAGCGATTCTCCTGCCTCAGCCTCCCCAGTAGCTGGGACTACAGGCAGGCACCACCACACCTCACTAATTTCTGTATTTTCAGTAAAGATGGGGTTTCACCATATTGGCCAGGCTGGTCTCAAACTCCTGACCTCAAGTGATCTGCCCACCTCGGCCTCCCAAAGTGCTGGGATTACAGGCATGAGCCACTGCACCTGGCCGGTTGCATTTTATTATGTATGAAGTTTGGCTAACATCTAACAAACATTGAAATTCTGGAGGAATACTATGCGAGTCGTGAGTGGTGTCCGAAAGCAAAGAAGACAGTGTAGTGGGGGGACAGTGTAGAAATAAAGAATTATTTGCTGATTTAAGGACAACCAATATGAGAAAAGGCAATTTGCAAAGAAAAAAAATACTTTTAAAGGATTGGCTTTTTTTTTTTTTCATGTTGAAGGATTGAGCACATATTTCTATTGAGGATCTTGAGTTAGTTTGCTACTTAAAATGCAAGTTCCTTATACAGATAAGGTTTGTGTCCTATTTCCAAACACATATAATGAGTGTAGTAAAGAGGGAATTTCTTTTTTTGTTTTTCTTTTTTGGAGATAGAGTCTCTCTCTGTTGCTCAGGCTGGAGTGTGGTGGCATGATTGCAACCTCTGCTCCCAGGGTTCAAGCTCACTGCAACCTCCGCTTCCAGGGTTCAAGCTCACTGCAACCTCCGCTTCTAAGGTTCAAGCAATTCTTGTGCCTCAGCTTCCTGAGTAGCTGGGACTACAGGCATGAACCACCATGCCCAGCTAATTGTTTGTATTTTAGTAGAGATGAGGTTTTACCATGTTGTCCAGGCTGGTCTCAAACTTTTGAGCTCAGGCAATCGGCCCGTTTTGGATTATAGGCGTGAGCTACCTTGCCTGGCCTGAATTTCTTGATTTGAATAACTATTGTTTTGCTTCTTAGTTTCTTTCTCCTTTCCCAAGAGGAAAGGAGAATGGGGTAACCTTGGACCCTCTTTTCACTGAATTTTTTTTAAAGCGCTACTTATTTTTTCTCTTTAACTTTTCTATATATGAAAGTGATGTACACAGAATATATTCACTGCAAAAAGTGGGGTTTATTCCCTGTAGTGGTATATGACTGTGTTTTACATTGAAGTGTGAAATGCCCCTTAATCATCTTAAGTTATATTGTGGTTGATAAAATAAGACTTTACCAAATCTCTTCCTATTTTGTTCTGAGGAACTGACAATAATAAAACTGTTTAGGGATGTGGTTTTGAGGGAATTACCTAATGTATGACTCTGATTCATTTTCCCTCACATTGCCAATTACATTCTACAAACCAGTCATCAATAAAATAAATTCTAACGGTAGAAACAAATTCTACTGTTATACAGTGAGCATAGCCTAGGTCGTCATGAGAGAGGATTAGCAGGCCTTGACGCCATGATAAGGAACATTTTTTTCTCTTGTTATACTTGAAGAGCCAGAAGCCATCACATAATATTTAAGGACATCCAAGTATAAGCAATAGGAGTAAGTTAGAGCTTTTTCCTCTAACATTGTATTATGAAAAATTTCAAATGTACAGAAAAGTTTAAATAATTTTACAGTGAATACTCATGTCCACCACTTAAGATTCCACAATTAACATTTCACTGTATTGCTTTATCACATGACTATCCATCTAGCTCTCCCTCTATCCATCTGTCAATTAATTCATCTTTTTTTGGAAAGTATTTCAGAGTACGTTGTAGACAATAATACACTTTTCCTAAAACCTTCAGCTCTCGGTGTACTAACTAGTATTCACTCTTTGCTTTTGGTTCTTTTTTTCAGAGATAAAATTTATATACAATAAAATATGCCATTTGATGAATATTGACTAAAGCAATTGCACATCTATACAACGCAAATCCCTATCCAGATATTTTTTAATGCTTTTGACTGCAAGAAACAATCAGCTTAAACTGTTGCCTCCTATAAGTGGAAGTTCAGGAGATACAATGCCTTAAAATTTAATTCATTCTCTGCAATTCTTTTGGTTCTCTCTTGTAGCTCCTTCATGTGCCAGCTCTTTTATTGGTTGGCTTCATCTTCCAGCCAGTGGTAGAACAGGAATGTCAGGCCTCATATGGCTTGTAATAACATCTGGGAGAAAGGGAAGTATTTCCATTCAGGACTCCAATCACAAGTCCTGAGGTTCACCCTGACTTCGTTGGTTAGGTCACATGCCTATTCCTGAGTCGGTGGGATTGTAGCCAGGGGAGGGGAATGACACAAGCCAAGGGGGCATCTCCCCCAGTACACACACACAGACACACACACACATACACATACACATACACACACAGACACACACATATACACACAGATACACACACACAGATACATACATACACACATAGACACATACAGGAGTCACTCCACGATTCACGCACAACCCTATTCTACCACTTCCAGAAAAACTGCGCTGGTTAATATAATTTTCTGCTATTTTGAGAAAGGGAAAAACCCACTAGTACATGTTGTTTTGAGAAAAAGAAAAATAGTGTAACAAATTAGAAAATACTCCAGTGAAAAGACAATCTTATTTCTTTGCAAATGTAAAACTACGATGCGGGAGGTCAACACTGTGATAGTAATCCTTAAATTTATAATAGACAACTATATTTCAGCTAATTTTATGAGAATTTCTTTTAAACAAACCCTATTTTTGGCAAATGATACCATTTCTTCACTTGCTCAGCTCATATTTACTCAGTGCCTGCTATTTGTCGGGCATCTCAGTACTAGCTGTGAGAGATACCAAGTGAAATAAGAGAAGGCTTTTATTCTTGAGCAGCTCAAAATGTATCCTGCCCAGTTTTACCAAGTGTGTGTACTAAGTGGAATTCATGACCTAAAACCACATTATATTAAAGACTATGGAGAAATGGTTATGTGTTTTTACCAGTCCCTTCCCCTTCCCCTCCCCTCCCCCTCCCCTCCCCCCCCCCTCCCCTCCTCCCCTCCCCTCCCCTCCCCTCCCTTCCCTTCCCTTCCCTTCTTTCTGGAGTTTTACTCACTCTGTCGCCTGGGCTGGGGTTCAGTGGCATAATCTCAGCTCCCTGCAACCTCTGCCTCCAGGGTTCAAGTGATTCTCCTGCTTCAGCCTACTAAGTAGCTGGGGATTACAGGCATGCAACACCATAGGCTCTTTATCACTTATCCTAGGTTTATGGTCTTAAGCCCCCTTACCCTGCACTCCTTTCCCCTCCCCCTATCCCCATCCCCTCCCCCCCTCCCCCCTCCCCCTCCCCCCTCCCCTCCCGTTCCCCCTCCCCTCCCCTCCCCTCCCCTCCCTTCCCCTTCCCTTCCCCTTCCCTTCTCTTCTTTCTGGAGTTGTACTCACTCTGTCACCCAGGCTGGAGTTCAGTGGTGTAATCTCAGCTCGCTGCAACCTCTGCCTCCAGGGTTCAAGTGATTCTCCTGCTTCAGCCTACCAAGTAGCTGGGATTACAGGCATGCAACACCACGCCCAGCTAATTTTTTCATTTTTAGTAGAGATGGGGTTTCACCATGTTGGCCAGGCTGGTCTCTAACCCCTGACCTGACCTCAAGTGATCCGCCCACCTCAGCCTCCCCAAGTGCTAGGATTACAGGTGTGAGCCACTGCAGCTGTTTTTGTTTTCTCTTTCTTTCTTTGTTTTGTTTTTTGGACACATGGTCTTGCTCTGTCACCCGGGCTGGAGTGCAGGGGCATGATCACAGCACACTGCACCCTTAACCCTACCCGCTCAAGTGAGCCCCCTGCCTCAGCCTCTGAGTAGCTGGGACTACAGGTGTGTGCCAACACACCTGGCTAATTTTTTTAATTTTTAGTAGAGTCGACATCTCACTGTATTGCTCAAGCTGTTCTCAAACTCCTGGGCTCAAGTAATCTTCCCACCTTGGCTTCCCAAAATGTTGGGATTACAGAGGTGAACCACTGTACTGGGCCTCAGTTATTTATTTTTTTTTACTACAACAATTAATTTAAAATGTTATTTGTTTTATTAGAAAGAGAACAAAGAGAACACAACATCATATTTTTCTCCTTCTAGGAGAAACAACTCCTCCAAATAGAATAACCAAGTGATGCCACACTCGTAGGTAACTATGTTTCTTCTGAAATTATACTGCTTCCTTAGAATTATGATACTATACTATTAGAATTGTCATATATCAAGCCCTCTCCTCCCCTGCCTTTAGCTCTCGACTTGGCAGAAGTGTCGAAAAGCTATAGAAAAGATTGGATTATACATTTTGAAGCCAAAAGTTGACTCAACAGTGGCATAAAGGGCTCTGTCTTCCTGTTGAATTCTGGGCAGGATTTTTCTCAGTGCCTCATCACTAGTTTGATAAACAGTCAACAATCAACAATCTTGATGGATAAACAAGAATTCTTTATCCAAGGCTGGCACGGTGGCTCACGCCTGTAATCCCAGCACTTTGGGAGGCCGAGGCAGGCAGATGGCTTGAGGCCAGGAGTTTGAGACCAGCCTGGCCAATATGGTGAAACCCCGTCTCTACTAAAAATATAAAAATTAGCCAGGTGTGGTGGTGCACACCTGTAGTCCCAGCTACTCAGGAGGCTGAGGCAGAAGAATTGCTTGAACCTGGGAGGTAGAGGTTGCAGTGAGCAGAGATTATGCCATTGCACTCCAGCCTGGGTGACAGAGCAAGACTCTGTCTCAGCAAAAAAAAAAAAAAAAAAAAAAAGACTTCTTTGTCTGTTCATTTGTATTTGTCCTGAGGTAAAATCAATTTTATGAAGGGGTGTATATCATATAGGAGTGGGAGTTGGGAGAATGCCTGGGCGGAAAAGGGCAAAAGCACATATTATGGAAATCTCATGTCTCATACATTATTCATATAATGAATTTATTTAAAAATTTGTACACAATAACTTTAATAAATATACTGATAATTCAATAGATATAAAAACTGGGAAACATTAAAATGAAGTTATTCAAAATCTAAGGGTGGAGGAGTTAGGGAGTATTGAAGATGTTATCAGGCATCCTTGGCAAAGAAGGACACTTAAAAAAGTAAGTCATGCTTCTAACACAAGGGAAGATAACTGTCTTAGAAACTTCCACAGAAGCTGGGTGCAGTGGCTCACGTCTGTGATCCCAGCACTTTGGGAGGCTGAGGTCGGAAGATGGCTTGAGCCTATGAGTTTCAGACCAGCCTGGGCAACACTGGGAGACCCCATCTCTACAGAAATTTTAAAAATTAGCCAGGTGTGTTAGTGCATACCTGTGATCTGAGCTACTTGGGAGGCTAAGGTGGGAGGATCACTTAAGCCCAGGAGGTCGAGACTGCAGTGAGCCATGTTCGGGCTACTGCACTCCAGCCTGGGTGACAGAGCGAGAGCTTGTCTCAGAAAGGAAAAAGAGGAGAGGAGAGGAGACGGGAGGGGAGAGAAGGGGTGGGGAGGTGGGGAGGGGACGGGAGGGGAGGGAAGGGAAGGGGAGGGGAGGGGAGGATGGGGAGGGGAGGGGAGGGGAGAGGAGGGGAGGACAGGGGAGAGGAGTGGAGAAGGGAAAGCAGTGCAGGGCAAGGGGGCTTAAGACCATAAACCTAGAATAAGTGATAAAGAGCCTATGTTGTGGGAAACCAGGCCAGAATTGACCCTTTAGCTTCTGGGTTGCCCTTCTGACCTAACAAGCTTGTGGCAGTAGCTCAGTACAGTATGAAGTCTTCTCATGACTTTTAGATGAATTTGGGACAAAAAGTTAGAGGTGATGATAATCATTGTAGAGAAGTGATCAAGGTGTCTTTTTTGTTGTTGTTTTGTTTTGTTTTGTTTTGTGTTTTTAGACGGAGTCTCACTCTGTTGCCCAGGCTGGAGGGCAGTGGTGCAATCTTGGCTCACTGGAACATCTGCCTCCTGGGTTCAAGTGATTCTCGTGCCTCAGCCTCCTGAGAAGCTGGGATTACGGGCATGGGCCGCTACACCCAGCTAATTTTTGTATTTCGGGTCAAGACAAGGTTTCCCAGGCTGATCTTGAACTCCTGACCTGAAGTGATCCACTCACCTTGACCTCCCAAAGTGCTGGGATTACAGGTGTGAGCCATCACGCCTGGCAAGGTGTCCATTGTTATATGAGTTTTTTTGTTTGTTTGTTTGTTTGTTGTTGTTGTTGTTGTTGTTTGAGACAGGGTCTCACTCTGTCACCCAGGCTGGAGTGCAGTGGCACAATCTTGGCTCACTGCAACCTCCCTCTCCCAGGTTCAAGTGATTCTCCTGACTCAGCCTCCCAAGTAGCTGGGATTACATGCGCCCGCCACCATGCCCAGCTAATTTTTGTATTTTTAGTAGAGATGGGGTTTCACCATGTTGGCCAGGCTGGTCTTGATCTCCTGACTTCAGGTGATCCACCCACCTCGGCCTCCCAAATTGTTAGGATTACAGGCATGAGCCACCGTGCCTGGCCTATATGTGAGTTTTGAAGAAATGCGACAATTCAGTCATTTGTTAAATAATAGTGATAGCAATGTTGTCATGTCCTATTTTATGCTTTTATATGTACATTATTTCCTTGAATTCTTACAATAATTTTATTATCTCCATTTTAAAATGGAAGAAACCAAGGCATGAGCAACTTGCCATGGTCACACATGTGGTAAGTATGGGAGCTTGGTTTATTGGTTTTGAATCCAGGCCTCTCAGAATACATACATACAGCTGTGGAAGTAGCCCTGTAAAATATCAAGAAGTAAGGCTTATTCTGTTTGCCTTCGGGTCACAGTCTAAGCAGGATGGGAAGGAGGAAAAGACATATGCATTTAGGTACTAATTCAAAAGGGCAATATATAGAATGGTTTAAACAATAATGGGGATTTCTTAAGCTTATGTAACATTAAATTTCAGGAGAGGGTTTGATCAGAATTTCAGGTCTATTCCTCCCATCCAAGTACCCAGGCTGGAGGGCAGTGGTGCAATCTTGGCTCACTGGAACATCCTGTGGACAGGCCTGTAATCACAGGATTACAGGCCTGTCCCTGCTTAGCTTCCGAGATCAGATGGGATCTGGCACGTTCAGGGTGGTATGGCTGTAGACTCGGTCTATTTCTCTTAAATTTCCTTGATTCTACTCTGAGCTTTCACGATGTCTTCATGAAGACTTCTTTTATAGTCTTACAATGGCCACCCGCAGCAATCAAGACTGAAGACGGGGCTGTCTGCCATTCACCATCCACAAAAGTTGTGAGCTCTGATCTTTTTGAATCATCTTAACTCACAGACCCACTAGATATTAAGGCACAGCAATGTCCTTCATTGGTTGAAGAAAATATTCCATAGAAAAAGATACAGGCTGAGAAAACTTAGGAGATGTTAGTGTACATTTTGTTCTTTACTACTTACAATGTAATTGTCCTGGTGTAAACCTCCTCACCGTGAGGACGGCCTGTTCATCATGCTCACTCCTTCACCCCAAACCATTCCCTTACTTGGAAGATATGCCTGTCCCCCCCAGCAAAGATTTGCTCAGTAATAAAGTAAAATAGAGCTCTCAACATATGACTGAAGTGGCAATTGGCTTACATTCAAATTTCATGGAATGATTTTTGTATTACTTGAGTTTTGATGTCTTTCCAAGAAACACCTCCACTCAGAGAGAGTCCCAGCCAAAGCTGTATAAAAGTCATCTCTTTGTATAAGCAAAGCTACTTGAGGAATAATTAAGATGCAGACTTCTGGGAAAACTGCAAAATGTTCTTTACTTGCATAACTCAACTGAGTAAAGGTCTTTCAGGTCATGTGTTTCAATATATTTGTCATCCCCTCAGCCTCTGTTGGAGCTACCTTTGTTTTTTTGTTTTTTGTTTTGTTTTGTTTTGTTTTTTGAGACAGAGTCTGGCTGTGTCACCCAGGCTGGAGTGCAGTGGTGCAATCTTGGCTCACTGCAACCTCCACCTCCCGGGTGGAAGCAGTTCTCCCACTTCAGCCTCCCGAGTAGCTGGGACTACAGGCACGTGCCACCACGCCCAGCTAATTTTTGTATTTTCAGTAGAGACGGGGTTTTGCCATGTTGGCCAGGCTGGTCTCAAATTCCTGACATCAGGTGATCTGCCCGCCTTGGTCTCCCAAAGTGCTGGGATTACAGGCATGAGCTACTATACCTGGCCTGGAGCTACCTTTGATTATCAAGGTGTCAATATTTTTCTCCACTATTAATAAGATTAAGCTTATACCTCAGTATATCATTGCATTGACATTACAACAGTAACTTTGGCATTGATTTTGTACTGCATCTTACCATAAATATAAGTAATAGTAATGAATCCAAATAAAAGTGGTTTTATGCTCAGATAATACTGTATGAGTTTAGCCTTTTATTCTATGAAATGGGTAGCACGTGTCCACATGCAGCAAACCTTTTGTACTCATGTACTGACAAGGAACTGTGATATGAAAAGCATGATTTTTCTTATGCCTGTGTTGACTACAAAAGAGAGAAGCTCCAGTTAAACCCATTGAGAAGCATCTATGAAATACAAGAAGCTGGGCTTGGAGCCAACACATTTGTCTACATGTTCACTATTTGCTGAGTCTGCGCTAATGAGAGCTTTAAGCCAAGAAGAGCAGAGTCTGATTACTAAGGACTTTATTATAATTTTTTTTTTTTTTGAGACGGAGTCTCGCCCTGTTGCCCAGGCTGGAGTGCAGTGGCACGATCTTGGCTCACTGCAACCTCTGTTTCCCAGGTTCAAGCGATCCTCCTGCCTCAGTCCCCTTAGTAGCTGGGATTACAGACACACGCCACCATGCCCGGCTAAATTTTGTATTTTTAGTAGAGACGGGGTTTCACCATGTTGGCCAGGCTGGTCTCGAACTCCTGTTCTCAGGTTATCCACCTGCCTCGGCCTCCCAAAGTCCTGGGATTACAGGCATGAGCCACCGCGCCTGGCAGACTTTATTATAATTTACAATTACATCTTTCAAGTGAAGGTATAGTGGTTAGGGGCAGGAATTCTTTAGAAACCACTATCCCAATGCACCAGGATTTATTAAGCCATTTCATTTATCATGGGACAAAAAGTTATTTGATTATTTATATGCTTAATTAACCAGGGGAAATCTCTTCAATTGTCTTCCTCTGCTTTGGGTGGTTATTCAGCTGCTAGATAATTTCTTTCCCTAAAGGGGAACACAGAGAAGGAGAGGAAGTTGGTTTGGCTACTTGTCAGCAGTTCTGGAAGAACGTTTATTCAGGGAGGAGTTTGAAATCTGTGAGAATTTGGGCATTATCTGGACATTTTTGGTTCCTTCATGTTGTTCCTGTCTATCTGTAGTCTATGATTTCCTGGATGAAGCCAGACTTACTGAGAGTGCATGAAGTTGGTGGATGAATCTCATAAAGATCTTCTCTCCTAGGCCAGGCCTGGTGGCTCGTGCCTGTAATCCCAGCTCTTTGGGAGACCGCAGTAGGTGGATCACTTGACGTCAGGAGTTTGAGACCAGCTTGACCAACATGGTGAAACCCTGTCTTTACTAAAAATACAAAAATTAGTGGGTGTGGTGGCATGCGCCTGTAACCCCAACTACTCGGGAGGCTGAGGCAGGAGAATTGCTTGAACCCAGTGACAGAGAAGACTCCGTCTCAAAAAAAAAAAATCTCTCCATAGGTTCTTGAGATTCAGAACACTACTCTGTCACCTGTAACTCTGCTACCCTACCAGTGTTCCTCCATTGATTCTCCAGCCTCTGCCAGAGAAAACTTCTAGTGGCCAGAACTCTATCTCATCTTCGTGAACTTCTAAATAGACAGGTGTTGAGGGAAAGGCCACCATCACTATGGTAGTCATACTAACGGGATCTATATACTTTTGGGGAAATCATTGCAATCTTTATTAACAGCTTGTGTGAAAGGAAATTTTATTATGATATTTATCCTCACAGTTGTTTTGTTTTTTGATACAAGGTCTTCCTTTGTTGCCCAGGCTGAAATGCTGTGGTGTGATGATGGCTCACTGCAGCATTGACTTCCTGGGCTCAAGCGATCCTTCCACCTTAGCTTACCCTTGAGTAGCTGGGACACCACACCCAGCTAATTAAAAATTTGTTGTTGTTGTTCTTGAGACAGGGTCTCACTATGTTGTCCAGGCTGGTCTCAAACTCCTGGGCTCAAGCGAGCCTCCCACGTCGGCCTCCCAAGGTGCTGGGATTATGTCTTTGGTGTGAACCACTGCACCTGGCCTCTAATAGTTCTTTTTTATTTATTTATTTATTTATTTATTTTTTGAGACAGAGTCTCGCTCTGTTGCCCAGCCTGGAGTGCAGTGGCGCAATCTTGGCTCACTGCAAGCTCCGCCTCCTGGGTTCACGGCATTCTCCTGCCTCAGCCTCCCAAGTAGCTGGGACTACAGGCACCCGCCACTATGCCCGGCTAATTTTTTGTATTTTTAGTAGAGGCAGGGTTTCACTGTGTTAGCCAGGATGGTCTCGATCTCCTGACCTCATGATCTGCCCACCTCTGCCTCCCAAAGTGCTAAGATTACAGGCGTGAGCCAACGCGCCTGGCCTCTAATAGTTCTTAAAAGTTAGTAATTGAATTTACTATTATTAATAGAACATAGCCACAGTTAGTTAATATGCCTGGAGAATCCTGGGAATTGGACTTTCATAGAAAGTTCGGTATAGTATGTAACAAAGACAATACTTATTTATAACTACCCTGGGGTCTATTCAGAATCTTTCTCAAAGGTTACATCTGAAAAATGCAGTTTGTCACTTAAAATTTGCATACATTAGAAGGTAGACATTTGTACCACACGAGGCCATGTGGCTTTGGGAATCGAATCTGTGTGACATGAAATGCATTCCATGGTAGAACGTTGTCAAAGTGAGGTATATTTTTCTCACAGGGCAGATGTTTTCTACTTGAAGAGCCCCTATGTCCCATTTGATAATCTTCCTGGATAAAGGTCAAGGTGATTGCAGGCCTGTCTCCCCCTCTCCTTCAGACTTTCAGGAATGGAAAGTGTAAGCAATAGTTGAAACCTGAAAGAGAAGTACAACTGTAATTGCTGGACTCATTATTCTAGTGACTTAAAAGTATGGGTGCCCTTCCTGCATTGAGCCTTTTAGTACCTTGTATAGACTTCCATCAGAGGGTCTACAGCCTTGCACATTTCTGTCCTGTTTGTGTGGTGAAGTAGATAAAGGTGAATACCACAACATTTTATGGTCCAGATTAAGGAACAGCTTAACTGGGCACGCATAAATCCAAAGGATCAGCAAGAAGGGACGTGCAGTCCTCTGTCCTCTTACTATCCTACAATGAGTTGGGCAGGTACATCAACCTGTCTGGCCAAGCTGCATGTTTCTGTTCCTCAGGGGGTACCCTATCCCTCTGCTGTAGTATAAGCATGAGAATGGCTGAATGGCTTTATTTCTGGAGGACAAGTATTTTGAACTCAGGCACAGAAGAGCCTTGGGGGCTTGATTGAAGCTGCAGTTTCTGCTGTGGAAAGGCCAGGCTACTAGTCCCAGCCCACCCACAGCCTAGCAGATCAAGCTGAGCCTCTGAGGTCACATCCACCAATTCCTTGGGTCCCTCCTCAGCTGGCATGTCTGCACACTTTCCAAGGTGAGGTATGGTGTCCTATTCATTCATATATCCAGGGGTTCCTGCTTAAAATCCAGGAAGAGGCATACCATTATTTCCATGGTACAAATGCATTTTGACTTACACCGATGCTTTGAAATGAGGACTTTAAACTTTACCTTATCTTATTAGATAAGGATGTTTAGATCAAAGGTTAAACTAGGTTATTTTTTTAACCTCTTACTCTTTTTAATTGTTTAACACTTTTTAACACTCTATTTTATGTCCGCCAAGATACATGGCTAATTTATTCCTTGGGAGTAGGTTGTAAATTTTGTTATTATGCTATTTTTTTTGCAGTATTTATGGATTTTGTGTTATGTAGATTTTCTTTCAACCTTCTCAATAAATAGTAACAACAATAATAAAAATAAAAACCAGTATTTATTGAACCATACTATGTGACCAGTAGTGGCATGCAGTTTATTTGAACAGTATCATTTAATCCTGGAGTAAGTATCATTAGTCCCATTTTAGAAATGAGAAAGCAAAGGCTTAGAAAGATTAAGAAACTTGCCCAGGGTTACAAGGTGAGCAGGTGGGAGCTGGGATTGCAGCTCCAGTTTCCCTCCAAAGGCCATGCTCTTTGATGGTTGAGGACACAGCTGGGCTCAGCCCTAAGCTGTTGGAGTGTGGCGGTCAGAGGCGGAGATGCCCCAGCTATTGTGGACATGGAGCCTGGACCTTTGAACTTTGACTTTTCTTTGTTTCTTTGTGTTTTTGTTTTGTTTTGTTTTGAGCCTGAGTCTCGCTCTGTTGCCCAAGCTGGAGTGCAGTGGCATCATCTCAGCTCACTGCAACCTCTACCTCCTGGGTTCAAGTGATTCTCCCGCCTTGGCCTCACGAGTAGCTGGGATTACAGGCAGGTGCCACTGTCTGGCTAATTTTTGTATTTTTAGTAGAGACGAGGTTTCATCATGTTGGCCAGGCTGGTCTCAAACTCCTGACCTCATGCAATCCTCCTGCCTCGGCCCCGCAAAGTGCTAGGATTACAGGCGTGAACCACCGTGCCCAGCCTTGACTAATCTTTGAATATTTGTGTCTGTGTTGGGCAAAAATTAAACTTACATAGATGATAATAATTGTGTCAACTACATATATGGAAATGATTAATAACAACATTAATACATCACAAATGAAGAAATATTTATTAATAAAAGCTACAAAAACTTGGGTTGGTTGCATGAATAATTATTTACTTATACTATTATGTACGCCTAATTACCAGACAACATAGTGATCAGTGTATGTGTATATGTACACATATAAGAAGATATCACTATGGATTATAATTAACTAAAAATATTAGAAGTTCTAGAATATGAGTGTAGTTGGTTATATTTTAGGTTCTCGAAGAGTTTCTATGACATGAAACTCTAGAAAAATGCATATCCCCAGACTGGATGTGTTTTACACATAAGGGATAGATTATCCAACAGAATTTCATGTAAGGATCATTAAAACATATTCCAGGTCGGGAGCGGTGGCCCACACCTGTAATCCCAGCACTTTGGGAGGCCGAGGTGGGCAGATCACGAAGTCAGGAGTTCGAGACCAGCCTGGCCAACATGGTGAAACCCTGTCTCTACTAAAAATACAAAAATTAGCTGGACATGGTAGCAGGCGCCTGTAATCCCAGCTACTCGGGAGGCTGAGGCAGGCGAATCATTTGAACCTGGGAGGCAGAGGTTGCAGTGAGCTGAGATTGCACCATTGCACTCCAGCCTGGTTGACAGGGTGAGACTCTGTCTCAAAAAAATAATTCAAAAAATTATTTGGTATATTGTAGTATAAGAGCTTTTCAAGATATTTCTCGATTTCTGTAAGCACTGGATAATTAATTCAAGACCCTCCCACTTTCTTTGTAGGAATAGATGAGGCAATAATTTTATGACTATAACTGAATTTTTTCACACAAGACCTTGAGATTTGGTAGAAAATAGGATCTGTTTGATCTGCTTGCCTCGGCCTCCCAAAGTGCTGGGATTACAGGCGTGAGCCACCACGCCTGGCCCTTTTACTGTTCTATAAAATAAGAAGAATAAAAGGGGTATTTGAGGTACATGCATTTGAAGTTCTTAGAATGAGACCTAGCATGTAGGAAACACTCATTGTTAGTTGCTCCTGCTATTAATAGTAGTAAATAGGTCAACATGACTCAGTTAACATTCAGGAAGTAACTTTTTTTCAATTATGAAATGAAGATGTACAAATATTCATACATCATTTTAAATGTAGAGATGTTTAAATTATAGATGCCAATGTGAGGGATAGGCAACAACTATGGCTACCTGTATAATAAAGTTTTACTGAAACACAGTCATGCCCACTGATTTACGTATTGTCTACAACTACTTTCATGCTTCAACAACAGAGTTAAGTAGTTGCAACAGAAATTGTGTGGTCTCCTAAGCCAAAAATATTTGCTATCTGGCCCTTCATAGAAAACCTTTGCCAACCCTTGGTGTATATCTAAGAAAGAAAAGATGTGTGTTGTGTACGTGTGTGAATGTGTTTCTGCGGTTTCTATACGGTTAAACTAAGGAACATTTACTAGAAATTGTTGGCATTCTCCCAAACAAGAGATTATAAATTTATAAATTGATTTTGAAAGGTTTGGTGTTGATTATGATAATTTTAATTTTAAAAGCCTTGTATTGGGCTGGGTGTGGTGGCTTACGTGTGTAATCCCAAGAACGTTGGGAGGCCAAGAAGGGCAGATTGCTTGAGCTCAGGAGTTCAAGACCAGCCTGGGCAATGTGATGAGACCCCGCTTCTCCCAAAAGTACAAAAAATAGCTTGGCATGGTGGCATGTGCCTGTGGTCCCAGCTGCTCAGGAGGCTGAGGTGGGAGGATCGCTGGAGCCCAGGAGGCAGAGGTTGCAGTGAGCTGAGATTGTACCACTGCATTCCAGCCTGGGTCCCTGTCTCAAAAAAAATAAAAACTAAAAAAAAAAAAAGCCTTATATTTTAGGAAAGCAAGCTTAGGGACATTGTGATAGTTTTGATCAAGGGTAAATACTTCACTTAAATAGTTAGCCACATAGAACCCTAAATCATTTGTTTTCTAGTTATTTTCCCCTCAGCATAGATGCCTACCACTTATTTCATTGATACAGAAGATGACATTAAAAATATATGTGCCACTAAGGACTAATGGGTTCTCTCTGTGCAGCCTGTGCCAAAACCCCATATTCCTTTTGGTGAAATTCATATGAGACCACATGTATTGTTGTTTTAGCCAAATGTGGAATACTGACTTAATTTTCTCCCATCGCTTTTGGTGAACCCTCTATCAGCCACTATAAATTTAAAAGTAGTATTGTAGATAGAAAGTCATACTGTTCTTCAGCTTTTCCCTATCCTGTAATAGAGTGATTTATTCATTTTGTCATATATTTATCAGCTGCTTGTTTTTGTTAATGTTATCAGACTTCCTCATGTTATGAGACAAGAAATTACTTTAGAAACCTGTTATTTAGCTGGATTGCACTTTACTAACACAGGAGTCTCTTTCGATATCTTTTAATTCTTGTTCTTTGTCTCAGGATTTTATCTAGGAGCTGAATGAAGGCTGAAGAAGGAATTACCTGCTCTTCATTCATTTTCATATCTTCTTTAAGCGGGAAAAGTTGTTTGTCAATTGGACCCAAAAGGCATGCATACATTCATTCAGATGCTAAACATAGACTTATAGAAGGTTAATGCCTTAAATCTGTGCAAGAATCTATGTGTATTTACAATGGTAGTCAAAAATTTCAGTTAAATAAAGTATCTGCTTTCTGAGATGAGTTTTCTGGCATTGGCAATTGGAATGGTTTTTGTTTTGTAAAACATTTTTTTAAAAATCACAATCTGTTATGAGACAACCATAATTTGTGCTCCGTGAATCACTACATAGCTCAGAGAAACTCGCAAACCTATTTCAAGATCGTGCAGTCTTCATCATGTAGAAGTTCTTAAATGTCTCTGGAAATATCTTACCTATCTAATTTTAAATGCTTCTAGCAGTTCC
This sequence comes from Homo sapiens, assembly GCF_000001405.40. Taxonomy (NCBI): domain Eukaryota; kingdom Metazoa; phylum Chordata; class Mammalia; order Primates; family Hominidae; genus Homo; species Homo sapiens. Next base: position 119,899,796 of record NC_000008.11, read on the forward strand.
TATGCTTCCCTAATGAGACTCCTGAGCATAGTCACAGTTATACAGTTATGTTTTTCTGAGCTTGGTTTTTTAGCTTTCCCTTGAATTTATAAGAGCCTCTATTTCCTTTCAGTAAAGTTCCTCTTTGCTTAAATTAGCCAGAATTTGTTCTTGTTTCTTGTAATCAAAGAACCATAATTAACACAGAGATTAGTACCAGGAATGGGTAAATATAAATTCTATGTGACAAAAATTATAGATGTCGGCTGGGCGCAGTGGCTCACGCTTGTAATCCCAGCACTTTGGGAGACTGAGGCAGGCAGATCATAAGGTCAGAAGTTCAAGACCAGCCTGGCCAACATGGTAAAACCCCGTCTTTACTAAAGATACAAAATATTAGCCAGGCGTGGTGGCGCACACCTGCAATCCCAGCTACCCGGGAGGCTGAGACAGGAGAATAGCTTGAACCTGGGAGGTGGAGGTTGCAGTGAGCCAAGATTGTGCCATTGCACTCCATCCAGCCTGGGCAACAGAGCGAGGCTCCATCTCAAAAAAAAAAAAAAGAAAAAAAAAAAAAAACTAAATGTCTATTACACACCCCTCACCTTTTTTTTTTTTTTTTTTTTTTTTGGGAGACAGGGTCTCACACTTGCCTAGGCTGGAGTGCAGTGGCATGATCATAGCTCACTGCAACCTTGACCCCCTGAGCTCAAGTGATCCTACCATCTAAGGCTCCTGAGTAGCTAGGACTACAGGCATGTGCCACCACACCTGGCTCATTTTTAATTTTTTTTTGGAATGACAAGGTCTCACTATGTTGCCCAGGTTGATCTGGAACTCCTGGGCTCAAGTGATCCTCCTGGCTCAGCCTCTCAAAGTCCTAGGATTACAGATGTGAATCAGTGCACCTGGACCTTACACTTTTTTTTCTTTTCTAAAAGCACAAAGACAGAGCTATTTATATTAAAGTATTGCCTGCTACAAGGTATAAGCAAAGGCTAATTCTGCTTGATATAGAATAACCATCTTATCCCTCACATTTGTATGAGCTCTAATACCCAAAAATGTTTGACTTCTAACTACATTTGTTATATAAATGGCTGAATGTTATTCTATTTTTGCAACTCCCACAGCATCTTCACTCTTCTAGGCATAGAGTAGAATATAAATAAATGTGAAATGCATGTTGATTGATCCCTAGTGGAAAGTAAAATTGCTTTTAGTTTCAAAGCATTGAAATTTCATTCTCCTCTTTCCTTTTTCAAAAGTAGGAAGACTCAGAGATTTTAAGAATTGAATCTCTCTGTGCTTTGGAATCTACATTGGGAGTAAGAAGCAGAGTGTTTGTACTTAATTGATTTCATTTGGTTGTTTGCAGTTTCAGATCTATGCATGGACGAGGATATTTATGCAATTCTCTCATGAGCCATTAACTTTCTATTGGTCTTTTTATGTTTCAGTCTGTCACTTCAGTGTGCTATTGAAACTGCTAAATATTTAGGTACAAACACAAACTCCCATTTCAGAATCAGCTGATTATATAATTGCAGGTGAGAAGATGCACAAACATATTAATATTTTTAGCTCTCCCTGATGCTGTTAGAAAGATATGATAATTTCAGCCAGGCGTGGTGGCTCACACCTGTAATCCCTGCACTTTGGGAGGCTGAGGTGGGCGGATCACGAGATCAGGAGATCGAGACCATCCTGGCTAACACAGTGAAGCCCCATCTCTACTAAAAATACAAAAAATTAGCTGTGTGTGGTGGCATGTGCCTATAGTCCCAACTACTTGGGAAGCTGAGGCAGGAGAATCGCTTGAACCCAGGAGGTGGAGGTTGCAGTCAGCCGAGATTGTGCCACTGCACTCCAGCCTGGGCAACAGAGCAAGACTCTGTCTCAAAAAAAAAAAAAAAAAAAGAACGAAAGATGTGATAATTTCACTCTCATTGATTCACAGCAGCTATTTGTTGATGGCTCCAATGCTTTCTGAAGCAATGGACACAGGTCATACTGTTAGCCTTTGGTCTGTAGAATCACAAGGAACACTTGCTGGGTGAGATGAAAATGTAAGGAAATTCCACTATTTCTGTATTTCTGTAACAGTTTTCCTTTCCTTATTTTATTTTATTTATTTCTTTTTTATCCTTTTTAAACTTTTTTTTTCAATTTTCCTTTTCTTGATTTTATTTTTGTGCTAAGTGTCTGTGATACATATTATGAACATCCGCTAACATTTACACAGCATCTTATATTTTGGAAAGAGATTTTATATACACCATTCTGCTGATCCCCAACATCCTACTGACCCTTAATCCTATGAGCAGAGAGGAACCTGAGTGATTATGTTGATTCCCAATTTAGAGATGAAAAGCTTTACGTGAAGTCTTGTAATACTTCCTTGCTCAATGTTGTGTCCCCAGGATTTGGTACAAAGATGGGTATACAATAGACAAGGAATAAAAAATATGCTAAGTGGCAAAATAAATGGAGCTCAGAGAGAAACTAAGTGACTTGGCCATGGGCACACATGACTAAGTGATGGAGACTGCTCAGATTTAGGATTTAGGATTTTTTTTTTGAGACAGAGTCTTACTCTGTCTCACCCAAGCTGGAGTGCAGTGGCACGATCTCAGCTCACTGCAGCCTCTGCCTCCCTGGTTCAAGCGATTCTCCTGTCTCAGCCTCCTGAGTAGCTGGGACTACAGGCATGTGCCACCACACCTGGCTAATTTTGTATTTTTAGTAGAGATGGCGTTTTACTATGTTGGCCAGGCTGGTCTCAAACTCCTGACCTCAGGTGATCCACCTGCCTCGGCCTCCCAAAGTGCTGGGATTACAGGTGTGAGCCACCATGTCTGGCAGATTTAGGATTTTTTGACTCCAAGTTTCATAGTTTCCTAATGCTTATGCTCGAAAGAGGACAACTGAAGTAGTTTATAGTGATGCTAAGAGCTAAAGTAAAGAAATACATTTGAAATCTTAAGATGCAGATTTCTTAAGTTGGATGAGGAATTATTTTCAGCTAAAATTAAGTTGTATAGTTCTTATGTGTTCAAGGGGAATTTTTTAAAAATATGCAAAATTGGAGAGAACATCTTGAGGGTCGTGCCACTTTGGAATTTAGAGTGAATCATCAAATTTCAGGGTTTTTAGACACGAAAGAACCTGTACATTTGGAGACAAGACAAGTGAAATGTACTAAAATTGTGTGCTCCGTGAGGGCAGGGTCTATGTGTGTCTGTTTACTACTCTATGCCCAGTGCCTGGCACAGTGCCCAATGGACAGCAGTGAAGTAGGAGTTCAAGTAATATTCGTTGGCTGGGTGAGGTCCTGTTTTTTTGAGATAGTCTTGCTCTGTTGCCCAGGCTGGAGTGCAATGGTGCGATCTCAGCTCACTGCAACCTCGGCCTCCTGGGTTCAAGCAATTCTCCTGCCTCAGCCTCCCAAGTAGCTGGGATTATAGGTCCCTGCCACCATGCCCAGCTAATTTTGTATTTTTAGTAGGGATGGGGTTTCGCCATGTTAGCCAGGCTGGTCTCAAACTCCTGACCTCAGGTGATCCACCCACCTTGGTCTCCCAAAGTGCTGGGATTACAGGCGTGAGCCACTGCACCCAGCCAAAAATACTATTTTTTTGCCCTAAGTTTGTTGCCATAAGTCACTCCTTAATGAGGGTCTTCCTAAAGGTTACTCAAACCTTGCATGGTTGATTAACATACCATCTTTATGTCATCAACATAGTGAAGTTGTTGAAACTTAGGCTGGAGGAAACAGCAATGATCTAATCCAGCTCCTTTAAAGGACTCTTGCTTGGCCATCTGATTTGGTATTAGATCAGGGATGAGAACTGACAGTCTTGGTCTCCTATTTCGTCATGTCAACTATGAGAGTACTTATGGGGAATCCAGACTGACTCCTCTGGAGACCGAGTGGCCTCTGAGGTAACCTACAGAGACTGAGCAGGACATGAGGCTTACAGCTCCGTCCTGGGCTCCTTTCTGCTCAGTCCTGCAGGCATCTTCACAGGACTGTGCCACCCAAACACAGCATTTTTCTGCATTTCGAATTTGGTCTTCCCAGCTTTACCAGTGCTTAGTCTCAATCTTTAATTCAAGATTGAAACTGGGCAGCCCTCACTGGTAAATTTAAAATGTGTAGCATTCCCACCTCCCTTCTGTAAATGTTATTCCTGACTCTGGGGGCCAGGAGTTGCTATTCTGACATCTTGAGCCTGAACACTCTTCCCCACCCCAAAGTGCCTCTATCCCTCCACAAGAGGAGGAGGAAGTAAAAGGCACTCGATTTAATTGGCTGTGTGAAACCTCAGTTCTCTCTCTCTTTTTTTTGTTTTTTTTTTGAGATGGAGTCTAACTCCGTCTCCCAGGTTGGAGTACAGTGGCACGATCTCAGCTCACTGCAACCTCCACCTCCCAGGTTCAAGCAGTTCTCATGTCTCAGCCGCCCCGAGTAGTTGGAACTACAGGTGCCTGCCACCACGCCCAGCTGATTTTTCTATTTTTAGTAGAGACAGGGTTTCACCTTGTGGGTCAGGCTGGCCTCCAACTCCTGACCTAAGATGATCCACCCTCCTCAGCCTCCCAAAGTGCTGGGATTACAGGCATGAGCCACTGCGCCCGGCGTAAACCTCAGTTACCTTTAAGTCAATTGCAGGTAGAAAAAACTGGATACATTTTTTAAAAAATTAACTTTATTTTTATATTTATTTATTTTTTTGAGGCAGAGTCTCACTCTGTCACGCAGGCTGCAGAGCAGTGGTGTGATCTTGACTCACTGCAACCTCCACCTCCTGGGTTCAAGCAATTCTCCCTGCCTCAGCCTCCCAAGTAGCTGGGATTACAGGAGTGTGCCACCATGCCCAGCTAATTTTTGTATTTTCAGTAGAGACGGGGTTTCACCATGTTAGCCAGCCTGGTCTCGAACTCCTGACCTCAGGTGATCCACCTACCTCGGCCTCCCAAAGTGCTGGGATTACAGGCATGAGCCATTTTGCACCCCGCCTTTATTTTTAAGAGACCAGAGTCTTCCTCTGTTGCCCAGGCTGGAGTGCAGTGGTGTGATCATAGCTCACTACAGCCTCAAACTTCTAGGCTCAAGTGATCCTCTCACCTCAGCCACCCAAGTAGCTAGGACTACAGGCACACGCTACCATGCCTGGCTAATTTTTGCTTTTTTTTTTTTTTTTTTTTTTTGTAGAGACAGAGTCTCACTATGTTGCCTAGGCTGGTTTTTAACTTTTGTCCTCAAGCAGTCCTCCTGCCTTGGCCTCCCAAAGTGCTGAGGTTACAGGTGTGAGCTACCATGCCCAGCCAGTGAATGCACCTTTTACCTAAACTGTGAGTCTTCTATGTGCCAGGCCCTGTGCTAGCCCTTGATGGCAATATGAAAACCATTGGAATCTTGTCCGCAAGAAGCTCACAGCATGAGATTCCAGACAGCTACAGCCAGAGATAGAAATGTGGACAGACAATTACAACCCAGCATGAGAATTTCTGCAATAGAAGGATGTGCAAGGTGCAATGGGAGCTCCGGATGGAAGTGACAGACTACCTGGGAGAGTGAGATAGCCAAGACTTCCTGCAGCAGGTGACAGCTGAGTGAGGTTTGAAGTTTGAAGGTGTTTTTACTAGGAGTGCAGTGCAGGAAGGGAGAAGCACCATACAGAGACAAGAGCAGGTGGAAAGAAAGGTTTGAAATAACATGACATGTTTAGGAAAGTTGAAATAGTCCTGTCGTCTAGTGGTTTTTGATGTTTCTGATGTTTCTGCTTGCCCATCTCTTATCTGTAAAAATATTTTAGGCATAGATTTTTCCCCAATATGGGCTTTATATGGGCTTTTTTTTTTTTTTTTGAGACAGAGTCTTGCTTTGTTGCCCAGGATGAAGTACAGTGAAGTGCAGTGGTATGATCTCGGCTTACTACAGCCTCCGCCTCTCAGGTTCAAGCGATTCTCCTGCCTCTCAACCTCCTGAGTAGCTTGGACTACAGGAACATGTCACTATGCCCAGCTAATTTTTGTATTTTTAATGGAGATGGGGTTTCACCATGTTGGCCAGGGTGGTCTCGAACTCCTCACCTCAAATGATCCACCTGCCTGGGTCTCCCAAAGTGCTGGGATTAAAGGCGCAAGCCACTGCACTTGGCCAATTTTTAAAATGTTATTTATTTATTTATTTTTACAGAGACAGCATCTCGCTATGTTGCCTAAGCTGGTCTCGAACTCGGGCTCAAGCAGGCCTCCTGCCTCAGCCTCCCAAAATGCTGGGATTATAGGCATGAGCCACTGTGCCTGGCCTAATGTAACAGTTACACACATGTACTACTATACTAATGCACTCTGTATATCATAAATATACACACACACACAAATTTTGCCGGGTGCAATGGCTCACACCTATAATCCCAGCACTTTGGGAAGCCAAGGCAGGCAGATTGCTTGAGCTCAGGAGTTCAAGACCAACCTGAGCAACATAATGAAACCCCATCTCTACTAAAAATACAAAAAAAAAAAAGCCGGGTATGGTGGTGCATGTCTGTGGTCCCAGCTACTCAGGAGGCTGAGGCGGGAAGATCACTTGAGCCCAACTGGTGGAGGTTGCAGTGAGCCAAGATTATGCCACTGCACTCCAGCCTGAGTGACAGAATGAGACCCTGACTCAAAAGAAAAAAAAAATTAAAATCCTTTTAAGAAAAAGTATAGATATGCTGATATTTTCTAGCTGTGCACCAATGGTTGGTCTTAGGCCCCTCCTTTATAGACCACTCTTAAGACTCTAAGCCCTGTGAGAGAGGCCAGGCCTGTCAGATTCACTGCTGTATACCCCTTGTCTAGCATTACTAGGCACCCAATAAATATGGATTGTTGGAGTGAGTTTGATTTTCCCTATTGCTGGACCATAAGCCTAAAGTGATGGCTGGTGACAAATGTTTATAGACTTTACTGAAGGAAGGCCTTCATAGGATTTCCCAGAGCTCTATGCAGGACACCAGAGCTTTGATTTTGAGCTCTAGCCCTCACTGTTTATCTTAGGGTAGTCAAGACCCTCACATAATTTCTCTGTGTCTTCTGAGAGCATTCGCGTTGTTCATCAGGGCCAATAGTATTCCTGTGCATTACATGGTGCCTGTGGTGAGTGATTAATAAAAGGGATATTGTGACTCTCTTGGCAGGGATGAAAGGACTGTCAACATGGTAAATAGCCCTTGTATAAGCAGGCGAAGAGAATGAGGCTATTCTTCCTCCCACCGTGGCTCTTACTGGTGATGATTACAACACCAAAAGCATATTTTTCTGTTTGACTTTTGAATCCAGGGGTCTATGATGTTGTAGCAACAAAACTGTTTTTTTCACATGGCAACAAAACGTAAGATCTGGCCCATGACACTACCTTCCTACTAATGGATGGATTGGAACAAGGTTGAGGGGTAGTGTTTTGTGTGAAGTGCAATTAACATTGTATTACAGATTAATTTGAGGTTTTTAAGAAATATATGGGGCACAGATTTCTTCACAAAATTTCAAAGAAACCTAGATATTTTTTTAAAAAATATTTTCTTCCCAGAATGATTTTTAAAATACATATGCCTACGGATAATATTTTATGTTTAGTTAATCAGCCTATAAATATTTATTGAGGGCCTGTGGGAACAGCTTTTGCTTGTACTAAAATCAAGAAATAGAAAGAAATAGACACCATGATTCCTGCCCTTAGGGAGATGACTTTTTAGGTAGAGAAAGAAAATAAGGGCCAGTGTGGTGGACTTTGGGAGACCGAGGCAGGTGGATCAAGTTTGAGACCACACTGGCCAACATGGTGAAACCCCATCTCTACTAAAAATATAAAAATTAGCGGGGCGTGGTGGCGCATGCCTGTAATCCCAGTTATTTAGGAAGTTGAGACAGGAGAATCCCTTGAAGGTTGCAGTGAACTGAGATCATGCCACTGCACTCTGGCCTGGCAACAGAGAGAGACTCTGTCTCAAAAAACAAAAAAAAAGGGAAGAAAATAAGAATCCATGAATCAATGGAGGGCAATTGAGTTACTGTGATATAATATGAAATATATTTAGTCCCTGGTTCCTCACAGAGCTTAAACTCTCAGAATTTCCCAAGTGATAAGAGTGTCTATTGTTATAATAAGCCCTTATTAGCACAACTGAATTTATGTTAATAAAGTGACTCAGGGTGGGACACCTAGCTAGCCTCATGATGAGGCTGGCCATCAGAAAGACCAAGTGATTAGAGGATGAGAGGGTTGGAACTTTCAACCCCACCCACCAACCACTAGGAAAAGTGGAGGCCGAAGGAGTCCGGAGATCAAACTGTAAGACTCTTGAACAATGAGATTTGATGAGCTTCTGAGTTGCTGACATGTGTAGGTGCTGGGAGGGTGGCTGGCCAAGAGAGGGCATGGAAGCTCTGTGTCCCCCTTTCTATACCTTGCCCTATCCATCTCCATCTGGCATTCATCAGTATCCCCTCTAATATACTGGATAAAAAACCAGTAAATGGGTGAGGTGCAGTGGCTCACTTGTAACCCCAGTGCTTTGGGAGGCCCAGGCAGAAGCATGGCTTGAGGCCAGGAGTTCCAGGCCAGTTTGGGCAACATAGTGAGACCCTGGTAGTACAAAAAATGAAAAAAAAAATTTTTTTTAACCAATAAATGTAAGTAAGTGTTTCCATGACTTCTGTGAGCCTTCCTAACAAATTATTTGAACTTGTGGAGGAGATGATGGGAATCTTGATTTAAAGCCAGTCAGTTAAAAGTACAGGTGACTGCCTACTACTTGCAATTGGTATCTGGAGTGGGGGCAGTCTTGTGGGACAAGTGTAGCTGGGACTACAGGCATGCGTCATCCCGCCTGGCTAATTTTTGTATTTTTAGTAGAGATGGGGTTTCACCATGTTGGCCAGGCTGCTTGCAGCTCTTTTCTTAAAACAAAGAAATTGAGGACTTGAGTTGCTATTGAATCAAGCTGTTTGTCCCTGAGCTTCCCTTGTGTAATCAGTGGGAAAATTACAAGTCTGATAAATGCGGACTGATTTTCTGGACATTTTACATCATTGGAAAAATAAATCAGAGAGTTATCAGATTCCTCCAGGGCAAATGTAACTGTGATGTAAATCAGAGTCACCAAGGAACAGAGCCTTAGGCTAAAATAGATGCCAGGGCCTCATTTAAAAACCATGACAGCCAGCCCACTAATTCTCAGAACACAAGTATCATTTACTTCTTGGTGCCTGGAGTGAGAGTTTGTCGTATTGGCTTTGCTTCCTAGCATCTCACACAATAACAAATGCTAGGATGGAAAGATATTGGAGACAGGTGCAGTAGTGTGATTATATTAAATTGAGAAAAGACTTTCAAAGGCTCTCTAGAATCTTAATGATTTCCAAAGGGTCCTCTTTCAGCTTCCCTACCTTGCCTCTGGTAGCCTAATTAATAGAGTGTGACTTTTTAGTTCTTGCCAAGTGCCACCCCAGTTCAAATGACAGCTGTCAGGAGAATGCGACAGATAACTGATGAAATCTTTAGTTACCTAGCTATCTTTAGAAGACACTGTCTTTGGCTTAATGAGTGCTGTATTTTATAAGTAGCCACAGGTGTTTGGCACCCTGTCAGCATTCTTGGGACTCTAAATAGAGTTAAATTTTCTGTCTTTATATAGGCATCAGCAGGGTTTGAACACCTGCCTATCTACCATAGCAAAGTAGAAAGTTACAGAGAGAAAACAGAGCCTTTAGGGTGGCATGAAAGGTGTAAATATGCAAATTAACTCTACAGATAAAACCATTAATGTAAACAATTGCAAACCATGCAGAAATATTAATAAGACTAAATATGCTCTTTCAAATATGAGTTTTGATGAGTGAAAAATCTTAAGTTCTAGATTCTGTGTGTGGCCTTGCCACTTACAAACTATTCATAACCAATTCCAATCACCAGAAGTGAACCTTCTTCTCATCTACAGACAAGGGTTAATCATCTCTTAACTAGGTTACATGCTTGTTTGCCAAATCAAGTTTTCGCAAATGAGATGCAGTATGTAGAGGTAATTAATAAGCCATAATGTGCTGAGCACATGAAATTTGGATTTATTATTATGTAGAACCTCATTAGGTATCAGATACATAGAACACTGGATAATCTGGAGCTACCACCTAAAGTCTCACTCACACCTGACATAAATTTCCACTTGGCTGTTGATAATGGCTTTGGCGCCTCTTGTATTTTTTTCTGATCCTCAAACTGTTTAAGTGACCTGGAGATCCAGATAGAGGTGTATGTAGATATATGAAATTTTATCTACCAAAGCCTCATCATATACAGGCATATACCAAGAGTATTCAGGGGCTACATTGGGAAACAGGTAGTCTGAAAATTTGACTCTAAGTATATAGAACACCTGCAAAAGTCAGAGCACCTATGTTAAGAAAGGGAAAATGCAAACCTGGCATAAGCCAATATACAGATTACCAGAAGGTGCTTTTCACTGGCTGTGTCTAACAGACATAGAAAAGATTTTCCTGAGGGTGGTCAGATATGTGAAATAGCATTTTATTACGCAGCCCTGGGAAACATTTTTGTTTTCTACATTGTCAGTAGTGAAATATAAATTTTTAGGGTTTTTGAATTTTTTTTCAGGCCTTATTTTTTATTTTTTATTTTTTTGAGACAGAGTCCCGCTCTGTCCCCCAGGCTGGAGTGCAATGGCACGATCTCGGCTCACTACAACCTCCGCCTCCCGGTTTCAAACAATTCTCCTGCCTCAGCCTCCCTAGTAGCTGAGATTATAGGTGCCCAGCTAAGTTTTGTATTTTCAATAGAGACAGGGTTTCACCATGTTGGCCAGGCTGGTCTCGAACTCCTGACTTCAAGTAATCCACCCGCCTCAACCTCACAAAGTGCTGGGATTACAGGTGTCAGCCACTGCGCCCAGCCCCCAGGCTTCATTTTAACTCACATTCTGTTAGACATAAAAATAAATCACAGTACCAAGTGTATTTGATGTCTGCATTGAGTACCAAAGATGGCCTAAACATTTGACTACGTGAGTTAATGATGAGTAAGGGATAGTTAACCCCCAAAATGCTTAATGTGGAGTGGTTTGGGATCATTTGTGACTTTTTTGTTTCCTAGAGGGGTGTGTGTGTGTGTATGTTTGTGTATGTATGTTTCCATCACTGCGTCTGAGATTTTCAGTATTCAGCATTTTTGGTGGGTGCTGTTTTATCTTTTCAACACAGCAGAGCTGCCTCCACCCATTGCCTCACAGGACTTTAGTGAACAGGAGCACCTTCAGTGTTGGCTGTTTATCTTTGGGACTGACCAGATACCGTGGCCTTCTATCAATTTCCCTGCTAGCTAATGCTCTGACTTCTTTGCTCAGCTATCCATTGTCTCCTGGAGTGCCCTGTGAACCAGCCTGAGCTACACCTATCCAGACCTGCCTGGATCCTGACAGCAGACAGAGCTTCAGCCACAGCCAGGACCATGCTATGTACACACATTCTTTTTTTTTTTTTTTTTTTTTTTTGAGACGGAGTTTCACTCTTGTCACCCTGGCTGGAGTGCAATGGCGTGATCTTGGCTCACCACAACCTCCGTCTCCCGGGTTCAAGCGATTCTCCTGCCTCAGCCTCCCAAGCAGCTGGGATTACAGGCATGCACCACCAGGCCTGGCTAATTTTGTATTTTTAGTAGAGACAGAGCTTCACCATGTTGGTCACACTGGTCTTGAATTCCCGACCTCAGGTGATCCACCCACCTCAGCCTCCCAAAGTGCTAGGATTACAGGCCTGAGCCACCGTGCCTGGCCCCTGCTGTGTACACATTCTGTGAAGAATAACATGTTCCTTTCTGAAGGAAGGGTTATGTAACATTTCTTATCCAGTGGAACTAAACACACACGGGTAGTCCAAATACTTCTTCATATTAATAGAAAGGTGATGGCAGAAACATTCTGAAGTCCTTCTCTTCCATGGACATGACAGCTATGAACACAGCTATCAAAGGACCCCACACTAGAGGCTCAAGGTTTGCATTCTGTACTACACTATGGTTTCCTTCTGTCCAGACTGAAACAAAGATGAAAATCCAAACCTTTATACTCACGAAGTGTCATTTACCCTAAGCCCTGTCCCACACATTTTGGGAAATATGAAAGAAGAATGAGATAGTTTTTTACTCATCAAATTTGTAGTATAATTGAAGAGAATTAATGCAAATAAGATTAAAGTAATACAAAATATTATATAGGTAAACATGAGCATTTTAGAAAGTAGATCATATCTGTTGGATGAAAGAACACATCATGGAAGAAGGCTGAGGCATTTGAATTTGGTGGATAAATAGGAAAAGAGGGAGAGCATATTCTGAAAAGGGAGTAGCCTAAATATAGGGAAGAGGCAGAAAGGAAGGATTGGGCTAAAATTGGAAGAGGAAAATAATGTTGGATAGATTGAGTTTTAACATATTAAGGAAACTTTGACTGGCATACACACACACAATTCCCTAACATATAGAATACAACATTTCCATTTGGAAGAAACAACACCTGTTTCAGTTACATAATCCTTGAACTCCAGAAACTGGGCCAGCATGAACAGTTGTTTAAGCTATGCCAGGTATGCAGTTGGGAATCAATAAATGTGTTTCGGTTGAGAAATTTTTGCAAGCCCCTTAACTGCAAGCTGCCTCCGCGATAGCTGCGGATGTTCCTGAGAACACTTCTGAAGATTTGAAATATTTTTAAATCCAGAGAAACCTTGTCTATTCTCAAGTTATAGACGTGCAACACTCAAAGCCTGTGGCACTTTGGCAGCCTCAGCGTCTGTCCTGTGAACTGAAAATAGATGATCATAACCCTACACAGTGTTTGTACAGCATGCTTAGCACAAGATTCACTTTAATGTGTTCATCCTTGTTTGGAAGCCCAAAGGAAATGAGATTTGCTGTTTTGTGCTCCCTGGCCTTGTGGCTTACGGTAGATCTTTTCAGTACAAAATGTGCCCAACACAGTTGGTTCTATTTTGATCTTGTGTGTGAGGATGTATCCTAGAGGCTGTCAACCTAAAATAATAAAAAGGATCAGAATCTAGCTTTGTTTTTTTGTTTTTGTTTTTTGTTTGTTTGTTTTTGAGATGGAGTCTTGCTCTGTTGCCCCTGCTGGAGTGCAGTGGCCCGATATTGGCTCACTGCAACCTCCACCTCCTGGGTTCAAGAGATTTTCCCTCCTCAGCTTCCCGAGTAGCTGGGATTACAGGCACCTACCACCACACCCAGTTAATTTTTGTATTTTTAGTAGAGATGGGGTTTCACCCAGTTGGCCAGGCTGGTCTTGTACTCCTGACCTCAAGTGATCCGCCTGCCTCGGCCTCCCAAAGTGCTGGGGATTATAGGCATGAGCCACTGCACCCAGCCAGAATCTAGTTTAAAGAGTGTTTATTCAAGCTCAAAGTTTGAGGACTGCAGCACCAGGCACTTCCAAGTTGCACTGGGGAGTGGTCTGGAAAACAAAAGAGAGGTTCACATTTTTAAGGAAAAAAGAGGACGAACAAAGAGAGGGGGCAATGACAAAAGTTGTTCATCAGGCATTTTCACTGGTTTACAGAAATAACATTGATTGGTGATTGGCTGTACATTGTTGAACTACAGGGTGTATGGCATTTTATGGCTACTTAGTGTCAGTCTATAGCCCACAAAGTAAGTGGCTTCAAGAGGTAATTATTTAGCTCAAGTGAGAGTGGGATGTGACTGCTGTTACCTTTTAAATGTCTTTCTAAGCCTGATAATTTAAAGGGGCTCATATTCCTCAGATAAAAGGTTTTTATTTCTCGTGGTTCATCAGGGTGTCCATAAAAACCTGAGAAGTTTGAGTTGAGAGATTTTAGAGATAAAGCCAGTCAGTTTCCTCAGGAAGCTGAGGTCTTAGTTGGGTGAGAGGTCTCCCCAGGCCATGTTACCTAAACCAGCAATGCACACTCTTCAGTTAGGTGTCCTGACTCCTCCTAGAGACAACACAGGCCCTGGCTTCTGTTGTTCCATCGAGGCTTGGACAATTGTCAAGTTGGCTTACCATGCCCTAGCGTCACCTCTGTGCATCCTTTCCCATCCTTGTCCCATCAGCGGGACAAGCCCTCCTGCTTTTCCTTCTAAATCATGAGGCTTCCTAGTTTAAATTCCTTCCCCATCAAAATGGGAATGGCTTTAATACCTACCCAGTCTTTCTTTTCTTTTTTTTTTTTTCCTTTTTTGTTCTTTTTTTTGAGAAGTCTTGCTCTGTCACCCAGGCTGGAGTGCAGTGGCATGATCTTGGCTCACTACAACCTCCACCTCCTGGGTTCAAGCGATTCTCCTTCCTCAGCCTCCCAAGTAGCTGGGACGACAGGCGAGTGCCACCATGCCTAATTTTTGTATTTTTAGTAGAGACGGGGTTTTGCCATGTTGCCCAGGCTGGTCTCAAACTCCTGACCTCAGGTGATCTGTCTGCCTCGGCCTCCCAAAGTGCTGGAATTACAGACATGAGCCACCGTGCCCACCCTCTTATTTATTTCATAATGCAATGTTGGCTCTGTTTCATTCCAACCCCCTGCGTTTGCAAAGTGTGGTCCCTAATCAGTATCATCAGCATCACCCAAGCCTTTTTTTTTCTTTTTTGAGATGAAGTTTCACTCTGTTGCCCAGGCTGGAGTGCAGTGGCACGATCTTGGCTCACGGCAACCTCCGCCTCCCAGGTTCAAGTGATTCTCCTGCCTCAGCCTCCCTAGTAGCTGGGATTACAGGTGCTTGCCACCACGCCAGGCTAATTTTTGTACTTTTAGTAGAGACGGGGTTTCACCATGTTGGCCAGGCTGGTCTGGAAATCCTGACCTCAGGTGATCCGCCTGCCTGGGCTTCCCAAAGTGCTGGGATGACAGGCGTGAGCTTGCCAATCCCCCAAGCACTTTTGAAAAATGCAAATCCTTGGGCCCACCCCAAATCTATTGAATTACAAACCGTAGGAGGTGGGGCTCAGCCTTCTGTGTTTTACAAGCCCTTCAGGTGATTCTAACACAGTCTATTTGTGAGAATTACTGCTCTCACCTTCTCTGACTATAATAGTTGCAGCAGTCTGCAGATTACTTGGTGTGTATTTTTTATATTCCATGAGGGGGTGGTATATTGGGCAATATTATTATTTTTTTTGAGATGGAGTCTCGCCCTGTCACCAGGCTGGAGGGCAGTGGCACAATCTCAGCTCACTGCAGCCTCTGCCTCCTGGGTTTAAGCAATTTTCCTGCCTCAGCCTCCTGAATGCCTGGGACTACAGCCATGTGCCACCACGCCCAGCTAATTTTTTAATTTTTTAGTAGAGGTGGGTTTCACCATGTTGGCCAGGATGGTCTTGATCTCTTGACCTCGTGATATGCCTGCCTCAGCCTCCCAAAGCACTGGGCTTACAGGCATGAGCCACCACGCCCAGCCTATTTTAGTTATTATTTAAATAATGTTTTTATATTTGATCTTTCTATATATTTTGTCTTTGTCTAAAATTGTCCCTGAGACTGTTTCTTCTCAGGGAAGAAGTTTTCAGTTTCCAGGACTAAACATTTCATGGCAATGCAGTGTCTTTCTCAAGAGTGAGTATAATCTGGGTGTTTCCAGAAATGACTTGCAGGGCTGTCACAAACAGATTCTAGGCTAGCTCTCTCATCAGCAGTCCACTCTTGGTTAAAGCACTAGATTAGCAACTTCTGTTTCCACAGTGGCGCTCAACCAATATTCTGGTAGCAGTCAGGAGGTCAAGGTTTAACTCTTATCTGGGAAAAGAGGCAAGTTACCTAACTTCTGTAAGTCTCCGTTTTTCCAGCTGTAAAACAGTGATATTGGCAAGGACTTGAACTAGATTGCCTGACATTTCTTTCCAGTTAAGACAATTCAGTGATTTTGGTTATCAGTTAGGTTGATACCATAGAAGAGATGAGGTTGATTCCAGCAAACCTCGCAGTAGGGAGTGGCCAAGTACTCTCTCACCTGGACTTTTCTCTGCTTTGACTTACCACTCCACCAGAAGGGCTCTCTTTCTAATCCTTTAACAAAAGAGAACAGCCAAGTCTCTCCAGTAATTGCCAATCAATTTTTCCTTGATTCAGGACTTCATTTGTTAAAAAAAAAAAAAAAAAAAAAAGCTGAAATGCTACTTAGTGGCCTCTTGATGGCACTTCTGGCAAAATCTGACTCTCATTTAATCCTCTCAATAACCCTATGAGACATTCTCTATCATTCCCATTTTACAGATAAGAAAGTAAAGGCACTGAGAAGTTGAATGCTTTGTCCAAAGTTACACAGTGAATAACGGGTGGACGCTGGAGTGCAGTGGCGCGATCTCAGCTCACTGCAACCTCCACCTTCTGGGTTCAAGTGATTCTCCTGCCTTAGTCTCCCGAGTAGCTGGGATTACAGGCACATGCCACCAGGCTAGGCTAATTTTTTTTTTTTTTTTTTTTTTTTTTTTTTTTTTTTAGAAATGGGGGTTTCACCATATTGGCCAGGGTGGTCTGAAACCCCAGACCTCAAGTGATCCACCCACCTGGGCCTCCCAAAATGCTGGGATTACAGGCACGAGCCACGGTGCCCAGCCAACAGGGATATTATAAGGCTCAGCTCTGATAGTGTATTATGGTGCCATTCAGATGTAAGGTTATTACTGTTACTATGTCTGCTGTCCACCAAAGAAAAAGTTAAGCTTTTAAAGAATTAAAGTTAGTTTTATTTGGAAGGCTTACTGAGGACTATAGACAGGGGTCAGCAGCTCAGGAGCAGCCCTTTAGAAAGGTTCTATCCAACTGCCCCTGCACAGTATTTCAGCCCATTGCTTATATACAGGTGGTGGAGGTTCAGTACATGCAAAATCACATCAGACTTGTTCAGAAATTACATTAAGCTGAATCACAGCAAGGTTTGGATGTAAGAGTGCATCTGGTTGTAGATTACAGAGGCATAATTACTAACCCCTTCAGATGTTATCTTATGGGTAGGAAAAGGCAAGGACTAGAGTCCTTTATCATTTGTTTATTTATTTGGTCGGTTGTTTGTTTAAGACAGGGTCTGGATTTGTCACCCAGGCTGAGGCGTGTGCCGCCACACGTAGCTAATTTTTAAATTTTTGTTGCTAGAGATGGGGTTTCACCATGTTGCCAAGGCTGGTCTCGTACTCTTGGGCTTAAGCAATCTGACAGCCTTGGCCTCCAAAGTGCTGGGATTATAGACGTGAGCCATGGTGTGGGGCCTCATTTATCTTTTAAAGTGTACAGTGACTCCGGCAAGAGATCTACGGGGCTGTGTGCTCTATCCTGTTTCGTCTTCAAAGTATCTTTCTAGAGAGCTACACATTATTAGAGTCAAGGGCTTTGTGAAATTATGTTGGCAAACAGAAATGAGCAAACATGCCCTCTTATATGTGTTACATTGTCTCACTCTGCTAATACTCCATGTTGATTTCAAAGACAGTACATGATATATGAGATTCAGAATGAAACATGCTTCCTTCCTTGTGGGGAAAAGAAAGATCAGATTGTTACTGTGTCTGTGTAGAAAGAAGTAGACATAGGGGACTCCATTTTGTTCTGTAATCTATAACCTTACCCCCAACCCTGTGCTCCCTGAAACATGTGGTGTGTCAACTCAGGATTAAATGGATTAAGGGCTGTGCAAGATGTGCTTTGTTAAACAAATGCTTGAAGGCAGCAAGCTCGTTAAGAGTCATCACCACTCCCTAATCTCAAGTACCCAGGGAAAGAAAGCACTGCAGAAGGCTGCAGGGACCTCTGCCTAGGAAAGCCAGGTATTGTCCAAGGTTTCTCCCCATGTGATAGTCTGAAATATGGCCTCGTGGGAAGGGAAAGACCTGACCTTTCCCCAGCCCAACACCCGTAAAGGGTCTGTGCTGAGGAGGATTAGTAAAAGAGGAAGGAACGCCTCTTTGCAGTTGAGACAGGAGGAAGGTATCTGTCTCCTGCCCGTCCCTGGGCAATGGAATGTCTCGATATAAAACCCGATTGTATATTCCACCTACTGAGATAGGGGAAAACCGCCTTAGGGCGGAGGTGGAACATGCGGGCAGCAATACTGCTCTTTAAGGCATTGAGATGTTTATGTGTATACATATCTAAAGCACAGCACTTAATTCTTTACCTTGTTTATGATGCAGAGAACTTTGTTCATGTGTTTATCTGCTGACCCTCTCTCCACTATTATCCTATGATCCTGCCACATCCCCCTCTCCGAGGAACACCCAATAATGATCAATAAATACTAAGGGAACTCAGAGGCTGGCGTGGATCCTCTGTGTGCTGAACGCCGGTCTCCTGGGCCCTTTTTTCTTTCTCTATACTTTGTCTCTGTGTCTCTTTCTTTTCCAAGTCTCTCGTTCCACCTAACGAGAAAAACCCACAGGTGTGGAGGGGCAACCCACCTCTTTACTTCCTGGGTGTGTTTATCCTCTCAATCCATTGCAGTGACAAGACACAGAGGTTGCATAGAACTTTGCTTTGTATTAACTTGACGTGAGTCCTGGAAGGGCTCTGTATAGGAGTTAGGACTCTGACTTGTTTTTTATTCACAGAGCCATTGCTAGTGAAACATTTGGCATGGACCACCTTTATTTATTTATTTATTTATTTATTTATTTATTTATTTAGAGACAGATTTCACTCTTGTTGCCCAGGCTGGAGTGCAATGGCACAATCTCGGCTCACTGCAACCTCCGCCTCCTGGGTTCAAGTGATTCTCCTGCCTCAGCCTCCCGAGTAGCTGGGACTACAGGCACGTGCCACCATGCCCAGCTAATTTTTGTATTTTTGGTAGAGACGGGGTTTCACCATGTTGGCCAGGATGGTCTTGATCTCTTGACCTTGTGATCGGCCCTCCTTGGCCTCCCAAAGTGCTGGGATTATAGGCGTGTGCCACCGCGCCCAGCCTAATTTTGTATTTTTAGTAGTGACAAGGTTTCTCCATGTTGGTCAGGCTGGTCTCGAACTCCCAACCTCAGGTGATCTGCTTGCCTCAGACCCCCAAAATGCTGGGACTACAGGCCTGAGCCACCGCGCCTGGCCATGGAATACCTTATGAAGTGGTTACTGCAGCTATTTGCATAGTGAGTGTGTGTGTGTGTGTGTGTGTGTGTGTATGTGTATGTGTGTGTGTTGTCCAAGACCAATTGCTTCTGGCCCTACAGAATCACCTGTGCTCTGTTTATATAAACCAGTTCTATTCTCTTTCCTTCTTATTTCTATCTGTATTTGTTGTTTTGTTCTGATCAGGTTGGGAGAATTCAAGCATTTTCTTGAAGCAAAACTACATGAAATGTGTATTATGATCCTATTTCATGTAAAAAATATACAAATATAGCCATATGTGTACACATACCTAGAAGATTTCTGTAAGAATACATAGGCAGCTATTATATTAGGTTCCTTTGGAAAGTGGAGGTGGAGGAAAGCCTGAAACATATTTTTTGCACAGTAGGTAGAAACATATAGTGACCTCCTATGTCCCCATCTCCTAGCTTCAGCAATGATCAGTTCATTGCCAGTTAACCCAGCTTTAATAATTGTCTCTTCATCTGAACCGAGAAAAGAGACTTTTAATTTCATTTTTATATATATTTGAATTATTTTCTACTGTGAGGATATATTATTTTGATAATTTAAAATCTGAATTAGAAAATAAGTTCAGATATTAAAAGGAAATGCAGTGTATTATATTTCCATTTTGTTTTTTTCTTTTAGACTCAGAGTCTTTCAACGGTGTGTGATAAAGAGTGACTTTCCCTGGGTTCTCAGATCCCCAAGGACAGATATTGGCTGTTGCAGAACATCTGGAAAGGAGGAGAGCTGTAGTTTAAAGCATATCTATGTCAGTACTGTTGCCCAAATCACAGGCTCACACTGTCAGCCCCACTATTTGGCTTGCTGTGTTTGTTAAACTGTTTACTTTGGCTGAGATTTATGACGCTGTTTTAAAATGAGAATATGTGGTTTCAATCTCCCCTTTGTTCCCTGAGTCCCACAATCTGCCACAGTTCTCTGCAAGCTATTTTTGAAAAACAATTTCTACATTTCTTATCAGATGGACAGTGATTTTGCAGGTATTGTTAACACCCTGCACCCAGTAATGTTTGTTCTCTTAGGGCTGGAAGAGGAAATGGTCTGATGCAATTTCAGCAGCTGGTTAGCTGGACAGGAATAGAACATTACAGAATCACCTTGAATCTAAAGCCTGTGAACCAGCTGTCTGAGATGAATAATAGGAAGGTTTTTTTTTTCTTAATTTATATTTCATAGCCAGTGGGATTGAAAATGCAGCTAAAATACAGATGGTCACTCTTCCCAATGGTTTAATGTGATTGGGACTCTGTTGCTCAGAAAACTATTCTATCTATGCTTCCCACCATGCTGAATACATAATATGCACGAATTAACTTTCACATCAATGAGATTTCTATCTCCTACTATTTGCTATGCACTAGAATTGCAACAATAAATAAGCAGCTCCCCTTTAGTATCCCTAATGTCATCTAGTTGTAATACAGTGCGATGAATGCTTTACTGTTGGCGCTAAAATATTGTGGGACAATAGAGGAGAGAGAAGGCTGTTTTCTGGCTTTGGAAGGCTGGGAAAACGTTCACAGAGGAGGTGCCCTTGAAAAGCTGACCCTTGAAGATAAGTCAAATGGTTATGAATTATTGAAGGCAGGAAGAAGGAGCATTCTAAGCAGAGGCATGGAGGGTGATTAGCATGTTCAGAGGCTGAAGAAGAGTTCAGAATATTCAGAGTACAAAGCAGGAATGCATGTGATTGGGAGGTGAGAGAGACAAGGAAGCTCAAGAGGCGATCTAGGGTCAGGGTGGAAGGCCTCCTTAGCTCCTGGGTAGGTGAGGTTCTTTTGGATCCAGGGAGTCGAGTCCCACTCAGCCCCCTGAGGGGATTGGTAGTGTCTTGGTTATTATACGAGTGCACATGGCTTGGAAGAGAAACTGGAAAACTCTAAGGATCTGAGGAACTCCTGCAACTTGTTCCTCTTGCATCCCTCATTTGCTGCTTCAGGGGCTTCCTGTTGCTTTCTTGGCTTCTCTGTGCTGCCCCCACTCCCCTCTCCTTCCTAATGGTCCAGTTTCCTCGATGACTTTTAGCACTGAGGTTTTTTTTTTTTTTGAGACAGGGTCTTGCTCTGTCACCTAGGCTGGAGTGCAGTGGTACAATCTCAGCTCACTGCAACCTCCATCTCCCAGGCTCAAGGGATCCTCCCGCCTCAGCCGGCATAGTAGCTGGGACTAAAGGCATGTGCCACCACACCCAGCTAATTTTTGTATTTTTAGTAGAGATGGGGTTTCACCATATTGGCCAGGTTGGTCTCGAACTCCTGACCTCGGGCAATCCACCAGCCTCGGCCTCCCAAAGTGCTGGGATTACAGGTGTGAGCCACCATGCCCAGCTGAAAATAACATCATTTCTATTAGTGTCCTTATACATTCATTTGTTCACCAAATATTAAGTATTTGCTGTGCCAGGCAAAACACATACGTGTGCAGTGTGAAAATTTTTATCTCTTTATTGGGATAGTTTTTCTGGAATATACAATTTTCAAAGCTCATTTTTAGAAGTCTGTGTTTCTGACTACAAAAGAAAAAAGATAATAGCACAGTTCTTATAGATTTTAACCCCGGTGACATGTCTAAAAATATTGAGTTCTAGGCTATATCCTGGATCCAAAATTATTTCCCCCCCATCATACTCAGTTTTCTTAAACATGGAAATGTACCAGGACCCAGTGGGACAGTAGGAATAGTGTGTAGTGCTTCTCCCCTTCTACCCTTGCAGGGAATTGGTGGAAATCAGGAATGTTCAAGAATTAGCCCTAAGCTCCAGGGTCATAGAAGGATGGTAACTGAAAGGTTCTATTCTGTAGTTTTTTTTTTTGTTTGTTTGTTTGTTTTTTGAAACAGGGTCTTGCTCTGTCACCCAGGCTGGAATGCAGTGGCATGATATCGACTCACTGTAACCTCTGCCTTCTGGGTTCAAGCAATTCTCCTGTTTCAGCCTCCCAAGTAGCTGGGACTACAGGCACACACCACCACACCCGGCTAATTATTTTGTAGTATTTAAACATAAATAGGCTGGGCGCAGTAGCTCAGGCCTGTAATTCCCAGCACTTTGGGAGGCCGAGGTGGGTGGATCACCTGAGGTCAGGCGTTTGAGACCAGCCTAGCCAACATGATGAAACCCCGTCTCTCCTAAAAATACAAAAAATTAGCTGGGCATGGTGGCGGGCACCTGTAATTCCCACTACTCGGGAGGCTGAAGCAGGAGAATTGCTTGAATCCAGGAGGTGGAGGTTGCAGTGAGCCAAGATGGCGCCATTGCACTCCAGCCTGGGCAACAAGAGTGAAACTGTCTCAAAAAAAAAAAAAAAGATAAATACTATCTAATAATTCTCTTAGGTTGGAAAGTTTACAGGAGCTAAAACTCTTCTCTTGGCTCATAATATAGTCCTTCTCCTACTATATATAACAAATTACATAGTAGCTTGTTCCACATTTTAATTTCTAAGTAAATTGGTCTTCATTATTCTTGGATTCCTGACAGACATCACATCTAAGAATTAATATTTTGCATTCTGCCACTCTGAGCATGTTAAACAAATTACTCAGTGTCGTTGTCACTGAATTAATTAGAAGGATTCATGGGATGACTTTAGCACACCGTATGTAAACTTGTTTTTTTAAGCTGGTGCTTAGTTTTTATTATTAATAATTACAACTCTACATAGGTATCATTTGTGGTTTTAGAATTGACTGCCTCAGGGAGTTGTTATGAGGATTAATGCCCATAAAGCAGTTCAAACTGTCCCTAGCACATAGATGCATAAGATTATCTTCATTTTACCAGTAAAAACTCTGATGCTCAGAGGTTGTAGAGTTACTGGCAGCACCAGGGTGAGAACCAAGTCTTTGTATTCCTAATCCCGTTTTTCTCATTATCCTCAGAACTGACATTTTGGGGTGAAATCTGTGATAGTCAGAAATGAACAAATCTGTGTGGAGTGGAAATGTAGCAGGCCCTGGTGGGACAGTAGGGATAGTGTGTAGTGCTTCTCTCCAGGAAGTACTTCAGACCCAGGAAGAGTTGGTGGGTCTGCACTTCTTGAAACACCATCCCCGAACATGGGCTGGTTGTCAAAAGGAAGAACTGAACCTCATTGGCTTGCTGGGAAATACTCCTGCCACCTCTTTTGTTCTGAAGATCACCTAGGTCTTCCCTGGAGCTGTGTGCTGGAGACTATTTTAGTTGGTTTTGTTTAGACTTATTATGTATATTGAGGTAATATTATAAATTAATTTAGTGGCTTAAAAAATCTCCACATCTATTAACCTCTATCTGCTGTATTTATTTATTTGTTTATTATTTATTTATTTATTTTTGAGATGAGGTCTCTCTGTGGTGCCCGGGCTGGAATGCAGTGGCATGATCTTGGCTCACGGCAACTTCCACCTCCCAGGCTCAAGTGATGCTCCCACTTCAGCCTCCCAAGTAGCTGGGATTACAGCTGTGTGCCACAACACCCAGCTAATTTTTGTATTTTTGTAGAGATGGGGTTTTGCCATGTTGCCCAGGCTGATTTGAACTCCTGAGGTCAAGTTATCCTCCCACCTTGGCTTCCCAAAGTCCTGAGATTATACGTGTGAGCCACCATGCCCAGCCTATCTGCTTTAATTGCTTTTTCTTCTTTATTGAAGTATTTTTTCAATAAGAATTTCATTTTTCAGCTATGTGATTTATTTGTCCTGACAGTTTATAATTTGCTTGATAAACTGTCTGACATCCATTTATTTTCCAAGATCTATATCTCCCTCTTCATAATTATTTTATCTTTGAATCCTTATTTTCTTGACTTTATGTTCTTTTTAAATTGTTTTAAAATTTTTTATAGTTCAGACCACTTTAAGGAAATTGTTTCTTGAATTGTGTTTTCTTTCAGACAGGGTTCTTCTTATCTACTGAATGCTCTCTTTTTCCCTTCCCTCTGTTTTTCCTTTCTTTTCTTTTTTCTTTCTTTTTTTTTTTTGGTATTATTTTTGCTTCACAGTATCACATAGCTGTTTGCTTTTCCCCATGATGTTTATGCTTAATGCAGACAGTTTTGTCCATGCTTTCAATCTGTCCATACTCTATCTGTGCTTGGAAATAAAGGCAGGTGACATCTCCTTAGCACCTTCCTAAGTCATCTCAGAATGTCATTTTCCCCTCTGAGCTAAATTTGATAGCTAATTATTTGTTCCATTGTTTTACAGCTTAAGGGCTCCTGGTGATGGAAGGAGAGAGTCTTGCTTCTGAGGTGTTGTTCAACTTCCTGTCCTAGGGTTCATTTCACATAGTCAGAGATGGATCCCACTGCTATGGAGGGATATTTTTGCTGCTGCAATGGTCCCCAAATTTATTATTGAGTTTGGGAGGCTTCACTGTTAGAGAAAAGGTCTAGTTCTTCATCTCCTTCATTGCACCTATCTTTCCCCAACAGCCATTTCAACTGTCCCTAATCAGAAGACAGAAAACTCAGTTATTTATGGTTTTTTTTCCTTCAAACTTTGGGGTTCTTAATGAAAATTCTGAGGATTTCATTGACTTAGCAACAAGGCTTCTGGGTGGTGAGAGTCTACTTGCCTTACCTTGCCACTCTAAAATCTCCTGCTTATTTTTTTGGCTGCTACTTTATTTATGTTTTCATCTTTTCCCTTTATTCAAAAATTACAAAGACTTTTTTTGGTCATTTCAATGGGTGGAGAGTATTTTAAGGCTAATCTACCCTATCGGTAAAACAGGCCTAAATCACTTTATTATATCATGATTCCTTTTGTTTGTTTGTTTATTCATTTATTTTTATTTTATTATTTTTTTCTTTCCAACTTTTATTTTCGTTTCAGGGAATTCATGTGCAGGTTTGTTACATGAATAAACTGCATATTGCAGGGGTTTGGCGTACAGATTATTTCGCCACCCAGGTAATGAGCATAGTAGGCAATAGGTGGTTTTTGGGTCCTCACCCTCCTCCCACCCTCCACACTCAAGTAGGCCCCTGTATTAGTCCATTCTCATGCTGCTAATAAAGGCATACCTGAGGCTAGGTAATTTATAAAAGAGAGAGGTTTAATGGACTGTCAGTTCCACATGGCTGGGGAAGCCTCATAATCATGGCAGAAGGCAAAGGAAGATACATGGCCGTGGGCAAGAAAACTTGTGCAGCGAAACTCCCATTTATAAAACCATCAAGGCTGAGTGTGGTGGCTCACGCCTGTAATCACAGCACTTTGGGAGGCCGAGGTGGGTGGATCACTGGAGGTCAAGAGTTTCAGACCAGCCTGGCCAACATGGTGAAACCCCGTCTCTACTAAAAATACAAAAAATAGCTGGGAGTGGTGGTACACACCTGTAATCCCCACGACTTGGGAGACTGAGGCAGGAGAATTACTTGAACATGGGAGGTGGAGACTGCAGTGAGCCGAGATTGCACCACTGCACTCCAGCCTGGGCAACAGAGTGAGACTCTGCCTCAAAAACAAACAAACGAAAATAATAAAAACAACAACAACGAGAACAACAACAAAAAAAACCCATCAGATCTTGAGATTTATTCATTACCACGCGAACAGTATGGGGAAAACTGCCCCATGATTCAATTATCTCCACCTGGCCCTGCCCTTGACACATGGGGATTATTACAATTCAAGGTGAAATTTGGGTGGGGACACAGTCAAACCATATCAGCCCCAGTGTCTATTGTTGCCTGTTTACTTTTTGTTTTTTTGACACAGAGTTTTGCTCTGTTGCCCAGGCTGGAGTGCAGTTGTGCAATCTCAGCTCACTGCAACCTCTGCCTCCCAGGTTCAAGCAATTCTCCTGCCTCAGCCTCCTTAGTAGCTGGGATTACAGGCATGCACCACCGTGCCTGGCTAATTTTTGTATTTGCAGTAGAGACGGGGTTTCACCATGTTGGCCAGGCTGGTCTCGAGCTCCCGACCTCAAGTGATCCACCTGCCTTGGCCTCCCAAAGTGCTGGGATTACAGGCGTGAGCCACCATGCCCGGCCTGTTGTTTCCTTCTTGATGTCTATGTGTTCACAATGTTTAGCTCCCTTTTAGAAGAGAGAACATGTGGTATTGGTTTTCTGTTCCAGCATTAATTTGATTAGGATGCCAATTAAAAACATTTATGTAGTTAGGGTTTCTTTTTCTTTGTCTGGCTACTTCTGTTTGCTGTTTTTTTAAAAAATTATTTTCCTTAATAGAAGAAAGGGAGATTCTGTGCTCCGATTTCACTCCACCAGCTTTACCAATTTATAATCTTTACAGTTCCCATTTCCTACCTGGTCCCTGGCAAATGAAGCCTAGTCTGGCTCCAAGCACATGGGTTGAAGTATCTTCTGGAATACTCAGATAAACATGATGATTCAGGTGCTCTAAAAAAATCACACAACTAGCTTTCCCTAGAAGAGGAAGCCCTAAGGACTCAAAGTGTCTTCTGGCATCAGTGTAGTTTCCTTTCTTTTTTAGCATAAAACATTAATCCTAATGTACTAACCTTCAAGGTTAATAAAATATATCCCCCATAAGGTTGTCAGAAAATGCAGAGTGCCCTCTAAAATTTGAATTATAGATACAGTATAATAAATTGTTTTTTTAAAGTATAAGTAGGTCCCATGCAATATTTGGGTCAAGCTTTTACTACACAATGGTTTGCTGTTTATCTGAAATTCAAATTTAACTGGGTTTCCTGTCTGGTTTTTCCTTACTAAACCTGGCAGCCCTACTCTATCACCACCATCTTATGAGAATGTTTTCTGGGTCTACTGGATACCTCTCCTTTAGTATTTTCCTGATATCACTGATATCCTCATCTCTGTTACTAGTGGATTCATTGCTATGTCCTTTCCTTAGCCAATCCTATAGTATGACTTGACTCTTAAGTTTTAGATAATAAATATTTGCAGATGGTAGAACATTGTACAGTAAATAAGCATCATTAACATTCATTCCCAATTATTTAGCACTCAGCCAAAGAGCAGTAATAAAGCACATAAGATAGCCTTTGAGTGACCAAAATAGATGTCATAAATTCCATGCCCAAAATGCTCATTTTCTTTCTTCGTAGATGTTCATATCAGGCTTTTGCTCAAAATATTTTAAATCCTAAATACTGACTACTTAGCAGACCATGGCAGAAGAGAAACAGCAGATTAGGGGAACTGCTTGAGTTTAGGAACAAGGACAACATATGCATATCACAGCAGGACAGGGAAAGGAGATAGGAGAATGAGAAACAGACCCTATGAAGTTCTGGAACCACTGGGTGCAGAGTACAGAGCTCTGGCCGTTTACGTGGTCTCTGAAGGCACCACTGTGGCAACATTCCGTGCCATGGAGCCACAAGCTAGCATTCAGCTCGAGGGTGTATTGGGACAATATTGGTATTAGTAACAGATACCTGAATAAACTCACTAAAGCACAGGGAATGTATCGATTCATGTAATTTAAACCCAGGTTAGGTGGCTTCATGAACTGTTGAATTCAGGTGCTCAAATAGAGTTGTTTGTAATCTCTCTGTCTCTCTCTTTTGTCTCTATCCCTTTATCTCTATCTATCTGGTCCACTTTGCTCTGTGTTGTATTTCTTTCTAGGCAGATTCTTCCTTTATGATGGCAAGATTGGCTAGTAGTAGCTCAAGACACATATATACATATATATATACATATATATTATATATATATAAATATATATATTATATATATTTTAAGACGGAGTTTCACTCTCGTTGCCTAGGCTGGAGTGCAATGGCACGATCTCAGCTCACTGCAACCTCCACCTCCCAGGTTCAAGCGATTCTCCTGCCTCAGCCTCTTGAGTAGCTGGGATTACAGGCACCTGCTACCACACCTGGCTAATTTTTGTATTTTTAGTAGAGATGGGTTTTCACTGTTGGCCAGTGTGGTCTCAAACTCCTGACCTCAAGTGATCCTCCTGCCTCAGCATCCCAAAGTGCTGGGATTACAGATATGAGCCACCACACCCTGATGTATGTCTGTAGTGCCTAGAAGTACCTAACAGGCAGGTAGTAGACATTCATTAATATTTTTTATATGAATGAATGACTACAAGTAGGGTGGGCCCTGAACAATTTGTGATAAAGAGGGTGCACTTTGTTTCAGTGCATTTCTAGGGTTTTTGTTTGCTGGTTGAAACAATAACCCCACTGGAGAGAGAAAAAGCAGGGAGTGAGGCAGAGTAGGGGATGGAGAGCTTTTCTCACTCTCAGGAGTGGCAGGAGGGTTCTGGGTTGGCTGTGATTGTTTCACCCTCATATTTACCTCTGTCATCTAGATCAGAGGCTGGAGTCACTTTCTGGAGCCTTTGAACTCTGACAGTATGGAAATCACCAAGCGAGCTAAAGATATTCAATGACACCTTCATGCCTTTAGAACTTCTGTTATGTTATTACTGTCTGGGATTGGTTTAATAATTTGTGCTGTCATCAGAATTTCCAAAGTAATTGCTAATTTTTCTTTCAGGCTCAGGCTGCACGAAGAAAAGGTTATTAAAGATAGACGTCATCATCTCAAGACCTACCCAAACTGTTTTGTCGCAAAAGAACTGATTGACTGGCTGATTGAACACAAAGAGGCTTCTGACAGAGAGACGGCAATTAAACTCATGCAGAAATTAGCAGACCGGGGCATTATTCACCATGGTGAGTGCGGTGGCGAGTCAAGGTGACTTGAGAGAAATGGAAGGACTAGATCTTTTCATGAACATACCCACTTAAGAAAGAAAACATTTTGCTTTATTTTATCTCCAGTGTACCTCTCCCTGATTGCATTTTCTTCCTGCCTCTAAGAGGCATTTGGGTTCTTTCTTTTTTTTTTTTTTTTTTTGTATTTTTAGTAGAGACCGGGTTTCACCCTGTTGGTCAGGCTGGTCTCGAACTCCTGACTTTGGGTGATCTGCCCGCCTCAGCCCCCCAAAGTGCTGGGATTACAGGCGTGAGCCACTGTGTCCAGCTGGCATTTGGGTTATTTCTATGTACTGCTTTATACCTGTCTGTATATACATCTTTAAGGAATGCATCATATTGTTTTAAAAGTTTTCTATCATTATAGAAGTGCATATTTATGCTTTTGCAACTTGATCAACACACTGTGAGCTTCATCCACATTGATAGTATATGTCTTATTTGTTATTTTTGCTGTTGTATAATACATATGTATAATTATGCCACTATACATTTTTCAGTGGGCATTTACATGGTTTCCAAGTTTTTGCTGTTACTCTCAGTGGGTTCAATGAAGATTCACCAACATGTCTTCTTGAAATCTCTCATCCTGGCCTCGACCTTTGCACATGCCATCGTTCTCTTGGAATACCCTTTCGCCTCATTTTTTGCCCAATTTCGATTCATTCTTCAGGTCTCCACTTACATGAAAACTCTTCAGGGAAGCTTTCTTTTTCAAAAGCTGTGTCACTGTGTTCCTGGGGCACTGGGTACTCTTCCTTTGGGCTCCCATTGCACTCTCTCCTTACCTCTGTAGCCTTATCACACCATATTTCAATTACAGTTGACATTTCTCCTTACCTCACTAGATTTCACATTCTTTGAGGCTGATGCATGCCCCAATATGCTTTAGAAGAATTTGTGGATTGCATGATGAATTGAATTGTGTGAACTTCCTAAATATGATGATGATGATGATGATGATGATGACTATGGTGATGGTGATGGTGATAATAATAGCTAAAAATACTGAGGACTTACTCTGTACCAAGTACTATGTAACTATTTTACAAGTATTAGCTCATATGGTACATATTTGCATGCATGAAGAATGTGATAGTGAAATAATTCTTAATTAGCATCATACTTCGCTTGAGTAATTAAATAAGAGCGATTTTTTTTCTCATTTGCTTCTCTGTGCATATTGTGTTTCAGTGTGTGATGAGCATAAGGAATTCAAGGATGTCAAACTCTTCTACCGCTTTAGAAAGGATGACGGCACCTTCCCATTGGATAATGAAGTGAAGGCCTTTATGAGAGGACAGAGGCTATATGAAAAGTATGTTCCGCATGAAATCCCCCCTGTAATCTTGACTTATAGAAAGAAGCAGAACTGTGCCAGTCTCATTATGTTGATTTCAGCGTGGCTTTTCTATGTGGGCTGGTTACATAACTGTTCTTTTCCATATGAGAAAACTATCAAGCATTTGCTGTCTCTTTGCCAGAAAATAAGTCAATTTCATAAGGTTCTTAATAAAGAATTTACTTAAATCTTATTTTCTGTATTTAAGTTGATTCTACAAAGCTCCAGAATTTTTGTTTACCATCAAATGATGTGGATGCCCCTTTCCTCTCTTATTTTTATTTTTTATTTTTTGGCACTGAGTCTCACTCTTGCCCAGGCTGGAGTGCAGTGGCATGATCTCGGCTCACTGCAACCTCCGTCTTCTGGGTTCAAGTGATTCTCGTGCCTCAGCCTCCTGAGTAGCTGGGACTACAGGCATGAGCCACCACACCTGGCTAATTTATGTATTTGTAGTAGAGACAGGGTTTCACCATGTTGGCCAGGCTTTTCTCAAACTCCTGACCTCAGGTGATCTACCAACTTCGGCCTCCCAAAGTGCTGTCATTGCAGGTGTGAGCCACCGTGCTTGGCCCCCTTTTTTCTTTTAAATACTGTTGTTTTGTAAATTGGAGTTTCAGGCTTGTAAGTGACTGGAGAAGCAGCATCGAGAGCAGGGGAATTGGTCAGGCCAGGAGATGAGTAGTGAGAGAACTTCAGATAGCTGGATGTCTATGAGGAACAAGTTTCAGCCCTTTCAAGAGATAAGTATAGTGTAGCACAGGAGTTTTTGGTTGGTGGGTCTCGAATCTTCTGAGTGGCCATCTCTGGGTTGATCTGCTACTTCTGTGGCCTCTTTACCATTCTGCCTTCCTCATTTAGTTTTCCAGGGCAACCATTAGAAAAAGGGGTGCAGAAGCAATGGCACGTGCTTTGTAACCCTGGCTGCCTTACAAGACTTGAGGGAATTGAAAAATACGTATTTATCGGCCAGGCACGGTGGCTTATGCCTGTAATCCTAGCACTTTGGGAGGCCGAGGTGGGTGGATCACTTGAGGTCAGGGGTTGGAAACCAGCCTGGCCAACATGGTGAAAGCCCGTCTCCACTAAAAATACAAAAATTAGCCCACCATGGTGGTGAGTGCCTGTCATCCCAGCTACTTGGTAGGCTGGGTACGAGAATCGCTTGAAACCAGGAGGCAGAGGCTGCAGTGAGCCGGGATCACGTTACTGCACTCCAACCTGGGTGACAGAGTGAGACATCATCTCAAAACTAAAAAAAAACAAAACATATTTGTCACATAAAAGAGCCTGTTGTACAGTGGTTGGGGGTAAGGGTCTGGGTGGGTGTCTGAGTGGTCAGATTAATTGGCATGATGGTTAAAAGCCAGACAGAGTTTGAAGTGTAGCCCTGTCACCTTACCTTTGTAAAGCTCAGTGTCCTCATTAGTGACATGACAGCAGCAATAGAACCTACCTCCTAGTGCTGTTGTGGGAGTTAAACGATAGCTGTGTCAAGTGCTTAAGTATTTAGCTCAGGGTCTCTGGTGTGTAGTAAGACCTCACAGATGATAGCCATTCCAAATACGAGCACAGTACTGACGGCCACCCTCGACTGTGTCCTTCCTGTGTTATGCGCTCTGTCCCAGTTCTTGTCTCCGTTTCTTGAGGTGGAATGATCACCATTTGATGTCCTAATTTGTACTCAGTCTACTATCACTTGCTTTCTATACTGAAATGGAGAAACTCTCTCATCTTTCTGACTCACATGAATTTGAATGGAAGGGATCCATCAGAACCTCCATTTGTTTACTTGAACATGTGCATTTGTTTTGTTGCTACTTTCTTTTAATTTCTTAGTTCCTTTTGTAAAATTCTAGCAGGTGTTAGGTATTTCAATTACAATGATGTTCCTTTCAAACAATGATTCTATGTTGGCCAAAACATGCATGTCATCTCCAAGGATGAAGGCCAGTGGATTCTGTAAACGCTTTTCCTTTTTTTTTAATTAAAAAAGATTATTATTATTATTATTATTATTATTATTATTATTTTATAAAGACAGGAGCTTGCTCTGTCTCCCAGGCTGGAGTGCAGTGGCATTATCATAGCTCACTGTAACCTTCAATTTCTGGGCTCAAGTGATCCTCCTGCCTCAGCCTCCCAAGTAGCTGGGAGTACAGACTTATGCTACCATGTCCAGCTATTTTTTTTTTAACTTTTTGTAGAGACAGGATCTCATTATGTTGTTCAGGCTGATATCAAACTCTGGTCCTCAAGTGATCCTCTTGCCTTGGCCTCTCAAAGCACTGGGACTACAGCCATGAGCTACTGCACCTATAACACTCTTCTCTAGCTACAGCTTATCTCTTGGGATCTGCATAACCACACTGTGGGGCAGGGATCAGCTATAATTGAAAATGTCTGGCAGAGAACTGTTATTGCTTAATGGGATAGTTATGATGGCAAGACAGTAAGAAGAGTTAAAGTTGCTCACATCTTCTAGAAAGCAGACTTACTCCAGCCTCATGTTCTGTTGGATCTCCCTTCCATCCTATGGGCCAGTCACACAGCACTGTGTATCTCTGAGCATCTTCTTTCCCTTCAGGAGATGCATTAATGCATTAATTATTCAACAAATATAGATTGAGCCCTTTCCACATGCTAGGCACAGCTAAAGACACCAGAAATGCCTGTAGCAAAGCCCCTGCCTTCATGAGCTTGCACTTCAGTTGAAGAGGCAGACATTAAAGGCACAGACACATGAAGATGTGACAGAGTATAATACAGGTGTCGTCGGTGCAAGAAAGAAAAATAGACTTACTGAGGGTGGTGGGGTACTTTAAATAGGGGCATCGGGGAAGACGTTTTTGAAGAGACAACATTTGAATAAAGGAAGCCTTGCAGATATCTGGTGGAAGAACATCCCAGGCAAAGGGAACGGTAAGGATAAAGGCTTTGAGATGGGAATGTGCTGGACATATTTAAGGGCAGTAATGAGACCAGAGTGTCCAGAGGGCAGAAGTAAAGAGGAGAGTAGCAGGAGATGAGACAGGGCCAGTTCATAATAAGGCCCTTAAAACCACAGTAAGAACTGGTGATTTTAAATGTAATGGGAGGCCGTTGGAGAGGAGGGAGTGGGGAAGTGGCAATCTGATATACTTCTGCATGTGCTGTTCCCTCTGCCTAGAGGACTCATGCCGCTCTCACCCCTTTCCCTAAATCACTGACTCCTGTGGCTTCCAGTTAATTGTGAAGGTGGCTCAAGTAATATGTGGTGGCTCATGCCTGTAATCCCAGCACCTTGGGAGGCTGAGGTGGGCAGATCACCAGAGGGCAGGAGTTCGAGACCAGTCTGGCCAACATGGCGAAACCCTATCTCTACTAAAAATATAAAAATTAGCTGGGCGTGGTGGCTGGCACCTGTAATCCCAGCTACTTGGGAGGCTGAGAGGCAGGAGAATCGCTTGAACCTGGGAAGTTCAAGCCCCCTTTCTTTGAGACAGAGCAAGACACACACACACACACACACACACACACACACACACACACACACACAATGTTTATTATTTGTAAGTTAAGCTTCTTAATGCACTTCCTTTAGATTATTTTACCTAAGCTTCTTTTTAAAATAGATGGAGCATTACTTTACTGGCCCATTTTCAGAGGGAGCATCTGGGATCCAATGCATTTAAGTAATTTATATGTGATGTTGACACAGTTTGCGAGGGACAGGGTGAGACATGAACCTGGGGTGGCAGGTGTTGGGGCTGCTGCTGTCTCAGCAGCTCTGAGGGGGTGGGCGTATTGTCAGTATTTCTTTTTGGCTCTTTTCTTGCTTGTTTGTTCTGTGTTATAAATAGGACTTTGTGAAACTTTGTGGTTTCTGACTGAGGTTTTGCTGAACCATGTTGATTTTTGGGAACCCTGGCTTTCTTTTTTATTTTTATTTTTATTTATAAGAGTCTCACTCTATCACCCAGGCTGAAGTGCAGTGGCATGATCTCGGCTCACTACAACCTTCACCTCCTAGGTTCAAGCGATTCTCATGCCTCCGCCTCCCAAGTAGCTGGGACTACAGGCGTGTGCCACCATACCTGGCTAATTTTTTGTATTTTTAATAGAGATGGGGTTTTAACTTGTTGGCCAGGCTGATCTCAAACTCCTGGCCTCAAGTGATCTGTCCGCCTCGGACTCCCAAAGTGTTGGGATTATAGGCGTGAGCCACTGCGCCCGGCCTGGGTACCCTGGCTTTCTAACCCATAGTGGTGTTTCTCAGTCTGCTCGTTGGTAGGATAAACCCAGGTCTCAAAACTACAATTTCAGTAACTCTGCTGGCTCTTAGTATGTATGTCACTCTAGTTACCTTACTTGAGACATGCTGGAACAAACACTAATGAAGAAGCAAGAAGCTGGCCCTTTCAAGTTGCCCCAGTGTGAGTGAGGAAAGCTTTAGAGGAACTGGAGGCATGGATCGTCCTGCACAGTGAGTGGCAATGGCTGTAGGCTCTGGAGTCACACAGCCTGGGTCTTCCATCCCAGCTTCACAACTTGCTTGCTTTGTGCCCTTCAGCAGGCTGACTAAATCTCTGTGATCTGCAGTCTACCGTGGAGATAAGGCTGGGACCCACTGCTGGAAAAGGCTGTTGGGAGGACTGACCGAGATCCATCTGTACAGTGCTGAGCACACTGCTTGACATGGACTGAGAGCCTAGGAAATGTTAGCTGTTGTTATTAGAGTAGTAAATAATAATATAAATACGTGACACCTATTCTTGTTTTCTCAAATTATTTTAAGATGCAGCTTTGCATAGCAGATAACAGCCCAGGAGCCCAGCTACCTGGGTGTGAATCTTGGCTCCATGCCTTGGGGCATGTGGCTTTCTCTCTCTCTGTCTCCATTTGCCTATCTAGTAAATGGAGATACTGACCATCCTGACCTCATAGACTTGTTGTGGGAGTAAAATGGACTAATGAGTATGCACACAGGACAGGGCCCGCATCAGATATGAGTGTATGCTATTGCTCACCTCCTGCTGCCAGCTGTGGGGGAGTATGAGAAAGAGTGTGTGCTTATGGATTGATGCCCTGATGTTGTCATTTTGAGGAATTCATCTAAGTACATTCAGGGCACAATACACTTTCATCAACAAGCTCTAAGCTCTGCTGAGTCTTCATTATGGCCAGCAAATGGACTGAGGGTGCAAAGAATAAGGCATAGCATTTTGTCTCTTCGGGAGGGGCTTACAGCTCTCCACTTAATTTTGCATGGGCACAAGTACCCAAGACACTCAACACATGAACATAAGTCACATTTTCCCAAACAGTACAATTTTTACTTCTCAAAGGAAACCTTTATAAGCAGGATAGTACTCATAACTTAAAAGAACAATGTTGAATCTCTATCCGCGGCCTTAAGATGGTAGAAAGGGTTTTGAGTGCATGTTCCCCACTGCAAAACTTGATTGGCAAAATAGATTTATTTAAGAAAAAAGCTGGCCAGACACGGTGGCTCACACCTGTAAACCCAGCACTTTGGGAGGCCGAGGCGGGCAGATCCCTTCAGGTCAGGAGTTCAAGACCAGCCTGGCCAACAGGGTGAAACCCTGTCTCTACTAAAAATACAAAAATTAGCCAGGCGTGGTGGCATGCACCTGTAATCCCAGCTACTCAGGAGGCTGAGACAGAAAAATTGCTTGAACCCAGGAGGCGGAGGTTGCAGTGAGCCAAGATCGCACCACTGCACTCTAGCCTGGGCAGCAGAGCAAGACTCCATCTCAAAAAAAAAAAAAGAAAAGAAAAGAAAAGAAAAAAGTTGAATTCAGGATTATCAAGTCCTCTGTATAGTAACAAATAAAATCAGCTATAAAAGTGAGTGTGTGTTTGAGGTACAATTTGGTTTTTCCTCACTAAACCCAGTAGTTGAAATGTATATTTTAAACTAACTTCGATTTTATCTTCAAACTTAGAAGAGACTTCTTAATTTTAATTCAACCTCAGTTTTGATATGGAACTAAATCCCCTCTTAATCTGGTTCATAGACACATTAGTCTAGTTGTTTTTTTTTTTTTTTTTTTTATCCAAAGGGCCTTGATTTTCTCAGCAGCAGGAGTTTCTATCTCCAGCTACTATTAGTCTCTTTATCCTGCTTAGGAGTTTAGACCTGATGAAGAATTGGCTTAACAAGCCCGTATGCCATTAGATGTCTATTGAATTCCTACTGCTTCCTTCAATTTCTTTTCCACAGGACCAAAGAGAAATAAAAGGGAGAGAGTACATCCAAAGAGGCAAAGCCCTTCTGCGTGTTTTATCTTATCAGAAGTTTCTCTACCCTGTGTGTTAGGATCTTTCTCCTGTTCTCTCCCAGTGCCTGGGACAATAAATATTTGTTGAATGAACAAAGGGCTCTACATGTTGTGATCGCTATAAGCTGCTGAGCCTGTACCATGAGCTACACAGAGCTTGCTTTTAATAACAAGCAACAATAGCCAGAATTCACCTTGTCTGGCCTCTTTAGAGCCCACAAACCATCATATACATTAATTTGTTTGATCCTCTGTACAACTCTGTGAGTTATATCCAGCAGGCATAATTATTCCCATTATAAAAATGGGGGACATGAGCTGTGGAGAGA
The DNA here is from genome assembly GCF_000001405.40 of Homo sapiens. Classification (NCBI taxonomy): domain Eukaryota; kingdom Metazoa; phylum Chordata; class Mammalia; order Primates; family Hominidae; genus Homo; species Homo sapiens. The sequence goes on from NC_000008.11 coordinate 119,936,576, forward strand.
GGTTTAATGACTGAGATAGACCCTAGGTAAGGAACTGGAGTGAAAAACAAACAAAAAAAGTCTTCAAGCTTTTGTCTCCATCTTGTTCTATTTCCAGTATAGAGGTGTTTTTCAGGTGACCAGCCTGGGCAGCATAGTGAGACTGTTTCTATTAATTTTACAATAAGGCCAAGCGTAGTGGCCCACACCTGTTATCCCAGCACTTTGGGAGGCCAAGGTGGGTAGATCACTTTACATCAGGAGTTTGAGACCAGCCTGGCCAACCTGGTGAAACCCCATCTCTACTAAAACTACAAAAATTAGCTGGGCATGGTGGTGGGCACCTGTAGTCCCAGCTACTTGGGAGGCTGGGGTGGGAGAATTGCTTGAACCTGGGAGGCGGAGGTTGCAGTGAGCTGAGATCACACCACTGCACTCCAGCCTGGGTGACAGAGTGAGACTCTGTCTAAAAAATAATAATATAAATAAATAAAGTAATTTTTTAAAAAGAAATGTTTCTTAAACTGAGATCCTGAGTTTTACAAATTGCAAACTGTAATAAAAATATTTTCTGGCCGGGCTCACGCCTATAATCCCAGCACTTTGGGAGGCCGAGGCAGGCGGATCACGAGGTCAGGAATTCAAGACTAGCCTGACCAATATGGTGAAACCCAGTCTCTACTAAAAATACCAAAATTAGCCAGGCGTGGTGATGGGTGCCTGTAGTCCCAGCTACTTGGGAGGCTGAGGCAGGAGAATCGCTTGAACCCGGGAGGCAGAGTTGCAGTGACCCATGATTGCACCACTGCACTCCAGCCTGGGTGACAGAGCAAGACTGTCTCAAAACATATACATATTTTCTAATATATGCATAGATATGCACTTTCACAGTTTACTTGTGCTGCCCTAGTGGTTACATATAATTTTAGAATGAATGTTCCCGGCCTTCTTGGTTTATTTGAACAATGTCCTAAGATTGCAATGTGAGTGGGTTAAAGTTGTTACCTTTTGTAACTTTCTGTTTGTGTGACCAGAGATGTTTACACTATGTAACTAATGTCAAGAACTGTTAGGAGTCTGAGATTTTTACCCTACTTGCAAGCTCACAAGTTTGCTGCCACCATTTTGTGGATACTGGCAGAAAACAGAAGACCTCTGGACAAAGACAGCTCATTACTCTCAGGAAGAGCAACAGCCAGAGTATCATCAATTTTAATGAATCAATTCCCAAGCCATAGTTCTCACAGAACAGCACAGTGAGGGGCAAGTGATACCTGCACATGCAGTGGGCTGTGTGACAGCAGAGGAACCCTAAGCTTCAGGAACCTGAATATTTTATAATGGTCTTCAAGAAAACTTGCCCTCTGTCTGAGATAAGGAAGATGTTATCTTCATTATGCTGGCAGAAAACAAATCTGCCCTGTTGCTCCAGAAAGAAATACTACCTTTATCTCTTAGGTCTGTTCACTTTACAAAAATTCTTGAAAAGCTAGTCTGGAACAAAAGCTGTCAGTGCTTCTGCTTATAAGACATAAAGAAATCTGAGAGACCCATAAAGAGTTATCTTCTAACAACTACCGCAAAATGTACAAGTAAATTGGATTCCGTAGCTGATCATTGGAGTAACTGTAATTATCCTCACCAATCCTCTTATTTCTTTATTTTTTGTGTAATCAAGACTACCTTATAGGTTTCTCTGTTTAACTTTTATAAGTAAATGTCATAAACATGAAATTTGAAAATGGATTATATGAAAGATTTCAGAAAAGAAGTTAGTTTTAAAAGTTTTAAGCCTATGCTAATTTTAAAGGGCCATCATCTCTTCCCACAGGGTATTTAATAACTTTAGAACAAAATTTAAGTGGTTTTATTGTTCATGTGCAGCTTAGAGCCATGGGAAATTTTTCACCTAGAAATACATGTTTGTTAGATGCTCCTGAAATCTGTATCTTTCTTTTTTCAATTTTTTTTTAATTGAGACAGAATCTTGCTCTGTTGCCCGGGCTGGAGTACAGTGGCACAATCTTGGCTGGTTGCAATCTCTGCCTCCTGGGTTCAAGTGATTGTCTTGCCTCAGCCACCCCAGAAGCTGGGATTACAGGTGTGCATTACCACACCTGGCTAATGGTTTATTTTCAGTAGAGAGCGTTTTGCCAGGTTGGCCAGGTTGGTCTCAGAGTTCTGGCCTCAAGTGATCTGCCTGCCTCGGCCTCCCAAATTGTTGGGATTACAGGTGTGAGCCACCACACCCAGCCTGCCTGCCTGCCTTCCTTCTTTCCTTCCTTCCTCCCTCCCTCCCTCCCCGTTTCTCCCTCTCTGCCTTCCCCTCTCTCTCTCTTTCTCTTTCTCTCTTTCTTTCTCTTTCTTTCTTTTCATTGTGTTCCTTCTTGCTCTCTCTCTCTCTCTCTCTCTCTCTCTCTGTGTTTCTCTAATTTCTTTATAGGAAGCCATGCAAAGTTGTCTAGCCTGACAGGTTATTCAGATGCTTTGTAATTTGCCCATCAGGGGTCTTGGGGACTGAAGAGACTACATAAAGCAAACTCAGTGTTTTATAACTCTAAATTTCAACAAAAAGTTTATACTGTATAATTTCTCTATGTAAACAATGTCTCATAAATTATAAGTGTCATTTAAAGTATGTCAAAGAGTGTGCTTGCATGTTGCAAATAACCAGCCCTAGGTCACCTAACTTTGTTGGCTCGCTCATCTTCTGTAGCGGCAAGCTTGGTCTGCCGGGGAAGGGCCGTCTCAGGAGGCAGCCTCATGTCTAGTTTCATCCAGGTAGCTGAGCTCAGTCCTCTTTCCTCAGAGTAGAACAACTAGTCAGTGTCTACATATTTGGTTATACCAAGGGACTGGTGGTAAAATGCATGTGTGAACACAGAGCTATTGGAAAACAAGTGGTGGGAGGCAACCTCTTCACATCTATTAGTATGGCTTTTTTCGTTTTTGAGCCAGAGTCTTATTCTGTCACCCAGGCTGGAGTGCATTGGTGCGATCTCGGCTCACTGCAAACTCCACCTCCCGGGTTCAAGTGATTCTCTTGCCTCAGCCTCCCGAATAGCTGGGAGTATAAGCATGTGCCATCATGCCCGGTTTTAGTAGAGGTGGGGTTTTGCCATGTTGGCCAGGTTGATCTTGAAATCCTGACCTCAAGTGATCCGCCTGACTCAGCCTCCCAAAGTGCTGGAACTACAGGTGTGAGCCACCACACCCGGCCAGTGTGGCTATTATTTTAAACAAACAAACAAACAAAATTTGTGTTGGTGAGTAAGTGGGGAAATTAGAACCCTTGTGCATTGCTGGTGGGAATGTAAGATGGTGCAGCAGTTATGACAAATGGTATAGAAGTGTCTTAAAAAAGTAAACATGTAATTACCAGGCCAGGCGCAGTGGCTCACACCTGTAATCCCAGCACTTTGGGAGGCCGAGGCAGGCAGATCACCTGAGGTTGGGAGTTCGAGACCAGCCTGACCAACATGGAGAAACTCTGTCCCTACTAAAAATTCAAAATTATCCAAGCTTGGTGGTGCATGCCTGTAATCCCAGCTACTTGGGAGGCTGAGGCAGGAGAATCGCTTGAACGCAGGAGGTGGAGGTTGCAGTGAGCCAAGATGGCACCATTACACTCCAGCCTGGGCAACAAGAGTGAAACTCCATCTCAAACAAAACAAAACCAAGCAAAAAAAACATGTAATTACCATGATCCAGCAATCCTACTTTTGGGTATGTACCCAAAAGTAGAAAAGCAGGATCTTGAAGAGATATTGGCACACCCATATTTCTAAACAGCATTATACAGAATAGCCAAAAAGTGGAAGTAACCCAAGTGTTCACTGATGAATGAATAAACAAAATGTGATAGCCACATATAATGGAATATTATTCAGCCTTAAAAAGGAAAAATATGGCCGGGCACAGTGGCTCACGCCTGTCATCCCAGCACTTTGGGAGGCCAAGGTGGGTGGATAACCTGAGGTCAGGAGTTTGAGACCAGCCTGGCCAACTTGGCAAAACCTCGTCTCTACTGAAAATACAAAAATTAGTCGAGCGTGGTGGTGGGTGCCTGTAATCTCAGCTACTCAGGAGGCTGAGGCAGGACAATCACTTGAACCCGGGAGGTTGCAGTGAGCCGAAATCGCGCCATTGCACTCCAGCGTGGGTGACGAGTGAAACTCCGTCTCAAATTAAAAAAAGAATAATAATTTTAAAAAAAAGAAAAATTATTCTGACACATGCTTCACAACAGAGATGGACCTTGAAGACATTATGCTAGGTGGAATGAGCTCATCACAAAAGGGATAAATATTATATGATCTTACTTGTGTGAGGCACCTAGAACAGTTAATTCATAGAGATGGAAAGTAGAATGGTGGTTGCTAGGAGCAGGGGAAAGGGGGGAATAGGGAGTCATTGTTTAATGGGTTTAAAGGTACAGTTTAGGAAGATGAAAAAGTTGTGGAGAGGGATGGTGCTGATGGTTGTACACTGCTATGAGTGTACTTCGTGCTACTGAACTTAAAAATGGTTAAAATGGGGCTGGGCGTGGTGGCAGATGCCTGTAATCCCAGCACTTTGGGAGGCTGAGGTGGGTGGATCACCTGAGGTCAGGAATTCAAGACCAGCCTGACCAACATGGTGAAACCCCATCTCTACTAAATACAAAAAATTAGCCAGGCATGGTGGCATATGCTTGTAATCCCAGTTTCTTGGGAGGCTGAGGCGAGAGAATCACTTGAACCTGGGAGGCAGAGATTGCAGTGAGCAGAGATCGCACCATTGCACTCCAGCCTGGGCAACAAGAGCAAATCTCCATCTCAAAAAAAAAAAAAAAAAAAAAAAAGGTTAGAATGGTAAATTTTATGTTGTGTATATTTTACCACAATAAAAAATAAAGTAAATCAATATTTTAAAACACACAAAAAGGCAGGGAGTGGGGAACATACAGGCTTATCTTATCAGTGTACTGGCAAGCAAGAGAAAGCCAAAATGATATCTAAACAGTTGGGGCCAGATGTTTTTGATCAGAGGAGTTGAAGAGATAGCAGAGTAAGCCTGGAGATGTTGATAATGATGAAGGCAGCAAACCCAGGGCGAGTAGCCCTTACTGATGCTTATTGTATACCAAGAACTTTACAAGTATCTTCTAAAAGCTTCGTTCTAAACCAAGAAGATAAATATGGTTATTCTCCCTTTGGAAAATAGGGAAATTGAGTCTAGAGAGTTTAGCTAACTTGCCTAAATTCACACAGCTGGAAAGTGTGGGAGAGCATCTTCAAACCCTGGTTTCCAGCTCTAGGACCCATGATCTTAACTTTTTCCTTCAGTCCCAGGCAGCAACAGTAATGAACCCACTAAATAAAGATAAACGGTATGCAGCTTAATCAATTTTTAAATGAGTGGGGGAAAAAGTGTCTGTCACTTGGCTCATGCCAACTTTTTGGGTCTAGTTTTGGAAATCACATCCTTCTTACCGTTTCTTTGTAATGCCCCCCTCCCCCTGCTGTAACATATATGGCAATTTGTTAACATGCAAAACAGGCAGCCGGCCAGCTGTGCTTGCCAGAAGCCATCAGCCCTAGATTGTCATCTGCAGATTTCTAGCTCTGGCTTAGTATGTAGAAGTGACTTGATTTATTTTTTATTGATTTATTGATTGATTTTTTGAGACGGAGTCTCATTCTGCCACCCAGGCTGAAGTATGGTGGCATGATCTTGGCTCACTGCAATCTCCACCTCCTGGTGAGTTCGAGCAATTCTCCTGTCTCAACCTTGTGAGTAGTTGGGACTACAGGTGTGTGCCACCACGCCTGGCTAATTTTTGTATTTTTAGTAGAGACGGGGTTTCGCAGTGTTGTCCAGGCTGGTCACGATCTCCTGACCTCAGGCGATCTGCCCACCCTGGCTTCCCAAAGTGCTGGGATTACAGGCGTGAGCCACCGCGTCCGGCCGTGACTTGATTTAAAGGTAAATATATTGCTATTTGAATGGTAGACTGGACTCATTGATGGTGGAGATTGACTGTGCTGGCTACTTCCGCCAAGTTTTCCTAATCCTATGTAATGTCAGGGCTATGAACCAAGTTTCTGTAACACTGATTTTGCTAATCCATCTCTGTAGTAATTTTTCAACTTGATAGAATGCAGAAATCATTTAAGTTTTCTGGAGTTGAAGAAGGACATGTCAGAGTTCTTATCCTGCCCCTTATTAGCAAGACATTCAGCTTTTCTGAGTCTCTGTTTTTTCATGGGAAAATGGGAAGAAAATGCATACTTCACAGGCATATTGTGAGGACATGATAAAATCCAGTGGAGTTTCATCTAATGCAGGATATGCTAGGTTTCTAATAAACAAGGAAAAATGCAATGCATGTAGTCTAAAGTATCCTTGTGCTACCCAAGCTGCATAAAAAACACATGCCTTCCTATACTAGAATTGTATTCAGCATGGTGAGATATTCAGCTTGTATGTGGGACATTTCTGTTTGTCCTTCCAGATCCATTCTCTATCCTTTTCCAACCTGCTGTGTCCCCAAGAGGCTGACTTACATGGACGGTTTCACCGGAGTCCATTGCCCTTTGGCTTCTGGTTCAGCTCAGTCAGTGGGAGGCACTAGTAGGAAGTAGGTGGAAGGAAGGAGATTGGGGTGAGCGTATTTATTCCCCTGCTTCCTCCCTGCCATTGAAGGCCACTGTATTAGTCCATTCTCACACCGCTGTAACGAACTGCCAGAGATTGGGTAATTTATAAAGAAAAGAGGTTTAATTGACTCACAGTTCTGCATGACTGGGGAGGTCTCAGGAAACACAATCATGGCAGAAGGGGAAGCAGGCACATCTTACATGACAGCAGGTGAGGGTGAGAGAGATAGTAGGAGGAACTCTCAAACACTTATATAACCATCAGATCTCGTGAGAACTCACTCACTATCACGAGAACAGCATGGGGGAAACTGCCCCCATGATCCAGTCACCTCCCACCCAGGTCCCTCCCTCGACATGTGGGGATTATGAGGATTACAATTCGAGGTGAGTTTGGGTGGGGACGCAGAGCCAAACCACATCAGTCACGGTTACTGTCATGCAGCCCTCCCGTTAACATCTGTCCCCTTTGGGCTCTGGAAACTGGTCTCTCTCTACAATCCTGAGGCCTAAAGTTGTTAATGACCACCCCACCCCGTTCTGTCAGACCAGGAGCTTCACCGTCCTTTATAATTTCCCTTAACCCTACCCATAGCTTTGGTAGTTCCTTTATTATAAACTGTCTTTTTAATTTTTATTTTATTATTATTATTATTTTTTGAGACGGAGTCTCGTTTTGTTGCCCAGGCTGGAGTGCAGTGGCTCAATCTTGGCTCACTGCAAGCTCCGCCTCCCGGGTTCACGCCATTCTCCTGCCTCAGCCTCCCGAGTAGCTGGGACTACAGGCGCCCGCCACCATGCCCGGATAATTTTTTGTATTTTTTTTAGGAGAGACAGGGTTTCACCGTGTTAGCCAGGATGGTCTCGGTCTCCTGACCTCGTGATCTGCCCACCTCGGCCTCCCAAAGTGCTGGGATTACAGGCGTTAGCCACCGCTCTGGGCCTAAATTGTCTTTTTTATTAACCCATTTGCATAGCCTTGTTATTTCTGGCTGGGAGCCTGTGAAATCCACTTGGAAAGTGAGACGAGTTCATCTCCCATCTCCTTGAGTGGACAGGCAGGCAGAATTATCCACACTCTATAAATGGAAAAGCCACTTGCTCTTTTTGTTTTGTTTTGTTTTCTTCTGATTGTGTACTATGCATGATGTGATGGTTGAAGTTGGCACGTGATACACTTAGTGGCCACTGTTGTAAGAGCATGGAATATGGCTGGATTATAATGAATTATTTTGACATCCTTCCTCTTTGCTTCTGTATCACCTTGGGTTCCAGCACAGCAGCCATCTCAACAGGGTGATTGAGTCTTGATATTTCAGTCTGTCCAGCTTGACTATAAGCTCTCTGAGGTCATGTACCTTGAGGCCTCACACAACTTTGGTATACGTACATAGCATATGCCCCATAAATGTTCGTTGAAGACATGAATGGATAAATGATTGCATGGTAATTCTTTCTTTTCTTTTTTTTTTTTTTTTGAGACAGAGTCTTGCTGTTTCACCAGGCTGGAGTGCAATGGCACAATCTTGGCTTACTGCAACCTCCGCCTCCTGGGTTTAAGCAATTCTCCTGCCTCAGCCTCCTGAGTAGCTGGGACTACAGGTGCGCACCACCAAGCCCAGCTAATTTTTTGTATTTTTAGTAGAGACAGGGTTTAACCATGTTGGCCAGGATGGTCTCAATCTCTTGACCTCATGATCTGCCCACCTCAGCCTCCCAAAGTGCTGGGATTACAGGCGTGAGCCACTGCGCCCAGCCTATAATGAATTATTTTGACACCCTTCCTCTCTGCTTCTGTATCACCTTGGGTCCCAGCACAGCAGCCATCTCAACAGGGTGATTGAGTCTTGATGTGTCAGTCTCTCCAGCTGAACTATAAGCTCTCTGAGGTCATGCACCTTGAGGCCTCACACAACTTTGGTATACATACATAGCATATGCCCCATAAATGTTTGTTGAAGAGATGAATAGATAGATGAATGCATGGTAATTCTTAATTAGGAAAGAAATCAATAGGCAGTCCCTTCCTCCTTTTCCTAACCTGAAGAATGTTGAAATTTCAGTAAAACTAGTAGAAGATATTGATTATTCTAGGTCACTCTATTTGTGTTTATTGGTTGTGGGTTCTGATCATAAAAATTCAGAAGATAAGAATAATAATCTTAGCCATCATTTACTGAGGATTTCTATGTTCTAGGCACCTTCCTAAGTATTTTTTACATATTAGTTCATTTAATCCTTCCTACACCTCTAAGAAGAAAATATTTTCATCACCAATTTACAAATAAGGAAGGTTAATTTGAGATGGGCTAAGTAGATGCTTTCAATACTCCATTTGCTAAAGAGTGATTCTGGCCAACAGTTGCTCATGGCATAGGCTCTTCACTTTCCCACAATTCTGCATTAAAAATAAAAAAGTTAAATTCCTTGCAGTGAACCTATAGAAATTGAATGCCATGTTCAGCATGTTTTGAATCCAAGAACCCTAGCTGCCACAGAGGGTCAGTTGATTCCATCTGGAAGAGAGACTAAAACTCAGAGCCCTTCCTAGAGGAAATCCCTCTTGTTTATTTTTAAGTGTGGAGATTCTAGAGCCAATGGATGAAGGCACACGGGTCAGCGTTAGGCTGTGCTAAACGTTCTAAGACACAGACAGAGCAGCAACGGGGTTGGGGCCTTCTGAGAGAAGAGGCACGTATTGAAGTAAAAGTGGATATTTGAAGAGTGATACCAGTGGAAGGCATGGCTGGGAGGTTTTAAAGGAGGAGGATATTCTTCCATGATGAAAGGCTTTGTCCACGCAAACCAAGGCTCCCTCGGTTGGTCGGGCGCTTTGTTGTTAAGCGCAGAGATGATTCCAAGGGGTGTAGTTGCTGTATTGTTTTTCTTGCTTTGTTTGCTAAATGAAAACATCCCCGCTTAATTGCAGTCCCTTCACACAGAGCTTCGGAGGGAAAACAAAGGCATTGTTCCACCAAATGGAAAAAGGCACCAAATTGACAAAAAACATTTAATAATTTCAGACCCCCTAACAAAAGAGTGTTTCAGTCCAGAAAGAAAGAAAATCTGAATAACATTTTTAACTTTATTAAAGTTAAATTTGTAATTAAATTTTAATGATAAAGTTAAATTTATTGAAATGTAATCTCCATAAACTGAACATATCATAAGTGTGCAGCTCAATTCATTTTCACAAACTGAACATACCTGTGGAACCACCACCCAAATAGTGTTTGGTTTTTTTTTTTTTTTAATGTTCTCTGAGGCCGGGTGCAGTGGCTCATGCCTGTAATCCCAGTACTTTGGGAGGCCAAGGTGGTAGATCACTGGAGATCAGGAGTTCAACCTGACCAACATGCTGAAACCCCATGTCTACTAAAAATACAAAGTTAGCCGGGTGTGGTGGCACATGCCTGTAATCCCAGCTACTCGGGAGGTTGAGGCAGGAGGATCACTTGAACCTGGGAGGTGGAGGTTGCGGTGAGCCGAGATTGTACCATTGCACTCCAGCCTGGGCAACAAGAGCGAAACTTTGTCTCAAAAAATAAAATAAAAAAAAAAGTTCTCTGTGTTCTACCAAGGTTTAATATGCTAAACAAAATTAACTTTTGCATTGGTGTTAGTTTCTTCTAGAATATAAAACATTCTTTTAAGTAACTTAACTTCTTGGCTTTTCTCTGTTTCACCTGCCACCTGATGCTGCCCTTCTTCCCTCACCCTCTCCAGATGCCTGGAATTTGTTATTCTGGCCAGTTCAGACTGTCATCCAGCCTCTGCAAGGGTCAGCTCTGAGGGGCGTGTGTGTATGAACCTTGTATATCACTTGTTCATGCTACTTTATGCTAGGCAATATGCTAGATGCTTTAAACAGATTAGCTCTAATTTTCACAATGATTCTGTTAAGGTAAGTATTATTGTCCTCATTATGTACAAGAAGCAGCTCAGGATCATAGCACCCAACTGCAGTTTAGAAGTCCTAGGATGGCTTCCCTCCTGCCGCTACCTCTCCGGAGCCATGGATGTTCATAGGCAAGAAAGGGGGACAAGGTAATTGACCAGATCATCCCAACACCTTTTGTGTGGCTCTGGAGTACTGTTTTGTACTCATTATATTTCCTTCCTGTGCTAGGACAGATGTATTCAGAAAGAACTGTGAAGTTTTCCCTTTCAATCATATTCTGCTTTTGCAAGCCATTCCTTTCTCCTAGTCCATGCTGAGATGGTTGAGAGTCACCAAGCATCTGCCTGCACACCAGTGGCTCCTGCTTGCTGTTTCTTTTTCCCATCGACCCTAGACTGAAGTTAGTCACTGATGCTTTGGCTCTGATGAACCCCTTCTGGTTTCTAGCCAGTGGGTGAAATCATTATATATAAGAGCAGTTCCCAGCTTTCAAGAGGTTTGTTTACTTTGCTTCCTCCTGATCTTCCAAAGTGGAAATTTTGCCTTATCTTTATATTCCCAGTGACTAGCACAGGGCGGCGTATCCAGTATGTGCCTGAGACACTTGCTGAACTGAAAGCACTGTTGCCATAATGAAAGTGAAAAGGTGATGGATAATCACAGTACAAAAGGATCATTATGCTGTCATCTTTATCCTGATTGACACTCTTGAGCTCAGAATTTTTCCATGGCTATCACCTATAGGCAATGAAGCATTTCTGACCTAATCTTTACCTGCTGCCCATGCTTAGCTCCCTGTGCTTTGCTCTCCTGCCCTCCCCCATCCTCTCCCTGCCCAGTACCACATGATTTGTCCTGACCTCTCATTTGCACCATGCATTTGTACTTGCTCCTTGATCCTGTGTCCTCTCACCATCTCGAAGGACCAACTTCCATTTCTTCTTAACTTGGAACTTGAAAGTGCCCTCTGACACTTAAGTATTTCATTCTCTTGCTTCCCCTTCATCTTGTATGTACCTGTACCTCTGTTACAGCATTTATCTGTCTTGCACATAGGTTTTTTAACATTTGCTTCCCCATCTGATAGTAGGCAACTTAAGAGTAAGGGCCACGTCTTTTCATTTATGCATATCCTGGGAGACAGATGATGCTCAATAGATATTTAAATGGTCTAGGCATCATGGCAGGTGCCTGTAATCCCGCTCCTTGGGAGGCTGAGGCAGGAAAATCTCTTGAACCCAGGAGATGGAGGCTGCAGTGAGCCAAGATCGTGCCACTGCACTCCAGTCTGGGTGGCAGAGTGAGACTCTGTCTCAAAAAATAAAATAAATAAATAAAAACTAAAATAAAAATAAGAATTAAAAAATATATTTATTAAATGAATGAACAAATGAAAGTACTAAATACTGATTTTTAACAGCTTTATGAAGACATAATTCACATACCATACAATTCGCCTATTTAAAGCATATAAGTTAATTTTATACTTTTTAAAAACTTTGTTTATAGTATAATCACAGATGTATGCAACCATTACGACAGTCAATTTCAGAGCATTTTCATCACTTCAAAAAGAAACCCCTTACCCCATAGCTATCACTCCCCTATGCCTTCATCTACCCCCTCATCCCTAAGCAAACATTAATCTACTTTCTGTCTCTATACATTTCTCTATTTTTTTAATTTTAATTTTTATTTATTTTTTTTTGAGACGGAGTTTCACTCTTGTTGCCCAGGCTGGAGTGCAATGGCGTGATCTCAGTTCACTGCAACCTCCACCTCCCAGGTTCAAGCAATTCTCCTGCCCCAGCCTCCCAAATAGCTGGGATTACAGACATGCGCCACCACACACAGCTAATTTTGTAACTTTAGTAGAGACAGGGTTTCACCATGTTGCCCAGGCAGTCTCAAACTCCTGACCTCAGGTGATCCACCCGCCTTGGCCTCCCAAAGTGCTGGGATTACAGGCATGAGCCACCATGCCCGACCACATTTCTGTATTTTGATAATTTTATATCAATGGAATAATACAATGTATGGCCTTTTGTGACTGTCTTCTTTCACTTGGTATAATATTTTCAAGATTTCTCCATGTTGTAGCTTGTTTCAGTACTTCACTTCTGTTTATAGCCAACTAATTCCTTGTATGCATACACCACATTTTCAGTTTCATCAGTTGATGGACATGTGGATTGTATTTACTCTTTGGCCTTTATAAATAATATCGTTATGAACATTCATATGCAAGGTTTTCTGTGGATATATGTTTTCATTTCTCTTGGGCACATACCTAGAAGTAGAATGGCGGGATCATACAGTAACTCTGTGTTCAACGATTTGAAGAACTGTGAGACTATTTTCTGAAGTGCCTGCACCATTTCAAATTCCCACCAACAGTGTATGAGGCTTCTAGTTTATATCACTGTCAAAACTTGTTCTCTGTCTTGTTTCTATCCAACTAGCGGATATGAAATGTTATGTCATTATAGTTTTTATTTGCAGTTCCCTGATGCAAATCTTTCTATGTAATTATTGGCTAATTTTTATATTTCCTTTAGTTTATTCAGATCATTTGCCCGTTTTTATTTTTGTTTTTATTTTGAGACAGAGTCTTACTTTGTCACCCTGGCTGGAGTGCAGTGGCGTGATCTTGGCTGACTGCAACCTCCACCTCCCGGGTTCAAGCAATTCTCCTGCCTCAGCCTCCTGAGTAGCTGGGATTACAGGTGCACGCCACCATGCCCAGCTAATTTTTGTATTTTTAGTAGAGACAGGGTTTCACTATGTTGGCCCGGCTGGTCTTGAACTCCTGACCTCAGGTGATCCACCCACCTCAGCCTCCTAAAGTGCTGGGATTACAGATGCGAATCACTGCGACCAGACTGTAATCCCAGAAGAAGGGTAGTTTTAGCTTTTACATTTAGCTTTTAAATCTATTTAGGCTTATTTTTTCTGTGTAGTATGAGGTTAAGGATCCAACTTCTGTATTTTGCATGTGACTATCTAACTGTCCCTGCACCATCTGTCGAAAGGACGACCCTTTCCTCGTTATATGGCCTTGGCACCCTTGTTGAAATCAGTTGACCATAGATATACCAAAGTAGTGATTTAAAATTTGTGTTTAGATAATAATATAAAACACCTTGGTTGAATAATGAAAGCGGAGACTGCTTCTCTTGTCTTTTTATACTGCTTCCACAAATATGAGGGACAGAGAAGCCCTGCTATCACCTAACCTGTTATTATGTAGAAAGGCAGTTCCTACTGATCATTGTGTTCAATATTTTATCATTGTTTCTTTTTTTAAATTTAAATTTAATTTAATTTAATTTTTTTTGAGACGAAGTCTTGCTCTGTTGCCCAGGCTGGACTGCAGTGGTGCGATCTCAGCTCACTGCAGCCTTCACCTCCCAGGTTCAAGCAATTCTCTTGCCTCAGCCTCCTGAGTAGCTGAGATTACAGGTGTGCATCACCACACCTTGCTAATCTTTTCTTTTCTTCTTTTTCTTTTCTTTTTTGAGATGGAATCTCTCTCTGTCACCCAGGCTGGAGTGCAGTGGTGCAATCTCGGCTCATTGCAATCTCCGCCTCCCGTTCAAGCAATTCTCCTGCCTCAACCTCCCGAGTAGCTGGGATTACAGGCGTGCACCACTATGCCCAGCTAATTATTTTTGTATTTTTAGTAGAGATGGGGTTTTACCATGTTTGCCAGGCTGGTCTCCAACTCCTGGCCTCAAGAGATCTGCCCACCTCGGCCTCCCAAAGTGCTGGGATTACAGGCATGAGCGACAGCACCCTGCCATGTTTCTTATATCTTTTAAATATATTTGGCATGGTGAAGTGGCTCACACCTATAACTCCAGCACTTTGGGAGGCCAAGGTGGTAGGATTGCTTGAGCCTGGAAAGTCAAGGCTGCAGTGAGGTGTGGTCACACCACTGACGGGGTTAGACACTATCTAATATACACACACACAAACACACACACACACACACACACATCAATTTTCCCAGATTGTCATCAGTTTTCCTTCATCACTTCATCTTACCTCTCCTAAGTATCTTTATTTACTCCTCCTTTCTTTCTCTGTTTTGGTATCAATTTCTTCTATTTTCTAATAATTATGAAAGCATTCAGAATAAATAATAACCATTCCTGTCAAATGAGCCTTTATAATAGGTTTTAGAACCCAGCTTCCCTTGACATTTGTTTGAAAAGGCTCACCGAGGTTTGAATTGTTTTGAATTGAGGGTACAAGCACTTGGTTTCTCTCCTTCTTATATAATTTTGTGGTGATGAAACCATAGTTGAATGTGGCCTTTTAGGATGGCCATGGCCTGAGAATCCACACTTGGCTTCTATCTAAAGCTGATTCAGATTCTGAAAATGGCTGTTGAAGGCAACACTAAAACCCATGGGGAATGTGAAAATTACAACTTTCCAGAATATCAGTCTCTTCAGAGTGTAAAACCAACACTAAAAAGTTCTCATCTTTCTTTCAGCTAATTTGAAATAGCAAGCAAAGAGGAAGGGATTTTATTTCCAAAAACAAATAACACCCTCCATTACTGTTGCTTATGGTATTCACTTAGTTTTTAGTCAGTTGATTAGAAGATATTTGTTGAGCACCTAATGTATACCTCCTCCCTGGGCTCAGTTTTCTAAGAAATAAAAACATTTAAGACATGGTGCCTGTTCTTCAGAAAGTTCTAGTTTCACTGGAGGGATAAAAATAGTACGTAAAAATTGAGAGGAAATTCAAGCTGAGTGTGGTGGCTCACGCTGTAATTCCAGCACTTTGAGAGGATGAGATGGGTGGATTACCTGAGTCAGGAGTTCAAGACAAGCCTGGGCAACATGGCAAAACCCTGTCTACTAAAAATACAAAAATTAGCTGGGCATGGAGGCACACGCCTGTAATCCCAGCTACTGGGGAGACCGAGGCAAGAGAATTGCTTGAACCCAGGAGGTAGAGGTTGCAGTGAGCTGAGATCCACAACACTGCCCTCCAACCTGGGCGACAGAGTGAAACTCTGTCTCAAAAAAAAAGAGGAAGTCAAAGAATTTCTTTAAAAGAAAAAAAAAGAGAGGAAATTCAAAGAGAGGGCAAGACCTGTATGGATTGCTCCTTAGTTGGGATATGTTCACAGAGACCTTAGGGCTTAATCTGTCCATTTAAAATAGTCCCACTATCTCCATTGACACTTTATATGAATGACAGCCAGGCACCTTCTGCTCTTTCCGTCATGCTGGTGCAGCCCCTCACCTCCACACAGGACACAGGACTGGTCATGAAGGCCTGGAGTTGGATTTCAGCCCCTGAACCTAGGTTCCCTTGTACAGTGAACAACCTGTATTACTGTACAAGGAGCCCCTAAAGTTCCAAGATACATGTGCAGAACGTGCAGGTTTGTTACATAGGTAATAGTGTGCCATGGTGGTTTGCTGGCACCTAGGTATTAAGCCCTGCATGCACCGTGCCCTCCCACTGCTACTGGCCCCAGTATGTGTTGTTCCCCCCGGGCCGTGTCCATGTGTTCTCATTGTTCAGTTCCCACTGATGAGTGAGAACATGTGGGTTTGGTTTTCTGTTCCTGTGTTAGTTTGCTGGGGATGATGGCTTCCAGCTTCATCCATGTCCCTGCAAAGGACGTGTAGTTTCAATTTCTTCAGGGAAGTGAAAATGGGAAGAAGTGAGGGAACACCATGAGTAAGGAACCAAGGTGAGATTGAGTATGTTCTATTCAGTGTCTGATATGCAGGCTGGTGAAGGAGGGTAGAAGATCCTCGTTGTCAGACTATAAAGTACTGTTTCTTCCCTTGTTCCTCACCTTTTCCAGTATGCAGTAGTTTTACTCATAAATATTAACTGAGCAGCTGTTTATTAGTTCCAAACCAAATTATTATGAAAATTATATCAATTTAGCTATGTAACATGTGCTCTATAGACAATAGCATAGTACTTAAAAATATCAATGCTCATGTGAGCATTTCTCCCTAATTAATACTTTCTTGCTGTCAAGGCCAAGGGAAAACTTTCCCTTTCTTGCTGTTGGGGCCAAGGGAGAAAAGGCATATATATTTATGGATAGTTTTATGTGACATAGGAACCTTTAAAATGAAGACCCAAAGATACAGGGGAAATTGTCCATTTTTATGCTAGGGTTCAAGAAATTATGAACAGTTGTGTAGAAATATGACTGGAGGCTGGGCGTGGTGGCTCACGCCTGTAATCCCAGTACTTTGGGAGGCCAAGGCAGGCAGATCACTTGAGGTCAGGAGTTTGAGAACAGCCTGGCCAACATGGTGAAACCCCGTCTCTACTGAAAATACAAAAATTAGCTGGGCATGGTGGCACACGCCTATAATCCTAGCTACTTGGGAGGCTGAGGCATGAGAATCACTTAATCACTTGAATCCAGGAGGTGGAGGTTGCAGTAAGCCAAGATTGTGCCACTGCACTCCAGCCTGGGTGACAGAGCAAGACTCTGTCTCAAAAAAAAAAAAAAAGAAAGAAAGAAATATGATTGGACAAAAAGGGTATGATCTACGGTTAATAGACTCAGTGGGGAAACCCAGTAAAGCCCGTCTATCTAGATTCTTCTTGGCCTTTCTGAGCATGCATTCCTTCTGAGTGTGGGGTAAGACCCTCTCTGGAATGGGGGTCTTATGACCTACAGTCAAACAAGATAGGTCAGATAGCTTCTTTTTTTTTTTTTTTTTTCTTAAGACAGATTCTCACTCTGTCACCCAGGCTGGAGTTCAGTGGCACGATCTTGGCTCACTGCAACCTCCACCTCCCCAGTTCAAGCAATTCTCCTGCCTCAACCTCCCGAGTATCTGAGATTACAGGTGCCCACCACCACGCCCGGCTAATTTTTTGTATTTTTAGTAGAGATGGGGTTTCAACATGTTGGCCAGGCTGGTCTCAAGATCCTGACCTCAGGTGATCCACCCGCCTTGGCCTCCCAAAGTGCTGTGATTACAGGCGTGAGCCACCATGCCTGGCCAAGGTAATGGTTTTAATATTTGGGTGAATGAATAATTAACTTTTTTTTTTTTTTTGGAGACAGGGTCTCACTCTGTCATCCAGACTGGAGCACAGTGGTGCAATCACAGCTCACTGCAGCCTCAAACTCCTGGGCTCAAGTGATCCTCCCACCTCAGCCTCCTGAGCAGCTAAGACTACAGGCATGTGCCACTACACCCAACTAATCTTTTGGTATTTTTTGTTGAGATGGGGTTTTGCCATATTGCCCAGGTTGGTCTTGAATTCCTGGGCTCAAGTAATCCTCCCACCTTGGCCTCCCAAACTGCTGGGATTAAGGTGTGAGCCAGCATGCCCAGTCTGTTTTGCTTTTAAAAATAATTGATCATATTAACACATGACTTGTTTTTTAAAGCTCTCTTTCTAAATTCTGAAGCATCTTTTTGACCTAAGCCCCACAGGCCATTTTGTCTCCCTCCCTGGCTTTTGCTCCTGTACATCATTCACATCTATTCCCAGGTTACACAGGGCCTCCTCAGCTCTTTTGAATTTTTTTTCCCAGTGTACAAGGAGATCGCTATCAGCTTATTTCTATTCTTGTACTGGCCCCTAAATGTAGTAGTTCCTTCTATTGTAGTGCTGCCTTCCCTCTAGGTTAATACGGGTCTGGGAAATCTGAGTCAGATATAGATCCAGGAAAGGTGGAAATCAGCTCACATGCACAAGCAAAACCTGGTGAGTGCTTGCAGCAGGCAAATATTGGTGTGTGTGTGTGTGTGTGTGTGTGTGTGTTTTGAGACAGTCTTGCTCTGTTGCCCAGACTGGAGTGCAGTGGCACAATCTTGGCTCACTGGAACCTCCGTCTCCTGGGTTCAAGCGATTCTCCTGCCTCAGCCTCTTGAGTAGCTGGGATTACAGGTGCCCGCCACCACACTTGGCTAATTTTGTATTTTTAGTAGAGACAGGGATTTGCCATGTTGGCCAGGATGGTCTTGAACTTCCAACCTGAGGTGATCTAACCACCTCGGCCTCCCAAAGTGCTGGGATTACAGGCATGAGCCACTGCACCCGGCCTCTATGATTGAATTTTAAGAGTTATTATGTTCTGGATGCAAATCTGTTATTAGACATAGTCTTTGCAAATATTTTCTCCCATTCTGTTCTTGATGGTATTGTTTGTAGCACAAAAGTTTTTAATTTTGAAATAGTCCAATTTGTCTATTTCTCTGTTATGTTGCTTGTGCTTTTGGCCTCCTATCTAAGAAAACATGCCTAATCCAAGCCTATGGAAACTTGCTACTTACGTTTTCTTTCAAACATAGGAGTTTTATAATTTTAGCTCTTAATGTTTAGTTCCATAATCCATTTTGACATAATTTTTTTCCTTTCTTTTTTTTTTTGAGTCAAAGTTTCGCTGTTATTGCCCAGGCTGGAGTGCAATGGTGTGATCTTGGCTCACCGCAACCTCTCCCTCCTGAGTTCAAGCGATTCTCCTGCCTCAGCCTCCCAAGTAGCTGGGATTACAGGCATGTGCCACCACGCCCAGCTAATTTTGTATTTTGGGTAGAGACGGGGTTTCTCCATGTTGGTCAGGTTGGTCTCGAACTCTTGACCTCAGGTGATCCACCCACCTTGGCCTCCCAAAGTGCTGGGATTACAGGTGTGAGCCACTGCACCCTGCTGACATAATTTTTATATAAGGCATGAGGTATATATTAAAAACCACTGAATTGTACGTGTTAAATAGGTTAATTGTATGGTATGTGAATTATCTCTGAGTAAAGCTGGAAGAAGAAGGAAGGGGAGGGTGCGGGAGAAGAGAAGGAGAAGAACTCATCTTGGCAGCATCTGCTTCCTCTTTCTTGAGCCCCGCATCACCAGGTCCAGACTTCCTTACTGGAGAGAGGCTATTTTGAGGGGTACCGCAGAGCCAACGATCCACTTCTGGCCATCATCTGCATGTAATTGTGAGTGATCCCAAGCTAGAGTCATAGAGGAGCTGCCCAGGTGAACCCCAGACAATGCATACAATACTAACATATAATTAAATGATGGTTATTTTAAGCCACCAAGTTTGGGAGTAGCTTGTCATATGGCAAAAATAATTGCAACAAGTAGTAAGTCAAACTCTTGCTTTAACATTGCGACTACATATTAATCCTAAAATAAAATCCCACGAAAGGCGTGGTCTTCAAAATAAGAACCTGGATGGGGACATTAGTTGATTATAAGGGGAAGTGAAAT
Organism: Homo sapiens; assembly: GCF_000001405.40. Taxonomy (NCBI): domain Eukaryota; kingdom Metazoa; phylum Chordata; class Mammalia; order Primates; family Hominidae; genus Homo; species Homo sapiens. The sequence continues at coordinate 119,956,328 of NC_000008.11, forward strand.
AAGGAAGCGCTAAGGCTGGTGGAGCATGTTGTAAATGGCAAGTTGATCCAATCCAGGCAGGCATGCCAGCTGGCCTCAGTCCTAAAGCTCACACTGGCAGAAGCAGCTAACCAGTCACTTGTCCAGAGGCCACCAGATACTTAGTAGGAGCTCTAGAGGGCTGGCAGGTCATGTTTCTAGTTACAAGAAATGACACAAGTTAACCCCATCCACTGGCCCTCCCCATTCCCTGAAAGGAAATTCACTGAACTGGAAGGGACAGAGTGGTCAGAACCAGGGATAAAGGCCAGGAGTCTGTGTCTGTGTCTTAAATGGAGACTATCAATAGTGCCAAAGTCTCTTGATTATCTCCACACAGGTCTCCTTTTTTTTTTTTTTTTTTAAGAGACAGGGTTTTTTGTTTTTTTTTTTTGTTTTTTTTTTTTTAGATGAAGTCTCATTCTGTCACCCAGGCTGAAGTGCAATGTCACAATCTCAGCTCACTGTAACGTCTGCCTCCTGGGTTCAAGTGATTCTCCTGCCTCAGCCTCCCAAGCAGCTGGGATTATAGGCACCCACCACCACACCCAGCTAATTTTTTTGTGTTTTTAGTAGAGACGGGGTTTCACCCTGTTGGTCAGGCTGATCTTGAACTCCTGATCTCAGGTGATCTACCTGCCTTGGCCTCCCAAAGTGCTGGGATTACAGGCATGATTCACTGTCCCTGGCCAGAGACAGGGTCTTGCTGTGTCATCCAGGCTGGAGTGCAGTGGCACAATCATAGCTCACTGCAACTTTGAACTCCTGGGCTCAAGGGATCTTCCTGCCTTAGCCTCCCAAAGTGCTGGGATTGCAGGTGGGAGTGAGCAACTGCACCCAGCTTGGGGTTGTTTTTAGTATATACTTGGATAATGATGTATAGCAGGAGAATGCATATAATTAAATTTAATTTATTCACTTAGCTTTTTGAAAACCTACTGTGCTAGGAAAAAACTGTGAACCACATAGACAGGGACTCTGGTCTCAAAAAGCTTCTAATCAAGTGAGCAAGTAATTCCCCTAGGCTTCGAGAGGGACCTTAGAAATGGTACATGGTCCAGATTTGTAGGAATTGCAGATTTCTTAGAGAAAGTGATATCTAAAACCAGAAAACTGAGGACGCTAGTTTTTCTTCCATTTTGTCCTCCAAGACAGCTTATTTGAGGGTCAAAAGAAATGAAGGAATGGTGGTATTTCTTGCCTGGGCATGCACATGGGTCCTTCTATTTTTTTTTTCTTTCTTTCTTTCTTTTTTTTTTTTCAGACAGAGTCTTGCTCTGTCGCCCAGGCTGGAGTGCAATGGTGCAATCTTGGCTCACTGCAACCTCCGCCTCCTGGGTTCAAGCGATGCTCCTGCCTCAGCCTCCCATGTAGCTGGAATTATAGGCACGCGCCACCATGCCCGGCTAATTTTTGTATTTTTAGTAAAGACAGGGTTTCACCATGTTGGCCAGGATGGTCTTGAACTCCTGACCTCAAGTGATTCGCCCACCTTGGCCTCCCAAAGTGCTGGGATTTTACAGGCGTGAGCCCCTGCTCCCGGCCTCTATTTTCTTTTCTAGATTCTTGTCATCATTCCATGTGGCTTTATTCTATTCAGTTTATTCCCTGGAACTTCAGTGTTCATCCATCATTCTGTTGTGACTTTCCGAGCTATGTAACATGCCTCAGTGTGTGTGGTTTCATGTATCTTTGCCACTGCTTATTCATACAAATGTGTTCCAGCTATCTATTCCTACAAAACAAGTCATACTAAGATTTAGCAGTCTAAAACAACAATGATGTGTTATTTCTTCTGATTACATGGTTTGCGTGGTGGTTACTCTATTGGTTTCATGTGGGCACATTCATCTGCTTGCTGAAGGGTCAGCTGGGCTGGAAGGTCCAGGATGCCCTCATTCACATGTCTGAGAGCTGGTGCTTGCTGTTGCTTGGACAACCTGGTCCTCCTCCTGTGGCCTCTTCCCCTCTAATAAGCTAGACCTGCCCCCTTTCATGGTGATTTCAGGAGGGCATTCCAAGGGGCAAAGGTGGAAGTTGTAAGGCCTCTTAAAGCCTCACCTTAGAAGTTGCATAATGTCACTTTCATTGCATCCTGTTGGTCAAAGCCAGTCACAAAGCTAGGCCAAGTTTATCACCTTAGAAGTTGCATAACGTGGCCGGGCATGGTGGCTCACACCTGTAATCCCAGCACTTTGGGAGGCCGAGGGTGAATCACTTGAGGTCAGGAGTTTGAGACCAGCCTGAACAACACGGTAAAATCCCATCTCTACTAAAAATACAAAAATTAGCCAGGTGTGGTGGCATGCACCTGTAATCCCAGCTGCTCAGGAGGCTGAGGCAGGGGAATAGCATGAACCCGGGAGGCAGAGGTTGCAGTGAGCCGAGATCACGTCACCGTACTCCAGCCTGGGTGACAGATCGAGACTCTATCTCAAAGAAAAAAAGAAAAAGAAGAAGAATAACCTCACTTTCACTGCATCCCGTTGGTCAGAGCAAGTCACAAAGCTAGCCCAAGTTCAAGGGAAATAGAAATGGACTCAGCATCTGGATGGGAGAAGCAATGAAGTCACACTGGAAGACACATGAGGAACTACTGTGTCCATCTTTGCATACAGTTTCCTAGAGAGTGTTTTTATGTTTCTGTCACTTGTGTTGACATACGTGTGACAGTTGTCCTTACCACCTTCTAAGAAGGGGTTGTCCATTATTATATTAAATAAAATTCATATCGCTTATACCAACTCTGCTGTTACTAACTTTGGGAAAGAAGCCTGTTGCCTGTTGGCTATTTCTTTTTCTTTCTTTCTTTCTTTTTTTTTTTTTTTTTTTTTTGAGACAGAATCTCGCTCTGTCACCCAGGCTGGAGGGAAGTGGCGCCATCTCGGCTCACTGCAAGCTCCGCCTCCCGGGCTCACGCCATTCTCCTGCCTCAGCCTCCTCAGCAGATGGGACTACAGGCGCCCACCACCACGCCCAGCTAATTTTTGTAAATTTAGTAGAGACAGGGTTTCACCGTGTTAGCCAGGATGGTCTCGATTTCCTGACCTTGTGATCCACCTGCCTCGGCCTCCCAAAGTGCTGGGATTACAGGCATGAGCCACTGCGCCCGGCCACCTGTTGGCTATTTCTAAGCATGGATTAAAGTGCAGAAGAGGTTTGATTTGGGAAAATATCTAAATAATCTTTTTTTTTTTTTGAAACGGAGTCTTGCTCTGTCACCCAGGCTGGAGTACAGTGGTGCGATCTCGGTTCACTGCAACCTCTGCCTGCCAGGTTCAAGTGATTCTCCTGCCTCAGCCTCCCACCACAGTAGCTGGGATTACAGGCATGCACCACCACACCCAACCAATTTTTGTATTTTTAGTAGAGATGGGGTTTCACTGTGTTGGCCAGGCTGGTCTTAAACTCATGACCTCAAGTAATCCACCCTCCTTGGCCTCAAAATGCTGGGATTACAGGTGTGAGCCTCTGTGCTTGGCCTCTAAATAAGATTTTTAAATGACTTCTGTTACATGCTGAATGAGAAGGTCTTTAATGAGTTCTATTAGATGCTTATACCTTGTATACTCTTATACTCTTAATAAGGGTGTACATTCATGGGCCAGGCGCAGTGGCTCACACCCGTAATCCCAGCACTTTGGGAGGCTGAGGTGGGCAGATCACGAGGTCAGAAGTTCGAGACCAGCCTAGCCAACATGGTGAAACCTCATTTCTACTAAAGATACAAAAATTAGACATGGTGGCACACGCCTGTAATCCCAGCAACTCAGGAGGCTGAGGCAGGAGAATTGCTTGAAGCTGCAAGGCAGAGGTTGCAGAGAGCCAAGATCATGCCACTGCACTCCAGCCTGGGTAACAGGGCAAGACTCCCTCTCAAAAAAAAAAACAAAAAACAAAAAACAAAAAAACAGTATACATTCATATACTTAGAACTTCACTTGCCCCCAAGATTTTTGATGATAACAACAATTTAGTGAAGGAAGTGGAACAGGTATTATCTTCCTCATTTAATATGAGTTTGGGAGACAGTGAGAAGGTACATGACTAGTTTGTAGCAGAGCTGTGTTTGGGTCCCAGGCACCTAATTTCTAATCCTGAGTCCCTTCCATGGATTTCAAATAGAACTCTAATCATTCTTCTAGGAAGAGAGAAGGGACCTTAAAGGAATCTCCATTTTCATCAGTTCATAGCTATGAAGGCAGAAATTCATCTTGCCCCAATGTAGGTACAATGATTACTTACATAGCATAACACTTTATGTACACTGTACATTATTTCTTATTACAAAGTTGTTTCATTCACACTCATGATTTTCACAAGAGCTGGGTAAGGATACCATTATAGTCTTGAGAAAAACAAGGTCGAATAAAAGAAAAGTGGCTCCCAGCACGTTGGAAGGCTGAGGCTGGCGGATCACCTGAGGTCAGGAGTTTAAGACCAGCCTGGCCAACATGATGAAACCCCGTCTCTACTAAAAATACAAAAATTAGCTGGGCTTGGTGGCACGTGCCTGTAATCCCAGCTACTTGGGAGGCTAAGGCAGGATAATTGCCTGAATCCGGGAGGCGGAGGTTGCACTGAGATTGCACCATTGCACTCCAGCCTGGGTGACAAGAGTGAAACTCCATCTCAAAAAAGAAAGAAAGAAAGAAAGAAAAGTGGCTTGCCTTACATCTCAAAGTTATTAAGTGACTCACTGGGATAAACTTAAATCTTTGAATGCATAGTCAAATGTTCTTTCTACCATTATATTCTTGAGAAAAACAAGGCTGAATAAAAGAAAAGTGGCTGGGCACAGTGGATCACGTCTGTAATCCCCGCCCTTTGGGAGGCTGAGGCGGGTGGATCACCTGAGGTTGGGAGTTCGAGACCAGCCTGATGAGCATGGAGAAACCCCGTCTCTATGAAAAACACAAAATTAGCCAGGTGTGGTGGTGCATGCCTGTTATCCCAGCTACTTGGGAGGCTGAGGCAGGAGAATCGCTTGAACCTGGGAGGTAGAGGTTGCGGTGAGCTGAGATTGCATCATTGCACTCCAGCCTGGGCAACAAGAGTGAAACTCCGTATCAAAAAAAAAAAAAAAAAGTGGCTTGCCTTACATCTCAAAGCTACTAAGTGACTCACTGGGATAAACTTAAATCTTTGAATTCCTTGTCCAGTGTTCTTTCTACAGCATGGTTGGGCTCTGAGTCTAAAAGCATTGAAAATAAACATCATATGGCATTCAGGTACAGGGCTTAATTACCTCCAAATGCAATGATTGATAGGTATAGAGTGAGTGTTTGCATGACCTTGAGCAAGTTTCCTTCCCACCACACTGAAAGCTGCAGTTCCATTTTTCTCATTTGAATGGGAACTACATTTTTCTCATGTGAATAAAGAGGGTTTGGACTACAATGATCTCCAAGGTTTCTTCCTACTCTAGAATGAAATAGTTCAATTTGTATTGTATATTATTATTAGTTTCAAAGGAAATGAAAGTTTTTAAAAGAGACAGCCAGACTTTCATATGGAAGACAGGAACTCATCAGGAATAATTTTACAGAGGAAGATGACACAATGACCGTGACATTTTATATGGTTCAATTTTTAATTTAACAAAGTTTTATGGGCCAGGTGTGGTAGCTCACCCCTGTAATCCCAGCACTTTGAGAGGCCAAGGCCAGCAGATCACTTGAGGTCAGGAGTTTGAGACCAGCATGGCCAACATGGTGAAAACCCATCTCTACTAAAAATACAAAAAAAAAAAAAAAAAAAAAGTAGCTGGACATGGTGGTGCATGCCTGTAGTTCCAGCTACTTGGGAGGCTGAGGCAGGAGAATCACCTGAACTTGGGAGGTGGAGGTTGCAGTGAGCTGAGATTGCACCACTGCACTCCAGCCTGGGTGACAGAGCAAGACTCTGTCTCAAACAAAACAAAACAAAAACAAAAAACCCCAAAGTTTTATGGACAAACATGGACTCAACCTTCTTGGAGCCTATAATTGACCTGTCTTTAATCTGATAATCACAGAAACTGTACAGGGAGCAATGAGATGGTCTAATTGAGACCTGACCATAACCGAGATGCAAAACAAGAAGTCAAGTAGGCATGGGAGGGTGTGGTGGGGAGAAGAGAGGGAGAGCATTCTAGCCATGGGGATGGCAAATTCAAAGGCCTGTGGTAGATGGGGCATGGTATGTTTGAGGAACTGAAAGAGGGCAGGATCACGCATACTTTATAGGCTATGTGAAGAATTTTGGTCTTTATCCTAAAAGCAATGAGAAGCTATTGAAGTGTATTTTCAACAGGGGAAGGACATTATCAGGTTTGAATTTTTAAAAGATAATTTAATAGCTATGTGTAGACTTAGGGGTCCAAGGTTGGGTTGAGAATAAGAGTGGATGCATAGTATAGTCAATTAAGAAAACACTGTAGTTGTCTAGGTTAAAGTATTGGTGTTTTAGACTAAGGTAGTGGCAGTGCCTGAGATGGGAAGGCTTAGACATACATGAGAGAGATTTAGGAGTTCAAGTTCACAGTTCATGCTGATGACTGGGCAGGGGGTGAGGAAGAGAGAGGGGCCAAGGACAATGCCTCATTTTCTGGCTGGACAATGTAAGCATTGACTGGCACAGGACCGGGTTTGGAAGGAAGAACGTGAGCTCAGTTTTGGGCTTGTTGATTTTGAGATGGCTTTGAGAAATCTATGTGGATGCAAAGCTGTAGGGTTGGGAGTATAGGCCTGGTCTGGGAATATAAATTTGGGAATCTGGAATGTGGATAGTAATCGAAGACAGGAAATGGAGGAGCTCACTAGAGAGACTATGGAATGAGAAAAGAGGTATGTAGGGACTGAATCTCAAGGAATTCCAGCCTTTAAAGTCCAGGGAGATGCAGATAAGCCAACACAAGGATGGCTGAGTAAGAGGTAGGAGCAGAGGGCAGGTCGAAAACCAATAGAGTGTGATTGATGTCCCCCTAGCCAAGGGCAGTGGTCAGTACCTTCTACTATTGGGTTTTGTTTTGTTTTTTTTTTTGAGACGGAGTCTCCCTCTGTCACTCAGGCTGGAGTGCAGTGGTGTGAACTCGGCTCACTGCAACCTCTGCCTCTGGGTCAAGCAACTCTCCTGCCTCAGCCTCCTGAGTAGCTGGTACTACAGGCATGTGCCAATGTGTCTGGCTAATTTTTTTGTATTTTTAATAGAGATGGGGTTTTGTCATGTTGCCCAGGCTAATCTCAAACCCCTGACCTCAAGTGATCCACCAGCCTCAGCTTCCCAAGGTGCTGGGACTACAGGTGTGAGCTACCAATCCTGGACCCATATACTGGTATTAAAGTCAACCAGAATAAGGACTGACATTTGTGTTACATTGCATCATATATGGATGCATAGGGGAACACTTATAGGCCCAGTTGGAGCTATTTTGGAGATGTGAAAATGGAATCCAGAGGAGTTGAGGAATGCCTGGGAAGACAGGTGTGAGAAGCAAGCTATGTGGGTATGGGAGGATTTCAAAAGAGTCACCTATGTAGTCGTCTTAGTTCAGGCTACTGTAACAAAATATACCATAGGCTGAGTAGCTTAAACAACAAACATTTGTTTGGGAGGTCCAAGATCAAGGTGCCAGCAGATCCAGTGACACCTGCTTCTTGGTTTGCAGGTGGCTGCTTCTTGGTTTGATCCTGCTTCTTGGTTTGCAGATGGCTGTCTTCTGGCTATGTTCTCACGTGGCAAGAGCAGAGAGAGAGAAAGAGAGCAAGCTCCCTTTTGTCTGTTTTGATAAGGGCACTAATGCCACCACGATGGCTCCAGCCTTGTAACCTAACTACCTCCCAAATGTGCCACCTGCAAATGTCATCACATTAGCGACTAGAGATTCACCATATGTAATTAGCACGGACCGCTGGGCACGGTGGCTCACGCTGGTAATCTTGGCACTTTGGGAGGCCAAGATGGGCGGATCACGAGGTCAGGAGTTCGAGACCAGCCTGGACAATATGGTGAAACCCCGTCTCTACTAAAAATACAAAAATTAGCCGGGTGTAGTGGCATGTGCCTGTAATCCCAGCTACTCTGGAGGCCAAGGCAGGAGAATCGCTTGAACCCAGGAGGTGGAGGTTGCAGTGAGCCAAGGTCGCACCATTGCACTCCAGCCTGGGCAACAAGAGTGAAAGCCCGTCTCAAAAAAAAAAAAAAAAAAAAAAAAAAAAAAAAATTAGTGAGGACACACTCAGTTCACAGCACTTGTCTTCTTAGCACAGAAGTGAAATAATGCAATTAGGAAAGAAATACTAGCTTTTTCAGAATGGTAGAATAGAACATGAAATTGTAACCTCTTTTCAAGATTGCTAACTTGAATACAGTCTGCTAATCGTAGAGTTTTGGATTGCATTTCCAATTTTTTTTTTGAAATTACTAGGAGAAAATGCATCTTGTTTGCTTCTGAAGCAATTAGAAATTACATGTGTGGTAGGCTGGGCTTGTAATCCCAGCACTTTGGGAGGCCGAGACGGGTGGATCACCTGAGGTTGGGAGTTCAAGACCAGCCTGACCAACATGGAGAAAACCTGTCGCTACTAAAAATACAAAATTAGCTGGGTGTGGTGACACATGCCTGTAATCCCAGCTATTCGGGAGATCAAGGTAGAAGAATTGCTTGAACCCAGGAGGCGGAGGTTGCAGTGAGCCAAGATCACGCCATTGCACTCCAGCCTGGGCAACAAGAGCGAAAATCTGTCTCAAAGAAAGAAAAAAGAAATTACATGTGTGGTGGCACCTGACAGCTGCATCTGTCTGTCTGACAACTTTGCTGTAGTACTTCATGGAAATCTATGATTTCAAATGAGCTGTTTTCCTTTCGTATAGGTTTACTTTTCTTTTCCCTTTTTTTCTTCCCAGGCTGATGAGCCCTGAAAACACACTCCTGCAGCCCAGGGAGGAGGAAGGGGTCAAGTATGAGCGCACCTTCATGGCATCTGAATTCCTGGACTGGCTGGTTCAGGAAGGTGAGGCCACCACGAGGAAAGAGGCAGAGCAGCTTTGCCACCGGCTTATGGAGCATGGCATCATCCAGCATGGTGAGCGTATTGGGCAGCTTTTGCTGCAGGAACAAACAGCCAGCCCCAAATCTTGTGTCTTACAACAACACGTACTTATTTCTCACTCATGAATCTGTAAGTCAGCTGCACCTCTGCTTATGTTCAGCTTGTCTCCAAGTTGGGGGTCAAATTCAGGTCTGTGCTCCACGCCTTTCCATTCTGGGACACAGACTAAAGGAATATCCACTGTCTGTGATGTGTTGTTTTTAATAAATTATTGCAGATGCTAAAGAGGGCAGGCAGGTTCTTATAGCGCTTCCAAAAGTTGCTGCTTGGATGTGATGTAACATCACAACTTTGTATCTAACTGGCTAAAGCAAGTCATGAAGTCAAGTATAATATGGAGTTGGGAAGTGGATGCCTCCCAGAAGGTTGGTTGTTAGAGAATAAACATTTCCTGAACCATGATGTAAGCTGCCACAGTGAAGAGTTAAGCCAAAGAGCCTTCATAAAAGTATCACTTTCCGTTTAGGGCCAAATCATAATGATGCAATGTAAGTTACTGGTTAAGAAGTGTTTTAGTCAGCCCTTTGTATCTGTGGGTTCTGCATCTGTGTATTTAACCAACCATGAATTTAAAATCTTTGGAAAAAAGTCGTGTCTGAACTACACACACACAGACATTTTTTCATCATTATTCCCTAAACAGTACAATGTAACAACTACTTACAGAGTGTTTACATTGTATCGGGTATTTTACATTGTATCTGACCTACGTTGGTTAACTGTAGGTCATGAGACTCCCATTCCAAGTCCGGCACGGTGGCTCACACTTGTCATCCCAGCACTTTGGGAGGCTGAGGTGGGTGGATCACCTGAGGTGAGGAGTTCAAGACCAGCCTGGCCAACATGGTGAAACCCCATCTCTACTAAAAAATACAAAAATTAGCTGGGTGTTGTGGTGCACGTCTGTAATCCCGGCTACTCAGGAAGTAATCTAGAGATGATTTGAAGTATACAAAAGGATGTGCGTAGGTTATACATGTAAGGGCCAAGAGAACACTTTCCCCTTTGCCCTCTGAAGGTTTGCTGAAAATCACTGACAAGAGGCAGATTTGTTTTGTTTTGTTTAAGGCAGAGTCTCCTTCCGTCACCCAGGCTGGACTGCAAAGGCACCATCTCAGCTCACTGCAACCTCCGCCTCCCAGGTTCAAGTGATTCTCATGCCTCAGCCTCCTGAGTAGCTGGAATTACAGTGGGATTACAGGTGCACTAATTTTTGTATTTTTAGGGGAGGGATTTGCCATGTTGGCCAGGCTGGCCTCTAACTACTGGCCTCAAGTGATCCACCCACCTTGGCCTCCCGAAGAACTGGGATTACAGGCGTGAACAACCATGCCGGGCCCAAGAGGCAGATTAATAGGAGAAAAGGCATACAAATTTATTAACATGTATGGCAGCCTTCAGAATGAAAAGCCAGAGATACAGGGAAAATCATCCATTGTTATGCTTATGTTCAACAAAGTATGGACAGTTATGTAGAAATATGATTGGACAAAAAGGGTATGATCTAAAGTTAATAGACTGAGTAGAGCAGCCCAACAAGGCCTGTCTGTATAGATTCTTTTTGGCCTCTCTGCAGCATTCATTCCTCCTGGGTGTAGGGCAGGACCCTTTCTGGAATGGGAGTCTTTTTTGTTTTGTTTTGTTTTGTTTTGTTTTTTTGAGATTGAGTCTCTCTTTGTCACCCAGGCTGGAGTGCAGTAGCATGATCTTGGCTCACTGCAACTTCCGCCTCCCAGGTTCAGGTGATGCTTCTACCTTAGCCTTCCGAGTTGCTGAGATTACAGACGTGCACCACAACACCCAGATAATTTTTGTATTTTTTAGTAGAGATGGGGTTTCACCATGTTGGCCAGGCTGGTCTTACAGTCTTCACCTCAGGTGATCCATCTGCCTCAGCCTTCCAAAGTGCTGGGATTACAAGTGTGAGCCACCATGCCCGGCTTGGAATGGGAGTCTTATGACCTACAGTTAACCAACGTAGGTCAGATAATTTCTTTATGGCCTGTTTTTACACAGAAAGGCAGAGGGAAAGTTAGAGTAATATTTTAAGATTTTATGTAATCCCAGCACTTTGGGAGGCTGAGGCTGGTGGATCACCTGAGGTCAGGAGTTCGAAACCAGCCTGGCCAACATGGTGAAACCCCATCTCTACTAAAAATACAAAACATTAGCTGGGTGTGGTGGTGTGTGCCTGTAGTCTCAGCTACTCAGGAGGCTGAGGCAAGAGAATCGCTTGAACCCTGGAGGTGGAGGTTGCAGTGAGCCAAGATTGTGCCACTGCATTCCAACCTGGGTGGCAGAGCAAGACTTCGTCCCAAAAAAAAAAAAAAAAAAGAGTAAGTATTGTTTTACAGTACTTTTATTTCATTTAGATATACACTATAAAACATAGGGACATATGCAGGTGTATATTGAGTTACAACCTAAAAATTATTTGTTACTGTGTATTGGAGTCAAATATTTTGGAAGCCATGGATCTAGAGGCATTGCTTGGAGTGAGTGACACTGTATTCCAGGCTGCTTTCTCCTGTGCAGTTCTGCCACAGTTGGACTCACAGCTGTCTGTTGGTGGCCTAACATGTCTAGCTCTGGTTTAAGTTCACTGAGGAAAGGAAGATGGACAGGGAAGCACAGTGCTGGTGTGATCCCTGACCTTAAGCAGTTCATAGTATTGTCAGGACTATGAGATGGTTATAGAAGCAATTAGAGAACAGTAGAAGATGTGCTATCTATTTCATTTATTTATTTATTTTATACTATATGCCAGGCACTGTGCTAATCCTTTTACCCTTATTAACTTATTAATAAATAAACTCTATGAGGTAGATATTCTTTTTTTAAAAAATGTATTGTGATAAGAACATTAATATGAGAGCTACCTTCTTTTATTATTATTATTTTTTTTTTGGGACAGTTACTGCTCTGATCATGCAGGGGCAGATCTCGGCTCACTGCCACCTCCACTTCCCAGGTTCAAGGGATTCTCCTGCCTCAGCCTCCCGAGTAGCTGTGCACCACCACACTCAGCTGATTTTTGTATTTTTAGTAGAAACAGGATTTCACCATGTTGGCCAGGTGGGTCTTGAACTTCTGACCTCAAGTGATGCGCCTGCCCCGGTCTCCCAAAGTACTGGGATTACAGGCGTAAGCCACCATGCCTGGCCTGAGAGCTCCCTTCTTAACAAATGTTTAGATGTACAATACTATAGGGCCAGTATTTTTATTATCTCCATTTTACAAATCAGAAGGTGAAGGCACCAATAGGATAAATCACTTGTCTGAGGCCACTCAGGTAGTAATGTCCAAATGGATATTACTGCTAGTAAGTGTGACCTTGGAGTTGGGTGGGATGACTGGGGTTTTCCCCAGTGAAAAATGGTAGGTTTGGGTTACAGTTGGTTCTTTCATATCTTTGCTCTACAGAGAAAAAGTAAGATGAGGCTGGGCATGGTGGCTCAGCGAGCTGGCCAACATTGTGAAACCCCGTCTCTACTATAAAAACAAAAATTAGCCGGGAGTCATGGTGGATGCCTGTAATCCCAGCTACTTGGGAGGCTGAGGCAGTAAGAATCGCTTGAACCCTGGAGGTGGAGGTTGCAGTAAGCCAAGATCACGCCACTACACTCCAGCCTGGGCGACACAGCAAGACTCCATCTCAAAAAAAAAAAAGTCAGATGATACCAACTTCTAGGAGAAAACCAGCCTCTTATACTATGATGTACTGACCCACACTGTATATCCTTGGCTTTAGAAAGAAGATAGAGGATGCTGTGAATGGTTTCTAAATGATTTCCAAGGGATAAGTAATTATGCTTCAATTACAGTGTAACTCTGTAATGCTATAAACAGAAACACCATAAAGGTACAATGTAAAGGATAAAACAAATGCATTTTTGATAATAAATCTGTTTTGTTTTTTTTTGTTTTTTTTTTTGAGATGGAGTTTTGCTCTTGTTGCCCAGGCTGGAGTGCAATGGTGCGATCTTGGCTCACTGCAACCTCCACCTCCCAGGTTCAAGCAATTCTCTTGCCTCAGCCTCCCGAGTAGCTGGGATTACAGGCATGTGCCACCATGCTTGGCTAATTTTTTGTATTTTTAGTAGACAGAGGGTTTCACCATGTCAGTCAGGCAGGTCTCGAACTCCTGACCTCAGGTGATCCACCCACCTTGGCCTCCCAAAGTGCTGGGATTACAGGCGTGAGCCATCGTGCCTGGCCGATAATAAATCTTAACCACCGAAGTATGCTTCCCGTGATTGTAGGAGTACTGAATATTCTACATAGCAACTGGGGTTTCTGAGGGAGTTTCAGTTTCCCAGCACAGTAATTCATTGATAGGTCACAGGTTGTAACTTGGAGTTATGAAAATATGGCTACCATACCTGTGTATGTTAGAGCTCATGGTAAGTACCAGTTAGTGTCTTGAGCAAAGCTTTTAATTGTCTGGCTAATAATTAATTTCATAGGTTAAACATTAAGGAAAGTCAGCCTTTAGGCTTTGAGCAGAAGGTTTCTGGATAAAAGTGGTTCCCTATTTTGAAACCAGTAAGTGTAAAAATCAGGCTTACCTGTGAAATCCTAACTAGCTTCATCTATGAATGGTGACTGGTGCGCTTTACTCAAGGCAGAAATTGTTAGATGAATAATTAACATGCATGTGTATTTATGTGGATATATATATATGCATGTATATGTACATATTTATACAAATGTCTGTATGTTGACCACATCTATACATATTTGTCTAGCTTTTTAATTTATAGATGTGTACCATCTATAAAGGCATTAGGCTACTTTATAGATCTTAATATACTGTATATTTAATATGTGTGTGCTTCACACATATGCTTTGTATGTTGTACTTATTAAATCCTCACAGCAATTTTGTGGCATTAGTATTATTATTGCAGATTTACAGTGAAGAAATCTGGTCTTCAAATCCTTTAACAGATTTTTCTCAAGTTCCAGAGCTACCCTGTAGCTACTAGGTGTTGTGTCTTAGAAAGAAGCTTGCCTTGGTCTGGGATGTGACTGGGTATGGCTGCCTGGCATGATGGAATGAGCACAGTCTTCGGAAGGAGACAGACTGGATTTAGATGCGGCTTTTTCACCTACTAAGTGGCCACGTCTGCATCTTATAACTTTCCCATTCCTCGGATTTTGAAACTATAAAATTAGAGTTACATAATAGACCTTTGAGAGTTTGTTTTTTCAGAGACCTATGAACATCCACAAGTTCAGTGTGTACTAGAAGGGTTCAACGTGTAGTTGTGTTCGTGGCTAAGATTTATTACAGTGAAAGGATACACAGCAGGGTCAGCAAGAGAAAAGGGCACATCGGGTGGAGTGTGGAGAAATCCAGGCACAGTTTCCTATGTTCTTCCTTCTTGAAGGGACTCCCTTCTCTAGCCGTGAAATGCAGTAACACGTGTGCAATATCTCCACCGGGGAGCCCTCGGAGGGGCCAAGGGAAAACATCCCCTTTGCCATCTGAAGGTTGGCTGAAAAATCGGCCGGGCACAGTGGCTCACACCCGTAATCCCAGCATTCTGGGAGGCCAAGGCGGGCGGATCACAAGGTCGGGAGATCGAGACCATCCTGGCTAACACGGTGAAACCCCGTCTCTGCTAAAAATACAAAAAAACTTAGCCGGGCATGGTGGCAGGCGCTTTGCAGTCCCAGCTACTCGGGAGGCTGAGGCAGGATGATGGTGTGAACCTGGGAAGCGGAGCTTGTAGTGAGCGAAGATTGCGCCACCGCTCCAGCCTGGGCAACAGAGCGAGACTCCGTCTCAAAAAAAAAAAAAAAAAAAGAAGGTTGGCTGAAAAATCAACTCACAAAAGACAGATTAATTGGAGAAAAAGCAAACCAATTTATTAGTGTGTACACCAGGAGAACCAGAGTGATTACCTAATATTCCAATGGGGTACAGAGGCTACCTATCCTACTTCTTAGAGGAACGGGAGATGAGGAAGTGTGATTGATTTTTAGGAGGCTTCAGTAGGCTTGAAGAATATACAAGGGCCTGCTACTAAGTCCATTGGGTCAGCAGAGCAGACCTGGCAAAAGTCTGACCAGGTTTGTCCACAGACTTCAGTCTTTCTTCCTGTCATATGAGTTCAGTTAATGAAAACTCAGGGAAGGAACCAGAGGTAAATTGTTTTCTTCTTTGGCAGGTCCAGACTTAGGCAGGTAAGGAACTTCAGAGACCTTTATCCAGTGCTTTGGGGGACACAGAGGATTGAGGGGCAGAAGCGGGGAGAAGGTCGGAGACATCGTAGATTTTTCTTCAGTTCAGCATATCAAAGTGCTATATTTTGGGGTGTCTGTTTCTGAGTCCTAATACCCATGTTGAGGTGCAGAGCCAAAGATTCTTACTGGGGGCTTTTCTCATAGGTATACTCTGCTTGCTCAGCCAGCCACAACCAGCAACATTGCAGACTCTCAGAAGGAAAGCAAGTATTCTCCATAAATCACACTGTTTGTACAGTCTAGGCAGGCCGATACAACACAATTCAGTGCACCAGGTGGGCAAGGTCCTTATCAGTTAGTGACTTGGGAACCTTCCAAAAGCCAAGTTCCCAGGTGCTAGCCATGGGCCAGCCCCATAAGCCGGCCCTTCCGTATTGGGGCTGCTATGGTAACTCTTTCCTGCACAGAATTGTTGGGAGAATTAAGTGATTGCACTTGGCAAAAGCTTTTAACACAGCATCTACCTCTTATGGCCCTCAAATGCTAGCTCTTGTACATGATCTGATCTACTCTAAATAATAGGTGAAATGTATAGAGCTCTTACTATATCCCAGCCACTGTTCTAACAACTCTATTCACGTATGTATTTCCCTGTCAGTTAGGTATCATAATCATTCTCATTTTTGAGATGAGGTTAAGTAACATGCTGAAGGCTGGGCATTGTGGCTCAGGCCTGTAATCCCAGCACTTTGGGAGGCTGAGGCAGACGGATCACTTGAGGTCAGGAGTTCAAGACCTGCTTAAGCAACATAGTGAAACTCTGTCTCTACCAAAAATACAAAAATTAGCCAGGTGTGGTAGCATGTGCCGGTAGTCCCAGCTACTTGGGAGGCTGAGGCAGGAAAATTGCTGGAACCAAGGAGGCAGAGGTTGCAGTGAGCCGAGATCATGCCACTGCACTCCAGCCTTTGTGACAGAGTAAGACTCTGTCTCAAAAAAAAAAAAAAAAAAAAAAAGTAATGTGCTGAAGATGAGAGCTAGTGAGTGGTAGATTCAAGATTCAAATCAAGACAGTCTAGCTTCAGAGCCTGCACTCTTAACCGCTAAAGAAGATGAGATGCTAACTGCAGGCCCCACTAGAAAAAAATTCTCAAGTTCTATTGCATCAGCTGAATCAGCCGACATAGCCTGGCAGATATTTATACTATAAAGATTATTAACCTCTGAAATCTACAATATTCTCTTCCTCCAAACAATGACCAGGGACCTTGAGATTTTTGGGTAACATTTGCAAATGGGAAATGGGATAAATACCTTTTTTTTTTTTGAGACGGAGTTTCGCTCTTGTTGCCCAGGCTGGAGTGCAATGGTGTGATCTTGGCTTACCACAACCTTCGCCTCCCAGGTTCAAGCAATTCTCCTGCCTCAGCCTCCTGAGTAGCTGGGATTACAGGCATGAGCCACCACACCCGGCTAATTTTGTATTTTTAGTAGAGACAGTGTTTCTCCATGTTGGTCAGGCTGCTCTCGAACTCCCGACCTCAGGTGATCTGCCCACCTCAGCCTCCCAAAGTGTTGAGATTACAGGCATGAGCCACTGCACCTGGACTCTTTTCTTTTTTTGAAACAGGTTTTTGCTCTGTTGACCAGGCTGGAGTGCAATGACATGATCATGGCTCACTGCAGCCTTGACCTCCCAGGCTAAAGCAGTCCTCCCACCTCAGCTCCTGAGTAGCCAGGACTACAAGTGCTCACCACCACACCCGGCTAATTTTTTAATTTTTCATAGAGACGGGGGTTGTTGCCAAGTTGCCCAGGTTGGTCTTGAACTTCTGGGCTCAAGCGATCCTCCAGCCTTGGCCTCCCAAAGTGCCAGGATTACAGGTGTGAGCCACTGCAAAGGGCCCGAACACACTTCTTTACTCACATAAGTTATCTTTCCCAACTCCCTTAGTTGCCATCCAGCTATTTTAGCAGCCTTAAATGGAGGGAGATGGAAACCAGATAATCATGTGGGTAAATTGCTCACAGCTGCAGCAGCTGACCCTGGCCTACCAGGCTACCGCTGCTGTGTCTGCGTGGATAATTTCCTGTTTTAGAACTTTAGTCAGAGCACTTCAACAATTTCAACACTAAGCCCTCTTTCTTTTTCTTTTGTTTTAAACATATATTTATATCATACTGTGCCATATACAAAGCAGTTTTACATACATTATCTTTTTAATCCTCCCAGTTGCTTGAGAGTAGCTATGATTATCTCATCCTTCAGTGGAAGACAGTAGCAGAGACATTTGCTCTGCTGGCCATGAAGAGAGAATTTGGGATCTGCAGCAAAGGAAGCTAGAGGCCACATCCAGACAGAAATTAACTGCATCTCTCCAATAATTAAGATAATTGATAGAGATCAGCCTAAGCCTGGAATAGCCCAGCTGGAAAGGAAAGGGGAAAAAGGGGAAGAGGAGAGGGAAGGAAGGAAAAGAAGGTACTAACTGGGTGTGGTGGCTCATGCCTGTAATCTCAGCACTTTGGGAAGCTGAGTGGGGAGGATTGCTTGAGGACAGGAGTTCGGGACCAGCCTGGGAAACATAGTGAGATCTTGTCTCTTTAAAAAAAAAAAAAAAAAAAAAAAAAAAAGAGAAAGAAGGTACTGATGATTGAGGCTAAAGGCAAGATTACACCGAGGAGGAAAAATAATTTTTTCTTTACTTTTCATGAGTTCTTAATTGAGACCTGCTGTAACAAAGGACGGACTAACAAGAGAAAAATGAACAGAAGTTTAATATGTATGCCCTCTGTAAATATGGGTGAAAATCCAGAGAAATGAGTAAATCTCTAGGATAGATCTCAAAAGAGTAGTTCAGGCCAGGCGTGGTGGCTCACACCTGTAATCCCAGCACTTTGGGAGGCTGAGGCGAGAGAATCACTTGAGGCCAAGAGTTCTAGACTAGCCTGGCTGACATGGTGAAACCCCGTCTCTACTAAAAGTACAAAAATTAGGCAGGCTTGATGGTGTGTGCCTGTAATCCCAGTTACTTGGGAGGTTGAGGCACAAGAATTGCTTGAGCTCAGCAGGCAGAGGTTGCAGTGAGCTGAGATCGTGCCACTGCACTCCAGCCTGGGCGACAGAGCAAGACTCTGCCTCAAAAAAAAAAGGTGGGGGGGTGGGTAGTTCAGACTTCAGGCTTAAATACCATTATTCCCTGAAACAAAGAAAAAAAGATGTAACCCAGTTAAAACCAGAGGGTCAGAAAAAGACCTTATACAAATGTATGGTTTGTTATGCAGACTTAGGTCAACACCTTCTTTATTTATTACGAGTCTCTAGTGACTTAATTTTCTTTCTGTTCCTGGTGCAGAGAGGGAGAGACCTTTACAGAGGGGCATTTCCTAGCTCTGCATGGTGGCTCACACTTGTAATCCTAACACTTTTAGAGGCCAAGGCGGGAGGACTGCTGGAGCCCAGGAGTTTGAGACCAGCTTGGGCAACATAGCAAAATCCCATCTCTAAAAAAAAAAAAAAATTTTTTTAAAAAGGACAAAAGGACATTTCCTTTACAGATGTACATTTTTGAAAGGACAACTTTTTGGAGCTACTGCTGTGTCTGCAGCTTCTCAAAATAACCAGTACCAAACAATCCTTATGCCAGGTAGCCATATTTCAGGGTGGCATGTCCTGAGCCCCATCAATTGCAACTTTCTCAAGACTATATGGCATTAAGAAAAAAATTATTGACACTTGTTAGAAAAGTAAGGAAAACTTTGTTTAAGATAATTACAATAGGGGTATTGCAATAGGGGAGACAGATTGGGCTCAACTTAAAATATAGGGACAAGTAGGGATTTAGAGTCAAGGAGCACAGTGCGGAGTCGGTCAGTGGATGGAAAATTACTAAATAGGAGACTTAGGGCAGAGAGATTCTTGCTCAAGACAGGCCAAGGACTTAGAAATCAAAGGTGGAGATAACAAACTTGATTGGGTATCAAGGGTGAGGGATTTTCAGTATACTGACTTATCAGGGTTATTTGCTAAAACTGGGCTGGGTAAGCCAAGACAGCAGGATGAGGGGTGGAGTGGAGGGGAAGGGAGCAGCAAGGTGGAGGCCCAGTAGAAAAGAGGGCTCAAAGGAGCCTGACTGAAGCTTGGTCCAGGGGAGCGTCTAACAGTGCCGACCTAGCCTTGCTTGCCCACCCGCCCTTCCTCTCTATCATGGCTCTCCTGCTCTCCTACTCATGCTTGCTCCTTTTTTTTTTTTTTTTTTTTTTTTTTTTGAGATGGAGTCTCACTTTGTTGCCCAGGCTGGAGCACAGTGAACCGAGATTGTGCTGGGTTCAAGTGATTCTCCTGCCTCAGCCTCCTGAGTAGCTGGGATTACAGGTGTGTGCCACCACACTGGGCTAATTTTTGTATTTTTAATAGAGACGGGGTTTCACCATATTGGCCAGGCTGGTCTTGAACTCCTGACCTCAGGCAATCCACCTGCCTGGCCCTCCCAAAATGCTGGGATTGCAGGCATGAGCCACCACTCCCAGCCCCCTACTCATGCTCTCTGGTTTGCATTTGCTAACTTCTTGCCAAGAGGACTTGCAAGTCAAGAAGAAGAAATGGAGGAGACTTCTTTACAGATGGCACCCTGTGTCTTAGCCTTTCTTTACCCCTAACTAGAGAGTAAATGTTTTAAGGATAGAGAAGTTGTTTTGTTCATTTCTGTATTCCTATTGGTTTGGCGCATATATATGTCGTATCAGCAAAAAATACGATATATATATATCGTATCAGCAAAAATGTATTGAATGAACAAGTGACAAAAGTGACCACTTACTGAGGACTTGGCCTTTGCTGGGCACAATACTGGTGTTTATACCAGCAAGCTTTCTTTGAATAGAAGCAGCTCCAATCATCACTTCCTTTAAATATATGGCAGAGCCAGCTGATAGTTAAAGGAAATGTTGAAAACAAGGCTACCTGAAGAAGAGAAACTGAAGCAACTCTGGGGATCCAGGAACCAGGAACTAGTGACTAAAAACTAATCCCTTCCAGCCACCTATGGCCAGGTGAATCAGCTCTGTTTTCTGCATATGCAGTTGCCGTCTCCAGATGCTAATGTTCTAGAGAGGACCCTTATTGGCTGGGTCGGGTCACAGGCTCACCTCTTGACCCTGGGTGGGGACCCTTTGACTGACAGATTCACCAAGTGGGAGAATGGGGGTAGTTGTTCCACCCTCCCCCCGCACACCCTGCAAAGAAAAAAGAAAAAGCAAGCCCTGTTTCCACAGGAAAATGAGTGCTTGGCAGGCTGTTCTTTACTGCTATTAACTCATTTAATCTTCACAAGCAATCAATGCACTTGATACTGTTATCTCTCTTTTTAAATTTTATGCCATTTTTTATTAGATGGAGTCTTACTCTGTTACCCAGGCTGGAGTGCAGGGGTGCAATCTTGGCTCACTGCAACCTCCGCCTCCCGGGTTGTAGCGATTCTCCTGCCTCAGCTTCCCAAGTAGCTAGAATTACAGGCACGTGCCACCACACCCAGCTAATTTTTTTGTACTTTTGGTAGAGACGGGGTTTCGCCATGTTGGCCAGGCTGGTCTCAAACTCCTGACCTCAAGTGATCCGCCCGCCCTAGCCTCCCAAAGTATTGGAATTACAGGCATGAGCCACTGCACATGACCATGTCTCTGTTTTTTTTAGATGAAGACGTTGAGGCATTTGCAACTGGTATAATCATTCTTAGCTCCTAAATGTTCAACTTTGAACAGAAAAAAAAAAGCTGGGTAGAGTATTTTCTCAATCTACTTTCAATATTTAACATTTCAAGTGTAATCTTAGCAGCAGCTGTAATCTAATCTAATTTTTTACTTTCCGAATTTAGACTTTCTGGGCATTTTCCCACTGTGCTCTCTCATATGCTTTGGCCCTGTGTTACTTTCTATTGTAGCTGAATCCAATGCAGGAGGAAGAATAGACACAGCCAGAATGCTGTTGTAATGTAAATAGAAAGGAACAGGTTGCTTGATAGAGGGCCAAGACATTGGCACACAATAAAGTATTGGTTTATGTTAAAGGAAAATGTACCTATAACGGCATCAAGCCTTAACTTTTCAGAAAGTATGAAAGGAATACAGGATGCCTTATCTTATGTAATATTTTGAAAGAAGAGTGTTATGCACACAGACGAGAGGTTTCTTTCTCTCTCTCTTTTTTTTAATTTAAAGATGGGGTCTTGCTATATTGCCCAGGCTGATCTTGAACTCCTGGGGTCAAGTGATCCTCCCACCTCAGCCTCCCAAAGTTCTGGGATTACAGGCATGAACCACCATGCCCATTTGAGGTTTTTCTTTTGTAAACAGTGTCATACCTATGAATATTTCTTTCCTTCTTGACATTAGTAGAATCTTTGTCCATTGTATATAAACTGCTTCTCGAGGTACAACCTATGCTTGCTTCTGAAGCCTGTGTTCCTACCCACCCCTGCCTCAGTCCTGACAGCTCGTCACCCAGTGTCCCCTGCAGTATGAGGTCCTCACTTTGCCCAAGCATGATCTTTTACAACAGCACACAGAAGTCTTAAAACGCCAGCACAATATCTCTATGCAGTTGAGGTATATTGAAAGTGTGCTCCTACTGAGTGCTCAGCTTGGCCTTATCTGGTCATTTAAATCCTCAGCAGGGTTTAAGTGGTCATTTTCAGTGGGGCCTGTAGAATGAGGTCTCAGGCTCGCTAGAAGAGCATATCAGGTTTCTCAGTCTCCTGGGTGGAACAGAGAGTTCAAACTTCAGATTCTGATATGCTTCATCTCTCTCCTGGTCAAAGAGTGCTGTGGTATTAAGTTCCAGTTCCTGATGAACGTGAGCTAGATCATACTCGTCAATGGGAGGCGGGGGCTGAGGAGACAAGGGGACCAAAAGTTGAGAGGCTCTCCTTTAAGCAGTGAATTGTTTCCATTCTCTTTCCATCACAGACCTTTTTTCTAGCCCTGACCCTTGTGTCAACCTTGGGTGAGTTTCTAGTATCAGCCCCCTCCCAGCTGGGTGGCTAGGGGGTTTGGGCTGGGATTCCTGTCTGGGACCCAGGCTCTCCTTATGCAGGTATAAACAATGATTACTCTCAGCTGTTTCAGCCTTGCTGCACTGCTGTCACTCATGATTCTTCCTCTAAAAGTTTTTCCACTAGCTGCTTCTGGCTTTTGATTCTGAGCCGCTCACTATAATTCAGTTTCTCTTAGCTGATAACTCTCATCTCAGTACATCTGGGTCGTCTTTTCTGTTTGGCTCTCTGATTCTTTGGAAAAACTCCTTCTTTCTATCTTCCCTCTCCCTGCTCCCTGCTCCCTGCTCCCTGCTCACCCCCACTCCAGCCAGGAATGGATAAACAAGTCCAAGTATGTTAATGCCAGGGAGTAACTACCAGGAATAAAACTGAGCATAAGCAAACTCATCAGTGTGACCACGGAACGGTATGAAGATGAAATTTAAGAAGGAATCTCACTTACACTCACATACATCTATCCTGACTATGATTGGAAAAATATGTGTGTTGATTAATATTCATAATCAGTTTTGATTTAGAGAGTAATGTTTTTAAAAATTATTAATTAGTATGTTATTTTAAAATCAACATTTTAAAGGCTAGAACTTTTCATCCAGCTTTTTTTCTTTTTCTTGAGGTGGAGTCTTGCTCTGTTGCCCAGGCTGGAGTGCAGTGGCATGATCTTGGCTCACTGCAACCTCCACCTCCCAAGCACAAGCAATTTTCCCTCCTCAGCCTCCCAAGTAGCTGGGACTATGGGCGTGGCTAATTTTTGTATTTTTCATAGAGACAGGGTTTTGCAATGTTGCCCAGGCTGGCCTCCAACTCCTGACCTCACGTGATGCACCCGCCTTGGCCTCCTAAAGTGCTGGAATTACAGGTGTGAGCTACTGCACCTGGCCCAGCTTTTTTTCTAGAAAGCTTCCCTTTACTTTTTTCTCCTCTGAGTGATGACACTTAACCCAACAAAGAGCTCACCCCACCCCCGCTTCCATCCAAGGAAGGCCTGCGTATCAGGGTTCATATTCTTTAAATTTTATTTTAGCCACTCCCCAAGCTGTCCCAGGTTTTGGTCATATTGGCAGTTGGCAAAGCCTCCAGGCCACTGGGGAAGGGGTGGGTGTTGGTTTTGCCCCACTGGCTCACTCCTGTGACTCTGAAATCCTTCTTGGTGCTGAAATCATAACCTCAATGGGGGATTCCTCTTAAGTGGGAACAAAATGTGCTTCCTCATCAAAATAAGGGAAATGGGATGGGGGAGATAGTGTGAGAAAAACTGGAAAAACTCTTGATCATTTGCTTGTTCAGGACAAGGATCATCTTCTATGGCAAATGGCTTTCAAAGTACTGTACCCAATGAAAGGGGTGAACTTGTTTGTTGGTTGGCTGTTCTGTTCTTGTGGGAAATCAGCCACCAGACCAGGGCTACCCAATGAAAATATGCTAGGAGCCACCAAGACAATCTACATATGTGATTTTAAATTTTCTAGTAGAAATAGCAAAAAAAAAAAAAGGAGGAATGGGTTAAATTAATCTTCATAATATACTTTAACTCGCCATCTCCAAAATATTATCATTTAAAAATGCAATCTATATGAAAAATACAAATTAGCTACTTTACATTTTGTTATACTAAGTCTTCAAAATCCAGTGTGTTTTTTCATTTTAATCAGACTCACATTTCAAGGCTCACGTGGCTAGTGGCTGCCATCTTGGAGAACACAGCTCTAGGCCGTTTTGAAACCAGCAGAGGGCAGCATGGTGTCCTGACCTGTGTGCATTTCATTTTTCTTTTTTCTTTTCTTTTCTTTTCTTTTCTTTTCTTTTCTTTTCTTTTCTTTTCTTTTCTTTTCTCTCTTTGTGTTTTTTTTTTGGAGATGGAGTTTTGTTCTTGTTGCCCAGGCTGGAGTGCAATGGTACAATCTCGGCTCACTGCAACCTCCGCCTCCTGTGTTCAAGCAACTCTCCTGCCTCAGCCTCCCAAGCAGCTGGGATTACAGGCATGTGCCACCACAGCCTGCTAATTTTTGTATTTTTAACAGAGACAGGGTTTCACCATCTTGGCCAGGCTGGTCTCGAACTCCTGACCTCAGGTGATCCACCCGCCTCGGCCTTCCAAAGTGCTGGGATTACAGGTGTGAGCCACTGTGCCCAGCCGCATTTCATTTTTCAGTCCCTTATCTCTGTGATCTTTGTTCCTCTATGTCTGAGATTTCTGATATCTGTATTTTTACAGTGCCAGTTTGGACATCCATATAAAGTGGGTACCAGCCACATAGGTAACAACAAATGTTCTCCCTTCCCCAGCACCATGATTTCACAATCCTATTTTCTTTCTCTCTCAGTTTTTGATGAGGAAGCTAAAGCCCAAAGGTATTAGGAAGTCACCCAAAGAAAACACAGTAAATGGCATGAGGAAAATAGAACTATAGTGTCTGACTCCAGAATCCAAGTTCCAAACAACTGTTCTATGGCCTCCATGAGAAACAATTCCTGTGCTTGTTTAACAGGTTCTCCTAAAGAATCGAAACAATGTCCATCAAACTGTTAATGTATGGCTTCCAAACTGAATTAACACCAAATTCTACACTACCAATTATATTTTAGGGGGAGTCTATTCAGGTCAATTTGCAGCTTAAATTTTCTACTTTTTCTTTCCACTCCGTTTTTACTTTACCTTTGATTTTTTAATATTTCCAGAAGTCAAAAATGTAGGATGGGCACAGTGGCTCACGCCTGTATTCCCAGCACTTTGGGAGGCCGAGGCAGGCAATCGTTTGAGGCCAGGAATTCAAGACAAGCCTGGGCAACACAGTGAAACTCCATCTCTACAAAATATCAAAATAATTAGCCAGGTGTGGTGGTGCACACCTGTAGTTCCAACTACTAAGGAAGCTGAGATGAGAGGATCACTTGAGCCTGGAAAAGTCAAAGCTGCAGAGAGCAGTGATTGTGCCACTGCACTCCAAGCAACAGAGCAAGACCCTATCTCAAAAAAAAAAAAAAAATGTAGTTGGCTATTATTATTTAGACTGGACTTGATTTTGGCAATTCTCTTAAATTCCTAGTCTTCAGGCTGGGCGTGATGGCTCATGCCTGTAATCCCAGCACTTTGGGAAGCCAAGGCAGGCGAATCACAAGGTCAGGAGTTTGAGACCAGCCTGGCCAACATGGTGAAACCTCGTTCTACTAAAAATACAAAAAATTAGCTGGGAGTGGTGGCGGGCGCCTGTAATCCCAGCTACTCAGGAGGCTGAGGCAGGAGAATCACTTGACCTGGGAGGCAGATGTTGCAGTGAGCCAAGATCATGCCACTGCACTCTAGCCCAGTCGACAGTGTGAGATTCCATCTCTAAAAAAAAAAAAAAAAAAAAAAAAAATTCTAGTTTTCATTGTGGGGGTCCTTTGGAGTTTTACTGACAGCAGAACAATATTATTAATGCTATATTAGCATTATGGAGACCATGTCTTTCAGGGAGAGATTGGTTTCTACATATTTATTACTTTCACTTGCTTTGGATAAAAGAATACAGTATCGTAATTTCTCTTCCACAGATGGAAAAATTGAGGCCTAAGGACTGAACATAACATAACTGAACATTCCCCTGTTCTGTTGCAGGGGAATCTGAGCCACATTGCTAGAAGCCATGTCTTCTGACAGCTTGACTTCCTGTCTAAGCAGCTTCGTGGCTTCTGAGTCAAGCATAGTTTCTTACACGATATGGGCTTCAAAGAGATAGAAAGTGTTTGTTTCCTAAGCTTTTGATCTTATGTCTCTAGACTTGAATTTGGGATGCTAGCTGGGTTGTGTTTAGCAACAAATAACAGAAAGTGCAGTAAAGATAGTTTAAGCCTCTAGACTTGAATTTGGGATGCTATCTGCGTTGTGTTTAGCAACACATAACAGAAAGTGCAGTAAAGATAGTTTAAGCAGTGAGGTTTCTCTGCCTCCTGAAGTGAGATGCCCCCAGGTCTAGAATCCCAGGCTGACACTGAGACTCCCCACAAAGGCGCTGTCCATCTCTCTCTCTCCTGTTCTTAGTGTACACCAGGCCTCATGTCTGCACTCTGGGCAGGAAGAACAGGGAATGGCAAAGAGTTAAGAGCAGAGAGGTGTCACCTAGCAAGACTTTGCTTTTTATCTGGGAAGGGCAGTCTGTCCCAGGGATTTCATCCTACATCTCATGGGCCAGAACTGTGTCACATGGTCACCCCATGCTGGAAGGCAGTCGGTGACTCATATGGTTTTGGCTGGGCACACTACTGCCCTGAGCAAAATTCTTAAGGAGGAAGAAAGAGAGATTGGGTTTGAATAAGCAGCTGGCACTGTCAGCTACAAGGACAAATGTCTTTTTCATTAAATAACTAAGCAAACTTCCTTATGAAACATACGCTTTTAAGGAACAGCTTTCTTCCTGTGTCAACACAAATAGCTCTAAGCTAGATTTAAAAGCAGATGGGTATACCGATGTTAATGTCTCAGTTTCAACAAATGTACCATAGTTATGTTAACATTTGGGGGTGCTGGATGAAGGGCATAAGGGAGCTATCTGTACTATCTTTGCAGCTTTTCTTTTTTTTCTTTCTTTTTCTTTTTATTTTTTTTTTGAGATGGAGTCTTTCTGTGTCTCCCAGGCTGGAGTGCAGTGGTGCAATCTTGGCTTACTGCAACCGAGTAGCTGGGATTACAGGTGTGTAGCACCACGCCCAGCTAATTTTTGTATTTATTTACTTATTTTTTTGAGACAGAGTCTCACACTGTTACCCAGGCTGGAGTGGAGTGGCGCCATCTCGGCTCACTGCAACCTCTGCCTTCCAGGTTCAAGCGATTCTCCTGCCTTAGCCTGTTTAGTAGCTGGGATTACAGGTGCCCGCCACCACGCTCAGCTAATTTTTGTATTTTTAGCAGAGACGGGTTTCACCATGTTGGCCAGGCTGCTCTTGAACTCCTGACCTCAAGTAATCCGCTTGCCTTGGCCTCCCAAAGTTCTGGGATTACAGGCATGAGCCACCGTGCCTGGCCTTCTTTGCAGCTTTTCTATAAATCTAAAGTTATTCTAAAATGTAAAGTTTATTTTTTAAAAAGTAGGTGGGTTTTTTTTTCCTGCATCTTCTTTTTTAAAGCTATGAACAATATAGAAAATATATAAAGACAGTTAAAAAAAAGACTATGTCTTGCCACTGCTATCTTCCTTTTCTGAACTTTAGCCTCTTCCTCCTTTGAGGGTCTGTTGACATACTGACTTTATCTCTTCAGTCTCAAAAGCAGCACCTGATAAATTACTGTGCAGTAAAGCACCAGCAAGTTAATATGGTAACCTTCCTGGGAATACTAAGAAAATGCCATGCAGGAGTGAGCCTTTGGGAAGAAACTTTCACATCCTGGGGTTCCTGGGAAGGATTTTATTTCAGTACCCCACTGTCTGTTCCCCGAGACCACCTAGAGTTACTTCTAGACCCTTCTATAAAAATAAGGTCTGAAAAGGCTTCTACCTTGGAAAGATATCCTTTTGGCCCTGACACCCTGGGCCCTTGCATGGAAGCACACATGGCTAATATTTATGGAATCCTTCTATGGACCAGGGACGCTACTAGGCCTTTTATTTTATTTTTAAATTTTATTTTATTTTTAATTTTTGTTATACTTCAAGTTCTGGGACAGGTTTGTTACATGGGTATATACCTGCCATGGTGGTTTGCTGCACCCATCAACCTGTCATCTACATTAGGTATTTCTCCTAATGCTGTGCCTCCCCTAACTCCCCACCCACCAACAGGCCCCAGTGTGTGATGTTCCCCTCCCTGTGTCCATGTGTTCTCGTTGTTCAGCTCCCACTTATGGGTGAGAACATGCAGTGTTTGGTTTTCTGTTCCTGTGTTAGTTTGCTGAGAATGATGGTTTCCAGCTTCATCCATGTCCCTGCAAAGGACATGAACTCATCCTTTTTTATGGCTGCATAGTATTCCATGGTGTATATGTGCCACATTTTCTTTATTCAGTCTATCATTGAGGGACATTTGGGTTGGTTACAAGTCTTTGCTATTGTGAATAGTGCTGCTATAAACATACGTGTGCATGTGTCTTTATAATAGAAAGATTTACAATCCTTTGGATATATACCTAGTAATGGGATTGCTGGGTCAAATGATATTTCTGGTTCTAGATCCTTGAGGAATTGCCACACTGTCTTCCGCAATGATTGAACTAATTTACACTCCCACCAACAGTATAGAAGCATTCCTGGGCTGGGCACAGTGGCTCATGCCTGTAATTCCAGCACTTTGGGAGGCCAAGGCAGGCGGATCATGAGGTCAGGAGTTTGAGACCAGCCTGGCCTACATAGTGACTAAAAATACAAAAAATTAGCTGGGTGTAGTGGCAGGTGCCTGTAATCCCAGCTACTTGGGAGGCTGAGGCAGGAGAATCACTTGGACCCAGGAGGCAGAGGTTGCAGTGAGCCAAGATCACGCCATTGCACTTCAACCCGGGCAACAGCATGAGACTCTGTCTCAAAAAGAAAAGTATTCCAATTTCTCCACATCCTCTCCAGCATCTATTGTTTCCCAACTTTTTAATGATCGCCATTCTAACTGGCATGAGATGGTATCTCATTATGGTTTTGATTTGCATTTCTCTAATGACCAGTGATGATGAGCTTTTTTTTTCATGTTTGTTGGCTGCATAAATGTCTTCTTTTGAGAAGTGTCTCTTCATATCCCTCACCTACTTTTCAATGGGATTGTTTTTTCTTGTAAATTTGTTTAAGTTCTTTGTAGACTCTAGATATTAGCCCTTTGTCAGATGGATAGATTGCAAAAATTTTCACCCATTCTGTAGGTTGCCTGTTCACTCTTATGATAGTTTATTTTGCTGTGCAGAAGCTCTTTAGTTTAATTAGATCCCATTTGTCAATTTTGGCTTTTGTTGCCATTGCTTTTGGTGTTTTAGTCACGAAGTCTTTACCCATGCCTATATCCTGAATGGTCTCTAAGAACTTGCTTTATGAATCTCAGTTCTCCTGTATTGTGTGTATATATATTTAGGACAGTTAGCTCTTCTTGTTGCATTGATCCCTTTACCATTATGTAATGCCCTTCTTTGTCTTTTTTGATCTTTGTTGGTTTAAAGTCTGTTTTATCAGAGACTAGGATTGCAACCCCTGCTCTTTTTTTTTTTTTTTTTTTTTTTTTTTTTTTTTTTTTGCTTTCCATTTGCTTGGTAAATATTCCTCCATCCCTTTATTTTGAGCCTATGTGTGTCTTTGCACATGAGATGGGTCTCCTGAATACAGCACACCGATGGGTTTTGACTCTTTATCCAATTTGCCAGTCTGTATCTTTTAATTGGGGCATTTAGCCCGTTAACATTTAAGGTTAATATTGTTATGTGTGAATTTGATCCTGTCATTATGATGCTAGCTGGTTATTTTGCCTGTTAGTTGATGCAGTTTCTTCATAGTGTCAATGGTCTTTACAATTTGGTATGTGTTTGCAGTGGCTCGTACTGGTTGTTCCTTTCCATATTTAGTGCTTCCTTCAGGAGCTCTTGTAAGGCAGGCCTGGTGGTGACAAAATCTCTCAACATTTGCTTGTCTGTAAAGGATTTTATTTCTCCTTCACTTATAAGCGTAGTTTGGCCTGCATATGAAATTCTGGATTGAAAATTCTTTTCTTTAAGAATGTTGAATTTTGCCCCCACTCTCTTCTGTCTTGTAGAGTTTCTTCTGAGAGATCTGCTCTTAGTCTGATGGGCTTCCCTTTGTGGGTAACCCGACCTTTCTCTCTGGCTGCCCTTAATATTTTTTCCTTCATTTCAACCTTGGTGAATCTGATGATTATGTGTCTTGGGGTTGCTCTTCTCGAGGAGTATCTTCGTTGTGTTCTCTGTGTTTCCTGAATTTGAATGTTGGCCTGTCTTGGTAGGTTGGGGAAGTTCTCCTGGATAATATCCTGAAGAGTGATTTCTAACATGGTTCCATTCTCCCTGTCACTTTCAGGTACACCAATCAAACATAGGTTTGGTCTTTTCACATAGCCCCATATTTCTTGGAGGCTATGTTTGTTCCTTTTCATTCTTTTTTCTCTAATCTTGTCTTCATGCTTCATTTCATTAAGTTGATCTTCAATCTCTGATATCCTTTCTTCTGCTTGATCGATTCAGCTATTGATACTTGTGTATGCTTCACAAAGTTCTCATGCTGTGATTTTTCAGCTTTATCAGGTTATATATATTCTTCTCGAAACTGGTTATTCTAGTTAGCAATTCCTCTAACATTTTTTTCAAGGTTCTTAGCTTCTTTCACTGGGTCAGAACATGCTCTGTTAGCTCAGAGGAGTTTATTATTATCCATCTTCTGAAGCCTACTTCTGTCAATTTGTCAAACTCATTCTCCATCCAGTTT
Organism: Homo sapiens; assembly: GCF_000001405.40. NCBI lineage: Eukaryota > Metazoa > Chordata > Mammalia > Primates > Hominidae > Homo > Homo sapiens. The sequence continues at coordinate 119,987,063 of NC_000008.11, forward strand.
TGTTCCCTTGCTGGTGAGGAGTTGTGATCCTTTGGAGGAGAAGGGGCATTCTGGTTTTTGGAATTTTCAGTCTTTTTGTGCTGGTTTTTCCTCATCTTTGTGGATATATCTACCTTTGGTCTTTGATGTTGGTGACCTTCGGATAGAGTTTTGTGTGGATGTCCTTTTTGTTGACGTTGATGCTATTCCTCTCTGTTTGCTAGTTTTCCTTCTAAGTCAGACCCCTTTGCTGTAGCTCTGCTGGAGTTTGCTGGAGGTCTACTCCAGACCCTCTTTGCCTGGGTATCACCAGTGGAGGCTACAGAACAGCAAAGATTGCTGCCTGTTCTTTCCGCTAGAAGCTTTGTCCCAGAGGGGCACCTGCCAGATGCCAACCAGAGCTCTCCGGTATGAGATGTCTGTCGACCCCTGCTGGCATATGTCTCCCAGTCAGGAGGCATGGGATTCAGGGACCCACTTGAGGAGGCAGTCTATTCCTTAGCAGAGCTCGAGTGCTGTGCTGGGAGATCCAGTGCTCTCTTTAGAGCTGGCAGACAGGGAGGTTTAGGTCTGCTGAAGCGGCGCCAACAGCTGCCCCTTCCCCCAGGTGCTCTGTCCCAGGGAGAGGGGAGTTTTATCTATAAGTCCCTGACTGGGGCTGCTGCCTTTCTTCAGAGATGCCCTGCCTCTAGAGAGGCAGCCTGGCTACAATGGGTTTGCATAGCTGTGGTGGGCTCTGCCCAGTTCAAACTTGCTGGTGGCCTTGTTTACACTGTGAGGGGAAAACCACCTACTCAAGCCTCAGTAATGGCAGACACCCTTCCCCCCACCAAGCTCGAGTGTCCCAGGTCGACCTCTGACTGCTGTGCTGGCAGTGAGAATTTAAAGCCAGTAGATCTTAGCTTGCTGGGCTCCATTGGGTTGGGAACTGCTGAGCTAGACCACTTGTCTCCCTGGCTTCAGCCCCCTTTCCAGGGGAGTGAACAGTTCTGTCTCGCTGGTGTTCCAGGCACCACTGGGGTATGAAAAAAACCTCCTGCGGCTAGCTCAGTGCCTGCCCAAATGGCTGCCCAGTTTTGTGCTTGAAACCCTGGTGGTGTAGGCACCCGAGGGAATCTCCTGGTCTGCGGGTTGTGAAGACTGTGGGAAAAGCATTGTATCTGGGCTGGAATGCACTGTTCCTCATGGCAGAGTCCCTTAGGGCTTCCGTTGGCTAAGGAAGGGAGTTCCCTGACCCCTTGTGCTTCCTGGGTGAGGCAATGTCCCACTCTGCTTCTGCTCGCCCTCCATGGGCTACACCCACTATCTAACCAGTCCCAATGAGATGAACCGGGTACCTCAGTTGGAAATGCAGAAATCACCCACCTTCTGCGTTGATCTCACTGGGAGTTGCAGACCAGAGCTGTTCCTGTTCGGCCATCTTGCCCAGGTCTAAATTTTATTTTACAAATATTTTTTTGAGATGGAGTCTTGCTCTGTTGCCCAGGCTGGAGTGCAGTGGTGTGATCTTGGTTCACTGTAACCTCTGCCTCCTAGGTTCAAGTGATTCTCCTGCCTCAGCCTCCCGAGTAGCTGGGATTACAGGTGTGTACCACCATGCCTGGCTAATTTTTGTATTTTTAGTAGAGATGGGGTTTCACCATTTTGGACAGGCTGATCTTGAATTCCTGACCTCAAGCGAACTGCCCGCCTCGGGTCCCCAAAGTGCTGGGATTACAGGTGTGAACCACCGTGTCCGGCCTACTAGGCCTTTTACATATGTTGTTTCATTGTTCCTCCAATTCATTTTATAGATGAAGAAAACTAAAATTCAGAGCAGTTAAGTAATTAAGTAAATCGTTAAACTGGCATTCAACCCTGGGCTATCTGAGATCAGAGCAATGTTTTCTGTGCTATAGCCATATCCTTTTTTTTTTCTTTTTTTTTTTTTTTTTTTTTTAATAGAGATGGGGCTTTACCATGTTGCCCAGGCTAGTCTCAAACTCCTGAGCTCAAGTAATCTGCCTACCTTGGACTCCCAAAGTGCTAGGATTACATATATGAGCCATCGTGCCTGGCTGCCACATTCTTTTGGTAAGCAATTCCAAAGTAATTAGCATTTTATGGTGGTGAATATTTCTTTAAAAATTATTTTAAATAAATAGAGACAAGGTCTTACTATGTTGCTCAGGTTAGTGTCAAACTCATGGGCTCAAGTGACCCTTGTGCCTTGGCCTCCTAAAATATTAGGATTACAGGCAGGAGCCACCGTGCCGGGCCATTGGTTAAGAATTTTATGGAAAACATTTCCAGCCAAATTACCGTCTGTAACCTGGAAACAGGAATAAATGTGGGCAAAGCAGACTCCACTCTCTTGTTTTGCAAGCTTGTCTGCCTCCTCGTTTCCATGATCACACCTTGAAATGGGAGGCAGTCTAGTGTGGAGGTTCAGGGGTGAGACCTGGAGTGAGTCCGTCAGCACTTCTCTCTTGGATCTTCTTGTTAGTGACTCTGAGATACATGGGCAAGTTTGCCTTGTCTAAGCCCCAGTTTCCTTATCTGTAAACTGGGAATCATAATATGGGAATATAATATATATGGGAATATAATAACTCTCTCATAGTACTGTTTTGAGAAGTAAATGATATAAACCTGTAATGTGCTTGGCACAGGGCCGTGCACAGGCTATCTATCACTCAGTAAATGATAATTATCATTATTTTTATCATCTACATTCTCATTATCAGATGCCTGAGTGGGTGAAGCTTAATGTATTTGATGACCTCATCCATTGCTGGTCTTGAACAGTATCTTATACATACTCTCTGCTATTACGTGCTTGTTAAGTAAATCAACACTGAAATACTTTGATCGGGCCTTTGGGTTTAATTATTTTGCCAATAATTTCAAAAGATCTAGAATAGAGTTACAGATTTCTTTTGTTGAATTATGTATCTGAGATATTCCATTTGCCGGATGAAATAATTTTGTTTTTAGGCTTCTCTGCACTTACAGTACAATCTAGTTTCTGATAAACAAGATTATCTTTGAAAATCCTACCCCTTGTTCTGCATGTTATCACTAACAGTAGAGGTTCTTTCTAGTCTTTGGAATGTACCCAGCTATTATTTTTATTTGTTTATTTAGTTTTTTTTTGAGACGGAGTCTCACTCTGTCGCCCAGGCTGGAGTGCAGTGGCGCATCTCTGCTCACTGCAAGCTCCGCCTCCCAGGTTCACGCCATTCTCCTGCCTCAGCCTCCCGAGTAGCTGGGACTACAGGCGCCCACCACCATGCCCAGCTAACTTTTTGTATTTTTAGTAGAGACGGGGTTTCATCGTGTTAGTCGGGATGGTCTCAATCTCCTGACCTGGTGATCCGCCCGCCTCAGCCTCCCAAAGTGCGGGATTACAGGCGTGAGCCACCATGCCCGGCCACCCCAGCTATCGTTTAATGATACATACAGAAGAATAAAACATAGTTTGACTTTCCATCTGTTTATTGCCTTTACATTTCTGGCAGTAAGACACAGAAGCTGCAGCACTCAGACAATCACAGTGTCATGTTTGGTTTTCTATCTTTACTAAAGTTACTTTGAATCCTTTTACTTCTTTTCCATCCTCTTGCCTCCCTTCAATCAATTAAATAAGTGTAAGTGGGTTATAACTTTGTGAATGTGAAGTATTTTGTTTCAGTAATATCAGTTAATAGGACTTTATGTCCTACAATCAATTTCCTGCTTTCATATCCTCTTGTTAATGTTGTCAGTGCTAAGGAAGTAATTATTTTAGTCCTCTGACTCACTGTTGTTATTGCCTTTTGGAGAGTTTTGTATCCCAAGCAGCTAGCACCGTTTTTATGGAGTAGGCACTTAAAAACAATTGCTTACTGTTTTGAAAAGTCGATTCAAGGACTTTTGCTGCTTTAGGAAATAGGGCTCCTTCAACTATTGCTTCCATTTAGGATGGCTTGAGATGGTTGAGATGGCCTTAAGTACAGCTCGGGTTTTCTTTTCTTTCTTTCTTTCTTTCTTTCTTTCTTTCTTTCTTTCTTTCTTTCTTTCTTTCTTTTTCTTTCTTTCTTTCTTTCTTTCTTTCTTTTTTTTTTAAATCTTTTATTCTTGGTTTGGGGGTACATGCGAAGGTTTGTTATGTAAGTAAACATGTATTACGGGGGGTTATTGTACATATTATTTCATCACCCAGGATATTAAGCCCAGTGCCCAATAGTTATCTTTTCTTCTCCTCTCCTCCTCCCACCTCCACCTTACCCCTCATGTAGGCCCCAGGGCCTGGTCTTTTTTTGTTGTTTTTTGAAACAGTGTCTCGCTCTGTTTCCCAGGCTGGAGTGCAGTGGCACAATCTTGGCTCACTGCAACCTCCTCCTCCCGGGTTCAAGTGATTCTTGTGCTTCAGCCTCCCAAGCAGCTGGGATTACAGGCGTGTGCCACCACACCGGGCTAATCTTTTTTCATTTTTAATGGAGACGGGGTTTTGCTGAGTTGGCCAGGCTGGTCTCGAACTCCTGGCCTCAAGTGGTCTGCCTGCCTCAGCCTCCCAAAGTGGTGAGATTACAGGCATGAGCCACTACGCTTGGCTTGGCTATTGTTTCCTTCTTTGCATTCATAAGTTCCTAACATTTAGCTCCCATTTACAAGTGAGAACACGAGGTATTTGGTTTTCTGTTCCTGCATAAGTGTACTAAGGTTAATAGCCTCCAGTCAGATTTTCTTTAAAAAAAAATAGCTTCAACTTTTCTATTGTAACTAATTCTTAAATAAGGTTTTTCTACAAATGCATGATTAAAAAGCATGTTATGAATATTTCTTCAGTCTTGACCATTTTTAAATTATGAAATATACTAAATGATATCAGATGCTTGGACTCTGTCAGACTGTGATCTAGCAGGACCCAGAAGACAAAATACTGCAAATCTATCCCTGGATGTGTGAAAGAAGTTAAAGCTTAAGTCTTGCTGGCAGGGAAACCACAGTACTTTTGTATGCAGAATTTACTCACCTTCTAGAAACACCAAGTCTAAGGAATAGGTCTACCATCCATTTATCCTTGCAGTTTATCTGTGATTTTGAGCAATGTCTATCAGGGCTAGTCTATCAGAGATCAGTAGTAGCTAAGAAAATAAGAGGAAAAGGAGTGAATGGTTGGATAGAGTGCCATCCTTGGTGACCAAAAAAATGATCCTTCACAGAAGCCCCAGCCACCCTTGTGCACTTGGTGAAGCAGTGAGCTGGCAGCTAGTGAGGGTCTTATGTCTTTAAGGTGATCTTGATGACCTCTGTAACTTTGACACTGGTTTGCAGTTAGCCCCATCTTGCTGACCTTCTTCTTCCTCAGTAGGATAATCATCATCTTTATTCCCTCTCTGTTTAAGTCTGTTTTCAGTCTACTAAGTTGTTTACGTGACCGTAAGTCCAAGACCACCTTTTAAAAATTTTTGATGATGTGTCATCCAGGGCACAGTTGATGTCTGCGCATTCCCTATATGGTGCTATCGTAGTGCTGGATTCAGTTCACATGCTTCATGATGCCTGTTGTGTTATATCATTTATGAGCAAGCATTTCAAGGATGAATGAAAGTATGTGACCTTCCTCCTTCCAACTAGATAAGTAGAGTAAATTTTTTTTTTTTTTTTTTTGAGACAGAGTCTTACTCTATGCCCAGGCTGGAGTGCAGTGGCATGATCTTGGCTCACTACAACCTCTGCTTCCTGGGTTCAAGTGATTCTCGTGCCTCAGTCTCCCAAGTAGCTGGAATTACAGGTGCGCACCACCATGCCTGGCTAATTTTTATGTTTTTACCTGAGACAGGGTTTCACCATGTTGGCCAGGCTAGTTTCGAACTCCTGACCCCAGGTGACCCACCTGCCTCGGCCTCCCAAAGTGCTGAGATTACAGGTGTGAGCCACTGCGCCCAACGAAAATAGTTTTATATTCAGGAGAACCTGTAGAATTCAAGATGATACATTTTTATATTCATCCTTGGACTACATGCATGAGTTGAATGGGAGCCAATTTCCCCCCTTTTAAGTAATCAGCTTCTATTATTTCTTTGTCTGCTAAAATCATCCTAATAATATATAAGGGAGGAAAATGTAGTCACGTTATCCCCAGAAAGAAGAATATATCTGTACCATGTCACTTTATTATTTTGGTAAACTACATGACATTTCCCTCATGATTTCTGCAGTTAAACCTAACGGTGTATAGGGATCTGTTTTTCTTTGACCAAATAGTGAATTGAGTGCTTCTAAAGTTCCAACTTTCCTAAACAGAGATCCTGTTGTATTTATGTGGCTCTAGCTTTCTGGCTACATCTGCTTTTCTTCCTAGTTTAAATCCCATTTAATACGAAGTCAAGACAAGGCCCTAGAGAATTCTACCAAAGCAAAAGGGAAGGCTTGGAAAGTCCCAGAAATTATCAATTGGATGAGTAACAAATTGTCAGTTTTCAATTACAACTGGTAAGATCACAACTGGAACATTAGATATTGAATGTAGATGTTGAACACTGCCTCTTTGAATCTTTGTCCTGTTTACAGATAAATAGTTCCAAGGAGCAAAAAATGAAATTTATCAAATGGTATGTATTATATTTACTATAATACGAAGGTCCTGTATATCACTGGGATCTGAGAAATGTAGAATTGGAACAAATTTAAGACTTACAGGCACAAACTGTTCCCCATGCTTTTTTCTTCCTTCTCTTTACTTTTTTTTCCATATCATGGATTTTTTTTTTTCTGTGTTTAACAAAAAGTAAGTTGTTTATGTAGCAAGGATTTTTATATTCAGTATGGAGTATTGCATGTTAATGTGTAGGAAAAAATCAGGCTGAGGCCGGGTGCGGTGGCTCACACCTGTAATCCTAGCACTTTGGGAGACTGAGGCAGGTAGATTACCTGAGGTCAGGAGTTTGAGATCAGCCTGGCTAACACGGTGAAAACCCATCTCTACTAAAAATACAAAATTAGTGGGGTGTGGTGGCAGGTGCCTGTAATCCCAGCTACTCGGGAGGCTGACGCAGGAGGTGGAGGTTGCAGTAATCTGAGATCGCACCATTGCACTCCAGCCTGGGCAACGGAGCAAAAACTCCATCTCGAAAAAAAAAAGAAAAAGAAAAAAAAAATCAGGCTGAGCGTGTTGGCTCATGCCTGTAATCCCAGCTACTTGGGAGGCAGAGGCAGGGCAATCGCTTGAACCCTGGAGGCGTAAGTTGCAGTGAGCCAAAATCGCACCACTCTGGATGACAGAGCAAGACTGTCCCAAAAAGGTGTACAAAAAAAATCAACTTTTCTCCCTCTGGAATACAAACTCTATGTCATTTAGCTGTTGTTAATTCTTGAGCCTCTACTTATATAATTTATGACTATAAAAACGATCTTTGACTTTCATAATCTAGTTACTTCCCAAACCTTACTGTGTCTTAATACACTGCTTTATTTTTTGCTTTCTGTCAACTTCTCAAGTTTGAATATCTTCCAGTGGTGCACTCACTAAACTTTAGCTGTATATCTGGTTATGATTTCATACGTTTTTCATAGGTAAAAGGATAACAAACTGCTCGGAGAAGGGCAATGTGTTCTTTAAAGAAAGTTAGGCCAGGCGCAGTGGCTCACACCTGTAATGCCAGTACTTTGGGAGGCTAAGGTGGGCAGATCACGAGGTCAGGAGTTTAAGACCAGCCTGGCCAGCATGGTGAAACCCCATGTCTACTAAAAATACAAAAAATTAGCCGGGCATGGTGGTGCACGCCTGTAGTCTCAGCTACTTGAGAGGCTGAGGCAGGAGAATTGCTTGAACTCAGCGGGTGGAGGTTGCAGTGAGCCGAGCTTGCACCAATGCACTCCAGCCTGGGCAACACAGTGAGACTCTGTCTCAAAAAAAAAAAAAGGAAAAAAGAAAAAGAAAAAAAAAAGAAGAATTAGAAGAATTAGAATTTCAGAATAAGTAGTAAATTAAAAAAAAGAAAAAAGAAAGGCAGAAAAGATAGAGGAAATGAGTTCTGCATAGGAACTTAAATGAGCAAAGTGTGAAGTCAATCTTTAGAAGTCTAAAATGAAGAAGGCTTACAACACTCTATGTCAGATGCCATGCCATATCTCTTACATAAATTATCTCATTTTTCCTTTGCATGGAATATATTCAAAAAATTGAACAAGTTGCCCAAATACTCAGATAGTAAATGTGGCAGAGCTAGGATTGAAACTGAAGATACCTGGCTGTAAAACTTGTACTTTTCATTGTATGATAAATTTTCTAAAAGTAGGCCGGGCACGGTGGCTCATGCCTGTAATCCCAGCACTTTGGGAGGCAAGGCGAGTGGATCACCTGAGGTCAGGAGTTCGAGACCAGCCTGGCCAACATGGTGAAACCCTGTCTCCACTAAAAATACAAAAATTAGCCAGGCCTGGTGGTAGGTGCCTATAATCCCAGCTACTTGGGGGACTAAGGCAGGAGAGTCACTTGAACCCAGGAGGCGGAGGTTGCAGTGGGCCAAGATCACGCCACTGCACTCCAGCCTGGGTGACAGAGCAAGGCTCCTCTGTCTCAAAAAAAAAAAAAAGAAAAGAAAAGAAAAAGAAATTTCTCAAAGTTACTCAGCATAAAAATTGTCAATAAAGTTCCAACTTAATTGCCATGTTCTTGTGTGAAATGATGTCTCTTTTAGCAGGCTTTGGTATTGGTGAGCATAAAGAGATGAGCAGATGAAGGTGTCATATTTCAATCACAATGTTAAGATCAGTAGCTGGGATGGAGTATGATACTTAGTAGGTGCTCAGTTTGTCAAATGAATGAATGTCACGTGTGATTTATTGGTGCCATAATATGGCTGTCTACCTGCACTCTTTCAGCTTTTGAAGCTGTGATTATATATATTAAACCTAAAACTTTACTCACACACAAAGCAAATGTGTGAAACTCAATGTTTATGTCATTAAACTGTTTATATCATTAAACTTTTAATGAAAGACAGAAAAAAGGCAAAATATTAATAACTTATTGGCAACAATGCAAGTGATACATACAATTGTCACTTTTGTATGCTGAGAGAACTCGATTCCATCTGTGCCAGCCACACAGCTAGGTGAATAAACACGTGGCAACCTTCATTTCAGGGAGGGTGGCTGCTCCTGAGACACTCGGATCCAAATCCATCCTTGAAAATTGAGGATGAATTGAAAATTCTTGAAAATCCTTGAAAATTAAATATTATATCCCATAAAATTGAATTCTCCTAGGCCAAATGTCAGCATATCATCAATAGGTGATGATAACAGTAAAAAACAACAGTGGTTGTAAAATAATAAATGTATAATTTATTGAGTACTTACAATGTATTTGGCATTATGCTGAACACTTATAGTTGACTATCTCATCTGGCCCTCATGTTACCTGACTTCCTCATGTTTGAGGTCACCTGTTCTATTGGGGAGAGAATGTGATGAAGAAGGACTATATAAAGTTGACTTTTGTATTTGATCTTAGATAGTATGTTTGCCCTGTTGGTTATAGGTGGTATAGAGGTGGGGAGGTATAAGCTGGAGACTGGATGTAAACTAAACACTGGGTCAGTAATTAAAGCTGGAGGAGATACATAATTAGGTCAGCAGTCAAATTTCTATTTCATTTAAAAATAATCTCAAAGTACTTTGAAGTCTGCTATAGATTTTTTTTGGATTTAGAATGCTTTTCTGGATTTATTTATACAGAGCCAATATTTTATGTAATTCACTGTGCAAAGAGAAAACAGTAGGTCTTAATAAATGTATACAGGGCTATATATTTGCAGGTTATAATTTTAAGATACTGTTGCCAAAGCCAACTTGAGGATTTTTTAAAAATCTCAATAAACTCAGAAGGTTGCCAGAAATAACTTACCTACAAAATTTTATTATAGCATTACTGAGTATAGCGATGTAGTGAATTTATGTAAAAATTTGACTATCCACAAGAGAGCCACATTGGTAGCTATCATATCAAAGTGTGATTGACTTATTTTTTGGTCCAGGTTGCATTAGGTGAGCCTCTCCTGAATCCAAGAATGGTTGGTTTATTTATGATTTTATTATATTTTATATTTTATTTTTTGAGACAGAGTCTCACTATGTTTCCCAAGCTGGTCTTGAATGCCTGGCCTCAAGCGATCCTCCCATTTCAGCCTCCCAAAGTGCAGGGATTACATGCATGAGCATTCACTGATGACTGGTTGATTGAGACAGGATCTCACTCTGTTGCCCAGGCTGGAATGTAATGGTGTGATCACGGCTCAGTGCAGCCTCAACCTCCTGGGATCAAGCGATCCTCCTGCCTCAGTCTCCTGAGTAGCTGGGACTATAGGCATGCTCCACCATGCCTGGCTAATATTTTAATTTCATTTTATTTTTGGAGACAGAATATGTTGCCCAGGCTTGTCTTGAACTCCTGGCCTCATGCTATCCTCCCACCTTGGTCTCCCAATGTGCTGGCATTACAGGTGTGAGCCACCACACCTGTCCAGATTATTTATTAAGAACATGTAGAAATACCACTGAATTAACTATACTTGTCTTTGAGGCCAACTTTATTCATTTGGCCAAAGTGAATATCACCATTTAAAAACTGTGGAATACCCATATGGATTATTAGATTAAATGCTGGCACTGGTGCTCTCTTAGTAGGGACCCAGGTTGTGAGACTTGATATTTATGTGACCAGAATAATTGTTTATTAACATATGTAGATAATAAATATAGTTACAACCCTAGATTGCATGTGTTGATGTTGACCTAGAGAGGATGTGATGCTGTTTGTGAAATAGAAAAGAGACTGTTGAACCAGTTAGCATGATTGATAAATGCGTTAATATGATTCTTAATGGGTTTTTATTATCTAGATTATTTTCCTAGTGGTTTATAACATTTTGAATTTTACAATCCAAAAAAAGTTGCCAGGATTGAATTTTTTGTTTAACTTCTGTTTTTACCATCTTTTCCTAAAACACTGGGCAAGAAAAGTACCTGGTATATAGTCAACCTAACTCAATACATGGTAGTTGAATAAATGGATGGATGATCAAACAACAAAAAAATAGTGGAGTCTTGCTCTGTCACCCAGGCTGGAGTGCAATGGAGTGATCTTGGCTCACTGCAACCTCCACCTCCCAGGCTCAAGCGATCCTCCCAGCTCAGCCTCCTGAGTAGTTGGGACTAAAGACATGCACCATGCCTGGCTAATTTTTGTATTTTTAGCAGAGGCTGGGTTTCAACATCTTGGCCAGGCTGGTCTCCAACTCCTGACCTCAAGTGATTCACCTGCCTTGGCCTCCCAAAGTGCTGGAATTACAGGCATGAGCCACCGCACCTGGCCTCATTGTGGGGTTTTAATGTGTATTTCCATATTGACTAATGAGGTTGAGCCTCTTTTCATGTGCTAATTAGATATTTGTGTGTCTTCTGTTTTTGTGTCATCTATTCAAGTTTTTTGCTTCTGGGGGAAAGTTGCATGAGACTTCCGCATGATGGTGACCAGTTTGCAGAGTCCCTGATGACTCTACAGACAGAAATGATCCAGGAACATGGCTTTTGGGGCCTGATGTACAACCTGCACTATAGCTCCAAGAATCATGAACTCAAAGTATAAAATTGAGGCAATAAATAAATCTCAATGGATTTCTAAGATATAAATGGTATAGAATTGGATGTACGTCCAGACTAATAGTCATACATGAGCAGTTTTATGGGACATGGTTTTGATTTTTATGATGATCTGGAGAAGGAATTGTTTCTCACAGAAGCAGTAAGAGCAGTGGTTTGGAACTTGGACTCTGGAATCAGATACTGTATTATATTTCTACCTCTGCCATTTACTATGTCTTCTTTGGGTGACTTCCTAATACCTTTGGACTTCAGTTCCCTCATCAAAAATAGGAAAAAAAAAAAAAAAGAAGAAGAAGAAATAAAATAGGCCGGGCACGGAGGCTCGTGTCTGTAATCCCAGCACTTTGGGAGGTCGAGGTGGGCAGATCACCTGAGGTTGGGAGTTTGAAACCAGCCTGGCCAACATGGAGAAACCCCGTCTCTACTAAAAATACAAAATTAGCCAGGTATGGGTGTGGTGGCGCATGCCTGTAATCCCAGCTACTTCGGAGCCTGAGGCAGGAGAATCGCTTGAACCCGAGACTCGGTGGAGGTTGCGGTGAGCCGAGATTGTGCCATTGCACTCCAGCCTGGAAAACAAGAGTGAAATTCTGTCTCAAAAAAAAAAGAAAAAAAAAGGAAATAAAATAATGGTACCTATATCCCAAGCTGTTGTGATAATTAAAGGAATTAGAACATATAAGACACTTACTTAAGGTCATGCTGGGTTTATAGGACATGCTGTATGAGGGCTAGCTCTTGTTATTACTGACTTCAAGTTGACACACTGGCATGTTTATATCACTCTAAAGTGTGGATTTTGGCTGGGCACAGTGGTGTGTGCCTGCAGTCCTAGCTACTTGGGAGGCTGAGGCAGGAGGATCACTTGAGCCCAGGAGTTCGAGGCTACAGTGAGCTATGATCGTGCCACTGCACTCCAGCCTGGGCAACAGAGTGAGTCTCTATCTCTAAATAAATTAGTAAATAAATAAAGTATAGATTTCCTTAGGGACTAAGCAGGCTTTATTATTGGGTAACCATTTATTTATGTATTAAACAGCAAACATAAATGGCAACAGATAGTATGATTCCACTTACATAATGTTCTCAAAGTGATAACATTGTAGAGATGGAGAGCAAAGGTGGTTGCCAGGCATCAGGAATTCAGTGAAGGAGGCCATAGAGGGGAAACACAGGGAGAGAGTTCTTCTGCCATGATTGTTGTGGTGGTTACAGAAATCTCTACGTGTGATAAAACCGCACTGAACTATATGTGCTCCTGCACACACATGCACACTCACACACACAAATCAGTGCATGTAAAAGCTGGTGACATCTGAATAAGGGCCGTAGACTGTACCGATGTCAACATTCTGGTTTGATATTATACTATAGTTATTTATGTAAGGGGTTACCATTGGGAAAATCTGGGTGAAGGGTACCCAGGAACTCTCTGTACTCTTTGCCGATTTTTTTTAACAGCTTTATGAAGATATAGTTCACATACCAAGCAATTCATTAAAGTGTACAATTGAGTGGTTCTTAGCATATTTACAGAGTTTTGTAATCATCACAACAGGCAATTTTAGAACATTTTCATCACCTCAAAAAGAAATTGTGTGCTGTAGCTAATACCCCTCCCAAACCAACCCCAAGGCCCCCCTCCAGCCCCTGGCAACCACCAGTATACTTCTGTCTCTAGAAGTGTCTTTGTTTTGGACATTCCATATGAATGGAATCATACAGTGTGTGGTCTCTGCATTTTCTTTGCAACTCTCTGTAAGTCTATAATTATTTCAAAATAAGAAGTTATTTTGGTTTTTTCTGAGACAGAGTCTTGCCCTGTTGCCCAGGCTGGAGTGCAGTGGTGCAATCTCAGCTAACTGCAATGTCTGCCTCCCGGGTTCAAGTGATTCTTATGCCTCAGCCTCCCAAATAGCTGGGATTACAGGTGTATGCCACCACACCTGGCGAATTATTGTATTTTTAGTAGAGACGAGGATTCACCATGTTGGCCAGGCTGGTGTCAAACTCCTGACCTCAAGTGATCCATCCATCCTGGCTTCCCAAAGTGCTGGGATTACAAGCTTGAGCCACCGCACCTGGCCTCAAAATAAAAAGTTTTTAAAAATGAATTGAGGGGCTGGGTGTGGTGGCTCACACCTGTAATCCCAGCACTTTGGGAGGCTGAGGAGAGTGGATCAGTTGAGGTCAGGAGTTCGAGACCAGCCTGGCCAACATGGTGCAACCCCGTCTCTACGAAAATACAAAAATTAGCCAGGTGTGGTGGTGGGCACCTGTAATCCCAGCTACTCGGGAGGCTGAGACAGGAGAATCGCTTGAACCTGGGAGGCGGAGGTTGCAGTGAGCCGAGATCATGCCATTGCACTCCAGCCTGGGTGACAGAGCGAGACACCATCTCAAAAAAAAAGAAAAAGGATCGAGTGTGGCTATGAGACAAGCTCTCTGCTGGGCAATGGGGACACATGAGTAAGTGAAGCCATGATCACTGCCCCAACAAGCTTAGAGTTTAGAGGGAAAGAGAAGGGGCAGACAGTGAGGGTGCAGTGTTATCAGTGCTTTGGTGGAAGCAGCACAGGAGCCAGGAGAACACTAGGAAGAATAGAACTCAGATTGAAAGCAAGGTCAGGCAAAGTTCCCCAGAGGAATTGGTTAGCAAATTTTTAAAGTGCATGTCACGTGGAAAGAACTTGGAACCATGGGCGGATGGGCGGCAGCTCATGTGGCATCTGTGGAAGAGAAGTCTTTCTTGAGACTTTTGCCGCTGTTGCCTGCAGTCCTTTGGCTGTAGCGCTCAGTGGCCAGGATGCCAGATAGTCCTCATTGGTTGTTTTTTTTTTTCTCCCCAGTGTCCAACAAGCACCCATTTGTGGACAGCAATCTTCTCTACCAGTTCAGAATGAACTTCCGGCGGAGGCGAAGACTGATGGAGCTGCTCAATGAAAAGTCCCCCTCCTCCCAGGAAACTCATGACAGTCCCTTCTGCCTGAGGAAGCAGAGCCATGACAATCGGAAATCTACCAGCTTTATGTCAGGTATGCCATCCCGGCATTTATTGGAGCTCAAGTGTTTGTCTTTTGAGAAATAGTGGAGCCATGACTCACCTTTGTGAAATTCTGTTCTCTATCAGAGCGTAGAATTTTTACTTATTCATAACCAAGAAGCATGAAAAAAATTCTGAAACCCTAAGTTTTTCTTGCACAGCCAACTTAGATGCCAGGACTCTGTTTTATAAAATTATGTATTTGAATTATAGAAGTCCTCTAGGCTCTCACTCAAACCTCATTTACTTTTCATTTACAAGCCATTCTTGCCTGGCATGGTGGCACACATCTGTAATCTCAGCTACTTGGGAGGCTGAGGTGGGAGAATCACTTGAGATCAGGAGTTTGAGACTAGGCTGAGCAATATAGCAAGACCTCATCTGTCCAAAAAATTTAAAAATAAATAAATAAATACAAGTTTTTGTTTGTTTATTTGTTTAGACAGAGTCTCGCTCTGTTGCCCAGGCTAGAGTGCAGTGGTGCAATCTTGGCTCACCACAACTTCTGTCTCCCGGGTTCAAGAGACTCTCCTGCCTCAGCCTCCCAAGTAGCTGGGACTACAGGCACGTGTCACCATGCCTGGCTCATTTTTGTATTTTTAGTAGAGATAGGGTTTCACTATGTTGGCCAGGCTGGTCTCAAACTCCTGACCTCGTGATTCTCCTGCCTTGGCATCCCAAAGTGCTGGGATTACAGGTGTGAACCACTGCGCCCGGCCTTACAAGTAGTTTTTATATATCATTTAATTA
This sequence comes from Homo sapiens, assembly GCF_000001405.40. Taxonomy (NCBI): domain Eukaryota; kingdom Metazoa; phylum Chordata; class Mammalia; order Primates; family Hominidae; genus Homo; species Homo sapiens. The sequence goes on from NC_000008.11 coordinate 120,002,469, forward strand.
TTCAGTTTTGTAAATCACAACTTTGCAAAGCTATCCATTTCAAAGATGAATAAGAAGATTATTTCTGTGGGCATTTACACCAGTAACCACAAAAAAGTGACTGGTTATCCACCCGTTATCAGGGGTGACAGAGAACAAATCTCTACTAAAAGTACAAAATTTAGCCGGGCGTGGTGGCGGACACCTATGGTCCCAGCTACTCAGGAGGCTGAGGCAAGAGAATCGCATGAACCCAGGAGGCAGAGGTTGCAGTGAGCCCAGGTTGTGTCACGTACTCCAGCCTGTGCAACAGGGCAAGACTCCATCTCAAAAAAAAAAAAAAAATATATATATATATATATATAATATAAAGTAAGTGGCAGAGCTGCAACTCAAGTTCTTGTTTTTCTGCCACTAAGACCAGTGTGCTTTCTCCTGGCCCCTCTGGACCTTGCAGTTGAAAGCCTATGTGCTCTAGTGAGCCGAGACCACCCCCTTGGTGACTGTGTGTGTTCTCTGGCCTACACAGTGAGCCCCAGCAAGGAGATCAAGATCGTGTCTGCAGTGAGGAGAAGCAGCATGAGCAGCTGTGGCAGCAGCGGCTACTTCAGCAGCAGCCCCACCCTCAGCAGCAGCCCCCCTGTGCTCTGCAACCCCAAGTCCGGTGAGTGCCCAAAAGGTGGCCCCGCTCCTAAGACTGTGGGGACTTGGGCAGGTCCCTGGGAAGCAGAATCTGAGATAGCGGGAGACTAGTGTGTGGGTTCTAATAAGTTAGAGCATGCTCTTGGGGTCCACACGTGTTGAATGGAAGGGAAGGAAGAATTGGGCTGAAGGAGAAATTGGGTTGTAGCCCAGTCTCAATGAAGGCTATCATTGACCCAGTAAGACCTCTGGAGCTGGGATGGCCCTTCCAAGTTGCCTGGAGTTGTGTTGAGGGGGCTGGGCCTTTAGATCCACATGTTGGCCACTTATTAGGTATTGGCTGCCCCTGGGAGGAGGGCATGACCTTGGGCAAAGCAGGTGTCTTCAGAGAGATGGTCTCCAAGACAGCTGAGGGCTGTCACCATTAGCACTCTCGGAGCTGGGAGAAGTCCCTGAGCCCTGAAGGGTGTTTTGGGCAGTATGTGACAGTGCTCACAGCAGGGGAAACAGCACTTCCCCAGAATGCAGCCGATGCATAAGATCTGTTGGGGCCCAACACCCTTAAGGAAGAAGCATGGATGTGTGCAAACCCAGCTATCCCTGGAATTGACCCTGGGTGTCTTGTGGTTTCAAAATCTGCTCATCAACCTCCATGGCCTTTATATTCCAGGAAAAAAATCTAGGCACAAAATTGTTGGTGAACATGTACTTAGAAACAATCCTTCCTCCACCCAATCAGTTCATCAACCACCCAGGAACTGGTAATCCATTGAAACTACCCTTTCTCACCATCCCTTACCCACCTAATGTCCTCACTTGCCAGGATGAGGATGTGTGGTCCATCACTACAGTAACCGCCAGAGAACACTCTCAAACCCATTTGTTTAAGGCACTGTCCACCCCCAGTTCAGTTTGTCACCTTCGAGGAAGAGGCTCTGTTCCTTTTGTTCATGTTGTTTCCTCATCATCAGATCTTGGGGATACAAAGATGACAGGTCATAACCCCCAACTCAATGAAAACACCACCTCTTTGGAGAAAAAAACAAAACATTTCATGTTAGTAAGAATAAGCACTAATTGATGCAGTTCAAAAGGCTTTGAGAGAAAACTCTGTCATCTAATGGTATTATCTAGGAAGGTGGCTCTTTTTCCTGATCTAACTTTTTTTCTTTTTTTGCTGCCTTCTGGAGTGTTAGCAGCAGGAATAAATGTAACCTGTAAGTGAATGAAGAAGCTTGCTTCCATACTGTCCTGGCTGAAGAGTCGTTGAGTACTGGGTTTTTCAATTACTGGAGCTTGCTGCTAAAGTAGAATGAAAAAGGAGAACTGAATTCTTAGAAATGGGATGTTTGAAGCCTTTGTAGAAATCTGACAGGCATCCTCAAAGTTAAAAGCAAAAGATCTCAGTTTCAATAAAAGGGTCAGTGGTGCCATAACCATTTTACAAGTTTTTGATTGCTTATGATGGAGTATGAAAAAAGTGTTAATTACTGAAATTAGCAACAAAATCCATGTTCCCTGAGGTAGGTTAGCATGTTTCCTCTTTCTCCTTGCCTCTGGGTCAAAGGGAAGAGTTTACTGTTATGCAGGCAGAAGAAAAAGGTCTCGTTTCCTTTCGTGGGTCCCCAAGGACAAGAGCTGTCAGGACTGAGTTGTGGTTTGTAAATTCCACTTCTTACCCATAGTTTGACAAGCTTCTCTCTCACTCTTAAGAGGATTCCCAAGACCCAGTGAGTTCATCTGTGATTTTTTTTTCTCAAGCAGATGATCAGGCCTTCACAGTGATGCATTTAAAAATTAATTATCTGAAATACACCAGGATATGTTTTTTTAGTACTGTATATAAATGCCCTAAGCCAGACACAAAAAACAGTACTAAAGATATTGATGTTATCAGTATCATTGTGATAAGCAAATAAGCTTCCAAGGATATGAAAAGAAAAAAGTTTTCCCTAGGCCTCAAAGTTTCTATATTTTTCAACATAATAAAGAGAAGTGCATTAAAATGAATGGTCAGCTCTGCTGCCAAATAGTACAGTGTGATTCATGTATCCAAATTCATAAGCCCCCTGAGGGTTTATGGGGAGTGGAGAGAGAGTTACCTGACAGGGAATAAAAAAGATCTCAGTCCTCAAATACTGACCACTTTTCTTACCTCCCATCCATCTGCTGAGAGATTCTGTTTCCATCTTGATATTTGACCTACTCCCTCTTGTTTGGCGAACATAAATTAATTTTTGCTTTTATGAGATTTCTGAAAGCAAAGGTGATAAGATCAGCAACCTGTCACCTCAACAAGAAGCACTGGATTGCCTTTCACTGAGAGGGTGCTTCTCAGGCCAGAAGGCCGTTCATGTAACCAGTGGGCGAGGTCCAGCTGCCTGGTAGATCATCACGCCTTGCCCCACGCTGCCTTTCCTTGTCTGCTGCACACTCTTTCCAGGACTGGTACCTGGCCTCTGACTGTCACTAGCAAAGGGGATCGGAGGATGCCACCTCACCAGGTTAGGCCCCTTGGCTGGGGCCTTTTCTGTTTCTCTGTGGCACTTCAAGTTCACAATGTCTGCAGAGCTGGATTAGAATGGTCTCTGTCCCCTGACCCCCTGGCTACTTGGGGAGGATACGACAGCCCCTCTCCAGTTCTTAGTGAGCACAGGATGGATGGGGGGGTTCATTATCGGTGGGTTTTAGGCAGCCGCAAGTCAGGAATTGGCTGCTGTCTGCCATCTTGGTGGGCAACAGCAGTGAGCTGATGTGAACGGGTGTCTCAGGAGGACAGCATGCCACTATCTTCCTGAGCTTCTAGACCCTTTCTTTTGCTTGCAGGACAGCATGGCCCAGAGTAAATGTGGCACAGTAGCTGAGAGTGTGGGTGCTGGTGTCTAATGCCTGAGTTTGATTCTACTTCTGCCACCCATTCGCTCTGGGACCTTGGACACAATCAATTTAACTTTTCTAAGGTTGTTTTTGCAGTTATAAAATGGGGATAACAATGATCCTAACTCATTCATTCTTGTGATGATTAAGTGAGTTAATATATTCACCTCACATGGTGCCTCTCTAGCATATGTTGAGTACTCAGAAAAGTTCACTAGCATTATTACTCATGGCAGAAAGCAGTGGGTACATGCAGTCCTAGGTGTTAAGAAGGAAGTGAGGCTGGGCGGCTCATGCGTGTAATCCCAGCACTTTGGGAGGCTGAGGCAGGCAGATTGCCTGAGGTCACGAGTTCAAGACCAGCCTGGCCAACATGGTGAAACCCTGTCTCTATTAAAAATACAAAAATTAGCCAGATATGGTGTTGGGTGCCTGTAATCCCAGCTACTCAGGAGGCTGAGGCAGGAGAATTGCTTGAACCCAGGAGGCGGAGGTTGCAGTGAGCCGAGATCGCATCATTGCACTCCATCCTGGGTGACAAGGGCAAAACTCCGTCTTTAAAAAAAAAAAAAAATTGACCTGCCCCCTTATCCCCACCCCTGGCACTCTTGCTTTCCTTCTCTTTCTTTTTTTCCTTAGCTTTGTAAGGTAGGTTTAGGGTTATTTATGTTTGCTGCTATTTACTGTCTCCATTCAGCTAAAATATAAACTGTGAGGCAGGGATCTTTGCCACTTTTTCTCACTGATGGTCACCTACGAGATATCAATAAATAGCTGCTGAATGCATGGATAGAGGACTTGGAAGTGCTTATGTCTTGACATTGTGTTTGTCTGCCAGTGCTGAAGAGACCTGTCACCTCTGAGGAACTCCTTACTCCCGGGGCTCCGTATGCAAGGAAGACATTCACGGTAGGCTGATGGTCTGGCCTTTTTCTCCCGTGCTGCCCATTTTTCTGCACCGTGTCCATGTGTCAATGGGTAGCTTATAGACTGAAATGAAAACTACTTTTCTAATTTTCTTTTTGTTTTTAGCGTAATTATGATACTAGGCTTTCTTGACCTCAAGGCACTAAGGTGCATTAGGACTTCACATGCGTTATTATTAATATACCATTTAAAAATTTTTTGATGTGTTCTTTGTTAAAGAAAAGATTTCCATTATGCATTTATTCTAATTTAATTGCAAATTTCAAGATTGGCATCATTTGCACTTGCATTTACCTTAAAATCTAATAATTTTAGATTTTATTTCCCACCATTAGTCATTTAAATTATTATTAGATTTTATGGCAAATGGAAGTGCAAATGATGCCAATAATCCCTTCTGCATTAGGATTAATTCTAGAAATTATTTAAAACATTAGGGGAGTGTTAAGCTAGAGAAAGGAAACTGTGGGATAAACTTTTCTACCGTAGGCAGGGTGCTTCGACAATGTGTGCATGCCTTGAGGTACACGAGCCTCTGACTTGCTGTGAGCAGCTCCGGACCACCTGCCCCTTCTTGGAGGTCCTTTAGGTTCCTAATGCCTACGTTGGATTTCTTCAAATGGAATGAAAGTGCTCTTTTCAGCATCACCGCACCCACTCCCCTTCCTGTGTCTCCTTCTGTCAATCTCCTCAAATTCACGTTCATACCCTCTTCAAAACACTTCTCCTCCTTCATCTTCTAACTTTAGTGGCATTGCCTCAGGCTGGGGGAGAATTCTATCCACACTCAGTCATGCTGCAAACATTTGCTGAGGGCTATTTCACATTCTGAATGCTGAGGAGTTAATAGGAGAAAGGCGCTGACAACATGTCTGTACCAGAGGAAAAGATAAACTCCACCTTCGGAAGTGAAATTGAGTATAATATACAAATAACAGCAAACTGTAAAGTAACGGAAGTGCCTGAAAATCTTGAGCATTTCCACAAAAATTTTCATTTGCCTCCCTGTTTTTCCTCAGTCTCCAGCATTCAAGAGAGGTAGATTGTTATTTTGAAAGTATTTATTTTTGATTTTTAATTTAAATGCCAACATTGTTAGTAATTGATTGTGAATGTGTTTCAGCTGTGTTTTGGTTGGGATATGTGTGAAAGATGTGGCTAGGAGCTGTCCAGGGAATTAAACTGCCAGCTCTAATAATGATTTCTATAGAAAAGGCCTTCTCTAATTCCAAACAACTTTTGGATTAGAGTCTACTTGTACATTGTGAACTTTATGTACTTTTTCACTTCTTTTCCCCCCTTGGTGGAGAAAGGGGCATGGTGGAGCCCTTGGTGGAGGGCTCCCTTGGTGGAGGCTGGGCATGGTGGCTCACGCCTGTAATCCCAGCACTTTGGAGGCTGAGGCAGGTGGATCACCTGAGCTCAGGAGTTCGAGACCAGCCTGACCATCATGGTGAAACCCTGTCTCTACTAAAAATACACAAAATTAGCCAGGCATGGTGTTGCATGCCTGTAATCCCAGTTACTCAGGAGGCTGAGGCAGGAGAATCGCTTGAACCCGGGAGGTGGGGTTGCAGTGAGCTGAGATTGCACTACTGCACTCCAGCCTGGGTGACAGAGCAAGACTCTGTCTCAAAAAAAAAAAAAAAAAAGCCAGGTCTCTTTATTTCCCACCATTAGTAATTTCAATAATTATGCTAGACTTCAATGACGTTGCAGGATCAAGAGTGTATCATTTGGATACTGGGGAAAAGAACAAACTTAGAGCAGAAATTGTATCTGGAGAGACATTTCAACCACGTTACGACTTTTTCTAAACCTTCTATTGGAGTCTGACATTAAATTGTATAACAGCCTAAGAAAGAGAAAATCTTCCAGTTGTTTATTGAATCATGCCCTCATGGGAGCATCTTCTTTCTGCCAAACAGGTTAGATTTTTTTTACCACCTTTTCTACAGGGAGATGCCCGGGTTTGTGATAGAAGCAGTGTTCCAATCCCCTGGCAGGGAAGAGAGAAACGGAGGAAAATATGTCACAGTGTATACTTAATCCTGGGCTGGTTTTCTCTCCCTCAGAAGAATAAGCAAATTGCCGGAGACAGTCGGCTGCTTGCTAATTGTGGTTTTCCTCTCTAGATTGTTGGTGACGCGGTTGGCTGGGGTTTTGTGGTGCGAGGAAGTAAGCCATGCCACATCCAGGCTGTAGACCCCAGTGGCCCTGCAGCCGCAGCAGGAATGAAGGTACTAACGGGTCTTTCTCACCCTCTTTTATATCTGTCTTGGGTTCTTCATGCTAAATTGGCCATGATTCTTACTAGGGATCCAAACCCATCTTATTTTGTGTCCTTTTCTATTTCTGCCCTCTCTTTCTTGTTCTCCAAAGTCTTTAACCTTTCCCTGGGTCTTCCCTCTCCTCTAATAAACATTTAGAAGTGTCTAGCCAGGCGCGGTGGCTCACACCTGTAATTCCAGCACATTCAGAGGCCAAGGCAGACATATCACTTGAGGTCAGGAGTTCAAGACTAGCCTGGCCACCGTGGCGAAACCCTATCCCTACTAAAAATACAAAAATTAGCCGGGCGTGGTGGCACACACCTGTAATCCCAGCTACTCAGGAGGCTGAGGCAGGAGAATCGCTTGAACCCAGGAGGCAGAAGTTGTAGTGAGCCAAGATCGCACCACTGCACTCCAGCCTGGGTGACAAAGCGAGACTCTGTCTCTAAAACAAAACAAAACAAAACAACAACAACAACAACAAAACAACATTTAGCAGTGTCTAAATACCTCTAGCTTAATTTCATTATTTGGTGCCATGTGTACTTTTTCTCCCTAAGCGTTTTGGCTTCATTTTTGTCAAATTTCCTTTTCCCTTTCTGAATGGGGTTAAAATGAAGCCAAGCACATATGATATAGGAACCAGGAGAGCAAGTTTTACTACCTCCCTGGTGTTTGGAGGTTTGGTCTCCAAACCTCCCCTGGTGTTTTACATGTTTCCCCTCAACCAATACTGAATTTGAAAAATTATGTATTTCCCTTTGCTTAAATCTTTGTGTAAGAACTCCAATGCTTCTATTCTATGCAAGGTGTATTCCTGTGGGGTTTATGTAACCGGTAGCACATAATAGACCATACGACATAGCCAATACTGAGAAAAAGAAAACAAAAACCATGAACTTTGGCAGAGATCTGGAGATCTAGATCTCGGTCCTGTTAGCTACTAGCTCGTTGACTTTGAACAAGTTTTATAGCATCTCAGAGTCTGTTTTCTCCTCTCTGAAATGACAATCATACTATTTCCCGTTGTTTTATGGATTAAATGTGTGGAAACCTTGATAAAGTACAAAGAGCTACACAAACAACAATTCATTAATGAATGAATTATGGAAGATTTTTGAAAATAACTGTTACATATTTTTTAGTACTAAAATGATACATATACGTGCCAGGTATGGTGGCTCATGCCTGTAATTCCAGCATCTTGGGAGGCTGAGGCGGGTGGATCACTTTAGGTCAGGAGTTCAAGACCAGCCTGACCAACATGGTGAAACCCGGTCTCTACTAAAGATACAAAAAATTAGCCAGGCGTAGTGGCTCATTCCTGTAGTCCCAGCTGATCAGGAGGCTGAGGCAGGAGAATTGCTTGAGCCTGGGAGGCAGAGGTTGCAGTGGGCTGAGATCGCACCAATGTACCCCAACCTGGGTGACAGAGTGCAAGACTCTGTCTCAAAAAAAAAAAAAAGAAGAAAAAAACACACATATACAGTCAAGAAAATTTGGAAAATATATGCAAGCAGGAAAAAAATTAAAATTACTTCTAATCTTCCCTAACTCAGAGATGACTACTGTTAACATTTTTTAAGCAGCTTTATTTGAAGTGTGTAATTGGCATCCTATAAAACCTAGCCATTAACATTTTGATTTATATTCTTCTAGACTTCTTGTGTGTGTATATATACTATTTACATTGTTTTTATTTAAGAGGATGTTGAGGTTTTCTGCTTTGAAATACCTTTATATAGCACAGCTTTGTTCTATTGTCTGTGAAATGTTTCACAAAAGGGTATTTCTGTCTTGATTATCCAAAACCATAAGAGGATGCAGAAGGCTTAAAAGCTAAAGATCATTCCCCTGTTCATTTATTCAATACTTTCATCCTCTTCCATCAGTCTTTTCCTAGAGTAGCAATAAGCATGATTGGGATCGCCACCTCTCTGATTTCCAGCATGAGCTCTCTGGCATTGGTTTGCATGCTGGAAAAAATAAGTGGGCAACAGAAAATGGCTCAAGGAAGCAAAGAGCACATTTACTGCTTGCCCAGGTAATCAGCGCTGGTATGATTAGGGGCTGCTTCCACCTTTTGATTTGAACACCTCACTCATGTCAGGGAGGCACAGGCCCTGGGGTCCTGTGCTCTGGGGCAGCCATGGAAGCCCTGCTTGCGAAGGCGGTGCATGGCAGAGCCCTTCTACCTTCCCAGGACTGCAGCAGGCACAGCACCAAAGCAACTCAGAGTAGGAATGTTGGCCAGGATCATAAAAAAGCAAGCATTTGTGTCCATGCCAAGGCTGAATTTTTCATTTTCTAATGGAACTCTTGGCTGGGGAAGGATTTTATATTTTATTTCCACAATAAAGTACCTGGTATAAATTTTTTTTGGCACAATGCTTCAGTTCTGAGTGTGCACTCACTCGCATGATGCTTTGGCTTAAAGAGCATTTCTTTTGAGGAAAGCAATGAATTTATTTACATTGCAACTAAAGACCTTGTTTTGCTTAGCCAAATGTACAGTGAAATTAATTGATTTAGTTTATCTTTGTTGATGTACATACATAACCGTTCTGGGCATTGTCAACTCATTAACTAACTCTTTAACGTATATTCCCTGATCGATGTTTTACCTGATATATTTTTTCAATTTCATAAGCTAATACTTCATATGGTTTATATGTTTAGTTTCTTCAGAGGTACACAGTGGTTTTCTTATGTTATAGAGCTTTACAGAGTTCATTAGAGCAGCCTTTCCATCACTGTATTATTACACAGCTCCCTGGTCCAGCAAAACATCTGTCCTGAGGTTCTCTGATCAAAGCAGTTTTAAACTGCCACATACTTTATCCCCCTCTTAGAAATTTACAAAGCACATTAGCATATTGAAAACTCTGACAAACCTGGCAGGAGGAAAAAAAAACCTTGTTTAAATTGTTTAACATAACATTTTATCATTTAAGAGAAACATGCAAAAGGAATCTTTATCAGTGTTGTTGTTAAGATATAGCCCTAAAACCCTTCTAAGATTTTTGGCCAAACAGTATTGGAATTGATATAAAGTCATACACCACTTAATGACAGGGTTATGTTCTGTGAAATGGGTTTTAAGGCAATTTTGTCATTGTGTGACCATCATGGAGTGTACTTACACAAACCTGGGTGGTATAGCCTACCACATACCTAGATATAGCCTATTGCTCCTAGGCTATAAACACTGTACAGCATGTTACTGTACTGAATACTGTAGGCAATTGTAACACAATGGTATTTGTGTGTCTAAACATAGAAAAAATAATGAATTGAGCTATAATATTATGACAACTGTGATGTCACTGGGCAATGGGAATTTTTTTTTTAAAGCATTCTTTGTTTTTGTTTTTGTTTTTGTTTTTTTGAGACAGAGTCTGGCTTTGTTGCCCAGGCTGGAGTGCAATGGTGCGATCTCTGCTCATTGCAACCTCCACTTCCCAGGTTCAAGCAATTCTCCTGCCTCAGTCTCCCAAGTAGCTGGGACTACAGGCACGCACCACCATGCCCAGCTAATTTTTGTATTTTTAGTAGAGACAGGGTTTCACCATTTTGGCCAAGATAGTTTCGATTTCTTGACCTCGTGATCCGCCTGCCTCGGCCTCCCAAAGTGCTGGGATTACAAGCGTGAGCCACCACGCCCAGCCGAATTTTTTAGCTTTATTACAATCTTATAAGATGATGGGAGGCCAGGCTCAGTGGCTCATGCCTGTAATCCCAGCACGCTGGGAGGCTGAGGTGGGAAGATCACCCAAGGTCAGGAGATTGAGATCTACCTGGTCAACATGCTGAAACCCAGTGTCTACTAAAAATACAAAAATTAGTCAAGCATGCTGGTGGGTGCCTATAGTCCCAGCTACTCAAGAGACTGAGGCAGAAGAATCACATGAACCCGGGAGGCAGAGGTTGTAGTGAGCCAAGATTGCACCATTGCACTCCAGCCTGGGTGACAGAGCGAGACTGTCTCAAAAAGAAAAAAAAAAAAAAAGATGATGGGACCACCATCACATATGCAGTTCATAGTTGACTGAAACATCATTATGCAGTGCATGACTATACAGAGATATACATTTTTAGTATTACTGTTTGTTGGTTAAATTACAATGATAGCAAATACCATGTCCTTCCGTATAGTTTAGCTGCTTATATTCATTAGAAATTATTTTGTACATTATTTTCTTACCGAAAATACTGACTCAATTATTTCCTATTTTACCATTTGTCATAGAATAATTTCACTTACAAAGAAGCCATTTGTATAATCTATTCGTAAAGGCTTGTTCCCAGCAAGCTGTCATTGCTGCTATCTTCAACTCAGAAAACTGCAGAGTTTGGGGTGTGTAGTCGTCAAGAGGGTCCTGGGGTGCCCTGTGGGAAGGATCCGCCCACTTGGGCACTGATTAACCTGCTAGGTCTGAGTGGTGGAAATTTTCCAGCATTCTGACCACATGCCTCCTTTTGGCATCTCTGACTGTCCAGAGCTGACCTAGGATAGTGTAAAGTGCCTCAGTGTCCCTTCCTGCACTGAATGTCAGGCTCTCCCTTTAGTCAGGGTTCTCATTTTCCCCAGGTTTTGAATGGGGGCAGAGCCCTGCATCTGGGCCTTTGTGGCCACTCCATCCAGTGAGATTTTCACACTTTTGCTATGACTACTTTTTTTTTTTTTTTTTGAGATGGAGTTTCACTCTCGTCGCCCAGCTGGCGTGCAGTGGCGGGATCTCAGCTCACTGCAACCTCCACATCCTGGGTTCAAGCGATTCTCCTGCCTCAGCCTCCCGAGTAGCTGGGATTACAGGCGTGCCACTATGCCCAGCTAATTTTGTGTATTTTTAGTAGAAACGGGGTTTCACCATGTTGGCTAGGCTTGACCAAGCATCTTTGAATTTGAGCTACTCTTATTTTGAAAGTTCTTTTACTTAAAAAATAAAATCTGTAAACGTCGGGCTTGGAGGACTTTTGTTTGGCACTACAATTCTAGAATGGAGCATGAAATATGGAAATCATCAAAAGTTTCATCAACCCATGCAATGCATTTACATCAAGAAGTTGTTTCCTGCATTTTTCCTTTGATGACTTTTCACTCATCCTTGAAGAATTTTATATCCAGGGCTTTTGGTTTCCTTTCAATGCAAAGGGGAAAGGAGCAAACGAGAGAAGGAACTGTCTCTTCTATGTACCTGACCCTGAGCCGTGCAAGGCTCTTTCGCTACAGGAGCTCATTTAATGTCAGCATCCAGATACTCATATCCTAGAGGAAGAAATCATTCCAGGAGGAAAAAAATCTGTCTCTTATCTCTTTGCTGCTACTTTGAAAGGGAAGCCAGTTCCTTCCCCAAGCTATTTTTTTTTCCCTTTTTTTAGACAGAGTCTCACTCTGTTGCCCAAGCTGGAGTGCAGTGGTACAATCTTGGCTCACTGCAACCTCCGCCTCCCGGGTTCAAGCGATTCTTCTGCTTGAGCCTCCCGAGTAGCTGGGACTACAGGCATGTGCCACCATGCCTCATTTTGTATTTTTAGTAGAGACAGGGTTTCACCATGTTGGCCAGGCTTGTCTCAAACTCCTGACTTCAAGTGATCTGCTCACCTTGGCCTCCCAAAGTGCTGAGATTACAGGCGTAAACCACCATGCCCAACCCCCAAGCTATTCTGTAGGTTACAGTATAATGAATATTGTGTAAACGTTAACGTTGGTTTCATGTCACAACCTTGAATGATATAATCTTTTTTTTTTAATCACATCAAGTCTAAACCCATTTCTGGACAATACTATCTATGATAACCTTATTTTACATGATCCTCTAGAAGACATCCTCTGCTTTAGTCAGGGAGAATTTTTACATTTCCGTAATACATCATGATTATGCCTATGTCTGCCTCTCAAGAAAATCTAATTAAGTGACTCAGGCACTCAAAATACTCTAATGGCTCCCCATCACAATAGGAATAAACTCAGATGTTTTCTGTAGTCTACAAAGTTTATAATCCGGGCCCTGCTTATCATACCTTTATCTCCTTCCCTGGCCTTCTGTCTGTTCCTCCCAGACACTGGGTTTTCTCCTGCCTAGGGCTGAATAGCTGGTTCCATTGTTGTCCTTCAAGTCTCAGATTAAATGTTAATTTTTCAGAGAAACCTTCCTTGAATACCCTGTGATATTCCTCCCGTCTTTCTCCAATCACTTCTCCTCATATCACCATGTGGTCTTAGTCATTTTAGGCTGCCGATTAGAATTGATGGCTTAAATGACAAACATTTGTTTGGGAAGTCCAAGATGAAGGTGCTGGCAGGCCCGGTGTTTGGTAAGGGTCTGCCTTCTGGTTTGCAGTTGGTCATCTTGCTATATCCCAACAATGATGATATGGCTCCAATGAGTGGAGGAACACCAGGTTCTTTGTCTCTAGTCAAATTGGAAAAAACGACATGGACACACGTGGAGTGGTTTTAAGAAGTAGAGAGTCTAATAGGCAAGAAAGATGGGAGGAGGCCGAAGATAGATGCTCACCCGTACAGAGACAGAGGGAGGGGGGCTCCAAAGCCGAAAGAGGAGACCCCAGGTGCCATGGATACCAGCCAGTTTTATAAGTAGGCTGGCGGAGGTGGTGTCTGATTTGCACAGGGCTCAGGGGATTGGTTTGACGAGGCATGTCATTCACGTAGCCCGAAAAAGCTTGCCCTCCCACCCTAGCCTTTTAATATGCAAATGCAGGGCACCCTGATGTTCTACACACTCTGGGATAGGTGGGGGCGGCCATGTTGCCAGGAACATGTGGGGCAGGGGCAAGAAGGCCAGGGAATCGCCATGTTTGTATGGACCCAGTTTCTAATGGCCTCCATTTGCATATTAAAGGTTGCTGGCCTGGCTCTAAGAGCTGCTTTAAAAACAAAAACTTCCCTAGGACCCCTTTTCCTCTCTATCTGCCTAAAATAACTTCTTAATAACTCTTTCAACAATGATATAGTACAGAGAGAGCAAGAGCAAGTTCTCTAGTCTCTGCTTATAAAGGCACTAATCTCATTCATTTGGGCTCAACCTTCATGACCTAATTACCTTCCAAGGCCCCACCTTCTAATACCATCACACTGGGGGTTAGAATTTCAATGTATGAATTTTTTTTTTTTCCTTTTTTTTTGAGATGGAGGTTCGCTCTTGTTGCCCAGGCTGAAGTGTAATGGCCCGATCTCAGCTCACTGCAACCTCTGCCTCCCGAGTTCAAGTGATTCTCCTGCCTCAGCCTCCCAAGTAGCTGGGATTACAGGTGTGTACCACCACACCCAGCTAATTTTTTTGTATTTTTATTAGAGACAGGGTTTCACCATGTTGGTCAGGCTGGTCTCAAACTCCTGACCTCAAGTGATTCACGTGCCCCAGCCTCCCAAAGTGCTGGGATTGTAGGTGTGAGCCACCATGCCTGGCCATGGAATTTTTTTTTTTTTAAAGAAAGAGTTTCACCTTGTCACCCAGTCTGGAGTGCAGTGGCCTGAACATGGCTCACTGCAGCCTCCACCTCCTGAGCTCAAGCGATCCTCCTGTCAGCCTTCAATGTAGCTTGGACCACAGGCACATCATGCCACCATGCCTGGCTAATTTTTTTACTTTTTGTAGAGATGGAGTTTCACCATGTTGCCTAGGTTGTTCTCGAACTCCTGACCTCAAGTGATCTGCCCACCTCAGGATACCAAAATCTCCATAAAGTTGAGATTACAGGCTTAAGCCATCATGCCCAACCTCAATGTATGAATTCTGGGAATACTCAAACGTTCAGTCTGTAACACCTGTCTCATTGTCTCCATCATATTTTTTAGAATATGATTATATGTATTTATATGTTACTTGTCCATCTGTTCTCAACGGCTGTCTAAATGTAGAGCCCTTGTCTGTCTTAACTACTATATTCTCAATACCTAGCACAATTCTTGGCTTTTAGTACGTGCTGGAAGCAAATTTACTAAATGATTCAATGAACTGATACTTCCAAAGAAAGGCTCAGGAAATACACTTAGTGACCACTAGCATTGTGTCCCTATGATCTCTCACTGTTCCAACAACTGCTGAAGCTGGGTGGGTAGTGTTCGCCTTACTTTACAAATGAGGAAACCGAGACCCAGCTTATCCATTTCCCAAGGTCACCCAGCTTGTAAATGTCAGAGTTAGATTCAAATCTGATTTATCTCCCCCAACACCCACATGCTTCCTATTGTATTATTTCAAAAAATGCAAACCCATGAGGTGGAGCCCAAGAGATGACATATTCTATTAAACCCTGAAATCCCTGGCAAACTGCTCATAGATGCGTGACCTTTCGTGTCTTCCGCAGAGAGAATTTGTATTCTTGTTGGAGTGGTCACGTGTTCACCTGGGTTGTTTTGGAGAAGATCAAATAAATAATTTTCATTCTTGGCATCAGCTGCTCACTTAGGTCAGGACTAGATCTAGCAGGGTCATCCAAGTGAAAAATCCCAAATCCTCACTTTTGGTAGTTTAATCAAACACTCGTCAGAGCAAACCATTCAGCCTTCAAGCTCTGAAGGAATTTGAGCCCTACTTACAAATCAGGAACAAAAGATATCCTTGCTCTTTTCTGGAAAGTTTATTTTTTCTTATGGGAATAATTAAATCCTGTGAGAGTGTTCAAGTTTTCATGCTACCCTGTGCCAAGTCTCAGAGGGATTTCAAGCCTCCTGGCTTCTTTTCTTGTTTCCTGCCGTGATGAATTGATGGATGTGGACTTAACGGGGCCTTTTTTCTCTGTTTATCTGTTTCTTTGCATATTTACATAGAAACAGAACCATCTGAGTCAGAATAAAGAACTAGTGGCCATGATGTCCTTTTTTTCCTCTTTCAAAATTTCTTATTTTTCATAGCAAGGAAAAAAATGTCAAAATCCTGCTTTTTGGTCTTTCCCTCTGATGGCAACATAACTGTCTATTTCATGGAATTTTCCCCCTGAACCAAGAGAGGCCAGGTTCCTAATTAATTTGGCTAAGATAATTTGGGAACTAAAGAAGCAAATTGTGAAGTAACTATCCACACAAATGAGAAAATGCCTTCTGTGATTTTTTTTTCCCTAAGACATAGATCCTGAAGTGATGTTTTAAAAATATGTAGTTATAACCGGGCGTGGTGGCTCATGCCTGTAATCCCAGCACTTTGGGAGGCCGAGGCAGGCGGATCACCTGAGATCAGGAGTTCGAGACCAGCCTGGCCAACATGGCGAAACCCCATCTCTACTAACAAATACAAAAATTAGCACGGCCTGGTAACACATGCCCACAATCCCAGCTACTAGGGAGGCTGAGGCAGGAGAATTGCTTGAACCCGGGAGGTGGAGGTTGCCGTGAACCAAGATCACGCCACTGCGCTCCAGCTTGTGCAACAGAGCAAGACTGACTCAAAAGAAAAAAAAAATGTAGTTCCTTTCCAGTGGAGTTCAGGAAAGTCATATGGGATAAACAGCATTGTTTTGTATGCAGTGCTATGTCTCACTTTTGCAGAGTTGTAGCTTCTCAGTTAACAGAAAATGATAGGGTCAATGAGCCACTGCCCACCACTGGGCATGACTGGGAGGAGCAAGATGACCACTTTGCTGTGAAGCGGTGGCCTGAGATGGCAGCTTCTCAGGGTCTCAGCACAGAGCCCTTTTCTGCTCTGTGTCCTTCCTTTGCAGGGATTCTTCTGTGCCAGGCTCTGATGCCCTCAGTAATACAGCGATAACAGTGCACAGTTCCTTGTTCACTCACTATTCACTGACCACTACCATGTGCTAGGCATTATGTTAGACCTTCATGGGGTTTATAGCCTAGAGAGGAAGAAGGACATTTTTTAAATGCACAGCTTTTGGCCAGCTGTGGTGGCTCACACCTGTAATTTCAGCACTTTGGGAGACTGAGGCGGACGGACCACTTGAGGTCAGGAGTTTGACACCAGCCTGGCCAACATGGCGAAACCCCGTCTCTACTGAGAATACAAAAATTAGCCTGGCATGGTGGCCCATGCCTGTAATCCCAGCTACTCATGAGGCTGAGGCAAGAGAATCACTTGAACCCAGGAGGAGGAGGTTGCAGTGAGCCGAGATTGCGCCACTGCACTCCAGCCTGGGCAACAAAGTGAGACTCTCTCAAAAATAAAAAATAAAATAAAATAAAATGCATACCTTTTAAGTGTATAGATTGGTAAGTTTATCAGATGTGCACACTGGTGTCACTCTCAATCAGAACACAGAACACATCTCTCCCTCCAGAGACCCCCTTGTGCCTCTTTCAAGTCAGCCTCTTTCAGCAGAGGCAACCACTGACGCGATCCTGTCACGAGAAATTAGTTTAGGCTCTTAGAGTCAGACAGAATCTTGGCTCCATTCCTCACGCCCGTGTAACTTTTGGCAAATTGTCTCCTTTCTCTGGGCTTCCTTCTCATCTGTTAACTAGGGATATGTGTGGTGTCTTCCTCATAGGGTTGGTGAAGGATTAAAGGAAGTAATGCTTGCAGGGCCCCTCATGCCGGTCAGCCATGTCGTCCTTCCCTCCTTCGCCACAGTCTGAGTACATGGGCACATCTCAGAGGCATAACCAGCTTGTGAAATAAATCTGAATAATTCTTCAGTCTTAGAAATATGTCTTGAGTTCTCTGAGGTTCAGCTTTCCCAGATCGAGTTGCCCTCTGCCCTGTCACCCTGGAATCCTGCCCACTCCTTCCATGTCCCCCAAGTTCCTGTTCCTAACCTCATCTAAGTCACTGCCACACTGCTCGTTACTGAGGACCAAGGTCCTTTCTGACTGATTTCATTGGATTTCACCTTCACCCCGGTATCCCCCATCACCAGCACTGCATGTTCCCCACTTTCCGAAATCTCCAGAAGCATCTCTGACTTCTCCTGCCAGTTCTTCTCATTTTTTTTTGTTTGTTTTTTCTTGTTTGTTTGTTTTGAGACAGAGTCTCACTCTGTCACCCAGGCTGGAGTACAGTGGCATGATCTTGGCTCACTGCAACCTCTGCCTGCTGGGTTTAAGCGATCTTCCTTCCTCAGCCTCTCAAATATAGCTGGGACTACAAGTGCATGCCCAGCTAATTTTTGCATTTTTAGTAGAGACGGGGTTTCACCAGTTGGCCAGGCTGGTCTCAAACTCCTGACCTCAAGTGATCCACCTGCTTCAGTCTCCCAAAGTGCTGGGATTACAGGCGAGAGACACCACACCCAGCTTGTTTTGTTTTTTGAGACAGGGTCGCACTTTGTTACCCAGACTGGAGTGCAGTGGTGCAAACATGGTTCACTGCAGCCTCCACCTCCTGGGCTCAAGCAATCCTCCCACCTCAGCCTCCCAAGTAGCTGGGACCACAGGCATGAGCCATCACACCTGGCCTCCTTCTCATTCTTTTCATCTGACACATCACATTCCCTTTGTCTTCCAGCCCATGTTTGTGTTCACGTAGGGCTTGAGTTTCTAGTTTGTGACTGGCAGGAGGGCTGCTGTCGAAGAGGCTTGCCTTAAGTGTCAGACATGGGGGGTTTGAGTCTTAGCTTCACCACTTTTATAGGACAAAAAATAATTACTTAAACTAATCTAAGCCTCAAATTCTTCACCTTTAAAATGATGCTGGCCAGACACGGTGGCTCATTTCTGTAATCTCAGTACTTTGGGAGGCCGAGGCAGGTGGATTACTAGAGGTCAAGAGTTTGAGACCAGCCTGGCCAATGTGGCGAAACGCTGTCTCTACTAAAAATACAAAAAATAGTTGGGCATGATGGCATGTGCCTTTAATCCCAACTACTCGGGAGGCTGAGGCAAGAGAATCACTCGAACCTTGGAGGCAGAGGTTGCAGTGAGCTGAGATCACACCCCTGCACTCTAGCCTGGGTGACACAGCGAGACTCTGTCTCAAAATAAAATAAAATAAAATAAAATAAAATAGGGCTGATAATAGTCATGATTAAATGGAATATGTGGGCCAGGTGCGGTGGCTCACATAATCCTAGCACTTTGGGAGGCCAAGGCGGGCAGATTACCTGAGGTTATTAGTTCGAGACCAGCCTGGCCAACATGGCGAAACCCCGTCTCTACTAAAAATACAAAAAATTAGCCGGGCATGGTGGCAGGCACCTGTAATCCAGGTACTTGGGAAGCTGAGGCAGGAGAATCACCTGAACCCAGGAGGCAGAGGTTGCAGTGAGCTGAGATTGCGCCACTGTACTCCAGCCTGGGCGACAAGAGTGAAATTTCGTCTCAAAAATAAATAAATAAAAAATAAATGGAATATGTGTCCTAGCTCAGTAGCTGCTGCATAATCAACAATAAATATTTCTGGGTGTCATTTATTATATTGCTTATTTAAATAATTGTGTTACTCAGAGTCTTCTGGCTGATTGTTGCTTAAATACGCTTATATTTGCAAACAAAACACAAAGTAACAGAATAGTAGCTAAAAGGGGATAACAGAGGGAGAGAGTCTATGTAATCACATGTTTCTGCCATATTGCAGTATACTATTCCAATTCTTTCTAGTCTTAGAAAAACTAAGTCTAGGTTTCTCATTTTTAAGTAGCAATAATAATTGCTTCATGGCACAGTCATGGGGATAAATAAAAAAGTGTGTATGAGGTATCAAGCCCATGCCCATATCATGTGATGGACACTCAGTGAACACTGTCTACTATATTTCATCAAATACAAGATGCATGGATTGTGGCTGGGTGTCGTGGCTCAAACCTTTAATTGCAACTCTTACGGAAGCTGAGGTGGGAGGATCACCTGAAGCCAGGAGTCTGACGACCAACCTAGGCAACATAGCAAGACCTCACCTCTACAGAAAAAGTTAGCCAGACTTGGTGGCACGTAGTCAGCCACTACTGGCACGTAGTAGTCCCAGCTACCTGGGAGGCTGAAGTGGGAGGATCACTTGGGCACAGTAGTTCAAGGTTACAGCGAACTGTGATCCTGCCACTGCACTCCAGCCTGGGTGACAGAGCGAGACCCCATCTTAAAAAAAAAAAAAAAAAAAAAGATGCATGGATTGTAAGATACGCTTTGATTTCAGAGTTGCTAAAATGTGCATCTCAAAATCAGCAAATGCTGGTATTACAAGTTCAAGCCCCATTGACTACTACATTCGTATCAGTGGGTTCATTTTTGCTAATTGCTAAGTTTGTTTAACGTTTTGTTGACACTAAACATTTTTATTCACAACAGTAGGAAAAGTTCTCTTTTCCAAAGCAGATACATGGAAATTTTTTTAAACATCTTGGTACAATCCTGTGCTTCTCCTAAATTGATCTGCTATGGGTTTTTACTCTGCCTTTTAACTCTTTGTGTTGGATCCTTAAAGACAGTAAGAAGGGCCAGTTCTGAGAAAGGGTCAGTCTTGAGGCTCCTAAGTCCTCAGAACTTAGGCAGCTACTCTGTTTTTCCAGGTCACATCCAAATAACTAGTGTGAGGCCAAATCTGTCACCCCTTTGAAGGACTCTTCAAAGCTAGATAAGTCCTAAAATTGTCCCCACTTTTTGTTTTTTTATTTATTTAATCTATTTTAATTTTTTTTTCTAGAGATGGGACTCTCCCTATGTTGCCCAGGCTGCTCTTGAACTCCTGGGCTCTAGCAATCCTCCTGCCTTGGCCTCTCAAAGTGCTGGGATTCCAGGCGTGAGCCACTGCACTCAGCTGAAACTGCCCCCACTTGTAAAGTCAGGGACTACACTCAACTGACCTGTACCTGGAAGAGATTCAAAGCTGATCCAACCCAAGTTAGACATCTTTTTTCAAAGATGTACTCTTGAATTTATCCATGACAGTATCGGTCAGTTAGGAATGCCATAATAAACCACAGACTGGATGGCTTAAACAACAGATTAATTTGCTCACAGTTCTGGAGAATGGAAGTCTGAAGTCAGGAGCCAGCATGGTGAGGTGGGCCTGTCTCCTGACTCACAGAGGGCCGGTTTCTCACTGTGTGTCCACAAGGAAGATAGAGACAGTGAGCTGTTTGGCATCTTTTCTCATTAGGCCACTAATCCTATAGGGTCCCACCTTTATAACCTCATTAACTTTAATTACTTTCTTTTCTTTTCTTTTCTTTTTTTTGTTTTTTGAGACAGTCTCACTCTGTGGCCCAGGCTGGAGTGCAGTGGCGCAATCTTGGCTCACTGCAAACTCTGCTTCCCGGGTTCAAGTGATTCTCCTGCCTCAGCCTCCCAAGTAGCTGGGATTACAGGCACGCACTACCATGCCCAGCTAATTTTTGTATTTTTAGTAGATACGGGGCCACCACGCCCAGCCTAATTATTTTCTTATTCCACATACAGTCACATTGGGCATTAAGACTTCAACATCTGAGTTTGGGGTGGGAGGGCACAGTCCATAGCAGTGACCAACCCAAGAATCTTGGGAAGTAAAGATAAACATGAGAGTGTCTTTACTATATCTGCTGGGATGTTACCTAGATAAGATTCTATATATCAGTTACAATTAGCTTCATTTATGAGTGTCATAAATCCTCCAAAACAATGATTAAGATTAGTATTTTAGTATTTTGGATTTTTTTGTTTTTTTGTTTTGTTTTCATGTCAAAGCCAGAAGGAAGCCAGTTCAGGGCTGAGCTGTGTCTCCATGGTTTCAGTCACCTATTTTGTTTTTTTTTTTTTACTTTGCTTGGCTTCCATTCCCAAGGTTACTTCAAGGTCTGAGACAGCTGCTAGAACTGTAGTGATTAGGTTTGCATTCTAGCCACCCAGGAGGAAAGAAGGGAAGCAGAGGGCACTGTCCTTTTTTAAAAAACACATCTCATTGGGCATGGTTGTTCACGCCTGTAATCCCAGCACTTTGGGAGGCTGAGATGGGCAGATCACCTGAGGTTAGGAGTTTGAGACTAGCCTGGCCAACATGGCAAAACCCTATCTGTACTAAAAATACAAAAACTTAGCCGGGCATGGTGGCATGAACCTGTAGTCCCAGCTACTTGGAAGACTGAGGCAGGAGAATCGCTTGACCCTGGGAGGTGGAGGTTGCAGTGAGCCGAGATTGCGCCACAGCACTCCATCCTGGGTGACAGAGCAAGACTCTGTCTCAAAAATGAATAAATAAACAAAAATAAAAGACAC
Source organism: Homo sapiens (assembly GCF_000001405.40). Taxonomy (NCBI): domain Eukaryota; kingdom Metazoa; phylum Chordata; class Mammalia; order Primates; family Hominidae; genus Homo; species Homo sapiens. The sequence continues at coordinate 120,024,270 of NC_000008.11, forward strand.
CTCTGGAAGTGGCACACATGACTTCTTTTACATCCCATTAGCTAGGACATAACCACACATGGGTGTACTTAGGTGTGAGGGAATCTGGGAAATGTAGAATTTATTCTGGATGGCTGTTAGGGGCTGAATTTTGTCCCCCAAAAAGATATGTTGAAGTCCTAACCCCGAGTACCTCAAAATCTGACTCTCTTTGGAAATAGGGGCCTTACAGAGGTAGTCAAGTTTAGATGAGGTCATAAGGGTGGGCCTAATCCAATATGACTGATGTCCTTCTAAGAAGGGGAAATTGGCCACAGGGACAGACATACTCAGAAGAAAGATCATGTAAAGACGCGAAGGGGAATTGTCCATGTGACTGGAGTGGTGCATCTATAAGCCAAGGAGTGCCAGGGATTGTGGGCAAACTCCAAAAGCTGGAAGACACAAGGAAGGATGCTCCCCTAGAGCCATCAGAGGGAGCATGGCCTGCCCTGCTGAACCTTTGATTTCATACTTCTAGCATCCAGAATGTGAGACAAAAAAAAATTTCTGTTTTTAAAACCATCCAGTTTTTGGTACTTTGTTACTGTAGTCCTAGGAAACAGACACAGTGGCCATGTGCCCAGAAAAATAATGGGGGTTCTATTAGAAAAGGGGTCAGGGCATTGGATACAGGGGAGAAACCAATAGTTTCTGTCATTGACCGGAAAAAAATGTACAAACATCCTTCAACAAGTATTTATTGATTACCTACCACATATAGTACACTGTGGCAGGTACTGAGGATCCAGTTGTGAGCAAAGCCAGTGAGGTCCCTGCCCTCAGGGGGCTTCAGATCTAGTGACAAGACAGATATTAATGACATGCAAATATTTAATTACAAGCTACGTTAATCCACACAGATTTTAATTAAATGTAATGTTTAATTAAAGACTGTGATATGTGCATTTGGCAGGAACGTTACTGGGTAAAAGACGGATTCTCAAATACATATTTTGGCATATTTGGACATTTCACTCATTTTCAGAATTTTGTGATGAAGACTGTAAAGTCAAGTGTTGGGTCTGTCATTTTGCCTTTAGCTTCAGAGTCTCTTAATTCCACCCACCATTTTTTTTTTCTGCCAGATGAAATCAAATATTGTTGGCATTCTAGTTACAGCTTATGGTTCTCCAAGGAGAGCCTGTGAGAGAGAGAGAAATGATGGAAAGCCAAAATGGGAAAACATTTGTTTGGCAGAGGGTCAGATTACTGGAACAGGAATTATGGAGCTTCAGTTGATTGAATGCTTTGTTTTGCACATTCCTGTTCCTCCTCCAGTCTCTTCCAGCTCAGTAAATATCATTGCCATCCACCCAGTTACTGGGGCCAGAAACCTAGAAGTCATGCTTGCTTTTCTCTTTGCCCTCCGATTATAGATACTTCCAGAATGCTTCTCGAATGCATCTTTCTTCATTTCCCAAAATCCAAACCACAGTCATCTCTTACCAGTACTACTGTGGCTCTAGCTGGTCCCCTTTCGTCTGCTCTTGCACCCTTATCATCCATTCCCCACCAAGCAACCAAAGGAAATCAGGAAATGATGCCACACTCCTGCTTGAGATCCATCATTGGTTTCCCACTGCATCCTTACCTTGGCCCAAACGGTCCTACCTGATCTGCCTTCCTCCTACGTTACCTCCATTATAGCTTTTTAGCTCCTGAAACCAGTGGTAGCTTTCTCTCTTAGGACTTTTGATTTTTTTTTTTTTTTCTGAGACCGAGTTTCACTCTGGTTGCCCAGGCTGGAGTGCAGTGGTATGATCTCAGCTCACTGCAACCTCTGCCTCCCGGGTTCAAGTGACTGTCCTGCCTCAGCCTCCCATGTAGCTGGGATTACAGGCATGCACCACCATGTCCGGCTATTTTTTTGTGTTTTTAATATAGACGGGGTTTCGCCATGTTGGTCTGTAGCAGTGTAGATTTAGTAGATTTCGTGGATTGCTGTAGCAGTGTGATGAGACAGATGGAAAACTTTCATGGCATTTCTGCTCACAGCTTGTTGGTTGGAATTGTGTTGCGTGGTCACTTTAAGGGGGGCAGAGAACTCAAGTATTCTAATTTTTTTTTTTGAGATGGAGTTTTGCTCTTATCACCCAGGCTGGAGTGCAATAGTGTGATCTCGGCTTACTGCAACCTCTACCTCCTGGGTTCGAGCGATTCTCCTGCCTCAGCCTCCCAAGTAGCTGAGATTACAGGTATCCACTAACATGCCTGGCTAATTTTTGTATTTTTAGTAGAGACAGGGTTTCACCATGTTGGACAGGCTGGTGTCGAACTCCTGACCTCCGGTGATCCACCCACCTCAGCCTCCCAAAGTGCTGAGATTACAGGCATGAGTCACTGCACCCCGCCAAGCATCCTAATTTTATAGGTAAGGAAAGTAAGGCCCAGAATTGAAATGACTTATCCAGGGCCAACTGAGATAAACAAAAGTGGAATCTGGTCACTCCTGACCATGCTGTTAAGTAAGTTGTATGAAATAGACTCACTTCAGGGCTTGGCCCATCGGGCACTCATAATATAAATTTTCCATCCCTTCTCTGTCCTCTGTTCCACTTCTACTATCATAGTTGTTTCAGAGACTAATATGATCTAGACTTTTTAAAGTTTATATTATATTCAACTGTTCTTAATAATAGTAATGCCTACCGGGTGTGGTGGCTCACGCCTATAATCCCAGTACTTTGGGAGACCGAGGTGGGTGGATCACCTGAGGTCGGGAGTTCAACACCAGCCTGGCCAACATGGAGAAACCCCATCTCTATTAGAAATAAAAAATTAGTGGGGTGTGGTGATGCATGCCTGTAATCCCAGCTACTCGGGAGGCTGAGGCAGGAGAATCACTTGAACCCGGGAGACGGAGGTTGCGGTGAGCCGAGATTGTGCCATTGCACTCCAGCCTGGGCAAGAAGAGTGAAACTCCATCTCAAAAAAATAAAAATAAAATAATAATAATAATAATAATAATAATGCCTTTCTTTTGTAAAACATTTGTCAGAGGATGTCACATTTCTCATTGTATTTTCCCAACTTTCTGAAATAGAGGTGAGTAAGTACCACCAACTCAGTTTCACATGTAAGATGATGGAGACCCAAAGAGGTTGTTCAGGACCAAGTTAAGAGTAAATTCTAGGCCGGGCTCAGTGGTTCACACCTGTAATCCTGGCATTTTGGGAGGGAGAGGCGGGTGGATCACCTGAGGTCAGGAGTTTGAGACCAGCCTGGCCAACATGGTGAAACCTCATCTCTACTAAAAATACAAAAATTAGCTGGGTGTGGTGGTGCATGCCTGTAATCCCAGCTACTTGGGAGGCTGAGGAAGGAGAATCACTGGAACCCGGGAGGTGGAGGTTGCAGTGAGCCGAGATTGCACCACTGCACTCCAGCCTGCGCAATGGGAGTGAGACTCCAGCTCAAAAAAAAAAAAGAGTAAATTCTAACTGTCTCATGCCATGAATTCCATTTTCAGGTACTGGGCTGGAATAGAATCCTCTTATTTAAAACAAGCATAAACAAGAACACAGAGATCCTTGAGTGAATGCCCAGACTAGATTTTCTCAACTTTTACTACATGTCAGAATCACCTGGGAAACTCCTAGAAAATACCCAAAGATACAGACTCAGTTGGTCTGGGGTAAGGCTCAGACATCAGCACGGTTTGGAAACTCCCAGGCAATTTTAAAGTGGAGCTTAGAGACAGCCTACTGGCTCAGACCTCTTAAAGATGGATATGATGCTGCGTAATCCGGTCATGTTGTTGGATAAAGGGCTGCATTGATTTTCATGCCTCAAATTCAAACGGAAGGTGGTGTTCCACAGTTTGTTTATGAAATATATTGTGAAGGCATTTAGATGATGTACTTTTTTTTTCTTTTTTTTCCTGGAGATGGAGTCTTGCTCTGTCACCCAGGCTGGCATGCAGTGGCTTGATCTTGGCTCACTGCAACCTCCACCTCCCAGGTTCAAGCGATTCTCCTGCCTCACCCTCCCAAGTAGCTGGGATTACAGACATGAGCCACTACGCCTGGCCTAAATGATGTACTTTTGACATTGCAGTATTTCTTTGCACAGTATCATTTACACACACATTTGGGAATTTATTAGCTCCACTTGATGTAAAAATTTTCTTGGAGCAAACCAAGCAAAGAAACAGCTCCAAATCTTTTTTTTTTTTTTTTTTTTTTCCTGAGACGGAGTCTCTCTCTGTCACCCAGGCTGGAGTGCAAGGCACGATCTCGGCTCACTGCAACCTCCCCCTTCCAGTGAATCAAGCAATTCTCCTGCCTCAGCCTCCCAAGTAGCAGGGATTACAGGCGCCTGCCACCACACCCAGCTCATTTTTTGTGTGTTTTTAATAGAGATGGGTTTCACCATGTTGGCCAGGCTGGTTTCGAACTCCTGACCTCAAGTGATCCACCCACCTCGGCCTCCCAAAGTGCTAGGATTATAGGCATGAACCACCATGCCCAGCCCCTCCAAATCTAAAAACAGTTTTTTAAAATTAAGTATTGCAGCCGGGCACAGTGGCTCCTGCCTGTAATCCCAGCATTTTGGGAGGCCGAGGCAGGAGGATCACCTGAGGTCAGGAGTTCGAGACCAGCCTGACCAATATGGTGAAACCCCATCTCTACTAAAAATACAAAAACTAGCCAGACGTGATGGCATGTGCCTACTTGGGAGGCTGAAATAGGAAAATCGCTTGAACCTGGGAGGCAGAGGTTGTAGTGAGCTGAGATCGCGCCATTGCACTCCAGCCTGGGCAACAAGAGCAAAACTCCATCTAAAAAAAAAAAAAATCAATATTGCTCATGCACTCATCTTGGTTACTTTGAATTGTCATACTTGTGCCATATGACATGCAGGACACCTGGCCCGTCTAACTGCCAATGTAAAACATAGCTCTTGTTTCATGTACCATACCTAGTGAAGGTACCCATGAATGGCTTTGGTCTTGTATCCTAGAAAGCCCCTACTGTTCTCTTTGGGCAACGGACATTTTTTTAAAGAATAGGAAAATATCCTTCATACTATCCTGAGGAAGGTTCAAGGAGGGCAATATCTTATTAATTCAAATATGCTTTGAGTCTTGAGTTTTATTTTATTTATTTATTTATTTATTTATTGAGACGGAGTCTCACTCTGTCACCCAGGCTGGAGTACAGTGGCATGATCTCGGCTCACTGCAACCTCTATCTCCTTGGTTCAAGTGATTCTCCTGTCTCAGCCACCGAAATAGCTGGGACTATAGGTGCACACCACCATGCCTGGCTAATTTTTGTGTTTTTAGTAGAGACAGGGTTTCACCATATTGGTCAGGCTGGTCTTGAATTCTTGACCCCAGGTGATCCACCCACCTCGGCCTCCCAAAGTGCTGGGATTACAGGCGTGAGCCACCGCACCCAGCCAAGTTTTAAAATATGGATTTTTTTCTGCTGAAAAGAAAATGTTTACTTCTCCCCACCCCTCTCCATAATACCTAGACCCATATCCAGTCCGTTTTGGCAGGAGTTTGTGCTGACTGGTGAAAAGTTCACAGAGCAGGGTATTAAATGGGCCTTACTCTTGGGATGGAGAGAGTGCAGAATGCCAGCTATCTGCATAAGGGAGGCCCAGAGAGGCCCTCTGCATCTCTGAGGAGAAAGCTGTCTTTATCATGGCCAGATGTGGCCAGCTGTGTAATTGCTGATCGCTGGGGCCTTAACTGCCCTGTGCTCTGGGTGGAGTGACTGCCTGCATGTACCCACAGCTGGGTTAATGAGATCAAGTTTCACTTTTTAGAGCCAGAGTAATCAGGACCAGGCACAAACCATATCCTCGTAAGCCTGGGGGTGCATGGGTGTCCCCTGCCTTGGCCAAGCCAGGGGAGGCCAAATACTATGGCGGACCCTCATCTGTGTAAGCTGGAATCCTGGGCTGTGATGTATCTGCGGAGAACAGACTTTAGTGTCTCCAATCCTGCAGGAGTCAAATGTCCTTCCTCTTCCGTTATTTCTGATATTGTGGAAATAGGATATGTATTAAAAGAAATTACTAAAAAAAGTACCTGTTTGAATGTTTAGGGCAGGGGCACTACTCTGTCTGATACTATAATGGTGGGTACCGGTCATTATACATTTAACCAGAGCCATAGCATGTGCGACACTAAGAGTGACCCCAGTGTAAACCATAGACTCTGGGTGATAATGATGTATTGTGTAGGTTCATCAGTTTTTTTTTTTTTTTTTTTTTTTTTTTTAGCTGGAGTCTCACTGTGTTGCCTAGGCTGGAGTGCAGTGGTGTGATCTTGGTTCACTGCAACCTCCGCCTCCTTGTTTCAAGCAATTCTCATGCCTCAGACTCCCCAGTAGCTAGGATTAGAGGACTGCCACCACACCCAGCTAATTTTTGTATTTTTAGTAGAGATGGGATTTCACCATGTGGGCCAGGCTGATCTCTAACTCCTGACCTCAAGTAATGCACTCGCCTTGTGCTGGGATTACCGGTGTAAGCCGCCATGCCCAGCCTCATCAATTTCTTTGTTGTTGAGACAGGGTCTCGCTCTGTCACCCAGGCTAGAGTGCAGTGGCTTGACCTAAGCTCACTGCAACCTCCAGGTTCATCAGTTGTAACAAATGTACCACTCAGGTAGGGGGTGTTGATAATGGGGGATACCGTGCCTATGTGGGGCAGGAGGCGTATGGAAAGTCCTATAGCTTCCTCTCAATTTTGCTATGAACCTAAAACTATCTTAAAAAATAAAGTTTACTTTAAAAATACTAGTGAGGCACAGTGACTCATGCCTGTAATCCCAGTACTTTGGGGGCCCAAGGTGGGAGGATCACCTGAGCCTCAGGAGTTTCAGACCAACCTGGGCAACATAGTGAGACCCCATCTCTACAAAAAATTATTTTTAAAAGCCAGGCACAGTGGCTCATGCCTGTAATCCCAGCACTTTGGGAGGCCAAGGTGGGTGGATCACCTGAGGTCAGGAGTTCAAGACCAGCCTAGGCAACATGGTGAAACCGTCTCTACTAAAAATTCAAAAATTAGCCAAGTGTGGTGGTGTGCACCTGTAATCCCAGCTACTTGAGAAGCTGAGACAGGAGAATTGCTTGAATCCTGGAGGTGGAGGTTGCAGTGACCCAAGATTGCGCCACTGCACTCCAGCCTGGGTGACAGAGTAAGACTCTGTCTCAAAATAATAATAATAATAATAAAATGCATATTTGCATTTACTTATGTGCTCCATCGTGCTGTAAGGATTTCATGCCCATCCCTTCCATTTTATCCATCACCTCCCAAAGCTGACTGCACCCCATGCTTCCTCAGAGCTCCTGCCCATATTCCATCCCATCCCAGACATCAGTGCCAGCACATCTCATCAACACAGTGATGCCTCTAAGTCTCTACTCATCTTTGCCTTAAACTTCCTTCTCCTGTTAATCCCCTCCCCCATTTCCATCATTGCCAACATTTTTCTTCAAATTAGGCAGCCTTGATACTGGGAGCTCTCTTGTCTCCTCAGCCTCCCTGCTCAAACCTGGGGAGCTTCCATTTTTTATGCCTCCTTTCAATTCCCACTGCTGTGACTTGAGTTCTGGCTCTTTCATCCTCTGTCTCAAGTCTGAGGGATGAGTCCTTTTTTACCAGTCTGGGAAAAGGAAAGGACCTGGTGGTGAGCTGAGGCTTCTCCCTGTTAGCAGGGCTGGCAGTTGGGATGAAGAGCTGGACACAGAGTGCGGGAGAGTGAGAACAACTTGGAAACTAACAGCACTTCCGCCTTTACCTCTCACTTCAGAGAACAGGTTGTAACCCATCAGCATCTAGCCTCTGTATTAATAACTTCCTTTTCTAATATTTATTCCATATTCCCTGAGCCCTCAGGAAGCACTTCAGTTACTTATACTTTCCAAAACTTCATTCTAATATGACACTAACTTTCTTTTTTTTTTTTTTTTTTTTTTTTTGAGACAAAGTCTTGCTCTGTCACCCAGGTTGGAGAGCAGTGGCACGATCTTGGCTCACTGCAACCTCCGCCTCCTAGGTTCAAGCAATTCCTCTGCCTCAGCCTCCCGAGTAGCTGGGCTTAAAAGGTGCCTGACACCATTCCCAGTTAATTTTTTGTATTTTTAGTAGAGATGAGGTTTCACCACATTGGCCAGGCTGGTCTCAAACTCCTGACCTCAAATGATCTGTCTGCCTCTGCCTCCCAAAGTGCTGGGATTACAGGCGTGAGTTACCACACCCAGCCAACACTAACTTTCATTCCTGAAGGTTCCCGAGTGGGACCACAAGTGAAGCTGGTGATGAAGGCTGTGACCTTGTTGGCTGGTGGGGGCCTTGAGTCCACTGTTGGTCAGTAGGGCCATCAGCTGGGGAGCAGAACTGCATGTGGAGCAATGGAGGGCAAAGCCGAGCTGAAATCCTTCAGCACCTCTGCGTCTACCTCTCACTACATTTAACCATAACAGCCACGAGTGAACAGCCATGGTGGCTGCTTCACTTCCACCTTCCAGGTATTATGGAAAATTCTTTCTGGCCAACTTGAATCTGGAACTGTGCAGGAAAGGGAATCTGAAAAATGTAGCTCTGTTTTGGCCAAGTTGACACCAAAAAGCTCCACCTTCTTATTTGATTCATGTTCTTCCTCATAACTGGTCCAGAAAATGTGCTTGGTGCAAGTGTGAGCCAGGAATGGGGAGAATGAATGTGAGAGTCATCCAGTAAAAGAGAAGTGAGGATGGGCTGATAAGGGGGCTAGAGAGCTTTTGGTGAGTATCATACCTAATACATGCTACTGGATATGGAATTCTTTTTTTTTTTTTTTTTTTTTTTGAGACAAAATTTCACTCTTGTTGCCCAGGCTGGAGTGCAATGATGTGATTTCAACTTACTGCAACCTCTGCCTCCCGGGTTCAAGCAATTCTCCTGCCTCAGCCTTCCATGGAGTTGGGATCACAGGCATGCACTACCACGCTCAGCTAATTTTGTATTTTTAGTAGAGACAGGGTTTCGCCCTATTGGTCAGGCTGGCCTCGAACTCCTAACCTCAGGTGTTCCACCCACCTCTGCCTCCCAAAGTGCTGGGATTACAGGTGTGAGCAACTGTGTCTAGCTGTGAGCTATATTTTATAGTTGAGGCCGAAAGAGTTTGAGTCACAGCCTCTTGTTGTGTAACTACATGGCAGAGCCAGAAGCCAAGCTAGCCCAGGTCTGTCTGGCTCCAGAGCCCTTGGTCTTTTCATTATATCACAGCACCCTTCAAATGTGTGATATTACCTGACTTTTCTGATCCTCAGCTTTCCATCAGGCTGATATTGGCAAAATGTTTTTCACTCTGCCAGAGGTTAGATGTTCTCTAGGAACGAAGATTTGGAGGGATCTCAATCTCCAAATCCATAGATTTCTCTGACTGGTGTGCTAGGCTCCTAAAGATGACAAGACACAGATGACTCACTGGTCCACATCCACGTTTTAATTGCCAGGCAAGGATTTACTCCCAATCTTTAGCCAAGTCAGTATGGAGCACTCTCTTAAGCCTTTAGAGTGACTTCTTGAACTGAGTCAGTCCTGAGTAGCTTGATTGGCAACCCCAATCCCTGTCCCACAACTTGCTTGGTCCTGAATATGGCTATGTACTGGTAGACAAATGAAGGGGCGGGTGACTCACGCCTGTAATCCCAGCTCCACCGGGGGCTGAAGCAGGAGACTTGTTTGAACTCAGGAGGTGGAGGCTGCAGTGAGCCGAGGTCACACTATTGCACTCCAGTCTGGGTGACAGAGTGAGACAAAGGGGCTCTGGAGCAGAAACCAGCTACTTGGCTCTCTCCCCTGGGGGCATCCAGCAAAGGATGTTGAAGGTTGCTTAGTCCCGATCTCATCACACCCAAAAAGAGGTTGCTCCATGCTCAGTCCTATTTATAATCCTCTTACTTTTCCCACCAAAACACTACGAACAAGATAGTGGTATAACTGTGTGTCTCTGCAAAGCATGTACACACACACACACACACACACACACACACACACATTGTATTCGTAGCTGAGATCAGAGCAGTGCCACCTTGGAGGAAGAATAAGGAGAATCGGATATGTTGACTCACCCTTACAGGTTAGATAATGTCACCAACACATCCTAAATCAGTAACTTTTTTTTTCTTTTTTTTCCTTTTTCTTTTTTTTTTTTTTTTTTTTTTGAGATGGAGTCTTGCTCTGCTGCCCAGGCTGGAGTGCAGTGGCGCAATCTCAGCTCACTGCAATCTCCACCTCCCGGGTTCAAGCAATTCTCCTTCCTCAGCCTCCCAAGTAGCTGGGATTACAGGCGCCAGCCACCACGCCTGGCTAATTGTTTTGTATTTTTAGTAGAAATGGGGTTTCTCCATGTTGGCCAGGCTGGTCTTGAACTCCCGACCTCAAGTGATCCACCCACCTCAGCCTCCCAAAGTGCTGGGATTACAGGCATGAGTCACTGTGCCTGGCTATGATTAGTAACTTTAATACTGCATCTTGTTTAGTACTTAATCTTTTAAAACCTTTGTTATGTTAATTTTGCCTTTTTGGCATAATCCGGAAAAAAGAAAAATAATTTCTGGGTGTTAAATAGTTATTGATAAACATTTATTAAAGCCAAACAGATAATTGGGCAAAAGATTCTTACGGAGGAAAAAATTTGAGATCAGGGAGGAAGTTTGTCCTTGTGGAATCTATTTCCTCTTTGCTATAAGCTTGTGTGGGAGTGATACATGTGTTAAGACTCTGTGTCTCTTGGCCAGGCACAGTGGCTCATGCCTGGAATTCTAGCACTTTGGGAGGCCGAGGCAGGCAGATCACTTGAATCCAGGAATTTGAGACTAGCCTGGGCAACATGGCAAAACCCTGTCTCTACAAAAAATACAAAAAAATTAGCCAGCCATGGTGGTGCATGCGTGTAGTCCCAGCTACTCAGGAGGCTGAGGTGGGAGGATCGCTTGAACTTGGGAGGCAGAGGTTGCAGTGAGCGGAGATGGCACCACTACACTCCAGCCTGTGAGACAGAGTGAGACCCTGCCCAGAAAAAAAAGAAAGAAAGAAAGAAAGAAAAGAATGTGTCTCTTGCTGTTGGAACCCCTCCTTCCCATCCCACTCAAAATTACAGGGTATTCTAAAGAACTTCCTATATCCACAGTAAAAGCAAATTTTGTATGGGGGTGTGGGAATGTAAGAGTGAGAATTTGTTCTTAGGTGATAGATACCTTTCCTTCAGTGGTAAAGGAGGGAGTCCACAGAATCTTGTGGTTATAGTGTGTAAATTTTGCCTTCTTTTCAGCAACTGGAGTGCAGTGGTGCAATCTTGGTTCACTGCAACCTCCGCCTCCCGGGTTCAAGTGATTCTCATGCCTCAGCCTCCCAAGTAGCTGAGATAACAGGTGCCCACTATCATGTCCAGCTAATTTTTCTATTTTTAGTAGAGATGGGGTTTCGCCACGTTGGCCAGGCTGGTTTCGAACTCCTGATCTCAGGTGATCCACCTGCCTCGGCCTCCCAAAGTGCTGGGATTACAGGCATGAGCCACTGGGCCTGGCCATGCAACTGAACACTTCTTATAACGTTCAGAAACCACCAGATAGAGAGAATGCTGTCTGTCCTTAATGCAAGCAGCCCTTGGAATTGTTTCTAGAGCTGTCATGAGCTGCCGATGGGAAGGTGACATCAGTGTCGGTCACAAATTCTCCCTTCAGCCTGATCTATGCCTCTAGAGAGAATTCCCAGGAAGGCAAGTTTTTGCCCTAACTTTGGGAATCCAGTATGTATGGACTGAACCAGGGTTCCCCATAACTACCCCTCTTTTATGTACACCACAATCACCCTGTGATTGACCCATTTGCTGAGCAGAGCGTACCAAGAGGGAGCCTAGATCTTAAACAGAGCTTTGATTGATTGGGGCTGAAAGGGGGCAGATTCTGTATGAGACCAGCAGGCATTACAAACTTCTCAATTTGAAACAAAAATGCTTTAATGCTACTTATTGTTGTTGTCTTATTGTGAAAGTTAGTCATTCTTATATATGGTTGGCTTTCTTTCAAGGTCAATTGCACAGTCTGTTCTTTGGGGGCACCGCATAGCCCTATAGCATGCTTAAAATGCATAAAGCTTAGAGGAAGACTAGTTCTCTGGAGAGAATTCTGTGTTTGTCCAAGAACTGGATCCCTGCCTCCTCCCACACAGTCACTCCACAGCCAGTTGCATACTTGCAGAGAGATTTATGGGGCTGAACATACAGCTGCAAGTTTTCTTTTCTTCTACTTTTTTTTTCTTCCAGGAACAGTGTCCTGCTGTCAGGTCTGTGTGCACTAGACACAAACACATAACTTATTTACTACAGCAGTATCCAAAACTCCTAAGTAGTGTCCTTGCTGAATGTGAGTGTTTTCATGAATATGAAACATTCTGAAGATGTAAGGAATTCCTAGATACAAGCCAATCTTGACTCAGTTTACATCTCTGTCTAATATTTTGGTGAAGGACCATCCAGGAGTCTAGTTACACTGTACAGCTGTTTCAGTTCTAAAGCAACTTGGTTACCTTATGGTCAAGATCAGAAATTCCTTAACGGAATTTGACTGCTCTGTTTCCTTTAAAAGTATGCTGATTGTTTATAGTAGCTTCTGGATTCTCTGTCCTTGGGAGGTTCTCTTAGATTGAAGCAAATTCTCTCTCATACCTTGTGTTGGTTTTTGTTTTTATTTTAATTTTTCCTTTGTGATCTGAATGAATAACATCATCACTTAACACCTATTGCCATTTCAAAGACAGAATCCCAACAGGCTTTTCTGGGTATGGACCCATGCAATGGTTTGTCTGCCTTTCAACAATTTGTATCATCTTGGCCATTTTGGGGAACAGGGATTGTGCATGGGGAAGGATGGAAGAGGAAAACCAATATTTATTTAACATTCAGTGGTAGTAAACACTGGGATTAGTACTTAATTAGAGTTGATCCTCATAATAAACTTGATCCCCATTTTACAGATGAGTAAATTATAACTCAGAGAATTTCTAACTTGCCCAAAGTCATACAACTAATAAATTGTAAAGGTGGGAGTTAAAGCAATTTTTTATTGAACTATATAGAAAATGTACAAATTATTTATACACATCTCCAGTTATTACAAAGTGAACTGCTAGGAATGTGAGTGGAATTGGTAATGTCAGTTAAAGGCAGAGATTAGGTGATGCCATCAGTCACTGTGACAAATGGTGTGTGGGGGGAGCTTGCTGGCTGAAGCATTGTCACCGTGGGTAATTATACACTTAATATTCATGTGTTATCGTTCCACCTGGAATCTTTAAACTCTTCATCCAGGAGACACTAATCTTCACCTTATTATTACGTCCTAATGTCACTCTAGCAGAAGAATGGGGCTGCCAACAGGGGGAGAGAACTTCCTCCTTCTCCTCTAGGTTGTAATAAACATGGTTATTTGTTATTTGAACTCTGGCTGAAGATAAGACGCTATATGCCCCTGCCAGATATGGCCCAGGTGTAGAGATGAGTCCAGGTTATTGTTAAAAGAGTGAAAATGCCCCTGTCACATTCCCCATCGTTTTCTTCCATCTATAAAGATGATGGCAATGGTGTTGGCAATGGTGGTGATAATGATGATTATCAAGTGAGCATTATTCCATTTTTAGGCATGATGGAAGGAAAAGTCAAATGCAGTGTTCTTAAGAAATTCTGCTGGGCCCGGTGGCTCACATCTATAATCCTAGCACTTTGGGAGGCCAAGGCGGGTGGATCGCTTGAGGCCAGGAGTTCGAGACCAGCCTGGGCAACATGATGCAACCCCTGTCTCTACTAAAACACAAAAAAATTAGCCAGATGTGGTGGTGCACACCTGTAGTCCCAGCTACTAGGGAGGCTGAGGCACGAGAATTGCTTGAACCCAGGAAGTAGAGGTTGCAGTGAGCTGAGATTGTGCCACTGCACTCCAGCCTGGGTGACAGAGCGAGAGTCTGTCTCAAAAAAAAAAAAAAAGAAGAAGAAGAAAGTAAAAAAAGAAATTCACTATAGCCTGGCACAAAGGCTCAGGCCTGTAATCCCAGCACTTTGGGAGGCCAAGGCAGGTGGATCGCCTGAGCTCAAGAGTTCAAGAGCAGCCTGGGCAACATGGCAAAATCCTGTCTCTACAAAACTTAGCTTGGCATGAATGCACACACCTGTGGTCCCAGCTACTCAGGAGGCTGAGGTGGGAGGATATAGCTTGAACTTGGGAGGCAGAGGTTTCAGTGAGCCAAGATCACACCACTGCACTCCAACCTGTGTGACAAAGTGAGACCCTATCTCAAAAAAAAAAAAAAAAAGAAAAAAGAAATAAATAAACAAATAATAAATAAGAAGAAAAGAAAAGAGGTGCTTAGACACCAGGCTAGGATGCTCATCTATGTGGTATCTGTGCCTATTTGGGGGAAGCTGATTATCCACTGCTCAGGGGGCAGAGTAGCCGAGGTCTTAAGTGTACAAGTTTCGAGTCAGATCCTGGTTTCACCACTTACTAGCTCTGTGAACTTGGGCCAATTACTTTACTTTCTGAATCTACCCCCTCAATCGTGAGATGGAAATAAAAATAATAGGACCTGCGTTGGGAATTTTTAATGAAATTACACATGTAAAGAGTTTTGGAAAATTGTTAGATGTTCTTATTAGCTATTATAGCACTGCCCATGCTGACTGGCAAGTTGTGACCTAAGAAGTAGTCTGGGGATATGAACTACTATGGTCCGAATGTTTACACCCCCTCCAAATTCATATGCTAAAATCCTAACTCTCAAAGCGATCAGGTATTAGAAGGCAGGGCCTTTGGGAAATGATTAGGTCACTGGGTCAGAGCCCTCATGAATGGGATTAGTGCCCTTATGAAAGTGGCTGGAAAGAGATTCCTTGCCCCTTCTACCATGTGAGGACATAGAAGGTGCCATCTACAAAGAGGCAGCCCTCACCAGACACCTGCCAGCACCTTGATCTTGGACTTAACCAAGATCCAGAAATGGGAGAAGTAACTATTTATTGTTTATAAGCCACTCAGTTTATGGTATTTGATGTTTGTTGTAGCAGCCCAAACAGACGAAGACATGGATGGACCCAATGGCTAGGCTTCCTCAGGTATAGGACAGAGAGGAGAAATAACAAATTATAAGAAGATAGTGCTTTATCTAAATGTGTATGACATTGCTTTCACAATCTGATATCATGTTATGAAAGCCAGATGTGTGATTTGGAGCAAAGTTTAAAGAAATAGGAATAATCAAAATAATTTTTCTTTCAAAAATCTAAATTTCAACGGCTTTCAAATATTTCTTAATCTACTCATGATTTTTGTTGCTCTGCTTCAGTCTCAGCCTTTTTCTTTTTGATATTTTGGCTGCCAAAAAGCCTGAGTCCTTATTCTCAGGAGCCTGATTATTATCTCCGATAATGGTTCTAAACTTAGTCATTTTTGTCCATCATTATTATTATTAGTTTTGAAGTTTAAAGAATAGCAAAATTTGGCTCTAAAAATGAAACAGACTTTCATCAAGTAATACTTTTATTGTTTTTTATTTGTTTTTTGTTTTTTGAGACAGAGTCTCGCTCTGTTGCTCAGGCTGGAGTGCAATGGCACAAACTCGCCTCACTGCAGTCTCTGCCTCTCGGTTCAAGCAATTCTCGTGCCTCAGCCTCCCAAGTAGCTGGGACTACAGGCACATGCCACCACGCCTGGCTAATTTTTGTATTCTTAGTAGAGATGGGGTTTCACCATGTTGGCCAGGCTGGTCTCGAACTCCTGACTCCAAGTGATGCGCCTGCCTCGGCCTCCCAAAGTTCTGGTATTACAGGCATGAGCCACCATGCCCGACCTTTAGGCAAGTAATAATTTTAATAACTAAAACATCAGCCTTCTTCTTGCATGAGGCAGTTAATGCTCATGGTGAAAGAATGCTCTCTTATAATACTAACAGGTATGGGATGAGCATTTAAACTAACTTTTGGTAGAAAAAAATCCTAGCAGGGCTGAGCTTGGTGGCTCACGCCTGTAATCCCAGCACTTTGGGAGGCCGAGGCGGGCAGATCTCGAGGTCGGGAGATCAAGACCATCCTGGCTAACGTGGTGAAACCCCATCTCTACTAAAAATACAAAAAATTAGCCGGGCGTGGTGGTGGGCGCCTGTAGTCCCAGCTACTCGGGAGGCTGAGGCAGAATGGTGTGAACCTGGGAGGCAGATTTGGTAGGTCTTGGATAAGATCTGAGAAGTCATACTTAGAATGGGATCCCAAAGGTGACTCATATTTACACTATGGTTTGAGAGCCACTTTTTTTGTATTTGGTTGTGCTTTTTCACTTGAGCAATTGCGCAGTGAAAAATGGCCCAAATGTTAACCAAAAATGCATAGCTAGAACTTCTAATATGCAACTGGACTCCAAAAGTCTTCCTCATTAAGTGGTGCATTTCCTAACGTAAGTATTCTAGAGAGATGGGCTGGATACCTAGTAGGGACGTGTAGGAAAGAATTCCACTTTTTATGGGAGTTGGATCAGGATGATCTCTAGAACACAAATGAGTGCTCTACTTGATTAAGATTTTAGTAATGGCTTGCTACTTAACATCTTGTTCTGCTTTCTGTATCATTTAATCGGGCAGCCTTTCCTACTCTACTAAGCAGATCTCAGCTCTCCCTGGTCATTTTCCACATCTATTTGTGTGTATCTTATCATTCTTTTCTGTCTGAGTCTTTCTCTGTATTGTTAAATGTTTTATGTTATTTTCAGGGATAGTCAGAAGCAGCCTTCCCCTTCAATCCTTCATTCTCCTTCAAGATCAGAAAGAAAAAAACAAGAAGGTATTGACATGAATGCAACAATTTCTGGGATGCAAATTTCTTGGTGAATACAGACTTCCATGACAGTGAGAAGACAATTATGTAATCATAGGTGTAGTGTTTCTCCCCAACTTCACTCCCACTTTGGATGAAACAATTGAATCATTGTGATGGGACGCCAGCCTATAAGAACAAATGTGCAATTGAACAATCCCATGGGCACTCAGTCTATCCAGAGGATTATCGTACATCTGCCAGGACTGGCGCAGGGAGAGGAATTGTAGGCAAGATTATTTAGTAAGTTTGGCTTCCTATCAGGAGGAAGGCTGGAGTTCAGCCTAGGTATTTATCCCAGCCTGATCACACCCTGAAATGTGCTGAGTCCTGCCTCCTGCTTCCTGTTAACTCTTACGAGGCTAACTTAGGTTCTTATAACTTTTTTTTAAATTCTTCAAATAGGGTCTCACTCTGTTACCCAGGCTGGAGTGCAGTGGCGCCATCTCAGCTCACTACAACCTCTGCCTCTTGGGTTCAAGCAATTCTTGGGCCTCAGCCTCGAGAGTAGCTGGGATTACAGGCATGCACCACCACGCCCAGCTGATTTTTGTATTTTTGGTAGAGACGGGGTTTCACCATGTTGGCCAGGCTGGTCTTGAACTCATGATCTCAGGTGATCCACCCACCTCGCCTCCCAAAGTGCTGGGATTACAGGCGTGAGCCACTGCACCCAGCGGTTCTTAGAACTTTCCTCCAGTGCCCACTTGCTTGGAGACATTACTTACCTAGGCTTCATATTACTTGTGAAAGTTTTGTTCTTCCTTTTCATTCAAGAATTTGCTCCTTATCCCTTCATTTGAAGGTGAAGGTACTACCTCTTTGTGGGAGATGAGTTACAGAGCAGTTATATGAGCTCATGATTGATCCCTTTTCCAAGAACTAGGGAAATGCAATCCCATCTTTGGAAACAGATCCGATAAAGATAATTATAAGGAAAAAAAAAAAAAAGTATTGCAACCTTACTTGAACTCTTGTTACCACCAGTGGGTGGCATCTAAGTCACCCCACCTCAAGTAGAAGGTAATAAGTTCCTAAGGTGGCCGCCCGCCATTCAGAGGTAGTCACGCGTTCTGTGTGTTTGTGCCTGTGTGCTTTTGAATACAGAGGAGAAATAATTTCCCCCAGGCTGAGTGCTTCCTGTGGTTACTCATAATGTGTGTTGATTTGCAACACATAGTGTACCATAGATGTTAAATGAAAATTCATTATAACTGAATATGTTACATAGTAATACCTACATTTCTAGATCATTTTGTACATTTTTACTAACAGGACATTGGAATTGCTGGAACCACAGCAGTTGTTCAGACCACTTAGGGACAGATGACGTCTTTTCTAACAGCCTAAATCTATTTTTATTTTATTTTTTATTTTTGAGACCGAGTTTTGCTCTTGTTGCCCAGGCTGTAGTGCAATGGCACTATCTCGGCTCATTGCAACTTCCGCCTCCCAGGTTCAAGCAATTCTCCTGCCTCAGCCTCCCAAGTAGCTGGGATTACAGGCATGCACCACGATGCCTGGCTAATTTTCGCATTTTTAGTAGAGACAGGGTCTCACCATGTTGGGTCAAGCTGGTCTCGAACTCCTGACCTCAGATGATCCACCTGCCTTGGCCTCCCAAAGTGCTGGGATTACAGGTGTGAGCACTGTGCCCAGCGTATTTTTTTATTTTTATTTTTTTAATTTTAAAATTTATTTTATTTTATCGAGGCAGAGTGTCACTCTGTTGCTCAGGCTGGAGTGCAGTAGTGCAATCTTGGCTCACTGCAACCTCTGCCTCCCAGGTTCCAAGTGATTCTCCTGCCTCAGCCTCCCGAGTAGCTGGGATTACAGGTATGTACCACCATGCCTGGCTAATTTTTGTATTTTTAGTGGAGACTGGGTTTCACCATGTTGGCCAGGCTGGTCTAGAACTCTTCTTTTTTTTTAAAATTTTTTATTTATATAGGTAATTGGGGAGCAGGTGGTGTTTGGTTACATAAGTAAGTTCTTTAGTGGTGATTTGTGAGATTTTGGTACACCCATCACCCATGGTCTCAAACTCATGACCTCAAGTGATCTGCCTGCCTCAGCCTTTCAAAGTGCTGGGTTTACAGGCATGAGCCACCGTGACTGGCCCTAATAGCCTAAATCTAAAATTACTACCTTGAATATTAACATGATAAATGTTTTGAAGGCATTATTTTTTGCCTTATTCAAGGAAAAAGTTTGAAATAAGTATCTAAGTTTACATATTATTCAGAGTTTTTAGTGACACAAAAAGAAACCCAAAACCTTAATTGAATAAAAACCTTCTTAAGAAGCTGAAAGAAGCTAAACATCAACACCGTAAGATATTTGAGTGGCCCTAGGGACTGTTTAACAGTTAAAGAGAAGAAACGTTTGTCATCCACTATTCTGTGCATGCCTGAGAACTTGCATATACATATTTTACTTTATAAATTTGTTCTTATGTAGGCCTGTAGAGTATCCTGGAGGTCAGATTCCAGATGCAGCACTTAGTTGTGTGAACTTGAGCAAATAATTTATCCTCTCTGACATTTAGCTTGTTTATAAAGATTGCACTGGGGGCCAGGCATGGTAGCTCATGCCTGCAATTCCAGCACTTTGGGAGGCTGAGGTGGGTGGATCACCTGAGGTCAGGAGTTCAAGACCAGCCTCGCCAACATGGTGAAACCCCGTCTCTACTAAAAATACAAAAATTAGCTGGGCGTGGTGGTGTGTGCCTGTAATCCCAGCTACTTGGGAGGCTGAGGCATGAGAATTGTTTGAACCCGGGTGTAGGAAGTTGCAGTGAGCCAAAATCCTGCCACTGCACTCTTGCCTGAGGGACAGCGCGAGACTCTGTCTTAAAAAAAGAGATTGCATTGGGGATGGTGGGTTGCCAGTGACAGAAATCAGCTAGCCTAACAAAAAAAAAAAAGAAAAAAGAAATTGATTAGAAAGATATTAAGTATGTAAAACAAAGGCAGATCCAGAGAACCAAGCTTTTTATTTTTATTTATTTATTTATTTTTTTGAGATGGGGGTTTTGCTCTTGTTGCAACCTCCACCTCCCAGGTTCAAGTGATTCTCCTGCCTCAGCCTCGCAAGTATCTGGAATTACAGGCATGCACCACCATGCCCAGCTAATGTTTCGTATTTAATAGAGACAGGGTTTCACCATGTTGGTCAGGCTGGTCTCGAACTCCTGACCTCAGGTGATCTACCAGCCTTGGCTTCCCAAAGTGCTGGGATTACAGGCATGAGCCACCGTGCCTAGCCTGGAGAACCAAGCTTGATAAAGGACAGGAACCAAGGCAGATCTGGGGACCCAAATACCAGAGCAAATGAACTTTCCTGTGTTACTCAGCTCCACAGTCAGTGGTCCAGGAGACAGAGTCTGACTGGCCAAGCTTAGGGTCAGATGACCCTGTGAATAGGGGGAGGGCAGGGCATGTTGGTTGACATTCCTATCCATACTGCCCACAGCAGAGGAAAGGTGATACCTGAAAAGAATATCAAGTCAACTGTAGTGAAATGAAGCTGGATAACCAAAAACCAACAGATGTGTCACCATATGACTTTTAGGACAATTTTTATTAAGTGTGTAAAGTACTTGGATTGGCACTTGAGAAATACTAGGTTTTTCAATATATGACTGAATTGATTGAGAGGTTGCCTGCTATTTTGAAAAGGATCCTGCCTGTGATACTCTGCCTCCTAAACTAAATTGTAAGCTTCGTGAAGGCAAAGATGCTGGTATTTATTAGGTTGGTGCAAAAGTAACTGCAGTTTTTGCAATTAAAAGTTGCAAAACCACAATTGCTTTTGCACCTACCTAATAAATCTTATTTAAGTTCTCCACACACTAGTTGGTACAAGATGTCATGGGCTTTTTCTCCAGAACACCTGTGACAGAGGGTCTTCACCTGATCCTCTATACCCCTAGAGATGTGCTCAGGTGGCAGCACAAGTAAGAAGGTTTGTGTGAAATGAGCAGTTCACGGTGTGCTTGCTCTGACCCCACTCTTGACTGGCTGCTCTGGACAGCATGTGGGAACGCAAGGGAGTGAGACTGTCTTTATGCCTAGGGTAGCCCTGAATCAGCCTTACTTTATGAAAGAGTGAATTAGTCACAAACTTTGGCATTTGAGAAATGTGTGTGTGCATACACTTAGAAAACAAAAACAAGAAATGACCTTTTTCTGTTTTTCTAATTTTTTTATTTTTTATCTTTTATGTTTTTTAGGCAGGATCTCACTTTGTCACTCAGGCTGGAATGCAGTGGCATGATCTTGGTTCACTGCAGCTTCAACCGCCTGGGTTGAAGCGATACTCTTGCCTCAGTCCCCCAAGTAGCTGGGACTACTGGCGTGTGCCACCACACCTGGCTAATTTTTTATTTTTATTTTTGTAGAAACAGAGTTTCGCCATGTTGCCTAGGCTGGACTTGAACTCCTGAGCTCGAGTGATCCGCCTGCCTTGGCCTCCCAAAGTGCTAGGATTGCAGACGTGAGCCACTGCACGTGCCCGGCCTGTTTTTCTAAAATTAAATTCAGTTGAAGTGACCATCACCAAGGTTGATGACAAGTTCAATGTCAGATCATTTTGGTGTCCCTTGCCTATGTCCTTCCCGTTTGAGATCATGTGCACCATAACCCACCACAGCCCCCATCCCAGGGCTTTTAGGCAGTCCAGTAAAATGAACCCTGACCAGTATTAGTGACTGGTGCCACTGGCCCTTGGCCAGACAGCCCTGCTGACTGCCCTTTTCCTACCCCTGAACACCTGGGTAAAGGTCCTGTGCAGAGTTCACCAGGTGCTCATCCTCCCACACATACAGCCTTGACCATCCTAGCTTCTGAGGCCTCCAAGAGCTCTGCAATCAAGAGGTGCACAGGACCCCATCTTGAACCAAACCAGCCTCTCCCTTCTAGACAGAAGGGAGATCCTTGTAGACCAAGAATCTACCCACTGTTAGCATCAGGGCCCTCTTCCCTTCAATGTTTATTGTTTTGTTTTGTTTCATTACTTAACTAAGAGCTTTATGGAGATATAGTTCACATACCATGCAATTTATCCATGTAAACTGTAGAATTCAGTAGTTTTTAATATATTCACAGATTTATGTCACTATTACAACAATTTTAGAGCATTTTTATCACCCCTAAAAGAAACCCCGTACCCATTACCAACCACTTCCATGCCCCACCCCACCACCCCTGCTCCCAACCCTAAGTAATCAATAATCTACTTGCTGTCTCTGTGGATTTGCCTACTCTGGACATTTCATATAAATGGGCTCTTACACTCTATGGTCTATTCTGACTGGCATCTTTTACTTAGCATAATGTTTTCAGGGCTCACCCATGTTGTAGCATGTTGTATGTTCCATTTTATGGCCGAATAATATTCCACTGTATGGATATACTGAATTATATTTCTCCTTTCATCTGTCTTTTTAAATTTTTTAAATATATAGATATATATATTTTGTAGAGACGGAGTCTCACTATGTTGTCCAGGCTGGCTCAAGCAATCCTTCTGCCTCAGCCTCCCAAAGTGTTAGGATTACAGGCATGTGCCACCACGCCCAACCTCCTTTCATCTGTTGACAAACATTGGGGTCCTTCAGTTCTTGAAGCTTCAAGCCACCCTGTCTTCAACGCTTTTCCCTCTGGTGGCCATAGATCAGGGACCACAAACTCACATGCCTGTCAGCCAGGTGTTAGGAAGATAGGAAGCCGTAAGGACTGTGGCAAATGAGTGTCCATGCCATGTGTAGAACAGGCAGGCTCTACTCAGCCATGGCCACATGGCCATCTACACCTGGTATGATCACAGCTTCTGATTGTCCCAGAGAAGCCAGAGTCTGGGTTTTTATTTATTTATTTATTTTGAGACAGAGTCTTGCTTTGTTGCCCAGGCTAGAGTGCAGTGGCAGAATCTCGGCCCACTGCAACCTCTGCCTCCCAGGTTCAAGCAATTCTCCTGCCCCAGGCTCCTGAGTAGCTGGGATTACAGGTGTGCCACTACACCTGGCTAATTTTTGTATTTTTAGTAGAGATGGGGTTTCACCATGTTGGCCAGGCTGGTCTTGAACTTCTGGCCTCAGGTGATCTGCCCGCTTCGGCCTCCCAAAGTGCTGGGATTACAGATGTGAGCCACTGCACCCAGCCCAGAGTCTGGATTTTTATGCAAAGATTTTCCAAATTTTATTTTATTTTTTACTTTTATTTTTTGAAATGGAGTTTCACTGTTGTTGCCCAGGCTGGAGTGCAATGGTGTGATCTCGGCTCACTACAACCTCCACCTCCCGGGTTCAAGTGATTCTTCTGCCTCAGCTTTCCAAGTAGCTGGGATTACAGGCATCCGCCACCACGCCCAGCTAATTTTTTTGTATTTTTAGTAGAGACGGGGTTTCACCATGTTGACCAGGCTGATCCACCCGCCAGGCTGATCCACCTCAAGTGATCCACCTGCCTCGGCCTCCCAAAGTGCTGGGATTACAGGCATGAGCTACTGTGCCTGGCAGATTTTCTAAATTTTAAATGCTGGTCAATTAAAACAAACATGATGTGTGACAGAGGACACACAATTGTGGTTAAGACTAAATGCTGAGGCCAAGTGTGGTGGCTCACACCTATAATCCCAGCACTTTGGGAGGCCAAGGTGGGAGGATCACCGGAGGTCAAGAGTTCAAGACCAGACTGGCCAACATGGCGAACCCCCTCTCTACCAAAAATACAAAAAATTAGCTGGGCATGGTGGCACACACCTGTAATCCCAGCTACTCGGGAGGCTGAGGTGGGAGGATCGCTTGAGCCTGGGAGATGGAGGAGATCGTGCCACAGCACTCCAGCCTGGGCAACAGAGGGAGACTCCATGTCAAAAAAAAAAAAAAGTAAATGGTGAAATGTGATCCCTGAGCGATGCGGAGACATGGCTAATCTCAGGGAGCCTGCGAAGGGTCAGCTGGAGAGGGCACTCACCTGGCAACTCCTGCCCTCTTATTTGGCAGTGCAAAAAGGCTATTCATCTTTTTGGAAAAAGAAACCCCTGTATCTGTGGAAAAGACAAGGGATTTGAAATTTCCAAGTCTAGGGTCTAAAGCTCTGGGTTGGGAAGGAGGTGAAATTCTTCTCATTCTTTGGCTCATGAGTCTGCTGCAGCAGAAAAAAACAAAGCCCAGGCTGATGCCTGCTAAATTGCAAATTACTGCTAAATTGTCTTGCAAATTACTGTGGCCTAGTTCAGGATAGATTGTGACCTGTTTGTGTGACCTTGATTATGACTGTGACCTCCACCATGGTTGAAAACTGCTGATTTTGTATAAGATGTACCCTGAATCCATGAAGACAAATTTGTGGAACCAAGAAAAGAGAAACAGTAATAGTGTGATCTTATGTGGAGAAAACACCCTAGTAGGTTGGGGAGTGCAAAGTATCAAGGTTTATGACAACAGCGAGTGTTTATTGAGTAAATAAGCAGTCTGTGTACTACTGCCCGCTTTCCATTTTGTTTTGCCTGTGACCGTGAAAGAAGTGGGTATTTTTTGAAAGGAAAGAGATTAATAGTACTCAGCATCGGTGTAGTGCTTGGTGTTTGCAAAGAGGTTTCAAATGCACTATCTAGTGTGAGCCTGTGAGAATAGGCGTTTTTACCTGTTGTACAAGTGAGGCATTTATATCGTTGAAACATAGAAGAGGAGAAATTACTTGATTAATGTATTCCACCAAAGGGACCTATAACTTAAATCTGTATCTTTGATTCTAAGTCCCCTCATCTTTTCCACAGTGACAGAGCTTTCCAATACTCTTCCCAGTACTCTCCAATTTTGTTGTATCTAAGTAATAAGTATAGATATTTTTGGACTTAATATCATGTTTAAGTTTACATCGATATTACCCACACAGAAAACAATAAAAGGAAATGATGGTTCCCAAGGTGTTTTGGTATTTTTTACATTCTTTGGTTGAGTCCTCAACACTAATAATTAATAATTGGGAGCAAGCATGCCTGTGAATTACTGCAAGTAGAAACTATATATGTCATTAATTCTTACAACAGTCTTATAAGGTAGGTATTACTCTTATTATTATTATTAATTCTTATTTTAGGGTTGAGGGAAATAAAGCTCAGAAATTTAAATACCTAGCTAGTATTTAAATACTAGCTAAAGCTAGTATGTCTCTGAGTTAGGATTTAAGCCAAATTTTGTAAAACACTAAAACGATTTTTTTTTTTTTAAATTATACTGCCTTCCAGAAAATGTGTAGCTCCTTGGAAATTATTGAATTGGAGTCGTCAGCTGGATACATTTGGATATTTTAAGAATGAAGTTACCTGTTAGGGCTACACACTGTCTTTATTAAAGCTTTGTGCAAAACCAGGCGCTATAATAGATGCTCTTTCTTTGCATCTTTCCTTTAGGTCTGTCAGTTTGTCGTCTCTGTCAACGGGCTCAATGTCCTGCATGTAGACTACCGGACCGTGAGCAATCTGATTCTGACGGGCCCACGGACGATTGTCATGGAAGTCATGGAGGAGTTAGAGTGCTGAGCTCCTGGGCCTCCCAGCCCTCCAGTGGCCTGTGGGTGAGGGAAGCCAGAATGACACAAAGCAATGCAAAGACAAGATTGCCATGCAAATGGATGGTTTTGGACATACGAGTCTTCTCCGCACATACATGTCTAAAGTTGAGTTTTATACACTGAATGTGGAAGAACCGGGTATCATATCTTTTTTAAAAAATGTCAGTGTAGAAAACATTTGGGAAACCATTTTCCTACATGATAGAACTGCCTTACTAGATTTCTATTTGTAGCTCTCATTCATTGTTTTTTATCTTAGTTTGCAGAAAGGTGTTGAAATGCTTCTCTAGCCCAAACAGCGACATGCTAAAGTCCCCTTCTTCAGAGTCAATAGAGTAGTTGTTAAAGGTTTTAAATTGTACTTTCTCCAAAATTAGCATGCAGCTATTTAATAGGGAATCTAGATTTCACCAAGATTCAAATCAAAGCAACATTTAAAGGAATAAGACCTGTTCACTAGCATTTTCAAGGGGGTTCTAAAGCATTCAAGTGCTTAAAAGCCATAAAAAATGACTTCTTAATTCCTGCCTTTAGTGTCAACTTTTAAGTTAATACAGGTTTCAATTGTGGCATTAGGAAAAAAAAAAACCTTGTGATGCTATGGTTGGGGGTAGTTAGGGAGAGACTACATGAAATTGTGTGCCCCTATTTTCTTTCTGATCCTAAATCATTTTGTTTTATAAATCAGCTATAGCATCTTTCTAGAATTAATCCTGAATATGTTGAATGTTAAAATAGAGAAGTTTGTATATACACATAATTAAAAATCAACCCTTCTGGCAAGATTTCACTTTGAAGGTGTCTGTTTTTAAGGGAAGGCTAAAACTTTGCTGATATGTGATAAAACTTGAACTCTAAATTGCCTCCTTAGCCTGAATTTTTACTAGCTTTCTAGTGTAACATATTCTAAGGACATGACATGCTGCTTATTTGGGGGGATTATTTTTCACCAAAATGATCATCTTGTGTTGTAACTTTTCAGCTCACTTGTATATACGCACGTTTTCATTTTTGGTCTAGAAAATAGTGCATTTTGGGGCTCAGCGTGCAGAGGAAATTCCTCAAAGTGCCAAATTAGGCAGTCAGGAAATACTAAATTCTTCATTCCAAATAATGGATCTGAATGATGACGTTAATTTTTTATCATGCATTAACAAAATAAAATATGAGAATTGTACCACAGCCATTTCTTTTCATTAGGTTATCGTAATGTATAGGTACTGGTGGAATGGACCTACCGTGCTAAATATGTTATAGACATATATATATATATATATATATATATATATATTTCTGGTAATCCAACTTTTCTGATTTGTAGCTTTAGTCAGAGAATAGGATTTTGGAGTGACAGAGAATGTCTAACAGTAATACTGTTGATATACATTTGAGAAATACTATCACCTCTGTGTGGGTGTGCATTTGTACTGTATGGCAGGCTCTGTGCATTTAATATATATGATATCCTTTAACCCTCAATGCAACCTTGCAAGGTAGATATTAACGTCCACATTTTTCAGATGTGGAAACTAAGCCTGAGCAAGTTTTAAAATGGTCTCTAAATTCACACGGCTGCAGGAACTACTAGGTGAAATAGGCTGAATGTAAACACAGGTTTAACGCTAAATCCCATGTTACTCCCCTCAACTTTTCCCCATTTAAGGACCTTATATTGAGGGTTTATTCTGAGCCAGGCTGTATGCTAAGACTTTACGCCATTTGTCCTTATTTACCTGTGAAGTCAATACGGTCATTATCTCCATTTTACAAATGAGGAAACTGACTTGTAAAGTGGTTAGTCATATGCCCAAGGCCACAAAACTAATAAAGTGGGAAACCTTACCACTGGCTTAAAAAAATTTTTTATAGCATCTTTAAAAGATGAGTCTTAAATGCTTTCTGTGCTCAGGTATTCATTAAGTGACAAAAGAAGAAGGAATACCTTTCGAGAAATGGTATCTCCTTTTGAGAAATGGTATCTTCTTCTTGCCTGCTTTACCCATTATCTTGGACCCTGGCATAATAGAACTTCCCTTCAGCCAACCTAAGCACCAGAGAAGCATTTCTCTGTATCTATTGCACACGATCTCCTCTTGGCTGTGAGGAAGGAAGGAAAGAAGGGAGAGAGGATTTCCTTCTTTGGTTCCCATCACCCTAAGTTCAAAAGCCAAAGGCCATGAGAGCTTTCCCTTAGCTACTCCTCCAGCCCACCCCTGACATCTTTACACAGCAATTAAAAAGACTACCCCTACCTTCCTGGGGACCCTATCTCACTCCCTCCAGCCCTTGCACATGTACTTTCTTCTTCGTGGAAAGAAGAATGTTCTGTCTTACTGTTGCCTGGAAAATTCTTTCTTCATGTAAACTCCCTTTAGAAATTATCTCCTCTGAGAAGCCTTCACCAGCTCCCCAGTTCTAGGATTGATGCCTCTTCTCTAAATTTACATGGATCCTTAAGTCCTCCCTATGCCCCGTTAGAGCACTGATGACATTTACTTTGAAATTCCCCTGTTACATGTCTGTTTGCCTAAGTAGACTCTAAGCATCTGCAGAACAGGGGCTATGTCTTAGTATCCAGGGTATTTTCTTCACCTGGCACAATTCCTGCCACAGAGTAGTGTGTCAGCTCTCTATTGTTGTCTAAAAACCCACCTCAAGGGTGGGGTGCAGTGGCTCATGCCTGTAATCCCAGCACTTTGGGAGGCTGAGGCAGGCGGATCACTTGAGTCCAGGAGGTCAAGACCAGCCTGGTCAACATGGTGAAACCATGTCTCTATTAAAAAATAGAAAAATTAGCTGGATGTGGTGGCAAGCACCTGTAATCCCAGCTACTTGGGAGGCTGAGGTGGGAGAATCGCTTGAACTTACAAGGTGGAGGCTGCAGTGAGCCAAGATAGTGCCATTGCACTCCAGCCTGGGCAACAGAGCGAGACTCCAACTCAAAAAAATAAATAAGTAAATAAAAAATAAAAACCTGGCCAGGCACAGTGGCTCACGCCTATAATCCCAGCACTTTGGGAAGCCGAAGCGGGTGGATCACTTGAGGTCAGGAATTTGAGACCAGCCTGGCCAACAGGGTGAAACCCCGTCTCTACTAAAAACACAAAAAATTAGCTGGGCGTGGTGGTGCACGCCCGTAATTCCAGCTACTTGGGAGGCTGAGGTGGGAGAATTGCTTGAACCCAGGAGGCAGAGGCTGCAGTGAGCCGAGATTGTGCCACTTCACTCCAGCCTGGGCGACAGAGTGAGACTCTGTCTCAAAAAAAATAAAAATAAAAACCCATCTCAAATCATGGCTTAAAAAAAAATAAAAATAAAAACCCACCTCAAATCACGGCTTATAGCAACACCCTTTATTTGCTTATAATCCTATGCTCTGGCAGTCTGGGCAGAGCTCTGCTGGCGTGATCCACCACTGCTCCATGGGTGCCAGTTGGGACTCCACACACCTTTGTGGTTAGTGAGCAGATTGGTTGGAGGCTGATTGACCTTGACTGGCCTCATGTATGTGTCTCAAAGTTGGCTGGGGCTGTCGGCTGAAATTCCTTAGTTCTACTCCACATGGCCTTTCCCCATGGCCAGCCCAGGCTGAGATCTGAGATTGAAGAGGGTGAGAACAGAAAGTACAAGATCTTCTTTTGACTTGAAAGCTAGCCCAGAATCGAGGGAAATAAACCCCACCTTTTGATGGAAGGAGCTTCAAAGAATTTGTAGTCATTTCCAATCCACGAAGAGTAGGTACCCACTATTTGTTGAATAAAGCCCTATTGAAAGCTTTTTAGCTATCCAGATGCAAATTACTGGCCAACCTTTGGGTAGAATTATAAAATTCTGCCCAAAATTCTACCAAATTACTGGTACTTGTAAAATTCTACCAAATAACTGGCCAACTTTTGGGTAGAATTGTAAAAATTAAGTTGTAAATAAAGCCTATTGCCTAACAGGAACTTCAAAGTCAGAGAATCCTAAAATGATTGTGCTACACAGGGCCACATAGAGCACAGCTTTGTCTTTTTTTTTTTGAGATGGAGTCTCGCTCTGTCCCCCAGGCTGAAGTGCAGTGGCGCAATCTTTGCTCAAGGCAACTTCTACTTCCCAAGTTCAAGCAATTCTTCTGTTTGAGCCTCCTGAGTAGTGGGACTGCAGGCATGTGCCACTATGCCCCATTATGTATTTTTAGTAGAGATGAGATTTCACCAGATTGGCCAGGCTGGTCTCGAACTCCTGACCTCAAATGATCTGCCTGCCTCGGCCTCCCAAAGTGTTGGGATTATAGGCATGAGCCACCATGCCCGCCCGCTTCGTCTTTTCACTGGACTAATGAAGATACAGGTGTGGAATGGTTTCACAGCATGCCCAACCTCATGAGGCTTGTTGGGTCAGAGCTTGTGCCAGATGCCAGTCTTCTGCCTTCCAGTCTTATAGTTGTTACGCTATAGCCTTCTGCAGTGGATGGTAACGTGGCCAAAATAAGCCTTTGGTTTTGGAGTATTCGTAAAATGAAAGTGGTGCCATCTACCTTAATGCTGGGGGAATATATTTCAATTGACTCAAGTCTTCATTGCTGAATGATATCTTAAAAAAAAAAAAGTATTTTGCCTGATATTTTCACAGTTGTTCTGCTTGAAATGTAAAATTCCAATTTCTAAATGTAATACCAAGATTTATCCTAAATTAACAATAAGCAGTGTTTCTAATAGCTTTTCATATATGTCTGTGTGTATAATCTTCAAATAGGAAAGCATATTGTGCGTGAGGTTTCACTCATTGAGAACCTCTGAAATGTCTTTCTTTGCCCCCTTTAAAAAAAACCATGATTTTCCAGGTGTTTGTGTTTATGTTTTTGCTAGG
This sequence comes from Homo sapiens, assembly GCF_000001405.40. Classification (NCBI taxonomy): domain Eukaryota; kingdom Metazoa; phylum Chordata; class Mammalia; order Primates; family Hominidae; genus Homo; species Homo sapiens. The sequence goes on from NC_000008.11 coordinate 120,054,588, forward strand.
GAGATGAAAGTAGTTTTTGTTTCTTCATTAGCGTAGGATGTGTACATTGAAAGCCATGTTCCCTTGTAGAAAGAAAAATGCTGTTGCCTTTTGGGTTGATTCTATTATCTGATGTTTTATTAATCTCTGTGAAATAATTGTGTAAATTAATATAGAGACTAGTTGAGAAATGGTGGATAACATGAAGAAGATACCCATTTTTGCATAGATTAGATGTGATCAACCTCACACTATCATATGAAAGTTGGCTGCATTGGAGAGACAGGAATTAATATTAAAAATGTTTTCAGTTCAGATTGATATCTTACATTTCCAAATATTATTTTCTTTTGAATATGTGGTATAAGTAATCTGCTTTAAGTCCTATTTTAGGTTGGGTGCAGTGGCTCACACCTGTAATCCCACCATTTTGGAAGGTTGAGACCAGGAGTTTGAGACCAGCCTAGGCAACAGAGTGAGACCCCATCTTTATAGAAAATAAAAAATTAGCCAGGCATGATGGCACGTGCCTGTAGTCCTAACTACTTGGAGGCTGAGAAGGGAGGATAGCTTGAGCCTGGGAGGTTGAGGCTGCAGTGAGCTGTGATCACACCACTGCACTCCAGCCTGGACAATAGAGCAAGACACTATCTCGAAAAAATAAAAAGACCTGTTTTAAACTGATGATATTAACTATTCTCTCCTGTTGACTATTAATCTTGTTTCATTTTTATTATAAATAATAAGAATGACTAAAACATTTCAATTTTGCTGGTTGGCTGAAATCTATTGATGTAGTTGACCATGGTTTTACTCACTTAAGGCAGAATTTCAGGTGTGACATGTTTTTTCTTCAGTTCAGTACCAAAAGGACAAATCTGCCATGTACCAAAATGAAATTTGTCATCAAAAACAGCATATGGTATTGTCAAATGCATTAAAAATATTAAAGATACTTAATATATATCTTTATTTTAAAATTATATTGGGATTTATTTGCTCCTCTTATGAAAATGTATACCATAATACTTAAAATTATTGCATGAAAACACATAGCTGTATAGCATGAAATAAATGTTACTTTTTTTTTTTTTTTTTTTGAGACAGAGTCTTGCTCTGTCACCAGGCTGGAGTGTAGTGGCGCAATCTCGGCTCACTGCAACCTCCGCCTCCCAGGTTCAAGTGATTCTCCTGCCTGAACCTCTTGAGTAGCTGGGACTACAGGCACGCACCACCACGCCCAGCTAATTTTTTGTATTTTTAGTAGAGACAGGGTTTCACCATGTTGGCCAGGATGGTCTCGATCTCTTGACTTCGTGATCTGCCCGCCTCGGCCTCCCAAAGTGCTGGGATTACAGGTGTGAGCCACTGTGCCTGGCCCCACATTTTTTAAAACAATGACTTTAGGGTTTCAGCTTTTCCTGTCTTTTAAAACAAATTAGCCATTTTTTATTCTAAGAAAGGGTTGTATTATAAAGCTGACCTACTACTAGCTTATCAGAAAAAACACGTGGGTCTCATATCTGATTCTCCTATGTAGCCAAAAGTGCCATTTGTAAGTCTACTAAATGACGGATATTTTCTGAAGATCTTTTGCCTGGAAAACAAATAGTGCATTAAAAAGCTTTTTTGGTACTCTGCTGGATTCAGAATTATTTTCTCCCTACCTAGGTCAGTATTGATGGGTGTAATAGAATATTTTATGTGGAAAAATACTATGTGATTGTTTACTACTCTGGGAGAATGTTAATTTTTTTCCCAATGAATTAGGAAATCAATACATAATTTCATGTGTGTATGGGTTACTGTAAAGTATTGGGTGAGAGGTTATTCAGACTACACTCAATAATAACCAAAAATATTTTTGAATTTTCTGTAATTTATTCACTTATTCATTCTTTCATTCAGGAAACATTACTGAGGACTTGGGTTTTGCTGAACATTGTATATAGGTACTATAAATACAAAAATGAGTAGACATGCCCTTGGACCCAGATAATCCTTTGAGAGTCACCTTTGAGCCTGAATCCTGGAAGTCTCCACATATAGGAGTAAATAAAAAATCATCGTGTTAAAACAGGTGGCTTAATGCTAGAAACCTCCATCCAACCCAAGCACCAGAATACAGATAATAATTCACATTTACCTATATTCTTTTTCCCAGCCACTTTTTCTTATCCAAGGAAAACACAACGATGAACATTGAGTTTATAATTTTCTTGCTTTTTTTTGTTCTTAAGGGTTGTTTATGTTTTTAAAAAAATGAACTTCATTAAAACAGCACCAAGTTTTATATAATCTTCTAGGACTTGGTTGTTTTCATCCAGTATTAATATTATTAAGTTTCTTTCAAATGTTTGTGTATAGTTGTGATTCATTCATTTATCACAGCTTCATAAATTTCCAGACCACCAATTATTTATCTATTTTCTTGTCTGTGGGCTTTTGGGTGGTTTCCATTTTTGTTTTCATAAGTGGGGTTACTGTGAACATTCTCATAGCATCTCCTGGGGGTCCAAGTGAAGGAGTTTCCCTTAGGAATCCACTTAGGAGAAAAATTGCTGAGTCATAAGAAAGGTGAATGCTCAACTTTACAAAGTCGCATCTAACTAGCCTCCAAATTGGTTGAAGTAAAATGTAAAAGTGATGCATATGCCGGGTGCGGTGGCTCATGCCTGTAATCCCAGCACTTTGGGAGGCCGTGGCAGGTGGATCACTTGAAGTCAGGAGTTCGAGACCAGTCTGGACAACATGGTGAAACTCCATCTCTATTAAAAATACAAAAATTAGCCGGGCATGGTGGTGCATGCCTGTAGTCCCAGCTATGCGGGAGGCTGATGAGAGAGAATTACTTGAACACAGGAGGCAGAGGTTGCAGTGAGCTGAGATCCTACGACTGCATTCCAGCCTGGGCGACAGAGCGACACTCTGTCTAAAAAAATAAAAAAGCGGGGGTCAGGGGAGATGTATAGTAATCAATATCTTCTCCAACACTTGACGTTTGAAACTTCTTAATTTTGATCAAATGAGTGTTTATTTTGTCATTGATACTAAGGATTCTACATTGCTGCAAAGCTAGTAAACTTTAAAGCACAGAAACCCTAAGAAGTAGTTTGCCATCCTAACTTACTACATCACTGTCTTTATAATACCCAGGATGTCTTGAAACTTTTACCTTACAATTCTGTGACTTGAGTGAGGCCAGGATTATTAGGAATTGGTATGACATATTCAGGAACATGCAACAAATGATTTATTAAGTGCCTACTATGGCCAGTCACTTAATATTTGGCCAACAGCAGTAAGTAAGACAGATCCCTTTCTCCCTTTGTTTATGAAGCTTGCATATTCTTTGGGGAGACAGACAATAAGTAAGTTATATAAATGAAATAGTTAATTTTAGATAGGGGTAAGTGCTAAGGAGTAAATAAAACTGAATGAGTGATAGAGAATGACCAGGTTTCGAGAGGTGAAAGAAAAACGGGGCTTCCGGGTCTACAATTCCAGTGAGGCACCATTAACATTACAATCTATAAGAACAGCACTTTCTGAGTTATGGAGTGCAACAGCCCTGAGCAAAAGCCTCTGCAAACCTGATGGTTTGAGTTAATGCCTAAAGTATGGGAATGAGCCAGCCCTAGAGAAATCTGGAAGAAAAGCGTTGCAGAGAAAACAGGAAGTCTAAAGGAACCAAGATTGTAAAGATCATAGTGGTTAAGAGTGTGGGCTCTGGGGACATAAAGTCCAGGTTTAGGCCGGGCGCAGTGGCTCACACCTGTAATCCCAGCACTTTGGGAGGCCGAGGCGGGCAGATCACCTGAGGTCAGGAATTCTAAACCAGCCTGGCCAACATAGTAGAGATGAAACTCCATCTCTACTAAAAATACAAAAATTAGGCCAGGCATGGTGGCTAACACCTGTAATCCAAGAACTTTGGGAGGCCAAGGTGGGGAAATCACGTGGTCAGGAGTTCGAAACCAGACTGGCCAACATGGTGAAACCCCGTCTCTACTAAAAATACAAAAAAATTAGCTGGGTGTAGTGGCAGGCACCTGTAATCCCAGCTACTCGGGAGGCTAAGGCAAGAGAATCACTTGAACCCGGGAGGTGGAGGTTGCAGTAAGCTGAGATCATGCCACTGCACTCCAGCCAGGGTGACAGAGTGATTCTGTCTCAAAAAAACAAAAACAAACAACAACAACAAAATACAAAAATTAGCCAGGAGTAGTGGCGGGCACCTGTAATCTCAGCTATTCAGGAGGCAGAAGCAGAAGAATCGCTTGAACCCAGGAAGTGGAGGTTGCTGTGAGCTGAGATTGCGCCACCGCACTCCAGCCTGGGCGACAGAGCGAGACTGCGTCTCAAAAACAAGAATAAATAAATGAAGTCCAGGTTTAGATTCCTGCTGTAACACTCAGGAGCACATCCAGTTACTCAGTCTCTCCAGGCATCAGTTTCCTTATCTGTAAAAGGGGGATAACAGTACCTACTCTATTTGACTACTGTGAGGGTTAAATTAGATGATGCAGGTAAAATGCTTATCCCTGTGCCTGACCCATAATACCTAATCAATAATTGAATGTTTCTCTTGTTTTCGTACCTACTAAACAAAAGAGAAAATGCACTCTAGAGAAGTGATTTGCCCCAAAACTCACACCAACTAATGTGTAGCTGGGACTAAAATTCATGCTCAGAAATTCTCAGCCCAATGCTTTTCTTCAGCCCATCTTCTACACCTTAGTTTTCTCATTTTTAAGTGGGATAATAATCTCATGTGAAGTATTGTAGTAATCTCTTATTAAGGCTAATGAATGAATACATGTAAAGCTTTAGTACAGTATCTGGCACCTAGTAGGTGCTCCTAAATTAACTATAGGTATTGTTATCATTATTAATACTATATTATGTTAATTACCTGTCATCTTGGCAGGCCCACACTAATGCACAAGAACATTACATTGTCTATACGTTTATATCTTCACCAGCAATATGCATTTTAGCTGTTCTAATTATCATAAGACAATAATAAAAGTGTGATATAGTTTGTCTCTGTGTCCCCACTCAAATCTCATCTGGATTTCTAATCCCCACATTTCAAAAGAGGGAGGTGATTGGATCATGGGAGTGGTTTCCCCCATGCTGTTCTCGCGATAGCGAGTGAGTTTTCATGAGATCTGACGGCTTTATAAGGCGCTCTTCCCCCTTTGCTTTCTCTTCTCCCTCCTGCCGCCTTATGAACAGGGTGACTGTTTCCCCATCGGCCATGATTTTAAGTTTCCTGAGGCCTCCCCAGTCATGCTGAACTGTGAGTCAATTAAACTTCTTTCCTTTATAAATTACCCAGTCTCGGTTAGTATCTTTATAGTGGTGTGAGAATGGACTAATACACTGGCAATATGCATGTTAGTTGTTTTAATTGTCATAAGACAATAATACAAGTATTAGAAAAATACATATGATAAACTCTATATTCAATTGAGTACGGTAAAGGAAATCACCCATTCTGTTGCTTTCCCTATATTCCTCAGGTACTGAGAAAGAAATTAACGGGTTGGTATAAAATGTAGCTTTGCTGGCCGGGCGCGGTGGCTCACACTTGTAATTCCAGCACTTTGGGAGGCCAAGGCGGGTGGATTACCTGAGGTCGGGAGTTCAAGACCAGCCTAACCAACATGGAGAAACCCCATCTCTACTAAAAATACAAAATTAGCCGGGGGTAGTGGCGCATGCCTGTAATCCAAGCTACTCGGGGGGCTGAGGCAGGAGAATCGCTTGAACACGGGAGGCGGAGGATGCGGTGAGCGGAGATCCGCCATTGCACTCCAGCCTGGATTTCTGGCTGTAAATTGGGAGAAAGCAAAAATAATTTTGCACTGGATCCTTATTCAGCTACCTAGCTTTTAAAACTAAAAGTTATAAGTAAATAACTTCCCAATCTTTAAAACTTAAAATTTCATACAGAATAATTTTAAAACACTGCTTAATATTATCTACTTACTACCTTATCAGACTCTCCGCAGTTTTACAGCCTGTTAGAAAAGCAATCAAAGTAATCAACATATATGTACTGAGTATTTTATACAGCAAACACTCTTTCTCAGGATATATTGGAGATTTAGTTTTGATGACAAAGGAGGTTCTTTTCCTGAACACACCTTAATTAAGACATTATTTGTCTTTTGAGGGCAGCCTCCTAAGTCTGTACAGGTTTTAGAGATTCATGCCAGAATTATGTAAGCAACACCACCCCCATGTGCTTCTGTTAGCACAAGCTTTCTGCGGTCAGAGATGGAAGCACAGGCTGCTGTCATGGAATGCACTGAGCAAAATAAAGGAGTGCTCTGTAAAGAACTTGGCTGAAGTGTCTATTTTCTTAGTTCCAGGACCTGACAACTCTCTTTTTCTTTTGCATGTCATTCTGCTTATGTGAATTTTTCTCTTTGCCTCTTGGGACTCCCTATCTTATTCTAAAATGTGCTTTTCTCCCTTGGGGTGAAATACTAAATTTCTTGAAGTCTGAGATGACTGGGTCCACAGAGGCCAATTCATAATTGAAACTTAATATAGGTGGCCATTGACACTTCTTGAGATTCAATCCCAGAGGATGGAAGAAAGAGAGAGGGAAGATGTATGCTCTGTTACCTCAATGTTTGTTGTTGTTGTTGTTGTTGTTTGTTTGTTTTTTGAGACTGAGTCTCCCTCTGTTGCCCAGGCTGGAGTGCAGTGGCGTGGTCTCAGCTCACTGCAACCTCTGCCTCCCAGGTTCAAGCAATTCTCTTGCCTCAGCCTCCCGAGTAGCTGGGATTACAGGCACGTGCCACTATGCCTGGTTAATTTTTGTATTTTTAGTAGGGACAGGGTTTCACCATGTTGGCCAGGCTAGTCTCAAACTCCTGGGCTCAAGTGATCCACCCACCTTGGCGTCCCAAAGTGCTGGGATTACAGGCGTGAGCCACCGCAATTGGCCTGTTAACTCAATTTTGAAAATGTGTGGGTAAGTGTGAGCCCAGGTTTTAAAAGATTTGGATATTTCTGCAGCTGTGAAAGGTAAGGAAGCAGAATACTAGCCCCTACTCCTGAACCCAAAAAACCCATGGATGGTGTGACATGGAAATATCAAGACTAGTTAATTATTGAGCAGAGAGTCTCCCAGGTCTGGTATGTAGCAGCAGAAAATGAGTGTGTGAGAAGCTCTAAAGAAGATGGGACTCACCAAATGTCAGACCAGCCTGTCTGTGTTAGAGAAAGAACCCCTGTTTTTTCAGATTTTTCTCTTGGCCATCCTGGACTACACAAGATGTTAAAAACTTTCTAGTGTTTTCATGCTTCATGTATACCATCTCATGCCATTAAAGTATGTATTATTTTTTATTGCAAGCACAGGACAATCCACTCATTCAATTCCCTACTTACCCATCCACCTTCTTTGCTTTCCATCTTCTCATCAGTACTTCATACCCTCCCAACTTATTATTTTTGTTTGTTTGTTTCCTATATATTTTCCTGCACATAGTAGGTGCTCACTTCCCAACTTATTACATAAATGGAAACAAAAATATGAAATCATAGAACTTTTTTTGATCAGTAAGTGACCATTTTTTAATCAGTAAGTGTGCTGTTTTGCTATGTCCTTAGGAACTCAGAAAGTCTTTGAAATAACTCATACTGATACTTAATATTCATTGCACACCAAATATATGACAGCTCCTCTACTAAATGTTTTCTACAGATAGTCTCATTTAATCCTCACAACAAGTCCATGGGGTAGGTTCTAATAAAATCCTCTTTTTTTTTTTTTTTTTTGAGACTGAGGCTGGAGTGCAGTGGCGCGATCTCGGCTCACTGCAAGCTCCGCCTCCTGGGTGCACGCCATTGTCCTGCCTCAGCCTCCTGGTAGCTGAGACTACAGGCACTCACCACCACGCCCAGCTAATTTTTTGTATTTTTAGTAGAGATGGGGTTTCACCATGTTGGCCAGGTTGGTCTCAAACTCCTGACCTCAAGTGATCCACCAGCCTCGGCCTCCCAAAGTGCTGGGATTACAGGCGTGAGCCACTGTGCCCTGCCAAAATCCTCTTTTTATAGGCAAGGAACTCAGCTCTCTAGGAAGGTTAAGTCAGTGGTACAAGGTCATGTACTGGACAAGCCATGGGGCCAGGCTTGGAACCCAGTCACTGACTACTGAGGGCATCTGCCTCCTAGGACCATCCAGTTTGCCCAGAAGCACAAGGTCACTCATGCACATGCTGGAAGAAGACAATCTAGAGCAAGAGCTTGTTCTTTGGGAGCACCCCACTTTCTTTTTCTTTTGTTGTTGTTTTTGAGACAGAGTCTCGCTCTGTCACCCAGGCTGGAGTGCAGTGGCACAATCTCAGCTCACCGCAACCTCCACCTCCCAGGTTCAAGTGATTCTCCTGCCTCAGCCTCCTGAATAGCTGGGATTACAGGCATGCACCACCACACCCAACTACTTTTTGTATTTTCAGTAGAGATAGGGTTTCAGCAGGTTGGTCAGACTGGTCTTGAACTCCTGACCTCAAGTGATCTCCCTGCCTCAGCCTCCCAAAGTGCTGGGATTACAGGCATGAGCCACTGCACCTGGACCTCACTTTCTCGGTGTTGCTGTTGGAGACCACACCCAGCCCCCTCCTGAGCAGCAGGGATCTAGGGCTCATTCCTGTAACTTGGTGGTTGCCATTACATCCTTGCTTTTCTTCTGCAGGCATTGGTGATTGCACCTGCTTTCCTCTTTCTTCTCAACATCACTGCCTATCATTTGGTTCATTGCTGGGTTTTCCTTGCTCCCAAACTGGGAGTGTAGTAGCTTATTTTTCAGATTCCTTTGTAGGTTTTATTCTGGAAGCCAACACCCAGACCCTTTGTTTTTATCCATGTATTTTGTTTCATTTCATTCAACACGATGATTGACTCTTTGATTTGCTGGAGACCTTTGCTATGGTAAATATTAAATTGCAACACCACAGGTGGGCAACCAAAAAGTAACCTGGCAAGTCGTGGAGCTCTAGAGTATTGGAACTACATCAATGAATTCTTACATGCCCAGGGCCTAAAACGGTCAGCACAAAGCCTCTTGATGAGCATTTGTTAATGAAAGTATATGTTTGTAAACATTTCTGCAAATTTGTAAATATCCCTTGCCCTTCCTGAAATGTAAGTGGGCCTAGAATTGAAGTCTTGCTGAAGTCTGTTTCTTGCCTCCTTTCTCAGATGGCCTGTAAGAGACATTCTACTCTCTTTTCATTCATTCCTGGAAGCGAGCTTGTATCTTCTCTTTCCCTAGGTCCTTCTTAAGACACCCATAGGGCCGGACTGACATCTGGTGGAGGACAGGAGACCTTTAACCTGGTGTCTTTCTTAGAGTTCAGAGAGAATAAAGTATGGGTTTACCCCAAGGATGGAGGAGAGGCAGAGACCTTTTTAATTTTTTTTACAAGATCTGAGGTCACCGAACCACCATAAAATGAATCAAGCCAAATCCTCAGGATTCCAGACTCTAGAAAGTTTCTCACTGACAATATCAATAGTTATTGAACATCTATGATGTGTCACGCACATGCTAAGTGTTTTCTGAGCTGTGAAAGGAAGATATCTTGGGCCCTCCAAATCACTAAGGAAAACTCAAGCTGGAAACTGCTTAGGGCAAACCTGCCTCCCATTCTATTCAAAGTCACCCCTTGCTCACTGAGATAGATGCATATCTGATTTCCTCCTTTGGAAAGGCTAATCAGAAACTCAAGATGATATAACCATTTGTGTCTCACCTATCTGTGGCCTGGATGCTCCCTCCCGCTTGGAGTCTTCCTGCCCTTGCTTCAAGTTGTTCCACCTTTCCAGACCAAACCAATGTACTTCTTACATATATTGATTGAGGTCTCATGTCTCCCTAAAATATATAAAATCAAGCTGTGCCCCAACCATCTTGGGCACATGTCGTCAGGACTTCCTGAGGCTGTGTCATGGATGTGTCCTCAACCTTGGCAAAATAAGCTTTCTAAATTAACTGAGACCTGTCTGAGATGTTCTGGGTTCACGGTACATTATGAAGTATATTATTTACTTTGTGTACATAGTCCCATGTAATCACTTTCTAATACCTCTCACAATGCTTCATCAATTCCACCTTAAACTTTTTTTTTTTTTTTTTTAGACAATGTTTTTCTGTCACCCAGGCTGGAGTGGCTGGAGTGCAGTGGTGTGATCTCAGCTCACTGCAATCTCTGCCTCCGGGATTCAAGCTATTCTCCCACCTCAGCCTCCTGAGTAGCTGGGACTGCAGCCTCCACCACCACGCCTGGCTAATTTTTGTATTTTTAGTAGAGACAGGGTTTCACCATGTTGGCCCGGTTGGTCTCAAACTCCTGACCTCAAGTGATCCACCAGCCTCGGCCTCCCAAAGTGCTGGGATTACAGGTGTGAGCCACTGCACCTGGCCCAATTCCATCTTATATTTTGATCTTTTACCTCCCCTTTGACCTCCAACATGTAAAACAACTAGTCATAAGGTCAGGGCTCTGTGTTACAGCTGGACTTTGCACTGACACATATGTGCACACACACACTCATACACACACATTTGAAGGAAAAAACACATTCATCTTAATTCAGGATGTGAGAGTTGCTGCTGTCTTTTAATTCCTGACAACTCCTTCATTCTTGGATGTGTTGTGCCTTTCTTATGTGAATTAGAAGTCCAGAAGAATGTGTTGGAGTTTTTACTCAGGTGAATGTGTCATCCAGCCAGCTTAGAAAGACTGCCTAGCCAAGTTACTGACTACCTCAAAGTTTCATCAGGAGAGAAAGTAGCTGTGAACAATTCAAGATCATTAGTGCCAGAGCAAAAACAGCTCAATGGCTGTGCATATTTATGGTTGTGTAATACAATGCCCATAATTGTTAGGGGGCTTCCTGATTCCAGCTCCCTCCCAGTTGTCTGAAGGGGGAGCAGAATGCACACATCACCCTTTAGCCAATTTCAACCAGGGACTGAAGTACTCTCTTCTTACTAGTAGGAAATGGCTTCTGTTCACATCAACTACATCATGGATGACTTTGGATGATGTAAACCTCTTAATATGAAAAAGATTAAGTCCAGAAACAAAGCATGCCTTGGTTCATCTGGCAACTCTGGTGAGGTCAATCGGAGGGTCTGTAAGGGCTGACACCCCTCCTTGCGTGAACAGAGACTGCCTCTCATTTGCCCCCGCTCCTAACCCCTGCCACCCCAAAAAGAATTCTACCACAAAAAATAAAAATACAAGTTCTCATTCAATACCCTCCTTTTTTTGGTGGAAACATTTCTTTACAGTTAATGTCTAGACTCTAGATTAAGTTCACGTAAAGCTTCCCTTTTTAAAAATTCATGCTGACTAGGAGTTAAAGTGCAAGGCTATTTCCTTTTGATCTCCTTGCCGTTTGTTCTCCATGACCACCAACTGACTTTGCCTGTCTTTTACTGTTTCCTTCCCCATTTTTACTCACAATCTGTTACGTCTCCTTATCAGCTTCTGGCAGCCTCTTCCAGCGCTCATTGAATGCTGAGCTCTCTCTATGGGATGCTGGCTACAATGGGGGTCTCTGAGATGCTGGCTACACTGGGGACAAGCATAAATATGAGTGTGGGGGCAAAACTGTACAATGGAAGCAGCACTGTGGAGCTCATTTGGAGAGGCTGTATCTGCTGGTGGATTCCTGTAGGATGACAGATGGGAAAGACAGCCAAAAGTCAGCACCCGGGCAGCAGAAAGATATATCCAGAAGCAAGTCCAGGTGCTGGTATTGGACCTGAATTGGAGATAGAGCCAAAAAGCATAATCTACACAATGCATTTGGTGGAAATACATTAGGAGACAAAATGAAAAATGGAAAGGGGCCGGGCGCTGTCGCTCACATCTGTAATCCCAACACTTTGGGAGGCTGAGGCAAGCGGATCACTTGAGGCCAGGAGTTGAGACCAGCCTGGCCCACATGGTGAAACCATGTCTCTACTAAAAATACAATAATTAGGTGGGCGTGGTGATGCATACCTGTAATCTCAGCTACTCAGAGGCTGAGGTGGGAGAATCACTTAAATCCTGGAGGCAGAGGTTGCAGTGAGCTGAGATCATGCCACTGCACTCCAGCCTGGGCAACAGAGTGAGACTTCGTCTTAAAAAAAACACAAACAAGAAAAAAACAACAACAAAAACAAATCTGCAAAACTGTGTGCAGAGTTTCTGGAAAGCTACAGGGCATTATTCTGCTGAAAGACTAACTCCCAGGTTTACACAGCGACGATGATGGCAGACCTGGAACATGAATCAGGTGTTTCTGACTTCAGGACCAGTACTTTTGTTCACTACATTTTTCATCAGCTTAGGGCGAAGCACTGAAGGTGCCTCCTGCAAGGATCAATGCTAAGGTACAAGGACTCAGGATTGAATAATGTATTAGCCTTGGGCTTTTACAGATTAAGGATGTTGGGAAATTACAGAACCACAGTATGAAGCTCTAGAGGGAGTGCTGGAGGGTCAGAGCAGTGAGATGTGCTGTAAATAGGAAAACAAATCATGAGGTCAGAAGTCAAAAGAAGAGAATAGGGCAGAAGCATAGAGCCACAGAATTTACACTAGGAAAAGGGCTCAAGCTGGAGACTGAACCATAGGAGGATGCTAGAAGCCAGCTTTCATCTGATGTGGGTTAAGGGGGCCACCAGGATAGAGAGGACCCAACAGGGTAGACTTGAGACAAGGGATGAGGATATCAGAGAAACCACCAAAACTTCCTACAAATACTAGCCCAAAATGTCTTTGCCATGACTATGAAGAGTGGAAATGTCCAATAGATCAAGACTAGGTAAATTATCACTTGGGGTGATCATATTTGGGATTCTTGGTTATTCCAGAAAGATCAACCCCAATTCTTCTGAGCACCAATCATATGTATTTTAATTGTTCACTCAGCTCTCAATGGTATAGACATACAAATAGCTGCCTATACTATTGAATTATTAAATGCACATTGTTGAATATATTTTTCGATCCCCCAGTACCTATTCCTATTCTTTTGCTAAACCTGTATTTTGGGAGTAAATTGCCTTTCCTTCATTTTGTGTGGTTCTTGTGAGATATCTATCATGGTGCCCCAGTCTCTCCTAGTGAAAATGAGTCCCATACCCAAGCTATACCAATTAACATTCCCTTCCAGGACTTTGAATTTTGAGCAGAAGAATATAAAGGTATAGAAAAGAGTTGAAGTTTATTCACCCAGGTGGTTCCCCAGGCCTGTCTTGGTTGCTTTCCTCTCTGAGCATGGTCCTAGAGCTTTTGGATGAAATCTGTGGACTATAGTGGCCTTTCGTGACGTAGGGAGTAAATAACTCATGATTAGGACAAGGTGGTTGAGTAAGCTTGGAAGAGCCCACGGTATCAATTCCACAGAGGAAGTGGAGACCAAGCACCAGACACAGAATCAGGCATCTGCCAAAGAATTCAAGCAAGAATGCAAGCAATCAGATTCAGAAGGTGTACTGTGGAAAAGATTGCCTGATTAATTCAGAAAAGAGTGGTAGATCAGTCATAATGTTTCTTGCTTGCAAGTGACAGAAAACCAGCTTGAACCAGTTTTAAGAGAAAAGAAAAAGGCTGTATTGCTTTAGTTAACCACATTGCAACAGGAACAATGATTAAATAATTTATCATCCACCTGGGGCACTTCCGAGACTGAAAGAGCTACACTTCTGAGAAGGAAAGTTAATGATTAAGCTGGAACAACAGGTGTAAACTGGGACAAATGGGCCCTATACCCATTTGGATGTCTTCTCATCCTAGTGTAAGGAAGTTATGATGAATAAACCTGAAAGGCTGCCTGCCAGGGGTCTATCTCTCTCTCTGTATCTTTCTCTTTGTCTCTCTCTCTTTGTGTGTGTGTATGCACAGCTGACAGAAGCTCTGGGCTCGAATTCTTACAGGTTACCAATCAGAAAGGAAAGGATACTTCTTTTGTTTGCTCCAGTGTAAAATATCTTGTCCAAGAATTCCAAGTAGTCTGACCTACATCACATACTATCCCTGGGCCAATTTCTGTGGATAAAGAGATGGATTCCTAACCTACCATGGGTTCATCTGGGTCACATGTGTTTACTGTGTTGAAGACATAGGAGTCCTATGAATCCATAGTCCCAATAATTTGGAGCAGCACTTCCTTGAAAGAAAGGCTTTTCTGGAAGACAAAACCATAAATATCCACTCAGGCAGCCTTTTATAGAGTGTCTCTGCCAAGTCCACTTGCAGTATGGGAACCGTTAAGTGTTACATAAAACATTCTGGAGCTACCTGGGAAAGGATTGAACCATGACCCTTGAGACCTTGGAAGCCCTTTGCAATCTGCTTTAACAAAGAGCCATGGGGCCGCTCTATCCCTTTATAGTCTTGTATATAATTGCCCATTGCGGGTATGTGAGTCCCCAGGGCTCAGTGTTCCTATAAGCCACTAGCACCTCTCAAATGAAATGATGGTGGTAATGTAGGGAGAGGAATAGATCTGATTTTGTGGTGCTCTTCTCATTTGGCTTTGCCCTGAAAAGCCACTGGCAGAGCCACAGCACCCTGGGCACCTTGGGCTTTCATTGAGGAGTTGGGGAACAGAAAGGAAAGCAAGGACTCCATAGAAAAACTTTACGAAAGAGGGCAGCTAGAGGCAGACTTCCCTTCCAACCAAGATTGGCTAGGCTCCCAGTTCTACCTGCCCCGGCTCCTGTTTCAGCTCCATTGTTGGAAAGTACAACTGTGATGGTTAATACTGAGTGTCAACTTGATTGGATTGAAGGATGTAAAGTATTAATCCTGGGTGTGTCTGCAAGGGTGTTGCCAAAGGAGATTAACATTTGAGTCAGTGGGCTGGGAGAGGCAGACCCCCCTTAATCTGGATGGGCACCATCCAGATCAGCTGCCAGCGAATATGAAGCAGGCAGAAAAATGTGAAAAGGTTAGACTGGCCTAGCCTCCCAGGCTACATCTTTCTCCCATGCTGCATGCTTCCTGCCCTGAAATATCGAACTCCAAATTTCTTCAGTTTTGGACTCGAACTAGCTCTCCTTGCTCCTCAGCCTGCAGATGGCCTATTGTGGGACCTTATGATTGTGTTTCTGAGTTAATACTTAATAATCTCTCCCTTATATATGTGTGTGTGTGTGTGTATATACACACTATATATTCTGTTCCTCTAGAGAACCCTAATTCAACAACCGTTTATGATGAAACTTGGAACAAAGAGAGGCGCTACTTTTTGCCACCGTGATAGGATCCTCTCTACCTTGCAGAAGAGTTCTTGGTGGCTAAAACTCAACAAGAATCTGCTTGTCCCCAGCCCAGACTTTCTCTGGGAGAAAAGGAATGGATAAACGTATGGAAGATTGATTGAGTGACTGTGGGCTCCCACCCAAAGAGATGATTCAGTCCAGTGGCAGGGAGAAGAGTGAGACCCAGTGGAACGTGATTTCGCAATGGGCCCGTTGCCACGACAGGGAACACACTGTTTACTAAAGAGAGCTCTTCAACCTCTCAGTCATCTTTGCCTTCCAGAAAACTGCAGCCTCAACTCTAGTAAGTAATCCACCGGCTCAGCCCAAGCCCTGTTGGAGCGGATAGGGCTATCCTTGCCACAGTACTGAACAGCAGGAATGTTGCTCGCAAAGCCTGCCCTTTGGAAGTAGCCAGCAAGGCTGAAAGTGCTCAACCACTCTTTGGAATGCCACATTGTATATGGGAAGTTCCATAATGCGCTACTAATAAGTAAAGTTTCTCTTGCTGGGTTGTAAGTATCTGGGCAAGTCACAGGAAATTCTTCTTGGAACTAAGCAATATGGGAATAAACACACGTATTAACATCTGCTCATGATAACTAGCTAATGAAATAGCCCACTTTGGCCCAGAGTTCGGGATAATGAAACAAATGACTGGTGGTTAATAAATCGCTTCAGTGCCGGTATATGTTCACTGTACATCTTGTGTGTCCCGTGTGTTCATTTGTTCTTTCAATTGATTCTTCTTTCATTGTCCAAGACACAGTCTTTGTTTTTAAACTTTTTATTCACATATGCACTGGTTGCTGTGGCCTCCTTCTGGACTGAGACACTCATTTACCTGGCTGCTAGGAGTGCTGGTGGTCAGTAGCTCTCATCTGAGCCTCTCTCCAAAAATGACCTCTGCTAAAGAGAGCTGCCTGGTTCAAGGTCATGCTCCCTTCCCTATGGTAGCCCACAATTTTAAAGAAAGGACTGACTACATTGCAAATACTTGAAGACACCTCTTAAAAAATTGATATGTAATCAATGTGGACATGTAAAGACCCAGCCCTTAAAGCCCAATTTAAGATAACCTGGAAGGGCCACTTGCTGGCTACTTCCACAGGGCAGGGTTTGTAGCGGAAAAGCCATCACAGCTCCAGAGTTTCCAGTGGGCTTGACTGAGGCCTTTGACTGTCTCTCAGTTCATCTGCTTGCTGTGCTCATTGCTGCCTTTCTTCTTTCACAGATACTGTTCCTAAGAGCATCTGCCCCAGTCAACTTCTCATCCACAGATATTAATCTCAGTCAACCTCCAGGTAACCTGACCCCTGATGCTATATAACGTAAACCCTGAAAAGTGGCCAGGAGCGATGACTCATGTCTGTAATCCCAGAGCTTTGGGAGGCTGAGGCAGGAGGATCCCTTGAGGCCAGGAGTTTGAGAACAGCCAGGGCAACATAGCAAGTCCCTGTCTCTGCAAAAATAATTACAAATTAGCCAGATGTGGAGGTAACTACTTGGAGGCTGAGTGGGGAGGATCACTTGAACTCAGGAGTTTTTGGTTACAGTGAACTATGATGGTGAGACCCTGTGTCAAAAAAGAAAAAAATGAAAGTGCCTTGATTATAATGGTACCACTTCATGAATTTTACAAAATGAACACACCTGTATGACCAGCCTCCACCTCCCTTCTAACCTAAGGGTAACCACTGTTATCACTCCTAACAGTACAGATTTGTTTTTACCTGTTCTAGGGCTTTGTCTAAACGGTATTATATAGTGTACATTGTTTTTGTGTTTGGCTTCCATTACTCAACATCTTGTCGGTGGGATTCATTCACGTTGTGTGAGGCTGTACAATCATTCCCATTTCTTTTCTTTTCTTTTTTTTTTTTTTTGAGACGGAGTCTCACTCTGCCGCCTGGGCTGGAGTACAGTGGTGCAATCTCAGCTCGCTGCAAGCTCCACCTCCCGGGTTCATGCCATTCTCCTGCTTCAGCCTCCCGAGTAGCTGGGACTACAGGCGCCCGCCACCATGCCCAGCTAATTTTTTGTATTTTTAGTAGAGACGGAGTTTCACCATGTTAGCCAGGATGGCCTCGATCTCCTGACCTCGTGATCCACCCGCCTCGGCCTCTCAAAGTGCTGGGATTACAGGCATGAGCCACTGCACCCAGCCAATTCATTCCCATTTCTATGTAATATTCCATGTGGGAATATAATACCATTTATTTTTCTATTCTTAGGTTGATGAATATTGGGTAGTTCCAGTTTGAGGCAATTATACATCTGTAGTGAGCATACTAGAATATGTTTTTGGATGGGCCTAAGCACTCATTGCTGTAGGGAACTGCATATATTTAGTTTGTGTAGATACTGCCAAGCAGTTTTCCAAAGTGGTTGTACCAATTTATACTGCCACTTGCAGTGTATGAGCATTAAGACCAATACCTGGTGTTTTCTCCACCCTTTTCATCTCAGCCACTGTGGTGAGTGTGTGGTGGTAGTATATTGTGGTTTTAATTTGGACTTCCCTGGAGGCCAGTGACACTAAGCACATTTTATATGTTTATTGGTTATTTGGACATTCTCCTTGGAGGATGTCTATTTGAGTCTTTGCCCATTTTCTGTTGGTTTGTCAAGACAGTCTTTTCTTTACCGTTGGCTGCTGGGAGATCCTACAGAGGCCATCTCTGGAGGAGAGGGAAAGAGGAGTCATATTTTGTTTAAGGACAAAAGTAAGAAACAGATAAATAAAACATACAGAGAAGCATGTAGGAAATAATAAACACGGGCTTCAAAGCTGCTGGAGAAGGGAAGAAATGAGATTCATCCACAACAGCAAAGTCATAGACTTGAATGGGGAAAAGTAAATTGAGGTGGGGTTGAGGAAGCCACAGAAAAAGATGAGGTCCAGGCCAGTCGCGGTGGCTCACGCCTGTAATCCCAGCACTTTGGGAGGCCGAGGCAAGTGGATCACCTGAGGTCAGGAGTTCAAGAACAGCCTAACTAACATGGTGAAAGCCCATCTCTACAAAAAAATACAAAAATTAGCCAGGCATGATGGCAGGTACCTGTAATCCTAGCTACTTGGGAGACTGAGGTGGGAGAATCACTTGAACCCAGGAGGCGGAGGTTGCAGTGAGCTGAAATCATGTAATTGCATTCCAGCCTGGGTGACAGAGTGAGACTCTGTCTTAAAAAAAAAAAAGAAAGAAAAAGAAAAAGATTGAGTCCAGCTATTGGACTCAGGAAAGACAAAGTGGTAGCTTTGGGTGGGTGCCAGCAAGAATCACGAAAATCCACTCAGCTGATGAGACTGTGTGATTGTAAGAATAGTTAGAGAAGGCTGTGTTTACCAGCTGGTATACAAAAAAGAAGTTAGAATAAAACACAATGACTGTTACTGGTCTTGTGTATCCAGGCAGAGTCACGAGCTGAGTAAATAGATAGCATGGCTTTAGAAGAGAAGGTGTATATTTTTTTCAGGCTCACTGAACCACTACATGTGAGAAATAACAAGGGCAGAGTGACCTGGAACACAAAAACGTCATTATTCCTGCAGCTCTGCTCCTGGGGAGTAGCCCACAATCACAAGCAGCAGGAGGGGAGTGGAGTCACATCTATAGTGGCTTTGCAATCTTTTACTGCCTACTACAAAATTGGCCCTCTTCACACTGCATCTTCAGCATGGGACCTGTCCTTATCCTGGAAATAGCTTTTCTTTGCTAAATATTGCAGCCTGGCTCGACCCCGAACATCCGCTCGGTTCAGTCACTTGGAGTTTCCTTCTTTCTGCCAGATCAATCATCTGCTCCTGTTGTATCAGTGAATGTGATTAGAATTATCTCCCTTTGTTGGGAAGACAGACTCTAATGGTGTAGAGTTCTATTTTGTTTTTGTTTTTTCTTTGAGCAGAAACATGGGCACCATGACATTCTTCTGTGAAAATCCAGCATAATAATCTTCAGTTGGCTAAAGTTAGGATGTACTATTAACTGTTTCACTTCCACTTGGTTATAAGCCAGTGATTTTGAAGTTTATGACTGTGACCCATGGGAGAGTGTTCAATATGGGACCTGTCCTTACTGCCACAGGGAATTTTGAAAATACTGTAGATCTTGCTTTTCTGTCAGTTTGACCTGAAAGGAGTTCTTCATGTTGGAATACTATTGGGAGTTCCATATAGGGTCATCATATTGCGTCCTCATAGCTGACCCTAAAAACTGGGATTCTCTTTAACCTTTCCAAATCCCCATCTGAGGACTTGTGCTCTGGACAAGACCTTATTGTTTGCAAGAATAGACTGTCTTGAGAGAACCTTTTTATTTTAGGGATGGAGCCAGAATGAAGTTACTTTCCACAAACCTATTCTAACCTATTGATCCTGCAGGAACCATTTTCCTATTGGTAGAAGGGACTGCAGAGAAAAGTTACTCTCTCATTTACTCATTTGCTTATTTGGTGAATTTTTTTTTTTTTTTTTGACAGAGTTTCGCTATTTTGCCCAGGCTGGAGTGAAGTGGCACGATCTCAGCTCACTGCAACCTCCATCCCCTGGGGTTCAAGCAATTCTCCTGCCTCAGCCTCCTGAGTAGCTGGGATTATAGACACCTGCCACCATGCCCAGCTAATTTTTTGTTTGTTCGTTTGTTTTTGTATTTTTAGTGGAGACCGGGTTTCATGATGTTGGTCAGGCTGGTCTCAAACTCCTGACCTCAGGTGATCCACCCCCCTCGGCCTCCCAAAGTGCTAGGATTACAGGTGTCAGCCACCGTGCCCGCCCCATTTGGTGATATTTTTATTGAGCATCTGCTATGTGTCTGGTGCTTTGCACCCTAGAGACACAGCAGAAAAGAGCCAGACATAGTACCTTTGTGAAGCTTTTATTCTAGTGGGTGAGATAGACATTAATCTAGTGGCTTCAATAAAATGTAACAATAAGGAAGCACAGATATCTTTCTCTCAGAGGGGTTAAACTTGTTCTGTGCTTTTGCTTTTGTTGTCTAATAGAAAGCAGTAATTCTCTTTTCTACCAATAACTTGGAGAAAAAAAAAAGTAGTAATTGAAAAACTCTAAGCGGAGGTTCTGCAGCAGTGGTTCTCAAGCAGGCCTGATTTTGTCCCCAGGGGGCATTTGGCAATGTCTCCAAAGATATTTGGTCATCACAACTGAGTACTACTAGCATCTGGTGCGTTAAGCTTTTTATAATGAACAGGATGGCCCAAAATGTCAGCAACACAAGGGTTAGAAACTGCTGTCTATATCATATGGGTAATACTTTAATTTGAGACGGAGTTTTGCTCTTCCGCCCAGGCTGGAGTGCAGTGGTGCAATCTTGGCTCACTGCAACTTCCGCCTTCCAGTTTCAAGCGATTCTCCTGCCTCAGCCTTCTGAGTAGCTGGGATTACAGGCTCCTGCCACCATGCCCAGCTATTTTTTTTTGTATTTTTAGTAGAGATGGGGTTTCACTATGTTGGCCAGGTTGGTCTCTAACTCCTGACCTCGTGATCCGCCTGCCTTCGGCCTCCCAAAGTGCTGGGATTACAGATGTGAGCCACCGTGCCCGGCCCAGAGTAGCTTTCGCCTTTTATTTTTAAAACATAAATTCTTTGGTATTATATTTACTACTAATAATATATTAACACTTTGTGGGCCAGGTATTGTGCTAAGAACTTTTCATTGATCATCTCATTTATTCATGAGAAAATATGAAATAAGGAAAAGTATCCTCATTTCACAAATAAGAAAACAGAGGTTCAGAGAGATTAAATAATGTCCTTTGGGATTTGAAACCAGGTTTGGCAAAGCCTAGGCTCTTAACCACCTTACTCTCTATCCCTTCTTGTGATACTGTCATTACTTTGCATTCTTATGAAGTTTTGTAGTTTCAAAGAATTTTCATATGATTATCTCCAAAGCACAAACTTATGATAAAGCACTGGCTTGGAAGTCAAGTGTATGTTTGAGTGTGGTCCTCCTTTACACTGTGACCTCAGGTAAATTATTATTATTATTATTTGAGATGGAGTCTTGCTCTGTTGCCCAGGCTGGAGTGCAGTGGCATGGTCTCAGCTCACTGCAACCTCCACCTCCCAGGTTCAAGCAATTCTTGTGCCTCAGCCTTCCAAGTAGCTGAGACTGCAGGTGTGTGTCACCACACCCAGCTAATTTTTTGTATTTTTAGTAGAGACAGGGTTTTGCCATGTTGGCCAGGCTGGTCTTGAACTCCTGATCTCAAATGATCCTCCTGCCTCAGCCTCCCAAAGTGCTGGGATTACAGGTATGAGCCACCAGGCCCAGCCTCAGATAAATTATTTGACATCTTTTAGCCTCAGTAGTCTTCTAAAACCAGAGCATTGAACTAGAATTATTTCTCAGGTCGCTTTCAGATTTGGGGGTTGTTTATTACTGCAGCATAACCTCGATCTAACTGTTTCAGTATACTCCATAAAACTTATATTTCAGTTTTATATATCATCATACAAAATGAATCTATTTTGTGATAAATAAAAATGATATAAGATAAATATAAGATAAATGACATAAGATAAAAATGCAGTCTATGTTAGTGGCTATCAAACTTCTTGCTTACAATGTACAGTAGGAGATTCATTTTGGGCTGGGTGTGGTGGCTTATGCCTGTAATCCCAGCACTTTGAGAGGCTGAGGCGGGTGGATCACCTGAGATCAGGAGTTCAAGACCAGCCTGGCCAACATGGTGAAACCCTATCTCTACTAAAAATACAAAAATTAGCTGGGCATGGTGGCGGGCACCTGTAATCCTGGCTACTCGGGAAGCTGAGACAGGAGGATCACTTGAACCTGGGAGGTGGAGGTTGCAGTGAGCCAAGATCACACCACTGCATACCAGCCTGGGCGGCAAGAACAAAACTCTCTCTTTCTCTCAAAAAAAAAAAAAAAAAAGGATTCATTTTGTATAATGACATATGTAACTGAAATATAAGTTTTACACAGCATACTGAAACAGATCAACTAGGTTATGCTGCAGTAATAAACAACCACAAATCTCAGGGGCTTAAAACAATAAAAATTTTGTTCTGGCTTGTGTTGTGTGCATCATGAGGTGGCTGGGAATCCTGCTCCATTTTTTTCTTCATCCCAGGACTCTGGATGGAGCAGCCTCCATCTCAAAGGTCACCAACATCAGCAGTAGAGAGAAAGGGAGCACAGCAAATCTGTAGTGGCTCTTAAAGCTTCACCTGGAGCGATACACATCACTTCTCCTCACATGTTATTGGCTAAGTCATTTGGCCACACCTAACTTCAAGGAGTGGGGAAATGCCATCCCTTCATGTGCCTGGGAAAGAAACTAAAAACAACTGATGAACAGCATGAATGACTGCCACAAGCATGTACCCTTACCGTGTAGATACATTCTGATGTTTTCTTTTCTTTTTAATTCAACTAGGTACTAGTCTACTCTACCCTACCCTATTCTATTCTGTTCCTTTTATTTTATTTTTTAAGGCAGTCTCACTCTGTTGCCTAGGCTGGAGTGTGGTGGTGCAATCTCGGCTCACTGCAACCTCCACCTCCTGGGTTCAAGAGGTTCTCCTGCCTCAGCCTCCCGAGTAGCTGGGACTACAGGTGTGTGCCACCACACCCAGATAATTTTTGTATTTTTAGTAGAGACGGGGTTTCACCATGTTGGTCAGGCTGGTCTTAATCTCTTGACCTTGTAATCTGTCTGCCTTGCGCTCCCAAAGTGCTAGGATTACAGGTGTGAGCCACCGTGCCTGGCCTAAAACCTTTTTTTAAAAAAATTATACTGCCTTCCAGAAAATGCTAGTCAGAACCCTATATATTGATTTCAAAACTCTCCTATGACTGTGATTGGGTCACAGTCATAAACTTCAAAATCACTGGCTTATATCCAAGTGGAAGTGAAACAGTTAATAGTAAACTCCAACTTTAGCCAATTGGAGATTATTATGCTGGATTTACACAGAAAAATGTCATAATGCCCATGTTTCTGCTCAAAGGGAAAACAAAACAAAATAGAACTCTACACAAGCCTGTCCTCTCAACAAAGGGAGATAATTCTAATCACATTCGCTGATACAACAGCAGCAAATGATTGCTCTGGCAGAAAGAAGGAAACCCCAAGTGACTGAGCCGAGTGGGATGTTCAGGGTACAGCCAGGCTGTAATATTTAGCAAACAAAGAAAAGCTATTTCCAGCCGGGCTCGGTGGCTCACGCCTGTAATCCCAGCACTTTGGAAGGCCGAGGCAGGCGGATCACCTGAGGTCAGGAGTTCGAGACCAGCCTGGTCAACGTGGTGAAACCCTGTCTCTGCTAAAAATGCAAAAAAAATAAGCTGGGCATAGTGGTGTGTGCCTGTAATCCTAGCTACTGAGGAGGCTGAGGCAAGAGAATCGCTTGAACCTTGGAGGAGGAGGTTGCAGTGAGCTGAGATTGCGTCACTGCACTGTAGCCTGGGCAACAGAGAAGGACTCTGTCAAAAAAAAAAAAAAAAAAAAGAGAGAGAAAATAAAAGCTATTTCCAGGAAAATGGGTATATGAGTAGAATTGCCTCTCCTAAAAAAGAGATGTTGGAGTCTTACCCTCTGTACCTCCGAACATAATGTTATTTGGAGATAGGGTCTTTACAGAGGTAATCAAGTTAAAATGAAGTCATCAGGGTGGGCTCTAGTCCAATGACTAATGTCCTCATAACAAGGACAAACTTGGATGCAGAGACAGACATGCACAGAGGAAAGACGATGTGCAGAAACACGGGGAGATCGAGGCCACCTACAAGCCAAGGAGAGAGACCTGGAAGAGATCCTTCCCTCACAGCCCTCAGAAGGAGCCAACCCTGCTAACACCTTAATATTGGACTTCTAGCCTCTAGAACTGTGAGACAGTGAATTTCTGTTGTTTAGTCCACCCAGCTTTTGGTACTTTGTCATGGCAGCCCTAGGAAGCTAATACAATGGGGGAACATGGCTCCAGCAGTAAGCAGAGCATACTGGAGGTAAGCAAGACCTCACTGGCAATATCATAAGAGGGTATATAAAATTTTTCTGCAAACAGTGATGAAGGCACTGGCATAAGAAAGTTATATGCAAGCAAAGAACACTGTGAGACACATATAACAGTTTCAACAAACCCTGGGCAATTCAAAGAAGACAATCTGGGCCTGGTGTAGTGGCTCATCCTTGTAATCCCAGCACTTTGGGAGGTTGAGGTGGGTGGATCACTTGAGGTCAGGAGTTTGAGACCAGCCTGGCCAACATGGTGAAACCCCATCTCTATTTTAAAAAATACAAAAATTAGCCAAGTATGGTGGTACACGCCTATGATCCCAGCTACTTGGGAGGCTGAGGCAGGAGAACTTCTTGAACCCAGGAGGCAGAGGTTGCAGCGAGCCGAGATCATGCCACTGCACTCCAGACTCTTGGGCGACAGAGCGAGACTGTCTCAAAAAAAGAAAAAGAAAAAACTTAAATGAAAAACAAAGAAGAGAATCTGTACCACAGCAGAAAAGGCCAGTATTCTTACTAACATAAACTAATGATTTTCAGCATTTCCTGGTTAAGGAGAGTAATTGGCATTCTTTGGTAGAATACCATTGAATAGTAACTAGAATTTGAGCTACATAATTACGGTATATTAATTGCACAGTAAAGTATAAATAATTCGTATTGTAGAGTGTATTGTTCAGTTCATCTCAACAAATTCTATTGTTGTTTCATAAAGCCCCAAGTTAAAAAAATACTCTCTAGCAATTATTGTAAGTAGATTGATGTAACAGATAGAACTTACCTATTTACAACAGACATATTTAGACGCAGAGCAGGAAATACCACATTTTACATGGCCAACGTATGCGGGTCATGCTGGTTGCATCCTGCACAGCTGTAGGCAACAACATTCACACAAACTGTGAGGAATGATGCTTCCTGGAATCATGCCCTACAGTGGTCTTACGCAGATAAGTAATCTCTCTCATAGGCCTTGTAGGGCTTTTATCAATTTATTTATTTTTAAATTTTTTTCCTGACTATACCGGGTAACAAAAGCTCTTACCACAAGATGATGGATTCAAAATTATTAGTTGGCTCTATTTCCATGTGAAGGAAATGAGACTTTGTGAAACTGTCATGGAGAATACCACCAAAGTGTCACAGCTGATAGCTTAGATATGTTAACTTAGATACATTAAGATAACTTAGATACAATAACGAAGACACATTACTGGAACTTAGAACAGTGTTCTTCTACCTGCGTCCCTACCTCACTCCTTCTGGTTGCAGAGCAAAAAAACAAAAACAAAAAAAAGCAAAACCCAACAATCTTTGAGACAATGCAATAATTAAACAGGGAATATACAGTTGAATGTAGGTTTATAAAGATAGAAGGAATGTTAAAATTCTCAGCAAATTTAACAATTCAGTTCCAGAGAACTTGCCATGACCTATGATACATGAATACAAGAATTAAAAATGGTGTCACCAAGAGCTTTGGCTCTATATGAAAAATATTGAAGCAAAAAAAAAAAAGGAGATCTAAAATCTGGAAGCTTCTCCCATCCAGCCTGCAGCTTGGGGTTGTCTTTGTGCCGACAGCTGCCCAGTAAGTCAGAAGATACCTGAAGGCTTGGATCTCCCTGTTGCCATGTTGTTTACTCAGGAAAAGCCCCAGCCAAGAGTCACATCTTTTAAGAACTGTGAAAAAAAGCAAGTAATCTGTCTTACCTATTTAATGGTGAGAAACACTGAAAAGATTGATAGGAATGCCCCTCTTCTGCTGAATCCAACTCTGCAAACTGGTTGGAGAGCTGAAAGGGAAGTGTGAAGAAGAGAAAGAGGGAAGGAAGGGCAGATTTGGGAACTGGTGGATCGCTGTTGTATGTGGATTCTGTGTATGAACAATAGTCCTTCTGCAATGAGAAGACTGGTTACAAGAATCCCAGTGGTCCTGAAATTTTTTTTGTTGCTATTTTCTGTTTTTTTTTTTTTTTTTTTTTAAGAGGTGGTAAACTCAAATGCCATGTTGGCATGTGGGTATGGAAATGTGTGCAGAGGCAGGGGATAAGGCGATGGTGAGTAGAGGGACTGTGGTTAGCTGCAGACAGCGTGCTCCTCCTAAAGCATTCAAATTCACAACAGTGTTTTTTGTTAAAACAAAATAGAACCAAACCACTGCCCTAATGAAACAAACACTTCTGCAGGCCCGATGATCCCCTTAACTCACACCTTTGTAATCCCAGATCGAAAGGATCAGAAGCTGGCAGAAGCTGTGCCTCTGCATCTTCTAAAAGTCACAATTCGTCCATAGAGTACTGCTTTTTGTTTTGTTTGTTTGTTTGTTTGAGGCAGAGTTTCGCCCTTGTCGCCCAGGCTGGAGTGCAATGGCACGATCTTGGCTCACTGCAACCTCTGCCTCCCAGGTTTAAGCAATTCTCCTGCCTCAGCCTCCCGAGTAGCTGGGATCACAGGCATGCACCACCACACCCAGCAAATTTTTGTATTTTTAGTAGAGAGGAGGTTTCACCATGTTGGCCAGCCTAGTCTTGAACTCCTGACTTCAGATGATCCACCCACCTCAGCCTCCCAAAGTGCTGGGATTACAGGCATCAGCCACCACAACTGGCCTGTTTTTTTGTTTTGTTTTGTTTTGTTTTGTTTTGTTTTGAGACAAATTCTCACTCTGCCACCCAGTCTGGAGTGCAGTGGTGTGATTGCAGTTCGCTGCAACCTCTACCTCCCGAGCTCAAGGGATTCTTCTACCTCACCCTCCCAAATAGCTGGGACTATAGGTGTGCGCCACCACACCCGCCTAATTTTTGTAGTTTTAGTAGAGATGAGTTTTGCCATGTTGGCCAGGCTGATCTGGAACTCCTGGCCTCAAGTGATCTGCTTGCCTTGGCCTCCCAAAGTGTTGGGATTATAGGTGTGAGCCACAGTGCCTGGCCTGAATGCTGTTTTACTAATAATTTGCCACCTTATTTGTAAGTACAGTCTTGATTAGATAATTTACCAAAGAACATTGATAATTCTTCCTAGAAATAAAGGTAGAGGGAATCATATTATTTACATACAGGCTTGGCTATTTAGTAGGCTAGGGTTTAGAATCTGTGCCCATACATTTTAATGAAGTATAATTTTGTGTTGATTACTTCTATCTAGATAGGAAGATATGTTGCTTTCTAGAGTTTATGTAAGCTTTGTCTCTTTAAGGAGGCTAATACCATTAAGCTAATAATAATAACGGGTAACATTTATTGACCTTCCTATGTGTCAGACACCATATACTTTACATGGAATATCTTGTTGTGTCTCATTTAATTCTTGCAACAACCCTCTAAGGCAGGTAGTGTTGCTATCCTCATTATACAGATGAGAATGCCAAGGCACAGATAGGTTAAGGAACTTTCCTAAAGTCACCCTGTAAGTGGCAGAGATGGAGTTTGAATTCAGGAGGTGTGGCCGAGTTAGCAGTCATAAATCTAACTAACTAAGTAACTAACTAACTAACAAACAAACATCAAAATCTCTTGTCCACTCACGGGACTCCTTTACCAAGTCTCTTGAATTCTTGCCTAGGCCAGTGGAGAGAGTTATCCCAGAGCCTCAGACCTGCAGGCACACCGACTCCCACTGCCTTGCAGAAAGAGGTTCAGGAGCAGTGTTTTTGGTAGTCGCTTGAACTATTTCTTCTGGGAACATCAT
Source organism: Homo sapiens (assembly GCF_000001405.40). Lineage (NCBI taxonomy): Eukaryota > Metazoa > Chordata > Mammalia > Primates > Hominidae > Homo > Homo sapiens. The sequence goes on from NC_000008.11 coordinate 120,082,555, forward strand.
TATCTCTGTTGTGATTCCTCAGAGCAGTAGTCAAGGTCTCAGAGTAAAGGCCTCCCTGCATACTTGTGGCCACTTATCTCACTGGGCATGCGAGACAATGTCCAAGTTACGCAAGACAGGCTGACGAGCATCCTATTAGCACGAAAACATGATGCACCCTGGGTGGATGAGTTTGGACTCATAGCTGGTCCCCAGGCCTAAACTTCCCAGAAGAGTGGGAGAATCAGTGGCTTCCTTTTGAATTCCCAGGCAGTGTGCCCGGTCACAAGGCATTCCCCAGGAAGGGTGAAGCTGTCTTGGGACGCAGAAGTTTGGAACACCATCTGGGAATTAACAAAGAGATAAGATTTTCAGTTCAATGGCATTCAAGTTGATTTATGCTTCAGTACCAGGGACTTGATATCAAGTCCCTAGAGAAATAGGGACATACCGGGACTATTAGTGAATCAAACAGAAAAGAAGAAGTAGGCTAATAAGCATCCTTAGGAAAGGGAGGGAGGAAGGCTGTCCTGCTTTCAACTTAATAAGGAGTTTGTCCTAAGTAGGAGGACATTTCTCTATGTTCAGCTTTTAGCAAGGCTGTGGCTGTTGTAATCTGCAATCTGTTTTCTCTCTGCCTGGCTAGGGCCTGGGCTCCTCTTTGGCTGTCTCAGTCTCACTTTGGCTCTTTCTGGCCCTACAGCTACCCTGGTTCCACCATGTCTTCCTCCTGGCCCTCTGGCTCTGCCACCCACATTCGGGTTCTGCCTTGGGGCAGCCCTATCCTTTGCCGCAGCGGGCATGTAGGACACCTTCAGGGTCTCCACACTGCTGCCTTCCAAGGTCTCTTGGAGCCTCAGGATCTCGTGGACCCTCTACAGAAAATTGTCTGGGGAAGCTCAGAGTCATTTACTTTCTCTACTAACCACGAAGGACAGCCAGGTTTACTTTGAGGTGGCCATTGCCTAGTTGGGCAGCTAAGGAGTGGCCATCACTTCTAGAGTCCTGAGTATGAAGGAGGGTAGAAATCTCTCTTCCCATTGGCTTTCTTCAGCCTTCAGGCTCTATTTCCAAGAAGAAAACCCAAAACAAACACACCGACCACTTCATCCTCCTCCTTTCTTTCTGTATACCTTCTTCCCACAGTCCCTTCAGTTAGAAGAGGCAAGATTTTTGCCTACTCTCTGACATTGTAGCCACCTTTAAGCATAGAGCAGCAAGTCCCAGGGCCTGACTGTCATGGGCAGAAAAGGAAGCTTCCCTACATTACGAAAAACTGCAAATTCATCCACCAGCCCTGACCTTGATTTAAAGATGGGCTCTACAAAGTGCTATAGCAAATCCTTGTTTTCTCTCCTCAGAAAGTCTGATTTCATTGTCTTTCTAAAGAGGGCAGGTAGGTAAGAGAATGCAATAAAACATGATTCAAGGGAGAAATGAAAATGCACAGTTTTAACATTTGCAAAATACATTTTTAAAACTGTCTCAACCTAACCATTTCCTTAAGGCCTCCTTGATGTTGAAGATTCGTGCATAATTACATTGAGAGCATAGGTCTGTTCTGGAAGTTGATTCATGTTTTACTCCAATTGAACTATTCATCTTTAGTGACAAAGTGTCAGTCACCTATGCCCTAATTGGTGTCCACAGAAAATAGAAACCTTATCCATGGGTCTTTTGGTGAGAAGTCAGTCATTTTCAGCATGTAGCAGGGATCTTTAATCCAGGAAGACCATATGAGACAACATGGGGTGGAAAAATACTCAGAGAGGCCAGGCGTGGTGGCCCACGCCTATAATCCCAGCACTTTGGGAGGCTGAGGAAGGCGGGTCACCTGAGGTCAGGAGTTCAAGATCAGCCTGGCCAACATGGTGAAACCCCGTTTCTACTAAAAATACAAAAATTAGCTGGACATGGTGGTGTGCGCCTGTAATCCCAGCTATTTGGGAGGCCGAGGCTGGAGAATTGCTTGAACCAGGGAGGCAGAGGTTGCAGTGAGCCGAGATCGCGCCACTGTACTCCAGCCTGGGTGACAGAGTGAGACCCTGTCCCCCCTCCAAAAAAGAAAAAAATACTCAATTGATAGTAGGAAGCATTAGTGACGGTCCTTGTTTTGCCACTCTTGAGCTCTGTGACTTAAGGTTACTTAGGATGACTCACTTGATAACTTCTTTGTTTATTTGTATATAGCTTTACCCCAAAAAGCTGAGTCAGCATTTATTTGTAATGTTATGAAATGCTGCCCCCTTGTGTTTTTGCAGGGTTCATTTAATTTCTGTTTTGATTTTAAAATAAATTTTTAATTTAAAACTTATTGACCTGTTAAAAATTTTCTTTGTTTCTATCATTTCTTTTTTGGCTCACTCATCTTCCTAACTGCCAAAATCAAACGAGTAGCTACTACTACACCTCATTAAGTTAAAAGCTCTCTTACAATATCCTTGGAGAAATGTAAATATCATTTTAACAATAGAGAAAGGCAATACTTGCTGTTTCTTATTCCTAAGAGAATCATTCCTGGACTTGGAACATGGACTTGCTGGCCCCGCTCAGCTCCTATTGGACTAAATATTCCTGACTTTTCGTTTAAGGAAGAGCAAAGTCTTCTTCTAAATGCCAACCTCATTCCCTTAGAGTGGTCATTCTTTCATCTGGAATACTGCAGCCACTCAGACAAACTACCCTGTAATAGCCCAGATGTCACTTGGGGATATCTTGTCCCTTGGAGAATTGTGGAGAACATGGCCCAGGCACAAATTTTAGTGCCTAGGATCTGAAAGACTTTAAAATGATTTCTATTGCTTGGCTTCCTGAGCCACAATAAGTGTGACGTTCCATCCCTTCTTTTCTTCTTAAAAAAAAAAAAAAAGACCAAAATATTTAAAAAATACTGCCCCCCCCCTTCTTTTTTTTGTCAGGGTCTCGCTCTGTCACCCAGGCTGGAGTGCAGTGGCAGGGTCTCAGCTCACTACAGCATCTGCCTCCTGGGTTCAAGTGATTTTCCTGCCTCAGCCTCCCAAGTAGCTGGGATTACAGGCATGGACAACCATGCGTGGCTACTTTTTGTATTTTTAGTGGAGATGGGGTTTCACCATGCTGGTCTGAAACTCCTGACCTCAAGTTATCCACCAGCCTGATAAATATGTATTTTATTTATTTATTTATTTATTTTTGAGACAGGGTTTTGCTCTTGTTGCCCAGGCTGGAGTGCAATGGTGCAATTTCGGCTTACTGCAACCTCTGCCTCCTGGGTTCAAGTGAGTCTCCCGCCTCAGCCTCCCGAAGTAGCTGGGATTACAGGCACCTACCACCATGACCAGCTAATTAGTTTTTTGTATTTTTAGTTGAGATGGGGTTTCACCATGTTGGCCAGGCTGGTCTTGAACTCCTGACCTCAGGTGATCCACCTGCCTCGATCTCCCAAAATGTTGGGATTACAGGCGTGAGCCACCGTGCCTGGCCTAAATATGTATTTTAATATTTATATATATATATATTTTTTTTTTTTTTGTGATGGAGTTTCACTCTTGTTGCCCAGGCTGGAGTGCAATGGCGCGATCTCGGCTCACCACATGCAACCTCTGCCTCTCGAGTTCAAGAGATTCTCCTGCCTCAGCCTCCCGAGTAGCTGGGATTACAGGCATGAGCCACTATGCCTGGCTAATTTTACATTTTTAGTAGAAATGGGGTTTCTCCATGTTGGTCAGGCTGGTCTCGAACTCCTGACCTCAGGTGATCTGCCCGCCTCGGCCTCCCAAAGTGCTGGGATTACAGGCATGAGCCACCGCGCCCGGCCTTACATAAAAATATTTTGATGCAATAAATTTTAATGTAAAATTTGCACATTTTGCGGCATACAAATTATACCTCAATCATTTATTCCAGTTTTTAAATTTGTTTATTCTCAATGGCAGGGTTGGCCCCAAATAACCTTCCTCTTAGGCAAACACCTTATATAACCATAGTACAATTACCAAAGCCAGGAAATTAAAATTGGCACTATACTAACTAAATGTAGACTCTATTTCAATTTCATTAGTGTTTCAACTATTGTCCTTTTTTAGTTCCAGGATCCTATCCAGAACTCCATATGACATTTAGTTGTTATTTCTCCTTAGTCTCCTTCAGTCTGTAGCAGTTCCAATTGGGAGCAGAAGTTTCCACATCTTCTACTTTAGGCACACAAATTCAACCACACCTGGAATTTCATGATGTTTAGCAGCGTCTTGGGAGATGGGACCCTAGATTTCATTATCTCTTTAGGTTCTCTCTTCAAGCTCCACTTTGTCCCCACATAATAATCCACTGTCACCAAGGAAATGTAGCCCCGTCCCCAGGTCTCATTGCTTCTCTCATGGAGTAACTGTGCCAGGTTAGGCTGACTCCACTGTAGGAGCTCAGAAAATGACACCCCAAAATACAATGCTTTGGCTTGTTGAGTACTTAGAACTAAAGGAGATTGGAAGGCCTCAGAAGTAGCCTCAGAAGCAAAGTCTCTCTCTCCAACATTCTCCTGCCCTGAGGTCTCCTCTCCTTTTTCCTTGATGGCAAGCCATAGAAATTATAATTCGAGGCCAGGCACAGTGGCTCATGCCTGTAATCCCAGCATTTTGGGAGGCCAAGGCAGGCAGATCATCTAAGGTCAGGAGTTCGAGACCAGCCTGACCAACATGGCTAAACCCTGTCTCTACTAAAAATACAAAAATTAGCCGGGCATGGTGGCACACACCTGTAATCCCAGCTACTCAGGAGGCTGAGGCAGAAGAATTGCTTGAACCCAGGAGGCAGAGGTTGCAGTGAGCCAAGATTGTGCCATTGCACTCCAGCCTGGGTGAGAAGAGCGAGACTCCATCTCAAAAAAGAAAAAAAGGGAGAGAGAAATTAGAATTCTTCTTCCCCAGGGCAGGTTATAGAAACCAGCTATATTACTCTAACCTTCCCCTGCCTTCTGTGTAGGAGCTGGCCTTAAGAAATTCTCTGACCTACCTTTCTGATAGTAGGTCATAAGACCCTCCTTCTAGAGGGCTTCTGTCCTATACCAGGAGGAAGAAGTGCTGCATAGAGAGGCCAAAAAGAATCTGAACAGACAGGCCTTGCTGGGTTAACTCTCTCTCCCCCAGTCTATTACCATTAGATCATACCCATTTTTCCAATCACATTTCCACATGGCCGTCTACACTTTACTAAATCTAAGGATAAAAATGAACCATTTTCTCTGGGTCTTTGGGTCTTCATTTCTGAGGGCTCCCATGTCATGGATGACTTTGATTAAATAAATTTGTTATGCTTTTCTCTTGTTAACCTGTCCTTTGTTATGGCGTGTCAGCTTTGATCCTTATGATGGGTGAGGAAACATATCACATATTTCCTGCTTCCTGGAATATTAGTCAATGACATTTTCTCCATCTCATAAGCTTAGAAATTCAAGAGACATCTTTACTGTCTCTTCAGGGCTGGCTACATGGTGGCCCTGGTGTACTGCCAGCTGCACCACTGCTTACCTTAGTCAATTCCTTTGACATATGGCAGGATGCGGTGAGTTTGGAATGGTTTAAGCATTATTACTGTAGCCAGAAACTGTCCAGTTGTTTATGGCCAGGTTAAATAAGATAATGGGAAGGATATACAGATGTGTGTGTGTGTGTGTGTGTGTGTGTGTGTGTGTGTGTGTGTGAGAGAGTGTGTGTGTGTGTGTTTGTATGTGTGACAGAGAAAGAGAAAGAATGGTAAGTATGATGCAGAGAGGAGGGTAAGATAGGAAAGGCAGCAGCTTGGACATAAAAGGAGTCCATGCTGAACATCTGCTATGTACCAGGCACTTCAAGACACTCTCTCATTTAACCCTCATAGCAACTCCACTTTAGTTTTGTTTTTGCTTTTGTTTTGAGTGTCTCACTCTGTAGCCGAAGCTGGAGTGCAGTAGTACGATCTTGGCTCACTGCAACTTCTGCCTCCCGGGCTTAAGAGATTCTCGTGCCTCAGCCTCCTGAGTAGCTGGGACTACAGGTGCATGCCACTACACCCGGCTAAGTTTTTGTATTTTAGCAGAGACCGGGTTTCACCATGTTCCCTAGGGTGATCTCAAACTCCTGAGCTCAGGCGATCCGCCCGCCTTGGCCTCCCAAAGTGCTGGGATTACAGGCGTGACCCACCGTGCCCGGCCTTCACTTTAGTATTTTATTATCCATTTTGGAAATGAGTAATCTGAGAGAAACTAGATAGTTTAGGGTCAGACAGCTCATGAGTGTCAGAATTTGAGATTGAAGACATGTGTGTGCAGACTCCCCATTGTGTGTGTGCTTCTGCACTTCTGCACTTCCGTGAACATAATGAGAATAACAATGTAAGAATAAGAAGAGGTAGCTGATCTTTCTATGAACAGTTACTATGTGTCATCCAATTTATAAACATTCTCTTAACTAGTCTTCCTAACAATCCTGTAAATTAAGGACTACCATTACGGCTATTTAAGAGACCCTGAAACTAGTGCTCAAAGGCTTTTGTAATTCTCCCAAGCTTACACAGTTATTAAGTGGTGGCGCAGAAATTCAAATTAGGTTATGTGATACCCAACACTACGTGCTTTATTCTCACTCTTTAGGGTAGTGCCCCGGCCTGGAGAGGCCACAGTGCAGGTGTCAGGAGGGTGCCATTAGAAGGGCCGTGTCTGTGCGTGGAACACATGGCCACCCATGCCTGCGCCACAGTGGGCAATGGAAACTCAATTCCAACCCTTCCATTAAAGCTCTTATCTAGTTACCCCTGTCTCTCGTAGGATAGGTTGTTTTACTGCAGGAAAATAATCTCAGTGGCTTAAAACATCAGAAGTTTATTTCTTTTTAACACACATTCAAATCAACCATCAGCTGGGAAGCGCTGTTCTGAGTCGCCCCTTCTCAGGCTGATGGACCAACCGCTAGATGGAGCAACACTGGTCATCGCAACAAAAAGAAAACCCTAGAAACTGGACTGTGCTTTACACAGCTTGTAGCCACCTGCAGTTACTTAGATTTGATTCAAAAGTAATTAAAATCAAAGAAAATGGAAATTTCAGTCCCTTCTTTGCACAAGCTGCATTTCAAGTGCCTGATAATTTTTTCCACTTGTGGCTACTGGCTACTATATTTTGTAGTGTGGATTATGGAACATTCCCATCATCACGTTGGTCTTGACCTATCTGGTCTCTCACACTGTCCTGACTCAGAAATAACACATGTTTACTTCCACTCAGAATTCACTGGCCAAAATTGAGGGATTGAGAGGCTGACATTTTTGAAAGACTGTCCTAAAACTGAAGATAACAGAAGTTAAAGAAAACATAAACATAAAAACATTCTTTTTAAAAATTATTTTTCTGACCTAGTGGTATAACTTGTTTCTTTCCTCTACTCTCTCTTTTGCTAGTGAAATCCTACAGGGCTGGCAGAAATTTATAGATGCGTTGCCCCTAAGAAACCTTTACATGATTCAAACTGTCATACTTGCTCTTGTCATTGTGCATGTAGAGCTAGACTGACTGAGTTTTGAATCCTAATTCCTAACATGAAGTAGCTTTAAATTAAGGTTTTGCTCAAGCAACTTAACCTTTCTGAACCCCAGTTTTTTTTTTTAGTAAAATGAATCTAATAAAAATATTTCTCACATATTTACTTTAACCTTATATATAAAATTAGAATACCTGGCTGTATCAGGCAGCCAGTAACTAACTGTTAGCTACTATTGCTGTTATCACAAAGAAATTTATTTCCTTGTCCATTCATTCCAAGTCAAAGAGTTCTATCTCTGCTGGGCCAAATAAGGCCATTTTACTATGTCTTAATGATACATCATTTTACACCTATTCATTATGTATGTATATATATTTGATTACATATATAATTGATTTTTAATAATATGTAGCATTCCACTGTGAGACCGAGATACATTTATTTAATTTCATTTCATATTTATTTCATTATAATTGGCAATTATTAAGAAGCCCGACAAAACCGACCTTTAGAAAGATGTTATCATCAAAATCTCTTACATCTCTTATAAATTGCTGGAGGAAGAATAAATTGGCACAATCACACTGGAAAGGAGTTTGGCAGTATCTCATGAGGTTGAATATTCCTAACCCCTATGAACCAGCATTCCCATTCCTGTACTGGCATCACTATTCACAAGAAAAAAAAAGGACAACAATCTGAAACCCATTGCTTAGATAATGAGAACATAGATGCAATTCAGTCCCACAAATAATGCTATGTATCATTGAAAATCAATTATAACTACATGTATTGATAGGAATAAATCCTTCAATATTGAATTAAAAAATGAGTTCAAAATAACTAAAACTAAAAATACAGCATGTATATGTATCTACTTATGTATATGTGTATGTATATTTATGTACATATCCATGAGTGTAGATATATATTTGTAATTTATTATCAGTATTCTAGTTCTCAGCTTGGTGATAAGTTCACAGGTATCATTTTATCATATTACATCATAGTAAGAAAAAGTGAGGCCGGGCGTGGTGGCTCACACCTGTAATCCCAACATTTTGGGAGGCTGAGGCAGGTGGATCACTTTAGGTCAGGAGTTCGAGACCAACCTGGCCTACATGGTGAAACCCCATCTCTACTAAAAATACAAAATTAGCCAGGTGTTGTGACACACACCTGTAATCGCAGCTACTCTGAAGAAGGTGGGAGAATCACTTGAACCCCGGACGAGGAGGTTGCAGTGAGCCAAGACCACACCACTGCACTCCAGCCTGGGTGACAGAGCGAGACTCCCCCTCAAAAAAAAAAAAAAAAAAGAAAAGAAAAAAGTGAACATGTACGGAACAATGATAGTAGTGTGTCATGAACTAAGGGTTGAGACGAGTCCAGTGAGAGCACTTGAGGTGCACTGAGCCCCAGACCTTTCACGCTTTCTTACTACTATCCTCAGTCACCTCTAATTTTCTCTCTCCTAGTGGTACCTCACCTCGGCCAGGTTGGTCTTCCATTTTGAGACTGGGATGAAACACCACAAAACAGGGCAGGTGATATGGTTTGGATGTTTTGTCCCCTCCAAATGTCATGTTGAAATGTGACATCCAATGTTGGAGGGGAGCCTGGTGAGAGGTGTTTGGGTCATGGGGGCGGGTTCCTCATGAATGTCTTGGTGTGGTCCTCGCAATAATGAGGTGAGTTCTCACTCCATGAGTTCATGTGAGATCTGATTGTTTAAGAGAGCCTGGCAGCTCCTCCCTCTCTCTTGCTCTCTCTCTTGCCATGTGACACTCTGGTTCCCCTTTCACCTTCCACCATGATTGTAAGCTTCCTGAGACCCTCACCAGAAGCAGATGCTAGCACCATGCTGCCTGTACAGCCTGCAGAACCATAAGCCAAAATAAATGTTTTTTCCTTTATAAATTGCCTGGTCTCAGCTATTCCTTTATAGTAACACAAACGGACTAATCCAGCAGGGCTCTGACTTCCTCAGCAACTGCCAAGGGGTTAGACACAACACAGAAGTACAGAGGAGTTAGCTTCTTACAGAGTGAAACATAACCAATGGGAAAAAAAAGAGAGAGATAGAGTAGTAGAGTGAGTAGATTTCCTCACCATTCTCTCTTCCGTAGGCTACTCCGAGATGCAGTTCCTCCTGGCAACCCTTCTAGAGAGGTTCTTTGTGCAAGGCAAACTTGCTTTGGCTCTTTGCAATGTGTCATGAAATACATAACAGCAGAGAGCATGGAACACATCCCCTTGTGTTGCTTTTCATCTTTCTTTGCCTTTTGGGTTCTCACTTTCCCAAAACCGTTTTAGGATCTTAATTCTTGTTTCAGGCTCTGTTTTCTAGAGGACTTAGTTTAACACAAGGGATTCATTAATAGTAATAATAATAACAGTCATGTCTCAAAATGAACTTGTGTTGTGCCTGGTGCTGAACCACGCCCTTTCTCTGGATTATTTCCTATAAAGCTCCCAATTACCCTAGGAGATTGTATGATCTTTCAGGTGAGGAAACAGTCACTCGGAGATGTCTTCCTTAAGATCACACAATCACTGCAATGCTTTATCTTTAGAAACATGCACATTATTCAAGGAAGAATGGACAATTTCTGGATACTTGTAAAAACTAGAAATATGCTATTTTTCAGACTCACTTTATATAGCATTCCTTAGAGAACTAGCTTCTCCCCTGCTTCACAAATATTATGACTCAGAAATGCAATGGCTGTAATAGCCACGATAAAGATTCTACACAAGCAGTTAAAGACAGAATATTTAATGACAGAAGGTTGAGAAGGCTTTGTCTGAATAAGAAACTTACTAATAATGTGGACAAACACAGAACAACCTCTCTTGCCTATTTGTAGTGATAATAATAGTATTGGAAAATATTGGCCAAAATATAATTTTATGTAAAAAATAAATCCATGAAAATTTAAAAGCTAATATCAGGAAAACATCACCTAAAGCAACTTATATAAATAATGTAGGCAGGTTTGGATCTATTAATGGGTTGTGAAATATATTTCACAGGTTGAAACTAGCCTACTCTGAAACCAGAGTGGGTTAAAACCAGCATGATAAAAAGTAGAAATAGGACAGAATAGTAATGATCCATCTGCATTTAGGAAAGGTGTATATTGTTTTGGGAAGATTTTCTTTGTAAATGTGTTTTAGAGTACATGTGACTGTATGCTAGGTTATGATGTAAATCTCTTTATTGTAGTAGAAAAGAGTTTTAAAAACACTGATATAGTTGGTGACAATATCACAAGGTTTATAAAACAAAAACAAAACATATTTTCAGAGTCACTGACATCTAGGTTGAAATACCTACCCAACCATAATGTTTTCTTTCTTTCTTTCTCTTTTTTTTTTTTTTTTTTTTTGAGATGGAGTTTCACACTGTCGCCCAGGCAGGAGTGCAGTTGCCCTATCTTGGCTCACTGCCACCTCCGCCTCCTGGGTTTAAGCAATTCTCCTGCCTCAGCCTCCTGAGTAGCTGGGATTACAGGTGTGCCACCACACCCGGCTAATTTTTGTATTTTTAGTAGAGATGGGGTTTCACCATGTTAGCCAGGCTGGTCTGGAACTCCTGGCCTCAAGTTATCCGCCTGCCTTGGCCTCCCAAAGTGCTGGGATTACAGGCCTCAGCCATGGCGCCCGGCCCCACATTTTCTTGTCTTAAGGAAGCCCATGTCTCTTAATGCTCAGAAAACATCATGGAAATGCATCTCTTGGAGGCTGTGCTCCAATCATGCTTTTACCCGTGATGGACTGGACCCCACTGACCTTCCCGCCTGATTCTCACATATCGTCCATTATGGCGGTTTTCTCATTCTCTCGACACCTGGGGGAAATCTTAAGGTTGTTGAGGGCTCAGAGCTAACACTTGACTCAGAGTCTGACACATTTTTGGTACAGAAAATGTTTATTTCTTTCCAAATAGTTCACACCTGAGACCTGACTAAGTACCCAAGCTTCAGGAAGATTCTTGGGATAGAGAAGACAAAGAGGAGATCTAGGCATGGTGAAATGGAAAACAATTAAACTCAGAAGGAATTTGAATTCGTTTTTGGCAAGGACCCTCCACTTTTTCCTAGGCTTGCTGCCTAAACATCAATTCAGTCTGCCTCTTGCAGGTGTCTGTGTGATGCAGAGGGAGTCATTTCATGGCAGAAGTGTGGGCTGGAGAAGACCTGGCTAAATTTCAGAATAGATGGGCTGAGGATGGGGAGGGAACTTTACTTCCCCTCAGTGTTTCCCCATCTCTCTCCTTTGCAACTAGCTGCTTCCTCTCTGGAATTTTAACTTCTATTCTTGGAGGAGAGAACATTTTTAAAAGCTAGCAAACTCAGTAAAGACTCCAACACAATTTTTTTAAAATAAAAATTACCTCCAAAAATGATCAAAGCAAGGTACAATAATTGTAGACAACATTAGCAATAAAGAGAAACAAAAAAGAATAAAATTTATATTACTATCACCTCATCACCCAGAGGAAATTATGATTTATTACTCCTTGGTCTATATTCTTCCAGACCTTCTTAACACATATAACACATACTTTGTCCATTTTGTTTTGCTGTTGTGATTATCCTTGTCTCTTAAATTTCAAAAATAACCATGGTCATTCCTTAGGATAATTCTAGAAGTAAATATCATAACTATATTTTCTGAGTCAAATAGCACACATATTTTGAAGGTCTTCTCTTCAGTTTCCATACACATTCCCAGTCTCTCCTCTCCTCTCCAACCTTCATAGGCAGCCTGGAGATGTGACAAGACTCACAGCACTGCTGTTCTGGTTTACTCTGTAATATCTCCATTTGCTGAAGAATTGTTTGATAAAAGACCATGTCTGGTTATTCTCCCAAATGCAAATATTTTTATCCATCTGCTATCTGATTAAAATGAGTTCATGGGATAATCTTGATAAATCTTAGATATAAATATTATGAACGGAAGTTTATTGGTATGAGTGTTTACAAGTATAAGCACAACCAGGAATCATAGAGGAATTAGCTTTTCCTGTGATTAAACATGACTAATGGCAAGAGAGTCAGGGGGAAGTTGTCTTCTAAGAAGTATCATTAAAAGGGCAACATTGGAGCAAGACAAAGTTACAAAGTAGGAAAAGCAATCTTTTAGGCCATATTAAGAATGTTTGACTTTATCCTAACAGTAACAAGAAACTATTGAAGGAGATTAAGTAGAGGGTAACCTGTTTGGATTGACATTTTGAGAAGTTTACTTTCACTTCAATATAGAAAATGGACTGGTAGAGGCCGGGTGTGGTGGCTCACACCTATCATCCCAGCACTTTGGGAGGCCGAGGCGGGCGGATTGCCTGAGATCGGGAGTTCAAGACCATTCTGCCCAACATGGTGAAACCCTGTCTCTGCTAAAAATACAAAAAAATTAGCCGGGTGTGATGGCGTGCGCCTGTAATCCCAGCTACTCAGGAGTCTGCGACAGGGGAATTGCTTGAACCAGGGAGGTGAAGGTTGCAGTGAGCTGAAATCGTGCTACTGCACTCCAGCCTGGGTGACAGAGTGAGACTCCGTCTCAGAAAAAAAAAAAAAAAAAAAGAAAAGAAAAAGAAAAAGAAAATAGATTGGCAGAGTAAGCAAGAGAGGATGTGGGAAGGTCTTGGTGATTAACAGGACTATGGAATTCAACAAAGACTGAGGCATTGAGGATGATTCCTAAATACACAATAGTGCTACCTTTTCTATGAGAGTAGGAAAAAATAACAATAGGTGATAGGTGCATGTGTGTGCGTGTGCATGAGTGTGTGTGTGTTTCTGCATACTTATATTTTTCTTTTTGCAAAAAAACCCGAAATAGCAACAAAAAACCCTCACAAACACTAAGAATAACCAGAAACTAGGAAATTGCTTACCCATAGAGAAGAATTGTAAGAGTAATAGGGGAGGGTGTGACTTCTCACATATACCTTTTATCATAGTTTCTCAACTTTATTTTTTTCTGGCTGGGCGTGGTGGCTCACACCTGTAATCCCAGCACTTTGGGAGGCCAAAGCGAGTAGATCACTTGAGGTCAGGAGTTCCAGACCAGCCTGGCTAACATGGTGAAACCCCATCTCTACTAAAAATACAAAAATTAGCAGGGCGTGGTGGCATACGCCTGTAATCCCAGCTACTTGGGGGGCTGAGGCAGGAGAATTGCTTGAACCTGGGAGGTGGAGGTTGCAGTGAGCCGAGATCACGCCACTGCACTCCCGCCTGGGCAACAGAGTGAGACTTCATCTCAAAATAAATAAATAAATAAATAAATAAATAAATAAATAAATAAATTTAAAGAACCCCCCCACCCCCTTTCTTTTTCTTTCCAACTTTTATTTTACGTTCAAGGCGTACATGTGCAGGTTTGTTACATGGGCAAAATTTCACAGGAGTTTGGTATGCAGATTATTTTATCATTCAGGTAATAAGTGAAGTACCCAATAGGTAGTTTTTCAATCCTCACCCTCCTCCTACTCTCCACCTTCAAGTAGGCCCCAGTGACTATTGTTCCCTTCTTCGTGTCCATGTGTATTCAATGTTTAGTTCCCACTTATAAGTGAGAACATGCATTTGCTTTTCTGTTCCTGCATTAATTTTCTTAGGATAATGGCCTCCAGCTCCAACCATGTTGCTGCAAATGACAGGATTTTGTTCTTTTTTTTGTGGCTGTGTAGCATTCCATGGTATATATGCACCGCATTTTCTTTCTCTGATCCACTGTTGATGGGCATTTAGATTGATTCCATGTCTTTGCTATTGTGAATAGTACTGTGATTAACATATGTGTGCATGTGTCTTTAAGGCAGATATTTATTTTATTTTTGTTTGGGTATATACCCAGTAATGGGATTGCTGGTCAAATTGTAGTTCTGTTTTAAGTTCTTTGAGGTATCTCCAAACTGCTTTCCCCAGTGGCTGAACTAATTTTCATTCCCATCAACAGTGTATAAGCATTCCCTTTTCTCTGCAACCCTGCCAACCTCTGTTATTTTTTGACTTTTTAATGATATCCATTGTGACTGGTATGAGATAGTATTTCATTGTGATTTTGATTTGCATTGATTAATGATGTTGAACATTTTTTCATTTGCTTGTTGGTTGCTTATATGTCTTCTTTTGAGAAGTGTCTATTCATGTCCTTTGTTCATTTTTAAATGAGGTTGTTTTTTGCTTGTTAATTTGTTTAAATTCCTTATAGATTCTGGATATTAGACCTCTTGGATGCAGAGTTTGCAAATAGTTTTCCCATCCTGCAGGTTGTCTGTTACTCTGTTGATAGTTTCTTTCACTGTGCAGAAGTTCTTTAATTAGGTCCCATTTGTCAATTTTAGTTGTGGTTACAATTGCTTTTGGAGTCTTTGTCATGAAATCTTTGTCAGGTCCTATGTGCAGAATGGTATCTCCTAGGTTTTCTTCTAGGGTTTTTATAGTTTTAGGTTTTATACTTAAGTCTTTAATCCATCTTGAGTTGTTTTTCATATATGGTGAAAGGTATGGGTCCAGTTTCAATCTTCGCATATGGCCAGCCAGCTATCCCAGCACTATTTATTGAATAGGGAGTTCTTTCCCCATTGCTTGTTTTTGTTGACTTTGTTGAAGATCAGATAGCTGTAGGTATGAGACTTTATTTCTGGGTTCTCTAACCTGTTCCATTGGTCAGCGTTTCTGTTTTTCTACCAGTACCATGCTGTTTTGGTTGCTGTAGCATTGTAGTATAGTCGGAAGTCAGGTAGTGTGATGCCTCCAGCTTTGTTTTTTTAGCTTAGGATTTATTGGCTATTCAGACTCTTTTTTGGTTCCATATGAATTTTAGAATAGCTTTTTCAAATTCTGTGAAAAATATTGGTAGTTTGATAGGAATAGCATTGAATCTATACATTACTTTGGGCAGTATGACCATTTAGACAATACTGATTCTTCCTATCCATGAGCATGGAATGTTTTTCCATTCATTTGTGTCATCTCTGATTTCTTTCAGCAATGTTTTGTAACTGTTGTTGTAGAGATCTTTCACCTCCCTGGTTAGTTGTATTCCTAGGTATTTTATTTTATTTGGCTATTGGGACTGGGATTGTGCTCTTGGCTTGGGTCTTAGCTTGGATGTTGGTGGTGTATAGAAAGGTTACTAATTTTTGTACATTGATTTTGTATCCTGAAACTTTGCTGAAGTTGTTTATCAGATCTAGGAGCTTTTGGGTAGAGACTATGGGGTTTTCTGGGTATAAAATATTATCTGTGAAGAGAGGTAGTTTGACTACCTCTTCCTGTTTGGATGCCTTTTATTTGTTTCTTTTGCTTGACTGCCCTGGCTAGGACTTCTAGTACTATGTTTAATAGGAGTGGTAAGAGTAGGCATCATTGTCTTGTTCCAGTTTTCAGGGGAAATTCTTCCAGCTTTTGCCCATTCAGTTTGATGTTGGCTGTGGATTTGTCATAAATGTCTTTTATTATTTTGAGATGTGTTTCTTCAATGCCTAGTTGTTGAAGGTTTTTAACATGAAGTGATGTTGAATTTTATTGAAAGCCTTTTCTGTGTCTACTGTGATAATCATGTGTTTTTTGTTTTAACTTCTGTTTATGTAATGAATTACATTTATTGATTTGCATATGTTGAAGTAACCTTGCACCCAAGAGATAAAGCCTACTTGATTGAGGTGGACTAGCTTTTTGATGTGCTAGTGAATTCAATTTGCTAGGATTTTGTTCCTGATTTGTGTATCTATATTCATCAGGGATAATGGCCAGAAATTTTCTTTTCTTGTGTCTCTGCCAGGTTTTGGTATCAGGATGATACTGGCCTCACATAATGAGTTAAGGAGGAGTCCTTCCTCCTTAATTTTTTTGGAATATTTTCAGTAGGATTGGTACCAGCTCTTCTTTATGTGTCTAGTAGAATTTGGCTGTATCCATCTGGACTAGGGCTTTTACTGGTTGGTAGGCTTCTTCTTACTGAATCAATTTTGGAACTCATTATTGGTCTGTTCAGGGTTTAAATTTCTTCCTGGTTCAATCTTGAGAAGTCGTGTGTTTCCAGGAATTTTTCCATTTCTTCCAGATTTTCTAGTCCATGTGCACAGAGGTGTTTATAATAGTCTTTGAGGGTTTTTTGTATTTCTGTTGTATCAGTGGTAATAACCCTTTGTCATTTATGATGGTGTTTGGATCTTCATTCTTTTTTATTTGTTAGTCTCACTAGAAGTCGATCACTTTTATCTACTCTTTCAAAGAACCAATTTTTGGTTTCATTTACCTTTTGTATGTTTTCTTTGCATCTCAATTTCATTCAGTTCAGCTCTGATTTTGGTCATTTCTTGTTTTCTGCTAGTTTTGGGGTTGGTTTGCTTTTGTTCCTCTAGCTCCTCTAGGTGTGATGTTAATTTGTTAATTTGAGATCTTTCCAACGTTTTGATGTGAGCATTTAGCACTATAAACTTTCCTCTTAACACTGCCTTAGCTGTGTTCCAGAGATTCTGGTATGATGTATCTTTGTTTTCATCAGTTTGAAAATTTTGGAACTCATTATTGGTCTGTTCAAAATTTCAATTTCTTTCTGATTGAATCTGGGCAAGTTGTATGTTTCCAGAAATTTATCCATTTGTTTTAGATTTCTTCTAGAGTGTGCATGAAAGCACATAGTTTTGACTGTCAAAGAATTTCTTGATTTCTGCTTTGATTTTATTGTTTACCCAGAAGTTATTCAGGAGCAGGTTAACTTCCATGTAATTGCATGGTTTTGAGAGGTTTTCTTAGTATTGATTTTTATTTTTATTGTGCTGTGGTCTGAAAGTGTGGTTGGTATGATTTTGGTTTTTTGGAATTTGTTCAGAATTGTTTTATGCAGAGTGTGTGGTCAATTTTAGGGTATTTGCCATATAAGAATGAGAAGAATGTATATTCTGTTGTTGTTGGGTGGAATGTTCTGTAGATGTTAAGTTTGGGTCTTGAATATCTTTTTTTGTTACTTTTCTGCCTCAGTGATGGGTCTAATACTGTCAGTGGGGTGTTGAAGTGGCCCACTGTTATTGTGTGGTTAACTAAGTCTCTTTGTAGGACTCTAAGAACTTGCCTTGTGAACTGGGTGCTCATGTGTTAAGTGCATACATATTTAGGAAAGTTAAGTCTTCTTATTGAACTGAACACTTTATCTTTATATCTTTATCTTTATATAATGTCCTTCTTTGTCTTTTTGATTATTCTTGGTTTGAAATCTGTTTTGTCTGAAATTAGAATAGTAACCCTGTTCTTTTTTGTGTTCCATTTGCTTGGTAGATTTTTCTCCAATCCTTTACTTTGAGCCTGTGGGTGTCATTGCATGTGAGATGAGTCTCTTGAAGACAGCATAGAGCTGAGTCTTTCTTCTTTATCCAACTTGCCACTCTTTGCCTTTAGTGAGATGTCTAGCCTGTTTACATTCAAGATTAATATTGATATGTGTGGATTTGAACATGTCATCATGTTGTTAGCTGGTTGTTATGCAGACTTGATTGTGTAGCTGCTTTACAGCGTCAAGGATCTATGTACTTAAGTGTGTTTTTGTGGTGACTGGAAATGGTTTTTTATTTCCATGTTTAGTACTTCCTTAAGGATCTCTTGTAAGACAGGTCTGGTGGTAACAATTTCCCTTAGCATTTACTTGTCTAAAAAGGATTTTATTTCTCCTTCACTTATCAATTTAGTTTGGCTGGATATTAAATTTTTGGTTGGAATTTATATTCTTTAAGACTGCTGAATATAGGCCCCTAATTTCTTCCGGCTTGTAGGGTTTCTGCTGAAAGGTCTGCTGTTAACCTGATGGGTTCCCCTTATAGGTGGCCTGCCCCTTCTCTTTGGCTGCCTTTAAGATTTTTTTCTGATGGCCAGAGATGATGAGCATTTTTTCATGTGTCTGTTGGCTGCATAAATGTCTTCTTTTGAGAAGTGTCTGTTCATATCCTTCGCCCACAAATGTACCCTAGAACTTAAAGTATAATAATAATAATAATAAAAAGATTTTTTTCTTTTACATTGACTTTGGAGAATCTGATGACTGTGTATCTTGGGGATGGGTGTCTTGTATAGGATCTCTGAATTTCCTAAATTTGAATGTCAACCTCTCTAGTGAGATTGGGGACATTTTTGTGGACAATATCCTTAAATATGTTTTCTAAGTTGCTTGCTCTCTCTCCCTCTGTTTCAGGGATGCCAATGAGTTACAGGTTTGGTCTCTTTACATAATACCACATTTCTCAGAGGTTTTGTTCATTCTTTTAACTTTTTTTCTCTTTATTTTTGTCTTTCTGAATAGATTCAAAGAACTGGTCTTCTAGTTCTGAGATTCTTTCCTTAGCTTGGTGCATTTTGTTGTTAATACTTCTGATTGTATTATGAAATTCTTGTAGTAAGTTTTTCAGCTCTATCAGATTGGTTTGGATAGTTTCTTTCTTTCTTTCTCTTTCTTTCTTTCTTTCTTTCTTTCTTTCTTTCTTTCTTTCTTTCTTTCTTTCTTTCTTTCCTTCCTTCCTTCCTTCCTTCCTTCCTTCTTTCTTTTTCTCTTTCTTTCTCTTTCTTTTCTTTTCTTTTCTTTTCTTTTCTTTTCTTTTCTTTTCTTTTCTTTTCTTTCTTTTTTTTGTTGAGATGGAGTCTCACTCTGTTGCCCAAGCTGGAGTGCAATGGTGTGATCTCGGCTCACTGCAACCTCTGCCTCCCAGTTCAAGCAATTCTCCTTCCTCAGCCTCCCGAGTAGCTGGGATTACAGTTGTGTGCCACCACACCCCACTAATTTTTGTATTTTTAGTAGAGATAAGGTTTCACCATGTTGGCCAGGCTGGTCTTGAACTCCTGACCTCAAGTGATCAACCTGCCTTGGCCTCCCAAAGTGCTGGGATTACATGCGTGAGCCACCGTGCCTGGCCAGTTTGGTTATTTCTTAAAATGACTATTTCATCTTTCAGCTCTTATATAATTTTATTGGATTCCTTAGATTCCTTGGATTGGGTTTTGATTTTATCCTGAATCTTGATGATCTTCATTGCTATTCAGTGTCTGAATTCTATGTCTGCCACTTTAGCCATTTCAGCCTGGTTAAGAACCTTTGCTGGGGAGCTAGTATGGTCATCTGGAGGTAAGAAGATACTCTGGCTTTCTGAGTTGCCATAGTTCTTGTACTGGTTCTTTCTTATCTCTGTGGGCTGATGTTCCTTTAATCTTTGAAGTTGCTTTCCTTTGGATGGGTTTTTTTTTTTTTTTTTTGCTTTTATATTCTTTGATGTCCTTCAGAGTTTGACTGTGGTATAAGTTGGGTTTAGTTGACTGGCCTTATTTCTGGATGATTTTAGGGGGCCAAGGCTCAGTTCGACACTCCTAGGCTTTGTGCTCTAACCTTGGGGGGCTAAGATCTGCCCCACAGGTTTGCTCTCTTGCCCCTCGAGGTTAAGTGCCTGCTGCATTGGAGGGGCTGAGGAGTGTTCCTGATTTGCTGGCGACCACACTCCAATGGGGTGAGGGAGCATGCCAGCAAAAGTGCTTCGTTGGGGTGGTGGCAGCAGGATCCGCACTTGTGTGTGCCAGCAGTGGCAGTGTGCATGGCAGCACATAGTTTTGACTATCATAAACTATCTAGTGTTTTGCATAATCAAAACACAAAATTAAAGCAACATGGATGGGCATGAAACCTAAATTTTAATACAAACAGAAACAAACATTACCATATTTCTATTGAATACGTTTCAGGGATGCCAACGAGCCACAGGTTTGTTCTCTTTACATAATCCCATACCCTAAAGGAAAATGAGAATAATCCGAATAACTTCTCTATCCCATCCTCTGATTAAATATCACTAATGTAAACAGAAAATAACTACTAAGAAACCTTGAAGTGTATTTAGTGAGTTTATTGTTGGTAATGGTATGAGTATGGCAATTCTGAAACTATCTTGTGTGTGTTGTATGATTGAGCAAAGGAGGAAATAGATTGATGTTTTGGGGAGTTATGTTTCTGACTGTGGAGAAAGGAGAGAGAATTATGTTATAAGAGAAGCCCTGTAGTAGCGAACTGCAAAGAGCCTATAGGCAACCTTGTCCCAAGAGTGTTCAGAGCTTGGTTTCTAGATACTCTCCCCCAGTGAAAGGAACCACTTTGGAGAAATAACTGATTCCAGGACTGAGAAAAGGAAAATACAAGGTAAGCCTGGGACATCTTGTTCCAGAAAGTAAAAGAACTGTTCAAAAATGGATGAGGTCATGTCAAAAAGGACACAGAGCCAGTCTGAAGTGGTTCCACTGGCCAAATATGGAATAAGTTGAGAATCAAAATAAATTATGATAGTAATGTATTATAGTTCATTGAATAAAAATTAAAAATTCATGGATCTAGAGGTAGATAGATAAATAGATATTAATAGTATAGCCTTCCTTACTGTAGAATGCCAAACAATGAATATAGAAGGATTCCAAATATAGTAAAAATTGACTTAGGCAAGAATCATTACTGGATGCTAAAGTTATTAGGTGGTGGAACTTTATGGGAAACAAGATATTACACAGTAAAAACTGTGGTATTGGCACACTTGCAAGTCAGTGAGAAATAGGAGAACAATTGGCTGGAACAATTGGCTATTCATTAGGGACCAGGAGCATGGATTCCAGAGCCAAAGTGTCTGGGATAAAATCCTTGGCTATATTGCTTACTTCCTTTGTGACCTTGGGTAAGCTACTTAACCTCTCAAAATTCTGTTCCCTCATCTGTAAAACAGGGATAAGCATGCTATGTATTTATGAAAATTTAATTTTACTATTTGTATAATGCAGAAAGGTGCCCACACACATAAAATACTGTATAAGTATTAAGTAAATACATTTGGAGAAATAATTATAAAATTTAATCACCGCATCATGCTAAAATTAGTTTCACATTAGATTAAAGACAAACAAAAAATAATTTTAGAAGGCATTATGGGAAAGTGTATTTTAATTCTTGTGCAAGATACAAATAATGTAAACCATAAAGGAAAATATCAATAAATTAAATCATACCAAAATTAAGAGTTCAAAGGCATCTGAAGCTTAATTAGTTCAAAGCAAAATTTTTTTTTTTTTTGAGACAGAGTTTTGCTCTTGTTTCTCAGGCTGGAATACAATGGTGTGATCTCAGCTCACTGCACGCTCCACCTCCCAAGTTCAAGCGATTATCCTGCCTCAGCCTCCCAAGTAGCTGAGATTACAGGAATGTGCCACCAGGTTTGGCTAAGTTTGTATTTTTAGTACAGACAGGGTTTCACCATGTTGGCCAGGCTGGTCTTGAACTCCTGACCTCAGGTGATCCACCAGCCTTGGCCTCCCAAAGTGCTGGGATTACAGGTGTGAGCCACCACTCCCAACCCAAAACAATATTTTTAATTTTCCTGTCATTCTAGACTCGTTTGGCATTTTTGATCTCAGAGAATGACACCTTTTCCCATTGAGGCTTTTGTATCTTGCTTATTTTCTTAAAAATAAATTGGGCCAGGTGTGGTAGCTCACGCCTGTAATCTTAGCACTTTGGGAGGCCAAGGTGGGTGGATCACCTGAGATCAGGAGTTCAAGACCAGCCTGGCCTAACATGATGAAACCACATATCTACTAAAAATGAAAAAATTAGCTGGGCATGGTGGCCAGCGCTTGTAATCTCAGCTACTCAAGAGGCTGAAGCAAGAGAATGGCTTGAACTTGGGAGGCAGAGGTTGCAGTGAGCTGAGATCGTGCCACTGCACTCCAGCCTGGGTGACAGAGTGAGACTCTGTCTCAAAATCAATCAGTCAATCAATCAATCGTGGAAATCATTTTATATCAGTTCATATAGGTTTTCCTTATTGTTTTTAAAAAAAGATGCACAGTATTCTATTGCAAGGATCTATCATTCATGCAATCAATTTTCTATATAGGAATTTTTGAGTTGTTTCCAGTATTTTGGCAATTACAAATAATGTCTTAATAAATAACATTTTATGTATTTATTTTCGTATTGTTGAAAGTAAACTTCAGGGCAAATTCCCAGAAGTCGGGTTGCTGGGTCAAAGCGTAAAATGTGTATCGAGTTTTGTTAGATGTTGCCAAATTTCAATCCACGGAGACTGCATCATTTTGCACACCCATCACCAATATATGAGTGCTCATTACCCTACAGAGTATATCATCGTACATACTAATTTTGATCACTTGGATAGATGTGAAATGTTTTACTCTTTTTCATTTGGATTTAATTATGAATGAGATAGAAGATCTCTTCATAGGTGTAAGGACATTTTGTATCTTTTTAGGGGTGTATTGTCTACATCATATATTTTGCCCATTTATCTATAAGGTTTTGGTCCTTCTTTAATCTTGATGTTTACAAGTTATTTACATATTAATGATATTAGTTCTTTATCTGCAATGTGTGTTGAAAATATTTTCTCCCAGTTCATCATTTGTCTATGTTTTTGTTTACAGAGTTTTGTGTCATTCAAAAGTTCTTTAAAAATTTTAAAAATTTTTATAGAGTTGAGTTCATGAATCTTTTCTTTTATTGTCTCTAGATTTTTAGACATATTTTGAAAGTCTTTCATCACCAGATTTCAAAGGTATTTATCTATGTTTTCTTCTAATACTTGCATGGCTTCAGTTTTATAATGAGTTTTCTAATCCATTGGGGTTTTCTTTCTTGTGTAGACTGTGAGGATACAATATTATCATCTATATGGCTTTTCAATTGTCATAACCTAACATCATTTACTAAAAGTCTATCTTGGTCCCAGTAATTAGAGATGTCAACTTTATCATGCATTATATTTCCATATATACTTGTGTCTTCTAGTCTATTCCACTAAGTAATCTGTCTATTCATGAACTAGTACAATAATCTTGTAATTATAATGGCTTTCTGATATATTTGAGTATGACAGAGATTTCTGCCTCCACCTGTCCCTCGATAGCTCTTTATTTTTTTCAGTGTTTTCCCGACTATTCATGCATGTTTATTTTTTTCATATAAATTTTAGTATTAAATTATCTCATTTTAAGATAATCAAATCTTTTTGGCATTTTTATTGGGGCTTTATTAAATCTGAAAATTAACTTATGGAGTACTGACATTTTTATGACATTGAGTCATTCTCTACCTATTTGTTTAAGTTCGCAAGTTAAGTTTTTGGAAGTGTTTTAACATTTCCCTTATGTAGATTTTAAAATTTTCTTAAGGCTATTTCTATTGTAATTGCTATTGTAAATGGGATTCACTCTTCCATTGTTTGTGTATATATGATGGATACTCTATTGATTGTTGTATATTCATTTTATATCTTGCTATCTTTCTGATTTGTAAATCATATGTTTTATTATTGATTCTCTAGATCCATTGAATTTTTATTTTTTTAAATACTAGGTTTTTCTTTTCTAGAAACTCTTTTTTCTTCCAAATATATACCGTTATTTTAATAATCTTTTATTCTTACTCATATTTTCAATTCTCTCTCTTCTTTAAATATTTTAAACATAACTTATTGCATGCTTATTAATCGTCTTACCTAAGGTCTTTGTATATATGAGTCTATTGTCTACTTGTTTTATTTCTGCTGGCTATTGCTTACAGTGTCTTACTTCCTTATGTGGTTTTGTGATTTTTTAAAAAATCATGTATTTGTATATCTTGGAACACTATCCGTGGAATTGTTCAAGGCCTATGTTTAAAGTGAGCTCCTCTAGAAAGGACTGAATTTGCTTTTGCTAGGTGTTTAGGACCAATATCAACCTGGAACCAATTTAAAATAATTCTTAGCCATGAGCTGTTGAAATTCACACACATCATATGAATTCAGGCTACAAACCTGGATGAAGGCTGTGTTAGGGCTGTACATCTCAGAAGGAAATCTCTCCTCACTTATTTAGCCAGGTCCAAGATTAAAAATAAATGAATACATCATTTACTGTTTGCTCTGAGAGCAGGTTTATTTCTGGATCTCACTTTCATGGAAGGTACAACTGTTTACGTTACCAGCTTTCTGTAAGGATCTCCTGGAAAAATTCCTCTTTAGGGGGACCTAGCCTTGAGCTTGAGAGGCTGTCACAGCAAAACTCAGTCTCCAGGGTTTGGCAGATGCCCCAGGACAAAAGCATGCCTGAGTGTTTGTGCACCTTTCTGGATTCCCAGGAGACTTTTATTAATTTTTGACCTTTATGGATTTTTAAAAACTTTCTCACTAGGTTAACAATACATTTAGAAAGCGCCTATTTAAATATGTTATATAGCTTTTTGGTTGTTTCAGTGGAGAAGTTGTTAAGAGTGTGCAGGCTGTCCTAGTTTCACCAGACTTGGAAATCTAAAGTGATTTCTGAAACATCAAATACATTTAATTTAAAATGAATTAAAATTATCATATAGATATCTATTTCTATCATTTTTCTTCCCTTCTTTTCACAGGTGTTGATAGATATCTATTTTTAAACATGGAAAGATGGTGGTGCAATGGCCAGTGAGTACAAAAAGTTAAAAAATTGTAAAAAGTATGAGCCCATCCTTAGAAAACATTCATAGAGATTTTTACATAGAGAGGAAATTGTTTTATACAAAAGTGATTATTAACAGTAGCTGCTTGGGAGGTTGAATTGTGAGTGATTTTTTTTCTTTTGTTTCCCCTTTTGTAATTTTCCATAATAAACATGGATTATTTGGCCGAAAATATAAAAACCTATTTAAAAATCATATAAATCTGAATGAAACATTTCAATACGAAGCAGGAATAGTGTTAGTCTTTTTCAATACTATTTCAGTATCTTTTTAAATTCATCAGCTTTGACTTAAAGTCATATTTTATAGATAAGCTTTTTTTTTTTTTTTTTTTTTAGCCTGTTGGCAAAATCAGTCTGGGGTAGGCTTCTGTCTTCTGTAGAGCTATCTGATTTCCAGAAATGAAAGGCTCTTCCCAATAATGAGGCTGTCAATGGAAAGGGAGCAGAGAATGTGGTTCTCTTTCATTGGAGCCTTCCAAAACATTGCAAGTAGTTTGAGGAGTTGAAATGGCTTAGATGATGTCTTGCCTGGAAACAGAAAATAGAGATGATCTTGCAAATGCTTTCCAGTGGATGATTCTATTATTTTGTATGAGTGTCCCCTGGCTGGAATTAGCTCTTATTTTTTCCACTACCTCATTATAGAAAACTTAACTAACTCCAGATGAAGAATTTCACAGCTTCAACTCTTTTAGAGTTGATCTTGTTAACGGGTCTTTCTAGAATTGACCAGGTAAAAAAATATACAAAATTTAGTGTGGATACCAAGAAATTATGAACTCTGAAGACATCACAACAGCCCCTTTTCTGGGCAAATTTGCAAGAAAATGCCACACCAAAAAGATCAACTGTGTGTAGAAGTGGTTGCTGTTGTACAATAAAAAAGTTTGGAAAAACAAAAAGAATACTCTTGAGACTCCAGGAAAATTCCACTTGCATACATCATAGAATTATTAAAACAGGAAAGACAGTGTAAGGTCATCCAAATCAATTTCTTTCTTTCAGTTAGTCCCCCAGACTTGGTGATGACCAACAGTCATTTTCACTGTGAAGTTTAATTGTACCAATACGTACACTATACTTAATATTTTGAAAGACAGCTTTTTTTTCTAAAACATGATTCAGGTTTAGTAGAATCCCACACCCTCATCAACAGAATTGTTTTCTTCTCCAAGATGTAGTTGTGTTTAGGTGTTCAATAAAATAACTGAAAGTCCTTTCAGTGTTACAAATGAATATTAATTGGTCCCTAGTAGTAAGTCAACTATGCTACATGTACTCATTCCAAAAATCAGACAGATACATTTATTTCGATCGTTGATTTGAAATCTCTTAGTTGAAAGTGCATTTTTGTTCTGTGTAGTAAGGAAAGATTTTTAAATCGTGTTCAATTCTATCATCACAGACACTCATAAATTATTTCATTATCACAAGTGCCGACAGATCAAACTTGGCAGGTTCACTTCACAGAGGTTTGGAATGAGCTGAAGGTTCATCATCATCTATCCTCTAGTTTAAGGCTGAGTCCCTGTGCAGAATACCTCTAAGCAAGGAATATATCTAACCCTTTATGGTCCTGGATCTTCCTCTGGATTTCTGAATGGAAATGTTTTGTGTTGTTTGAGATATTAAGCCAATTAATTATGCTGCAAGTTGGCCCTCATACTGGTGAGGTAGTGCCTCCTAGGGACTGGCTACATCATCACAAATCTCCTTTTTCTTATTTAATTTCTTCATGCCTCCATTTCTTTTTCTAAATGGATGTTACTACATGCTCTTCCTATATTTATAGGTTTGTGATAAAAATCATGCGTGATAGTTTATTTCAGGAAGCTTTGAAAGTGAAATGGCTATCTCATAAAAATTATTCTTATTATCACTCTTAGAGGCAAGATTTTCATAAGAAAACCTTCTGAGAAAGTCAGATATGGATGCTTGAGTGGGCATCTTAATTTTTATTCTTATTTTTGAGGCCTAGTCTCGCTCTGTTGTCCAGGCTGGAGTACAGTGGCATGATCTTGTCTCACGGCAACCTCCACCTCCCGGATTCAAGCAATTCTTCTGCCTCAGCCTCCGGAGTAGCTGGGACTACAGGTGCGCACTACCACACCTGGCTAATTTTTTTTTTTTTTGAGACCTAGTCTTGCTCTGTTGCTCAGGCTGGAGTGCAGTGGCACGATCTTGGCTCACTGCAACCTCCGGTTCCCGGATTCAAGCGACTCTCCTGCCTCAGCCTCCTGAGTAGCTGGGATTGCAGGCGCCATGCCCAAGTAATTTTTGTATTTTTAGTAGAAACGGGGTTTCACCATGTTGATCAGGCTGGTCTCGAACTCCTGACCTTGTGATCTGCCTGCCTTGGCCTCCCAAAGTGCTGAGATTACAGGCGTGAACCACCATGCCAGCCTTGAGTGAGCATCTTGATAGTTAAATCTGACCATATCATTGTCCTGTTCAGAAATCCCTCACTTACACAGAACAAAATCCAAAGTCTGTCTACGCTATCTGGACCCAGCTACAATACTTATGACATCTGGACCCTCTTCCCACTCTGATCTCACTCTTACTCTTTCCTCTTATGCCCACAGTCCTCCTTGCTGTTCTGACATCCCCAGAGACTGCTTTTGGGGCTCCCTGCATCCTTCCTCCAGTTAATTCCAAGGGTGGCTGCCTGCTTAAATGCCCTCGACCCCCCTCCATCTAAAAGGGCAGCTTGTGTCCATTTTCACCCCTGGGTCTTACCCTTCTTTCCAGCACTAACCAGTGACATTATATCATATATTTCTCTGTTGTGTGTTTTCTTTTTCTTTTTCATTTTTTTTTTTGACGGAGTCTCGCTCTGTCACCCAGGCTGAAGTGCAGTGGCGCAATCTCAGCTCACTGCAAGCTCCGCCTCCTGGGTTCACACCATTCTCCTGCTTCAGCCTCCCGAGTAGCTGGGACTACAGGTGTCCACCACCACGCCCGGCTAATTTTTTGTATTTTTGGGGTTTCACCGTGTTAGCCAGGGTGGTCTCGATTTCCTGACCTCGTGATCCGCCCTCCTCGGCCTCCCAAATTGCTGGGATTACAGGCATGAGCCACCGCACCCGGCCTCTGTTATGTGTTTTCTGTCAGTCTCCCCCATGAGTAAGCTCCGGATGGAAGGAACTTTTTTGCTGTGTATCCCTGATACCTAGAATTTCACCTGGCAGGTCAAAGGGGATGGATGAACATGGAAGTAAGTGAATGGCCCCTGAGTCTTCTGCCAGCTGCTCTCTTGGTTAGACAGCATGTGGTGCACATGTGGATTTAGGTAGATGCCTTAAAACTGATGACAGCCACATGGGAAGGATTGAAGAGGCATAACTGATTAATTTTGTTCAATTCAATGTAGCAAACATTTACCAAGTCCCTATTATGAATAAGATCCTGTGTTGGAGTTGATATTCGCACTTCTGCTTCTCTAAAACAGGCTTATAATAGGTGGTTTCCATACAGACGAAACTAAAGCAGAAAGACTTCCTCTGTCAGCTAAGACCATTTCTTCTGATTTCTGCTGAAATAAAATGTCAGTTGACGAGCCTTTTTGAAACCCCTACTATAAGCAAGGCACTGTGCTGCTTATGATCTCAACTGAAACACTTCACAAGGACGTCACTCTTTCAGCTTTAAATAATGGCAATCTAATACTCAGGAAAAAGAATTTGTACAGTAATACAGCATAGGATTATAGACTTTTGCAGACTACATTAACCTGAGTGCTTCTAAAGGTACAAATGTCAAAGCTATTAGAATTCTGTTAATTCTGATAATGTACCCACACCATTCATTGATGTGAACTTTTGATGGAGATGAGAATAAAAGTGCCATTACAAATTAGTCAGAAACATATATTTTTCTCATTATTATTATTATTATTGTGGACGGAGTCTTGCCGTGTTGCCCAGGCTGGACTGCAGTGGCACGATCTCAGCTCACTGCAACCTCTTGCCTCCCGGTTTCAAGCGATTCTCTCACCTCGGCCTCCTGAGTGGCTAAGATTACAGGTGTGTGCTGCCACACCCAGCTAATTTTTGTATATTTAGTAGAGACAGGGTTTCGCCATGTTGGCCTGGCTCCTCTCAAACTCCTGACCTCAGGTGATCAGCCCGCCTCAGCCTCCCAGAGTGCTGGGATTACAGGTGTGAGCCACCATGCCCGGCCTTTTTCTCATTATTAGCTGAACATTTAGGACTCATTTTTGTGCAAATACTCATATAGTTTATTTCTGGTATATTTACCTATACAATTCATAAGAGCAAATTTTAAATGCACACATATATTAGGGCCTCATTACCCAAAAGGCCTGGGATAAAAATAGTGGAAGATACAGAGTGGTATCTGGCACAGTTAATATTAGTTAACAGTGAGGACTTACTGTGTCCCTGACACTCTTCTGAAGGCTTGAAGGGATTAATTAAATTAGATGGATTGATTCATTTGATAATTACCACATGCCCATGAGTACCATAGTGGGTACTCTTACTATTCCCATTTAACCATACTAAAAAACAGGCACAAAGAGGTTAAGCGTCTTGTCCAAGGTTAGTAGTGGTACCAGAATTCTGCACAAGAATCCATGCTTTTAATCACTGCATTATGAATGAACATGCTCCAAGGAAGCATGCATTCCACCTGGGCAGATAAGAAAGAAACAATCTAAATATCAGAGTTGAGAGCAGAGCTCTCTAAAATTAATATGTATATTTTTTCCAAAATACACAATAATGACTATAAGGGATCAAGGGAGCCAAAGATAAGTTCTCCCTGGGATAGTATTGAGCAGGAACTTGAAGGAGGGGTGGGTTCTGTTTAGGTAGATGGGAATAGAAAAGTGTTCATATGGTTTAACATCAGAAAAAGGGCAGAATTAGGAAAATTCTATTTGGGTGTCAGGGAATAATACAAGAGCAAACTTTTAGGAAGTGCTTACTAAGTAATAGGTGAAGAGCCTTCCAGATATTATAAAATTAAATCTCCTAAACACGATAAGAGGTAACTATAACTACCATGCTACAATGTGGATAAAGTAACATGTCTGGCTCTGACTTCAGAACTCACATCCTTAATCTACATTATAAAGTTTGTCCAGGAGGTTGAGTGGACATAAGATAGGAAAGTTAGGCTAAGGCAGACACGGAGGAACTTGATTACTAAGCTAATATATTTACACCTTATTCTGTTTAAAGGAGCCACCACTGGGAGGATCAGAGCAGGTGAAGGATGTAAGTAAAGTGGGTTTGCTCCTGCAGGAATATACAGACTGTTGATCTCAACCTTGGCTGTGTGCTAGAATCACTGAGAAGATTCTGATAAAATACCCATGTCTGCCCCTGCTCCTGGTCAGCTAAATAAGACACTCTGGGTTGCTCATTTCCCTCATTTACTTAAAACTTTCCATTGCCAAGATATAGTCAAAATACTTACCTTGGCATACAAGGTTGTCCAAGGTCTGATCCTTGTTCACCTCTTGTGTCTCACATCACCCATCTTTATTTATTTATTTATTTATTTATTTATTTATTTATTTAGAGACAGGGTCTTGCTCTGTCACCCAGGCTGGACTGTGGTGGCGTGATCTGGGCTCACTGCAACCTGTGCCTCCCAGGCTCAAGCGATCCTCCCATCTCAGCCTCCAGAGTACCTAGGACTATAGGCACGTGTCATCATGCCTGGCTAATTTTTAATTATTATTATTATTATTATTATTATTATTATTTTGTAGAGATAAGGTCTTATTCCCAGGCTGGTTCCCAACTCCTGGGCTCAAGTGATCCTCCCAAAGTCTTGGGATTACAAAGGCTCTGAGCCACTCCACCTGGTCTTAAGTCTCTCCTCTGATTTCACCAAACTCTGCTCATTCAAAATAATTTGGGCCTATGCAAGCTCTCTCTTGCCCGATGACTTTGTTTTCTTGTTCTTTTTTTCAATTGTTTGGTTGAAAACCCAAGGACTTAATAAAAGCTTTTCTTTCTTTTCAGAATGCTTTTGTTTCATATCTTCTCAAGGCTGGCTGTCTCTCTTTTTGTCAGCCTAAAGGTCACCTCCTCACCTATGTACTTCTTGATCATTCTACCTGAATAAGTTGCATAATACCTGCACTCTTGCCCCTCAGCCCGCTACCATCAGAGCACTTCATGTTTTGTCAGTGTGTGTTTGTGTAGCTGGACTCTAGACTCCACAAGGCCAACGGACTTGTTTTGCTCACCCCATGCATACTCAGAGCCCAGCAGTAATATCTGTGGCATAAGTTAATGAGAAGGCATATCTTGAATAACTTAGTTAATGTCACCCAACTCATGAGGGCAAAGCCTGGAGACGAACACAAGCTCGAAACCATCATGGTGCTCTGCTGGAATATGGTGGTTTGCTCATTCATTCTTGCTTTTGTTCATTCATTCAGAGAACATGTTTTGGATTGATAATATATGCTAAGCCAGGTGCTAGGGACACAGATAAAATGGTCATTGATCCTGAGAACATAATCTGGACAACTTTAAGTGAATACAGTCACAGAGGGAGCAGGGCACTGCCAACTGATTTCAGTGCTCAGCTTGGTTTCCTCTAAGCTTCTGTACTGAGGCTATTACAGGGTAGAGAAATTCTCAGTCTAGTGGCCCATGGTGAATTTTCAGACAAATCTGAAGGTTTTGGATTGAAATAGTAAAAAGTTTGAGAACAAAAGTTTCATCAATTAATTAACACGTCAAAGGGCACAGATCAGAAGAGATACTAACTTGAACCACAACTTACATGAATAACAGCTGAAAACAAAACAAATAACAAATTTCGCAGAACACTTCACCACAGCATAATGAACAGAATTTTCCAAAACCTAGACCCATATGAGATTTTCTATCTCATGCGTTCTCTGTCTCTCTGCTCTCTCAATTCTCTAAAAGAAGAGATCTCTGTGGTTTTCTCTTTATTTCTAGCTCTGTGTGCTTCTCATTTCTCTGGAAAATCTAAAATGTCCTCAGAGAGGACTTTCTGGCCCTCTTCAATCTTCCCAAGGCTGATTCTTGAAATGCTGCCTTAGGATGTCTTTCCTTTGGTTTAAAGTTTTGCTCCTATTAATATTTTAAATTTCTTTGTAGTCTCAGTGGATATATCTTGGTGGTTATATGTTATCCAAAATTTTTTTCTGGGGTGTAGGTTCTTGGAGGAAGTCTCACCAGAGGCCTGAGGCTAGCCTTGGTGAATCTATGGACTATGCTGTATATGGAAGCAACAGCCTGAATAGCAGGAAATAATCTGAGACGTAGCTTTAGGCTCGATGTACAATGCAATCACCACTTCTTTCTTTTCCTTTAGCAACATATTGGCTTGACCAATAGGCAACAGGTAACAGGTAACAATGCTTCATCCTTGTCATCAGTTTTTACTGTTTTTTGGGGGTGTGTGTTATTATTGTGGCTTCTTCAGAATAGTCAAGTAATTTTCCTTAAAAGAGAAAAAATAGGCAACATGAAATTAAGTTGATTAAAAGAATGTGAATGGGAAAATAGATCAGCATAGTGTTAAGGATATTAGCTTTGGTGACATTTGAATTCTCACTTCCATTTACAGACTCCATAGTAATCTTGGTAATCTCCTCTCTCCACCCTAGTTCCCTCTTCTGCAAATAAAGAGTGTAATAGTACCACTTTATAGACCCCCTAGAGATGCTTCTTAGCTGGTCTACTCTTCTGGTAAGGGCATGAGTCTCATCAGGGGCGCTCGACCCTCATGACCTCATGACCCTCATGGCCTCATTACTTCCCACAGGCACTACTTCCAAATACCATCTTATTGGGGGTTTGGGCTTCAACCTATGAATTTTGGGAGGACAGAAATATTCAGCCCAGAGCCATGGGATAAAAAGAGTTGGTGCTAAAATAAGAAGGATTGGGTGGAAGATGTTTAAGAGGGCAAATTTCTAGTCCCTCTCCTTAATGCTACACTCCTGTATATTGGTACAAAACAGGTTTATTGTTTGGAGATGGAAAAACGTGGAGTTTTGAGCCTGAGAGTGAACCCATGCAGTGAAGAGAACAGGCGTGCTACTGACAATAGAGGATTAAGAGGCCATATGCATAAGGAGTGCTGATTTTGAAGTCCTCAAGCCAACTCGTTCAATCAGAACTCTGGCAGCCAGACTTTGTCCTTGAGGCAAGGGACAGGAAGTGCACACTTTGAGGAAGCTGCCAGCCCAAGAGGAAGGAATAAAGACACTGACCCTGGGGCTTCTTAACAAAGGGCTACAGTGAAGGTCACCCTAAAAAGCAGGGGCTTATGTTCAGCTTCCAATTCCTTTTTCAATCTCCCACTCTGCGTTTACTCTCCTTTCTTTTTATATCTCAGATTTTTACTTTGAAAAATTAAAATCTCAGGGTGGGCATGGTGGCTCACACCTGTAATCCCAATACGTTGGGAAGCCAAGGCAGGTGGATCACTTGGGACCAGGAGTTCGAGAACATCCTGGCCAGCGTGGTGAAACCCCGTCTCTACTAAAAATACAAAAAGGAGCTGAGCATGGTGGTGAGTGCCTGTAATTCCAGCTACTCAGGAGGCTGAGGCAGAATAATCGCTTGAACCCAAGAGGCAGAGGTTGCAGTGAGCCGAGATCATACCACTGCATTCCAGCCTAGGAGACAGAGTGAGACTCCATCTTGAAAAAAAACAAAAACAAAAACAAAAAACTACAGAAAAGTTGAAAGATTAGTACAAAGGATACCCATATAGTCTTTACATAAATTCATCAACTGTTAACATTTTGTATACCTTCTCTTGCTCTTCTCTACACAGACTTTTTTTTTTTGGAACCACATGATACTTTCTCATACTCAGACCACCAAAGAATAGCAGAAATCTAAGTAAAGTTCCTAATGTGGAGATGGAATTCCAAACAAACAAACAGACGAAGTCTTTTGGAAAATATAGAGTCTATGCAGAGAGAAAAAAGCTTAAAAAAACACAATTGTTAATATCTTCAGAGAGGTTGTGCCTATGAAACAAGGATAGGATAGTATTATAAAAACCTTTAAAAAACACAAAATGGATTTATTGGAAATCAAAATGTAATAGCAGAAATTAGAAACTAAAATATAAGGCCAGGCACAGTGGCTCATGCCTATAATCCCAGCACTTTGGGAGGCCAATATGGGTGAATTTCTTAAGGCCAGGAAATCAAGAAATTAAAATAAAATTTAAAAGTAAAGTGACAACATCCATAAGGTAGAACAAAAAGACAGAGAGAAACAGTAAAGAAAAAGTAATAACATTACATTATCACTCTCAGAGGTCTATTATCTGAAAAAGGAAATCCAGACAAAAAGAAAAGAAAAATAGAAGGGAGGATTTCATTAATAAGATGCTTGAGGAGATTTTTCT
The DNA here is from genome assembly GCF_000001405.40 of Homo sapiens. NCBI lineage: Eukaryota > Metazoa > Chordata > Mammalia > Primates > Hominidae > Homo > Homo sapiens. The sequence goes on from NC_000008.11 coordinate 120,116,942, forward strand.
AGAAACAAAGCATGTGAATTGCTAGATTGAAAGAATCTATAGAGTACCTAGTCAATGGATGAAACTGGACCCACATCAAAGCATACCATCATGAAATTTCAAAACATAGGAGACAAAAAGATTTTATAACCTTGCAGGAGGAGTAGGTTGTTGCGGAGACTGTTCACTCAGAGAGGACCAAAAGTCAGAATGGCTTCTTAATTATAGCAACAATGCAGGAAGCAAGAAGGAAGGGAGCAACACCTTTACCATTGTGAAGGAATATTATTTCTAAGCTAGAATTCTGCGCCCATTAAACTTGTAATGAAACGTGAGGGTAAAACATAAGACCTGAAAAATGTGTCTCCCTTCACCACGCACCTATCTTAGGATACCACTGGGGAATATCCTTATTCAACATGAGGGAATGACATAGAACTAGGAAGACATGTACAATTGAAAACAGGATATCCAGCACATGAGAGAAATAGAGAGAACCTGTGGAATCAGAATTGCGCCCAGGTAGAGAGGTCAGTGGCAACAGGCTGAATATTTTTGGTCCCCACCCCCCAAAGAACCATATGTTGCAGACTAAATCCCCAATTTGATGGTAATGGAGGTGGGACCTTTGGGAGCTGATTAGGTTCTGAGGGTGGAGCCCTCATGAATGGGATTAGTATTCTTCTAAGAGGAGATGCAAGAGAGATTCTCTCTCTCTCTCTCTCTACCACGTGAGGACGCATGAAGACAGCCGTTTGCAAACCAATATGTAGGCCCTCACCAGACACTAGAGCTGTTAGTGTCTTCACCTTAGATTTCCCAGCCTTTAGAACTGTGAAAAGTGCATTTGTGTTGTTTAAGCCACCCAGTCTATGGTATTCTGTTACAGCAGCCTGAACTGACTAGGACAGCAGCCATTCAAATTGAAGCAGCCTGGCGCAAGAGACAGATAGCTAAGAGCTGTCATCACCATGCCTGCTACTGTTGAACCAGCTTTTTAACCAGATCAAACTCCTGGAGGATGTACTCAACCAGAGCAAGGGGATGTACTAGGAAAGAGGGAGCCATCGTATCCAGGAAATCAGAATCCAGTCTTGGAAAAAGGCAAAGGAACTTCTAGGAACAGTAGAAAAGCAAAGGCCAGGATGACAACCAAGCAGCAGCTCTAAGGGGGAAAACTGTCCAAAGAAGGAAAAATGTCTAAAAAAATTTACCTGATGTAAATTATGGAACCCTGTACTGAGATGCTGTTGGAAGTAGTAGGAAGAACTAGCAAAAAGCAAAGAGAAAAGTAAGAAACTGAAAAAGCAAGGTAGTTTATTAACTTCAGGAAAAACTAAATGTAGAAAGAAAATAATCACTGATGCTTCCATATGAATAATATTTGCATATCATATGAATGAAAATGCTGAATATGGATTTAACCAAAATTGTAATCTAATCACATTGGGATGATAGAAGAGGAGAAAGGGAGATGGCAGCATAAGAGAGCCTATCCTTTCTGCCATAATAGGAAATATATAAATGATGTTTAAAATTGATTAATAGGGCTGGGCATGATGGCTCACACCTGTAATCTCAGCACTTTGGGAGGCCAAGGCGGGTGGATCACCTGAGGTCAGGAGTTCGAGACCAGCCTGGCCAACATGATGAAACCCCGTCTCTACTAAAAATACAAAAATTAGCCAAGCATCGTGGCGGGCACCTGTAATCCGAGCTACTCAGGAGGCTGAGTCAGGAGAATGGCTGGAACCTGGGCAGTGGAGGTTGCAGTAAGCCAAGATCGCGCCACTGCACTCCAGCCTGGATGACAGAGTGAGACTCTCTCTCTCTCTCTCTCTCTATATATATATATATTATATATTATATATTATATATATTATATTATATATTATATTATATATTATATATTATATATATTATATTATATATTATATATTATATATTATATTATATATTATATATTATATATTATATTATATATTATATATTATATTATATATTATATATTATATATAATATAATATATATAATATATATAATATTTTAAATATAATATATAATACATTATATATTATATATTATATAATGTATTATATATTATATTTAATATATTATATATTATATATTATATATTATATATTACATATTATATATTATAATATATATATTATATAACTGATTAATAGACACATGGCAGTACATGCGTGTTACTTAGAAGTATGGAAATTTTGAAAGTCTCAAAAAAAACTGCTAAGAGAGAAAAAAATACTTCTGGAAAGCAAGACAGTATTATTTCTATTTTACAAGTTTTCAGTATTATATAACTTTAAAAATTATATGTATGAATTATTTTAATAAAATAATTAAAAAATTGAAATAGTCCATATCAGTTCTCCCAGCACATCTGGAATCCAAAAGCCTCTTGATAGAAGTTCTTTTTCTTATTATAATATTGTTATTATTGGAAACAGTCTTGGCTTTTTGTCAGATGATATTTAATCTAGTAATATCTGACACTGACTCTTTTTGGGGACTTAAATGGGGCATTTAATTCGTTGGATCTCAGTTTCTTCATTTGTAAAGTGAAGGGAGTTTGGCACATACAGTCATGCATTGCTCAACGACAGGGATACAGTCTGAGAAATGCATCGTTTGACAACTTTGCTATTGTGCGAACATCTTAGGATGTACTTACACAAACCTAGATGGGCTAGCCTACTGCACACCTAGGCTACGTGGTATAACCTATTGCTCTTAGGCTACAAACCCGTACAGCACGTTACTGTACTGAATACTGCAGGCAACTGTAACACAAAGGTAAGTATTTGTGTATCTAAATATAGAAAAGATACAGTAAAAACGTGACATTATAATTCTTATGGAACCACCGCCGTATATGCAGTTCTCTGTTTACCGAAATGTTGTCATGCCACTCATGACTGAATGTATAATCTCTTAGACCTGATCCAGCATTATTGTGCTATGAATAGAATCTTTTATGCAGAATGCATATGCTGATAGGACGCTGTCACACATGAAAAACTTGGCTGCTGTTAGGGTCATGACTTTGATCTGGGCCATGGAGCTGAAAAGATGAGGAATGCTTCATCATTGGTTCAAGAACATGAAAGGCAATTGTGAGAAAGGGAGGGCTCCAGCACCCTAAAGGAAAGAAGAAGACAATATGATTTTCACCTCTGAATAAGTCTTAACCTTGCAGAGCTAATGTGTTAAATAGGGTGATGGACTTGAAGGCAATTGCAAAGCAAAAACCCTGCAGGAGCGTGGGAGGTATCACTACATTGTTCGGAAAGAAGTCAGCACACTATAGTGGAAAAAGCTCTGGCCTGGGAGTCAAACCATTTGAATTCTAGTGTTCACTTTGCTGTTAATACTCTGGGTAAGTTTGGACAAGCTCTCTCATGGCTTTTGTCCCAGCTTCAGGATTGGTGGAATAAAGGTTGATTTGGTTGAGTTTCTTCCGTTAATAGGGAAATAAATCAAATCTGGAGCTAATGGGGTTGTTCATGGACTGAGACAAAAGATTCAGGAAGAACAGGAGCCAGATGTCCTGGAGCTCTGAGCAGGGCTGGTATTCAAAAGATTGAGCAACCAGGGTGGTACAGGGACAATCCAATCCGAATGAATGCTGGAAGCTACATTTGAGTGCAAACTAGAGGCCTGCAGCAAATCTCCAGGCTACCTCTTCAATTGTGGGATCAAAAGGGAGACCTGAGGTAGAGGTCCCAGGGAGGGGCAGGGAAGAGGATGTTCAGGGTGTTGGGGTGTTGGAGAAGCAGCTATTTACCAACCGATATGGAAATATTTCAATTTTTTTTTTTTGAGGTGGAGTTTTGCTCTGCTGCCCAGGCTGGAGTGCAGTGGCATGATCTCGGCTCACTGCAACCTCTGCCTCCCGGGTTCAAGCGATTCTCCTGCCTCCAGCCTCCCTAGTATTGGGGATTACAGGTGTGCACCACCATGCCTGGCTATTTTTTAAAAAAATATTTATAGTAGAGATGGGGTTTTACCATATTGGCCAGGCTGGTCTTGAACTCCTGACCTTAAATGATCCACCCACCTCAGCCTCCCAAAGTGCTGGGATTACAGGCATGAGCCACCATGCCTGGCCACATTTCAATATTTTAACAACTGGTATAACTGCAATGGTATGCTCCTGCTGGAGGTGAGAGCGCTATCTGGGTATTAGGAGATAGTGTTCCCTCAGACATCATTGTTAGGATAAACTGAGATAAAAGTTCAGGAAACATTTTTTTCTGCCCTTGTGTCCCACCACTTAGTACTCAGATTTGAGGGACAGAGTATCTCTTTGGCTTAGTTTAGAGTCTATGCCCACTAACTAGGGTAATAGTTAAAAAAAAAAAAGGGCAAGCTGAATGACAACCCCCCTGCAACTGCATACAATGGATTGGAGGTAATTTCCTAAAGGAATTCAGACTTCTGCTATGGAGGGTGAGAAACGAAGTGCTTAACAGCTGGTACAGCAAAGACATCAGTCAGTTAGATGGGGGCATGGGCGCTTGACTATGAGGCAGAGTCTGGAAGACACTCTGCTGTGCTGGCCATCAACCCTCTGTTACCAGCTTTGCTATTGTAAGATCGGGGCAAATAGGGGTGTCCCAGAAGCAGGAATGGGGTAGTCAGCATGGATGGGGGATCATGGGAGAGGAGGTCCGGGACTTGGGCCATGGTTATTGCTCATAGATATGGCATATTATTATCAGCTGGAGCCTGCTTACTGGCTGAGTATGAGGGTAGAAAGGACACCAGACTGGGGGAAAAGAATCACAGCTGGGTGTTACAGGGAGGTTGGAGTAGAACTGCAAATAATTTGTTCAGCTGAAACTGGGGTTTGCTACAGCTTGTGTGGTGGTATTTTTTGGTTATCACAATGCCTAGGAGATGGGTGGGTGCTACTGGAATTTGGTTGATGGGGCCAGGAATGAGGTAGTCATGCTGTCCTGCCCAGAATGTCAGTAGTACCTCTGTTGAGAAACATGGAAAGGAGAATCTTCCAGAAGGGGCAGCTGAAGAGAGTACAGTCCTGTGCAACGGGCAGAAGGGGGATAGTAGCAGTTTGGGTAACATAGCTGCCATTTATTAATTGTTGGTTATGCATTGGGTCCATAAACACATCTATTATTTAATCCACATGACAATCCCCTAAGATATAATTAATTACCCTCTTTTTTCTTTTTGAGACAAGGCATCACTTTGTCACTCAGACTGGAGTGCAGTGGCACCATCTCAGCTCACTGCAGCCTGGAACTCCTGGACTCAAGTGATCCTCCCGCCTCAGCCCTTCAAGTAGCTGGGACTACACGTGTGCGCCATTACACCTGGATGGGTTTTTTTTTTTTTTTGTATTTTTTTTGTAGAGACAGGGCTTCACCATGTTGCCCAGGCTGGTCTCGAACTCCTGAGCTCAAGTGGTTCACCTGCCTCGGCCTCCCAGAGTGTTAGAATTACAGACATGAGCCACTGCACTGGCTATCCCCTCTTTTTACACATGAGGAGTTAGGCTCAGGGAGGCAAAATAACCTCACCAATGTGAGACAAGAAAGGGGCAGAGGTGTGTGTGCAGTCCTTACAGAGAAATAGGATCACAGTCATGTCACAGATTTGGAATGAGACTCTGGGGAAGAGTTGTGTCCTGAAATCAATTACTGTAAGAAGCTGGAATTTTTGGTTATCTTTGAAAAGGCCCCAGATGTTCATATGCAGTTTTTTTTTCTAGATTGAAGGAGGGAAACTTCAGTGGGGTCTTCTGGTCTTGTTTCTGTGATTCAGTTCTCATTACTCCACCAGACTCTGAGGACTGGCCTTAAGATCAGTGTTGAATAACCACTCTCGAAGCTGACACTTCACACACAACTGCAACTAAATGGAAAACTGATTGAAACCAGCCATTCTGATTCAACATTAACTGAGGTTTATCTACATTTAAAGTGAAATGCAAGAAGTCAAAACTTAAGGAGAGGAAGGAAGGATGAGTTAGAATTCTTGAGAAGGAACCCATTTTATATGATTACTAAATCAATACAAATCATCACATAAGATTTTTATCAAATATTATGCTTATTTGTGGGTTTTTGCACACATATTTCACATTTTAAAATCATCAGGGAACCTCCCATTCCCAATTTTCTGTAATTTTTTTTTTTTTGAGACGAAGTCTCGCTCTTGTCCCCCAGGCTGGAGTGCGATGGCGTGATCTTGGCTCACTGCCACGTCCGCGTCCCGGGTTCAAGCGATTCTCCTACCTCAGCCCCCCAAGTAGCTGGGATTACAGGCGTCTGCCACCACACCCGGCTAGTTTTTGTATTTTTAGTAGAGACGGGGCTTCACCATGTTGGCCAGGCTGGTCTCGAACTCCTGACCTCAGGTGATCCACCTGCCTCAGCCTCCCAAAATGTTGGGATTACAGGCGTAAGCCACCGCGCCCGGCCAATTTTCTGTAATTAAATGATTGGAACCACCCCCTTGGTAAAAATGAACACAAAAGTAAATTTTTAATTAGTGAAAAGGGGAATCAGAATATGAGGATGATAGACACTTGTATGGGGGCAGAGGGAAAGAGATCTAACTAAAGTGGTGATTGTCTTCAGGAATAAACACTGCATTTCAGGAATTCTAATCCCTACGTGTGGATCTAGGGTGAATGGGTGTCTTTCCAGATCCCGCCTCTCCCAAACCCCGCGTAGACACTAGATGGCGCTCTCCCTTTGCAGTCCTTGGAGTCGGAGCGGGTCTCCTAAAAAGCTGCGCCGGCCGCCTGGCCTAAGAGAATTGCGTTCAGTGAAGCGCAGAAGCCGAAAGGCGCCTTGCTGCGGCCGCGCCCTGTGGCTGAACTTAGGCCAATTCCGAGCGAGACCGAGACGCAGGGCGGCGGTGGGGGCTGGAAGGGGCCTTTCATCCACTCCAGCCGCAGGACCCCTGCTGCAGCTCGGAGCACGCGCAGCAATGCAAATAACACATTCGAGGAGAGCAGAGGAGGTGGCTAGCCGCAGCTTGGACAGTTGGAATGTCGGAGGGACTACCCTGCAAATCACAGCCCTTCTATCGGGATTCTCAGCTGGGCATGATGGAGGCAAATTTGGAAACCTAAGAGTACCACTTGCCTTCCTCTCTCATTGCTCCATCACCAGCCTTTGGTGGTGGTGAAATATTCTTTTCAGTTTTCCAAAGCAAGGAAGTATTTTCTCACAAAATAGGGTTTTGCTGAATTCTCAGTTTCCACCCACCTTCCGCCTAACATTTGTAAAGAATCGGGCATGCAGGATGGGGACTATGGGTCAAAAATAAGTAAAGGTGTTGACTCTTCTAGAGGGCCCACCCAGCAGGTGAGCGCGCGGGACAGAGTCTCCGGAGAGCCAGCGCCGGGCCCTGGTGGCCTCCTGCTCTTCACATCTCAAGGCAGAGCCTCTCAAAGAGTGGCCTGCAAGGATCTGAACCACCAGGGGGTGTGATATTGCAGAGTCCCTGGCCTTACCTCAGGCTCCTTAAACCAGAATCTCTGCGGGTGGGGAATCAGCAGGTTATGAGGTACAACCACACGAAATTGCCTACATTCGTCTTTTTGTAACCTACAGAAATGTCCATTTCGATACCTCCAGCTGATTCCCCTGCACCTTAAAGTTTGAGCATCGCTGCTTTGGCGTTTTAGAGCCCTTGGACTTGTTCACAAGAGGAAGAGGGAGAAGAGGAGGCTCGAAGGGGGCCTTTATAGTGGATACCTGTTTCACTCGGAGCTCAGGGTCTTTGACGCGGGAAGGCAAAGTCTGTCTTTTGGAAATGGGGAAGTGGGCACACAGCACCTGAGAACAGGAGGGCTCGAGACCTCCCAAAGAGAGCAGGGGGCCTGGTTTGGGAGCTTGCAGTAGCTTCTGCCCCAGTGGAAGGGAAAGAGCCTGGCTCGCTCTCGGCGCGCCACATCCGGCTGCCGCGCGCACCTGGGGGGACCGCCAGGTTCGGGGTAGGCGAGCGCGTGAGCGGCACGGGGCTGGCTTCTCCACATCTCCGGTAGGGCGGGGATGGGGGAGAGGAGGAGGAGAGAAAGTGGGGGCGTTATGGGCTTAGGCCTGCCTCCCACCTCCCCACCTCCCGCCTCCGCGGCCACCCTCCGCTCTATAATTGGCTGCCGGCGGGCCTTCCTTTCCTCTTATCTGATCCTGGGCTCCCAGCTGGAGAGGCGGAGGCAGCTCCAGGGGGCTGGAAGTGGAAGCGCAGCGGCAGAAGGAGAGGGAGAGAGAAAGAGAGAGAGGCTAATTAAAAAAGGATACTCCGAGGGAAGAGAGCAAGGGCGGTGCGCCGCCAAGGACCAACTAGCGGCGGAGCTTCGATCTTGCCTAGGCGCGGAGAGCTCCCAACCTGGGCTGGAACCTTGCCCAGCACAGGTCAGTTCGTCTTTCTCTGCTCTTCTTTGGCTCGGCTTCGAAGTCCATTCATGAGCAAGGAAAAGTGGAGGCAGCGAGCCACCTGCAGACGCAATGCAGTTCCATGGACTTTCTTTTCACGCGCGCGCCCAGAATGGACTGGGGACCTTTGGGACGGGATGGGACGGGTACACCTGGATGCCTTTTCGCGGGGTTCACGGTGTAGGGAGATTAGAGGCATTGGGTGATGAGAGCGCAGGGATAGTGGAAATACCATGTGCTGCTCCGGGAAGCTTTTCCCAGTGTTTGAGTGACGTGAGCGTGTGGCGGGAAGAAGCTGCGTTTGGCTGCGGGACAGTGGCGGCTCCAGCATTTCCATATAGAAGGGGCTTAACAAAGGCGGTAATTTGGGTGGGATCCGTCTTGAAGGGCTGTGTGTGCATAAAGAACACGCTGTTTTTATTTATCTTGTGTTTGGGATAGCTTGAGAGAGCTGCTGATGGAGATCATAGGGGACGAAACTCACCCAGTCACCTGTTGGCTCTGCTACAGATTTGGGTAGCTGAGAACCAGGCGCTGGACGCAAAGGGAAACAGCTAGGTAGAGCTCGATGATGGAGGATGGGGACAGTAGGCGCTCCTCCACCTCTCTGCGCCGGGAGGCTGGGATGCTTCGTGCGTTTTGCTTTGGTGCCAGAAGCCAGGAGGTTGCGGTTTTGAGAGAGGCACCGCCAGGTTGTAATATTGGAGAATCCTCTCCGCTTTGGCTTGCCGACCTCTCACTTGCCCCCTTTTATCTCTCTGACACCCCCCGCACCCCGCGCCCCCTCAGGCCTCCTATTACACAGCGCCTGGGCGGATAGGCATCCGGGGCAGCTGGGCTTCGGCGCATGGGGCCATTACAGTGGCCTCGGTCCTAGGGCAGAGCCTGGAGGCCGCCGGCAGGTCCAGGACCACAGGTGCTCAGATCTTGGTGCTGGGTTCTTGGGTCCTCTGTGGCTCAGGGTTGCTCTGCTAAGGTCCAGGAGGGTTTTGGACCTGTCCTTACGGAAAGTTCCGTGTCCAAATGAAGCTTGTGTGCAGCTCTCACATGGGCCAGGATTTCCCCCCAAACATTGCTTCTCAGAGTCCCATTACTTCTGCAAGTTTTGGAGAGTCCTCTGTTGGCAGCAGCTGAAGGGGGTGGGAGTGGGGGCAGGAACAAGAGAAAGATGGGAGTAAGTCTTTGGTGGCTGTGGAGAGGAGAGCAGAAATGAAAATGGATTTTCCTGAAACTCCTGTTAAAGGCCTTGGGGCCCCTCCTCTACTGAGGGACAGGGAGGGCACTTTTTATAATACTTGCAGTAGGTGATAGAGAGGCTCTCTTGAAACCCAGCAAACAGGCTTTAAGCTGGATGCAGTGAAGGACCGGTGTTCTGTTTCTGACAGCATGGTCCAGTCTGCACATAGAGAACTCACTGGTAAATTTAGAATGAGTGAATGAATAAATGAATGAATGAACAGCATGTGAATATTTGGTTTTTCAGAAGAGTAACTTGGATTCCTTTGAACCCAAGTGCTTCGCTATTATAAGGTAAACTTCAGAATAGTTTTGTTTGCTTGTTTTTAAAACAGCTTTATTGAGATATAATTCATATACCTCTCAATTAACCAATTTAAAGTGTACAATTCAATGATTTTTAGTGTTTTCACAGAGCAGAGTAAATCCACCATTTTAGAATATTTTAGCACCCCAAAAAGAAACCCTGTACCTATTAGCAGTACCTCCCCATTTCTCCCTAACCTGCCGCCGTGTCTGTATGGATTTGCCTATTTCGGACATTTCATATAAATGGAAGAATACAATATGTGGTCCTTTGTGACTGCTTCTTTTACCTAGCAAAATATTTTCAAGGTTCATCCATGATGTACAGGCTATCTTTCTTATTCTCTCAGTAAATACTGGGTATCCATCCTCTCCTTCTCCCTGGGGATCCCTGAGCCAGGATAGACCTGAACCTCCACTGCAGCCCTGACCTCCTGTGGGTCCCTTTGAAAGGACAGGCGCCCCACTGGTAAGGCCTCTTAGTAATTCCCTGGGAAGTATTCCTTGGAACCCATCAGGATTCCTGGAGCAGTTTTGGATGGATCCCAGCCTTCAAGATTGATGGGAGGAGGCTCTTGGCACTTATCCTGCTGCGAACCGTCCAGCTGAGGATTTCAGAGAACTCTTGGGGCCCTCCACGCATGTCTTGATTTTTCAGAATCAGCCAGGGCTGCTCTTAAAAATGGGCTGAACAAATCGATCTGATTTGAGGGGCTCTAGGGAAAGCCCCTAGCTCATTAAGAAGACCTCTTGGGGAGTCTCCCTTTCAATCTTAAATATTTCCTAGTGTCACACAGTAAAACACAAATGTCTTTTGCTCGTTTTCAGTTGACAGCCTCTGCAGTGATACCACTGTAAAGCCACATTCGCAGTCAGTGTTATCTAAACCCAGCCAAATGACTGCTGTTTTCCTGGCCTGTCTAGTGTAACCTAAGATCCCTTTAAAGGACAAGAGCCTTCCTAGAACTGCTGCATGATGGAGTGGTGCTGTTTGAGCACCACTGAGTTAACAAATTATCTGGGATTATGATAGTCCATTGAGAACAAAGTTGTTGGTAAACGGGGCACTAGTTGATCCCCCCAGGGAACTGACAGTAGAGTGGAGGGAGAAAGTTTAAAGGAAAGTGATAAAAATAAACTTTCTTCTTGGCAGGTTTGCCCCTCGATAGTGCTGGATGTTAGGAAAATAATCATTCTCCTTGACTTCTTCTGTGAGTAAATAAAAAATGGCAGGGATCCAGTTACTTTTCTGTATACACTAAGCTTTTGTTGTAGACCAAACTGCATCCTGTTCCTGTGACGTGTGTGTGTGTGTGTGCGCGCGCGTGTGTGTGTGTGTGTGTGTGTGTGTGTGTGTGTTGGAAATGTTGGCATATTTTTTGAGTACTTACTGGGTATCTGCCTTTTTCTCTTTTAGAAACACACTTAAGTCTCCCAGTTACTTGGGGAAGAAAATAATATTCCTCCTTTAGCAATCACTGAGCTTCAAGGATAAAAAGCACCTTGTATGGGATCACAAAGACAGCAAGTGACAGAAATATGATTAAGAAAAGTCTATATGGGGCCAGGCACAGTGGCTCATGCCTGTAATCCCAGCATTTTGGGAGGATCACCTGAGGTCAAGAGTTCAAGGCCAGCATGGCCAACATGGCAAAACCCCATCTCTACTAAAAATATAAAGATTAGCTGGGCGTGGTGGTGGGCACCTGTAATCCTAGATACTTGGGAGGCTGAGGCGGGCATTGAGAATATAAAAGAGAGTCTATAGGAAATTCTGAGCGTTCTTTAAGTCAAAGTTTAGAGCCTAGACTCCCCGTTTCCTCCAGGTAATTTTTTTATTAGTGGTCTTGTTGCACTTTTCTCTCTATGGGCCTTTGTCGGAGCTACCCTGAAAGGTGTCTCTGTGAATTTTAGAGAGCAATGTTTTGCCTCATTTCTCCTAGAAATTATCTGAGTTGCTTACAAAAATTGGTCCAGAGGTAGGTTGTGCTTTGCTAAGTCCATTGCAATGTCTTAGGGTGTGTCTTTATCTAGGAGCAGTCAGAGGGCCCATTATTGGATAAAGATCTATTTCTGGGTGGCCTTTTGTCTCTGGCTTTTGCAAAGAGGAGAACATTTAATTGATGTCTAAAAATGATAATTTGCTGCAGGTTGTTTGCTTCTGTTCTTCCTTCACTTCCCAGCCCTGTCTCCTGCCATGTGCTGGCACTGTGCTAAGCATTCAAAATACAGTAGGGAATAATATGCTTTGGCAAATGGAAATGCCAATAGCTAACTACGGGGTAGTGTTCAATGCTGCAGAATGGAAAATAAAGATTACTACTATAGGAAACAGGAAGAGCACCTGACCCCAGACTTGGAAGATCAAGGAAAACTTCCTGAAGGAAAGGATGTCTAAACTGAGATGTAAAGCTACCCTTTATACTGATTACAGATGTACATTGTAGTTAAAAACAGTCTCCCATTTCTTTGACAGATGAACTATGTCAGTGTTTGAAAAAAATGAAGAGAGGGAAAAAAAGCCAGGTGAAGAACATTCTTGTGTCAAGCAGCTGTCATTCCAATTTGCCATACTTTTGGAATGGCTCTACCTTCTGTCATTTAGAACATACAGCATGAGTTTAATACTGATTGAGCAGCTGTATAACTGAGGCTAATTTTCAGTCAAATTCCTTGCGTTTGAGTGATTCACAGGGATGCTGCTAACCTAATATAGTTTTTCTGTAAATTAGAAAAAGGAAGCCTCTCTGTGCAAACCTATGGCATGGGAGAAGAAAACAGTTCTGTTTTATCTGGATAACACAGCTTTGCACTGGGGCACACAACTTGGGAGCAGAGTGTCTGCCAATTTCAAGTGTCATTGACCCTAGGCGAAGTGTAAATTGTTTAGTTCATTAACTGCGAGCTGTACACACATTAGCCCTGATCATTCAGTCATTAACTATTAAATCAATCAATATTTACTGATTGCCTATGTGTGTTGAACTTTCTTGAATATGGGTTAAACTGCCCATCTAGATGTCTGATAGTGCCCAAGATCTAGAAGGTTAAAACAGTGACTGAGGCCATGAAACTAGCTGGAGAACCTCAATAAGATGAGGGACAGATGCAGTTCATCAGAGGCCTGGTTGGTGAAGGATCAAGTTTGGTGCTACTGCTGGTTGGTGCCCATCCACAAACTGTTACCTGCCTCTGATAAGACAAAAACTACACGATGATGTAAATCAAATATGTCAATAAGCGCACTGTTCACCAAGCACACTGTTAGTTCAACGGAGATTATCATTATTTTTTCATAGCAAAGCTTTTCTGACGAAGGAAGCAAAAGAATACATAGACTTGCATATTGGCATAAGCTCCTTATCTCACTGAGGACCAGTAACAGTTCATAGACCAGCTACTTTGAGTAGCACCAATCTAGGCAACATTGGCCCACATTTGGCCAGATAGGTCATCTTGTATCCTTTCTGCCTTTATACTGTTTTCTTTTCTCTCTTTTCCCCTTATTTTTTCTTTGTTTCCTCTGCCTCCTCATCTTCTTCCTCTTCATCATTTTCCCTTTTCTTCTTCCTTCCCTTATTCCTACTTTACTGTTGCTTTCCCCTTCCATTTGATATTTCTCTCTTAAACAAAAATCACTGTGCATTTTATTCAGCTTTTTGTCTTTTAAAAAGCAAAATAAAGAAAGCCTACGTGTACAAGGAAAGAAATGTAAAATGGAAACATCACTAACTTGGAGAAAATTAAAAGAATTTAATGGTAATTAAAATAAAAATATGCCAATAAATTAGAAAGCCTGGATGAAATGGATTCTTTTTTTTCCAACTTTTATTTTAAGTTTGGGGATACAAGAACAGGTTTATGACATAGGTATATGTGTCATGCTGAAGTTTAGGGTATGAATGATCCCATCACCCAGGTAGTGAGCATAGTACCCAAAAGGTAGTTCTTCAACCCTCACCCCCTTTTTTTTCCTTCCCTCGCTATTAGTCCCCACTGTCTGTTTTCTCATCTTTATGTCCATGTGTACTGTTTAGCTCCTACTTATAAGTGAGAATATGTGGTACTTGGTTTTCTGTTCCTCTGTTAATTCACTTAGGATAATGGCCTCCAGCTGCATCCATGTTGCCGCAAAGGACATGATTTTGTTCTTTGTTATGGCTGTGTAGTATTCCATGGTGTATATGTACCACATTTTCTTTATCCAGTCCACCATTGATGAGCATCTAGGTTGATTTCACATCTTTGTTATTGTGAAGAGTGCTGTGATGAACATAGGAGTGCATGTGTCTTTTTGGTAGAATTATTTATATTCCTTTGCGTATATATCCATTAGTGGGATTACTGAGTTGAACGGTAGTTTTTTAAGTTCTTTGTGAAATCTCCAAACTGCTTTCCACAGTGGCTGAACCAATTTACATTCCTACCAACAGTGTATAAGCATTTCCTTTTCTCTGCAAATCTGTTTTTTTTTTTTTGACTTTTTAATGATAGCCATTCTGATTGGTGTGAGATAGTATCTCAATGTGATTTTGATTTGCATCTTTCTGATGATTAGCAATGTGGAGCATTTTTTCATGTTTGTTGGCTGCTTGTATGTCTTCTTTTGAGAAATATCCGCTCATGCCCTTTGCCTACATTTTTAATAGGGTTATTTGTTTTTTGCTTGTTGAATAATTTAAGTTCATTATAGATTCTGGATATCAGACCTTTGTTGGGTCCATACTTTGCAAATACTTTCTCCTATTCTGTAGATTGTCTATTTACTCTCTTGATAGTTTCTTTTGCTATTCAGAAGCTCTTTAGTTTAATTAGATCCCACTTGTCAATTTTTGTTTCTGTTGCAGTTGATTTGAGGACTTAGTCATAGATTCACTGCCAAAGCCTGTGTCTGGAATGGTATTTGCTAGGTTTTCTTCCTTTTTTCTTCCTTTCTTTTTTTTTTTTTTTTTTTTTTTTTTGAGACAGAGTCTTGCTCTGTCACCAAGGCTGGAGTGCAGTGGCGCTATCTCGGCTCACTGCAACCTCTGCCTCCTGGGTTCAGGCGATTCTCCTGCCCCAGCCTCTCTAGTAGTTGGGATTACAGGCATATGCCCCACCATGCCCAGATAATTTTTTATATTTTTAGTAGAGATGAGGTTTCACTGTGTTAGCCAGGATGGTCTTGATCTCCTGACCTCATGATCCACCCGCTTTGGCCTCCCAAAGTGCTGGGATTACAGGCATGAGCCACTGTGCCCAGCCGATATTTGCTAGGTTTTCTTCTAGGATTTTTTTATAATGTTAGATCTTACATTTAAGCCTTTAATCTATTTTGAGTTAATTTTCATATATGGTGAAAGGTAGGAGTCCCATTTCATTCTTCTGCATACAGCTAGCCAGCTATTCCAACACCATTTATTGAAGAGGTAGTCCTTTCCCCATTGCTTGTTTTTGTTGACATTGTTAAAGATCAGGTGGTTGTAGGTGTGTGACTTTATTTCTGTGTTTTCTAACCTGTTCCGTTTTCTGTGTGTTTGTTTTTGTACCAGTACCATGCTTTTTTGGTTACTGTAGCCTTGTAGTAGAGTTTGAAGTTGGATAATTTGATGCCTTCAATTTTGTTCTTTTTGCTTAGAATTGCTTTGGCTATTGAGGCTCTTTTTTGGTTTTGTTTAGAATTTTTTTTTTTTCTATTTCTGTGAAAAATGATGTAGGTAGTTTGATAGCAATAACATTGAACCTGGATATTGTTTTGGGTAACGTTCTTTTTTTTCTCTTTGAAACAGAGTCTTGTTCTGTCACCCAGGCTGTGTTTTGGGCAGTATTCTTATTTTAATGATATGAAATGAGTTATTTTTAAACAAAGTACAAATTACTAAAACTGATTTTTTATTATACAGGAATTATGAATAAAACATTAGACACAAACATGTTGAAAAAGTTGTTAAAAAGTAACCTCTCCAAGAGTACTGAACTCTCCCCATGGTTTTGCAATTGAATGCTAATGAAAATGTAAAAAAATAAAAATACCGTGCTATTATAACTGTTCCGGCCGGGCGCGGTGGCTCACGCCTGTAATCCCAGCACTTTGGGAGGCCGAGACGGGCGGATCACGAGGTCAGGAGATCGAGACCATCCTGGCTAACACGGTGAAACCCCGTCTCTACTAAAAATACAAAAATTAGCCAGGCATGGTGGCGCGTGCCTGTAGTCCCAGCTACACAGGAGGCTGAGGCAGGAGAATGGCGTGAACCCGGGAGGCGGAGCTTGCAGTGAGTTGAGATCGCGCCACTGCACTCCAGCCTGGGCGACAGAGCGAAACTCCGTCTCAAACAAAAAAAAAATAAAAAAAAAAAAAATAACTGTTCCAAAGTACAGTATAGAGAAAGAAGAAAAAATTCTGTTATTTTTTATAAAACTGGAAAAAATAATACTGATATCAAAACTTGACACAGCATAATAAAAAAGAAAAGCTACAGATTAATTTCACTAATATTGATGTACTTATTGATATGAATAGCATATTAGTAAATAGAACCCAAAAGAATAATTCACAATGATCAAGTTGGGCTCAAATTTTACAGGTAAGTTTAGTATTAGAAAATGGATTAATATAATTGTCATGTTAAAAAGTTAAGAGAAAAAAGTTAGAGGATATTCTTCATAACTACTACAATAATTTAACATTTTATTTCAGATTAATAGCTCAATAAAGTTTACACAGATGGAAATTTACTAAACATGATACATTTATATCAGTATATTTGTGTTTGTCTTCTCTAACAGTCTGTCTAGCCATGTGTCTTCAAAATCAAAGTCATGCCAAAGAAGCATTGCTATTAAAAATAAGAACAAGACAAAGTTTCCAGGATAAATATTCTGGAGATAGTAGCCAAAGTAATAAGAAAAGGGAAAGAAATGAAAAACATAAAATTTGGAAGGTAAGAAGAAAGATATCATCTACAGAAAAAATTAAGGAAATCAATTTTACAAACTTTAAGACTTTGAAAAAATGTTAAACTATTCAAGGTAGGTTACAAAATTAATATAAAAATAAAATTGCTTTACTATAATTAATAAACAACTTGTTTAAAAGTGATTAAGAAAAATCCATTAACAGGAAATAAAACATATATGTATATAATATGTAGAAATAAACTCAAAATGTCAAATTTATATAACTCTTTAAAGTGCTCATGAAGAAATGAAGATGACTGGCTTGAATAAACAAAGAATATATTCTTTTTTGATGTAAAGATGGACTATTGTATAAAAAAGGTCGATCTACCTAAATTGGTCTACTAATTTAACATGATCCCAATTTTGAGGAGTTTTTGGTACCTAGTCAAAAATAATCAGAAAGAAAACTTAAAAGAAAATATTAAAACATATTATAAAGTTTTGATATTTACAATTACTTAATAGTCACACATAAATAGAAAATCGATAGATTCGAAAATAAAATATAGCATTGTTAACCTGTGATCAAAAGGTAAATTATTCTATAAGTGGTATTGGACTAATTGGATAGACATGGAGAATAAAAGTTAAAACTTTTTCATTTACATCAAAATAAGTTTTAGATGATCAAAGATTTCAATTTAAAAATTGAAAATGTAAGAATACTAAAAGAAAATATAGGAAAATGCTATAATTCCAAAGGAGAAAGAGACTTATATGCATGTCATAAACCATAGGAGATAAAAAAGAAAAAAAATAAATATTGGGCAACGTGTTTTATCATATATGATGGAAAAAGAGCCACATATTAAATACAAAAATTTCTCATAAAAAGATGAACACTCCTAGCTGAGTGTGGTGGCTCACGCTTGTAATCCCAGCACTTTGGGAGGCCGAGGAAGTCAGATCACTTGAGGTCAGGAGTTCGAGACCAGCCTGGCCAACATGGCGAAACCCTGTCTCTACTAAAAATACAAAAAACAGTTGGGTATGGTGGTGCATGCCTGTAATCCCAGCTATTTGGGAGGCTGAGGCATGAGAATTGCTTGAACCTGGGAGGTGGAAATTGCAGCGAGCCAAGATTGCACCACTGCACTCCAGCCTGGGTGACAGAGTAAGTGAGATTCCATCACAAAAAACAAACAAACAAACAAAAAACAGATGAACAATCCTATAGAAAAATGACCAAGGATATGCTAGAGAGTTCACCGAACAAAAGACAGCTTAAGTAAATGAAAGATGTGCAGTCATACTTTTAGCCATGGTGATGTTATATGTTGAACTACAATTTTTTCATACATGAAAGAATTTGTAAATATCAGAGCCAGCAAGTTTATGGAAAAATAGACACATATACTTTTGGTGGTATATAAACTGGCATAATCTCTCTGGAGACCAATTTGGCAATATGCATTAATACTTTTTTTTTTCTTTTTGAGACAGTGTCTCCCTCTGTTGTCCAGGCTGGAGTGCAGTGGCACAATCTTGGCTCACTGAAACCTCCACCTTCCAGGTTCAACTAATTCTCCCACCTCAGCTTCCTGAATAGCTGGGATTACAGAAGCGCACCACCACAGCCTGTCTAATTTTTGTATTTTTAGTAGAGATGGGGTGTCACCATATTGGTCAGGCTGGTCTCGAACTCCCAACCTCAGGTGATCTGCCTGTCTTGGCCTCCCAAAGTGCTGGATTACAGGTGTGAGCCCTGTGCCCAACCCATTAATACTTTTTAAAAGGAATAAGCATACTTTATAACCAGCAGTTTAACTTTTAGCAAACTGTCTTAGAGAATATTTGTCCATGACTTTTTTGAGATTTTGATTAAAATTGCTTTGAATCTATAGATTATCTTAAAGACATTCTAACAGAGTACTTTTTTTTTTTTAACCCATGAACATGGTGCACTGCTCTATTTAGGCTTTCTTTCATTTCTGTCAGTAATACACTTTTATATTTTGGTATTCTGAAGAGTATAGAGGCCTTGCATGTCATATTAATTTCTAACTATTTTATGTTTTTGATGTCATTGTAAATAAATTTAAAATTTTTTTCTTTTTATTTATTTTCTGCTATTATATAAGAATACAATTGATTTTTTGCTGACTGATCTTGTCTGTCAGTCTTTCTAAATTATTAGTTCAAGTAGGGTTTTGTTTTTGGTAGATTCCTTAGAATTTTCTGGTAAACAACCCTGTTGATTGTGAATAGAGTCAGTTTACTTCTTCCTTCCCATTCTTTCTGCCTTTTATTTCTTTTTCTTGCCTGATTGCACTGGCTAGGACCTCTAGTACAGTGTTGAGTGGAACTAGTAATAGTTAACATCCCTATTTTATTCTTGATCTTAGGAGAAAAGCATTCAATATTTTACCATTCAGTGTGATACTAGCTATGGAGTTTTCATTGATGCCCTTTATTAGATTGAAGAAGTTCCTTTCTATTTTTAGTTTGCTGAGTTTCTTTAAAATCCTGAATGTGTATTGAATTTTGTGAAATACTTTTTGTCCTTCTATTTAGATTACACGCACACACACACACACTACATATATATATATATAAAATCTCATGCTAAATGATTAGTGGATATTATCTTGATGGTTAGCCTTTTTCTCCCTGAGGGAAGAAACATACTAAACATGCTAAATGATTTAAAAATATTAAACCAATATTACATTCCTGTAATAAGCTCTACTTGGTCATCATTATTATTATTTTTTACATTGTTAAATGCTATTTGATAATATTTTGTGAAAGATTTTTATATCTATGTTCATAAGGGTTATTCTGTGATTTTTATTTTTTGTGATGCTGTCTAGTTTTGATAAAAAGGTTATGTTAGGGCTGGGTGTGGTGGCTCATGCCTGTAATCCCAGCACTTTGGGCAGCTGAGGTGGGCAGATCACTTGAGGCCAGGTGTTCGAGACCAGCCTGGGCAACATGGTGAAACCCCCATCTCTACCAAAAATACAAAAATTAGCCATGTGTGGTGGCATGCGCCTGTAGTCCCAGCTCTTCGGGAGGCTGAGACAGGAGAATTGCTTGAACCCGGTAGGAGGTTGCAGTGAGCCAAGATTGCGCCACTGCACTCCAGCCTGTGTGACAGTGAGAGTCTGTCTCAAAAAAAAAAAAAAAAAAAAAAAAAAAAGGTTATGCTAGCCTTCACCTGTGCTTTCAGGAAGAGTTTGTGTAGGATTGGTATTATATTTTCCTTAAATATTTCATAGAATTTGCTAGTGAAGCCATCTGGGACTGTAATTTTCCTTGTGGAAATATTTTTTAATAACAAATTTAATCTCTTTAATAGATATAGGGCTATTTGGGTTTTCTATTTCTTCATGTGTCTGTTTTAGCAAGTTGAGTATTTCAATAGTTTATTTCCAAGTAAGCTAAATTGTTGGGATTATTGGCAAAAAGTTATTTGTATTTTTCCTTTTTAATTGTTTTTTAGTTTGTGAAGTAGGCAGTTATATCCTCTGTTATTCCTGGTATTGTTAATTGTGTTTCAATCTTTGTTCCTTGATCACACTTCCTAAAGGTTTTTAAATTTTATTAATATTTCAAAGAAGCAAATATTGGTTTTGTTAATTTCTACTAATGTTTTCTATTTCTTTAGTATTTGCTTTTATCTTTATTAATCACTTCCTTCAACTTAATTTGGATTCAGTTTGCTCTTCTTTTTCTAGCTTCTTTAGGTAAAAAATTAGAGCATTGATTTTAAATCTTTCTTCTTTTTTATATCAACATTTAAACCTATAAGTTTATCTCTAATTCTTTAGCTGCATTCCACAAATTTTCACAAATTGTACCTTTATTTTCATTCCCTTTCAAACATTTAAAAATTTCCGTTGTGATTTCATCTTTGACTCATTGATTATTTAGAAGCATATTGTTTAATTTTCAAATATTTTGAATTTATAAAGATATTTTATTATTATTCATTTTTTTTTAATTAGATGAGGTCTTTCTGTGTTGCCCAGTTGTCTCAAACTGCTGGGCTCAAGCCATCTTACACACCTTGACCTCCCAAAATGCTGGGATTATGGGTGTGAGTCACCATACCCAGCCTATTATTCATTTCTAATTTAAATCTATTTTCAGAAAACATACAGAGTATGTTTTTCAATCTTTTGAAATTTATTGAGTTTTATTTTATGGCCCAGAATATGGCCTATTTTGTTAAATTTTACTGTTACACTTAAAAAATGTACATTTTTGCAGTTGTTGGATGTAATGCTCAATAAATATCAACTACTTGATAGAGTTGTTCACAACTCTATCAATATATCTATATACCGATATATATCTATCAATATATCTATATACCAATATATTGTCTAATTGTTCAACCAGTTCTTGAGGAGTGCTGAAATCTTCAACTTTGCTTATTTCTTATTTCTTTAGTCCTATTAGTTTTTGCTTTATGTATTTTGAAACTCCATTATTAAATTCACACATATTTATGATTAATTTTTCCTAATTAAGTGATCTTTATCATTCTGAAATGTCCAGGATTTGAGGGCAGTTTTATGCAGATTTTGCTCCCCCTGCCCCCACATTGTGTCTCATTCCATTCTGACATTTCCCTTCTCAATATCTAGTTTCTCTAGTATTCCTGAATTCTGTTCCCTGATGCTTTATGCCAGTAAGACAGCAGCTTTCCCCCTGATTTCTGATCACCATGCCATGCATAGTGGGGAGTTCCTTCAGAGAGAAAAAAGCTAACCACCAAACTAATAGGAACTAAACTAGGTCTTCTTTATTCCTAATTTAGAGTTTTTTCCTCCTATGTCATGATGCTAACAGATAAGTGTAATAATTGCTCACTTCCTCCAGTACTTTTTAAGTAGATCTCGTTAGCTAATCTTGAAAATCCTTTTATGATTCTGGATGTGAGGAGGGTAGTATTTCAATAGTGAGAAGAAATGAGGAGGAATATTTTCAAAGCTAACACACTGGATGATACATTAAGCCTATTTCTTTTGTTGTTGTTTTTTTGGTTTGTTTTTTAATTTACAAAAATGTGTGACCTAGATCATCAGTTGACTGTAAAATTCTCTTTCTATAAAGTAGATATGAACATATATATAAAATGTGGAGTTGAGGAAGGCATCCTAGAGATCATTTTATCCAGTTCTCTTGCCCCCAAATTCAGGAATCCCTTTGATAACATCTCTTATGAGTAAAACTTAGCTAGCTTCTGCCCCAGAATTTCTAGTGACAGAGAAGAAATGCTTCTAACTGTTAGAGCTGTTACAGAACTCCTGTGGGTTGGGAGCATCCCAACTGATTAGAGTTCTGTTTTCAGAAGCTATGTAAAATAATACTGTTTTATCTTCTACATAAAACTCTTCTAATATATGAAAACTTCTGTTATGTGTCTCTGATTCTTATTTTTCTTTCGTATAAAATATGCTTAAATATCACCATTTCTTTCAAGTCTTCTTTGCCTGAACTTGTCAGTTGTAACTGCTGAGTCCTTTTTTAAGCCTATGAATTACTCGAGTCAGGTCGCCCATGTCTTCATATGGTTGATCATTTCAAACCTGTATAGAGCTATCATCTGGAGAATGATAAAAATGGCTAGAAATGTATTTTGAAAAGTCTAAACTGGTTCACTCTTGCAAATAACTGTTGCCTCTGTCATTATCTGGATATTCAGTTTTTGCCTAAACTTTTTTGCCAAGTTAGTCCCACAACCTTAATGTGATAGAAGAGATAAAGTCTTCTTGATTCTCCTTCCTTTTTTAGCATCTGCTCAAGTAGAAAATTCATTATGATTCCCCTTTCCTTTTTTGCTATTTCAACATGTTGCGATCATGCTACCAATTAGAAATTTTTGAGAGTTATCTGTGTTCTAAGTAAATTAATTAAAATACCACAATCATCTTAAAAGGTAGACATAGCCAAGTGCGGTGGCTCATGCCTATAATCTTGGCACTGGGAGGCGGAGGTGGGAGGATTGCTGGAGCCCAGGAGTTCAAGACCAGCCTAGGCAACAAAGTGAGATCCTGTCTTTATAAAAAAAAATAAAAAAAACTAGCCAAGTGAGGTGGCATGGGACTGTAGTCCCAGCTACTCAGGAGGCTGAGGCAGGAGGATCTCTTGAGTCTAGGAGTTCAGGCATGCAGTTGGCCATGTTCATGCCACTGCACTCCAGCCTGGGTGACAGACAGAGATCCTAAAAAAAACCCAAATCAAAATAACAACAACAATAAATTAATGAATTAAAAAATAAAAGATAGATATTATCTCACACATTTCATTGATAAAGAGCAGAGAGTGGTTAAACCAGCTAGCCAAGGACCTATATATAGCAAATTATCACCACAAGTGGCTTCCTCACTCACAATTTTCTATTCATACCACCACCTGTGCTACCTTTCTGTTCTGTTTCATACTTATTTCATTCGGTTTTGCAATATGATTGCTGGCAATCTTGCTTTTCAAGTAAATTGTAAGTGAGCTCACCTAAGGTTCACTTTTCAATTCATCTTTTTTTTTTTCAATTAACTTTAAGTGAGCTACCAAGGGGAAGATATGGTACGAAGTTTTGTATCTTTCTTATTATCAAGTACAGTGCTTTGGTTATATAGTAGGACTCTTAATAAATGATTGTTGAAATGAACATTTAATACTATAAATAACAATCTCCCTCAGGGCATGGAGTTGCTGGATATATGGTATACCAAATAACTAACAAGAATTTCATTTAAGTTTATGGTTTATTTTTTGTAAGTCACCAACGATTGAATACAATATTATCCAAGGTTTGTGTGTATATATGTGTATAAATCTCGGCGTGAGAGAGAGTGAGTGTGTGTGGTTTACGAAAACGTTAGGATAAATATTTAAGGAATTTTGATAAAATTGGCTGTATGTTAGTCTGGGAATTTTGTGGATGCCTGTAAGCATTGCTTAATGCTTACACTTTGGGCCTTTGCTCGTTATTAAACTTATCTGGACAAATGAGATTAAATAAAACAAACATATGAGTGGAAGGGCAAATTAGCACTAATGGGCCTAGTTTTATGTTACTGATTGTAAAATTATGACAGTGTTTTAAGAGCACTTGTATTAAACATTATCAACTTTCCATAAATTTGGCTTATACCTTCCGAATAGAGAACTAAGTAGCCATTTCTAACATGACGTTTTTAAACAAGAGCAAAAAATCAAGGCAGAGTTATTTGTTTTGTGCAGGCTTTGGGGCAAAGTTTTAACAAATTAGGTTTGACATTTTGGTAAATGTTAAACTATCTCATGGCATTTTAATAGCATTGGGATTTTTCTTGCCCTTACTTTACTGTCCAAAAGTTTGGGGACTTGGCAGAAAAGCTTGGGAAAACTGAAATTTCACTTCTCCCAATGTGGTATTGCTCATCCTAACTTAAAATAAACAACAACTAAAGAAGAATTTATGCTGGGCACAGTGGCTCATTCCTATAATCCCAGTATTTTGAGAGTCTGAGAAGGGGGAGTTGCTTGAGCCCAGGAGTTCGAGACTAGCCTGCACAAGATGGGGAGACCACATTTCTACAAAAAATTTTTAAAAAATCAGCAAGGTGTGGTGGCACATGCCTATAGTCCAGCTGCTTGGAAGGCTGAGGTGGGAGAATCACTTGAGTCCAACAGATTGAGGCTGTTGTGAGCCATAATTTCACCACTGCAGCCCAGCTTGGGTGACAGAAGCAGACCCTGTCTCAAAAAAAAGAAAACAAAAGAAAAGAAAAAAAGGGTTTTAAAGATAAGCTATGGTTACAATGCTTTTTCCATATAAATAATGCCCAGTTTCCAAAAAAATTGCCAAGACTAGCATAGCATTTATTTAGTTAGTTAAAAAGTACATGAGATGCAGATTAACCTGCAATATTACATGTTAAGTATTGCTTCAAAACACTTGGATGCAGGAACTGCTTTGATGAGAATAGAGAAAGGCTATTTGATTGTGGCCTTTCACAATAGGAGAAAAAGGTTCCTTTTCCCTATGTTAAAGAGGACCTTTTTCTTCTACATTAAAACAGTATTATGGGTATCTTTTAACATTTTTTAATTTAATTTTTAATTTCTTTTTGTAGAGTCAGAGTCTCACTGAGTTGCTCAGGCTGGTCCCAAACTCTTGGGCTCAAGCGATCTTCCTGCCTTGGCCTCCCAAAATTCTAGGATTACAGGTGTGAGCTACCACACTTGGCCAGGGATGTCTAATGTAAGTCTCCTGATCTGAAAAGGAAATTTTTTTTTTCTCCAAAAAGACAAACGTGGCCTGTTTTTTTTTACCTTTCTTTTCCTTGCTTTGTTCTGATTGAAACCTCTGGTTATAATGTTTGGAAAAGGAAATCTTAGAATATTTCATTGGAGTTGAGTGATTCTGCTGCAATATGTTTCTTTGGGTGTGGTGGACAGCTATCTGTGTGACTGGCAGATTTACTGAATGTTTTGATTTGATAGGGCTGAAGCCTGCTGCCATATCTTTTCAAATTCTCCTGCACTCATGCCTTCTGTCTACAGAAGAGCTGCTTATACTTGTTTGGATAATCCACTAATCTTGTTTTACTTGACTTTGTAGGGTTAGGGTTATATGTATACCCTGGGGCTTTTCCTCCCATAGTTCATCAACTTTTACTAACCATTTTCCCAATGTCTTCTGTGTTCTGATAAATTAATCCAGGCTATAATGCTATATAGATGGTAGTCACTTAATATGTTGACTATTCTTTTAGCATGTACACTGAATGTATTGCCTATTCCATTAGGAATTTTAAGGAATTTCCAGTATGTGAATTTGTTAATCTAAGAAAACATTCTTTACTAATTAGCATTTTGGTGGTAGGCCGGTAGGGGAAGATATATTTTGAACCCTAAGCACAAACTAGTACATTCTTTAATTTTTATTGCAGGACCTTAACTTGAATATTTGTATAATGATCAAAGTATATGGGTCTCCCTTTTATTGGCAACATAAAAGAGTTGTATACTAGACTGTGATTGGATATTTAAAAAAAGCTTAGTTGTCAAAAATTTTTTTATGAATGGTTGCTTGAAGGAAATATAATTAATTTATTCCTTTAGATATACCATATTATTTTGAAATAAAACCCAAGTATCAGAGATTTAACTACGTGAGTCATGTTACTTTGAAAGTTTACGTAACTATGCTTTGCTGCATTCATCAGAGGCTTTTGCACTTAAAGCTACTACCTGAAAGCTATATTAATCTACCCCACTCATTCTATTCACAGAATTGAATGATTGTAGGAGTTATAGAACCCAACATCCCACTTGATACAGTTTTTCCTTCACACTCTCCAGACTGAAAGGATGCAAACAGGATTGTTTGAAAATCTTCAGGCCTAGCTCCAGTCTAAAGCCTGATTGGCATATGCCTTACCAGATTATAGATGTTGTTTCAAAGAACAGACTAGTGCAGTATCTCTCAAAAGAACAGCATCCAGGACTGGGGGAAGTAGCATAACAGCAATTAAAAAATACTTGGGACTGGCCGGGCACAGTGGCTCACGCCTGTAAACCCAGCACTTTGGGAGGCCGAGGTGGGCGGATCACAAGGTCAGGAGTTTGGGACCAGCCTGGCCAACAGGGTGAAACCCTGTGTCTGCTAAAAAAAATATAATACAAAACAAAAAAATTGGCCGGGCGTGGTGCACATGCCTGTAATCCCAGCTACTTGGGAGGCTGAGGCAGAAGAATTGCTTGAACCCAGGAGGCAGAGGTTGCAGTGGGCCGAGATCGCACCACTGCACTCCAGCCTGGGCAACAGAGCGAGACTCCATCTCAAAAAACAAAAACAAACACACAAAAAACTTGGGATTTAAATAAACAATATGGAGTATTTTTTAAAGCATTCAAGGGGGTCAGAGTCTCCAAGCTTTGTAAGCTAAGAGATAGCTTGTACTCTGCTTGGTATAATCCCTCTCATGGTGGGAATTTTATCCGGACATTCCATTATCAAAGATCTTGAAATGGTAATAGTATGGAGATACTAGATAAATGTAATGTGACTTAAAATATCATTGTAATAATAATTTTTAAAATACTCATACTCTTCCATTTGGGGGTAAATTACACCTAGAATAGTATTCTCATTCTTATTCCTCAAGAAGAATTAATATTCTTTTGAGTCCTGTAATCAGTCATACCTAGTTTTGAGTTGCAATTAGGTAACTTCAATTGATGTGTTTTTATTGTTGCCACTGGAGACATATATCTATAGTAGAGAAAATTATAGGAATTTAAAGCTGAACACATTTTGATAAATGATAAGCATATAACAAGGAGTGTTTGCACTTGATTAGTTTCTTAGGAGTTGGACAGAAACAATCTTGAGCTGTCTCTCTTGTTGTTCAAGAATATAAAAAAACAGTAGCTCAAATGTAGTATCATTATTAACGGAATCTTATTTAAAGAATGATATGTCATTACTATCTCTATTTGAAAATGGCTTGGCCTGAAAGCCAAAGCCATTATAATTACATTAATGTTTAAAAAAAGCGATAATTGCCATAATAGGTATGAATTATTTCTATATTTCAAAGATAGATTAATGCTAGACATATCAAAATATGTTAACTACACTGAGAGGTCAAGATGAAATACGGACATTCCAATGAATGAATTGTCATAAAGGCAAGGTTCAGCATCCGTTCTTGATTTAAAAAAATTCTTAGTAAAAAGACAAGAACTTTTAAAAGTTTGACATAACATATCTGAACTCAACTACCGTTAATATTCTTAATGGTAAAATATTTCAGGCATCCCTAGCAAAATAATTGTTTTTAAACTACTAACCTATACAGTAAGAAAAAACACGTCGATTGCAAACAATGCAGTTGTCAACTTGGAAAATCCAAGAGATTAAACTGAAAAAAATATAAAGGTAGCAAGAATTCAGAATGGTGGTCCATTAATATATAAAATCAATATCTTTTCTATATTAAAAACGAATCTATCAGATAACAGTGTTGGAAAGAGTCCATTAATAACAGAAACTAAAAAGTTAACTAGAAATATACTTTGGGGTAAGAAAGGCCATTTTACCCATGACACTGAATTAGAAACCATAAAGAAAAAGATCAAGTCAGATTTCTGACCTTAAAAAAAAAATCTTAACCCAGTAAATGAAATTGTCAGGCAAAAAACAAACTGGAAAAATACTAAGTATATATGAGTTAAAATTAACATATAAAGAGTTATTGTAGATCAATAAGAAAATGGGTAAAAGTCATGAACAGTTATTTTGTTTAAAAAAATTTAAATAGCCAACAAACACCAAATGTCACATTTTACTGGTTATGAAAAATCTGATTAAGATGCTAATCCCATTTTACCTGTAAAATCAGAATATATTGAAAACAACCTCTGTGATGGTGGAAGTGTTGTGACCTGGTGTTCATATGAGATGCAGGTGGAAGTGGAAATCAGTGTTATTTTCTGTAGAGCATTGTGTACCTATATTAGAAAAACCTTAAAAACATGCATCTTGGGCTGTGTGAGGTGGCTCAGGCCTGTAATCCCAGCACTTTGGGAGGCCAAGGCGGGTGGATCACCTGAGGTCAGGAGTTTGAGACCAGCATGGGCAACATGATGAAATCCCGTCTCTACTAAAAATACAAAAATTAGCCGGGCGTAGTGGCACGTGCCTGTAATCCCAGCTACTTGGGAGGCTGAGGCAGGAGAATCGCTTGAACCCAGGAGGCAAAGGTTGCAGTGAGCAGATCGCACCGTTGCACTCCAGCCCTGGGGACAAGAGTGAGACTCTGTCTCAAAACAAACAAACAAACAAACAAACAATGCATCTTGTTTTGCCTAGCAGTTCTACAATTGGGAATTTAGCCAAAGTAAATAAATCATATATTAAAAGAGATGTGAATTAGGATGTTCATTGTGGTGTTATATGTATAAACGAAATTTGGAAGCAATCTGTATTTCCAAATAAAAGTAGGTAAATAAGTTGTGATACCGCATATAGTAAAAGGGCATTTACTGTCATCAGAATACACTTGAACAAGAAAATAATAACAAAAGATGTATTGTTTTTGTTGTACTTTGTTGTAGTCTGAATTTTTCACTGTTAAAACTCTTTGTTTTTGTAAGCAGAACAAGGTATTTTTAAAGTGGAAAGAAAGTGATGTGAAGGCTGATCTTGTAGAAATGTTTTCCTAAGATGCTTCTACCATGTCTGATCATGTCTATGTGGTTAAAATCCTGGCTCCTGAACTCACTAGCTCTGTGACTTGGGCAACTTCTCTGTGCCTTATTGTCCATCTGTAACTATGTATTAGAATTGTACCTACTTCAAAGAGTTGCTGTGAGGATTAAAGGAATTTATATGTGTACTTGGAGTAGTCTTTACATACAGCAAGGGCTCAATACATTTTATGGTTAATAAAGTAAGATGACTTTTTGGTGTGAACCATGGGAAAACTTCTACTCAGCTTTCGGTATCAGAAAAAGCTATGCATCTCCTGAAAAATATGTTTTAGTTAATCTAAAAATATAGTAAGCTTTAAAGCTTATTATGCTTCCTTCTTGCTTAGCTGCTAATTCATAAATTTTTAAGCCAAATTCAGCAACTATACCTTACTATAGTAAGGTATACCTTAACTATCCTTTACCAACTATACAGGACCAGATACATTTTCTCTGTGCTCATTTAACTCATTACTTTATTGTTTTATCACCAAAATTTCCCCTTATACTAGGATTGCTGGATCAAATATATGACACTCAGTTAAATTTTAATTCCAGATAAACAATGATTTTTTTAAAAATAGTGTTTTTCAACTATTACATAGAACATACTAACATTAAAAAATCATTTGCTATTTATCTCAAATTAAAATTTAACTATAGTCCTGTATTTTACCTGTGAAATTTGGCACCGTTATCTGATCCATTATGTTTATTTATTATTTAGTTGCTTCAGATCCTTTGTGGGATAATACTGGGAAATGAATAAACGAATATATAAATGAAAAAATGAATTAAAAAATATGCCCTGGGTAGAAGAAAACTTTGGAGATATTTCCTTAATCTCTGAGGGAAGGATTTCAGAATTTCTCCTCTGTAATGACCTAGTAATAGAATTGTAATCTACAATTTGTAGAATGGTCTTTTAAATTAATACAGAACATTCATTGTTTTTTCCCCTCCAATTCTGCCTCTCTCCCTTTCTCCCTCCTTCTTTCCTTTCCCTTTCTTTCCCTTCTTTTTCTAAAAGTTTTTTAATGTTAAAATTTTTATTATTAATTATTATAGATACGTAATAATTATACCCTTTCTTTTTTCTTCTTCATTTTCTTGTCTTCCATTTATCGTCCTTTCTTTCTTTTGCTTGTAGCTCTTCTTTCATTGATATCCCATTGAAAATGAACAATTTGGAAGAGTTTTAGATTCACTTATATTAGGAAAAAGAAGAACTATGAGAAAAAGATGAAAGGATTAGGGGTTATTCAACCCAGTGAGGGGAAGTCTGAGTACAAAGTGGTTTTTCAAATTCTCTTGGATCACCAGTAGAAAGGTCCTATATATTTGTTCTTTGTAGGCAATATAAGACAACAGTAGGAGTTTATGTGAACTTTATGTGACAAATATGGGAGGAACACATTACTGGCAAGGACATTGGGATTGATGATAATGCTAATTTCAGGTAAAATTATGAAATTTATCCACTTGGGAAATTCACTATGCAATTTATGTCCATAGGGAAGAGTCACAAAGTACATTCTGAAGTTCTCTTCCAAATATTTCAAATCATTCTGTCCATTTACAGCACCTTCTAAAAAGTCTTTTCCTCATCAGTTTGTATTTTAGAGTGAAATGCACGATGCTCTAGGGAATTAATTACTTCCTGACAATACTAATCCATGTTGGCTTATTCGCCTGTCCTAAATGATTACATATACTTTATTTTCAGCCTTCTCAAAAATGTTCCTGTTCTCTCTGTTTCTAGGTGGCTGCTACACCCCATGTAAAAAGCGGAAAATAAAATGAAGATTTTCCAGCGCAAGATGCGGTACTGGTTGCTTCCACCTTTTTTGGCAATTGTTTATTTCTGCACCATTGTCCAAGGTCAAGGTAATTGAAAACTTTGAGAATCAGTAGGGTCTGGGACTCTAGCTTTCTTGTTTCTGATTATCATTTTATTTTATTTATCCTAACAATATGTCGGCTTTTACTGAGTTTTACCAACTGTTTGCACTGTAGAAATATACACATCTTTGATGAGGATTACAACCTCACCAGTGACTGAGCATAGTGATTTTGTGGCAATTGGTTAAATAGGTCATTCTTTTTTTTTTTTTTTTTTTTGAGTCAGAGTCTTGCTCTGTAGCCCAGGTATGATCTTGGCTCACTGCAACCTCTACCTCTCAGGTTCAAGCAATTTTCCTGCCTCAGCCTCCCAAGTAGCTGGGACTACAGGCATGAGCCACCATGCCTGGATAATTTTTGTATTTTTAGTAGAAACAGGGTTTCACCATATTGGCCAGGCTGCTCTCGAACTCCTGATCTCGTGATCTGCCCACCTCGGCCTCCCGAAGTGCTGGGATTACAGGTGTGAGCCACCATGCCTGGCCTATTCTTAAAGTGCTTCTGAAAAGCCTGTGCAAGTTTAATCAGTGAAAGTCAAATTTTTATGTTATGATATCAGTTATATTAATAATGCTCTAATAATTAAATTGCTTTATGAATAAAGCCCTATTTTTACAGCTGTATTAATAAAGAACTGTAATGTGAGTGTGTGTGTATCCTAATCATGTCTTGTCTCTTACATAATGTACAGGATATTTCTATCATTTCATACCTGGTCCTTGATTTTGCCCCTTTTCTTAAAAACTGAGCACATAGTCTGAACATTATAAGGGCCTGACAGAGCCTGCCAATATGCCATTTCAAGCATTCCTAATGATTTCTAGCTTTGTTTTAATTAAACTTAATTTGTGAAATCTGCTCTTTGCATTCCTGGGATGGGAACTTTTATTTTTGATTTCCATTCATTTTTATAAAGTAAGTCTGGGGCTGAAAAACTACCTGTGGGCCAAATCTGGCCCACTGCCTATTTTTATAAATAAAGTTTTAGTGGCGCACGTCATGCACATTTGTTTACATATTGTCTGTGGCTACTTTCATGCTACAGTGACAGAATTAAACAGTCATGACAGAAACTATGTGTCCCGCAAAGCCAAAAATATTTATCTGAAAAGAATGTGCTAACTTCTGAATATGCACAACTGTGCAAAGTGATATTATTAGACAAACATGGGAATCTACAGAGACTGAAGTGTTGGTGATGAAATGTTATTTATCAGCTGAGCAAGGAATTGTAAATGTGATAAAGTGATTTTAGGAATGCTAATGTCTAATGTTTGGCATTGAGGGTTGTAGAAAAGATCAATGCATGAACCACCACACACTGTTTCCTTTAAGGGAGGCGTACCTGTTTGGAAAGGAATGGAACTTGACTTTTTGCATCCACAAATTGCTATTATACACCTGGGGTTAAGGAACTGTATTTCCAACTACTTCATTGAACACACAGCAGGCAGTTTGGTAGACACATTCTGCTTATGTTATTTATGTTGATGAAAGAATGCTTTTAGCTGTGGCAATTAGGAAATTCTAGATCACTTATCTTCTAAACTCCAGGATACAAGACACAGATTCTTAGAAACAAAGGGCGGGCAAGTTGCTAAGCCCTCCAGAGTTGCTATCTCAGTCTAGCATAATTCAGAAGTGGTAATTTGTGGAATAACTGATCATATATAGCTCTTACGGGATACTTTCAAGGATGCTGTCTACCAGATGAATATTGTTAGCCAAATTCTGTTTTTTCATTTTTTTTTTTTTTTTTGAGACGGAGTTTTGCTCTTGTTTCCCAGGCTGGAGTGCAATGGCAAATGGCGCAGTCTCGGCTAACTGCAACCTCTGCCTCCTGCGTTCAAGCAATTCTCCTGCCCTAGCCTCCCAAGTTGCTGGGATTACAGGCATGCGCCACCAAGCCCAGCTAATTTTGTGTTTTTAGTAGAGAGGGGGTTTCACCATGTTGGTCAGGCTGGTCTCGAACTCCTGACCTCAAGTGATCCACCCTCCTTGGCCTCCCAAAGTGCTGGGATTACAGGTGTGAACCATCGTGCCCAGCCACCAAATTCTGTTTTAAGTGAACACTTATGGGGCATATTCTATGTGTCAAGTTCAAGATACAAAGCTAAATAAGACCTATTTATTTATTTATTTTTTGCCTTCAACCAGGTTACTGTGTACTAGGGAGACAGGGCTGTAAGCAAATAAATTGCAATATAAGTTATGTTGGGGGTGAAGTGTGGCAGAGACAAAGATGGAAAGATAGATTGCAGCCAGATTATGGAAGATTTTAAACAACTCTGTTTTTGAGAAAAACACTCTAATAGCAATATCGATGATTCTCATATTTGCAACTCATGGGGGTTTGAGGGATAGGAACAAACAAGTCATGAGAGATCATTAAAATATACTAAATTGTCCATGAAATAGGTGTTGAAGGCTGGAAGTAGGCAATGTGATTAGAGAGAATGCATCTAAGAATCATTTAAGGGGTATAAGAGAGAAAAGTTGTCTGCTGATTATAAGTGGAGACAGACAAAAGATAGGGAAATATTGAAGATAAATCAAGTTTCTTGATGGAGACCTGAGCAGATAGGGTCTTTCATCTTGACCCCTGTGTCATTACTGCTTCTATATCTTTGCATTGTAATTGTTTATTTACCTCAGCTCATAAAAGCCAATAGTTCTCTCTTTAGTGTCTGTATCTCCAGTACAGAGCAATGTTTCAGTCATAGTAGACATTTGTTGAAGAGTTTAAACAAGTAGAAGACAATGAGTTCAGTTTTAGACAAATATATGGAGCTTAAGGTGTCTGTGGGACATTCAGGTGGAGATGGCTGGTAGGCAGTTGGTGGTCTGGAGTTTAGGGAAAAAAGATCAGCGCAGGAGATTATATTCGAATTGTATTTTATTTAGGAATTCACTTATAAGGATTTTTGAAGCCTTAGAACTAGAATTAGGAAGGGATATCAAAGTGGAAAGAGGTGAGGATGAAGTCTGCCAAACATCAATAGAGTTCAATAAGAGTTTAATAGAAGAAAAATGACTGATTGAAAGAGTAAAAAAAAAAAATCCAACATCAATTATAAGGAGAGTCAGGGGAATGTAGTGGATGATAAGTGAAGGCTGGAGAAATTTTCAAGAAGGAAGATGGTGGCTGCACGCTGGGGGAAACCTCAATAAGAAACGCTTTAGAGGCCTTTGGTTTTGCTGATTAGGAAAATATGAGACCTTTGAGAAACCTCATCTTATTTCTACCATTACGCCTCTTATTTACGTGACTGATTTTGAGCAAGGAATAAAAAATATGAATTGCTTTATTGGATTGATTTTCTGCTTTTAAAGCAAATTTAGTAGTGAGTTCCTGTGGGTTGGCCAAATTTGACATTAATTTGCAAAGCCAAATAGACATTTTCAGAGAAAAAAAAATAGTCTGGTGGCTCACGTCTATAATCCCAGCACTTTGGGAGGCTAAGGCAGGCGGATCATGAGGTCAGGAGTTTGAGACCAGTCTGGCCAATATGGTGAAACCCCGTCTCTACTAAAAATACAAAAAATTAGCTGGGCATGATGGTGCGCGCCTGTAGTCCCAGCTGCTCAGGAGGCTGAGGCACGAGAATTGCCTGAACCTGGGAGGTGGAGGTTGCAGTGAGCTGAGATGGTGCCACTGCACTCCAGCCTGCACAACAGAGCAAGACTCCGTCTCAAAAAAAAAAAAAAAAAAAAAGCAAAGTCAGTGTGGTAGGCAGAATAATGTACCTGCAAAGATATTCACATATAATCTTCAGAACTAGTGAATATGTTATATGGCAAGGGGGAATTAAGATGTCAGATTGAATTGTTTGTTAATCAGTTGACCTTAAAATAGGGAGGTTAGCCTGGATTTTCTGGGTGGGCCCAATGTAACTGCAAAAAGTTTTAAATATGGAAGAGGGAGATAGGGCAGCCAGTGTCAGCGGCCAGGTGAGAAAAACTTGGCTGGGTACTGCTGGCTTTGAAGATGGAAAGAGACCACAAGTCAAGGAATGTGAGAAGCCTCTAGAAGTTAGAAAAGGCAAGACAATGATTGATTCTCCCCTACAGAAAGAAATTCAGCCCTTCCGACACCATCCTTTTAGCCCGGTGAGATTGATTTCAAACTTCTGACCCCTAGAACTGTAAGATAGTACATGTCTGTTGTTTTAAGCCACTAAGATTTTGAAATTTATTATAGTAACGATAATCAACGAATATAGCTAGTATTAAAAGACATTCAGTATGGCTCACGTCTGTAATCCCAGCACTTTGGGAGGCAGAGGCGGGCGGATCACGAGGTCAGGAAATCGAGACCATCCTGGCTAACACGGTGAAACCGCGTCTCTACTAAAAATACAAAAAAAATTAGCCGGGCGTGGTGGCGGGCGCCTGTAGTCTGTAGTCCTAGCTACTAGGGAGGCTGAGGCAGGAGAATGGCGTGAACCTGGGAGGCGGAGCTTGCAGTGAGCCGAGATCGCACCACTGCACTCCAGCTTGGGCGACACAGCGAGATTCCATCTCAAAAAAAAAAAAAAAAAAAAAAAAAGACATACAGGAAATTAATTCTTGCTCCTTAATTGCTAATCCACAGAATGTGCTTTACCATTTAGTCTCTCCATGGAATATTTTATGAAAAATGTTCCCTCTCCAGGACCTGTGAACCTACATTGGCTCAAATAACTGTTTAAACCTGGATTATTCCAGCATCTTCTTTTCAAGACAACTTGTTAAATGAACTAGAATACAGAAAAAGTAGTGTGATGGCTGTAGGAGAAAAATGCGTACAGCAATAACAGAGTGATGGGATCCACACTTTCTTGGAAATTTCACAGTAAATATGTACCTGGTTCTAGCGATGTTTGTTTTGGATGGTTACAGGAGGGAGCCACTGAAGGTAAAATAACTCATTTAAAAACCTCGACGCATAGAAAATTGGAGACTTCGCATAGGGGCTAGCTTTAACTTTATAAAGACCTCTGTGTTCACACGTTGACACATATTTCTTGCTGTTAGTAGCCAAACACATTTGAAAAGTTGAGAATATTTTCCTTACAGCTGTTTTCAGCATCTTTATAATGGATCATGAAATTACAACATATGAGGTTCTAAACCACATTAAAAAAAAATCCCTGTAGCATATCCTACAGTAAAAGTCTCTCAAAATTTAATTGCTCCGATTTATAAAACATTTAGGCAGTACATTTAACTGAAAAAAATGACTAACATAAAAAGCTAAAGTTTTTGTATTTTATTTTATTTGTTGAGCCAGAGTCTTGCTATGTCGCCCAGGCTGGAGTGCAGTGGTGCGATCATGGCCTCCACGTCCTGGGCTCAAGTGATCCTCCTATCTCAGCCTCCTGAGTAGCTGGGACCACAGGCCCATGCAACCACACTCAACTGATTTTTGTATATACTTTTTAGAGATGGTGTTTTGCCATGTTGCCCAGGCTGGTCTCAAACTCCTGGGCTCAACGAATCTGCCTGCCTTGGCCTCCCAAAGTGCTGGGATTACAGACATGAGCCACTGTACCCCGCCAATAATCAAAAAAGAATTTTTTTGTTTTTAGATTACTTGGAAAAATAGCCAAATACTTTTCTGCTGTTTAAAAGTCTTTTAAAAATAAATATAATTGGTTGCCCTATCAACTTAGCATCCTAAAATATGTTTTAAAGAGGTAAAAACTCTCAATGTGATTCATGCTGCATTATCTTTATCAGCCAGAAATTTTTGGTTGTGAATAAAATAAATTTTCTCTGGTCAACTAAGCAAAAATGTATTCACCAGTAGGTAATGCAGTAGCTCATATAATCAAAGTAAAAGTAAATAATCAAGCTTTGAAAAGGAT
This sequence comes from Homo sapiens, assembly GCF_000001405.40. Taxonomy (NCBI): domain Eukaryota; kingdom Metazoa; phylum Chordata; class Mammalia; order Primates; family Hominidae; genus Homo; species Homo sapiens. The sequence goes on from NC_000008.11 coordinate 120,153,795, forward strand.
AGGAATCTGGGAAATCCTCTGGGATACAGTCTGTAGAAACTAGTGACCATTTTCCTTAGGGCATGTCATTGGAATGACTGGAGTTATTTTCCATCCTTGCATCACTGGAGTCAAGTTTCAGATTCTTGGGAGAGTCTGCTTGACCGGGTTTAAGTGATTTTCCCAGACTTTAGCCGGGGGAGGATGGTTGGCCCTATGCAGTGGGGGAGGTAGTGTTGTTCGTTGGAAGAAAACCAGGATGCTGTCATATAAGGAAGAGGAGATGCGATTATGGGTAGGGAAGAACACAAGATGTCCATTTCAGTGTCCCTATGTAAAAACTAGCGTTTTAATAAACAAATGTGAATATTTTATTAAAATAAGTATCTTTACGTAGATTGTCACTTGACAAAACCGTAAGCGTTCAAATTCAGATGAGAAGAAAGGAAGGAAAGAAGGAGGGAAGAAAGGGACAGCCAAAAGTCAACTCTTTAATGAGTAGATTATGAAACAGAATTTCGTAAATGCTTGATAATAGTGAGGCTTCAATGACATGACATAAACATTTCTCTCCTGCCTATGAGCCTCTATGGGAATGATTGCAGTGGTATTCTTTGAGCTTAAAGAAAATCTTCCTTCACAAACAAAGCACAACACAGCACAGCAGAATAAAAATGCCCCTACACTTTCAGTAACAAGCCTAACTCTGCAGTGGAGTGGAAGATAATGGGTAGCCGCTCCTCAGTCTTCCCCCTCAGTCTCCCTTTGGGATGATGTTTATATATTCACAGATCTTATATCAGGCCTAATCTCATGTGCAATCTCATCTTTTACACTTCACCATGCAAAGGATGAGTCTGTTGGTTTCCTCTGGGCTCTTGGTGTGTGCTGGAAATCAAACTTTACACTTGATGTTCGTCTTTTTTAAAAGATTAGGATTTGAACTGACATAAATTAATTTTTCAGTCAAGTTCATGCAAACGTTTATAATTATTAATGGAAGTTAAGTATATGTTAAAAAAAAGTACTTCCTTTGTGCTTGCAAACAGAAAAATCATGGGTCTGGTATAAAATGTACACAAAGTTTTGTTCCATGAGATAAGAGCAATTATTTCTCCATGGCACTTAAAGCATTTCTGTCAATCCTGCCGCCCTTGCTTTGGCTCCAGTCCCAGTGCCTTCTGAAAGGGGGAAAAAACCTAACTTTGAAATCCACAGCTGTGACCTCAGGCCTCTTTCTTTTTTAACTAGCATTTCTTCTTTTCAATATTTTTTACCCTAAAGGCAAAAACCTAAAGAAAATGTGTATGTTATGTTTAACCAAGATCTCCTTTTGATGACTGTGAGGGTATTTATGCTTCTATAGGCAATAGATGTGGTCTGTTGCTAAAAGGTAATAATGATATTGTTTTTGGCTAGCAGTTATAATGGGAATGTAGACAGTTGAATCATTTGTAAATTAATGAAAGAGTAGAGTATTGATGGATTTGGTCGTTGCATTTGCTTCAACAGTTTTACACTTTGTTTTCTTGAGCAATTGAATGGAAGCCGATGCCACTCTTGGTTCTAGAACACCATCCAGATTACCTGAACATGCTCCACGTTGCCCTCATTTTCTACTGGAGATTTGGAAGCCAAATCTTAGTCTATTGACTAAGAGATGTTGAGGGCTATAAACTCAGATGACATTTAAAGAATAGTAGCATGGATAGAAAATTTAGTAATTTTTAACCTAGGAATCCTGAATGTTGTTTGCTGTTTTGAGATGTCAACACACCTGGAGTGCTAATGGAATCAATGATTCTCTTGGAATTTCCTAGATTGAAGCCTCCATCCTATTTGTACTTTTCCACTTGATGGTTCCCCAGACAGCTTTCTTTCAGCAGCTCATTCATGCAAAAACTTGGGCGATGACATTTACTAGTCCACTGACTTGATTTTACTCAGAAACTTGCATATATTTTTAATATTTAAAAATTCTTACTTTTAATTTTCTTCCATAAGTAATAAGAACCTATCTATTAATAAATTTTCTTCTCAAGTTGATGACTAAGCAAAATAGTAACAGTTTTCTGTTCATCCAAATGTTAGGTTCAGCACCTTCCTCTTCCATTTGAAAAAAGTTATTCTTATGATAAATTTATGCTTTCTCATTAGCCAGAGAAATGTAAACTCTTTCTTCCATTCATGTCACATTGAGAACAGGAAGCTAATGTTTTTATTCAGCATGGCTAGCATTCTCTACTTAGAGATAGTAAAGGACAAATAGAAAGAAAATCTATTCTTAAGATTGTGTCTTTCAGTGCTTACTGATTTCAGATGCTTTCATCTGATTTCATACTGATTTCAGTTTGTGGAGCAGTAAATTCTTCATTCATCTAGCTCAATGAAGGGTGACTTCTTTTTTTTTTTGAGATGGAGTCTCTCTCTGTCTCGTCCAGGCTGGAGTGCAGTAGCCTGATCTCAGCTCCCTGCAGTCTCCGCCTCCTGGATTCAATTAATTCTCCTGTCTCAGCCTCCTGAGTAGCTGGGACTACAGGCGTGTGCCACCACACCTGGCTAATTCTGTATTTTTAGTAGAGATGGGGTTTCACCGTGTTGGTCAGGCTGGTCTCAAACTCCTGACCTCAGGTGATCCACCCGTCTTGGCCTCCCAAAGTGCTGGGATTACAGGCATGAGCCACCCTGCCTGGCCGAGGGTGACTTCTTAATATGAATCATCTTTCAAAGAAACAGTGCATTTCATCTGGGGTCAGAGATTGTCCTTCATCAGTATGTGAACTTGGGCAAGTGCTTTAGTTGCACCTTGGTTCCTTTATCTATAAAATTGGAATAGCAATGTATGTTTCGAAGATTAAGTGAGCTTTTAAGCTGAATCATTACATGAAGTAGGGGAAAGGGAACAAATATTTATTGACTCCCTATTATAATGCATTATATTCATGATATCCATTATCCTATTTAAAGTTGTCATCTCTCCTTTGCAAAAAGTATTGCCATCACCTTTTCTAAAAATAAAGAAACTCAGGTTTTGGAAGAAACAATAACCTGCTCAAGGTTATTAGCTAAGTGGTAGAACCAAGAATGAAACTAACAGCCAAACCCCATGTTATACCCCATGCCTATGTAGGAGAATGTTTGTTTCTTTTCTGTACACTCTGTTTTTTAAAATGAGAAAGAGAGACTGGGCTTAAAAGTGGATAAAAAAGGCTAACTTTTCCATGAAGTATTAACTTTTCTTTTCTAACAAACTAATTTAGAGAGTATGTAATAAAAACGTTCTTAGCTTTTTTGAAATACTGGAACATTTGTGTAGTGTTCCAGAAATGTGTTTTGAAGTTTGAATGACCTACACAAAAAGTAACACAAAAATGAGTACATTTTTGTAAACTGTCAGAAAAGATAAAACATTCTGGGCTGATTCATGACCATGTGCTTTGTATCTTTCTGACAGGTATAAATCAGCTATCCTTGAAAACTGGATCCAAGTTTATAAAACATAATTATTTTACTTGGTCTTGAATGCCTTTACAATCATTTTCTCAAATGTTTTTAAATGAATATCTTATTACCATAATATATCCGTAATAGCCCTCTCAAATTATCATATAATCAAAAATATTGAATTACCAAAGTGAAAAACCTAAGGACAAACAACAGGTCTCAGTAGAGTAGATTATAGAAGCTCACATGTTTCAAGGAGAAAAATTTATCCTTGTAACATAATGAAAGCATTTTACAAAATTAGCTTCAATTATTAAACTAGGCTAGAGTATTACATTCTAACACTTGGTCTTAGTTCTTTGTCATAAGGTCACTACTGTTTGACAAATGGATATCCCTTGGGTAAGAAACAAATGCCTTTAGTTTTGTGTTATCTTGCAAACTGATCAGTTCATTAGTGAGGTTGTAAAAAATAATATATATTATGGCCAGGCGTGGTGGCTTATGCCTGTAATCCCAGCACTTTGGGAGGCCGAGGCGGGTGGATCCTGAGGTCAGGAGTTCAAGACCAGCCTGGCCAAGATGGTGAAACCCCGTCTCTACTAAAAATTCAAGAAAATTAGCCGGGCGTGGTGGCACGTGCCTGTAATCCCAGCTACTCAGGAGGCTGAGGCAGAGAATTGTTTGAACCCAAGAGGCAGAGGTTGTAGTGAGCTGAGATCGTGCCACTGCACTCCAGCCTGGGCAACAGAGCGAGACTCCCTCTCAAAAAGCATATGTATATATATTATATATTTTGAGGCTGATGAAGTCTTTTGTGTGTATTTTTATTATACTACTTTGACTTTCTGATTTAACAAATAGAAGCTTAAATGTTACAATGTTTACATCATTTTTGTTCTTCCTTTTCAGTGGCTCCACCCACAAGGTTAAGATATAATGTAATATCTCATGACAGTATACAGATTTCATGGAAGGCTCCAAGAGGGAAATTTGGTGGTTACAAACTTCTTGTGACTCCAACTTCAGGTAAAAACAATTGACTTTGTTTTGTAGAGCATTAGCAACTTTTCATGCATAGGCAACTAAAAACATGTAGTGCCAAGCATTGTGTTAGGATTTTTTGGAAGCTTTTGGTTTGTTTAATCTTCAGTGTTTAAAATCTTACCCTCTAATCAAGGTAATAATGTTCCCCAAAGAGTAAAGAATGACTCTTGGCTCCAGTTCTTTTTAGACCAAATAATCAGACAATCAACAAGTTTTATTTTCTCTGTTTAGTCATAAAATGAATACTTTGAATTCATTGGAACTTAAATATACAATGCACCTGAATGTCCAATAGTTTTGACTAGTTGAATAAACTATTATTAATTAACTCAATAGAATAATATTCAGCATTATACATTGAAATTAGAAAGGCTAAGTGGACATTGTGAAAATAAGTGATAAGGCAGGAAAAACATAAGTTGAACACATTTTTTGATCATGAATAGTTATTTAAGGATGCTTTAAATTAAGCATCTTTATTTTAAAGATGATACTTAAATGATGCTTAAAGATACTTTATTATTTAAAGAAGCTTTAAATTAAGTGTCTTTAAATAATGAAGTATCTTTCAACATCATTTGGTTGAATTTTTCTTTCTCATATTTTATGTTTTTATTATATGAATATAATAAGCTAAAATAATACAGACCATATAGGGAAATTGCCTCTGCTACATGGTTGTTATGAAGATGAAGATGGGATCAACAACTGGATTGCTTGAATTCAAAACTCGATTCTGTCACTTATAAGTAGTGTGATTCAGGCAAGTTAATGACTCAGTGCCTCAAGTTTCTTCTATACAATGAGCAAACAATATTTGTACCCACCCCATGGAGTTTTCTATGAATTTGCAACTCAAGGTTGATCTGGGATCAGCAGCATTGGCATTACCTGAGAGCTTGTTAGAAATGCAGAATACTGGGCTCTACCCTTGACCTCTTCAACCAGCGTCTGAATTTTAAAAAGATCCCCAGGTGATTCCTATGCACATTAAATTTGGGAAGTACTGGTTGTGAAGACTAAAATAAATATAAAGCCCTTAGAACAGTGGTGCCATATAGTAAGTGCTCAGTAAATGTTACCTATGATTGTCATAAAGATGCTCTCAGGTCCCATTAGTTCTCCAAGGATCCATTTTCACACAGTACATAATAAGTACTTAATAATACATATTTGTATAATATATATTTATGTAAACATAATTATTTTTTCTTTTTATTGGTGATAAAGAGGGTTATATGGAGCTACAAGCCTTTCAGTGGTAGACCTTTTTCCAAAAGATACAGTGAAGGAGACAGATGCTGTATTGTTCATTAATGTGGACGTCTTACTCAACAGTTGACGTAAACATTCAAACAAGACAAGCAGATGAAACACCTGGTTTCTTGCTTGGTCACCAAAAGGCCAAATCTTTTATTTATTTTTTAATTTTTTAAATTTTTTGAGACTGAGTTTCGCTCTTTGTTGCCCAGGCTGGAGTGCAGAGGTGCAATCTCGGCTCACTGCAACCTCTGCCTTCTAGGTTCAAGTGGTTTTCCGCTCTCAGCCCCCTGAGTAGCTGGGATTACAGGTGCCCGCCACCATGCCTGGCTAATTTTTATATGTTTAGTAGAGATGGGATTTCACCATGTTGGCCAGACTAGTCTTGAACTCCTGACCTCAGGTGATCCACCTGCCTCAGCCTCCCAAAGTGCTGGGATTACAGGTGTGAGCTATCACGCCCAGCCTGATATATCTTTCATTAAGAAATATTATCCGTAGACTCATTAGAATGACTTCTGGTTGAGCAATACCAGATGTCCACTTTTCCCATGGTGGCGTACAGAAGTGACTTGCTTATGGAAAACAATATTTGCAAACCTTGTTCAGAGTTTTCATTTTGGAGTATGACTCAGTTATGAAATTTCTTTGATTTTTAAAAATATAGCTTATTTTTTTAAAAATAAGCTATCATGGGAAATTTAAATTTAAAAGATTCTTGAAGATTTATGATTCTAAAGGTCAAAATACAAGTTACTATTTTTTGTTACCTCTGAGAATCCCTCATGTCTGATCTGGAAAGGTAATTTTTTTTCCTTCAAGTGATTGGTAGCTTAACTTTTTTTGATTAATTGCTGATAATACCAAACTATTAAGTACCCCCAAGCAAGTGTTACTGAGGAATCACAGAATTGTAGAAGTGACTTGGGTAGCCTCTGAAACAAACCTTCATCTGAATGCTTCAATCCTCTCTTGAAGAGTGCACCCAAGAAGTAGATGTCTAGTTCTTGCTTAGACATCTCCCATGATAAAATAAAAATTGGGAATGAAAGCAAATTATTTCTTCATAAATGCTAGGTTTATTTTCCACAGTGTTCTTACCGCAGCAACCCAAGACAATCAGTCTTGACAATCTGGTATCTATTTGATTAAACATAGTAAATAAAGAGTAATAAATACATTTAGCTGCAAAATGTTTATAGCTGTTTCAACACTATGAGATATGGTCCAACTATTGTTTCTGCCAGCCTTTCTGAAAGCATGTTCCATGGTATTCTGTAGGATGCTAATAGCTATTATATAGCTAAATAGTTTAATGGTCAAATAAATTTGGGAAATGCTGGTTTAAACAGAGTTTAAAGCTTTTTTTGTTTGTTTGTTTGTTTCAGGAATCTCAAAGCCTTTAATAAAATAATACACTCCATAACTCTCAAAGAGGGACTCTAATATACAGGGTTTGTTTTTTGAGAAACTTTTTTTTAGTGAAACACACATTGTGAAAGATATATTAGGTGCACTTTGTAGTAGATGAGTTTTAAATGACAGAAGTTCCTAAAACCAGATTTAACATCTTGAACATAAACGCACATAAGGAAATGGGTTTTGGCAAGAGAAAGACTCCATTTTGCCCTCCAGTAGCAGGCAGCCCAGATAATAGCAGCATCAAATTTCAGATTTAAAAATATTAATTTTATTGGCATATGATTAAATTATAATCTGTATTATGTTTGATTAATTCAGCAAATTTCAGTCTTCTCTTGCTGGTACTGCTAGAGAGACAGAAGTTTTAAATTAATTTTCCTTTTCTCAGACACATAATTGCAGGCAAAAATTAGAGAAGAAAAGTAAAATTTGGAATTCTGCATAAAAGTTGAGTATTTATCATCAGCACTTTCAAGAAAGCCTTAGATGTCAGTGTAACCTGATGGAGAGGTAATGGGATTTTGAAATCTTTTCATGAACCAAGCCAACTTTTAAGTAGCCAGTCAATGAGTGATTCCTTCAGCATCCTCAGCCATTTGTGGTCAGATTTAAGATAATTAAATTGCTCATGTTTCAAGGATGCTTTGACTCACTTTAGAGAGGCTGTAGAAAAAAATTCCAGTGTAAATAATTACCTTCGGCCTGCCCATATCTCCCCTTCACATTTTTTTTTTGAGGCGGAGTCTCGGTCTGTCACCCAGGCTGGAGTGCAGTGGCGCAATATCGGCTCAACTGCAACCTCTGCCTCCTGGGTTCAAACGATTGTCCTGCCGCAGCCTCCTGAGTAGCTGGGACTACAGACAAACACCACCACGGCTGGTTAATTTTGTGTGTTTTTAGTAGAGACGGGGTTTCACCACATTGGCCAGGCTGGTTTCAAACCCCTGACCTGAGGTGATCTGCCTGCCTCGGCCTCCTAAAGTGCAAGGATTACAGGCGTGAGCCTCCTCACCTGGCCTCCCCCTTCACTTTTAAGTGGAATTCTTTCCTTGAAGAGTATATCTGATGTTGAGGGCTTGCTGTCCTGTAATCTTGTACTATGGCTTTTCCTGCTATATAAAAGCAGTAGTGTGTTATGATGAAATATTTTTGTGAATTTGGTTTTCTCTAATTTCGACAATTGTTAGTTATCTAATGTAAAAAGGGTACAGCTAAAAAGGAAGATGGAAACTATTTTATAATTAGGTGCAATACACATATATACCATTGTATGTATTTTTAAATGTCTTCACCTCTTGATGTATGTAAAAAAATCATGATGTACACTCTAAATATATACACTTTAAAATATATACAATAAAACACATTTCAAAAAATGCCTTTACTGTTTAACACCATAATTGCTAACTAATAAAGTTTCTTAATGTACACAGTGGACCTTATTTCTTAGAACTGATTTATTTTTCTCTTTTATTATAGGTGGAAAAACTAACCAGCTGAATCTGCAGAACACTGCAACTAAAGCAATTATTCAAGGCCTTATGCCAGACCAGAATTACACAGTTCAAATTATTGCATACAATAAAGATAAAGAAAGCAAGCCAGCTCAAGGCCAATTCAGAAGTACGTATTTACAGTTCTCAAAGCACCTCCGCAGGACTCTGTCCCAGCCTTGGATTTGAGTCTGTGATATATATTCTACAACTTAAAATTCTAGATTTTTCAGATTTATAGAGATCCTAGAAGACCTTCAGTCTTACCTTCAACGAATTCCTCTGATCTCTAATACTTTGCTACCCTTCCCTTTCCCCCATTTTGCTATATTCTTACTTATCCTTTATGCTTTAGTTTCCAATGAACTTCTTAACATTGGCTCCTGAACCTTACCCAGACATCTCTCCTATGTGATTTCTTAGCATCTAGAGCTTCCCTTCTGGTACTATAACACCATATTGTAATTGCTTATTTACTTCTCTGTGACCCCTAGAAGCCTGCAAGTTTTGCAAAGACTGTAACTCAATGATTTTTATTTCTCATTGTATCACAGTTGCATATTACAGGCCTGGCATATAATGGGCGCTCCATGAATATGAATGTCTGAATGGATAATGCCTGCATCTCCTCTGTAGGATCCCCAGAAGGCGCCAGTCCAGGCTCTACTAAAACAGCCTATGCAACAGGGAATTTAATTCTTTCCAATTGTTAATCAGTTGACACAGGGACTGTTCTATGCCAGTCTCCATGATAAGCTGATTTGTCAACAAATACAATGTGATAAGTATTGGAGAGAGTACATATAGGACTCTGTGAAGAGAGGTACTCTCTCTGCCCGAGTAATGGGCTGTGGAGAGGATAGGCATGGGAAAGCTTCATGTTTGAGCCAGTTCTCAAATAGTAAATTGGGCATTTGGAGAAAGGATAGGGTGTGCAGAGGACATTCTAAGAGGGAGTGAAAGCTCTGCGATGGTCCAATCAATGTCCACACAGTTCCTTAGGAAGCATTTCCTTAGATTGAGTTTAAAAATGGTCCACACAGGCTGGGTGCGTTGACTCATGCCTGTAATCCCAGCACTTTGGGAGGCCGAGGCGGGCGGATCACCTGAGGTCAGGAGTTCGAGACCAGCCTGACCAACATGGAGAAACCCTGTCTCTACTAAAAATACAAAATTAGCCGGGCGTGGTGGCACACACCTGTAATCCCAGCTACTTGGGAGGCTGAGGCAGGAGAATCGCTTGAACCCAGAAGGTGGAGGTTGCAGTGAGCCGAGATTGCGCCATCGCCCTCCAGCCTGGGCAACAAGAGCAAAACTCCATCTGAAAAACAAAAAATAAAATAAAAAATAAAGATCCACACAGGCCCTGATTCTTCTGTCTCTCAGGAGACATTCATTCATTCTTTTTTTTTTCTGTTGAACAAATGTACGCCACATGCCTACTAAGTGCCAGACTGTTTTCTAGGCACTTGGGCACATGACAAATCCCTGCCCCTATGAATCTTATAGTCTAGTGACCAGAGACTACAGCAACATCCTCTTCCTGAAAGCAGTGTTTCAAATGTGAAGGATAAAAATTTTGTATTGTGAATGCAAACAGAAGAGACCTAGCCTAGTTAACTTTCTGTTACTTCATTGCTAAAACAGACTCTTTTAAAAAACCCAATTTATTATTAAGGACAATTTAAAGCATAATAAAAAATCATCAGAATAGTATAATGAACCCCTAAGTAGCCATCATCTGGCTTCAGCAATTAGCTGCTCAGGGCCAGTCTTATATCTTCTATCTTTCAAACCCTTTGCCTTATTATTTTTTGAGGAAATCACAGACATCATTTCAAGTAGATTTTTTTCTAAATTTTAAACAATAGCTTTTAAAATCCTACCATAAGATGAATCCATAAATCTGTGAGGTGGTGGGTATGGAACTTTTTGTGCAGCAATGTTCTATCTAGATTTTTTACACCCCTTCCCTCCCTTTTTTCTCTTCCTCTTGTTGGTAATATTTTGTGAGACTTATAGGCTGGTGCAAAAGTAATTGCAGTTTTTGCAATTACTTTAAATTGGAAAAATCGCAATTACTTTTGCACCAACCCAATATTTTGTGAATATTTTAAAAATTTAAAAGAAAACACAACTTGGTTAAGTTACCTCTTGAAACTTCTGAACAAAGACATTTGGCAAATTCACCTGTCAGCAGGACATACACATGTTGTAAATGTTACATTCTTTTGAGATTCACTTTGTCTGGGAGCTTTGGAAAAGGTTTTTATGTTAATTTTGGTTTAAATCAGCCTTCTGTCTCATTTTACTGGCACTGCACTTTAGTTTCTGGCCTCCAACATTCCTGCATGAGTTGCTGAAATAACTTCACTTACAGTTTGTGAGAAGCAGTAAAAGGGATAAGGAGAAAAGATTCATCTTTCTCTAGTCTGAGGTTTTGCAATTGATTATTTCAAACATTCCACTGATTGAACAGGGGAAGAAACACAGAGAGTCATATAAATCTTCCCAGGCTACTTCTTCAAAACACATAAAAGGAAATTCATTTGTTTCCATCTTGCTTAACTCTGCTAAGATAGCTGTAGAGAAACAATATAACTTTTAGCCAGATAAATAATATGCAAGCGTGTATGTTTTTAGCTGTGTTATTTTTATTGGCAGGATAGAGGGATTTGTTCTGCCCAAATAGCAGTTTGTAAGAATAAAATGAAAATTGCTTGGATAGCTTTCTTTTCCCTTTTGCATTTCATTTATATTCTTGCTCTCTGTGAGACAGAGCTAAAGCCTAGTCTCCTCTTCCTAGAAAACTTTCGTGGTTGGATCCAGGAAAGTGGTGATCAAGATAAAGCCTTGTGGCTATAGGTTTGCATTTAGTGCAGGGATTTGCATTCTTTATGAGTTCATATTTTGATACACAGTAAAACATAAGAAATGATGTTTGAATTTTTAAGACAGAAAGGAATATCTGATCTAATAGGTATTATGATTCCAAATTTGCCACAAGCAGCTCAACCACTTCCAGCCTCAGTTTCTTCACCTGCAAATGAGGGTGATGATATGCCTATTACTGTGCAGATGAGCTTACTTCACCACGTAGTACAGCATGGTAGCTATTGTTGTCGTAAGAAATACCATTTTGCTTGTAACAATCTATTTTCCAACTGATTTTGCCCCTACATGAGGAAGACATATATATCTTATATGTGACATAGTGGATCAGCTTCCATAATGTCTGTTATTTTTTCTTGTTTATTTATAGACTGCTTTTATAGCTCTGTGTTTTAATTTAGGACCTTTAAATATGGAGGGCACCTCTTCAACGATTAGGAGAGACACAAGATGGAAATAAAGGTTTTATTACTTACAGGTCCTGGGAGTTACATGGTATGCCTGGAGGCCACACCCATGGAGGTCAGGGAGCACATGAAGTGGGGGCACCCATAAGCCAAGGTCTTTAATGGGGTCCAGGGCATTATCCCTGGGTTTCTCTGAGGAGAGTTTTAATTGGGGGATTTGAAGTAAGCAGGCATGAGTTCCAGGAGGTCACACTGTGACTGAGAGGTGGTCATTGTGGCATATCTGCATAGTCCCTGCAGAGAATGAGGGTCAGTGGGGCCAGTCAGGTGGGCTGTGTGCAGCTCTCCCATAGAGAAGTAGAAGGTAGAAATAGATCTAGGAGAGAATAATGAATAATAAGAGTAACTCCCGAGTAGAGACTGGCAGAAACTCCTCTGGAAAGGTGACATTTGAACTAGACTTTGAAAGATGGGCAGGGAGCAGTTGTTTAAGGCAGATATCTGGATTAACCACATTTAGGAACTAGTGCTTTAGGGTATGTTGTAGGACTGGAAACTGTGTCAAGGGTGACTGAGCCTGTTTCTAGTATGAGTAAGTCCAACTTATATTTAAAATGGATGCTGAGGCAACATAAAATTTATAAGAATTCACCACATTCTATGTTGGAAAATTTTTTCTCTTTTAAATGTGTCTTGTCAATCTTTGCCTGCAAATTCCTGCCTTTCTTTGGAAGTCTGACTCAAAACGGAAGTTTCTCTAAGTCTCTACCTCTGAATTTATTACTAGTCTTTCCCAGAGCTATTTCTACCTCCAGCATCACTCAGCACAATCTTTCTCATATTAAAGTGGCAGACATATTTTGTTTTAGAAAATGCAAGTAATTTGGGGTGACAGCCCATGTGTGGGTGGGGTTGAAGATACAGATTTGGAAATTATCTATGAAAAGATGAGAATTTTAATTGTGAGATGGTAAAATTACAGGAGGGTGTAGAGAGACACAAGGCAACCTTAGTATATGATTGTGTTTCGTGAATAGTAATAGAGAAAGAGCCCAAAGAATGCGAATGAAACGGAGTGGTCAAAAGGAGAAAACCAGGATAAAGCCATTCTAACAACTGAGAAAGAAAAGAATTTAAGTGTGTGTGTGTGTGTGTGTGTGTGTGTGTGTGTGTGTGTGTGTGTGGTGGTGATGATGGTGGTGGTGGGGGTGCTCCAAAGTGCCAATGCTTATCAAGAAGTCGGTGAATGAGGTTTTAAAAAATTGTTATAAAAATTTATACATATCAGGATCAAGGTATCTTACATTTTTATTTTTAAAATCTTTTAAAATTTTGTTTTATATCCTGGAATTTAATCTCTGGGTAGCAGAAAGCCAAGGAAGGTTTCTAAGAAAAGGAATAATAGAATTGGAGTGACATGACCTTGGCAAATGACAGATCTCAAACCATTTCAGCAAAGGGATGGAAGACAGTGGAAAGAAAGGGGAGGAGGATGTGATAAAGACAGGATGAATGGAACAATATCCTGGAGAAGGCAGCAAGGGTGGTTCAGAGGAAATCATTGTTTCCCCTATGTAGCTTACCCTTTAATACATTTGCTGATTTCCATGAAATGAATGTAGCAATTAATTGAAATACCTTGGCTCACTTCTGCATTTTCACAGGGTGTTTTATTTGTGCAGAGACCACTGACATTTGGCAGGCTCTTGACTGCTTCAAACAGCCTGAGGTGCTATTTGGCAGAAAAGCAGCTGTGCAGTTTTAAGGAGAGAATGCAGTGGAAAGTTAAGCTAATGGTGTAGGTTGATATGAATTTATTAAAAGGCCAAGGGGCATTTTTTGGTCCTTGAACATTTTCTAATTAAAGCCATAAAAAACTACCATGTATTAATAGAGACCTTTTTTTAAGTTTGAAAAGGAATTATTATAAGGCTCTTCATCTTCTTGTTTTGCTGTTGGAGCAATTCCAAATGAGGCTATTCATGGTTAAGATCTTTCTAGAATGGGGACCAAGCTCATCGGCTAAGTCCAGAGACTTGAAGATCTGGCTTTAACCCCATGCCAGCACTTAACTGGTTTTATGAGATAGGTGTTAGCTTTCTGGTTCTTCATTCCCTCATGTATAAGCTAGGGATAATTATGCTGATTTTACAGCAGTTATGAAGGATTAAATATATGTGACACATCTGCCCATAGTGCATACTCAGCCAAAGTAATTCCTTAAGTGTTTCTGTGTCTTTTCATGTCAAAGTTGAGAAAAAACAAAACAAAACAGCAGTTCTAATATTTGGGGATGAGTTTGTACCACGGAGCTCATTTCTATAGATACTTTTAGGGCTTTCAAGGGTTTTAGTAAAACTCACTGAATATTTTCTTTTAGATTTTAGTATAACATGGTGCTGTATCTCTACTTTTCTTCCAGTTAAAGATTTAGAAAAAAGAAAGGATCCAAAGCCCAGAGTCAAAGTTGTGGACAGAGGAAATGGGAGTAGACCATCTTCACCAGAAGGTCAGAGACGATTTTAATTAACTCATATTGGGAGTTGGGTTGTTTTAATTACACAGGCAATACTCACATGTGGGGTTGCTGGTCCCATCTAAGAAGGGCAGGTCTAATACGAAGATCGCCTGTGGCCTCTTTGTACTCTTCCTTCCTTTCCCACACAAGATGACCCCCAACCACTTGGCACGTGACCTTTCAGGCACCTTTCTCAGAATGGTGCATATATGTACAGCCTGTCATATTTCTTGTTCTGTGCATACCTTTTCACTTGGAAACCTTTACATGCCAATTCATATAGGAGGCAGGATCACCCAGTGTAAATTGCATGGGCTCTCCCACTTGCCTGCCTAAATTCAAAGCCTGCCTTTACCACTTTGAGTGATCTTATACTAGTTATCCGAATGTCTATGTCTCTATTTCCTTATCTGCAAAATGTGGAGAATGGGATTCAGATCACAGAGTTCTTTGGGATAAAATGCGTTGATATGTGTAAAATACTTAGAACTTTGCCTGCCATTGAATAATGTTAGGTATTATTGTTAGTCTACCTCATTCTTTTTAATAGCCAGATAGTGTTCTATGGGATAGACTATTATAATTTATTGATTAGTCCCCCCAACCCCGTTTTTTTTGAGGCAGGATCTCACTCTGTCACCCAGGCTAGAATTTAGTGTCACAATCTCGGCTCACTGCAACCTCCGCCTCCTGGGTTCAAACGATTCTCCTCCCTCAGCCTCCTGAGTAGCTGGGATTACAGGTGCGTGCCACCATGCCCAGCTAATTTTTGTATTTTTAGTAGAGACAGGGTTTTGCCATGTTGTCCAGGCTGGTCTCGAACTCCTGACCTCAGGTGATCCACCTTCCTCTACCTCCCAAGGTGCTGGGATTACAGGCGTGAGCCACTGCACCCTGCCGATTATTCCCCTTTTGATGGGCATTTAATGTTGTCTAATTTTCACTATCACAAACATGCTGTAACAACGTATTTCTAACTGTGGAACTGCAAGGTTAAAGGATAAGCAAATTTTAGATTGCCAAATTGATAGATGGCAGGCTCTATCAATATCGACTTAAATTTTTTTCAGTAATTTGTACTTCTGTTAACGATATGTAACAGGAATTATTTCATATGTTCTTTTCAACATTTGAAATCCTTAATATTGAAAAAATTCTCCAATTATATATCATTTGTTTAATTTACATCTTTTTGATTACTAGTGAGGTTGAACATTTTTTCATATCTTTAGTAGTCATTTGTAATTTTTCCTGTTTATTTTTGTTTTGTGTTGTCTTTATTTCTTTAATGAACACATAAAAACTTTCTAAATATTTTGAGTATGAAACCCTTTTCTACATATTGTTGTATTTTTGCAAATATTTTCTCCTGGTGTATAATTTGCCTTGCAACTTTATTCATCTTTTTGATAATTTTTAATACAATTAAAAAATTCTTGAAAAATGTTTTACTCTGAATTTTGATGCATTTCTTGGTTTTCTAATATTTTAATATGAAACATTTTCATACTTTTCTTCTAATGATGTATAGGTTTATATTTATATTTATTACAACTTATTAAATATGTTAGATATAAAATGTATAAAAATAATGTCATAGACATGTTTGTCCAGATTAAGAAAATAAACCTATTACCATACAGTTAAAACTCATTGCTTATTCCTATAAATTCCCCTTCCTGTCTTGTAGGAGGCTGCCACTAAGCTGAAGTCAGTTTTTATCATTCCAATATGTCTTTATCATTTTACTTCATATATATTTGCCAGCTTAAAACATATTTAATTATACAAAGTTCAAATTTTATATATCTTTGCTTATGTCTCCTTCTGTACAAGTCGTAGAATTTTTCTAGAGCATATACCTTGGAGTCAAGTTATTTAGTTGCTGCATGTGTATATTTTTATAGCTCCTCTTGATATCTTTTTGTGTTTTTATATCTAATACTTACTTCATTGTATTTTCTTTTTTCTAACATCCAGAGTTGAGTGTTTATCCCTTAATTTTTAATTTTTCTTTTCTATTATATGCATTTTAAAATATCCAAGTACTGCTTGAGCTGTCTCACATAGATTTTGATATGTAGTATTGTTATGCTGTAGTTCATACTATTTTCTACATTTCACTAGGTTTTCTTCCTTGATCCATGAGTTACTTAGAAATATGCTATTAATTTCTAAACATCTGGAGATTTTAGAAGAAGATATTTATTTATTATTGATGTCTAATTATTGCATTGTGGGTAGAGAATGGGGTCTGTAGGAATATTCTTTGAAATTTGTTGAGGTATTTTATTACTTAAATGTGGTCAGTTTTTAAAACCATTCCATGTGTCCTTGAGAAAAATGTGCATTTTAATTTCCCTCGATGGTATTAGTCCATTTCTATTTGTAACTCTGGCAATTTTGTTTTAAATACCTAAAGGCTAGATACATAAAAATAAGAATTATTGTATTTTTCTAGTCAATTTTTCTTTTTGATATTTTGTAATGATTCTTTTTATTCTTAGTAATTCAATATTCACCTCAAGGACTATTTTATCTAATATTAATATAGCTATACCACCTTTATTTTATTTAGTACTCACATAATGCATTGATTCTCTATTCTTTAACTTTCACTCTCTTTGTGTCTCAAGTTCAAGGTGAGTAATTTGTAAAGAAGATTTATTTGCATTAAAAAAATTCTCTTACAGTCATTGTGTTTTACTTGATAGCTTTGGTTTACTTAAATGTGTTGATGTTACTGATAATTTTGGACTTACTATTTATTTTGTGCTATTACCCTACATTTTTCTTATCTTTTTTCCCCCTTTACACCTTACTTAAAATTGACCAAGTTTCTTTTTTCTTTAAATCCATTTTAGCACTTACTGACCTGGAAAAGCTAACATAGTCTAATACTAATCAATATCTTTACTATTTCCCTATAATACAGAATATAGAATTTAATAATGCTTTAAATTCAATGATTAATGTCCCATCTTACACATCATTCTTGACAAATACATTAACTTATTTTTTGCCTCACAAATATATTATTGAATATATTTATTATAGATATTCTTTAACAATCAGTGTTTGTCCAGATTTGCCCACGAAGTTATTTTGCTCACCATTTCATCTTGCATCTCAGACCTTCTCTGTGTATCCACTTCCCTTCACAGAAGATCTGTGGTGGTAAACTTATCTTTATTCATGCAAAAATATCTTTACTCTGCAGTCACTATTGAGAGATTAGCTGGGTACCAGATTAAGAGTTGTCTCTAATCATTTCAAAGACATTTTACTACCTTCTGGCTCCTGTTGCTTTGTTGACATGTGTGTTTTCAGTCTAAAGGTTGTTCCTTGGTAGGTGACCTCTCTTTTCTCTCTGGTTGCGTTTCAGGCTTGCTGTCTTTTATCTTTGGGGTTCTGCTGCTTCACTGTCATCAGCCCAGATGTAGATTTCTTTGTGCTTCCAGATTTCAGATTTATATCTTTCACCAGGATTAGAAAATTCTTAACCTTTAACTCTTTAAATATTATTTTTCTCAGCAACTTATATTCATATTCTTTATCTCAATTAGATTTATGACAGTTTCTTTTGACAATCTATGTCTTTTAATAGTAATATTTTGTACCTCTCTGATTTTACAAATAATATTTTGGGTTCCTTATATCTGTCTTTTAGGACACTAGATCTCTTCCCCTTTCTAATCTAGCCTGTTCTTTTCAATGGGGAAATCTTTTAGTCCTAGAAATTACATTTGCTTCTTTTTCAAGGTTGCTAGAATTTTTTATGGTGCTTGGTTCCTTTTTAACTTTTTAATCATTTTGATATTTTAATCATGATCATTTTATATTCTGAATTCAATAATTCTATTATTAAAGTATTTTAGGGTTAAATTCTTTTGTTTGTTTGTTTGTTTGTTTGAGATGGAGTCTCTCTCTGTTGCCCAGACAGGAGTGCAGTAGTGCAATCTTGGCTCACTGCAACTTATGCGTCCTGGGTTCTAATGAGTCTCCTGCCTCAGCCTCCTGAGTAGCTGGGATTATAGGTACCCACCATCATGCCCAGCTAATTTTTGTATTTTTAGTAGACATGGGGTTTCACCATGTTGGCCAGGCTGGTCTTGAACTCATGACCTCAGGTGATCTACCTGCCTCTGTCTCCCAAAGTGCTGGGATTACAGGCATGAGCCACCGCAGCCGGTTAGGGTTAAATTCTCGTTGCTTGTTTATACTGACTTTCATTCATGGGGCTGGTTTCTTAGGATGATGTGTCACTTTGGCTTGTGGACTCATGTGGAAATTGTTCACAGCATGTCTTAAGGGTGTGCTCCTTCAGAAGGGCACATTTTGGTTGCTACTAACCTGGAAATCCTCTATGTTAATTTCTTGTCTTAAGATACTCAGGGCTTGGTTACAAATTCACAGGACAGACAGTTTTCCCCCCACACAGAGCTTAGGCCAATGTACAACTTTCCTTGTCATCTCCCTTGCTAGAAAGCAGTTATTTTTCTAGTCCAGCAATTTGTAAGGATATAGCCCTGTGAGGGTGCCTCCCTTACATAAGAACTATCAAATACAACTTCCCACCTTGAATGCATTAAGGTCTTGTCTCCCGTTCCAGCATGACTATTACAGCTTAATGTCTTGATTGATAAATTTCTGGTTAAGGTGAAATCTACCAGATATATATTTTCCCTTGCAGTAAGTAAGTAGCTTATGATGAGATATTTTGAGACATGTAAATATTCTGTTTCTTATTAAAATTTCACCTACTTGTTTTAGTGTCTACTGATTCTTGCCTGAGTCAGTAACTATTATGATGTTTCTCAAATGGTAATTTTTCTAACTCCATTTTTCATTCTACATTTATTATTTGGCATTCTACTGTAAAGAAGCTTTCTCCCTTCTCCCACATTTGTTTTTCTTTTCATATGAGTATGGACTGGTGGATTCTTAGTTTATTTGAGTGGATTATAATCCATTACTATCATTATTTATTATGATGCTCAAATTGTTCCAGATTTGCTAGGCGGGAACTATTTCATGCTGTCTCTTATGTCTTTTAAATATGTTCCCATCATCCCTTAAGTTATTTCTTACTTTCTGGCACAAACTTTACATTCTGAGCGCTTGTATTTTTTCTACCTGGCCCTAAAATGAACCATTTCTTCCAGGAGTCCTGGCTTCTTTTTGTGGAGAATAGTATTTTGAAACCAAAATATGGGTACTAGCTGTGCCTATTGCTTCTGGAGTGTCATACCATTATCTCTCTGTCTGTCTCTCATTCTCTCATTCTCTTGCTCTCTAGCAATCAATCATCTATCTATCTATCTATCTATCATTTATCATCTATCAATCATCTGTTATCTATCATCCATCTATCATCTTTGTATTATCTGTCTCTATCTATCTATCTATCTATCTATCTATCTATCTATCTATCTATCTATTTTACTGCATCTTATATCTATCTTTTGCCCATACCACAGGGTTTATTTTAGCCCTCCTTCTTCTAATATTTATAACTCCTCTTTCAAGAGAGTGAGAAACATGGCTCCCAATATTCTAAATATATCTACTCATATGGTCAATCATAGAAATAGTTTTAGAACTGCTAATCTGTGCATACTGCAAAAAGACAAACAAATCTATTAACGAGTTCAATGTTTGCTTTTAGTCTAAGGTATATCATATCTGTGTTCAAAAGGATCTTGGATTAGTTCTTTTCTTGCCTATTCACTGTGGTTTTCTTATTTATTTTAATACAGTTAAGTTAATCTGTGAGTATGTAAAACATTGGCACATTTCCAGAAGTTGAAAAGTCTACAAAAGGATGACACTGAAAAAGAAGTATCACATCTGCTATTCCTTCCATCCAGTTTTACTTGCCCCTCCTATATAATCAAATGTGTTAGTTTCCGTCTTATCCTTTGTATGTTTTCTTTTTGTAAAAATAGGTTTGTTAATATTTTTAAGGGAGAATTTTACAAGGAAGTTTGTGGGTTTGGATTGGCATTTTTTTTTTTTTGCCACTTGATGCTTAAACAATGGTGTTTAAGGTGAAATCTGTGGAAGCCTCTGTGGATTAGAGTTTGGTGTCAGAATTTATTAGCTATAGCTATGTATTCCTAAAGTGTCTCAACTGCTGTATTCTTTCCCCTAACGCACCTTCCTCTTTCCTTTCCAAAACCTAGGATTGAGTGAAACAAATTAAAACTAAGAAGTAGACAACGGAAGAGTGAGGCTACTATTGGCAAATGTTCTAATAAATACCAATACACATTTGGAGAAGGAAGATTCATAAGCAGTCCATTTCCTTCCTCACTGGAGATATGTTTGAACATATGTTTACGGAGGAGTTCTTTCTGAGCCCACTTTCAGGCAGGCACTATCTCAAAGGGTTTATTGTAGTGATGAGAACTTGGGGTAGGGCAAGAACTTTCAGGAGGTTTATGGAAAATAGGTGTCTTCCTCTTTCAGATGAGGGTTTCCATGAGGTGTGTGCCAGGGCAGTGAGGACTTTGTGAGAGCGCTGGTTATGTGAGAGAATTGTCTTAAGAAGTAAGTTATAAACAATGGTGACAATCCAGGACAGAGTTACGGCTCCTAGGAGGTGGAGGGGCATGCACTAGTGTGGCCCACTGGAGACAAAAGATGCCCCTGCTCCACCCCAACCAGGTCGTTTATGCAACCCTTAGCATAAGCCCCTCCTCCAAGTCGTGGTACTCTCGTGATCCACATTTAACTATACTGCTCTTTGTTTTCCCTGAAATCTACAATTTTCTTGTATAAGAGTCTACACTGATAGTGGCTGAGATACAATCAGACGTATTATACATATTTTACAATTTTAGTTTAAACGCAGAGTTAAGATCCTTAACAGAAGTGGCTGTGCAGTTAAAGTTACAGTTAAGATTGTTTCCAATCTACTGTACATGTTTCTTTAATAATGCAAAATGAACTCACAAACAAAAATGGTACTTGCCTTTGAGCATAATATTGGCACATTTGCATTAATGGCTATTTCTCTATCGTTGTCCAAACAGCTTTCTTTAATCATTTTTGGAGTTTTGCACAAGAATGCAGAACCTGATTGGAAATAATTAAGAGACTGATAGGAAAAACAGCATAGGGCTTTTTTTTCCTTCTTTTTCAGTGATTTTTAAAATTAAGATCACCAGCCTTCTTTGTTTTGTTTTTAATGGATTTTTTAAAATACTGTAGTCTCTACGGTGATATAAGGGGTGACTCTCAGTGTTCTCATTTTCTGGGGGAAAAATGAGATGAGCTTAAATTATTCTTTCCAGAAGTCAGCAAACTATGGCCCATGGGCGAAATTCAGTCTTCTATTTTTTAAAATAAGGTTTTATTGGAACACAGCTATGCTCATTCCTTTACATATTGTCTATGGCTGCCGTCCCACAATATCAGAGTTGAGTATTTGCAACAGAGATCATATGGCCTGCAAAGACTAAAATATTTTCTGTTTTGCTTTTTTCAGAAAAAGTTTGCTTATCTTTGTCTTAGAATGTTTAAAATTTTTGAATGTGTTGGCACACAATCCTTCACTAAACCAAGTAATGAAATGCTTTTCCGAGGACAACTGTTCTATTTTGCTATTTCATAATTGCATAGGCTGTACTCATAAAAAAATACATATATACACATACCTACCTTTGAACATTTCTACCTCTTATACTCCCATATTTGATTCTTTTTTACTTGAAACATGAGAACTCTCAGGAGTTAGTTGTGAAGATTGAGTTAAAATGTGTAAAATACCTAGTATATAGTAAGTGCCACATATTTTATATATAGCACTTACTACATGCGTAAAATAGTTTAAATACATATATAAATAGCATAATATTTGCTGTTAATAATAGCATGTATATTTTGCAAGAGCTAAGATTATCATGGGCCAATGGTTTATATTATTGATTTAATAATGAATACATAGAAGAGCTGGTAATTATCACCTAGTGTCAAGCACTGAATTAGTTTCTGGGGATTAAGTGGTGAGCATGGGAGGCAGAATTCTACCCTCATGGAGCTTACATAATCTAGCAGGGCTCAACACATGTGCTCAATGCCTTCTCTTGGAGAAGGGCCAGTTCTGAATTATGCAGTCATTATGGTTGAGTGTAGCCTGGGCACATGAGTATTTTTGAGGTATATTTTCACTTACTGGGATCTCTCACCTCCCATTAATACTTTTATGGTTCTTGGCTCACAGTCAAGAGATTGATTTGAAATTTTAACACCTTTCCACTAGCTATTGTGGGACTTAGATCTGGCAAACCCAGGACTGTGAGTTCAACATGGTAAAAATGGGACTGTTAGGGTTTTAATTTCCATTAGGTAGGCGTCAGGAGGTAGCTAAAGTACAGGGAACTAGATGGGTCTTGTAGGTTAATGCTGGCAAGAGCCTGACTCCACTCCAAGATTAAAGGGGAAGGAGTTGGGTTCAGTCATAAACAGGACATTGGGGTTAAGTGTGGGCTAGAATTTATGCATTAAGGGGTTTGAAGGATACCTGGATCATAGAGTATGCTCTATTAGTGCTTCTTCCTCTTCTTCTTTCCCAGTTTTCTCCTCCTCCCTTTCCTTTTCTTCCTCCCACTTTCTCCTCCTTATTCTCATTGTTATTATAATTATTATTATCTAGATAGTTGACATGGTGTTCCAGCAACAACATCAAGGTGAACTAGAAAATTGCTCCTTATCCATGCAGGGAGGCCCTGAGGAAGCCACTCTGTATATGTCTGTGCCCTGAGTGAGGGAAAAGTCTTGAGAATGCATAACCTTGGGCCTGTGCCACACACAGCTTAGGTATTCAAATTTACATTCACCATGTGCTCTGAGGCCTGCCCACTCAAGAAATTAATATAAAAATGCCCTGCAGCTGGTAAAATCAGTGGAATGACTGGCAGAAGCAAACACAAAATCACATTTGAGCCAAGGCCTGATGAAACAAGGCCAAAGGAGAGTTTGCAATTCACAATTTCAAAACATAGAAGTAAACTATTTGCCATAAGTGTCAGAAGACACAAAAGTGGTGGCCTCAGAATTCTATGAACTTTAATTATGGAATCATTACATAAAGACTATATAGTAAGGGCCTAGTGCAGTGACTCATGCCTGTAATCCCAGCACTTTGGAAGGCTGAGGAGGGTGGATCACTTGAGGCCACGAGTTCAAGACCAGCCTGGCCAACAAGGCGAAACCTCGCTTCTGGTAAAAATACAAAAATTAGCCGGGAGTGGTGGCGCACATCAGTAATCTCAGCTACTCTGGAGGCTGAGGCAGGAGAATTGCTTGAACCTGGGAGGTGGAAGTTGCAGTGAGCTGAGATCGTGCCACTGCACTCCAGTCTGGGTGACAGAGCGAGACTTTGCCTGCTTCAAAAAAAAAAAAAAAAAAAAGACTGTATACATATAAAAAGACTATATATATATATATATACATACACACTATATATATAGACTATATATAAATAACAATATGATTACTAATCTCAGAAATATTTGAAAGAAGAGATGAAAAGAATGAAAAACCATGATAAGGAAAATAGGTAGATTAGAAAAGGGACCAAATGAACATAAAGAGTTCTGAAGAGCATAAACATAAAAGATAGCCACATCCATAATCATGTTGGTAAAACTGTAGGACACTAAAATTTCAAAAGATAAATGGGGAACACATAGGAAGAAAAGAGCCAAATAAGAAGAAAAGGACTTATTGAACCCATTTCTAAATGATGGAGATCTCACTGTGCATGCAGTTATTTGTTCTTCAGTTCTCTGGAGTATTAAATAAAACCTGTTTTTTTTTTTGTTTGTTTGTTTTTAATTTAATTTAAGTTCTGGGATACATGTGCAGAACGTGCAGTTTTGTTACGTAGGTATACACGTGGCATGGTGGTTTGCTGCACCCATCATCTGCATTAGGTATTTCTCCTAATGCTATCCCTCCCCTAGCCTCCCATCCTCTGACAGGCCCTGGTGTGTGATGTTCCCCTTCCTATGTCCATGTGTTCTCATTGTTCAACTCCCACTTATGAGTGAGAACATGCAGTATGTGTTTTTCTGTTCCTGTGTTAGTTTGCTGAGAATGATGATTTCCAGCTTCATCCATGTCCCTGCAAAGGACATGAACTCATTCTTTTTTATGGCTGCATAGTGTTCCATGGTGTATATGTGCCACATTTTCTTTATCCAGTCAATCATTGATAGGAATTTGGGTTGGTTCCAAGTCTTTGCTATTGTGAACAGTGCTGCAATAAACATACGTGTGCATGTGTCTTTATAGTGGAATGATTTATAATGCTTTGGGTATATACCCAGTAGTAGGATTGCTGGGTCAAATGGTATTTCTAGTTCTAGATCCTTGAGGAAATGCCACACTGTCTTCCACAATGGTTGAACTAATTTACACTCCCACCCACAGTGTAAAAGTGTTGCTATTTCTCCACATCCTCTCTAGCATCTGTTGTTTCCTGACTTTTTAATAGATTGCCATTCTAACTGGCATTAGATGATATCTCATTGTGGTTTTGATTTGAGTTTCTCTAATGACCAATGATGATGAGCTTTTTTTTCATGTTTGTTGCCTGCATAAATATATTCTTTTCAAAAGTGTCTGTTTATATCCTTCTCCCACTTTTTGATGGTTTTTTTTTTGTAAATTTGTTTAAGTTCCTTGTAGATTCTGGACATTAGCCCTTTGTCAGATGGATAGATGGCAAAATTTTTCTCCCATTCAGTAGGTTGCCTGTTGCCTGTTCACTCTGATGATAGTTTCTTTTGCTGTGGAGAAGCTCTTTAGTTTAATTAGATCCCATTTGTCAATTTTGGCTTTTGTTGCCATTGCTTTTGGTGTTTTAGTCATGAAGTCTTTGCCCATGCCTATGTCCTGAATGGTATTGGAATTTCTGGCCAGGGCAATCATGCAAGAGAAAGAAATAAAGGGTATTCAACTAGGAAAAGAGGAAGTCAAATTGTCTGTGTTTGCAGATGACATGATTATTTATTTGGAAAACCCCATTATCTCAGCCCAAAATCTCCTTAAGCTGATAAGCAACTTCAACAAAGTCTCAAGATACAAAATTAATGTGCAAAAATCACAAGCATTCCTATACACCAATAACAGACAAACAGAGAACCAAATCATGAGTGAATTCCCATTCACAATTGCTACAAAGAGAATAAAATACTTAGGAATACAACTTACAAGGGATGTGAAGGATCTCTTCAAGGAGAACTACAAATTACCGCTCAAGGAAATAAGAGAGGACACAAGCAAATGGAAAAACATTCCATGCTCATGGATAGGAAGAATCAATATTGTGAAAATGGTGATACTGCCCAAAGTAATTTATAGATTCAATGCCATCCCATCAAGCTACCATTAGAATTAGAAAAAACTACTTCACCATATTAGAAAAAACTACTTTACATTTCATATGGAACCAAAAAAAAGCCTGTATAGCCAAGACAATTCTAAGCAAAATGAACAAAGCTGAAGGCATCACGCTACCTGACTTCAAACTATACTACAAGTCTACATTAACCAAAAGAGCTTGGTACTGGTACCAAAACAGATATATAGAACAATGGAACAGAAGCGAGTCTTCATAAATAAAGCCACACATCGACAACCATCTGAACTTTGACAAACCTGACAAAAACAAGCAATGGGGAAAGGATTTCCTATTTAATGGTGTTGGGAAAACTGGCTAGCCATATGCAGAAAACTGAAACTGGACCCCTTCCTTACACCTTATACAAAAATTAACTCAAGATGGGTTAAAGACTTAAACATAAGACCTGAAACCATAAAAACACTAGAAAAAAACCTAGGCAAAACCTCTGTTTTTAAAAAGTGATATTAATTGACTTAGTTGAAACCATGACAATGAAGATAAGACATGATTTCTCTCCACTGGGAATACTACTATTCTGTAACATATTTTAAATGTTTTCACTTAAATGTAAGAATCCAACTGATGTTATAAAATTTGGAATTCCCACCATTTATTTATTGGTCCTCATTAGAGCTAATTGAAATACTGTTTTCTTTCTCAGAGTCTGTGTGGGATTCATTTCTCTTCTTTTTTTAGACTTCATTTCTCCTTGGTTTAAGATCTACCTTTACTGAAAAATTCTAGACAGCATATTAGTCAGGAATCCTTGGCTTCAGTAGAAACACACTCTAACTAGTTTAAGGACAGAAATAATTGTACTGGCTCATGTAACTGAAGTATGGCTGGACCTAGGGTCTCAATCCAGTATCCGTTGCTCTCTCTTGCTTCTCCATCTCCTGGCTGTGCCTTCCTCTGGGATGGCTTTATTTCTTGGTAGGGTTCCTACAATGGCAATGAAGTCCCCCCCAGAGTTTCAGGTTCCAGAATTACATAATAGTGAGCAACCCCAATCTCATATGGTAGGAAGCCTTTTTTTTTTTTTTTTTTTTTTTTGAGACGGAGTCTCGGTCTGTTTCCCAGGCTGGCGTGCAGTGGCACAATATCTGCTCACTGCAGCCTCCACCTCCTGAGTTCAACAGATTCTCCTGCTGCAGCCTCCTGAGTAGCTGGGACTACAGGTGGGCCCCAACATGCCCAGCTCATTTTTGTATTTTTAGTAGAGATGGGTTTCCCCATGTTGGCCAGGCTGATCTCGAACTCATGACATGAAGTGATCCACCTGCCTCAGCCTCCCAAAGTGCTGGGATTACAGGCATGAGCTACTGCATGGTGGGCTATGAAGCCTTTTTTAAGGTTAGTTTCAGAAAACATCTCAAGAACAGTTTTGATTGGTCCAGCTCTTGTGCCCATCTCTGATCCAATTGCGGTGAACAAGGAAATGCAAGAATCTGACTGGCCACACCAGGAGCTGCAAGGATGGCATTAGCCCTAACTGAGATATCTGGATTGAGAATGGAATTGGGCAAACACATTTAAGTCAACTATGGGGAGCTTTAAAATATTTTACAATTCTCTTTAGATTATCTCCCAAATGTGCACTATTAAGATGAACTTGTTTCTGCCACATCATGAAAAAATTGAAGAATTTTTAAAAAGTAAAGTTTCAATCATATGGAGCATAATTTGACCATTAAGACCACATTTAAAATGATGCCTTAAGTTGCTCTGGGTTTCAGGAAGAAACAATTTTCTTTTACAAACAATGATGTAACACATACACTCTCAATGGGAGTGACATCCTTGAATGGGCAAAAATTGATTTTGGGAGTGAAAAGTGAAAAATATTAATTATTTTATCTGTTAAGTATAAGTATACAATACATACATAAACAGCTATATGGTATACCTGTGATTTTAAAATTTCATGAAGAGGTGATTAGGAAAAAATGTCTAAAGGCTTCTTATGGGAGTGATAACTAAAAATGGTTGAGAAACATTGATCTAATGCAACACATGTATTACAGAAAGGTTCTCCTGCAATTTTAGCCCCTTTCTCCCCTCACTTCTGCTCTCTGAGCATTCCATAACATTTTCTTTTTGAAACATAGACCCCCCCAAAAAATACAAAAATTAGCCAGGCATGGTGGCATGCACCTGTAGTCCTAGCTACGCAGGAGGCTAAGGCAGGAGAATTGCTTGAACCCGGGAGGCGGAGGTTGCAGTAAGCCGAGATGGCACCACTGCACTCCAGCCTAGGAGACAGAATGACACTCCTCCCCGTCACCCCCCTCCCCGAAAAGTTATGCTTATGCACTCCTGATGACAATCAGATGAAATTCTTCTAGCGTTAGACCTCCAGTTTTCCTCTAGTTCCTCCCTTACTGCCCTTGATAAGATAGTTTTGAATAATTCTGACACTTTTCCTCTGGCCTCCAGCAAAGTTTATTATTCTCAACTTGTGAATTCTCCAGTGGTAAGAAATCTTAACTCTGTCTGAAATAAGTTTTCAAATGTCTTCATTCTTAAAATAACTTTTAATATATCATTTTTAAAACAATCAGATACCTTACAGCTATGAGGACTGATATTGATTTTGGCAGAGTGAGTCTCCCGTAGGAATGCTCGGGCTTCTCTTACTTGTAACTTCCTTCTTGTCTAAGAATTTTCTATTGAGTATCTTGTCTCCATACCTGCAGGGCTGACTGTTGTCAAATTAAGCGATGTTTTGGCTTCAGAAATTGCAAAATATCAGGATTGGTTCGTTATTAATGAATTGGAGTAACCGGGATAATTGAGTTGTGTTTTGTGAAAATCACCTTAAATGACCAAAGTAAACATACAGCCAGATCATGTAGTATTATATACACAGAGCTGAAAATAAATGGGAATATAATACACTGGCTCCTGAAGTTGAGCAAATTTCATTTTAAAATAGAGGTGATCAGATAAAATAGCCTCTCTTGGGTCAATATTAACTTAAGGAAATCAGGAAATAACTAGGCAACTCTACCAATAAAACTTTAAAGCAAACTTAATTTTTTTTATTTTTCTTCGTTTTTTTTTTTTTTTTTTGAGGTGGAGTCTCACTCTGTAGCCCAAGCTAAAGTGCAATGGCGTGATCTCAGCTCACTGCAACCTTCGCCCCTGGGGCTCAAGTGATTCTCATGCCTCAGTCTCCCGAGTAGCTAGGACTACAGGCGTGTGACACCATGCCTGGATAATTTTTTGTATTTTAGTACAGACAGGGTTTCACCATATTGCCCAGGGTGGTCTCAAACTCCTGAGCTCAGGTGATCCGCCTGACTCAGCCTCCCAAAATGCTGGGATTACGGGCAGAAGCCACCACGCCCGGCCTAAAGCAAACTTTATGTAAAAATATATAAAAGGATCACATATTTTCAAAGGAATTAAAATCTGTTTTAGGTATCTTGTATTGTGGTAGAGTAGGAAGAGTTTGGAGAGGGTACATTACAGGAGATGGGGGAATAAAAATTGAGTCAAAAGTTTCTGAGATGTTGTTGGGAGAAAGAAGACTAATTGTATTGGGAGGAAGTGGGAGATATACATGGACGGGTCAAGTGGAGAGCTTTGGAAAGCACAATGAACAGTTTAGGCTTAATTTGGTAGGTGAGGAAGGAAGAAATAATCTTAAAATTTAGGTCACTTTGAGAGTCCTGCAGTTCAGCCAGTCACGGGGATGGTAGAGGCTCCTGAGCCATTTCTTCAAGGGTTGTCCTGCATCTGCTGTCATTAACAGAGATTTTAGTATTTCCCAAGACAGTCATCTTTGGACATCCTGTCTGTAATTGAGTTGAAATCTGTCACTTTACACACTCCTTCTGGGCATATAGAATCCTCCTAATCCCTTGTCTATATGACAGCCCTTTACATATTTGAAGACAGCTGTCATGTCTTCTCCCAGTCCCTTCCAGTTTAGAGCAGAGGAGAAATGTGATGCATGTGGTGTTTACAGGATTGTTAGTTATTCTTAAGCTGAAGGTCTCTGAGCGAGTGCTGAAATGTTGTTTCGGCTGTGGCACAACAACCAGGCTTCATGTTCCTATAAGGTGTCATGATGTTATTCATCCCAGGTCGAATATAGGACAAATGCGTACGGCTTTGATTTCCTGCTATCTTTAATTGCAAGGCTTGTCCATATTTTCTTTCCTTTCTTCTTTCCTTCTTCCTTCCCTCCCTCCCTTCCTTTCTCCGAAATACTTCTCTTCTGTGATGGGAGTTGAATGGTTCAGGCTCTGGAGTTAGTTCTGGGTTTGAATTTGAATTCAGCTTTTCCACTTGCTCAGTGTGTGATGGTGGACACGTTATTTAACCTATTTAGTTACTTAACCATTCTTTCTCTATGAAATGGGAAGAACATCTACCTCATAGGATTAATACTGGACTTAGATGAAAATGATGTATGCAGAGCATCTGATGAAAGCTATCACTAAGTGGTAGGCTTTTCATAATTATTAATATAAAAAAGGAAGCAAAGGAAAGTGTGTGTGTATGTGTGAGATGTGTTTGTGGTGTGTGTGTGGGGGGGGAAGAGATTTATTTATTTATTTATTTATTTATTTATTTATTTATTTATTTATTTTAGACAGAGTCTTGCTCTGTCGCCCAGGCTGGAGTGCAGTGGTGTGATCTTTGCTCACCGCAACCTCTGCCTTCCAGATTCAAGAGATCCTTGTGCCTCAGCTTCCTGAGTAGCTGGGATCACAGGTGTACATCACTACACCTGGCTAATTTTTGTATTTTTAGTAGAGATGGGGTTTCACCATAGT
This sequence comes from Homo sapiens, assembly GCF_000001405.40. Lineage (NCBI taxonomy): Eukaryota > Metazoa > Chordata > Mammalia > Primates > Hominidae > Homo > Homo sapiens. The sequence continues at coordinate 120,184,460 of NC_000008.11, forward strand.
GGCCAGGCTGGTCTCAAACTGCTGGCCTCAAGTGACCTGCCCGCCTCCGCCTCCCAAAGTGCTGGGATTACAAACCACTGTGCCTGGCTTGAGATATTGATTTAATATAAGGAATTGGTTCATGTGATTATGGAGGCTGGGAAATCCCAAAATCAGCAGTCATCAAGCTGGAGATCTGGGAGAGTGACCATGTAGTTTCAGTTCAAATCCAATGGCCTGAGAGCCAGGAGAGCTGATAGTATAAGTTCTAATCCAAACACTGGCAGGCTCAAAACCCAAGAGCCAGTGTTTTAGTTCAAGTCTCAAGGCATGAAAAGCAACATATGAGCTCAAGGCAGTCAGGCAGGCTTCTCTCTTACTCAGCATTTTTGTTCTCTTCAGTCTGCAATCCCTTAGAGGCCCATCCACATTAGGGAGAAGAATCTGCTTTATTCAGTCTACCAAAATCAGTCAGAAATACTCTCATAGACACATCCAGAGTAATGTTGGGTCAAATGTGCAGGCACCCCATGGCCTAGTCAAATTGGCACAAGAAATTAACCACACGCTGTATAATATATTTCTAGGAAGACAGAAGTTATAGGAGGAAAAATAAAACAGGGATAAAAGGAGTGAGTCACGGGAGTGCTGTTTTAGATAGGGCAGGCATCTGTCAGGGAGGCTTTGAAAGGTACATTTCCACCCACGATTGGATTAAATGGGTATTAACCTCACTCAGATTAATGTAAATTCCAGACACAGCTGAAATGAGCCCCTTGCTGCACATCCCCTACATGGATGGCTTCTGATGTTGTCTCCCACAGCAGTGACCATCTGTGTTGCATTCTGTGAGGACAACTTCCATGGTAGTGATAGTGTGATATGTTGGAAAATACATATTGGACAAAACATTTAGAAGACCTGTTGTGGCTGGGTGCAGTGGAGGTGGCTCACACCTGTAATCCCAGTGCTTTGGGAGGCCAGGGTTGCAGGATCGCTTGAGCCCAGGAGTTCGAGACCAGCCAAGGCAACACAGTGAGACCCCATCTCTACAAAAATTAAAAAACAAACAAACAAACATTAACTGGGCATGTGATGTGTGCCTATTGTTCCAGCTACTCAGGAGGCTGAGGCGGGATCACTTGAGCCCAGGAATGCGAGATTGTAGTGAGCTAGTATTGCGCCACTGCACTCCAGCCTGGGTAACAGAGTGAGACCCTGTCTCTGAAAAGAGAAAAAGAAGAAGAAAAAAATAGCTGTTATCCAGTCCTAGCTCTGCCGGTAACTAGTAAGTCAGTCACTTGTCCTCTCTGAACCTCAATTTCATTTTCTTTTTTCTCTTTTTTATTTTGAGATGGAGTTTTGCTCTTGTTGCCCAGGCTGCAGTGCAATGGCGTGATCTTGGCTCACTGCAACCTCTGCCTCCTGGGTTCAAGCAATTCTCCTGCCTCAGCCTTCTGAGTAGCTGGGGTTACTGACGCCTGCCACCACGACCAGCTAATTTTTTGTATTTTTAGTAGAAATGGGGTTTCACCATTTGGCCTGTCTGGTCTCGAACTCCTGACCTCAGGTGATCCACCCACCTCAGCCTCCCAAAGTGCTGGGATTACAGGCGTGAGCCACCACGCCCTGCTCTCAATTTAATTTTCTGAAAAATGGGGACAACATGGCTTCTCATGGGAATGTTGTAAAAGTCAGACTTTGCCAATGTATTGAAAAACCCTTTCAGAATGAAAGTTTCTCGTTGAGTTTTTGGCAATGTAAAATGACCTTAACTCTTTTTATAAAAATATCTTCAGTAGTGTGGCTGGAGCCAATCTCTACACAGTAACAGTGAGCTTCCAAGAGTTCTACTGTACCAAATTCTTAGGGATTTTCTTTTGCTCTTGGTTTGGAAACTTGAATGTAACCTCACAGGAGACTTAAGTGAAAAATCGTTCTGTGGCCACAGTATTCCTTCAAATGTCTTGTGTAATGAATGGCTGAGGCTGATATTTTGCTAGTGGCATAGAACAAAATAATTCAAAGCCCCTAAATGAATCCTAGACCAGTTGTGGTGAAATCATTGTGAGGTTTTCTGACTGAGGTTAAGACAGGGTGAATAAAAATAGTACACACTCTCCTTTCGTTCAACTTAGCCTCCAGCATTAGGAAAATATCAAGGAAGGCAGGCCACTTTGATACAATCTCCCTGATTCCTAAATAACTGTAATCCACTTTCCCAGTGCGGTAGTGTGGCAGGGCAGGAGGAGAGAACACATTTAATTGAGCCATCATGGCTCATTTCTCTAGTGCCCTGCTGGAAGTGTGAACTATGTGAACAGAGGAATTATTTTTTAACAACACAATTCAATTTAGTTTACCTACACTGATGTACTGTATGTCAAGAGATGACCCAGATAAAGTGGCTAAAAAGACAAGTTACAAAAGTCCTCCCCAGTCAAGGAGTTCAGTCTAGTCAGGCAGATAGAAATGGAAGCCAGTCATAATATTCCAGTGTGATGGGCACAAAAAAAATGTACAAATCCAGAGTCAATAAAGAGGGGCAGGTAATGAGTTCCATCTAAGGACAGTAGGAAAAGATTCATGGAGTTGGTAAAGTGTAACCTGGGTTTTGAAGGATGAATAGGAGTTTACCTGGCAGCAAAAGTTATCTTCTGTCAGCTCCGTCCTTTCTATCTTCACTGACTATGTTGATAAATACCTTTATCTAAAAATGCATTGTAAACATTTCATTATATAAACCATAATTGGGTCTTTAATTTGAATACCATTAGAACAAAACCAATAATATTGTTTAAAAGGAAGATTTTTAATTTGGTAATTTCATACTATTGCCATTACAGTAACATTACCCCTTGCCCCCACATAGAGTTACTCTTTGTATGATTTTGTTTACTTTTATAAAGCGCTTTTTTGCATCTGAACCTATGTCCTTTATTATAGTCTATTTCCTCTCACTAAGAATTTAATCACCGAGTGGTGTTAAGAGTCAAAATAAAATGAAAGAATTTGAACTGCCAGAAGTTGGGAGCTTTGTTGTGTTCCCAGTTGCTCAGAATAGTGCTTGGTACATAATAAACACTAAATAGATTTTCAAAAAAATAAATAAATTTCATCTAGGAAATTAGTTGCATAACATCAAATGAATAAACATGGGTTTGGAGTTTCTCATGATGTCAGTAACACAATAAAATTGGTGTAAAATTATTGGAAGAAGGATGCTTTTCACATGGGCAACTTCACTATGAAAGTGCATTTATTTGGGATGGAAAAACATTCTAGACAAATAATTGGACATGTTAGCAAACAGCACAGATTAGCTGTGGACACAGCAGGGGCAAGCCCTGCAGAGACACTGCTTTATGTAACAAGCTTTTCCCCCTTAATTTCTAGATTTACGTAACATAGAGTACCTTCCTGAAGTCAGTATATAGCCCTGTGGTTAAAAACATAGGTTGTGGAGACACATTACTTGGGTTTCAAATCCCAGCTTTGCCACTTCTTAGCTGTGTGACACCCTGGACAAATCACACAGCCCTTGTATGCCATCCTTTCTGACTGCAAATGGGAATAATAGTAATGGTACCTGTTCCATAGAGTTGTTGCGAGGACTAAATCAACAGATAAGTGTGGAAGGCTTAACTTTTTTTTTTTTTTTTGAGATGGCGTCTCGTTCTGTCACCCAGGCTGGAGTGCAATGGTGCAATCTCAGCTCACTGCAACCTCCACCTCCTGGGTTCAAGCAATTCTCCTGCCTCAACCTCCCGAGTAGATGGAATTACAGGCACCCACTATCATGCCCAGCTAATTTTCGTATTTTTGTAGAGACGGGGTTTCACCATGTTAGCCAGGCTGGTCTTGAACTCCTGACCTCAGGTGATCCACCCATCTTGGCCTCCCAAAGTGCTGGGATTACAGGCATGAGCCACCACACCCAGACTTAACATTTAATATAATAATGTACATCATTTCCAAATATGAAATGTTAAGAAATCGCTAGTTCTTCCAACTCTTCTCATCACAAAACTCCAGAAAGTATAGAAGAGAAAGGGGATCATTTCTCCTGGACTTGTGCAATTGTTCCTTTTGATTCTATCTGTGACATGAAACTATTATTATTATCTTTGTAATCAAGGCCATATATTGAGTGCTTTTCTTTAAGTTCAGCTGCTTAGGCATTTTTAAAAACACAACCTGTATTTTCAGAATTGCATTTTAGGTAAGACCCATGTAAAGTTAAGAGCTGAATTAAAACACAGTTCAACAGGTCATTTCCTCTGTCCCTTTGCTTTAATTTTAAATACAGGCTTGCAGACAAAAAGGATTTATGTTATTTTACAAATTAATTTGGAATATTGTCTTAGCAATAAAAGCTTATGCACTCATTCCTTTATATTATAGATTTAAACTACATTTAGCTGCTGGATTTTACACATTTACCTGGGCTCCCAGGCGTGTCTGGTTTTCTTTTCTACTACTTGATTTTTAACACATTTTAAGGTACTTAATATATTCTTTCTGATTGATGTCTCTCTAAGAATGGTGAAATGGGTAATGTGTTTGCCAGTGGAGAGTAATGTTGTCTTCAGTTTTGAATCTGGGCTCCTGCTTATAGTAAGACAATGATTTGAATGCATTTCTTTAAAAAGATTCACTGTAACAGCTGGAATTATGGTTAAGGTATATGATTATTGAACTTGAACACAGTGGCTTTTAAATTACCTCTTTGTACCAAGTATATGAACAGCTGTTTGCCCCTGGCACAGGCAAACCTGTTGATGGGACAAACATTGTACATGTGTACCTTATGATGGAAATAGCCATTAGGGTTCATTGTGTTTATGTATGTCTTAGAGCTGCTAACCTGGATTTAGGACACAAGAAAAAATATTGTTTTTACAGTTCTCAAGTGAGTACGTACTAGTCTTCAAGAAAAATCATACTTTGCAGTACAAAACCAATGATGGATTTTGACTTTTGAAATTGTTGAAAAAATATCTTCCTATGAGTCTTTTTTTTTAATTAAAATTTTTTTATTTATTTTATTTTATTATTATTATACTTTAAGTTTTAGGGTACATGTGCACAATGTGCAGGTTAGTTACATATGTATACATGTGCCATGCTGCTGTGCTGCACCCATTAACTTGTCATCTAGCATTAGGTATATCTCCTAAAGCTATCCCTCCCCCCTCCCCCGACCCCACAACAGTCCCCAGAGTGTGATGTTCCCCTTCCTGTGTCCATGTGTTCTCATTGTTCAGTTCCCACCTATGAGTGAGAACATGCGGTGTTTGGTTTTTTGTCCTTGCGATAGTTTACTGAGAATGATGATTTCCAATTTCATTCATGTCCCTACAAAGGACATGAACTCATCATGTTTTATGGCTGTATAGTATTCCATGATGTATATGTGCCACATTTTCTTAATCCAGTCTATCATTGTTGGACATTTGTGTTGGTTCCAAGTCTTTGCTATCGTGAATAGTGCCACAATAAACATACGTGTGCATGTGTCTTTATAGCAGCATGATTTATAGTCCTTTGGGTATATACCCAGTAATGGGATGGCTGGGTCAAATGGTATTTCTAGTTCTAGATCCCTGAGGAATCGCCACACTGACTTCCACAATGGTTGAACTAGTTTACAGTCCCACCAACAGTGTAAAAGTGTTCCTATTTCTCCACATCCTCTCCAGCACCTGTTGTTTCCTGACTTTTTCATGATTGCCATTCTAACTGGTGTGAGATGGTATCTCATTATGGTTTTGATATGCATTTCTCTGATGGCCAGTGATGGTGAGCATTTTTTCATGTGGTTTTTGGCTGCATAAATGTCTTCTTTTGAGAAGTGTCTGTTCGTGTCCTTCGCCCACTTTTTGATGGGGTTGTTTGTTTTTTTCTTGTCAATTTGTTTAAGTTCATTGTAGATTCTGGATATTAGCCCTTTGTCAGATGAGTAGGATGCGAACATTTTCTCCCATTTTGTAGGTTGCCTGTTCACTCTGATGGTAGTTTCTTTTGCTGTGCAGAAGCTCTTTAGTTTAATTAGATCCCATTTGTCAATTTTGGCTTTTGTTGCCATTGCTTTTGGTGTTTTAGACATGAAGTCCTTGCCCATGCCTGTGTCCTGAATGGTAATGCCTAGGTTTTCTCCTCTTTGTACCTCTGGTAGAATTGCCAGCTCCTCTTTGTACCTCTGGTAGAATTCGGCTGTGAATCCATCTGGTCCTGGACTCTTTTTGGTTGGTAAGCTATTGATTATTGCCACAATTTCAGATCCTGTTATTGGTCTATTCAGAGAGTCAACTTCTTCCTGATTTAGTCTTGGGAGGGTGTATGTGTCAAGGAATTTATCCATTTCTTCTAGATTTTCTAGTTTATTTGCATAGAGGTGTTGGTAGTATTCTCTGATGGTAGTTTGTATTTCTGTGGGATCGGTGGTGATATCCCCTTTATCATTTTTTATTGCATCTATTTGATTCTTCTCTCTTTTCTTCTTTATTAGTCTTGCTAGCGGTCTATCAATTTTGTTGATCCTTTCAAAAAACCAGCTCCTGGATTCATTAATTTTTTGAAGGGTTTTTTGTGTCTCTATTTCCTTCAGTTCTGCTCTGATTTTAGTTATTTCTTGCCTTCTGCTAGCTTTTGAATGTGTTTGCTCTTGCTTTTCTAGTTCTTTTAATTGTGATGTTAGGGTGTCAATTTTGGATCTTTCCTGCTTTCTCTTGTGGGCATTTAGTGCTATAAATTTCCCTCTACACACTGCTTTGAATGTGTCCCAGAGATTCTGGTATGTTGTGTCTTTGTTCTCATTGGTTTCAAAGAACATCTTTATTTCTGCCTTCATTTCGTTATGTACCCAGTAGTCATTCAGGAGCAGGTTGTTCAGTTTCCATGTAGTTCAGCAATTTTGAGTGAGTTTCTTAATCCTGAGTTCTAATTTGATTGCACTATGGTCTGAGAGACAGTTTGTTATAATTTCTGTTCTTTTACATTTGCTGAGGAGAGCTTTACTTCCAACTATGTGGTCAATTTTGGAATAGGTGTGGTGTGGTGCTGAAAAAAATGTATATTCTGTTGATTTGGGGTGGAGAGTTCTGTAGATGTCTATTAGGTCCACTTGGTGCAGAGCTGAGTTCAATTCCTGGGTATCCTTGTGAACTTTCTGTCTCGTTGATCTGTCTAATGTTGACAGTGGGGTGTTAAAGTCTCCCATTATTATTGTGTGGGAGTCTAAGTCTCTTTGTAGGTCACTCAGGACTTGCTTTATGAATCTGGGTGCTCCTGTATTGGGTGCATATATATTTAGGATAGTTAGCTCTTCTTGTTGAATTGATCCCTTTACAATTATGTAATGGCCTTCTTTGTCTCTTTTGATCTTTGATGGTTTAAAGTCTGTTTTATCAGAGGCTAGGATTGCAACCCCTGCCTTTTTTTGTTTTCCATTTGCTTGGTAGATCTTCCTCCATCCTTTTATTTTGAGCCTATGTATGTCTCTGCACGTGAGATGGGTTTCCTGAATACAGCACACTGATGGGTCTTGACTCTTTATCCAATTTGCCAGTCTGTGTCTTTTAATTGGAGCATTTAGTCCATTTACATTTAAAGTTAATATTGTTATGTGTGAATTTGATCCTGTCATTATGATGTTAGCTGGTTATTTTGCTCATTAGTTGATGCAGTTTCTTCTTAGTCTCAATGGTCTTTACATTTTGGCATGATTTTGCAGTGGCTGGTACCGGTTGTTCCTTTCCATGTTTATTGCTTCCTTCAGGAGCTCTTTTAGGGCAGGCATGGTGGTGACAAAATCTCTCAGCATTTGCTTGTCTTTAAAGTATTTTATTTCTCCTTCACTTAGGAAGCTTAGTTTGGCTGGATATGAAATTCTGGGTTGAAAATTCTTTTCTTTAAGAATGTTGAATATTGGCCCCCACTCTCTTCTGGCTTGTAGAGTTTCTGCCGAGAGATCCACTGTTAGTCTGATGGGCTTCCCTTTGTGGGTAACCCGACCTTTCTCTCTGGCTGCCCTTAACATTTTTTCCTTCATTTCAACTTTGGTGAATCTGACAATTATGTATCTTGGAGTTGCTCTTCTCGAGGAGTATCTTTGTGGCGTTCTCTGTATTTCCTGAATCTGAATGTTGGCCTGCCTTGCTAGATTGGTGAAGTTCTCCTGGATAATATCTTGCAGAGTGTTTTCCAACTTGGTTCCATTCTCCCCGTCACTTTCAGGTAAACCAATCAGACATAGATTTGGTCTTTTCACGTAGTCCCATATTTCTTGGAGGCTTTGTTCATTTCTTTTTATTCTTTTTTCTCTAAACTTCCCTTCTCGCTTCATTTCTTTCATTTCATCTTCCATCACTGATACCCTTTCTTCCAGTTGATCGCATTGGCTCCTGAGGCTTCTGCATTCTTCACGTAGTTCTCGAGCCTTGGCTTTTAGCTCCATCAGCTCCTTTAAGCACTTCTCTGTATTGGTTATTCTAGTTATACATTCGTCTAAATTTTTTTCAAAGTTTTTAACTTCTTTGCCTTTGGTTTGAATTTCCTCCTGTAGCTCGGAGTAATTTGATCGTCTGAAGCCTTCTTCTCTCAACTCGTCAAAGTCATTCTCCGTCCAGCTTTGTTCTGTTGCTGGTGAGGAACTGCGTTCCTTTGGAGGAGGATAGGCGCTCTGCTTTTTAGAGTTTCCAGTTTTTCTGCTCTGTTTTTTCCCCATCTTTGTGGTTTTATCTACTTTTGGTCTTTGATGATGGTGATGTACGGATAGGTTTTTGGTGTGGATGTCCTTTCTGTTTGTTAGTTTTCCTTCTAACAGACAGGACGCTCGGCTGCAGGTCTGTTGGAGTTTGCTAGAGGTCCACTCCAGACCCTGTTTGCCTGCGTATCAGCAACGGTGGCTGCAGAACAGTAGATTTTCGTGATCCGCGAATGCTGCTGTCTGATCGTTCCTCTGGAAGTTTTGTCTCAGAGGAGTAACAGGCCATGTGAGGTGTCAGTCTGCCCCTACTGGGCGGTGCCTCCCAGTTAGGCTGCTTGGGGGTCAGCGGTCAGGGACCCACTTGAGGAGGCAGTCTGCTCGTTCTCAGATCTCCAGCTGCATGCTGGGAGAACCACTGCTCTCTTCAAAGCTGTCAGACAGGGACATTTAAGTCTGCAGAGGTTACTGCTGTCTTTTTGTTTGTCTGTGCCCTGCCCCCAGAGGTGGAGCCTACAGAGGCAGGCAGGCCTCCTTGAGCTGTAGTGGGCTCCACCCAGTTTGAGCTTCCCGGCTGGTTTGGTTACCTAAGCAAGCCTGGGCAATGGTGGGTGCCCCTCCCCCAGCCTCGCTGCCACCTTATAGTTTGATCTCAGACTGCTGTGCTAGCAATCAGCGAGACTCTGTGGGCGTAGGACCCTCCGAGCCAGGTGTGGGATATAATCTCCTGTAGCACCGTTTTTTAAGCCCCTCGGAAAAGCGCAGTATTAGGGTGGGAGTGACCCGGTTTTCCAGGTGCCATCTGTCACCCCTTTCTTTGACTAGGAAAGGGAACTCCCTGACCCCTTGCGCTTCCCGGGTGAGGCAATGCCTCGCCCTGCTTCGGCTCGCGCACGGTGCGCTGCACCCACTGTCCTGTGCCCACTGTCCGGCACTCCCTAGTGGGATGAACCCGGTACCTCAGATGGAAATGCAGAAATCACCTGTCTTCTGCGTCACTCACACTGGAAGCTGTCGACCGGAGCCATTCCTATTCGGCCATCTTGGCTGCCAGTCCTATGAGTCTTAATTTCAAGTGAAATATGCCTAGTTGTAGTTTGCTTTTAAGGTTTTTGGTGCTTAAATTATGTGACATAAACACTCAAATTATTTTTCTAGATAATGTTTTCTGCATGCCAGATAGGATTATTTCCCTCTTCTTTTAATTAGTTACTTAATTAGTAATTTTTAATGGTGTCATAAGCACCCAAGCCCCCCCTTACCCCCAAAATCTAAGACCTTGACCATACCCCACACTTATGCTTTTATTTTCTTTAAGATGTCTTTTGATGACCAACTTAAACATTTTTAGTCTTATTAAACTTATCAATCTTTTGATTTATAGTCAATTAGTTCTATATCTTGTTTAGGAGCTATACAGAATTTGTATTTCCAAGTCATTTCTGACTTGAATGAGCTAAATAAACAGAAAATATCTATTGGAAGTTATTTTTTAAACCAGAAAATACCAATTTCATTACCTCTCTTTTAAATAAGCAGAAAGCGTTCCCTTTCTAAGATCCTATCCACATGGTTCCCAATTAATTTATAAGTGAAATAATATCCCCAGTAGTTTTGGAAAAGAAAGAAAACTACTCTCCATTTGAGAGTAACTTTTCCCCATAAAAACAGAGAAAAATGGGTTCTTGAAGCTTAACCAGACTTCAATTTTCCCTGGTTATGTCCAAAAAACAAATTAATTTTTATCCCTTGACTTCTTGTGGCATTCCATTTTAGCCTTTTTCTTAGTGTGGTACAGTAGGGTTGACTCCCAAATACAAAGTTACCAGCTGATGGCTCTGTATTTGGTGATTAAGAAAGGGAATCTGGTGCCAGAAAGTGAATACACAAACTTTGGATTAAGTTGTACTGTTTAGCTTCCATAATGAATATTGGAGTATTTCATTGGCAAATTCATTTTTTCCCCATCTGGTAAAAGCATCTAGGTATCCCATGAATATTTATATCTGGAAAAAGTCAAGATCCTTTAAGCAAAATGTGGCCTGGTAGGCGCAGAGACACGTATATTAAACTGCCTATGCCAACCATAATAGTTCAACTATTTTTTTTTAAGTAAAAGCATATTCAACTTGTTTATGAATACTTCTGTATTTTGGTTTTCATTATATATGTTAAAAAAATAAAGATTTTTTTAGACCAGCAAGAATAAAAAGGATACAGGAAACCCAGCCCCAAACCCCTCTGCCCGCCACACACACTTAATGATCTCTAGTCCTAACATGAAAATTCAGCAAAGTTAAGCAGTTCTTTGGAAGCACAGACCAGAGTTCGAAGCAATGTTGCGATCGGTACTAAAAGTATTGGTCTGTTCTCACGCTGCTAATAAAGACATACTCGAGACTGGGTAATTTAAAAAGGAAAGCGGTTTAATGGACTCACAGTTCCACATGGCTGGGGAGGCTTCACAATCATGGCGAAAGACAAAGGAGAAGCAAAGGCACATCTTACTTGGTGGCAGGCAAGAGCACGTGTGCAGAGGGAATCTCCCTTTTATAAAACCATCAGATCTTGTGAGACTTATTCGCTATTCAGAGAACAGCATGGGAAATACCTGCCCCCATTATTTAATTACCTCCCACTGCATCCCTCCCATGACACGTGGGAATTATGGGAGCTACAGTTCAAGATGAGATGTGGGTGGGGACACAACCAAACCATATCGACATTGTTAAGGATTTGTGAAACACTTGGAGAATATTCCTTTGTCTTGGCTCGGTGTGAATAGAAATGGTGAGTTTCCCCTAAAGAAACACAGACCTACCCTAGATCAGGCAGCCTCCTCCATTGTTGTAGAGACTTAACCATTCACCTTCTGCATTTCCCCAGCATTGCTGTGAGTGGGGCCTTCTCTAATAGTAAAACATAGGTACCATGGCCACTGGGCATCCTCTTCTGAATCTTTGTCCTGAGTCCTAACTGAGCCATTTAAAAAAATCAATTATTTACATGATCTTTAGGAGCAAAATTTACTGTCACATACACATAATATGCAAAAAACATTTGACTTTGGGGAAACTCTTTGGCCTTTTTCCCATTATCTTGTTCCAAAAGCCCTTCCTACTTTAGAAAAAGTCTCTGTACCTTTGTTGGATTAAATACGTGGCTGTAATGTTTCCTTGAATTCAGAAAGTCCGCATTTCTCTTTTTTCTATCACTTCCTGTAGCATAAATTTATCAGGATAGGAGAGCCGTCTTTTTGCCTCCTGGCCGTCTTCCCATCTCGGCTGACTGGCACACGCTGGTGTTGCTAAGACCTTTCCTGGAAAGAATCAACAGGCAAAAGCTCAGAGCTGGATGCTTTTGCACAGACACTACTTTCTAAAATACACAGAAGGCTGAGTTGTCAGGATGGTGTGAACCTGCCCAGTATTTTCCTATTTCCAGAGTACTGGCTCTACTGCCAACAGTTACCACAATTTTTTTTCTAGTAAAATACATTTAAGGGAAGAGTTGTAAAAAGATGGCTGCTCCTACGGGAACTCTTTTGTATTCTTAGCACTAAGTTGTCTAAAAGACATTAAGATGGACTGTTTTTGAAGTTGCTCTGACAGTAACACATGCGCTTTTCTGGTTTGTGCTTTGCAGAAGTGAAATTTGTCTGTCAAACTCCAGCAATTGCTGACATTGTAATCCTGGTCGATGGTTCATGGAGTATTGGAAGATTCAACTTCAGACTGGTTCGGCATTTCTTGGAAAACCTGGTTACAGCATTCGATGTGGGCTCAGAGAAGACACGAATTGGTATAATTTCTATTATTAGCAGTAGCAGTCAGTTGTCAGTGCAAAACTGCTGGGAAGTATTTTAAGAAATTTCAAAAATTCCTTACAAAGTGACTTTCAGGATTGCAGGATACTCATGGTCCCCTAAAGTACATGTTTGGATCAATAAATATTATTTATTCCTTCTAATTTTTGCAATGACACTGTCATTCAATTAATTATTGAACATATTTTAATCTTCTGAAAAGTCAAGTTCTTCTCTGTTACTTTAAAAGTTACAGCTGGTTTAAGAATTTATTGCATAGCAGTTTTCTTTTTATTTAAAAGAAATAGCTAAATCTAGGAAAATGTTGAACTAGAAAATTGGCAGTCATTTAATAGTACAAGATAACCTTTGCCAAATTAATTCTAGCCCAGATAAGAAGCAAAAAAGTTGTAAATCTTTGAGCAATATTGAGCAATTACAAATATTTATTATTTGTAATCAAATAATAAAAATAATAAATCTTTATTAAACAAAGTCTCCTAGTTTAACTTTTAAATAGCCATTAAGAAAAATGACTCCTTTGAGAATAAATCAACAACAAATAAATCTAGACCTTTTATCTACAAACATGATCAGAGTTTTTTTTAATGCCAAGTACCTAATTGGGCGCTCATTTATAAATGGCTAAAAAATATGTACACTCCCTCAACCCCCGTATATGTCTAACTTGATTCCTTTAATTGATCTTACTCAGCAAATCTTTTTGAAAATTTATAGCCAGGCCAAAATAAAAAATTTTTGCAAAGATGAGGCCTTTCGTCATTCCAGTTTCTTGAGTAGCCCACTAGATTTTTGAGTAACCCATTATTCCTGGTGCGTTTCCTAATCTTTTTTTCCAGGTCTTGCACAGTATAGTGGTGACCCCAGAATAGAATGGCACTTGAATGCATTTAGCACAAAAGATGAAGTGATTGAAGCTGTCCGAAACCTCCCATATAAAGGAGGAAATACACTAACAGGTATGTTTTGTTCAATCCATGTTATAACAACATATCTTTTTGAAGAATAATTGTATTACCTCATTTTGCCACTTTGTAAGCGTTATCATAATGTTTTAATTAAACTAGCACTTAGGATTCTTTGATGGCTGTTTTCCCAAACTCAGCATTGAGTTAAAAGCCAGATATCTCATTCCTTTTACTCTATGACTATAATGTCCCAGGAAGGGCTTGGTTGGGCTAGGAGAAAATGAAGCAAGCCCTGAGACCAACAGAGTGGAGTAGCTGTCTAACTTTTGTCAGCTAATCTCTTCGCTACTTTTCTCCTCCTGCCATCCTCCACCCTGTTATTCAAATATAAACAAATTTCTTCTTATTTTCAAAGAAGATATTTTCTTTGCCCTTATTCTGCAATCATTAGTTATCATGAAAATATTGTGAAATAATTTTCTAAAAAGTCAAGATCCTCTCTTTTCATAATAATAATATGGATCTTTGGCTCACAGTATTTTTGATGAATGACGAATATAAGAATATTTACATTATAATCATCCATGGCACAATCACAAGGGGTTTGTAAAAATTTTCACCTTGAGACATGCTGCAAGCTGAGCATCCCAACTCTGAAAATCCAAAATGTTTGAGTGCCAACATGATGCTAAAAAAATGCTCATTGAAGCATTTCAGGTTTTGAATTTTTAGATTTGGGATGCTCAACCAGCAAATATAATGCAAATATTCCAAAATCCAAAAATACCTGAAATCCAAAACGATTCTGGTCTCAAGGATTTTGAATAGTGGATATTCAACCTGTATTGCCTGCCACAGGCACATATTAGAGATGCTCAGATGAAGCAATGTAGATGTTGTTATTGATTTTTAGGTAAACCAGTAGAATCCTGATCATTGCTTTGCCAACTTGAGGCAAAGTCTCGTGGAATTTTTGTTAATGCAGCAAACAATTTATTGAACACAAATCCTACAACAATATTGCACCATTTCTTATTTTTTTCTGGATGGAAAGTGTCATGCTCAAAAGGCAGGAGTACGATTAATGATATTAGATTTGTCCCTTCTACTCCTAAAAAACAAAGAGAGGGATTTTTTGGTTCTTTAGAATATCACGAACAAAATTGAAAACCTAGTGATAACGCACTACTGTGTGAGTATTCTTGCTTCATCCTGAATTATAAAGGTTCAGATCTGCTTGTACATGAAATCTATTATCATCCATTGGCCATGAATTCAGTGTTCTTTATAAATGCTAGTTTCTGAAAGAATGCAGTGTTTAATTATTTTCATTACCTTTATTCCAGTGGATTTTAGTTCCTTGTTGAATCTGTGAAAGACAACGTTATTACAAAAATGAAGATTTGCATGTAATAAAAAGTCTATGGCTCAATAGGTTACCCATCTTGTGGTTATATCTTGAAGAATTAGGAGACTTTTTATTAGAGATAGCTGGTGTTTACTTTTCCTTGTTTTCTCCAAGGTCTTGCTTTGAACTACATTTTTGAAAATAGCTTCAAACCAGAAGCAGGATCAAGGACTGGAGTATCCAAAATTGGCATTTTAATCACAGATGGAAAATCCCAAGATGACATTATTCCACCATCTAGAAATCTTCGTGAGTCTGGTGTAGAACTGTTTGCCATAGGTATGTGCTCTTTATAGTCTTGTTTCAACTAAGGGCATAGACCCACAACCACTTAAAACAATATGTAATGTGAAATGCACTTCACTGAAAGCCAGGAGACCTGAGCACTTTCTAGTCTTGGCACTTGTCATAGGCAGCCCTGTGATCTGAGCCCAGCTTCCTTACAGTTAAAATGGGAGTGATGCTAGCTGTCATGTATCCCATGGTGTGAGGATTTCTAAGTGAGGTGTCATATATAAAATGCTGTGAAAAGCATAAAGTGGCATGCAAAGGTCAGGTACATGTTTGTTACTGTTTAGTAAGTCAAGACTTTCTCTTAAGGGTCATAGCTATCTCTTTTCTGGTAATATAGGAAGAATCTAATTTATCATTTTCAAGGAAATACGATCCTGCAACTACGTAAAGAAGACACAAAGTTCAAGATTTGTAGTAGTTCTTATCTGAAACTAACCCTTTATAAGGTATCCTTCTTGTGTGAAAAAGCATATATATATATAGATAGCATACATTCAGAATAACTACAAAATATTTAGATGATGTGACTTTGCTGTTGATTAAAATGTTAACATTTTCTTTGGCAATGGGAACGTCTTCTATTTAGTAGAGAACAACAAACTTTCTCAGCAGAAAAAATGCCTGATTCCCAAGCAACACTGAAACACAAACCAAAATATAACAGCGAATTCCTTAATAGGGCTCTGAAGACATTTGAAATTGGTTATCATGAAGGGTCCCTTTTATTATGTTTTACATATTTAATTATTTTATTTGTGATCAATCTTTAGTCCAAATAAAATGCATTTATCTTTCTGCATTTATCAAGAATATGGTGCATTTTTCTTTTTGTGAACTTTCCATGAGCTGTTTCTTCTATCAAAAGATAGTACTCTCTGCTCTGTAGTTACATACCCAGTTATAGTGGGTGCTGGCATAAAAACTACATATTTCAGAGTATTATTCTACTCTTATGAAATTGAACTATCCAGGGAGAAGGGGCCTGGGAATACGTGTTTTAAAACCATACCCAGTTCTGTACCTTAAAATCATTCTCCAGGGTTGAGAACTACTGGTAAGCCCAAGGGAATATCTCCTCTAGGTATACTGTAAGTTTGTCTCCTTTAGAGAAAGATCCTAAAAAGTTTTCCTATTTATATATATATATATATATATATATATATATATATATATATATATATATATTATTTTTCATCAGAGGAGGTTTCTGATCATTTTTTCAGAACTTGTTTCCTACTAGTATGTAGCCAAGTACAGTCTAAGAACAGCTGCAGAAGCTGTGGAAACTATGATGTTCCCTCCTGTTTCTTTTCCTTATTCCTACAGCATCTCTAAGCAGTGAGTTCCCAGAGGTTCAGGTTGTATCTTCTTCACTTTTTCATCCTGATCACCTATCCCAGTGCTTGACACTTAAAAAGTATCCAATAAATGGCTGTTTAATAAGTTAGTGCTCTAAAGAATTTCTAAGATAGCATTATTTCCCTTAGTATTAAAAATAAAAATATTCTTGAAAGATACATGTAAGAGAAGTGTATTATTATTATTCAAGTAAGTGATGTATATTATCCTATAGTAATGTAGCCATTACTGCTACATTTTTCATTTACAGAAGAAAGAACAAAGACATCCAGGGAAAAAATTAAAAATGTATTATGTTTGAACTTTGTTTTGGTAAATTAGAACCTTGTTATTTTGTGTGCATGTGTGTGTGGTGCAGGAGGAGGTAGCTGTTATAGCTCAGTGTTGTGCAGGAGCCAGCTCATGCCAGTTTGCAAGAGCCAATTGTGCACACCTTTTCCCAAGTCTGCATCCTGTGACCTCATATTGGTAGTTTGGAATAAGCTACAGTGGGGTATTTATTCTACAGAAATTGGCAAACACTACAAATGAGGGCAGAAAGCTGACTGTTAAATATTTACATTTACCAGCACACCCCTGGAATTTAAATGGGCAATAAATGGATTTAACCATACGGTAGCTTCACTTGTAAAGATAAATGTGAAGTTGGTCCTAGGAGTTGAGTTAAATTTGCTGTGCAGGAACATTTCTTACCCTGAAATTTAACAGTACATCTTTTAGAGTTATCAATGAAAAAAAAACTTTAGACCCTGTCCTAGATTTGCTATTCACAATGTGGCTTATAGAATGCTTGATTCAAGAAGTATTAGCTTACATACTATGTGCCAGGCATTGTGGAGGTTGTTGGGGTACAAAGATGAACAAGGCAAAATCCTTAGAAAACAAATTCCTCCAAAGTCGTGATGACCATTTCCTCTCTTTTCTGTGCAGTTGCAACAGTCAAACTATTTTATTTGGGAAGGTGAGGGAGAAGCAAAATTGGGCCTATTTTTCCCAGAATATTTCTATATAAGTCCAAACTTGTTGGATTCAACTGAATATCACAAAAAAAGCATTATTGGCACTGCTTCAGCATACACTCAATGTTATATTAATTCAGATGTACATTTGAGAAGCAATTGTAGAAGTCCTTCAGGCAAGAACCATCAGAGAGATTTATTTTCCTGTCCTTTTGTCCAATAAAGGAAATCTCTGCCAAAGACTTAAACTAATGGAGAACTAATTTATATGTTTATTCTCCATTTTCTGCTCTTGTTAATGATGAATAGGTGAGTTTTTAAGCAAAGCTTTCAGTAAATTCATCCAGATGTGATTTAGACTTCTCTGAAAATTACTTGGAAATCAGCAGTATTTATTAACCTGCAACCTCCTAAAGCAAATAGTTCAGAGACAACTAATGCTTTGTTGCTCAATATGTTGGGGTTGAAAGATAAATTAATTGGCACAGCCAGCCATCTAAGAAGTAATTCATGTTGCCCCAGGTAATTTCTCTTCCTTGCTTCTATAGAACCTCCTTTTAATACCCTCCGATGATTGAAATGACGGGGATTATAAAGAAATCCTCCTTGTTTGATGAGGCTTGGAGAAGGGAAATCTACTTCATACCCATAAAACTTAACCTCATGCCTCTCCTTTCCTATCTCTAACATTGTTGGTAAATGTTTACTCATTTTAATGTGCAGTCTTCTGAGAGGCAGTATAAAATAGGGGAACAATAGTTCCAAACTCATAGGATTGATTGTCAGGATTAAAGGTGTTATTATATGGAAAACACTTACTATGGTGCTTGGGGGCACAGTGATCACACTCTTTTTTAAGGGTTCGTGTTCACTGCTTTCTGTCCTATTCTATTCCCTGCTGTATTCCAGACACCCAACTTTGTGCTTGACCATGGTATTCAGTAGATACTGTGGAAGGACCAGGAATTTTCTATTTACATTAGTAAAATTGCAGTGGTTACTAGACAGCAAATTGTATTTGAGTATGTTAAAAAATAATTTTCCCTAGCTTTCTCCTTGGCTTAATGCTATACAATAATAATAATTTCAAATATATATATATATATATATATATATATATATTTGTTCTAGCAGTATTTCTCAATTTCAGTAAATTTATTTTATAGAAACTTAAACCTGAAGCTTTGATAGTTTAGGATGCTGGTTTAATTACTATTGCTTCTGCAATATTCATGCAAAACAGAAGTTAGTTTTATTAAGTCATCTTCCTGTTATGATGTATTGAGTAAAATTAATATCTAATCATTTAAAAACGATTCTGCAACTGATTTCTGTAAAAAGCAATCTCACATGAAATGTTCCTCTTTAAAGTGGCAGATGCTTTTAACCAAATCCAAGACTGCAGGTCCACCAGAAGTGGGGAGGGTAACTGAAACAGCCTCTCAGATGGGGGTGGGGGGGGGTCCCAAGTGTTGTTTACCAGAACACAAGCATATAACAGCTTTCATCTTGGCAATGGTACATATGCTCGCTCTTCCCTTTTTTTGCTTATTTTCTTTCTATATGAATAATTTGTTAGAATCAGAGCTATTGTTTTGTGTTATATAATAGATATGACTATATTTTTTCATTTCATCGGTTTATTTCGTGTGCGCATTTTAAATAAAATTTTAAATATATATATACAAGTAGCAGATGATGCTTTGACTGCAGTGAAGATTGACTGACTGGGTCAGATCAGGCCCACCGCAGTCACTCTTTCCAAGGGGGCATAAAAGTCACCATTCTCTTTTTTGTCCTCTGTGTAAGGGGTGAAAAACGCGGATGTGAATGAGCTGCAGGAGATCGCCTCTGAACCAGACAGCACTCATGTGTACAATGTTGCCGAATTCGATCTGATGCACACAGTTGTGGAGAGTCTGACCAGGACTCTCTGCTCTAGAGTGGAAGAACAGGACAGAGAAATTAAAGGTAAAATGAGTGACAGAGCAGTCCTGTGGATGTCAGTATTATGGTGCACAAGCCTATTGTGAATTGGGAAAATTCTTTTCATTTTTCATGTTGGCTTTTTGAAGACCCCTTATTCCCCTAAGACCTGAGCCGTCAGAGTAGAAAAGGGAGTATATTAGCAGGCTTTGTGGGGGTGAAGGAGGGACTCTTTAAACACAAGATGATTTTCTCCATAATGTTACATTTACATTTATTTAAAACTTAAACTTTTAATTTTAAGATAGTTATACATTCAAATACAGTTTGTAAGAAATAATACATAGAAAGATTGTGTGTTCTTTACTAGTTTTCCCAATGGTAAAATCTTGTAAAACTAATTACATTACCACAAGCTGAATACTTGTCATTGACACAGGCAAGACACAGCACATTTCCACCACAAGGATCACTCCTGTTCCCTTTTATAGCCACACTCACTTATATCCCTCACTCTCTCTCCCTAATCCCAGACAACCACTACTCCATCTCCAATATTTTTCATGTCAAAAATATTACGTGAATGGAGGTATGTGGTATGTAACCTTTGGGGACTGGCTTTTTTCATGCAGGAGAATTCCCTGGAGATTCATCCAAGTCGTTGCATGTGTCAACAGCTCTTTCTTTTTAACTGAGTGCCAGATTCCATGATATGGATGTGCCACAGTTTGTTTAACCATTCACACATTGAGGGGCACCTGGGTTGCTTTCAGCCTTTGGCTATGATGAATCAAGCTGCTGTGAATGTTCATGTGGAGGTTCTTGTGCAAACATAAGTTTTCATTTCTCTGGGACAATGCCCAGTAGTACAATGGCTGGATCATATCCCGGTTGCATGTTTTGTTTAATGTAGTTTTCATTAAGACTGGCCTCCTTGCTACTGGACGGTGGTGAAAGTCCTGACTCACTGCTAGGTCTCCTCTGACACTGTCACAGAGTGAGGGAGAATGGTGCCTCATTACTCCCAAGTGGGGTTGAGGGTCCAGGCAGGCTCTTCATGTGGTCTCTCTTGATATCATAGATAGGATTGTAGGGGAAAAGATTCATTACCATCTGCTGGGGATGAATATCTCTTCTCTACTTGACCTCTCACACCAACCTAGCTGGCATGAGGGGGTTGGGGTGGATGTTAGGGCACCCTATTACAGCCAAAAAAGGCTGGAATTTTGACTTCCCACTAGGCCTTTGCTGGCATGGGTAAAGGTGTGGCCACATTTTTTTTTTCTGTGTTGATTGTCTGCAGTAGAACAATTATTACCAAAAATGTTTAAAACGTTTCAGTCTTGGTAGGCTGGCCATTTCCTGGTCCTTTGCTAGAGGGAGAAGATTTTGTTAGCAATTTTTAGTCTGTATCTGTTGGTGTTTCTAGGTTGCCAGATACTTTAGCTCCATGTCTGGGATATATGAGTAAAAGGAAGTGGGAGCTCACCGCTGGGAGCTCCTGAGCCCTGTAGTTCTGCACTCATTGACCTTCTTCTCTCTACTTT
This sequence comes from Homo sapiens, assembly GCF_000001405.40. Classification (NCBI taxonomy): domain Eukaryota; kingdom Metazoa; phylum Chordata; class Mammalia; order Primates; family Hominidae; genus Homo; species Homo sapiens. The sequence goes on from NC_000008.11 coordinate 120,205,373, forward strand.
TCAGCATCTTCTTATGCTTGTCTTTGATATAATTTCCAGAGTTTTTAGTTATACTCAGCAAAAGGAATAGAGTAAAGCACTTACTTTATTTGGAGAGATATCATATCATTGGTCTGCAGATTGTGCTTGCCTTATAGAGTTGTAATCTGAGAAGAGGGTAATATCCAAGTCTTCTTTCAAGAGTCTGGTTTTATTTGCTGCCTCTGTTGTAACCAGTGTGAAATGGTTCTTTCTGGCTACATGTCCTTCTCTCTATCATCATTCCCCTTTCCCCAGGCTAGATCTTGTGGGGCTGGGCTGGGCACCCAAGCAGTATGATCCTGAACACATTTCTCTGAGCTTCAAAGTGAAGCTACTTTAGAGCTCAGTTTTTCCAAAATAGTCTACATGTGGTTGATGATACAGCATGTAATAAAGTTCCTGCCCATAGTTTGTGTTCAAAACAGTATTTTAAAAATTGAGATTATTAAAGTCCCTTTGAGTAAGTGCTCTTAAAGGGTGAGAAATTCTAAAGTTTAAGCTCTTTATTATAATTTACATATTGTATTCCCCTTCCACTTAGATTTTGCATGTCCCAAATTTTTATAGAATCATTTGCTTTAACATGTGTAACACACACACACAAATGCTTACCTAGTATCGAGCTCATAGTGGGCATTTAGTATATGTTAGTTGCTTTTTCTTTTTTTAAATTTTTAGGTATTAGTCACTTGTTGAATTGAAATTTTTAGTATAGAGCCTGTGTTCGCTGATGCTTAAAAACATAGACTCTTGTGTCAAGCCCAGATATCAATGTCAACTCTGATACTAATTGTGAGACCTTGGTCAGGTTAGCTAACTTCACTGTGCATTGATTTTCTCATATATGAAGTGTGAACAGTAATAGGAACTAGGGAGAAGTAGATGAGATAAAAAAAACTTCTTAAGACTCTGAAGAGTACCTTTTGATACACACATGCTTAGTTAATGTTTGTTTGTTTGTTTGTTTGTTTTTTGGAGGCAGAGTGTTGCTCTATCCCCCAGGCTGGAGTGCAGTGGCACGATCTCGGCTCACTGCAACCTCTGCCTCCCGGTTTAAGTGATTCTCCTGCCTCAGCCTCCAAAGTAGCTGGGATTACAGGCACCTGCTACCATGCACGCTAATTTTTGTATTTGTAGTAGAGACGGGGTTTTGCCATGTTGGCCAGGCTAGTCTTGAACTCCTGACCTCAGGTGATCTGCCCGCCTCGGCCTCCCAAAGTGTTGGGATTACAGGCATGAACCACTGTGCCTGGCTGTTAATGTTTGTTTTTATTATTTATTAACAATGACCTTAATTTAAGAAAGTTCTCTGGAGTCAAGAACTATGTCTTATTTAAGTTTGGTATCCTCGGAACTTAGCATAGTACCTGGCACCTAATAGACATTTAAATGTTTGAATGAACAAATGGATAACTGAATCAACTTATCTAAAGAGGAAAATCTTAGAGGCAGCATAAAATCAATATTTATTTCTGTCTAATGAGATGTCTTAGCTTCATAAGAAATAACTTTGGGTAAGAGGTTTATTTGATATGTTTTTTTAATTTAGCCTCAGCCCATGCCATCACTGGGCCGCCTACGGAGTTGATTACTTCTGAAGTCACTGCCAGAAGCTTTATGGTTAACTGGACTCATGCCCCAGGAAATGTGGAAAAATACAGAGTTGTGTATTATCCTACCAGGGGTGGAAAACCAGACGAGGTAATAAGGAGAGAGTATTTTCAAACCATTCTTTTTATTCTCTCAAGTCTTCTACAATAGTGAGAACAAGGCAGAAATATAAATATAAGATTATTCCGTCACAGACATTTTAAAGAATTTGACTGAAATACATTTCCACTTGTTCATATTGTTCTCCCCTATCTCTGAGTTATGGCAATTACATCTTTCATCTCTCCAAATAACACTCAGAACTGGTCAGGTATGAATTTCTAACACAACGTATTTTTCTTCTTAAAATTAATAAGTTCTAAAGTAAAAGGTATCAGTAGCTAATTATCTGGCCAGGACCCCTTTTGCTATTTGTGCATTTTTTCTACTTGGGAGTGGTCTGAGCTTTCTGCCTTAGTTAAGTCTGTGAATTCCAAAGTACGTGGTCATATATGGACTAGTCCTCCAAGGCTTGGAGTTTTCCGGACATTTGTAGGGATTAGTGCAATGGAAAAGCCATAATAAAGCCGCTATGGCTGGCATATTTTTATGGCTTGGCCAACACAGGCGAGAACACCTATTGCCAGATGATTAGATCCTTCCCATTTCCTACCTTTGATACCACAATTCACAAGCAATAAGTTAAAACACGATGAAATTCTTTTGTCTTTTTCTTTTTGTTGTTCTAGCCTCTGACTGACCTCAGCATATTTCACAATGTTCTGTGTTATGGTAGGATTTATGATATTTTTTAAGTGTTAGAAAAGTAGATTGTGGAGTCTTAAATCATTTGGACCAAAAAAAAAAAAAAAAGATCCGAGTGCTTCCAATGATTCTTTTATTTTTCATGACTAATAAATCTTTTAAATGTTTCCCAAAGCTCTATGGAAAAATATCATGTTTACTGTTATTAAGTGGATGTAAATAGGATAATAATTAGCCTGGTATTGACACAATTATTTCTATTAGATATGAATTAATAAGGGACTTCTAGACACATTCCATAAAAGGTGCATCACTTCACTTAGGAATTCAAAGAGAGTTGACTGCCACAGTGGAAAGGGGGATGTGGCACAAACAAGAAAATATTCAATGAAATATTTTTGCTGGACGTATTTTCGCTTTTTGATTTCAATTCTGCGTGTAAGATATTCCATACTCTCATTACTCAAACTGTTCTTTAAACAGGTGGTGGTAGATGGAACTGTATCTTCCACAGTGTTGAAAAACTTGATGTCTTTAACTGAATATCAGATAGCAGTCTTTGCAATCTATGCCCACACTGCTAGTGAAGGCCTACGGGGAACTGAAACTACACGTATGTATTTAATTCTACCCCACTTCTAACTTTGTAGAGTGCTGCTTAGGAGGCCTTTCTTAAATTGAAATTCTGCTCAGGTCATGTTGATAGACATCCTGAATCGAATTCAATCAAATTCATAGAAGACATTTGTCGTGCTATATGTGATACTGGTCCATGCTTGATATAGTCTTGCCGGTGCTATGTCTTGAAAAAGTTGTTATAAATCTCTGATAGGTTTAAGAGCAATCTTGGTGGTGAAGAGTACAAAAAACATTCATTCATTTATTAAATAAGTGTTTAGTAAATGCCTATTATGAACTAAGAATTGTCCTTGAATTTGTCAGTAGAAGTAGAGAAAAAACTCCATAGCTCTCCCGCCCAATTGAATGCCAAGGAAATTATGTTACTGCTATCTTTATTGTTCATATCATTGTAGGTAAAACAAGCTTCTGAATACTAATAATTCCCTCCCTGGGTAGGATCGTAATAACACACCATGACAACATACACACATAATACACACACGCACACAGAATCATGAGAAGAGATAATCTTTAAAAAAAGATCGAACATCTTATAGTCATTTCTAATATTAACAGAGTTCCTATTACATGCAAGTCACTATGCAAAATTGCTCTAAAAAATCTGCCTCTGATAGAACAATAACAGTGTAAACAACACTAATCACAATGCGCCAGGCACTGTGATCATCACTCTCTGAACTTTCTTGGATTTATCCCTGGCAACAATCTGTCGGATGAGTGTTAATGCCCTCACTTTGCAGAAATATTTTAGTGACAATCCTTATTCTCAAGGATGTTTTAGTGAGCCTGGGCAACATGGCAAAACCCGATCTCTACAAAAAATACAAAAATTAGCTGAGCATGGTGGCACGCAGCTGTGGTCCCAGCTTGTGAGGCTGAGGTGGGAGGATTGCTTGAGCCCGGGAGGTAGAGGTTGCAGCTAAGATTGCACCACTGCACTCCAGCCTGGATGACAGAGGAAGAACAGGTCTCAAAAAAATAATAAATAAAAGAAAAAGGATGTTTTAGTGTAGTAGGGGGTGGGGACGCAATCCAAGGACATGCAAACAGATTAGTGCAATGAAGGGCTGTAAGCACTCTCATAGATCCCTGTACAAGGAGCTGGAAATGTCAGCAAAGTCCTGAACTTGACACTGTGGTTAGAAGAGTAGGGCAGGGTCACATTAGGGAGGGTCTAGAACCATATTTGAAAACAGCAGTGTTTCCTGTTTTTCATCAGCATTGTTTAACCCAGGAACTTGCAATTTATTCTTAATCCCTTTCTCCCTTCCCCTCAAATATGGTCAATCTTATTTCTTGATAATTTCATTTTTCTCAAGGACACATATATAAGTGGCTCAACATTTAAAAAAAAATCTCTTGCAGTTGCTTTACCGATGGCTTCTGACCTTCTACTGTACGACGTGACTGAGAACAGCATGCGAGTCAAATGGGATGCAGTGCCTGGGGCCTCAGGTTACCTGATCCTTTATGCTCCTCTAACAGAGGGCCTGGCTGGGGATGAAAAAGAGGTAACCACTTCCTACCTATTACAGTCCTAGAATCTTTTATTTCCTTAAATAAAATAAAATTTTTATTGTAAAAATTTAATGTAGAAAATTTAGAAATTTCAGATTAGCCAAAAGAAAAAAAAACACTTATAATCCCACCACTGAGAGATAGCCATTGTTAACATTTAATTAACAGTCTTTGTCGATGCATTTTGAAAGCAACACATGGAAATGGTTTCGTAGCCTGCTGTTTTCATTTTATTTGTTGTGAAGCTCTTTCCATGTCATTAAAGAACATTTTACAAAGTCATTGTATACACCCATAGTATTCTACTGTTGGTTTGAACAGATCATGTTTAATCAATCTATGTTATTGGATATTTAGATAGCTTGCTATATAAATAATGCTTTTGTGAATATTCCTAACATATGTTTTTGCATAATTGTTTGATTATTTCCCTAGGATAAATTCCTAGAAATAGAGTTTATTTTTCAAAGGGTAGGCAAATTATTAAGGTTTATACTCAGTATTGCCAAATGGCTCTAGAGAAATGTTATATGTTTTGCTTTATGTGGTGCATAAGTGACTGTTTTCTCCATATACACTGAATTAAGTTTTTTCTTACTAATTTGAGAGGTAGATAAACATACCTCATTGGTGCAAAATTTTGAATTTATTCCATTTTAAATGATGAACCTTTGACCTTCAGATGACTTTCAAACATTTTAGTCCTCATTTTTAATTTGTAGTGGACAATAGCTATAATGCAGACATTTAAGGAATGAAGAGGATGAATCTCTGGCACTTGGAAGTGTAATGACCAGGCAGGTGGAGTTAATAAGCAAAGCAATTCAGAGAACTTGATTGTCTAAAATTGTGTAAAGCCTGTCCCTGATGATTGAAATCTTTAGGGTCAAAAAAATGGTGAATCTGAGTGTCAAGAACAGAGTATTGGTGACATGTGTCTTTTTATTTCCAAGGCTTAGATGGCTTTTGTCTATTTGAATTTAAAGTTGATCTAAATTATTTTGACAAAAGAGAGACTTACAAATAGTGCTGAGAAGATGCTCAGCCTCACTATGAAAGAGAAAAAAAAAAGGAATAGTAGTTTAAAACCAATAGATTAGCAAAAAAATTTTAAAGTCTGATAATACTGTGTATTCATAAGCACACAGGAAAAGAATCGCTCCTGTAACTGCTGGCGGGCATATAGATTGGTACAGCTCCTTTGGAGGATATTTTGAAATATTTCATCCTGTTGAAGATATATACTACTTTTTGGAAATGTATCATAGGGAAACATCTTGCAAGCATTTTTCAATGCAGGCACTTGGTTGGAATAAAACATTGCAGACAACTAACAGGCCTGTTAATAGAGGAATGGAAAATAGTGGTATATTTATAGAAAAGAATATCATAAAGGAATTAATGATGTCAACTCTGTCCTTATGTATCAACATGGATAAATCTCAAAATGTAATATTAACACAGAAAAAATAACAAGCTGCAAAAAGATTGTGTTGATATGATCCCATTATGTGCATTGTGAAACATACAGGATCATATATTGTTTATAGATATATCTATACACATACAGAAGTACAAAAATGCAGCAGTAAGATATACATCAACCTTAGGGTGGAGGTAGTGGACAGAAAGAATGAGAAAGACCTGTTGTTTTATCTGAATATATTAGTTTTTTAAAAAATAAAATCTGAAGTTGATATGACAAAAATTTGATATTTATCCAATTTGAGTAATGGGTACATCAGTGTGTATTATATTATTTTCTGTAAGTTTATGTTGTATATATTGAGATAGTTCAAAATTCAAAATTTTAATTTGATGATTAATCCTGGCAGTCATGTGCCTGTAGATTGGAGATTTATTTTTTCCTTCCAAAACATAAAACTATCTCGTCACTCTACTGTCACACAACTGAGAATGTTGGATAGTTTGAATCCAAGGGTCAGAAAAGGTGTTCAAGAATCAAAAAAGCAAATTGCCAAGTTGGGTGTCAAGGTGAGTTGATCTCTTCTGAATACTGGAAGTAACTTGCAATTCAACTGCGTGGATTCTCTTGTTGAATGGGGACACAAAACTGGCCCAGCTTCATTGAGTTTGAAGCAAAAACTGGGCATCTGGCCAGAGCACTGGTTAGTATTAGCCAAATACTGAAAGATGCCCACTTGGCCTTGCCTCCAGCACACTGGCCTGGAGCTCACAGTCTCTAGAGAACATTTCTGATTCAATCCCACCCACCTTCTCCTGGGGAGCATATACTCAACATTGTTATTCTGGCTGGAGTTGCCATTTGTCCAGATGTAAAGAGTTATCCTAACACAGTTCACATGGTACTTTTCGACTTATATGGTTCCATAATATCTGTTCCTAGTATAAAATGACACAAGACAATTTAAAAATTATGACTGAAGCCTGTTTGATGAAGGGGTTGTAACAGGACGTAAAGTCTTATCCCATGAAGTCTCACCTTTGTTCTGTTCCACTCTGATCAGCATGAATAATATGTATTGGCAAATGATCTAACAACATGTGTTCTTTTCAGATGAAAATTGGAGAGACCCACACAGATATTGAATTGAGTGGGTTGTTGCCCAATACAGAATACACAGTCACAGTTTATGCCATGTTTGGAGAAGAGGCCAGTGATCCTGTTACGGGACAAGAAACAACATGTGAGCAGCACAGCCATTCAGTTGGGATGCTGTAGTAAAAGCCCACATGAATGTGGGGATTCTGAATTGGAACTACTAGTTTTGTTGAAACCTCTTAAAAGCTAATTATAATTTTAAAAATCTCATGTTCTATTTAGGGCAAGGAAATGTATTTCTTATATATTATATTATTATGAGTGATAAGGTTGCCAGAACCAAGCTTCAGCATCCTCCAGATAATTCCACCTATGTCTTTCTTTGTCTAAATTCAAATGCAGGTCAGAATCTAGAGGGAAGAGTGTAGGCTTTGCAAGATAGCAGCTGAGATGGGAATCTCAGCTCAACTCATATTTTAGCCAGGTGACAATGGGTGATTGATACAACTTTTTTGATTGTATAAAAGGAAGAACAATAATCTTGCAGCATGTGGTTGGTATAAGATTAAATACAGTAGTATATGTGAAAACACTCAGCACATAGTTACTGAATATCTGTTTATTTTCCACTCATATCAAAATTAACAAACATTTTTTCCTAAAAATCTTTGCTGTCTTTAACTGAGCCTATTACTATTGTAATTCATTTTCAATTGAGTAAAAATTTTGTTGGTAAGGCTAATTTTGGATAAATGTAGGGAATTCCTAGAACTTTTTGGGAAATGTATGCATTTATTTTTAAAAATATGGTATAAACAATATTACTGTGGCATACTGATAATACTTACCACATACTATTAAAATATGGCTCTATTCGTGATCTTTTGAAACATAAGAAAGTGCAGGGAGACTTGGGGTCTTGCTCACCACTCTTCTCCTAGACTCGGGAGATGAATAGCACAATTTCTACAATGCCTTTCTCATTAAGATTCCATTTGGGAAAACAAAATAGAAGTTTAATGATAAAGAAGTTTGCACACATCCACTCTTTGTTAGTCAAGACTATGTTATTCTTGCTCTTCGGAGAAAGACCAATGTAATTAAAACAACAAAGAAACAAACAAAAGCTCTGGGAGAGCCCAAGAAAGAAAAAGAAAAGAAATAAATCATGCTAGAAAGCATCCACCACATAAGTGAATTCTGGGACTCTAACCATTTGAAAGAAAAGCTTTCCCCAACAGCCCATCTCTGTTTCACTCAAAGTGTTCACTTCTTTATACTTCTTAAAAATATGTACAACTCCTTCCCATGATTAGCAAAAAGGTCCTAAAAAATGATATCCTAGATACTTGTTCCTGAGGCTGGCATTTTTATGTGCTAAGTAAATTAGACACTATTCTATTATATTGCCAAATGTAATAGAATTCCAGAAAAATTTAGAGCCAAATGTGCACACTACTTAATTATATTGCTTTTTTTTCTTTTCTACACTTTCTCTCTAGCACCTTAATTATTAAGAGATTCACTAACTCCTACAAGATCTTTATTGTCAAAGAATCAGTATGTATTGAATTAATGAAAGAACTGGGCTTTGAGGTTAGGAAACATCATGCTTCGTGGCTATGGCTGGTAATTGTCATGATTTGTCTTCAAGTTTTTTGCTTTGCTGGCTCTATCAGCACTGACTTTGTGGGATGAGAGAGTGTGAGTAAGAGAGAGAAACAGTGAGAGAGGAGAAATTAGCATCCTGGTTAATATCATGGGCTCTGGAATCAGTTAATCAATTTTCTAGGTTAAATTCTAATTGCTCTTCTGTTCCTAGTAACTGGGACGTTGGCCAAGTTACTTCAATTTTGTGATCAATATAGTGGGGATAATTGCAACTCTATCCTTGCATTCTAATGTAAGAATTTAATAAGTTAACATATGCTATGTGTCAGACTCATGGACAACACTCAGTAAATGTTAACAATTATTTTTACAATAAGCCTGTAAAGAGCTCATGAAGCTGTCAAAAATTATGGACAATTTTTAATTTGTTGAATTAGATAGGGGTCCTTGAAGAGGTTCAAAAAGCTATGGAATTGACAGTTAGGAATCTGCAGAAATGCCAATACCTCTTTAAATAATTTTAAAGCAATAGTAAGATGTTTATTTTTATTTGTCTCACAAAGCCACTGTGATTTATTCAGGTCAAATAATTACCCATTGATTCAATGAATGTTTATTGAGTACTTGCTATATTGGGGATAGATCTGGGAACAAAATGAAACCAAATTATCTAACCCCCTGAGATTACAATATCCTGGGGGAGAGAGACAATAAGCCAGAAATATACGGTGAAAAAAAATAGAACAGAAGAAGGAGACAGGTAGTATGGAGTGGAAGAGCTGTTGCACGTAAGATGATCATAGAAAGCTTCACCAAGCAGGTGGCATATGGTCAGAAACCTGAAAGAGGCAAAGAAACTGGCTATGCGTATATCTAGGGGAAGAGCCTTGAAGGCAAAGAGAAGGCAAGTGCAGTGGCCTATGAATGAGCATGCGTGGCAGGTTCCAGTCACAGCTAGTGGCATGGAAAAGGCACGGAGTAGTAGCAGATGGAACCAGTGAAATAGCAGCAGGCCACTGATGTAGGGCCATAAAGACCATTCTAGGCTTGCTGCGGTGGCTCACGCCTGTAGTGCCAGCACTTTGGGAGGCCAAGGCAGGCAGATCACCTGAGGTCAGGAGTTCAAGACCAGCCTGGCCAACATGGTGAAACCCCCGTCTCTACCAAAAATATAAAAACTAGCAAGGTGTGGTGACACACGCCTGTAATCCCAGCTACTCAGGAGGCTGAGGCATGAGAATCACTTAAATCTGGGAGGTGGAGTTTGCAGTAAGCTGAGATCCTTCCACTGCACCCCACCCTGGATGACAGAGTGAGACTCTGTCAGAAAGAAAGAAAGAAAAGAAAGGAAGGAAGGAAGGAAGGAAGGTAGGAAGGAAGGAAGGGAGGGGAAAAAAGAAAAGAAAAGAAAAGATCATGCTAAGAACTGTGGGTTTACGCTGAGGGAGTTGGGAACCATTTGGAAGGTTTTGTGCAGAGAAGTGAAATTACCTGGCTGACATTTTAAAAGAAGCACTCTGGCTGCTTGCTGAGGAATAATTATATTAATAGTAGGGGGAAGATGGAAGTTGGGAGATTGGCTGGGAGACCATGGCAAAAATCCAAGCCAAGAGGGGATAGTGGCTTCTACCAAGATGGTGGCAGTGGAGGTGAAGAGAAGGGGTCAGATCTGGATAATGGATTAGAAGTGGGTTGCGAGAGAAAGAGCAATCCAGGAGGCTCCAAGGTTTTTGACTGATCAGTGGGAAGGATAGAGTTTCCATTTGCTCAGAGGGGAAGACTGAGGGAAGAGGCAAGAGGGGAAGGCATCAAGAGTCAGTGATTCTGTTTGGACTGGTTAAGTTGGAGTTGCCTAATAGATACCAACGTGGAAATGGCAGATGGGCATCTCATTTTACATGTGGAAAATTGTGGAGCTTAGAGGTAGAGTGGCTTTGCCAGAGTCACATGGTAATTGAGTGGACTAGCTAAAATTTTATTTCAAGTTACTTTGTTTTTAATCCATTAAGTTTCCTACTTACATCAAGCTAGAGTGATAGGCCGAGAAAATTTACCTAAATCCTATTTATTTCTAACCATGTGTAACTTATTACTGCTATTTATTCTCTACAAAGAAAACTTTTTTCTTTGCTAATTAGAGAACATTATTGATTTTTATGAGACAATACACTGGTTATTTCAGTGTTATAAGTTATTATCTAGGTGACACTTTTCATATGTAAATAGTTTAGAAGTCAAAGATGCAATTTCTTTTTACATGTATGTAATTTGACATTTTAATTATTTTCTATTCCATTTACTGCCAAGTGGCTTTAAGTCCACCAAGAAACCTGAGAATCTCCAATGTTGGCTCTAACAGTGCTCGATTAACCTGGGACCCAACTTCAAGACAGATCAATGGTTATCGAATTGTATATAACAATGCAGATGGGACTGAAATCAATGAGGTAAGTTCCGGGACATAATGTATATTTTTTAGGTAGTGGCGTGCTAGTTATTTATGGCTACATAACCAATCATCTCAAAGCCTAGTGGCTTAAAATAATAGTAATTATTTATTGTCTCGCATAGTTCCTGTATGTAGGTCAGGAATTGGGGTGTGGATTGCAGTTATCACTGGAGGAGGGGTGCTCCCCAGTGAGGTTAGGGCCAGATAGTGGCTGGAGCTGGAGCTATCTCATGGCATCTTTACTCATGTATCTGGTGCCTGGTCTGGGGAGCCTGGAACAGCTGGGAGCTGTAGCAGGTCTCCATATCTCTAATTAGACCCTTCACATGATGCCTTCAGCATGCAGCTTCAGGGGAGTTGGCTCAGGAGTCCCATGACCCATGTCCAAACAGAGAGAGAGCTAAGTAGAAGCTGTACCACCATTAATGACCCAGCCTCTGAAGTCACTTGATATCACCTCTATCACACTCCATTAGTATGAGATGTCACCAGCTTCACCCAGATTTATAGGTGGGGAGAAACACAGATCCTACCTATGGTGGGAGACAGGTCAGTCACAGGATAGGAGGAGCATATAGAGAAGAAGATATTCATTGATGTGGCCATCTCTGGAAAATGCAGCCTGCCACAGGGGATGGGGGTGGGGAAGGTGTATGTTCATGGAAGCATTGTATTAAAAATAATGTCACTGTTGTCTAGTTTATCCTGCTTTTGAGTAAACTGGCATCTGAAAGGCTCTAGTTAGATGAGCCTAAATTTAACAAATAATTCAAGTTTTATCTAAGAAGTACTTTCAGATAATGGAACTTGTTAAAACCCATGAAGATACAGTATCTTGCATGCAGTGACTAATACTTTCAAAAAAGTGTTTCCTTGGAAATGTGTTTTAGCAAAACAGCGAGGTTATTTTTATTTTATTTTCCCTTATCTTGGTCCAGTAAGCTAAGGCAAAGAAGGAAATATGTTAGATTGCATCATTTCTATTTTCTGACCAAATAAAGCAAGTGTTTTTATATGCAGAGACAAACATTTTTCTAAAATTAAATCCAAGCAATATTTTACAAAATGCATCCTCATGAGGGACATTGTGTAATGGACGGGCAGTAAGTACACATTTGCTAACATATAGAAATACTGTTCAATATCCTTCATTAAACCTTTGTAAATCTTGAGAGTAAATAATCCTGAAGAGTCTGGTCATTTGGATGAGTTGCTTTGTTATTGAAGATAGCAGCCTGGAGCAGTAAAAAGATTGAAATAAAAAAACACTGAGCTATAGGTGTCTCTTTGTCACCAGAAATACATAAACTACTTTCCCAAGGGTTAATTCAACTGTGTAGGAGGATGAGGAAGATAATATAAATGAGTGAAGCATGCCATTAAATCTGTAGAAGCAGACACACCTGCAAAGAAATACTCTATGTTTTGCTTGACACATGAGGCTAACTTAGGCTATATTATATAATATATATAATTTAAATATATAATATATATTTACAAATATATATTATATATTTAAATTATATATTATAAATATAAATAAATATATATTATATATCTATTTTTATGTATCTATATATAAATATATAATATATAAATATAAATACATAAATATATAAGTATATATCTATATAAAAATATATAATATATAAATATAAATAAATATATAAATATAAATATATATAAATATATAAGTATATATCTATATATAAATATATAATATATAAATATAAATAAATATATAAATATAAATATATAAGTATATGTCTATATATATATAATATATAAATAGATATATAATATATATAATATATATCATATATATATACATATTTGAGATGGAGTCTCACTTTGTTGCCCAGGCTGGAGTGCAGTGGCATGATCTCAGCTCACTGCAAACTTTACCTCCCGAATTCAAGTGATTCTCTTGGCTCAGCCTCCTGAGTAGCTGGGACTACAGGCGTGCGCCACTGTGCCCAGCTAATTTTTGCATTTTTAGTAGAGACAGGGTTTCACCATGTTGTGCAGGCTAGTCTCAAACTCCTGACCTCAGGCAATCCGCCCGCCTAGGCCTCCCAAAGTGCTGGGATTACAGGCGTGAACCACTGCTCCCAGCCTAACTTAGGCTATATTTTGTCTTCCCATTTTGAGGACATGAATGCAGAAGAAATTCTCTACTGAAAGAAAGACAACAAACAAGACTAATGATAAGTGACAACGGACAGTGAGTTTCAATGACAAGGATACTAGGGACTGGTGGATGGGAAGTGTGTGCATCCAGGACGCAGCCAGTCTCAGCTTCTACTTATTGCTGCTCGATAGAAATCCAGGCAGGGGCTGCCAGATCTTAAGATTCCTGGAGAGATACCAGTGATTTCTATTTTTATATAAAACCTATCAATTTAAAAGAGTTGACTCATTGAACAACGAAAGTAACATGACTATATTCCCCAATAAATATTTGTTCATTGTAGAGCATCCTCCTTTGGTAATAATTTTTAATAAAACAAAAAACAAATTTTCTTATATATCAGTTATATTTATAAATATAATTATATAATAATAATCATAAGCATTCTTTTAGTCCATTTGGTTTACTGTAACAAAATACCTTGCCTGGGGAACTTTTGTTTATTTATTTATTTAGAGACGGGGTCTCTGTTGCCTAGGTTGAAGTGCAGTAGTGTGATCGTGGCTCACTGCATCCTCGACCTTGCAGGCTCAGGTGATCCTCCCACCTCAGCCTCCCGAGTAGCTGGGACTACACATGCCACCATGCCTAGCTAATTTTTGTACAGACGAGGTTTTGCCATGTGGCCCAGGCTGGTCTCAAACTCCTGGGCTCAAGGGATTCATCTGCCTTGGCCTCCCAAAGTGCTGGAATTATAGGAGTGAGGCACTGTGCCCAGCTTGGGAAACTTACCAATGACAGAAATTTATTGTTCACAGTTCTAGAAGCTGAGAAGTCTAAGATCAAGGCACCTGCACCTGAATTTGCAGGTGTATTCCTCATAGTTGGAGCTTTCTACCTGTGCCCTTACCTGGTGGAAGGAGCAGACAAGCTCCCATGGGCCTCTCTAATGTGGACATTCATCCCTCATGACCTAATCATTTCTCAAAGACCCCATCTCTTAATACTACTGCATTGGGGATCAGGTAGCAACATATGAATCTTCAGGGGGACACAACCTTCCAGACCATAGCAACTGCTATAGCTTCTTCTACTATTTTCTGTTATTTGTCTTTGCAAAGAATAGCCCCAGACTAACATGTTTGTTGAGAACATATGTTTGGGGGTTTTTTTGGTAGTGTTTTTCAGTCTTGGGGAAGCTGCTAGCATTTGCTATTTCTGGGAAATTAGAAAGCTATGTTTGGTAAAACCAAACTTAAAATATGAGAAAATGGGCTATGAATGAAGATTTGAGAAAATTTTGAGTAAAATGCATAAGCCATGCATGGATTTTGTAACATCGGTTTTGACTAGGGTGTGTATGTGTGTGTGTGTGTGTGTTTTTCTTATTTCTTAATTCATAGCCATGCTATAGATACTTGAGGTTGCTGGATAAGCATCTTTTACTGAAGTGAAGTATTACTGTACCTAATTTTAGAATATATAATTTTAAGGATGAATATTTCTATTAGATTTTGCTTTAATTTCTATGAATTTAAGCTTCTATTTATAGACAATGCAACAATTGGGTTTTTAAGAAATCCTCAAAAAACATTCTGGAATGAACTGTAAAATGTCCCAATTAAAATCTGCTTAGTACCCAACATGCAATTGATTTTTTTTTTTTTTTGAGATGAAGTCTTGTTTTGTCTCCAGGCTGGAGTGCAGTGGCACGATCTTGGCTCACTGCAATCTCCGCCTCCTGGGTTCAAGCGATTCTCCTGCCTCAGCCACCCGAGTAGCTGGGACTATAGGCACGCACCACCACGCCCAGCTAATTTTTGTATTTTTAGTAGAGATAGGGTTTCACCATGTTGGCCAGGATGGTCTCGATCTCTTGACCTCGTGATCTGCCCACCTCGGCCTCCAAAAGTGCTGGGATTACAGGTGTGAGCCACCGCGCCCAGCCCATGCAATTGATTATTAACGCTTTTGATTTACACTCAATATTTTCTGCTTCGCTTCCTCTCATCTTCCTTCTCTCACTTCCTCTTCCTCCCTCTGCATCTTTTCTGCATTACCCCTCTCCCCAACTTTTTGGAGACCAGGAAGAAAAACGAAACAAGTATTTCAACAAATGTCTATGCTGCTGCTGCTGCTAATTGATGATGATAATGATGGTGATGATGGTGATGATAATGGTGATGATGGTGATGATGATGGTGATAATGATAATGATGGTGATGATTATGGTGATGATGATGATGATGACAACGATGATAATAATGGTGATGATTATAATGGTGGCTAACATTTGTTGAGTGCTTCCCATGAGCCAGGCACTGTTCCGAGTGCTCTAAAGAGAATATCTCATGTAATCCTTACAGAACCAAATGCTGACAGCATGACTTGTCAAACTACGGACAGAAGTCATCTCAGGTAGCATTTACTGTGAAAGGATTTTGGAAGTACACAAACATGATGGAGAATTAAGTGCTGCCATTTGAGTTTTATAAATGCAAAGGCCACAGTTTTTGGATTTTGAGAGGCCGGTTCCTAATAGCAGTGACTCAGCAGTAGAGCCTGGAGTTGAGCCCAAATCCCTTGTTCCTCATCAGGGCCCTTTTCTACATCCCTTCTAAAATTAGGCTGAAGTTAAACTTTTAGCTAGACTGATTGAGGATAATTCTCAGAAACAGTTTCATAACAATGAGATCATGGTTATTTGTTATTATTTCCTCAAATTTTTCTTCTACATCTTAAAATACTACCAGCAAAATCAGTTCTGGGACTAATCGTTTAAAACATGATATTTTAACTAATATAAATAAATGATACCTAAAGGTCTTCATTAGATGAAGTAAAATAATCAATGCTGAAATTATGTAAAATATAGTCTATTCAGCATCAAATATTTAATAAACAATATCCTTTTTAACAGATACACACACACACATGCACACACACACACACACACACACGTTTCTCCTTTTAGTCCTTCTTCCTCTTTGGTGTACCTAAGGATCTAGGACCTAGATTTTAACTGCTTTTGTGTATATTTGATATCTTTGCAAAATTCCTATTTGTCACATATTTGAAACTTAGAAACAAGGTCAAGGCCTAACTAGACATTCCAGTTAATAATTTTTTGGCTCAGGGCAAGTTAGTTAAGCTGTTTGGGCCTCAGGTTTTCCTTCGGAAAATAGTTGTAAAAGCACCTAGTGTTTGATAGGTAAAGGTGGGTGGGAGAGACTCTAAATAAGACAATATGTATCAAGTCCCTGACTCTTTGTAAGTGCTCAATAAATCTCAGCCATGACAATTCAAAACATCAGAAAGCAATATGTAACTAGAGGTTAGGAAAATATGTCTTGAACTCACATTTTTTTAACATGGGTTGTATTTTCTGTGAGCTTAAATAATGAAGCCATACTTTAAATAGTGTTTAAGAGCATAGGATTTAGAGCCTGAAACACCTGTGTTTAAGTCCTGTGTACTAGCTGTTTTCCCCTTGGGCAAGTTCCTTAATTTTTGGAATCACATTTTTCCATTTTCAAATTGGGAGTAATAATTAGCTCCCCTACAGGATTGTGATAAGGATTAAATAAGTGAATGCATATAAAGCATGCAGACAGTTTGCAGGCTGCAGCAAACAATAAGTGCTAAAAATGACCTATAATGTTATCAATCCCTGATTTAGAAGAAGATAATCCATATTTTCAATTAACCATTGCCGTGTAACCAACACTACAGCTTAAAATACAGCCTAGGAGCATGCAGCTTGGGCAGAACTCAGCAGGGACAGCTGGGCTCTGCCATGTGGTGTCAGCTGGGGTGATTCTTGCATTCATCTGGGAGTCTGACTTGACCAGAACTTCTAGGATGACTTCATATCCATGTGTGACCCCTCAACTGGAGTGTCTGAAAAGGCTGGGATTCTCTGGCCCTCTCCAGAAGAGTGGCTCAGTACAGCACAATGGTACAGTACAATGACAGCTCTTTTTTCCAGGGTTGGCACTCTTTTTTGACCTACAGACGTGTAGATTCTTTAGAGGTGTATTTGGCTTCTGGACTGGCCCTTAGATTAGAGAAGACCTTTCTCACCTCTTTTAAGAAACAGTTTTTTTGGTGCCTTCATCTTCATTTTAATTTACTTATTCTATTCACTCAAAAAAAAATAATTCAACATACAGTGGTGAAGAAACTAAACAAGTTCTTGCCCTCAAGGAGCTTAAACTCTATGCAGGAGATAGACAATAAACATGTAGGTAAATAAAGTAATTTCAGGTTGCCATTGGTGCCAAGGAGGAAACAACAAGGCCGGTGTCAGAGAATAACCCTACTTATAGGTGGAAAGAGAAATCTCCTCTGAGGAGGTGATAGTTAAGCATAGTCATGATAGAGGAAGAAGGCCTAATTTCGACAAGAGCTGGGGAATAGGGTCACAGACAGAGTGAACTGCATGTGCTAAGGCCCTGAGGTGGGAAAGGCAAGGACCTGAAAGGAGGCCAGTGTGGCTGGAACCCAAAAGGCCACTGGAGTATGGCAGAAAGAAAAGGTGCTGCCCCAGATTATGAAGGCCAAGAGGTATCTCAGGGTGCTTGGTTTTGATTCAGAGTGCAATAGACAGCCAATGAAGGTTTAAGTAGAGAGGTGACATTTTATATTTTGCTAAAGGTTACTTTGCCATGAGCAAACACATACAGTGTTGAGCTTAGTGACCTTCCCCTGAACCTCAGGTAGCATCAAGATTAGTCACTGATAGTATCATAAATAAGAGATCTTGGCTGGGTGCAGTGGCTCACGCTTGTAATCCCAGCACTTTGGGAGGCCGAGGTGGGTGGATCACTAGAGGCCAGGAGTTTGAGACCAGCCTGGCCAACATGGTGAAACCCTGTCTCTACTAAAAATACAAAAATTAGCCGGATCTGGTGGCGCATGCCTGTAATCCCAGCTACACAGGAGGCTGAGGCAAGAGAATAGCTTGAAACCTGGAGGCGGAGGTTGCAGTGAGCCAAGATCGTGGCACTGCACTCCAACCTGGCTGACAAGAGCAAGAACCTGTCTCCAAAAAACAACAACAAAAAAAGGGATCTTATTGCTCTGCTCAAATGTCTCATGAGAACATTTTAAGCAGAGCTTATTTTTGGCAGAGGTTGCTCTCAGGTAAATATGGTCATTTCTTAAATTTTCCAGAGTATCACCACAGTTGGGGCACCTCATTATGCATTATTATAAGTCCTTGTGAGGATTAAAGAGAATATATGTGAAATACCTAGGTGTGGGCCCCATATATGTGGTCTACAATATGCACCCTGTACTATGCAGCGCTGCAGCCCCGTGCCCAACACCTCAGTGACAAAGCTGCATCTGTTCTTTCTCTTGCCTTGAGGGTGCCTTCTAGACCCTGCCCTCATCTCCTTTTTTTTTTTTTTTTTTTTTGAGACAGAGTCTCATTCTGTCACCCAGGCTGGAGTGCAGTGGCATGATCTCAGCTCACTGCAACCTCTGTCACCCTGGTTCAAGCGATTCTCCTGCCATGGCCTCCTGAGTAGCTGGGATTGCAGGTGCGCACCACAACACCCAGCTAATTTTTGTATTTTTAGTACAGATGGGGTTTCACCATGTTGGCCAGGCTGGTCTTGAACTCCCAACCTCAAGTGATCTACCTGCCTCGGCCTCCCAAAGTGCTGGGATTGCAGGCGTGTAATCGTGTAGCACAATATCTAATGAGGAGTTTGCTAACACAATGCTGGTTAAGCCACCTACTGTGAAAAGGAAAATGAATCCTAGGGCTCAGAGTACTGCGGGGGATCATTTGGTGTTGCTCCCGTGAAGCCCAACCCACCCATCTTCTCTTACTTTATGGTTTCTTTTTTCAATGTATGTTTTTTGTTGTCAAGTTCTCTTTTCTAATCCTTAATTTTTCTTACACCCTTGATCTCCATTCCTTGGGATTTCATCTTTTATATGCCCCAAAGAAGTTGGAAAATATTTTCACCAAATATGTCTTTCTGTGGAAGATAGAGGAATGTTTCAAATATTTACTATTTTCTTTAGTATTAATGTTCCCTGATTCTTTCCCAGCATCATTGCTCACCTGTACAACTCTTATAGGAGCTATCATGTATTACTTAGCTATGGGGCCAGGAGAGCCCACGCAGTGAAGCAAAAAACTGGCTGCTACTAGCAGATCTAACTGGAAACATTATCTCTATTTATGTCTGCCTCTTAAGTTGTCTGCACTTTGTGTCTGGAATGAATGGAAAGAATATTGATTGCAAAGTTGTCCTGAGAATTCACTGATGGGTAATCTAAGGGTGTAAGATCAGAAATGTTCATACATAAACTGGTTTTATAATTCAGTAATTTGTTTTGCAGTGTTTATAGCTTTGCTGTCAGCTAAGCGAGCTACAGACAATAATAAAATGATTCTTATACTTAGCATTAGATAGAGCTGTTATTATGACTTATTTCTTTGACAGGTTGAAGTCGATCCTATTACTACCTTCCCTCTGAAGGGCTTGACACCTCTCACAGAGTATACTATTGCTATTTTCTCCATCTATGATGAAGGACAGTCAGAGCCTCTGACTGGAGTTTTTACCACCGGTAAGCAGCCTCATTATGGTTTGAAAAGTTTTGAGAGTAGCTATTAATATATAGAAACCAGAACCTGGAGCACCTTCTTTATTTGTGATTTTGAAGAGATTAAATTTTAATTTTTATTTCTTTTATGTTATTAAAAAATAAACAATTGGATGACTATTATGTGTAGTGGCTAATTATTTTTTATCAAAGCAAGGAAGAGAGAGAAAAGACCACCTAAATTCAAAAGGTCTGTTTTTAAAAAAATGTATGTTTTTCTCTTCCTAATCTTATATCTTTTACTTTCATTCCTTAGTGTAAAACTTCTACATCCTTCTTCCATTCAAATGAGTGTGTGTATTAAGTTGAATTTCCAAAATTGCTGATCTCCAACAGTTTTGGCCCACAAAAATGACAGTCTCATACTATTTAGCTCAATATATCAGTCGATGATTTTCCCCGAGCCTGAAATCTTCATATAATAATAAGTAATATTTTAAACACTAAAATTAAATATAAGACATGAATACATTATTTTTCTTTTCTATATGTACCCTGTAGCCACTTTTTATCTCTTGGTGGCAACAATTCTATTATTTGCTTTCTGAACTTATCATGGATTGCACTTGGAAACAAATGTAGTCTCTACTGAGGAGATGAGACGGTAATTTGGAGACAGATGAAAAAGAAGCTGGATTGAGAAATAATGTTTGTGGAAAAATTCAGTAATTTAACCAAATCTCCAGAAGGCTAATTCTAGTTGGGATTCTCATGGTGTCCTATCAAAAAGTTGGGTTTTTATGTTTTTTTTTTTGTTTTTAAACTCTGACTTCAAATAATAAAAATCAATTCTTTGATAATTTATTTTGGGTGCAGTTGGGTGTTATACTTTCTGTTGTACATCCCAGAAGTGTGTAAGCTCTGAAACAGTGGAAGGCCTGATAAATTCTATTTCATTTCTGATGACCACCATATGTACAAGTTAAAAGATTGAAGTTTCTTTTCCAGGATTAATACCAGGGAGCAATTTAGCCACTAAAGCAAATAGAACTAAAAGGGAAGCTTTCTTAGGCCCCTATTTTGTTAATTTCCTCAAGATACTTGGAAAATAATATTTAAAAAAAAAATGAATATGGCACTCTTGTTTTTTATAGTTAATGAAAACAGCCAAATAGAAAAGCTAAGAGTTTTGGAAATTACTGGAAAAGTTTTAAGATCTGTTATTTCCATGGTTTCCCTAATTTATGATATTGGTGAATGCTGGAAACAGAAATGGAAGGCCACCCTGGACTGATGGGCCCCAGTTTTCCTTCTTTCCTGTGCTTTCCTAAAGCAAAAGATTCCTCAAAGAGTCTTCTACACCCCTGGGAGATACTTGGGTTTTGGCTTTCTTGCCTTCTCATTTCCCTAACAAAACCTCCTTCCTCGGTTTACAGAGGAAGTTCCAGCCCAGCAATACTTAGAAATTGATGAGGTGACGACAGACAGTTTTAGGGTGACCTGGCATCCCCTCTCAGCTGATGAAGGGCTACACAAATTGATGTGGATTCCAGTCTATGGGGGGAAGACTGAGGAGGTGAGTTTTCTGAAACAGACTGAAAATTAATCTGGAGCATTAGTGAATACCTACTGCTGCTGGAGTTGGTCTTCACTTTAAAATATATTAGGAATCCCAGAAGTAATTAGTATTTTACATGGCTTGGAGTTTTAGAAATGTCAAATCATAAGATTTTCCTAATATTATGATGTATTGTTGCCAGAGCTTTAGTTATATATTTATATATTTTCAGATTCTTTGACTTTAATAAATGACATTTAATACAACTTTAAAATGTCACTTTTGCAATATTAATAATTTATTTGCTGAGGGGATTGAAAGGAATAAAGTCTCTGGCTTGACCTTAAAATGGACTTCGACAGCCTTGGAGTTCTTTATGATTGGTTGTTTCTTGCTTATGCTCAGAATAACACTTTTTCTTTACTTTTTTTTCAAATAAGCATAGTTACTAAGCACCAAAATATATTTCAGGTTGTCCTGAAAGAAGAGCAGGACTCACATGTTATTGAAGGCCTGGAGCCCGGTACGGAGTATGAAGTTTCACTATTGGCCGTACTTGATGATGGAAGCGAGAGTGAGGTGGTGACTGCTGTCGGGACCACACGTAAGTCTTGGTCTGGCCACAGTGCGTTTTAGCTGCTCCCACAATCCCTCTTTACCCCATCAATTTCCTTCCCCATCTGCTTTATCTTTGGCTATGTAAGCTTCAATTTCTCTTTGTCCCCCAGAATTCTTCATATATCTTCACTTTCAATGAAACCAGTATGTGAAGCATCTTAGCTTCCTAGATAATGATCAACATGAAGGCAGGGACCATATCTGTGTTGCTCACCATTATATTTTCCAGGACTTAGCACAGTACTTGGCACATGTTAACTGTAGAGTAAACACCCATCAAATGGATGGATGGATAGATGAATGGATGTATGCAAGAATGGATAAAATAATTTACAAATGAATAGATTGCCAAACAAATAAACCTAGGGCCAACATGTCAAAGAGTTTCTGGAATTTTCCAAGTTGATATTGGTTCCAAGAGTCTTGTACAAAATTTACTTGCTGATTCATTCATCTCTTCATTTTTAAAATATGAGGTATTGACCACATATTAAATTGCCTTTGCCTGGGTTCCCTGGAACCAGATTCTAGACAGAAATTGCAGCCAGAAAGTTTATTGAAGAGTGCAGTTGGGAGATGCTTACGTAAAAAACTGAGGACAGCAGGAGGGGGCATGGGAAGAAGTTGAAACTGAACCCTCAGCTAATCTTATTATAATGGAGGTCTAGTGCTGGGATGACCCTTCTGAGTTGTCCCAAATTGAGACAAAGGGGCTGAGACTTCATACCCTTGCATCCCCAGTCGCTGGAGGTGAGCCATTCCCTGACAGAGGCCATGAACTCAGGCGAGACAGTTCCCAGAGCTGTGAACTGTTGGCAGGCAGTGTTCCAGCACCAAGTGGATTGGTGTGTTGACCCTAAAAAGAGGATCTGGGAAGAGCACCACATCTGTACTTCATTCTGCTATATGCCCACGGTGGCTGTAAGAAATAGAAGATGCATTGCTTGTCCAAGCACATTGCATTCCGTGGTGGTCCTGTTTGGCAGCCTTTTCACAACTTGGTCTACAGCACTGTCTAATTTCCCTTAATTACCATGGCTGTGCCCCTATTTCAAAGTAATTGGGTGGTTTCACAATTCTGTAGATGTAGTTCAAATGTTTATATGAAGCCTGGTATCTGTGATGAGAAACTTTAACATTCTTTGGGTTTCAGTTTTCTTATCTGTGGCACAGGTATGTCTGCCTTACTTACAATTCATTTCTTTCGTCTTCTAACCATTGTCATGTTTGTTGTGGGAGGCAAGTGAGATAATATAGGTGAAATGTTCTTTGAAAGCTACAACATGCTATAGAAAAATGGACAGTTGTTTTTGCAGCATTTTAAAGTAATATATTGCTTTTAGTTGACAGTTTTTGGACAGAACCAGCTACAACCATAGTGCCTACCACATCTGTGACTTCAGGTAAGGTCAAATAGTAGCCTGCTTAACCACTTTAAAAATTTTCTTTAAACAGATGTTATATTATCCTGGTTTTATTTATTATTAACTAGGAAAAGAGATGACCCTCCCTTCCTTTTCTGGCACACTGGTTCAAATTTCACGCCTCTCAGAGCCTCTCAACACCTTCCTTGCCACTAAATGCCCATGGATCTCCTAGTCAACTGATCTCACTGATACATCACTCTACCTCTTTCATCTTTGTCTGGATGCTCATGCACCTTACCTGGGATGTTAACGTAGCTGCCTCCCCAGGGGTCTTTGCCCTCCTCTTTTTTTTTTCTTTTTATTTTATTTTATTTTATTTTATTTATTATTATTATACTTTAAGTTTTAGGGTACATGTGCACAATTTGCAGGTTAGTTACATATGTATACATGTGCCATGCTGGTGCACTGCACACACTAACTCGTCATCTAGCATTAGGTATATCTCCCAATGCTATCCCTCCCCCCTCCCCCCACCCCACAACAGTCCCCAGAGTCTGATGTTCCCCTTCCTGTGTCCATGTGTTCTCATCGTTCAGTTCCCACCTATGAGTGAGAATATGTGGTGTTTGGTTTTTTGTCCTTGCGATAGTTTACTGAGAATGATGATTTCCAATTTCATCCATGTCCCTACAAAGGACATGAACTCATCATGTTTTATGGCTGCATAGTATTCCATGGTGTATATATGCCACATTTTCTTAATCCAGTCTATCATTGTTGGACATTTGGGTTGGTTCCAAGTCTTTGCTATCGTGAATAGTGCCACAATAAACATACATGTGCACGTGTCTTTATAGCAGCATGATTTATAGTCCTTTGGGTATATACCCAGTAATGGGATGGCTGGGTCAAATGGTATTGCTAGTTCTAGATCCCTGAGGAATCGCCACACTGTCTTCCACAATGATTGAACTAGTTTACAGTCCCACCAACAGTGTAAAAGTGTTCCTATTTCTCCACATCCTCTCCAGCACCTGTTGTTTCCTGACTTTTTAATGATTGCCATTCTAACTGGTGTGAGATGGTATCTCATTGTGGTTTTGATTTGCACTTCTGTTGCTCTCTGTTGAGAATTCCCCTTCTTTTCTCTTTTTTTCTTTTAGAGACAGGGTTTCATTCTGTCATCCAGGCTGGAGTGCAGCACCACGATCAAGGCTCACCACAGCCTTGACTTCCTGGGCTCATGTGATCCTCCAGCCTCAGCCCCCCACGTAGCTGGGACTACAGACATGTGTCATCGTGCCTGGCTAATCGTTTTGAATTTTAGTAGAGATGAGGTCTTTCCATATTACCCAGGCTGGTCTTTAACTCCTGAGCTCAAATGTTCCTTCATCCTTGGCCTCCCAAAGTTCTGGAATTGCAGGCATGAGCCACCATGCCTGGCCTTGTTGAGAATTATTCTTACCATGTTTTCCTTGCATTTCTGTGGGTAACTGACACTTGGCTGGTCTATTGTTTTTCCTACATTAGTTGTTTCCTCTCTCAGCTTAGCTTTCCCCTTCACTGTAATACACCTCCCAACTAGCTGTCAGAGTCAACTTGGTAAAACACAAGTTTGATAATATCATTTATTTACTTCTCTAAGACACTTCAATGGCTCTCCATTACCCATTTGTTGATTTGTTCATTCTTCATTTAATCCTTATCAAGCCTTCTTTGTGCTTTAAAGTCTTTTTCACAGCATCCAAGATCCTTCCTAGTTGGGTCCTGCTTCCCTTCCTGGCCTCAACCATATTTCCTATGCTTCCCCCGTTTTTCTCTTGCAATCCCGAACTCCTTTCCCTAAATGTGAGAAGTTCCCTCCCATTCCCATTGCCTGGTAGCCCCCCTGCAATGTTGCCAGGTAAATGTCAACCCCCTCCTCCTCTGTGACACTTTTACTATTTTTGTTGAGTTAATAACTATATAAAAACCAAAGCCCTAACAGTCTGACACACAGAAAAAGTTCAATGAATATTTTCTAAATGAATTAATAGATGAATGAAGAGAAAGGAGAATGAGAAAAGATGGACAAAGGGAAATGAAGTTAGGGTAGAAGAGAAAAGAAAAAAATGCAACAAATAAGGGAGCAGGCACCTTGAGAGATGAGCACGAATGTGCCAGGAAACACAGGTAAAGGAGTTTGGACAAGTACCAGAGAAAAGATCGTGTCTGTGTGGGCTGAATGGATAAAGGCAGCCTGAGCGCAGATTTGTGCTTTGAATGACAGGTGTTAAAAGAGAAATGGAGGTGAGGGCAGGTGATTGGGATGTGTGTTGGATGCTGGATTGCACACAGAGGTGGACAAAGTCTGGCCCACTGTGCCCACTTGTCCACAGAGCACTAGTGTGAGGTTCTCATGACCACTCTTTCCTTTGGGTTCCATGGGCTGTTTTTCTAGTCTCAGGGCTTCTTCCCAGTTCTCTTTACTAGTGCACATACAGAACTGACAGTTTTGAGGGCTCCATGGTCTCATCTTGTAAGCATCTCTTAATTCCACTTTTATTTGCTGCTAGTAGGTATCATGCCTCCCCATTAAGCACCATAGCTGAGCCCTTCTTGCCTCATATACAACTATATTACAGGGATACATTAAATGATGCTTGCTGTCACCCCACAGGTATTCTCTGTGGCTCATTTTGGAATATGATATGTTAAAAGTTTTTTAATCCTTGGTTGTGTTTATTCCAGTTTTCCAGACGGGAATCAGAAACCTAGTTGTAGGTGATGAAACTACTTCTAGCCTGCGGGTAAAATGGGACATTTCTGACAGCGATGTGCAGCAGTTTAGGGTGACCTACATGACAGCTCAAGGGGACCCTGAGGAAGAAGTCATAGGAACGGTCTGTATAAATTCAACTGACTAGAAACTCTGCAGATGTTACTAACACAGCTAATAAGACTGTCTTCGGAGATCAATGCAAACTTTACTGCTCTTTTCTCAGTGACTCTGCCATCTCCAGAAACTAATGTTCTCTGTTAATCTGACTCCACTACTGGCTTCTTAGTGACCTTTATAAATCCAAAACTTGCTCCATGTACAACTTGCTCCAAGTTAATAACCTCTGAACATTGTTTCAAATATTGCTTCTCTTCTGCTGCCTTGCACCTGTTCGAGCACCAAAGTTGGGTCATAAAAGGCCATATGCACTTGTGTCTGTATATATGTATGTATAGACATGTATAAAAGTTTAATATAGAAAATAATTTCTTCTGCCCTTGGAAATCTGATAAAAAAACTTTTAAGCAAAGGACACAGAAAAGGTCTTCTATATGGTATAGTGAAAATATTCTTAATAAAATACCATCCGTTAACCAATAGTTATATTTTTCATTGACATCAACTCGTATTGAGTAGATTTATAGTCATTTCTAATTATTCGTAACATGGATGTATCCCCTCAGGGATTTAGATTTTTATACATTGAGTTTTCTTTGAGTTGTTTTATCTATCTTTCCTTTTTCTAAATGATACACTCTTTTTTTCTAATTTATTTATCTTTTTTTAATATACTTAAGTTCTGGGATACATGTGCAGAACATGCAGGTTTTTTACATAGGTATACATGGACCATGGTAGTTTGCTGCACCCATCAACCCGTCATCTACATTAAGTATTTCTCCTAATGCTATCCCTCCCCTTGCCCCACAACCCCAACAGGACCCAGTGTGTAATGTTCCCCTCCCTGTGTCCATGTGTTCTCATTGTTCAACTCCCACTTATGAGTGAGAACATGTAGTGTTTGGTTGCCTGTTCCTGTGTTAGTTTGCAGAGAATGATGGTTTCCAGCTTCATCCATGTCCCTGCAAAGGACATGAACTCATCCTTTTTTATGGCTGCATAGTATTCCATGGTGTATATGTGCCACATTTTCTTTATCCAGTCTATCATTGATGGGCATTTGGGCTGGTTCCAAGTCTTTGCTATTGTGAGTAGTGCTGCAATAAACATGTGTGGATGTATTGTTATAGTAGAATGATTTATAATGCTTTGGGTATACACCCAGTAATGGGATTGCTGGGTCAAATGGTATTTCTAGTTCTAGGTCTTTGAGGAATCGCTACACTGCCTTCCACAATGGTTGAGCTAATTTACAGTCTCACCAACAGTGTAAAAGTGTTCCTATTTCTCCACATCCTCTCTAGCATCTGTTGTTTCCTGACTTTTTAATGATTGCCGTTCTAACTGGCATGAGATGATATCTCATTGTGGTTTTGATTTGAGTTTTTCTAATGACCAACGATGATGAGCTTTTTTTCATATGTTTGTTGGCTGCATAAATGTATTCTTTTGAGAAAGTGACTGTTAATATCCTTCTCCCACTTTTTGATGGAGTTGTTTGTTTTTTTCTTGTAAATTGGTTTAAGTTCCTTGTAGGTTCTGGATATTAGCCATTTGTCAGATGAGTAGATTGCAAAAATTTTCTCCCATTCTGTAGGTTGCCTGTTCACTCTGATGATAGTTTCTTTAGCTGTGCAGAAGCTCTTTAGTTTAATTAGATCCCATTTGTCTATTTTGGCTTTTGTTGCCATTGCTTTTGGTGTTTTAGTCATGAAGTCTTTGCCCATGCCTGTGTCCTGAATGGTATTGCCTAGGTTTTCTTCCAGGATTTTTATGGTTTTATGTCTTATGTTTAAATCTTTAATCCATCTTTTCATTTTTGAAACATGCGGTGTTTGGTTGCCTGTTTCTTTTTTTGTCTAAGATTCATTTTTGTATAAGGTGTAAGAAAGGGGTCCAATTTCAGTTTTCTGCCTATGCCTAGCCAGGTTTCCCAACACCATTTATTAAATAGGGAATCCCCTCCCCATTGCTTGTTTTTTTCCAGGTTTGTCACAGATAGATGGTTGCAGATGTGTGGTGTCATTTCTGAGGTCTCTGTTCTGTTCCATTGGTTTATATATCTGTTTTGGTACCAATACCAAGCTGTTTTGGTTACTGTGGCCTTGGACTATAGTTTTAAGTCAGGTAGTGTAATGCCTCCAGCTTTGTTCTTTTTGCTTAGGATTGTCTTGGCTATATGGACTCTTTTTTGGTTCCATGTGAAATTTAAAGTAGTTTTTTCTAATTCTGCGAAAAAAGTCAATGGTAGCTTGATGGGAATAACATTGAATCTACAAATTACTTTGGGCAATATGGCCATTTTTATGATATTGATTCTAGCTATCCATGAGCATGAAATATTTTTCCATTTGTTTGTGTCCTCTCTTATTTCCTTGAGCAGTGGTTTGAGTTCTCCTTGAAGAGGTCCTTCACATCCTTTGTAAGTTGGATTCCTAGGTATTTTATTCCCTTTGTAGCAATTGTGAATAGGAGTTCGCTCATGATTTGGCTCTCTGTCTATTATTGGTGTATGGAAATCCTTGTGATTTTTGCAATTGATTTTGTATCCTGAGACTTTGCTGAAGTTGCATATCAGCTTAGGGAGATCTGGGGCTGAGATGATGGGGTTTTCTAAATATGCAATCATGTCATCTGCAAACAGAGACAATTTGACTTTCTCTCTTCCTATTTGAATACCCTTTATCACTTTCTCTTGCCTGATTGCCCTGGCCAGAACCTCGAATACTATGTTGAATAGGAGTGGTGAGATAGGGCATCCTTGTCTTGTGCCGATTTTCAAAGGGAATGCTTCCAGCTTTTGCCCATTCAGTATGATATTGACTGTGGGTTTGTCATAAATAGCTCTTTTTATTTTGAGATACATTCCATCAATACCTAGTTTATTAAGAGTTTTTAGCATGAAGGGGTGTTGAATTTTATTGAAGGCCTTTTCTGCATCTATTGAGATAATCATGTGGTTTTTGTCATTGATTCTGTTTATGTGATGTATTATATTTATTGATTTGCGAATGTTGAACCAGCCTTGCATCCCAGGGATGAAGCCGCCTTGATTGTGGTGGATAAGCTTTTTAATGTGTTGCTGAATTCGGTTTGCCAGTATTTTATTGAGGATTTTCGCATCAAT
Source organism: Homo sapiens (assembly GCF_000001405.40). Classification (NCBI taxonomy): domain Eukaryota; kingdom Metazoa; phylum Chordata; class Mammalia; order Primates; family Hominidae; genus Homo; species Homo sapiens. Next base: position 120,234,745 of record NC_000008.11, read on the forward strand.
GTTCATCCAGGGTATTGGCCTGAAATGTTCTTTTTTTGTTGTGTCTCTGCCAGGTTTTGGTGTCAGCATGATGCTGACCTAATAAAAAGACTTAAGGAGGAGTCCCTCTTTTTCTATTGCTTCGAATAGTTTTAGAAGGAATGGTACCAGCTCCTCTTTTTACCTTTGTCAGAAATTGGCTGTGAATCCTTCTGGTCCTGGGCTTTTTTTGGTTGGTAGGCTATTAATTACTGCCTCAATTTCAGAACTTGTTATTGGTCTTTTCAGGAATTCGACTTCTTCCTGGTTTAGTCTTGGGAGGGTGTATGTGTCCAGGAATTTATCCATTTCTTCTAGATTTTCTAGTTTATTTGCATAGTGGTGTTTATAGTATTCTCTGATGGTAGTTTGTATTTCTGTGGGATCAATAGTGATATCCCCTTTATCATTTTTATTTTTTGTTGAGATGGAGTCTCACTCTGTTGCCCAGGCTGGGAGAGTAGTGGTGCAATCTTGGTTCACTGCAACCTCCTCCTCCTGGGTTCCAGCGATTCTCCTGCCTCAGCCTTCCGAGTTGCTGGGACTACAGGCACCTCCCACCATGCCCGGCTAATTTTTGTTTTTTTTAGTAGAGATGGGTTTTCACCATGTTGGCCAGGCTGGTCTCAAACTCCTGACCCTGTTATCTGCCTGCCTTGGCCTCCCAAAGTGCTGGGATTACAGGCATGCACCACCCCTGCCCCCTTTACCATTTTTTATTGTGTCTACTTGATTCTTCTCTCTTTTCTTCTTTATTAGTCTGGCTAGTGGTCTATTTATTTTTTTAATCTTTTCAAAAAACAAGCTCCTGGATTCACTGATTTTTTGAAGGGCTTTTCGTGTCTCTATCTCCTTCAGTTCTGCTCTGATCTTAGTTATTTCTTGTCTTCTGCTAGCTTTTGAATTTGTTTGCTCTTGGTTCTCTAGTTCTTTAAACTGTGATGTTAGGATGTCGATTTTGGATCTTTCCAGCTTTCTCCTGTGGGCATTTAGTGCTGTAAGTTTCCCTCTAAACACTGCTTTAGCTGTGTTCCAGAGATTCTGGTACATTGTGTCTTTGTTCTCATTGGTTCCAAAGAACATATTTATTTCTGCCTTGATTTTGTTATGTACCCAGTAGTCATTCAGGAGCAGGTTGTTCAGTTTCCATGTAGTTGTGCAGTTTTGAGTGAGTTTCTTAATCCTGAGTTCTAATTTGATTGCACTGTGGCCTGAGACTGTTTGTTATGATTTGCATTCTTTTACATTTGCTGAGGAGTGTTTTACTTCCAATTGTGTGGTGAATTTTAGAATAAGTGTGATGTGGTGCTAAGAAGAATGTATATTCTGTTGGTTTGGAGTGGAGAGTTCTGTAGATGTCTATTAGGTCCTCTTGGTCCAGAGCTGAGTTCAAGTCCTGGATATCCTTGGTAATTTTCTGTCTCATTTATCTGTCTAATATTGACAGTGGGGTGTTAAAGTTTCCTACTATTATTGTGTGGGAGTCTAAGTCTCTTTGTAGGTTTCTAAGAATTTGCTTTATGAATCTGGGTGCTCCTGTGTTGGGTGCATATATATTTAGGATAGTTAGCTCCTCTTGTTGCATTGATCCCTTTACCATTATGTAATGCCCTTCTTTGTCTTTTTTGATCTTTGTTGGCTTAAAATCTGTTTTATCAGAGACTAGGATTGCAACCCCTGCTTTTTTTTTTTGCTTTCCATTTGCTTGGTAAATATTCCTCCATCCCTTTATTTTGAGTCTATGTGTGTCTTTGCACGTGAGATGGGTCTCCTGAATACAGCACACCAGTGGGTCTTGACTTTTAACCAATTTGCCAGTCTGTGTCTTTTAATTGGGGCATTTAGCCCATTTACATTTAAGGTTAATATTGTTATGTGTGAATTCGATCCCGTCATTATGATGCTAGCTGGTTATTTAGCCCATTAGTTGATGCAGTTTCTTCGTAATGTCAATGGTCTTTGCAATTTGGTATGTTTTTGCAGTGGCTGGTACCGGTTTTTACTTTCCATATTTGTTACTTCCTCCAGGAGCTCTTGTAAGGCAGGCCTGGGGGTGAAAAAATCCCTCAGCATTTGCTTGTCTGTAAAGGATTTTATTTCTCCTTCACTTATGAAGCTTAGTTTGGCTGGATATGAAATTCTGGGTTGAAAATTCTTTTCTTTAAGAATGTTGAATGTTGGCCCCCACGCTCTTCTGGCTTGTAGAGTTTCTGCAGAGAGATCCGCTGTTAGACCGATGGGCTTCCCTTTGTGGGTAGCCCAACCTTTCGCTCTGGCTGCCCTTAACATTTTTTCCTTCATTTCAACCTTGGTGAATCTGATGATTGGGGTTGCTCTTCTTGAGGAGTATCTTTGTGATGTTGTCTGTATTTCCTGAATTTGAATGTTGGCCTGTCTTGCTAGGTTGGGGAAGTTCTCCTGGATAATATCCTGAAGTGTGTTTTCCAACTTCGTTCCATTCTCCCTGTCACTTTCAGGTATACCAATCAAACGCAGATTTGGTCTTTTCACATTGTCCCATATTTCTTGGAGGCTTTGTTCATTCCTTTTCATTATTTTTTCTCTAATCTTGTCTTCATGCTTTATTTCCTTAAGTTGATCTTCAATCTCTGATATCCTTTCTTTCACTTGATCAATTTGGCTATTGATACCTGTGTATGCTTCACAAAGTTCTTACGCTGTGTTTTTCAGCTCCATCAGGTCATTTATATTCTTCTCTAAACTGATTATTCTAGTTAGCAGTTCCTGTAAGCTTTTATCAAGGTTCTTAGCTTCCTTGCATTGGGTTAGAATATGCTCCTTTAGCTCGGAGGAGCTTGTTACTGCTTACCTTCTGGAGCCTACTTCTGTCAATTCATTAAACTCATTCTCCTTCCAGTTTTGTTCTCTTGCTGGCGAGGAGTTGCGATCCTTTGGAGGAGAAGGGGCATTCTGGTTTTTGAAACTTTCAGCCTTTTTATGTTGGTTTTTTTCTCATCTTTCTGGATTTGTCTACCTTTGGTCTTTGATGTTGGTGACCTTTGGATGGGGTTTGAGTGGTCGTCCTTTTTGTTGATGTTGATGCTATTGCTTCCTGTTTTTTAGTTTTCCTTCTAACAGTCAGGCCCCTCTGCTGCAGGTCTGTTGGAGTTTGGTGGAGGGCCATTCCAGACCCTGTGTGCCTGGGTATCATCAGCAGAGGCTGCAGAAAAGCAAAGATTGCTGCCTGCTCCTTCCTCTGGAAGCTTCATCCCAGAGGGGCACCTGCCAGATGCCAGCTGGAGCTCTCCTGTATGAAGTGTCTGTCGACTCCTGGTGTCTCCCCATCAGGAGGCACGGGGGTCAGGGACCCATTTGAGGAGACTGTCTGTCCCTTAGCAGAGTTCGAGCGCTGTGCTGGGAGGTCCTCTGCTCTTTTCAGAGCCAGCAGGCAGGAATGTTTAAGTCTGCTGAAGCTGCGCCCACAGCCACCCCTTCCCCCAGGTGCTCTGTCACAGGGAGATGAGAGTTTTATCTAGAAACCCCTGACTGGGGCTGCTGCCTTTCTTTTAGAGATGCCCTGCCCAGAGAGGAGGAATCTAGAGAGGCAGTCTGGCTACAGTGGTTTTGTGGTGCTGCGGTAGGCTCTGCCCAGTCCAAACTTCCAGGCAGCTTTGTTTACACTGTGAGGGGAAAACTGTCTACTCAAGCCTTACTAATGGCGGACACCCCTCCCCCCACCAAGCTCGAGCATCCCAGGTTGACTTCACATTGCTGTGCTGGCAGCGAGAATTTCAAGACAGTGGATCTTAGCTTGTTGGGCTCCGTGGGGGTTGGATCTGCTGAGCAAGACCACTGGGATCCCTGGCTTCAGCCCCCTTTCCAGGGGAGTGAATGGTTCTGTCTCGCTGGCATTCCAGGCATCATGGGGTATGAAAATAAACTCTTGCAGCTAGCTCGGTGTTTGCCCAGATGGCCACCCAGCTTTGTGCTTGAAACCCAGGGCCCTGGTGGTATAGGCACCCAAGGGAATCTCCTGGTCTGTGGGTTGCAAAGACCGTGGGAAAAGCATAGTATCTGGGCTGGATAGCTCTGTCCCTCATGGCGTGGTCCCTCATGGCTTCCCTTGGCTAGGGGAGGGAGTTCCCCAACTCTTTGTGCTTCCTGGATGAGGCGACGTCCCACCCTGCTTATGCTCACCCTCCATGGGCTGCACCCACTGTCTAACCAGTCCCAATGAGATGAACCCGGTACCTCAGTTGGAAATACAGAAATCACCCGCCTTCTGCATTGGTCTCACTGGGAGCTGCAGACCAGAGCTGTTCCTATTTGGCCATCTTGCCCAGGCACCAAAATCAATGATACACTCTTAATTGTGGCCTGGTACACTTTTAATCATGGCCTTCCCATGTATTCTAAATTTACACTATATCATTCCTTTCAGTCTAGAACCTGAAAATTCTTTCTTAGACATGTTTCTAATCAAACCAGGTAACTCCAGTATGCATCCAGAAGAATTTTTCTTTTGAGTCATAAAATATGTTTATTTAGCTCATTACTTGCATTTCTTGCCCTCTGCTGCATTATTTCTGACACTCTGGGAAAGAAGTCTACAAAATTTATTATTGCTCAAGTATAACATTATCATTCCTTTGCCTTCCTCACTCAAAAAGCCTTCAATGGGAAGTTACTTTTATTTATGTGCTTACATAAACAACTATTTGACCCCAGAATCCTTTAAGGAAAGTACTTCATTTCTGGCTGATGGAGGAAATATTACAGGACACAGTGACAGACCCAAGAAGAGCCACACCTACTGTGAATAGCCAGAAGGCCATTACACTGATCTGGGAGTACTTTTGAAAAGTTAATGGATTCTTAAACAAAATAGATTGAATTACAAATTCACTCAGACCATACACTTCAAATGGTTCATGATTGGCAAATTCAAAAAATAAAATAAAATTATGGTTAGGAATGGTAATTAAATATATAAGTTGTGATTTTTTTTTCTGTGTTATTTTTCTCATATTGTAATTGAGTTCCTAAAAATGAGACCCGTGGAAACTTCCCAAGGTGAGAGGCTTTGTTTTGTTTTGTTTCTGTTTTTTGTTTTTTTTTTGTTTGTTTGCTTTTTGTTTTTTACTTTTTCTGAGAAATACATTAAGCTTCTTAGTGAATTATTCCTGTTAATTTGGAAAGAATAAAAATTTAATATCATGCATGCACTTGTAAGCTATGCAAGGTAAAATAATAATAATATTTACTTTGGGTTGTCTCTAGATAATTTTTCCTTTTCTAGTTTCTTTCGTTTCACACTGTTTATTTTTGACATAGTTGGACACCTAGATGAAGGGAAAAAAAGATCAAAAGTCTTAAACACTCTGACCCAGTTAAACAAACCTGTAGTAAAAACGAAAAATATTGATAAATTTGGTGGTGCTTATTTGCTTTGCAAAACTGTTTTTTTTTTTCTCTCTCTCTCTTTTGCCTTACAGAAGAACCTACTGTAGAATTCTTTAAGTATCAAGCTCCTTTAGAGGATTTTAATTAAATAAGATATGTACACACTTGATTTACAGGTGCCCTCTCAGGGACTCACCTGAGGGTTCTTTGAAAATTTGTATCAGTGTTTTATGAAGTGTTACTGTGATACAAATGTAATGTGTTATGACTGGAGACAGAAAGTGGACTGCATGTAAATTTAGATTATGAAACTAAGGTGGACAGGCAGATGCACATCTCTATTAAAGTCTGAGGGTCTTGAAATCACATGGACCAAATGACATCTTAAAATAATAATGTATGGCGCAGAAAGACAGATGGCTAAGACATACTATGAAAGCAAGAAAGGAAATGTGTCAAGATAAGAGGAATACCAGACCTTCCTTAACTCTCAAGGCTGATTAAATTTACACAAAGAAATGATAAGCTTGTGTACTGAAGTTGGACAATAGTGTATGTATATGTTATACACTGTGTACTATAACATTGTAGACCAAATTTCAGCTTAAACATATGTAAAACAAGGGGAATTTAATTTACGTTTCCAGTTGAGGTAAATGAAATGTTTCTATACTTTCTAGATATAATTACATCTATCAAATACTTCTAGGTTAAAAAAAACCCTTTGAATTCTTAGAAATAAAACTATAGTACCTGTCAAATATTTTGTAAGGATTGACTTTCAACTCTGTCTTGGAATATGGAGGAGTGGCAATGACATTGCCATACATTTTGTTGTCAGGGTAGGAAGGTCTCTCATTTATTTTAAAAGGCTAGTCAGGATTTCAGAATTTTCTAGAGCCTCAGTGTAAAAATCTGTAGCTCTAACATGAATTCTGGGTTGCAAGAATACGTCTAGAGTAAGAATACTCAAAGTGTGACTCAGTCTCCTACATGACTGCATGATAGTTTCAGATATTAAGATTAACATTTTAGAAACATTGATAGCCATTTGACATTACTGCAACAACCTGAGAACATGATCACTTTTCTAACCACTTGGTTTTATCGTATTTTACAAATAAATTGGTCTGCAATGGATGGGAATTAAAATGACACCACCACCACCAACAATAGCAACTAGTCCTTCACCACAAAGAGTTTGAGAATCACTGCCTAGAACTGAACTTCATAAGAGGGGAACACAGCGAGATGCAGGGCATCCTCTTTCTACTGCAGGAACAGCTGGTTGGATATGGTCCAGGTTGCTCTGAAAAGCTTTGGGTGATATTAGAGCCAGACATGAAAATCCATTTCTGAAAAAAATTAAAAGCATGAAGCTCACTGGTTATATTTCCATCCCACTTAACCATGAACATTTTTTACAGAACTGTTTTATAAATAAAACCAGCATCTGTTCTGACCTGCAGCATTTGTTTTTAGTAGGAGCACATTTTTTTACTTTGCTTTGTCTAAACAAGCAGAGGCCAAGCAAGAGGAACTTTGCATACCCAAGAGGAGATGGTTTTTTACTCTTGAAAATGAATATCAATAGGGTAAGAAGGTTCAAGTGGTGCAGTCATGTGGAGTAGAGGACAAAGGCCCAGACAAGATTCTTGGGGTTTCGGTATGGCTCTTTTACTCAATATCTATATGGGCCTCAGTTTTCTCATCTGTAAAATGAATGTGATGATACCCCTTATTTCAAAAGGTGGTAGTGAAGATTAAGTGAATTACAGATTGAGAATTCCTAATCATAAAATTCAAAATCTGAAATGCTCCAAAATCCAAAACGTTTTGAACACTGACATGATGCTACAAGTGGAAAATTTCACATAGAAGTAATTAACACAAACTTTGTTTTACGCACAAAATTATTAAAAATATTGTATAAAATTACCTTCAGATTATGTATATAAAGTGTATATGAAATGTAAATGAATATTGTGTTTAGACTTGGGTCTAATCCTCAAGATACCTCATTATACATCTACAAATATTCCTGAATCTAACAAAATTTCAAATCCAAAACACTTCTGGTCTCAAGCATTTCTGATAAGGGTTACTCAATCTGCATATGCTGTATTAGAATGCTTACAGCAGCACCTGGCACATAGTAATTGCTAGGTAAGGGAAGCCTCTTACTATAAATCACAGCAACTATTCCTGGCAAGCTAATGAGTCTTCTAAAACAGTCACACTGCTTTTTAGTATTCCATGTGCTAAATTTAATTGGTTAGTTCCAAGACCATGGGCTTCTCAGTTTGAAAGAAGACATTATTTAACATCAACATGGGTGGTTTGTTAGATGGACAAATTGAAATGAATGCCCAGGCTCTGCTTCAGAGGGGTTACATTTAAGAGAAACACCCTGAGGGAAGCTATGTTGGTGGAGTAATGCAAGTCAGGGCAACCTCAATTCTTCTCTTACACGTTCTTAGTGCTAGGGCCGTCTAACTCATTCTGGAATAAAGCAGAGCTTCTTTGTAAATATCTCCTTCTCAGGACCCCGAGTCCACACATCAATTCAGACCTGTACATTTCAATGGCCCTTTCCTATGAGGAGCAAAATCATATTAATCTCATATAAAAATCATCTAATTTAGATTTCCTTGTTTCATATTTAAAATACTGCTTTTAAGGGCTTAGCAATATCTTAGCAACAGCTGCTTCTGGGTTCAACTCGAGGCTTTCTAGGGCTTATTCCATGATTTATAGGTTCCTTCCTTCATCCAGAAGGAGACAGCATCGCCCTTTGCCTGCTGGCATTTTACCCAGCACTTGAATCGAAAAGTAACTCCAGCTGTCCTGGTCTTGTGACTCCCTTAAACCCGTTTGAGTCAGTTCTTACATCCTAGCACTTTTCCAGCCATGATTAAGTTCTTTAAATGGCCCGGTGATGGGCCAGCTTCTCACTCCTGGAGCACAGACAGAAAGTTTTGTGGTTTTAGCACTGAGAACATGTGGCTTTTCTGGTCCAGACGATTCTTTTCGAGGTGGCAGAGTTCACAAGCCACCACATGGAGCCCTGCACTCACACTTGCGCGATGTCGAACCCACTGCTGCATTTCTTTTTTGTGGGGACAGCCTTTTAGACACAGAGTGATGGTGATTCTAGATTGAGGAAGACAACTCCTTTCAGAAATAAAAAAGCTGCACCGTTTTTTAGTGTTGCTGGTAAATATGCTTCAGCTCAAGAAAACTTGGCTTTGATGTGTGGTTCTGTTGCTCTTGGCTAGGATCCATCCTTTCTAACTGAAAGAAGAAAATGCTGGGGTCTGATTATCTCTGAAGGAGGAAATAATGGAAGGCTGACTTTGCAAGAGGATACTTAAGTAAAATAAAAAATGATAAGCAGCAGGCTGGATTATAGAATGAGCTCTCCCAATCTATAAACACCTGCTATCTAAACAGGCCATTATTCTCTCTTCTGGATACTTTACAAATGCCAAGAAGATGTTGAGAGAAGAATATTCCTTAGAGCTTAAGAGTGTCAAATTTAAACCTTCTGTATTAGTGATTATAAACTAAGGGTTACTGTGATGGGAATTTCAGGGAGAAACGCTTTTGCATGAGTGCCCTTTCTTTTCTCCTCACTCTCAAAGCACATCTCTTTTCTTTTGATTATTTCAAAATGCATAAAGTTATGCTCCATTACCAAATCAGTGGAAACGGGTCTCACTAAGACTGCAGTCCTTTGCTTTTTTGTTCAGGTTATGGTGCCTGGAAGCCAGAACAACCTCCTTCTGAAGCCTCTGCTTCCTGATACTGAATACAAAGTCACAGTGACTCCCATCTACACGGATGGCGAAGGCGTCAGCGTCTCCGCTCCTGGAAAAACCTGTAAGTGAAGCTTTCTCCCTTTGAATACAAGCCGACTCATTAAATGGAAATGCTTGTCCCCTGTAATGCACCCTGAAAGATACAGTAGATTGCAGTGAAGAAACTAAAAGATTTGGGAACAGGAAATCTGTCTGCATCCTGTCTTTACACACACAAGCTATGTGACTTTGAGCAAATTGCTTAAATGTTCTGGGCTGCAGTTTCTTTTTCTGTGGAAGTGAAGACTTGAAAAACAACTACATCTTTCTCTTCCAGAGTTTAATTCGTCAAGGTCCTGTGATTCATCAAAATGTATTCTGCATGCCTGATCTCTCTTCATCTAACAGGTGTGCTCTAGTCCAAGCCACACTCTCTCTTTTATTTTCATTTTATTTAATTAATTTACTTTTATTTCCATAGGTTTTGGGGAACAGGTGGTATTTGGTTACATGAGTAATTCTTTAGTGGTGATTTGTGATATTTTGGTGCACTCATCACCCGAGCAGTATACACTGAACCCAATTGGTAGTCTCTTATCCCTCATCCCCTTCCCACCCTTTCCCCTGGAGTCCCCAAAGTCCATTGTATCCTTCTTATGGCTTTGTATCTTCATAGCTTATCTCCCACTTATAAGTGAGAACATATGATGTTTGGTTTTCCATTTCTGAGTTACTTCACTTAAAATAAGTCTCCAATCTCATCCAGGTTGCTGCAAATGCCATTAATTCATTCCCTTTTATGCAAGCCACTCTCTCTCTCATCCAGATGAGTGTACTAGCCTCCTGTCAGGTCTTCCTGCTTCTACTCATGCCATCTCCTATTCTTCTTATAGCAGCTTGAGGAGGTTTTCAGCAGATAAATGATCTGCACCTCTGTTTTAGGCCTCCCAATGGCTTCTCACTGTACCCAGGATGAAATCTTATGTCCTTCCGTGCCTTACAAAGATCAACCTACCACCTGGATCCTGCCGATCTCTTTGATCTCCCCTCCTGGCCATTTCCCCATTCATACCTCCCTGTCTGCTCTCCACTGGACTCTTTGAAGTTGTTCCTGCCTTAGGCCCCATGCCCTAGCGATTCCTTCTACATGGTATATGCTTTCCCAGATATTTGCATGTAAGAGTTTTTCTGGTCATCCGGGTCTAGGCTCAATGTCACCTCCTCAGCCTTTTCTGGCCACCCCATGCAAAGTAGCCCCCACTGTCTATGATATTATCCTTTTTTGTTTGTTGTTTTTGGTCATATCATGGCACTAATTACTCCCTGGTATTTTCTTATTTATTCATGTATTTGCTCACTTTCTGTCTCCCATCCCTGGAAGGCAAAGTATCATGAGAGCCTGGGGCCTCATCAATACTGTTCACCTCTGCATGCCAAGCTCCTATAGTGCTGGGTGGCACAGAGGAGGCGTCATGCAACGCTTATTTAAGATGGATTGACCATGTTCCTCAAATGAGAAAGATGCATGAAAACCCTTGGTTAAAGCACTGCAGAGTCATAGTTGTCTTCATTATTGATATGATTTTCTATTCTTGCATAAAGACTGCTCTAGAACTTAATGGCTTAAAACAGTGACCATTTTTTTTTATCATATCTCACAATTGTTTGGGTCAGGAAATTAGGCAGGACTTGCTGGGAAAGTCTGCTCCACATGGGATTGATCAGTGTCACCTGGTGGTATTCACTTGAGGGCTGGGCTGGTCTGGATGTTACAGGACAACTTTACCCACATGTCTGGCATCTTGGTGGGGGTGGCAAGCAGGCTGGACCCAGCTGAGTGCCTCTCTCTCTCCCTTAGTCTCAGAGCTTCTCCATGTGGTCTTTCCAGCAGAGCAGTCATATTTCTTACATGTCAGCTCAGGACTGTAACAGCAAGAGTTCCAAGAGGCATAAAATGGAAACTGCTAGTGTCACTTCTGCTGCAGTCTATTTATTGGTCAAGGTAGTCATAGAACCCACTCAGATCCAAATAAACAGTCATAGTGCCACCTGTCAATGGAAGGAGGGTTGAAAACTCTGTGACCATCTTTATCCATCATAATTACCAAATGGTGACATGTGGTTAGGTTCAAAATGGTGTCAAGGGCTGAATTATGTACCTGGGCACCGAAGTGTGGAGTTTTCAACTAAGTTTGCGAAAATCATTAAAATTCTGAAGCCCAGAGTCCTGATTCTGCTCAGCTGGGCAAATAGGTATCATCTCCTCATTTAACAGTGCTGGCATCTCTCCCTCCTCCCGTGCTTATGCCGTGTGCCTCCACCCAGACTCCCACCAAGCCTGCACATTTTGCTAAAAATCACCCAGAGTATTGTGAGTCCTTGGAGCTGCTATAGTTGTTTCCTCAAGGGACATGAGGAAGGAGAGAAGGAAAACAGAAGAGCAGAGCTATAGGGAGATTTCAAACTTTTCACTCCACCTTTACCAGTATATTGGCATCTTGATTTGGTCTATGCATTGGAATTTCTAGCATATGTTGGTATGTTGCTGCTAAATAAATGTTTGAAAACCAAAATCACAGACTTAAGCAACAATTAAAGAAAACATCAAGTAGTATTTTACCTAGCGAGGTAAATACTTGCTATTATGTATTTATCTTTAAATAAAAACTATTTAAAGATTATTAGTATGAAAATAGGGCTTAAATCTTATTACAGAAATGCCATTACGTCTTAAAAATCTCTATATAGTAAAATTATTTTGAAGTGTTAGTGGATGATCTAAGCAGTGATTAAGGAGTGGCCAACACAACTACGTTTTATCAACAACAAAATGATAATGACAAAATGCATACAAATTTACAACAGTCCTCCATATAAATGACTGTAATGTTTTGATAAAAATGGATAAGCAATAATATAAAACTTCAAACAGTATAGGAAATATGAAGATGAAAGCAAAAAATAAAATCAGAATCTTACCTCTGAGAATAATCACCATTAACATTCTATGAACACACCCCCAGTATTGCTGTTCACATATGCTTAGTGGAACACAGTGGCATGGAGACAGACATTTCTAATAAACACGATTGAATTCAATTATACCTAAAATTAACTGATGAATAGGGAATCAAAATAACAATGAAAGACTTCTACATTTCAGATAAAAGTATTTTGTTCTAAGAGCAATTATTTCCCATATATTTAATATTGAAGGCTGGGCATGGTGGCTCACGCCTGTAATCCCAGCACTTTGGGAGGCCAAGGAGAATGGATCACAAGGTCAGGAGATCAAGACCATCTTGGCTAACATGGTGAAACCCTATCTCTACTAAAAATACAAAAAATTAGCCAGACGTGGTGGTACGTGCCTGTAGTCCAAGCTACTTGGGAGGCTGAGGCAGGAGAATTACTTGAATCCAGGAGGTGGAGGTTGCAGTGAGCGGAGATCGTGCCACTGCACTCCAGCCTGGGTGACAGAGTGAGACTCTGTCTCAAAAAAGAAAAAAAAAAATTGAAAACAACCACAGACTCTCAAAGGCTTCTCATTGTGTGTTTCAGTGCACTTTCACTTTTAAATATTTTTAATTTTGTGGGAAGATGTCTTATATTTTGATGGCATCAGTGTAGGACATAAAGAAGGAAATTACACTGAATCCCTGTTTTTCCTTTTCTTTTCTACTCAGTACCATCCTCGGGGCCCCAGAACTTGCGGGTGTCCGAGGAATGGTATAACCGGTTGCGCATTACGTGGGACCCCCCATCTTCCCCGGTGAAAGGCTATAGAATTGTCTACAAACCTGTCAGTGGTAAGTAATGCTTTGTAAATAATGTTGATACCATGAGTAGTCACTTAAAATGTCTTTTAAGATAAATTGTTTTCTTATAACACCTTATGTTTGGTTGTATTTTTTTAAAGAAGTAGGGAGAACCTCTTACTTGTTTTGGAAAAATAAAGTGTTTTAGTATGGTCAGTGATAGGGTAGATATTATCAGGATGATGAAGCTATGACATCACATAAAAAACTACTGGGCACATCAATTAGAAGACTATATATTGGGTATATACATGACCTAATCATACCCTAGACCAGGAACCAATCTAAGGAAATCTTGACTTTATAGGAATAGGAAGCTTTATGCTCAATAAAGACATAAATTCTAAACATTTGGAATCTCTAACTTCAAAGTTCTCTTCTACCTCTTACTTCTTGGATTAGTTGGAAAATTTTCATTTACCAACTTCTTAGTCTCCTCAGTTTGGAAATGGAATAGGGGGAAGAAAAAAAAAACTCATCACGGTAGTAAAATGCTTTTCCACCAGTCTCTTAGCCACCTCCATAAGAGGATCCCTCTCGCCTCTACCTCCCACATCATTATATCTTGAAGGCATGAAAATGATACAAGTAGAAAGCGATCGTACCCTTGGTCTGTATGCCTGTGAAGAGGAGACCGTATGCCCCAGCACCTCTTACAGTACCATCTCCCCATTCTTAGCAATCTCACAAAGTTTAAACAGGAGACTAGAATTGATGTTATTAAGGTCTTCTCAGTTTTCTAGACCTGGGCCTGCAGTACTCTAGTTGTTCAGCAGAAAGGGCAGGAAAATTTTAAAAACATTCTTACGGTCATTAAAACATTTTCTGCTGGCTGGGTGTGGTGGCTCATGCCTGTAATCTCAGCCCTTTGGGAGGCTGAGGAGGGTGGATTGCTTGAGTCCAGGAGTTTGAGACCAGCCTGGGCAACATGGTGTGACCCAGTCTCTACAAAAATACAAAAATTAGCCAGGCATGGTGGCATGCACCGTACCCCCAGCTACCTGGGAGGTTGAGGTGGGAAAATTGCCTGAGCCAGATAAGTCAAGGCTGCAGTGAGCTGTGATCACACCACTGCACTCCAGCCTGGGCAACAAAGCAAGACCCTGTCTCAAAAAATAAAAATAAAATATAAGCACTTTCTGCCTTCAAAAACTCCATTAGTTTCAATCTTTCTTTTTTTTTTTTTTTTTTTTTTTTTTGAGACGGAGTCTCGCTCTGTCACCCAGGCTGGAGTACAGTGGCGCAGCCTCGGCTCACTGCAAGCTCCGCCTCCCGGGTTCACGCCATTCTCCTGCCTCAGCTTCTCCGAGTAGCTGGGACTACAGGCGCCCGCCACCACGCCCGGCTAATTTTTTTTTTTTTTTTTTAGTAGAGACGGGGTTTCACCGTGGTCTCGATCTCCTGACCTCGTGATCCACCCGCCTCGGCCTCCCAAAGTGCTGGGATTACAAGCGTGAGCCACCGCGCCCGGCCTAGTTTCAATCTTTCATCTGAGATATGGTTCTCGCCCCATATCAATTTTCAGCCTTTTCTATTGTGCCTCATTATCCAGGTGCTATTGTCTTCAGGCCCGTAAGACTCAAATACTCCCACCTCCAATTTCTCCAGACAAACATCCTTATAACTAGGAAAATAAAACAGTAAGACTAGAACATGGGTGCACTAGCCTGCTCCAGGCTCATTCTCTGGGACCCATCACCAATGTTTTTGTCTGTTTGCTTTAGGCCGGAAGCATGCGTTAATTTGTAAGACAGCCTTGCTTAATTTGTTTTTTGGATCATTTTACAAATATTGATCAGGCTTTCTAAGCACAAAAAGCTTTATTTTAGGCCAGCGGTTCTCAGTTGATGTCATTTGCTCCCAAACGGAGACATTTTTGATTGTTACAACTGGTGAGAGAGGACTTGCTCCTGGAATCTAATGGGCACTCCTAAACATGCTACAATGGACAGTACTCCTCTGCCCCAGAATAAATAATTTTTCAGTTCAAAATACCAATAGTAGTGAGGCTGAGAAATCCTGTTCTAGGCCAAGTGGGAGAAATATACATGTATGGTCATTTGCATTGTACGTGTGGGGCATGGGAAAATTGCTACTGAGGTAACACATACAGAGATAGACATATAAATGTATTGTTGGAAGGGGGCTTCTGGAGGAAAGTGATGAGTATTTTGAGAACTTGTCACTAACTCAAAGCTCTTAAAGAATGAGCATGCATGGGAAGAAGCAGGAGGTAAATAAATTTGTATAGGCTTTAGCAATGAATGTTTTTAATGCTTCATTAAAGACCCCACTAGATTGAAGAAGAGGTGAAAACATACAGACCTGAAAATGCTAGCTAATCAAGGGCCTTGGAATAAGAGCATAATCTGTCTGGTATTAAACATCCTAAAAGGAGCAGATAAAAATAAAGTGGTAACATTGATGCTGGTTCACAATGTGGCAAGGTATGGCCTGGTCTCCATGATAAAATTTGCTATGACTGCCGCTTGTGTGCCTGCTGGGAGCAAAGTTGGTTACCTTAGAAGGGACAATTGAGAATTATTTCTTTAATTGGACTAATTCCTCAATTGCCTATTACAACATAGTACATAACAATATAGCAGATGGTAGACTGTGAGGTGGACCAATTTCTTTGAATAAGTACAAGGATAAAACTATATTTAGGGAAATGACTAGGTCCCTAAAAATAACCTTTAGCCCAGCAGTTTTTAGAGCTAGATGAGACCAGATTCAAACCTCAACCCTGCTGTCTGCTTGCTGTATAATCCCAGGCAACTGAAAAGCAGTCAAGTGAATACAATTTGATCTAAGAGTGCTTCTATTTTCCCATATTTTGTTGTAACTAAAATATATCCTCTTTCTTCTTTAGTTCCTGGTCCAACACTGGAAACGTTTGTGGGAGCTGACATTAACACCATCCTTATCACAAACCTCCTCAGCGGAATGGACTACAATGTGAAGATATTTGCCTCCCAGGCCTCAGGCTTCAGCGACGCCCTGACAGGCATGGTGAAAACATGTAAGAGCCATTTCCGATGGCCTCAGCCGCATATGGGTTTTTGTTTTGTTTTGTTTTTTGAGATGGAGTCTCGCTCTGTCGCTCAGGCTGGAGTGCGCTGGTGCGATCTGGACTCACTGAAACATCCGCCTCCAGGGTTCAAGTGATTCTCCTGCCTCAGCCTCTCGAGTAGCTGGGATTACAGGCACAAGACACCATGCCCAGTTAATTTTCATATTTTTAGTAGAGATGGGGTTTCACCATGTTGGCCAGGTTGGTCTCAATCTCTTGACCCCGTGATTCAACCTCCTCAGCCTCCCAAGCACATGGGGTTTTGCTGCTTTGTTTTCACTGTAACTTTCACTCAACCCTGCTTCCATTTGGTCATTCATTTTTCCTTTTCCTCTGCATTGCCCTTTCTGGATGGTGTTTCATGGAAAGAAAGGTGTGCTTTTTATTTGGGGTAGTTCAGAGTCCTGGTTGGCAGGCGGGATGTCAGTACCTGGCTTTCAAATAGACTTGATGATTGCAGATAGGATTTCCTTCTGGAAAATCTGTGTTGGCATTTTTCAAATTAGGTGAAATTTTCCAAACAGCCTGTAGCCCGAGATGGCCAATGTCAAAGTTGGAGCAGGAGGAGGTTTGTCTTTTCTCAGAGGGGTCACTCCACCCCCTTGCACGTGCACATATGCCATCCATCAAAAGTACATGCCACCCCATTCTCAGCACTTCCTTCTCTACTCCTTTGAGGGTTTTCACGTTGTCTGCACACCATCTGGGACTCCTTAGTGGCATACACCACTCCCAGACACCCACACAATAATGCAATGTTTTCCAAATTCCAGCACCTGTGTGCCATATTCCTGAAGTTTGTTATACCTCCGCATGATCTGTTTATTTATTTGGATTGACTTACAGTTTTTGACCTAAATACTTTTCAAAATCCATGTAGTTACCCTAAACAGAAAATCAGTATTTTTATTTTTTAATATATTAAAAAATATTTTCTCCTCTACTAGCTTTTTAGTTAAATATCCAAATTTTCATAGATACCCTAGAGATTTCAATATGAATCCTTAGCTTATTCCAGTCTACCTTAAATTACTGCTTTTTGGCTTAAGAATTTTATAACAATGTATAATACCTTTTTCCTTTTTGCTACTCTTTTTCTATCTATTTTGTAACTCTATTGCTATAAACCCCTTAAGATATTATTGTTGTTGTTTCAAATACTCACTATTCTTTCATTTTTTTTCTAGCTTTATTGAGGTATAATTGGCAAATAAAAATTGTATATATTCAAGGTGTAGATACATAGATCTGCAATCTTCAATGTGATGATTTATGTTTACAATGTGTAATGATCACCACAATCAAATTATTTTTGAAGTATACATTTTATTTTCTTTTTTGATAGTCAAATGACATCTTTATTTTATTTTATTTATTTTAAAAACTTCAATATCCCTTAGGGTACAAGGGGTTTTTGGTTACACGGATAAATTCTCTAGTGGTGAATTCTGAGATTTTAGTGCACCCGTCACTGGAGCACTGTATACTGTACCCAATACATAGTCTGTTATCCCTCACCCCGCTTCCAAACCTCCCGTCTTTAGTCCCCAAAGTCCATTATATCACTCAAAATTTTTAATCACATTTTAAAATACACATTAAAGACAACATATAAATGACCAAAATACAAGTGGTTTGGCTGTATGCTAGTCTAGATAGTCCTGAGTGCAATCAACAGCACATGCCCCACTCTTGAGATCATAGTCATGGTATTGTCAAAAGAATAAGCCTCAAATCTGCTACTTGTTAGTGTGGCCTTGGGCAAATTGCTTAACTTCCCTCAGCCCAAGCTTTTTCAATTCTAAAATGAAGATAATAATAACCATCGTTCAGGCAAATTGTGAGGATTACAGAGAAAAAATGTATGTAACGTGCTTACGATGTGGCAAATATTCAATAAATAACTACTATTATTATTGTAATGATGGGGCTTTATGCACTTGCCCTATATCTTACCCTCATCCCTAAAAAATAATTAATCTAATCAATACTGTC
The DNA here is from genome assembly GCF_000001405.40 of Homo sapiens. NCBI lineage: Eukaryota > Metazoa > Chordata > Mammalia > Primates > Hominidae > Homo > Homo sapiens. The sequence goes on from NC_000008.11 coordinate 120,252,813, forward strand.
AAGCAAGAGTGGGCCATATATTAAGCCAGACCCCAGCGCCCCCCGATTGCATATAGGGCCAGCCCTTTTATAGAAGAGGTGTCCTGAACTCTCTGTCGTGGAATATCTTGAGACCTTAAAGGCTAGACAGTGAATAAATTTATCTTAAAAGAAATAGTCTCCATCTTCAACAGGCCTAGGAAGCCTTTGGTTGGGGTTCTGATCTTGTGCTTGGCTGTTGATGTGACACTGTTGTGGCTTCACTAATGAAACCTCCAAGTATTTCCTCTGTTTTGCTCCTATGGCAACTTCACAGCCTTCCTTAGTTATACCACAGCATCTCCTATAGCTGGGATTACAAGCGTGTGCCACCATGCATGGCTAATTTTCTATTTTTAGTAAAGACAGGGTTTCACCATGTTGGTCAAGCTGGTCTTGAACTCCTGACCTCAGGTGATCCACCTGACTTGGCCTCTCAAAGTGCTGGGATTACAGGCGTGAGCCACTACGCCCAGCCCTGTGATTTTTTACTGGTCTCTCTTCTCCCTAGTCTTTCTTGTCTTTTTCCATCCTCTTTTCTCTGCTCCCTCTTCAATTCTGTTTCCTCTTTCTTCTCTCCCTTAATAAATATATTGAGCATTCCAAACATATTTTAAAAGACTGAGATTGTTGAATTGTTTTATAGTCTTGTCCTTAAAATATAAATTAGTGAGTTTATTATTTATTCTCTCTATTTCTCCCAAGCAAAAGAAAATCTCCCACAATGGCAAATAAATTAATATAAGGTATTTTAAAAATATTTTGTGTGGTTACATAAATCATTAACATTGATAAAAGTTATATAAATCAGGGCCGGGTGCAGTGGCTCACGCCTGTAATCCCAGCACTTTGGGAGGCTGAGGCAGGTGGATCACCTGAGGTCAGGAGTTTGAGACCAGCCTGGCCAGCATGGTGAAACCCTGTCTCTACTAAAAATATAAAAGTTAGTCGGGTGTGGCGGCATGCACCTGTAATCCCAGCTACTCAGGAGGCTGAGGCAGGAGAATCGCCTGTACCCAGGAGGTGGAGGTTGAAGTGAGCTGAGATTGTGCCACTGCACTCCAGCCAGGGTGACAAGAGCGAGACTCCATCTCAAAAAACAAAACAAAAAAGTTATATAAATCAATTAACATTAATTTCATTTGTTTTTGTTAGGGGAAGAGAGATTGTTTAATTGGCTTTAGGAAAAAAGTCTTCTTTCTTTGCTGTAACAGAAAGGAACAGTGTAAATGTATAAATTATAGTTAGACAAGATTATTTTTACCATCTTGAAAAGATAATTCCGAGGTATTTTTATTTTGTGAGTAAGCTAAGAGAGAGAGAGAAATAATAGAAAATGATATGAATGGAAGTCAGAGGTCATTAGGAAAAGTAAATATGTTGATTTTCTGCTTGGATCCAAATGATAAACACTGGCTACCTACTTTTCTATTGTCTTGTAGAAACAATATCTTATTGCCTCCCCAAACAACAATTTTTGCATATCACAATGTCTAAGATTAATAGGAACCTATGTATTTTAAAAATAATTTGTGTTATCTCTGTAAAATCTTTTATTTTTAAATTTTCAAAAGTGTTTATTCAATCGTGTTTTGAAGACCAGTCCTTGTGAAACTGCTCCTGTTTGCAGAACCCTTCCATTTTGACTATTTTACTCTTCTCTTTTTAAGCCATGGCTATCCCATTGGTTGATAAATACATACTGTATTTACTTTTTTATTATACAAGTATTACATATTTATTGTGTAATATTTAGAAAACACAAGTATATAAAGGGGGTAAGATTTAAAATTACCCAACATTTCATCATCCTTTGCATCTGGTCTTTTTTCTATCAATATGCACTTCCTCTTCTATTTAAAATGCATACAGGGCCAGGTATAGTGGCTCACACCTGTAATCCCAGCACTTTGGGAGGCTGAGGCAGGCAGGTGGCTTGAGCTCAGGAGTTTGAGACCAGCCTGAGCAACATGGCGAAACACTGCCTCTACAAAAAAAAAAAAAAAAAAAAATTAGCTGCATGTGGTGGCACATGCCTGTGATCCCAACTACTTGGAAGGCTGAGGTGGGAGGATTGCTGGAGCCCAGGAGGTTGAGGTTACAGTGAGATGAGATCATGCCACTGCACTCCAGCCTGGGCTACAGAGCAAGACCCCATCTCAAAACAAACAAACAACAAACAAATAAGAAAAATAGCAGACAGACCACATCATGCATAATGTTTTGCAATCTGTTCTCTCAAGTCATAAAACATTTATCTTTTGTATACTAACTCATTGTAAATTGATGGATTTCCCAGCTCTGACTATGCAGCTTTGAATGAAAATTTTTCCAGAAGTTAATTTCAGATTCAGGGATGCTTGTGTGTTGTCTGCGGTGTGATACAGTTATGTTTCTATTTCATTCCAGTGTTCTTGGGTGTTACCAATCTCCAAGCCAAACATGTTGAAATGACCAGCTTGTGTGCCCACTGGCAGGTACATCGCCATGCCACAGCCTATAGGGTTGTTATAGAATCCCTCCAGGGTGAGTACAATCCATCACTTACGTTTTTGTCAAGCATTTGTGTATTTGATTCTTTGCACACCACTGTGTACAACACACAAGTAGCATTAGACAACAGCCCTCTTGTCAAGGAAGCAATTTGTATTGGTCAGTCATGCTGCATATGGGGTCTGACTGGTTGGGTAAGTGAATTACTAACCCTCTGGAAACCTCCCTTTTTCTTATCTGGTAATGAGTATAGCCATAGTGCTGATTTTTTAGAGTTCTGTGAAGATAAAGCTGAGATATTCCACATAAAGCACTTGCAGTAGTGCTTTGTGCACTGGAAGGACCCCAAAAATGTTAGCAGCCAGATAGCCAAGACTAGCATACATTAAAATTATATTGTACTCTAATTTGGGTATTCACTCTCTAGGGATCAAGTTTAAATTTAATGTTTTTCTTAGTGTTTTTTTTTTTCTTTTGGGGATAATTGGTGAACAACAACCCTCATTCCAGAGATTTAATGTATCTACAGCATCATGAACAAGTTCTTCAGCATTACAGTTCTCATGTACATCCACAATTTGGGACTTGTTCCAAGGCTGAAACAGTAAAAATGTCTCACTGTCTTCATTAAAAATATCGAGAACAACAACAAATGGCTGATTCCCCAAAAATCAGTATCTAGAGCCGGTTAATCCTCTTTTCCCAACATCAGCATGGACACTATGCAGAAGATGAAATCAAATAATAAAAATTACTTAATCAGATTTATAGAAACAATAGAAAAGCTATATCTTATTATTTTATGGGATTATAGGAGATGCTAAAGAATCCCAAATGATTTTTTAAAATCTTCCAAACTTGGGAGTAAAATTGTTAAAAATGTAGCCTGTTCTTTCTGGGCAAATGATCTTGGTTTCCCCATTTCAGAAAAGCAAAATGACCTAATTATTTCTAGTCCAGATAAGACTGGGTTTAGTAGCCCATATTCCTGACTATAGCTATATTCAAAATCCATAAATCCCATTTTTGATCCAATCCATAAAGTGGAAAGCATAGTTTAGGAGAGCACTGAGAGCATTTGGAAATATGTCCCTTGTAGAATAAGAACTGAGATACGTGGAACATACGAGAAGAAATTCCTGCCAATCCCAGCCAAGATATCATCATGATAGACATGTGGCACCACTGCTTCCTTGAGTCCCTCTCTATGATGTAAGGATCCTTCCAGCCTGACATTGGCTTGACATTTGGGAGTGGTATTAACCTGGAACAAACATTGAGGGATAGAAAGTGAGGATAAGTCACATGGATTTTATGGTTATGTTAAATATGATTTATGGGATGCCAAAAGTAGATAAAGCACAGGCAACAATTTGAGAAACAACTATGAAATCTTGAGTTATGTTTCCTATATTTCTTTAAGTCACGCTTTAATATGGAAGGGTTGGCATTTAATGGTATTTGCTAAGCCTAAGAAAAAATTCTAAGTGTAATAATCACCCTCCCAAACTATCCCACAGTTCTTTTATATGATTTATCCTTTTATATGATTTAGGAAATTGAAATGAAGGAACGTGGGTTCCTGTGGATATTCGTTGCCTTTCATAAAAATTTATCACTATATATGTTGACACAACGATGTATAAAAACTGGCTTTATCAATGGAATCAATAAGATTCATAGTTTTTTAAATTAAATGCTTTTAGTTTAGCATATTTGCAAAGCAGCCTTGAGAGTTTTATCAGAGGATATGATTGATTTGTCTGATAATACTGAACTGGTCATCTAAAACCACAATAAGCTCTTTCTGAAGCCAAGATCTTTGCTGGCAAGTAAATGAGTCCACAGTTGCTTTTTATCTTCAAGTTAAGTGAACTTATACTCCCTCAGTATTATTTTCAGGCTGCCAGAAACTTTTTCAGCTGAACCTTTATAGTCTTAATTGAACAAGAACGAACAAAAGTGTTGTTCAATGTACTTCTCATCAACATTTGTTGCTGAGAGATTAGATTTGTGAACAAAATTAGCCACATTTCATTCACACAGTTGTCTTACTGAATATTATTTATCAACTGGACAGCAAAAGATTCTAATTGACAACTGGAAAAGGAATGTTTGATGGAGGAGTGAGTGTGGGGGTGGCAGTAGGAAATGTGTTTGGATAGTTTAACTCATACAAATTAGATCAAGGAATAGTCTTCCTACTTTGGAATGGAGAAGAATTAGGTTGAGTTTCATTATCTTATAGGGGAATGTGTTCACCATTCTGATTCACTGACTTTAAAGGACTTGTGGTAAGATGCCCATTCTTCCACAGGCAGATGAGTCTCAGACCCTCAGGTGTTTTGACTGTAATATTGGCTACATATGCGGTCTCTGCAGAAATTTCAGTCTTTCCACTCCAGGCAAAGGAGATACTAGGAATAAATGAGACCCAATTTCCCCATGTGTTGGAATGAAGCTTTATCCCAGTTGACCTCTTTCTGAATGCCTCCGTCAAATCCTTACAGTTTGATGGGTAATTTTTTCCAGTTTTTTTCCCATATATTTTTTCATAGCTTAAGCATGTGCACTTTTATTCTGAGATTAAGTCAGTAATGAAGTCTCTACTGTAACCACAACCGCTGGTCAACTTTCTTCTCTGGGCTTCAGCTTCTGTGAAATTATTTCATCTAAGTCTATTAACTGAGGCAATAACTGCAATTTTGCAAGGTTTTTGTGAGTAGAATAGCCACGTTGTATCATTCAGGCTTGTTTATTAATATTCACAGAAATCTAGATAAACTTAAGCCGAAGGGTCAATTTATTGGCTAGTATACTGAGAAGTCCAAAAGTCTCTGGCTTCAGGCACATCTGGACCTAGGTGTTCAATTTCCTAGAGATAAAGTCTTGCTCCTTCTTGTGTTCTGCTCTTCTATGCCTTCATTTTCAACCAGGCTCAGTGAGTCAGATCCAGAATTACATTCTCCCAGCTTCCAGCTTTAACAGTCTTGGTGAAAAGAGAGCTTCTCTTTCTCAATAGTTCCAACAGAAGTCCAGGAACTGAGTCATATTGGCCTGGTTTGGGTCACATGCCTCTAAATCTGTCATTGAGTGCAAGGGCATGAAATAAACTGACTGTTTGGACCTGGTTGCCTTCCACCCCTGTATCTGGTGGTGGTGGCTGGAGGTGGGGGTGTTATTCAATCCTCCCCAAACCATAAAGACCAAGACTGAGGAGGAATGGATGCAAAGAAAGAGATTTCAGATACAAGACAGGCAAAAGCAACAGATGTCCTTTACCCATGTAAATATTATGACATTTTTATGGCCAAGAAAAAAAAAAGATTACCAGAAGGACAAAGTCTTCTCAGGAAAGACTGAAATAAAATCTGCTTTTGACTCAGTCATCCATTTGCCAAATTAAATGATAGGTTTTTGGTTAATTCTAGGACAGCCCAAAGTGAGAGATTTTTGGTTGGCCTTGGGTAATTCAGAGCCCTGTGAGGTCCTCCATTAGTTCTGCAGATGCTATGGGATTTTATCCCTCTCTCCAGCTGTTTTTGAGTTGCCTTGGCACCTAAGGTTGACTTCAAATTCATGCATTTATTAATATATGCCACATAGGCCCAAACACTTTATTCCCACCCTAATCCCCACAACTTGATGAACTTCTTTGTAACCTGCTTAGATAAAGGTTTAGAGGATGCTCCACTTGTCCCTATTTAGGTGCTGAGATGTCAGCTTTGCAGTATTATTTATTGACAAGGATAGAGAACTGCAGCATAGTGGAGAGCCTACCTTACCAAAGACCAGGTCCACAGAAAGCATCATATGGAACAAAACCTATGATCAGAATTAAACTTTCTGAAGCAGTGACATTATGGGGAGTATAATTATTTATATCATAAAATTCTACCAGAGTAGTTACCTGGATGCTGGATATTCTTTGCTTGTGGAACTCAATAACTACTTGTAGGACATTTTGATAAGTCAAGCTGGTGGCGTTATAATTATAATTATACGTTTATAATCTGGAGAATGGATTTAGTGTTGCTTCCTAAGAATGAGTGCACAAATAAAGACAGATTTTTTCCCTGTGTTTCAAAAAAATAAATTAACTTCCTCCTTTTGGCATGAGAGGTTGAGGAAATTAGTCACCATTTGGTCAGTTTGAATGTTTTCCTTAAGGCAAAGCCAATAGGCCTGAATTGCACATGCCAAAAGCAACATGGATACACCCCCATTCATGGAACCCCTCTTTGTTAGTATTGGGAACCAAATTGATACTGTTTGCCATTAATCTTATAGTGCTTGTTCCAGTTTTCCAATGTTTATAGATTTATTATTTTAGCAGTAAGATCTACTTATATTCTGTTTTCAAGGGTCTTTAAAGTCCATGGGTTTCTACATGAAATAGGAAATGTGACAGAAAAGTGCATTTCTAGAATTGACTCCTGGAGAGTCCCCGGAAGGTTTGTGGAGGTAGATCAGTATGATCCACGCATAAAATTCAGGAAATGTTTGTATTACAGGTGGCTCACAGAAGCTTTTAGGAGGCTCTAAGGGATAGCTAAGGGTCAAAAAGAAACAGTTATTGTGGGATTCAGAGCCTGGAAACCATAGACTAAACTTGGACCTAAGCAAAGCGAAACACTGAGTTGACTAAATTTTACTTACTATCAAACCCATTTCACATAATATATAATCTCACAAACACTTTAACAATTTTTAAATGTTATCATTTTTCATAATATAGGAACAAGAAATGATTAAAGTTGACACTATTTACTTTGAACAAATACATTAATAAAAATTCTGTTATAAAGTTCCCTTCTGAAACTAATATTCACAATATATAAAAATGAATTTAAAATTCTATTTAACAAATAGCTTTAATTCATTTATATTTTTAAAAGTCTATATTTGTCCATAGACAAAATTTAAAATAACATATATCATGTTTATTCTGATATATGCATATTATAATATACATATCTTTGCTTCAATATATGCATATCAAAATATGGATGGCAATTTAACTAGGTTTGATGCTTATAAAATAGACAAAAATTGTGTAAAATTTTTGCATTTTACAGTTGAAAAAGCAACTGGTATGCTTTTATATATTGTAGATTCTGTTTATTCTTCATAAACTCCTCTGCAAATAACATTTTGAAGGAGCGGATAGTTCTTTTTAACCACTAAATGATATGTGTAATATATTTAATCAATGCAGTTTTTAAACACTAGTTTTTCAGCCCCTAGAAATAAAGCGTTATGAGGCTTTGATTAAACAAATGCAATTTATGGATAAGATGATCAATCTAGAGGGAAATTTGAATAATTGTTTTTTCATGGTAGCAGTGATTCCTCCTCTTAATCAGTTGTCCATTGTGGTAAAAACAACAACAATGCTCTGTGCCTACGAGGAAAACACTTGAAACTCTTCAATAATGAAAGCCACCCAAGTAGGCTCTGTGGAGTGATAAAGCATCATCTAATCTCTAGCCATCATGTTTGTACATTTTATATGCACTCAACAGCTCTCAGATGGTTTCATTTTGGAAAACTATATATTTCATTTACATTTGCTTAGAATATATCAGTGGAAATTAAAGCAACGTCCTCTGAAACTGAGCTTTAGAGTTCTGAATGCAGGGGGATGAGCAGAAGTGGGTCAAGGGGTAGAATAATACAGTTAGGTAGAAGGAGTAAGTTTTAGTGTTTGATAGTACACTAGGGAAATAATAGTTAACAACAACTGTATATTTCAAAATAGCTGGAAAAAAAGAATTGTAATATTCCCAACACAAAGAAAAGATAAATGTTTGAAGTGATGGATATTCCAATTACCTGATTTGATCATTGTACATTGTATAGAGGTATGAAAATATCACACAAACCCCCAAAATATGTACAACTATTATCTACCAGTTTAAACAATCTCAGTTCTGCTAATTAGAATAAGGACTTGAAGAAGTTATTAACTTTTCTGACCTTTAGTTTCTTCTCTTTAAATTGGGAATAATTATAAATGTTATAAGAATCAAATGAGATAATACATATGAATTCCTTAGAATATTGCCTGGCACATGATAAGCACTCATTAAATGTTGGCTATTATTATCTTTATTGCTGTTGTTATAATTAAATAGCAAGCACAGAACCTGGATATAATAAACCCTCAAGAAATGATGAATATAATTAATCCAGATTCCTCAGTCTCAGGACCTAAGGGCCAGCACTAGTTCTTCCAGGAGATGTACAGCAATTTTTCTATGGATGTGGGAACAAAGAAACGAGCCAATAGTTAGTCAGGTCTCCAGAGTTCTTTGTGCCTCTGTCATGGTGGAGAAAAAGACAGAGAAGGTGCCATATGAATTGGCTGTGTATGACATGTCTCCTTGGTAGATAAAAAAAGAACCAGAAATTGAGACTGAACTCTACAGCATATATGGCCCTATGCTATGTAAGCACCATGTCCCTTTTCCTCAATTAAAGGATTTTCAGAGTGGATGCAGGGCATTTGGAGAGGCCCCTCTGAACTCCCTGGGAATGTCTTTTGCAATTGAAGGAAACCACTGGTATCAGTTAAAAGTCAAGGCTGAGAGGGAGATACTGGGCAGGGTGAGGACTCCTTGGTGGTCCCAGTGCTGCTGCAAGCTCTTGCCTGCTGTTGTGGCAGCTTTGAAGACAACCTGGACCCATGGACCAGGGCTTCTGAGACCCATACCTGTATCTTTAGACCACTGCCTAGAAGGGTGGTCTGTTGGGTGGTAATAAGTTATATGAGGCCAAAAGGAAGTATCTGTTTATGTTATATAACATTGGGCTGTGTTCAGAAAATCATATCGAATAAAAGGGAGTTCAGATTTAAAAAAAATAGGCCAGGCATGGTATCTCGTGCCTGTAATCCCAGCACTTTCAGAGGCTGAGGCGGGTGGATCATCTAAGGTCAGGAATTCGAGACCAGCCTGGCCAACATGGTGAAACTGCATCTCTATTAAAAATACACAAATTAGCTGGGCATGGTGGTGCACGCCTGTAGTTCCAGCTACTCAGGAGGCTGAGGCAGGCGCATTGCTTGAACCCGGGAGTAGAGGTTGCAATGAGCTGAGATCGCACCATTGCACTCCAGCCTGGATGACAGAGTGGGACTCCATCTCAGAAAAAAAACAAAAACAAAAACAAAAAAACCCCACAAAGATTAAAAAACTAAATAAATGCCCTCACATCTGCATCTGTCCAAAAGATCAGTTAGGATGTGTGCATATAATTACATGCATTAATAGTTCTCCATTAAGTAAAGAGTTGATTTCAGAAGTCTTTTAATAGTAAACTTCATTTTTGGACATATAAAATGTGATTTTCCATAGAAAAATACCAGTGAATATATTAACTCTTTGGAAGAAGATACAATACTTCAAACAAATATAACTCATTCTGGAGTTATCTGATGTGGGCTAACATGTGAAGTATTTTAGAAGCAAATCATCTGCCAATGGCTGTGTTTCAAAAATTTCATATGTGTGTGTTTTTGTTTTGTTTTGTTTTTATTATAGATAGGCAAAAGCAAGAATCCACTGTGGGTGGAGGGACAACCAGGCATTGCTTCTATGGACTTCAGCCTGATTCTGAATATAAAATCAGTGTTTATACAAAGCTCCAGGAGATTGAAGGACCTAGTGTGAGCATAATGGAAAAAACACGTAAGTCATGTGTGTTCTCTCCTGATCCCTCTCCCCATGAACAAACAGAATTTCAGGCATCCTGTTTCCTTATCCCATTTAGAAAAATATTAGCTATTGCTGTTCAGGAATATACGTAATACAAGTTTTGTTCCTCTTACTCAACCCCAGAATTCATTGCATATGGCCCACTGATGTCATCAATATGGGTTTTTTATTTCCATTCTCCATATATGTTTCACAAGAGACTAGAAGGCCACACGATAGTAAAGCAGTTGAGACAATGACTTACATTGTGATCCAGATCCATAAGGAACATTTGTGGCATGTGGAGTGTGAAATGCAGTTTGAGGACGACTTGGCTCTGACATTAAAACAATGGCATATTACCACAGCCATGAGGATGGGAAGGGAGCCAAGATGTTCCAACTGGATGACCCTAGAGTTACTGCTTGCCTAAGAAGCTCTTGCACTTTTTCCAAGCTGACTGCAGATGTGATGCACTAAAGGGAAAGGCAAAGTATAAAATTAAAACAAAGCTCTTTTTACATGTTCCAAAGAGCAAGGAGAGTGTCAACTTCTTGAAATGGCTTCTAGTCAAAGATTCTTGACCCCGGCTCCACAAACATTAAAATGGTTTGAAATGCAGTGAATTCTGGGGGACATTTGTGTGCTTAACTCAGTATGTTGAATTTAAACTTGAAATTCCGGGAGGATTTGTGTCTGAATAGGTGTTGGGCAATGGGCTTTCTTGGTGACCCGTCTATCATGTACATGGCATTTAGAAGGGATTACTATCTGTGTATAGCTCTTCCAGCCTCTCTGGCACTTGCAGAGGGAAATCATGCACATGTAACCTTCAAAAAGAGAGGATAAAAGTATAATAAATTAAATCATCTTCTTTTACGTAATACAAAGACTTTATTTCACAACACTTAAATATGCAGTATTTCATATTCCACATGTATTTTTGAGGTATAATTTATATAACATAAAATTTAAGTACCATTTTAAGTGTGCAGTTCAATAATTTTTAGTACATGTAATGAGTTGTATCAGCATCCCTACAATCCAATTTCAGGACGTTTCCATCAACCCAAAGAACATTTCCTGCTATTTGAAGTCGATCTCCTTTCCCACCCTGAGCCTCAGACAATCTACTTTCTTTTATTATACATTTGCCTTTTCTGGACATTTCACATAAGTGGAAATATATCATATGTAGTCTTTTACATCTGGCATCTTTCACTTAGCATATGTTTTTGTGGTTTATCCATGTTGTAGATTGTGTCAGTAGTTTGTTTCTTTTTATTGCTGATTAGAATTCCATCTTATGGATTGTAAATCATATAGTTTTGAAGTTAATAGGAACCTGATAGTACACAAGACTTAGAGTCAAATGGTTTGTTTGAAGATCTTGTTCTGCCCCTTTCTAGCATTATGGCTTTAGGCGATTCAGCATCTCTGAGCTTTTCACTCATCAATAAAATTAAATACCTACTCTCTTGCCTCAAGTGGTGGCAGTAAACAACCAATAAAAGAATACTCATTGAAGAGCTTTTCAACCCATATGTCATCTAGCAAGTACTTTTTGTCATTACCATTATTATTTTCTTAAAGGTCATAAACTAAAGGCTAGATCTCACTATCAGGCATGTTTTCTCCAGCCATACTTTTTTAAGTTTTAAAGTAGTTTTTGAAAAGTCAGAATATCTTGCAGCACTAAGTATCTATCTTCATGGTGCCAATCTGCTGGAACCAACTAAATGCTGTCTGTTTAGACAGTGCATGTGCGCTTAAGTTGGCTACCACACCTTAATGTTCACGCTAAGTTCTTTGCGCTTATTCGTTGCTCACCTGACCCCTAGAAACATTTGTGTTTAGGACCCCTGATCTACTTTAGCTTCTCCTATCCTTGACCCCGCACTGGTTAACTGCTAACCTAGGGTTAAATCCAATTTGGATAGCTCTGTTTGATGTAAATGTTTTCCTTATGTTGGAGGCATCTGTCTTCTTGTAGCTTCCACCCATTGGTTCTGGTTCAACCTTCTGAAGCAATGCAGGTAAAGACTATTCCCTCTTTATATGACAGCCCCTCACATCCTTGAAGACAGGGACAATCTGTATGCCACATATAGAATATAAACATGTGTCCCCAGTTCACTGTGGTTCTTCTTACCCAAGAGATTCTTTAGCCAGATGTTCTGCCCAATCGTATTAATCTGGCTGCCATACTCTCTTACTGATTTCATTCTTGATTTATTGACCAGACTTAGGAGATGCCTTGATTTTCCATGTTAAAGAAGATGCACAATTATTAAGATGACTGACTACTTCCACAAATTTTAAAATTTAAAAAATGGCTTTAGAAACATTTTGTGGGGTTTTAAAGAAAGTTTTGCAATCCTAGTTACAAAAAAAATTTCTCATTTTTTAAATTTGGAGAGTTTTTAGCTTCAAAAATTGCCTTTAAAAATAACAGTGATATATATCCATAATAGTAAAACAGAAATGTATAAAGTGCATTGTCAACCTCCCTCTTTCCTTGTTCTTCCTTTTCAGAAATATTTCCTTTTCACACACACATATATATACATATTTATGAAAAATAAAAAGCACATATATATAAAATAAAAAAGGTATATATATGTGTGTGTGTGTGTGTATGTGTGCGTAAGTTTTATTTTTCACAAATGAGATTATGCCATGGTATTCTGTGACTTGTTTATTTCACAAAATAATCATCTTGAATATTTTTCCATTTAGTAATATATAGTTACCTCATTCTTTTAATGTTGAATCCTTTTATTTAAATTATTTTATTTTATTGAACCTTAAAGTTGGAAGAGACCTTACAGCTCACCTCTTAGCCTTCCTGACAATGAAGAAACTAAACTCCCCTTTATAAAATTCTTGGCAAATAGTCAGTCTGCCTGAGCTCAAATCCTTCTAGCTATTTGGTGCTTAGTATCGCCTGAGGCTAGACATCCCCTCTGTGAATGGCTATGTTTAGTGGAGGGTTTTCCTGAGTATTAAACTGGGATAGCGAGAAGAATTTTCTTAGTTTTTCTTAAATCTTTAGTGTCAAATAAGAATTAGAAATGAATACGTAATAACATCGTATTTTATGTTTACCTAATGACATCAAAACTTCCTGATGCTTTGCCACATGAGCTGGAATGAGAATTGATAATCACTACTCTGATCTAACTGTCCCCAGATCCTTTAACCAAGCCATACCTCTGCAGAGTATGTGGACTTCTCATCCCACATAATCCAGGCTGAAAAGACCCAAACACACTTTAGCCTGCCAATGTTTACATTTGGTCCTCAAAACCAAAAGACATTTCCAGATGCAGTCTGAGCAGAGCAGAATGAATCAGAGTCCACTGGTGACCAGTATCCTGGGGGATGCAGGATGGAAAGGGAAAAGTGCTATTGAGCAAGGATTGATGGTGAATCCTTAGGCAGAATGGAAATGAAGTTTATTGTGTGTGTGAAAGCAACAGGAGACGAACTTTCAAATGGGTTGGCAGGATTCCTGCCTTAAATCAACATTAGAACCACTTTGTAGTTGACAGTTTGATTTCATTGACTCCTGCTGGGTAAACTGAATGGTGGCAAAATGGCATTTCAAGCCTTCAGTCTGAGGATGAGACGATGGATGGAGTCAGTTTTCACAGGCTGCGGCTGATTTATAGTACTCATTAAATTCTCAGAGAAGACAGTTGTCAAAATCATTGACTACCCTGAATATTTATTACTCCATGACCTTCCGCTCTTCCCCACAGATGAGATGGTGAACTGATGTCCTTTCTCCCTTTCCTTTACAGAATCACTTCCTACACGACCACCAACTTTTCCTCCAACCATTCCACCAGCAAAAGAAGGTAAAAGAATAATAGAATAATTATCTGATTCTAGGTTTAGGATTTGTGTTGGTTTTGTTTGCCTGTTCATTTCAAACCAGGATATTAATAAAGTATATTTATTGTGCTACCTAATTTTCTCCTTAATACAAATGCTTATCAACCATGATGGGCTTGAATGATATCCATTTAATATCAATTCTGCACACAAAGAGTGGATTTACTAACAGAATTGCTTAATACTATTTTTTTTGAAATATCAGAGCAGTTAACATTCATTAAGGAAGCATAGTTACATAATTTGTAAGTGAAAATCCAGTTTGTAGTTCCTCAGATACAGTAATAGTTTCCCAGCCTACCTCTGAAGTGTCTCTTTCAGTCGTTTTTTCTTTCCTCATCACAACAGTTCCTCATCACCTTTTACCTAAGCCATTAAGGTAACTTTAAAAAGGCCCTCAACAAAGTAGTGATCATTATTTTTTTATTTCAATAATGAACATTTATTAATCCTGCTATTTATTCTCAAGGCTCTTATAGTAGGCATGGGAAATACAATAATAATACATGATTGCTGCTCTCTGCTTATTTTTAGTATTAAAGAGAAATAGGTGCTTGCCTAGATAAATACCAGTCAAGTTTATGAGTTATAAAATAGCAGTTGTATTATGTACCACCCAGAAGTGGTAATGGTTAATACTGCTGCAGATTAATGACTCATAAGGAAGAGGCATTTGATCTACATTTTGAAGAATGAGTTTGAGAGACAGGTATTGGGATGAATAGCACTCGGTGTCAAGAGTGATCCAACTGCTTAATGGATTTAGTGAACCATAAATGCTTTAGTGTGGCAAGAAAGAGAAAAGAATGACAGTAGAGTTATGGAGTGGTTAATGTGACAAAATTAGGAATTTGGGCTTTATCCTGTGGGAAATGGCATGTTGTGAGAATTTGTAAGAAGGAAGGGCGATCTGATGAAATCTATGTTTAAGAATGATAACTTTGGTGAAATAGGGAGGATGGACTAGAAGAATGAGAGGAGAAAGTAGAACACATTAGAAGGTTGTATTGGAAGAGCTCTTCCATTCACAATGCATCTTAAAGTGCCTGTTACATACCAGGGAAACAATAAAAAATAAGTTGTTGAGAGCTTAAAGCCAGTAGATTCAAATGCTGCAGAGAGTAGAAGACACAAATAAACAGAGGCAATTAAGAACTCTAATAAAGCTCAACATTCATCCTAGGATGGCATGCAGAGTCTTCACAAATCAATCTACTTTGCAGTATTATTTCCCAGAATACATTATATAATAGCAAAATTGTACAACTCAGGGCTCCCCATACATGTCTTATGCTGTATCTTTGAAAGCTATTCACTCTACCTGGAATGCCAAATTCTTTCTTCTTCCAGCTTCATATCTAGCCTTCTTTAGTCTCAACATCTGTGGTTATTCTCACTATTGGAACTAGAAACAGAATCCTAATTGATAAATTTACTAATTAGGCACTTCTGATGCAGATATTACAGAATGCTCTGTAATATCTGCATCAGATCAGAGTATTTTTATTTATAGCTGAGTATGGATATTATTCCGTAAACATTCATGAATGCTTATAGAAGACTTATGTGATCTGGAAGGGTCTGTGGGGTTAAGGATTGACAAAGTAGAAACATTGGTTCTGAGATTTTCATCATGATGGTTTAGATGGTGCTTTTGCAACTTGAATGCACTGTGTATTTTAGGCTTTGTTTGTCCTGGGTATATTTAATTTAAAAGCCAATAAATTTGTATTATTAAAGTAATACTAAATATTTATTAAACGAACATTAAAACGTAGAAAAAACTTAAAAGAACAGCATTAAAAACACAGCTTTCTACCCCAGAGGTAACTCCTTCATGCATGTGGATATATTTTCTTTCTTTGATTTACTAACTATTCATTTTGAGTGTATTTTTTAATAGAATTTGCTCTCATTTTGAAAGTGAAACCTAATTTTCATTTTTATCTTTCCATGGAAACAGAGAACCTGTTTATAAACTCATAATTAGCAGATCTTGTTATTCCTTTCAGCTTTAAGTTCAAACCACAAATTTGTAAAATTTTATAAATCGCAGAACTCAACCTTATCAGATCCTTACTGCCCCTAAAGTATTAGCTCACTTGGAGATGGTTTATTTTATATTATAAATAGCTTTAAGGGAATGAAGTTGTACTTCATAAAATAAAAACTAAGTGAGGTTTTTCTTAAAGAAAGGAGAAAGGCACATTATCTCATAGAATATTTATGTGCAATTGGCCTAAGATTAAAAGATTCAGACTATTGAAGAGCAAATTGTTTGCTTCATCATAAAACAGATTCAACTGCAATGATCAGCCCTAATGAAGAGGAGGAGAGGCATAGATAATCTGAAATAGCACATGATACCAAAAAAGAACTTTTAAAAAATGTTCTCAGTAGAGTAGGTTTTTATTGGTGTAGTTTGCTTTGTTTAATTCTTTTTGCTTGTTTGATTGCTTTGTTGATATCTGTAATACCTACTGATAATACTTTCCCTTGGCTAGCATTAGTGTACATTTCTTGACATATATCAGTGGGCTATAGAAGGACAGAGACAAAAATTTGTTTTAACCAAGATTAGAATTTGTTTGCTTAGGGCCTCAGCCCAAGTGAATATCAAATTATAATTAGATTAATCTGGTTCCATTTTATCACATGCTTTTCTGCTGAAATTGAATCTCTCTGACATTAACTTACTAATTCAATAAGAAAAGGACAGGGTGCACAGAGTGATAGTATGTCCTTTTTTCCAATCAGTTGGCACTAGACAGTGTTTGCTGATACTTCGATCTCTGAATCCCTGTAGTCCCATCTTTTCCTAGTCCTTCATTTTCATTCTTTTGGGCTGTGGTTGGTGGACAGTTTTTTCTTTCTCTATTTCCACACGGATAATAGAAGCTTCTTAGTCATGAATAAGAACCTTGAGTATAAAAGAGTAATTACAGCAAAGAAGCATAGTGAGCAGGAGTTTGGAATATGAACATTAAGAAGTTTATATCTTTCCTTTGAAAAAGAGCTTCACTTAGCAGAGGGCAACCATTATTTGTCTTATTGGTTTAATAACTACTAACTTTTCCCCTTATCTCTGACTCAAAATTCATTGTTGGTCTTCAGTATGTAAGGCGGCCAAGGCTGACCTGGTATTTATGGTGGATGGATCCTGGAGCATTGGAGATGAAAATTTCAATAAGATCATCAGCTTTCTATACAGCACTGTTGGAGCCCTGAACAAGATTGGCACAGATGGAACCCAAGTAAGGCTAATAAATAATTAATTCATTCTATGTATTTAGAAATTATTTCTCCAGCTCTTATTACAGCTACTTGTCAGGGACTATAGGTCAAGAACTGTAATGATTGGGTTCAACCTTAAATGAAAGGATAGACAGGTATGTGTTTGGAAGCAGCTTGTTGATGCCTGGCAAAGCTCCAGAGGATGCTTATCCTTAAAAGGTGTTGAGTTCGGCAAACTAAAACAAGGTAGAAAGTCCATGTCAGGGTGTTATTTTTACATACTAGGGTAGAATGTCTCCTTTAATGATACATACAATATTTTCCCTGCCCTTAAGCACTTTAAAATCTTGAAAGGAAAAGGTTAAGGTCACACCTTACTATAGATCATGTGGAACATGAAACTAACTCATTCATTTAAAAAATATGTATCAAGGATTTATTATGGCCATGTACTATACTGTCATAATGAATGTCAATCAATGTCTCTAATTTTGTGGGGCTCATATTCTTAAAAGTAAGGACAGAAGACATACCAGTCAGAATGGCTATTATTAAAAAGGCAAAAAATAACAGATGCTGGCAAGATTGTGGAGAAAAGGGAACACTTACACATCGTTGGCAGAAACGTAAATTAATTCAGCCATTAGATAAAGCACTTTGACAGTTTCTCAAAGAACTTAAAACAGAATTCCCAAACCCAGAAATCCCACTGTTGGATATATACCCAAAGGAATATAAATCATTCTACTGTAAAGACACATGCATGCACATGTATGTTCATTGTGGCAGTATTCACAATAGCAGACATGATATTAACCTAAATGCCCATCAATAGTAGACTGGATAAAGAAAATGTGGTACATATACATCATGGAATATTATGCAACAATAAAAAAGAATGAGCTCATGTCCTTTGCAGCAACATGGATGAAGCTAGAGGCCATTATCCTAAGCAAACTAATGCATAAACAGAAAACCAAATACTGCATGTTCCCACTTATAAGTGGGAGCTAAACATCGAGTACATGTAGACACAAAGAAGGGAAGAGCAAACACCAGGGCCTACTTGTGGGTGGAGGGTAGGAGGATAGTGAGGATCGAAAAATTACCTGTCAGGTAACATGCTGAATATCTGGATGATAAAATAATCTGTGCATCATATCCCATGACTTGCAATTTATCTCTCTAACAAACCTGCACATGTTCCCCTAAACCTAAAAGAAAAGTTAAAAAAAAAAACAAGAGAAAAGGGACAGAGACAGATATAAACAGGCAAGCAAATAGATTCACAAGGTAGGGATGTAAGCTATGAAAACAGAGTGATGTGATTTAAAGATGTCAGGGGATTACTCTAAATTGTGTGTGACAGTTATTTTAAATTGTATGGTAAGCAAAGACCTCTTTGAGGAGGTGCCTTTTGAACTGAGATGTGAATGATGCAGACTTAAAGATCTGAGAATAGAATTTCCAGACAGAGAAAATGATAAG
Organism: Homo sapiens; assembly: GCF_000001405.40. NCBI lineage: Eukaryota > Metazoa > Chordata > Mammalia > Primates > Hominidae > Homo > Homo sapiens. Next base: position 120,271,643 of record NC_000008.11, read on the forward strand.
TACAGAGGACCCAAGGTGAGAATGAGTTTTGAAACTTCATACACCAAAACTTGTGGCTAGAATATAGTAGGTGAGAGTGTGAGGATAGAACAAGTGGAAGAAGCAGGCAAAAGCCAGATCATCTTGAGTCTTGTGGACCATCAAAGGAGTTGAGTATTATCATAAATGCAACTGGAAGTCACTGGAAGGTTTTAAGGAGAGCCAAGATCTGATATGTTTCAGAAAAAAAGATTACCCCAACTGCTTTGTGGCATGTGAATTACTAATAAGAATAAGAGTGCAAGCAGATAGACCAGTCAGGAAGATGCTCTCATGGTCCAGCAGAGTGATCATGGTGGCCTGGACTAGGGTGGTAGCAATGAGGTACACTGAAACAAATGGATTTGGAATATATTGTGAAAGAATGGCTAAGAAAATGTGGGCACAAGAAGTACCGTAAGAGGATAATGGATATTTTGCAGAAACCTTACAAGACAGGAGAGATTAGGGTCCTATTTTTAGCCTCCTTAAACAAAATAACTGTCAGCCAAGAATTCTGAATCCAGCAAAACTAAGTTTTATAAATGGAGGAAAAATAAAGTCATTTTCAGGCAAACAAATGGTGAGAGAATTTGTCACTACCAGACCAGCCCTATAAGAAATGTTAAAAGAAGTTCTAAATTTGGAAACAAAAGGTTGATATACATCAGAATATAACCTCTTGAAAGCATAAAACTCATAGGGCCTATAAAACAATAACACAATGAAGAAAACAAAGTACTTAGGTAACAACATGGTGACTGGAACTGTACCTCACATCTCAATATTAACGTTGAATGTAAATAGCCTAAGTGCTCCACTTAAAAGATGCAGATTAGAAGAATGGATACAAAATCACAAACCAAATATCTGCTATCTTTAAGAGACTCACCTAACATGTAAGGATTTGTATAAACTCAAAGTAAAGGGGTAAAAGAAGATATTCCATGCAAATGGAAACCCAAAGCAAGCAGGAGTAGCAATTCTTATGTCAGATAAAACAGACTTTAAAGCAACAATAGTAGAAAAAAAAGACAAAGAAAGTCATTATATAATGATAAAAGGATTGATCCAACAAGAAGATATTACAATCCTACATTTATATGGACTTAACTCTGGAGCTCCCAGATTCAGAAAACAATTACTGCTAGACCTAAGAAGTAAGACAACAACACAATAATAGTGGGGAACTTTAACACTCCACTAGCAGCACTAGACAGATAATCAAGACAGAGAATCAACAAAGAAGCAATGGTCTCAAACTACACTCTAGAACAAATGGACCTAACATGTATTTACAGAAGATTCTATACAAGAAGTGCAGAATATACATTCTTCACATCAGCATATGGAACATTTTCCAAGCTAGACCATGATAGGCCACAAAACAAGTCTCAATAAATTTTTAAAAATCAAAGTCATATCAGGCATCTTCTCAGACCACAATGGAATAAAACTAGAAATCAACTCCAAAAGGAATCCTCAAAAGTATACAAATACTTGGAAATTAAACCATTTGCTCCTGAATGATTTTTGGGTTAATAATAAAATCAAGAAGGAAATTTAAAAATTATTTGGAATGAAAGATAATACTTACACAAGTTGTCAAAACCTCTGACATACAGTAAAAGCAGTTCTAAGAGGAAAATATATAGCACTCAATGCCTACATCAAAAAGTCTGAAAAAGCACAAATTGGCAACCTAATGTCACACCTCAAGGAACTAGTGAAACAAGAACAAACCAAAGCCAAAGCTAGCAGAAGAAAAGAAATAACAAAAATCAGAGCAGAACTAAATGAAATTGAAACAAAAAGCAATAAAAAAGATCAATGAAACAAAAAATTGGTTCTTTGAAAAGATAAACAAAATTGATAGACCATTAGCTGGTTTAACCAAGAAAAAAGAGAGAAGGTTCAAATAGTCTCAATTAGAAATGAAAATAGAGACATTACAACCAACACCACAGAAATGCAAAAGATTATTCAAGACTATTATGAACACCTCTATACATAGAAACTACAAAATCTGAAGGAAATGGATAAATTCCTGGAAACAACAACCCCCCTAGATTAAATCAAGAATAAGCCCTGAGCAGACCAACAACAGGCAGTGAGATTGCATCAGTGATTTTAAAACAGTTTTCCAAAAAAAAAAAAAGGCCCAGGGCCAGATGGATTCACAGATGAATACTACCAGACATTCAAAGAAGAATTGGTACCAATTGTATGGAAACTATTAGGTTGGTGCAAACCACAACTACTTTTGCACCAACCTAATATTCTAAAAGATTAGAAGGGGAATTCTCACTAAATCTTTTTGTGAAGCCAGTATTACCTGATACAAAAACCAGTAGAGGACATAATGAAAAAGAAAATTACATGCCAACATCCCTTGTGAACATAGACGCAAAAATAATCAACAAAATACTAGCTAAACAAATCCAACAACACATCAAGAAGATAATACGCTGTGATCAGGTGGATGTCATCCCAGGGACACAGAGAGGGCTTAACATACACAAGTCAATAAATGTGATACATCACATAAACAGAATTAATAACAAAAACCATATGTTCATCTCATAGATGCAGAAAGCATTCAATAAAATCCAGCATCCCTTTATGATAAATACTTTCAACAAATTGGGAATAGAAAGGACATACCTCAAAATAATAAATGCTATATATAGCAACCTCACAGCCAAAATCATACTGAATGGAAAAAAGTTGATAGCATTCCTTCTGAGAACTGGAACAAGACAAAGATACTCATTTTCACCGCTTCTATTCAAGATAGTACTGGAAGTCCTAGCCAGAGCAATCAGGCAAGAGAAAATAATAAAGGGCATCCAAACTGGAAAAGAAGAAGTTAAACTATTACTGTGTGCCAATGATATGATCATATACCTAGAGAACTTAAAGACTTCTCCAAAAGACTCCTAGATTTGATAAACAAATTCAGTAAACTCTTAGGTTACAAATCAATGTATACAAATCAGTAGCACTGCTATACACCAACGATCAATTCTGAGATAAGAGATAAGGCCTGAGGATCAAATCAAGAACATAATCACTTTTACAATAGCTGCAAAAAAAATAGACATACCTAGGCATATATTATACTTAACTAAAGAGATGGAAATTCTCTTCAACAAGAATCACAAAACACTGCTAAGAGAAATCAGAGATGACACAAACAAATGGAAGCATCCCATGCTCATGGATTGAAATAATTCTTATGAAAATGATCATATTTCCCAAAGCAATCTACAGATTCAATGCAATTCCTATACAAATATCAACATCGTTTTTCACAGAATTAGAAAAAAAATCCTGAAATTCATATGGAACCCAAAAAGAGCCCAAATAGCCAAAGCACTCCTAAACAAAAAGAAAAAAATCTGGAGGCATCACATTACCTGACTTCAAAGTATACTACAAGACCATAGTTACTAAAACAGCATGATACTGATATAAAAATAAGCACATAAACTAATGGAACAGAAGAGAGAACCCAGAAATAAAGTCAAATACATACAACCAACTGATCTTGGACAAAACATTCAAAAACATAAATTGGGGAAATGACACCCTATTTAATAAATGGCACTGGGAAAACTGGATAGCCACATGTAGAATGAAACTGGATCCCTACCTCTCACCTTATACAAAAATCAACTCAAGATGGATCAAAGCCTTAAATCTAAGACCTGAAATGATAAAAATTCTAGGAGATAACCTGCGAAAAACTCTTCTGGACATTGACCTGGCAAGGAATTTATGACTAAGACTCCAAAAGCAAATTCAACAAAAACAAAAATAAATAAATGGTACCTAATTAAACTAAAAACCTTCTGAACAGCTAATCATCAGAGTAAACAGAAAACACAAGAATGGGAGAAAATATTTGCAAACTATGCATCTGACAAAGAACTAATATCCAGAATCTACAAGAAACACACACAAATCAGCAAGAAAAAAACAAATATCTCATCAAAAAATGGGAAAATGGCATGAATAAACATTTCTCAAAAGAAGATACACAAATGGCCCACAAACATATGGAAAAATGCTCAACATCACTAATCATCATGGAAATGCAGATTAAAACCACAATGAGATACCTCCTTGCCCCTGTAAGAATGGCCATTATTATAAGTCAAAAAACAATAGATGTCGGTGTGGATGTGGTGAAAAGGAAATATTTATACACTGCTGGTGGGCATGTAATTTAGTATAACCTCTATGGAAAACAGTGTGGAGATTTCTTAAAGAACTAAAAGTAGATTTACCTTTGGTTCCAGCAATCCCAGTACTGGCTATCTACCCAAAGGAAAAGAAGTCATTATGTCAAAAGACACCAGTAAACATATGTTTATTTTAGCACAATTCACAAATGCAAAGATATAGAACCAACTTCAGTGCCTGTCATCCAATGAGTAAAGACAATGTTATATATATATGTAAAAAAATATATTATATATATATTTTACACAAACACACACCATGGAATACTACTCAGCCATAAAAAAGAACAAAGTAATGTACTTTGCAGCAGCTTGAATGGAGGCCATTATTCTAAGTGAAGTAATTCAGGAATGGAAAATCAAATACCGTATGTTCTCACTTTTAAGCGAGAGCTAAGCTGTAGCTACACAAAGGAACACAGGGTGGTATAATGGACTTGGAGACTCAGAGTGGGGAGGGTGGAAGGTGGATGAAGGATAAAAAAACTACATACTAGATAGAATGTACACTACTTGGGTGATGGGTGCACTAAAATCTCAAACCTTGCCACTATACAATTCAACCATGTAACCAAATACCCTTGTACTCCAAAAGTATTGTAAATAAAAATAGGTTCCCCACCCTGTGTCCAAGTGTTCTCATTGTTCAATTCCCACCTATGAGTGAGAACATGCAGTGTCTGGTTTTCTGTCCTTGTGATAGTTTGCTCAGAATGCTGGTTTCCAGTTTCATCCATGTCCCTTCAAAGGACATGAACTCATCCTTTTTTATGGCTGCATGGTGGGGGTAAGGGGGAGGGATAGCATTAGGAGATATACCTAATGTAAATGACGAGTTAATGGGTGCAGCACACCAACATGGCACATGTATACATATGTAACAAACCTTCACATTGTGCACAGGTACCCTAGAACTTAAAGTATAATAATAAAAAAAAATAAAATAAAATTAGGTTATTAAAAAAGAGGAGAATAGGTAACATGCTGAGGCATGTCAGAAAGAAGCAAGTTCCCTTTGAATTGCAGGAGACTTTATAAAAATGGTGACATGTCCAGTAGACTGATAAACTGGCAGCAGCTTAAGGCCCATTTAAACAAAGCTCTCGAAAGATGCTATCTTTACTTATTAAATCATAATTCTGAAAAACAAATAAAAAACAATTAAAAATGATCCAAAAGTTCCACAGGAATAAAAGCCAGTTGTAAGAACTGAAGCCAGAAAGCTTTGTATAGTAGTGGTTAAGAACATACATTTTGACCTAGAATAGACCTAACTTCAACTGTTGACTCTGCCAGTGACCACTCTTGTGATGTGCAAGTAACTTGTCTTTTGCAGCTCAGTTTCCTCAAGTGTAAAGTGAGTAGAATAGTAGTAATTACTTCATAGGTTTGCTTCATAAGGAAATCTTTGTAAAGAGTCTAACTCTGATTTTCGGACATTTGTCAAGTTACCAAGCTTAGGCTGCCATTTTTAAACTGTCAAATGAGGTGGCAAAAATCCTACAAGCTTGAAAGATTTTTAAAAAACTACTTTCTGAAAGTACTGAGAGACACATGCACTCCTATGTTCATTGCAGCACTATTCACAGTAACAAACATGGAATGCCCATCAATGGTGGACTGCGTAAAGAAAATGTGGTGAACATACAGCAAGAAATACTACGCAGCCATAAAAAAGAACAAAATCATGTTCTTTGCAGCAACACGGGTGCCTCTGGAAGCCATTATCTTGTGCAAATTAACACAGAAACATGAAACCAAATACTGCATGCTCTCACTTAGAAGTGGGAGCTAAACATCGAGTACACACGGACGTAAAGACGGGAACAATAGACACTAGGGGCTACTAGTAGGGGGAGAATAGAAGGAGGCTGAAGGTTGAAAAACTGCCTATTGGGAACTATGCTCACTACCTGGGGGACAGAATCATTTGTACACCACCTCTCAGTGACATGCCGTTTACCCATGTAACAAACCTACACAATGTACCCTCTGAATCTAAAATAAAATTTTTAAAAAAGAAAAGATGTATTTAATTTGTCTTCAAATTTGGTATGTAACTTGTATGAAAGAAATTTTAATCCAAGCAGATTTTGTAATGAGATAATGAAGAAATTAAAACTACAGGTGACACTGTGCTGTTGCTCTCTGACCCAGTGGAAGTCTACATATGTGTGAAAATGAATACACCTTCTCTCTCCAGGTTGCAATGGTTCAGTTCACTGATGATCCCAGAACAGAATTTAAACTAAATGCTTACAAAACCAAAGAGACTCTTCTTGATGCAATTAAACACATTTCATACAAAGGAGGAAATACAAAAACAGGTATGACCAAAAGAAGCCCAGCTAAGGCTCAAAGTAATTCATTATTTGTAACTACTGAAATGACCTTTTATTTTAAGGCATAGTAATTTTTTAAAGATTTTTTTTTTCATTAATTTAAGAACTTTGTTCCCACCCTTTCTTCTCCAGAAAAACAAAAATGGGAGGGAGTGAAATCAAACTGTTGCCTTTCTTTGTTTCAGGAAAAGCAATTAAGTATGTTCGAGATACCTTGTTCACTGCAGAGTCAGGTACAAGAAGGGGCATCCCAAAGGTTATCGTGGTTATAACTGATGGAAGATCACAAGATGATGTGAACAAAATCTCCAGGGAGATGCAATTAGATGGTAAGATATATAAACAATAGTGGCTACCAAATATGATGTTAGAATTGTTATTTTCTAAATACAAATTTATAGGCTATATCAGCATTACTTAAATGTTTTAAAATATTTCTTCATATTAACTAGACAGTGTAATTTTTAAAATACTTTCTGGTATACAAATCTGTAATTGTACTGCTTTGTTAGAGAAAATAGGTTATTTTCTCTAACACTTTTGTTACATACAGGATGCCCTTTATATGGAACTCTAGCAATTAAGTACTGTAAGAAAAGGACCAGGGAAAGAATCTTATTACAGAAACTCCTCAGCCTCTTAATCATACCCAAATGTCCATCGATGACAGACTGGATAAAGAAAATGTGGCACATATAAGCCATGGAATACTATGCAGCCATAAAAAAGAATGAGTTCATGTCCTTTGCAGGGAAATGGATGAAGCTGGAAACCATCATCCTCAGCAAACTAACACAGGAACAGAAAACTAAACACCACATGTTCTCACTCATAAGTGGGAGCTGAACAATGAGAACACATGGACACAGGGAGGGGAACATCACACACGGGGGCCTGTCGGGGGTGGGGGGCAAGGGAGGGAGAGCATTAAGACAAATACCTAATGCATGCAGGGCTTAAAACCTAGATGACAGGTTGATAGGTGCAGTAAACCACCATGGCACACGTATACCTATGTAAAAAACCTGCATCTTCAGCACGTGTATCCCAGAATTTAAAGTAAAATTGTGTAAAAAAGAAAAAATATTGATTGAATGTATATATATATATATGGACCAGGGAAGGAACCTTATTACAGAAATTCCTCAGCCTCTTAATCTGTAAAATAGAGATTCTCACAGGACTGCTGTGAAGATTAAATTACATAAGTTATGGCAAATAGTAGTTCTATTTACTTGCCAAGCATTGAATGGTGGCCCACCTTAGGTTGCTAGGCCTATTAATGTCTCAGCTTCTACTTCTGAAAAAAAAAAAAAAAACTGAGATAAGCTCAGTGTCTCTGTTTCAAGTATATTTCATACCATAAATGTTAAAAGTAACTTTTAAGAATATGCAACCATAGAGATATTACTCAAATGCAAACTACTTCGTCTCAGGCACAATTTGGGGCCTTGGTCTTCTTGGGTTTCTTTAAAATGGAAAATCTCTTTAGGGGATGATGGAATCATTATCACATAATGAAATATATACATGCAGAACTCTGATGAACTGTAAAGAATGAATTATCCACCCCCATGGGCCTTCCTAAATAAACATATTTTAAACAGTTGGATGTGTCTTATATTACATTATTTGTGTTTTGTACAATTTAAAGTAATCGGAAATCTGTTCTCTGTCTGCCACAGGCTATAGCATTTTTGCAATTGGTGTGGCCGATGCAGATTACTCGGAGTTGGTTAGCATTGGCAGTAAGCCCAGCGCACGCCATGTCTTCTTTGTGGATGACTTTGACGCCTTTAAGAAAATCGAAGATGAGTTAATTACTTTTGTCTGCGAAACAGCATCAGCAAGTTAGTTCTTTGGAATTTGTACTTACTCATGTTGCTTAACAGCTGAAATATTTGACACTGGTTAAATAGTGAGTCCGATCTAGATCTGAGAAAAGAATATTGACTTCCAGTACTGCTTGTTATATAGACATTAAGTTTTGTGGCTTTGAGCATATGGAAATAAACCTCCCCTCCTCTGTTTAGAGTTTAGAATGATAAAAACCTTCCCTAATCAGATGACAGTCTATGTTTAAAAGCAACTGTGCTTAAACAGATGTAGTAAATAATTTTCAATGTATTAAGAATGTATTAAGATGTAAAATGTATTAAGAATTCTCATCTGGGCAACATATTACAAGGGAGATGTGCCCCAATACATGCTCTCAGGTGATAACCACTGATTTTAATGAACCCAGGAGAGAAGGAAGCTGTGGTCCTTTAGTTGTAATAAGGGACCTTAGCACATTTCAATCTTCATGAAACCACAGAAAACCATAGTCACATTTGATTTGTATTCTCTCCACAATCAACTTCTGGAAAGATTGTATTAGTTTCCTGTTCTCAGGACAGGGAAAGAGTATGTTTGTGAAATATCCGAATTAGAGTTTTATTTTGTTTGTTTGGTTTTCCAGCCTGTCCAGTGGTACACAAGGATGGCATTGATCTTGCAGGTATGCATTATCACAATCTTTTCAAACACAAAATATATTACAGGCCTCTCAATTGGGGATGGGGTTTCTGTTTTTGTTTTTAAATCCTTAATAGAAAAATATTAAAATTTAAAATTCTAAAGTGCCATATTCCTTATGTTTATTCTTTTTCTACTTTTTTTTTTTTTTTAGGATTTAAGATGATGGAAATGTTTGGTTTGGTTGAAAAAGATTTTTCATCAGTGGAAGGGGTTTCTATGGAGCCTGGTACCTTCAATGTGTTTCCATGTTACCAACTCCATAAAGATGCCCTGGTTTCCCAGCCAACCAGGTATGTTTCTGTTGAAAGATTTTAAAGTCATCGTATGTTTATTATATCTCACTGTGAAAATGATGTCAACTTGAAATATGGTGTAATAGTCCCAGGTAGGATTTTCCACGACATTTAGAGTAGAAGATATTTACATTTCTTTGTTTAAAAACACCAGACTCACACATAATGCGGGTTGAACTTTAACATCTGCTGATCTGAGACAACATATAAAAATGATTGCTGGATGCTGTGGCTCATTCCTGTAATCGTAACACTTTGGGAGGCCAAGGTGGGAGGATCACTTGAGGCCAAAAGTTTGAGAGCAGCCTGGGCAACAAAATAAGAGTCTCTACAAAAACATAAAAATAAAAAAATTAGCTGGGCATTGTAGTGTGCACCTGTAGTCCCAGCTACTCTGGAGACTGAGGTGGGAGGATTGCTTGAGCTCAGGAGGTTGAAGCTGCAGTGTGCCATGATCACGCCACTGCACCTCAATCTTGGTGAAAGAGCAAGACCCCGTCTTTAAAAAAAAAAAAAAAAAGTTGATACTTATATAGCACTACTCCCAGCCATCTTTCTAAATGCTTATGTACACTAACTCACTCAAACCTCCAGACACCTCTATGAAAGTAGATTCTATTATTATCTAAATTTTACAGATAATGAATCAGAAACACAAAGAAGCTAAATGACTTGAGTGAGCTCACATAGTTAAATGGCAATGTTGGAATTTATATCCAGCTATCAAGCTCCAGTGCTCAGATCCTGAACCATTTCATGATAGTGCTATATGGTTCAAATGGCTTTTATCTTTGAGACAGTCACAACAGCAACTCTAGAAAGTTGAAGAGTAGTAATCAGGTTTATATAAAAATTGCATTACTTAGCTACTTTATAGACACATTTGCCTTATTCTTGTTTCTTTTTTTTTATTATACTTTAAGTTTTAGGGTACATGTGCACATTGTGCAGTTTAGTTACATATGTATACATGTGCCATGCTGGTGCGCTGCACCCACTAACTTGTCACTTGGAACCAACCCAAATGTCCAACAATGATAGACTGGATTAAGAAAATGTGGCACATATACACCATGGAATACTATGCAGCCATAAAAAATGATGAGTTCATGTCCTTTGTAGGGACATGGATGAAATTGGAAATCATCATTCTCAGTAAACTATCGCAAGAACAAAAAAGCCTTATTCTTGTTTCTATCTCTGGATCCCCAGCAAATTAGATGGTGTCTGTCCACATTGAAGGCAGATCTGCCCCACCTAGCTCACTCAGACTCGCACGCTAATATCCTCTGGAGACACCCTCACTGATATACTCCAAAATAATGCTTTACCAGGTTTCTAGATATTCCTTAATCCGGTCAAGTTGAAACCTAAAATTTTCCATCACAGGACCTTTGTCAGTTTATTTGCTGATGTATCTTAAATGTCTGTTACAATGTCTGGCATATAGTTGGCACTCAAAAATACTTATTGAATGGACAAATGAATTAATGAATATATAAATAAATGAATATTTATTTTTATCTATGCAAACCAAACTTTCATTTTCAAACGCACGCTAAACTTGCACATTTATTTATTCAATTAATAACTATTATGGGGTTCCTACTATATGTAAAGGGTTGTATTTTTTTGCTTGGAGGAAGATTTAAAAAGTAAATGAGTAAAAGTAACATTAGTTGTTAGAAAGAGAGACAAGATGATATTTTAGGTTGGGCTCTTCAGGAAGCAGATTTTCTGGGAGAGATTAGCATGTGGGAAGTTGATGAGGGTGTTCCCTCATGGAAGGGAACAGCAGGACACAGGACAAGCCAAGAGGGAGAAGTCAAGCTGTGAAGAATCTCAGTAAAAGCCTCCACCCACCCAGAAGAGTTCTGAAAATGGTATGGCCCCTCAGATCTGTCTCCCATTGGGTTCAGGGGTTCAGGTCCTTATACTTCCTCAATGACCAGTCATTGAAAAGAGGTTTCCTAGTAAGGTGGCATGACCTTGGGAGAGGCATCCTTTTTCAGCCAAGACAATTTCTGAAGGGGGATTGGTGTCTGAAACCTGTCTGCAGACAACACTCCCAGGACCAGGGGTAATGTACCCTTAATTTTGGAAGGTGGATCTGGATGGTGCAACACAGATGGGAATGCAATTGACTACAATATGTAGTAGAAAGTGATAATGTCATAAGTTATGTTTTACAAAAGGATAATAGATCAACATAGTTTATTACATGAAAACCTTTGACACTACTAAAATGTTCAGTGAGAAGTGACTGATTAGGTAAGTGATAAAATAGCCAAACAAGAGAAGACTGTACAGCCATGAAATATCATGCTCTTAAAAATATTTAAGGAAATGGAAAATGACTATTAAATGGTGCTAAGAAAGGGACAAAATGATATAAATTGGACAAATGCACACATTCTTTACTAAATTAGATCAACAGTGATCTAGTTGGTGTTAATGGTGGTCTTTTCTGTTTTTCCAAATCTTGTGTAATGAAAATGTATTTGCTTTATAATCAAAGGAGTAACTTTTTTGAGGAAGGATACAATGAAACATGGTTTTCTTTCTATGTTCAGGTACTTGCACCCAGAAGGATTGCCCTCCGACTACACAATCAGTTTTCTATTCCGGATTCTTCCTGACACTCCACAGGAGCCATTTGCTCTTTGGGAGATTTTAAATAAAAATTCTGACCCATTGGTTGGGGTTATTTTAGACAGTAAGTATATTTATTGAGATCACATTCACATATACATGTATGAGTAATGTATGTGGCATGCCATTTTGCCTGTTTGTGTATATTACAGAGTAACTCACTAATCTTATGTGATGTGTAAATACTAAACAATGAATTATATAGCAGTTGGTTTATCCATTTATTCTCTTATTCTTTCAACAAATATTTCTTGAGTTCCTATTTTGTGCCAACACTAAGCCTGGGATGCAGTAGTGAGGAAGGAGAAGAGAGAAAAACAATTTTTACTGGGAGAGGGAAAACTACAGACAGAGCAAGGCCCTTGGAGGGTCAATGGGAGGGGTGGGACCACAGTTCATTTTTTGGACATAGACATAATAAAAGTAAGATGCATATTTGATATCCCAGAATGGATGTCAGATTGACAGCAGCATATTTAGAAAGAATTCTGGGATGGAGATGTACATTTGAAAGTTGTGTGTCTTTGCTATACAAGCCATGAGACTGGGTGGGATCAACTAGAAAATGAGTCTAGAAAGAGCAGAGAATAAGTCTGGAGGCTGGGAAATGCCAATGTTTGGAGGTTGGAAACGTGAGGAAGAACCAATGAAGGAAGCTTCTTAACCTTGTGCTCTTGGATGTTGTACCATCAACCTCAAGCTCTTGGATGTTGTACATGATGATCACTTAAGCAGATCAACTTTTTGGTTAATATCACTGAATTTTCTATATCTAGTTTTAGTTTAGGATTCCAATGAACCTAGGAACCAAAATTTGGAGGCTATTACTAGGTGCTAAGTCACACATTCGGATAAGGAAAGTATTAAGCTTATTTCCGACTAGTATTTGTAAAAGGATTTTTCAGTACATGGAAACTAATCAACAACTAAATATGATATTGTGGAAGCATTTTGCATTGATATTAAAACTAAGGAAAAGCTGTAGATTGAAAGGGTATATGTTACTAACTTCATATATACCTGGGACTTGAAAATGAAGAATTTTCTTAAAATGATTAAGACTAGCTTGCTCCTTTTGAAAACAGAGGTATTAATTTGTAGCATAGGAATGAATTAGAAAGAAAAAAGATTAGATAAATGAATAATATGAATTATTCTCTCACAAGGTTAGTAATGCTTTGTATGCATATATTCTTTATTCTATTTGCTATTGAACAAAGGCATTTAAAAAAAAATTCCATAGGGCTTTGGATCTCAAATTTCAGCTGGAGTGAGAATCTTTTCTCTTTCTAATTCATAGTATCTTTTAAATAATAAAATATTCCTTGTAATAGGAATAATTTAAGATTAGAAAAATTTTTGCTTGTTTGTTCATAATGAATGAAATATCTTGGGTGGTGTAATTTGCACATCCTAGGAAAGTTGGTTGCTGCAGTGGGTTAAAAAGACAAAGGGCCGGCCAGGCACGGTGGCTCACGCCTGTAATCCCAGCACTTTGGGATGCTGAGGTGGGCAGATCATGAGGTCAGGAGATCGAGACCATCCTGAACATGAGGTCAGGAGATCGAGACCAAGCCGTCTCTACTAAAAATACAAAAAATTAGCTGGGCGTGGTGGCGGGTGCCTGTAGTCCCAGCTACTTGGGAGGCTGAGGCAGGAGAAAGGTGTGAACCCAGGAGGTGGAGCTTGCAGTGAGCCAAGATCATGCCACTGCACTCCAGCCTGGGTGACAGAGCGAGACTCCATCTCAAAAAAAAAAAAAAAAAAAAAAAAGAGACAAAGGGCCTGGTTTCTATTCTTTAAGATTTGATAAACTTAAAGCAGCTGTGTCTGCCTCTACTTCCAGCTTTGGACAGTTTCTCCCAGGAGAGTGATGGGAATGAGAGTCTGGGCAAGGAAGTACAGAGGTAAGAGTATGTGTAGGAGTCTTTGCCTCACTGTCATCACCAAGTGGCTTAATCAGTTCATGTAACCAACTAAAAGTCTGCGGCAACCTGGGGACTGTAGAACACTTCCTTACTCATCACATCATTCTAAATACAGTTTCAAAACAATCGATGCATTGTTTTGTTTTGAGTTGAATTTTAGAAAACAAAATTCACCTACTTTAATTATTTCTAAAATATTTTTATTTTTCTTTCAATAGATGGTGGGAAAACTCTAACATATTTCAACTATGACCAGAGTGGGGATTTTCAAACTGTTACTTTCGAAGGACCTGAAATTAGGAAAATTTTTTATGGAAGCTTTCACAAGGTTAGTAATGCTTTGTATGCATATATTCTTTATTCTATTTGCTATTGAACAAAGCCATTTAAAAACAATTCCATAGGGCTTTGGATCTCAAATTTCAGCTGGAGTGAGAATTTCCTTTGTGCTTGTTAACAATACCTGTGCTTGTTAACAGATTCTGATTTGGTAGTTCTGAGAGAGGACCCTGAAATGTGCATTTTTTTTTTTGGCAGGCACTCCCGAAAATAAGGGGGCACTTTCCTCTTTGAGGAAAAATGTAGTTAAGGATATGGCATTACCAAGTGGACAGTTGCTCATTTGCTACATTAGGTGCGATGTAGAAAAGATTGCTGGTCTAGCTGGTACAACTAGCTATCTATGAGTGCAGAAGAAAGCACAATCAGCTGAATCATCTTAAAATGTGCAGATAGGGATAACTGATTGCACCAATACTTTTACATATATACAAGTGCAATCCATCACTGTCATCATAACAGTTACCCTGCGGAAAAATTTTATAAAACCTAAGTTTACTTGTCATTATTTAATTTAATTTATTTATTTATTAATTTATTTATTTTGAGATGGAGTCTTGCTCTGTTGCCCAGGCTGGAGTGCAGTGGCGCGATCTTGGCTCACTACAAGCTCTGCCTCCCGGGTTCACGCCATTCTCCTGCCTCAGCCTCCCGAGGAGCTGGGATTACAGGCATCTGCCACCATGCTTGGCTAATTTTTTGTATTTTTAGTGGAGCCAGGATTTCACCATATTAGCCAGGATGGTCTCGATCTCCTGACCTCGTGATCCACCTGCCTTGGCATCCCAAAGTGCTGGGATTACAGGCGTGAGCCACCGCGCCTGGCCACTTGTCATTATTTTAATAACTCAGCACTTGTGGTATAACTATGTTCCTTAACATTTGCTTCTCAGAAACACTTACCTGTGGTGATCATTGGGGTGGACATCTACCAACATCTACTGCTTCCTTTGTATTTGAATAATCCCACTGATCTGTAGTGTTAAGCAGTGCAGCACCTACGCTGCAGGATGAGCAGAACATTTACTAGGTGGTGTAGAAAAATGCTTTGCTTCCTAACCAGGCCCTTACTGCCCTTTTAAAGTGAGAGAAGGGATGCTGCATAGCAATTTTCTTGGCTCCTGTCTCATGGCCCAGAATGCGGTCAAATCAATCTAATTTATGCAACTTTGCTACTTTCTGTGGTTTTGAATATCGTAATTGCATACCACATAATTGCATAAGAACAGTTGCTAAAAAAAAAAAAACAACTTGCTTTTTTTCCTGTTTAATAGGACTGTACTACCAGAAGAAAAGGTATCTGAAAAGCACATGAGATACAGTGGAGATTTATTAGTTCATGGCTCAAAGTGGTCCCATTAGCAGCTCTTAGGACTTAACATTGTTTACTCACCAAATTCCTCTTGGCATGTTTATTTTCTTGGTTATGGAGAGTGTATTGCAAAATAGTAAAAAATAAAATTGTTTGGGAGATGAAAAGCGTTTGAGATTTCATGAGTGTTAAAAGAAACATTGTCATTTTAGCCCATGGTTTAGGCATGAACTTGTAATTCTCATTCCAAAGAATCCTTTGTAAGTCTTAGGTGAAGGTTAAGCTTTATTTCCTTACCAGAAGAACTCAAGAAGTGAGGTTCATTAAAAATCGATTTAAAATTTATAAACCTTCAAATTTTTAAAAGTTATATGAAGGAAGACTTCCCTCTACTTTAAGTGTTAATAAAGCCAAAAAGCCAAACAAGGAAAAAAATTCAAAAAAGGCTTCTCATGTGACAAAATACTTTATAATAGACCTATTAATAGAATATCTCAATGCAAATTCAATTTGTAGAAGTCGAATTCTATTTGTTCATAGACTTATAAATGAATAAATACTTTATCTTAATTTCTCATTGATTTTCAGTTAGTTTTATTTTTTACACTTTGGCTATGAAGTGTGGGCCCAAGGTCTCTTTCAAAAAGTTTTAATTATATAAATGGGCACTTAAGTGCAACCAAAGAAGCAAAATATCTTTGAAAAATTTTCAATATCTCCTTTTGTAAAGCAAAAAAAAAAAAAATTAAGCATGTGAATAACTCCCCACAAGTTAACAATTCTTAAGGCAGGGGTACTAGAAACTAAGTTTTCTAGCACCCAGTATGAAAATTTCTGTAATCTATAATATTGGAAAGTGTTCTAAGGCTCAAAAACACATAAGAGTTGAATTATACTCTAGTAAATGATTGCAACAGAGATGTTAATAAGAAGCAAGGAATGTGGTGGGGTTTATTCCATCAATGTTTCCATACTTGGGCAATAGTTAATTCCTTTTTGAAGGAAAAGGATTCTCAAGAGTCCCACTGTTGACTTACATTATTTGTATCATGATCTAACTCAAATAAAACATGAAATAACAATTGGTGTAAGTCCATGTGCTTTCAGCTCGTATGCAACAATGAAACAAAAATGAAGTTGAACAAAACCAGTAAAATTAAAAGTAACACTATCTTAATGTGAAAGAGGACATTATTTCATTGACATTCAACCTGTACTTACAATGTGAATACACTGCTAGCTACTATAACTCCCATAACTTTGATTGTATTGCCCAAGATTGTTTTTCTTTGAACTACCATGATACCTTACCTTAAACAGATTTGTAACTTCTTTTGGCTTTTACTTAGGGCAAAACCGTTATTTGCCTATTAATTTCACCCCATAACCTTGATTGTATTGACCAACATGGTTTTTCTTTGAACTACCGTAATGCCTTATCTTAAACAGATTTGTAACTTCTTTTGGCTTTTACTTAGGGTGAAATCATTATTTACCTATTAATTTGACTCTTTTAGCTCATCAGTCTGCCAAAAACAAGTACTGTAGTACTCGTGAGGTTAATGCCATTGTAAGTTACAATGCATATATAAGCACTGAAATTTTATGGCAGAACTTGGACATAGAGTAGTTATCCAGTTCATCTAGAATATACCTAACTTTGACTATCACCTAAATAAGACAGATTTTACGAGTCCTTACAAAGAATGTGTCAACTCCTGAAAATATCACGGACCTCCAGATTCTTGAGATTCTAGTTTGAGAAAAATGTACCATACACTAAGCTAAACAGCTTTATTTTATTTGAACCTGGGTTCACCAGAAAGCATTCCTTCTTCCCCCTCAGATTCTAGATCCCCTTTCCTCATCCTAAATTAAATAAATATTTTTGAAGTGTGGTTTGCCAACCACTCGTGGTGCTTTGGATGATTGTTGGTGATACATCAACAAAGATTTTTAATTTTAATATTTTTGTGTTAATTTTAATGTGCATTCAGAAAAGGCATGGCTAGTACAGCAGTCCTGTAATTTCAAAGATGCGATTGCTCTCGAGTTAGGCCGGACTTTAAAAAGTGAATCCTTTCAAAGCCATTTTAGAAAGAAGTGTTAAATAGATAAAAATAGAGATGGTACTTGAATATGGGAAAATCATGGAGATGATAAAAGTAGAAATTTTCTCTTTTGGCAAAATACATGGTGACAGAATTCTTTCTCTTCTCTTTCATACTTTGTAATGATGAATCATACAATTATACAAATTTGGTTGATATTTCCTTCTGTTTCTTACCTCCTAAAACATCTTACTTTTACCTAGCTACACATTGTTGTCAGTGAGACTTTGGTCAAAGTGGTTATTGACTGCAAGCAAGTGGGTGAGAAGGCAATGAACGCATCAGCTAATATCACGTCAGATGGTGTAGAAGTGCTAGGGAAAATGGTTCGATCAAGAGGACCAGGTGGAAACTCTGCACCGGTAAGTGAATAAACCCGTGAAGCTGTGTTATTGTTAAGGGAGAGAAATTATTTTAAAGTACATTAGCTATTTTCCAGGGGAAAGGTTTAACAAAAAGATGAATGGATAAATGGATGGATGAATGAATGGATGGATGGATGGATGGATAGATGGATGGATAAATAAATAATGGCCTCTTTAAATGAATTAAGACATGTACATTCAAAGCTTGTGGTAGTATGCTTCCACTGTATTATATGGAATATGCATTAGGAATTAGGCTAGTTTATTTTCTAAGTGCATTTTAAAATTTAAATAGTAAAATATTCATCACATGGTTTGGGGCATAAATGGTTTTTAGAAAAGAATTACAACTGCAAATGAACCTCATTTATATAAGCAAATACAAATCCACACAAAATTAGTGAATATTATACACAGGAAATTGACATAAGCCTCTTATTTGGGTTAGATTTGGGCATTTTAAAACTAGGTTTTGCTATCACTAATGTAAAGTTTACCCTTTAATTATTGTGATTATTGAGTAACATACCATTCTAAGATAATATATTTTTTACCTTACAACATGGAATTTAAATCTGAGAGACTTCCAGTTGGCAAAGAAATCACATTCCCATCACTCATTACCCACAAAAAAAAGAATAGTGCACACAGTTTTTTGTGTTAATACTGTGTATTCACAGCTAATTAGCAGCATTCTCTAATTTGAGTCATTCTATAGTGAGGCATTTTATTCTTGTAAACAATCCCAACTGTTCTAATCTACACTTCTCTTATGTAATAGAACAATCAAGATAATTATGAATTACTATTGTCTCCCACTTTCATAGATCTGTAGAATTAGCCAGTTATACAAGAGCTGGTAGTTCTCCAAGACTTTTAAAGCTGAAGATCACTTTGTAAAAATGAAATCCTATACTATGTCAAATAAATAAAACAGACCCATGGTTCTAATTCCACTACCATTCACTTAGTACACAGGAAATAGTCCAAGTGGGAGAGTGATTTACTTTGGGGCACTTTGCTATTTTGCAGCATTTATTTTTGTGGTAACAATAGAAGTGAATGGTAGCAATGTGTCCCCTTATGTATAGGGGGACACTGAAGCTTTCAGACCTTGATAGGTAGATGATGCTAAGTAGTTTAACACTTACAGTTGAAGTATCTTTAAAAGTTCCTTTGTTTCTACTTTGCTTTGGAGAATTATGGATTAGATGTTTAGGAAGAGAATGTGAAAGCTATGGAAGGCTCTCTTGTTCTCAGTTACAGTAAGAGACTTTTGGGAATGTTTACATGATTTCAAAAACTTGTCTCCTCCTAATGTGTGGCATTTCATGATAATTAAAAAGCACACCATCTTCTGCTTAATGGAGGATACTCCTATGATAGTACATGAAGGAATTTATAAAAACACAGAATTATCAAACTAAGGATATCTTGTATGGATAAATGGATATATAGATGGATACTTGGATGATGAATGAATAGACTCTAATTTAAGAAAGAGAATCCGGGCCGGGAGCAGTGCCTCACGCCTGTAATTTCAGCACTTTGGGAGGCCGAGGTGGGTGGATCATGAGGTCAGGAGATCAAGACCGTCCTGTCTAACATGGTGAAACTCCGTCTCTACTAAAAATACAAAAAATTAGCCGGATGTGGTGGCACGCACCTGTAGCCCACCTACTCGGGAGGCTGAGGCAGGAGAATTGCTTGACCCCAGGAGGCGGATGTTACAGTGAACCAAGATCGCGCCACTGCACTTTAGCCTGGGTGACAGAGCAAGACTCCATCTCAAAAAAAAAAAAAAAAAAAAAACCAAAAAACCACAAAGAAAGAGAAACCATTCTAGGTATATGAGATTCTGGGCCCAGATCACATAATACTATTATTAATATTTTCTTAATTTTAGAAATAACGAATATAAAATTCCTGAAAGTTAGTAGGCGTTCACTGAAGAGCAACTATTATTATTGAAGAAAGTCTATAACACATTCTCCATCCTCCATCCCACCTTTTCTAGACTTCTAGCACTTGATTATTGATAGTCACATACTATTTTGTTTCTCTTTCATATATCTACATTTCACTCCTCTAACCAGATTATAAATGCCTCAAAATAGAAACCGCGTCATTGTCTTTGTTTAAAACCACCCTACATCACAGTGTCTACTCAATACTGATGAACAGAGTAAGTTCTCAAGAAACATTTGATAGAAATTAAATAGAATGTTGTCTGTTCAAATTGTATTATATCTTTTCTTAAAATTTTGTTTTGCATATATTCCATGTGTGATGTTGACAATAGTCCCATAATATATATTGTACCCTCTCCTAATTATTTTATAATTATAATATATTTCACAATGATAGTTTTACAATTGTATTTTAACGTATACTGTATGTAATAATTATGCTCCAAAGATATGACCAACTAAATATCAACTAATTTCTTTCTGAAAGTAAAAATGCCTCAGGTTTCAGGCCTACTGGTGATCAATCTTTACTTTTGGCCATGAGAGAAATGGAATTAAACAGAGCACTCTCTGTGGTTATTTCCAACTA
Organism: Homo sapiens; assembly: GCF_000001405.40. NCBI lineage: Eukaryota > Metazoa > Chordata > Mammalia > Primates > Hominidae > Homo > Homo sapiens. The sequence continues at coordinate 120,292,329 of NC_000008.11, forward strand.
GTAGTAGACAAAGGAGAATTATAGAAGTCAATAATTAAAGAGTTCTTTGTAAGGCTAGTAGGAAAAAAGTCATAGCATTTGTTGAATCTAGAAGTCTACAAAGGATTACTAACTAGATTTTCAGTCTGCCCACTTACTGAAGAATTTGATTATGTTGAAATGAATGTATTAAGTTAGATCTCAAGAATGTGATTGGAAACTCAGACTTGCTTTTTGAGGGATATTACTTAATCATTTCAGTACAAGGTAAGAGAAGTCTCAGTTTTCAATTTTAAATTTAGAAATCACAGACTGCCAATCTAACCTTGATATACATTTGTACTCTAATATCCAGCAAAAGGGAATGTATGTTGTGCAAATTCTGGATTATTCTAGGAGGAGTAATTATTATATAAGAGAGATTAGTAACTTATAGGTCTCCATTCCCTGCCAAATCCAACAATTATTCAATAAATGCCAGATGGTGGAAGTCTAAACATTTAGTCTTTAAAGAAACTGTATTCTTTTTAAACCATAATTGAGTGGAAGATAGATTAATGCATTTAAGGATACAGTAACTACTCGATAGAAATTACGTTCTTAATAAAATCAACTGGTGTTCAGCAATGCAAGATTGTATAGGCAGTAACAGTCTCTACTGGGGCTAACCTAACAAGCAGGCTTAACTTAGCTGTCTAAATACATGTGGAATGAAACTTAACAACTGTGCTTCTCCTTTCCAAACTTTTTTCTCCTAAAAAGTTTCTCCTGCATTTTCTGGTACCTAATGAAATGATTCTAGAAAAGTTTTGAGCTTCTGGCATACAATCATATTTCTTAGTGCCTTTCTTCTACCTTTCAAATCTAATACTTAGGTAATTATCCAACTGGCATATATTTAGCTCCCTGCTGTTCAAATAACAGAGACATATGAGTTATGCTATGGAGTTGCCTATCATTTTAGCCACTGAGTTACAGCTTTTATATATAAATCAATAGTAGACTAGTTGATGATTCTACAAACACTTGTTTGAAAATAAGTGTTGTTAAATTGCTAAAAAATATAGTATATTTTCATGTGAATTATCTATTTTAAGCTTTTAAAATTATAATGATAGCTAATAGTTATTACATCTCTGCTAGGAGCTAGGCAGTGTGTATTTTCCTGGGATTATTTCATTTAATCCTGTAATAATCCTTGAAAGAGGTACTTGCATCTTCCCTACTCTGTAGATAGAGAAACTGAGACTTTAAGAAGCTAGGGTCAGGTCCCCTTTCAAAAAGTGAGAGTACTGAAATAAGAGACTGTATCCAACTTCTATAAGATCATCTGCCTTTCATTCCTGTGCTTCTTCCATTAGGACAGACTCTGATAATTATAGAATAAAGGCAGAGAAGGAAGTTTGGTTTGTACTAGAGACTATATGTCCTATCTGTACATTGACAGGTTCAAAGATTTACCATTATTTGAATTACAACCTTGAGAGCAAAGTAATCAAAACTACCCCCCAAGTGTGTCTATACCTTAAAATTCTAATTAATACCAACAAGTACAATAGCTATGAATTTTATTTTCTAATTTAATCAGTGCCTTCGTGGTTTCCCTTAAATTCAATAAATTGATTGAAAACAAGTTAAAAACAATCAGTTCAATAGTTGACAAGTGGTAAATGCACAATCTTAGTTTTGTGATGGCGTCAATAAAGGTTAGACATCAAATTACAAACAGAAAATGGTTTAGTTCCTCTGTACTCTTTCACCAGTATTCTTGTGCAGTGTAAAGCTCTCTAGATATTTATATAAATTCAGGTACAGCTTTACTTCAAATTATAAATTTAGTTAAAACATGTTAGAAAAAAAAATCAGAGAATAAAATTTGGCACTGAGTGGAAAATGGAGCCAGAGGTACATTTTAATTCCCATTCACAGATCAAAATGACTCAACTGCTAAGAAATATTTTAATCTTATTTTCCTGCTAACATTTGACCCCAAGTGACTTGCCTTTTGTGCTATACCAGGCAAAAATGTCTAACAATGAAAAATGAGCATTTGTAGTTGCTCATTTCAAGTATTCCCTTGAAAGAGATTATGAAAAGTGAAAGTGGGAGGTTTTGTGTCTCTTCCTCTTTTTTTTTTTTTTTTTGCAAAGATGTATCTTTTATAATTTTCAGTGAGTTACAAAAACGTTACAAAAGTAAAAAAGGGCTGCTTCTTGGATTAGTTCTCTAAAGTATTATTTATTTTGAGCCACACTATCTTGCATTTTAAGGTACTCAAATATGAGATCTTTGACATACCACCTTGTACTGTCTCCTGTATAATTTGCACAAATATGTATGTCATTGCTTTTGGAATAAAAGCCAAAGGCTTTTTTTCTCTTTTAATCAATCCCCTGAAATGTGCCTTGGAAAAAAAAAGTCCCTAAATAAAGGCTGAGGAATCTAAACTATTACAAGTGCAAACAATTATGAATAAATCTGTTGTACTCAAAGAAAAAGCTGCTGACATCATCTAACTTGCAAAAGAAAAGTCAGCCCACGTAACATTCCTGAAATTATAATATTGGCTTCATTTAGCACTTAGTAAGCATTCAACCCCGGAATAAATAAATTGAGCTCCTAAGAGTCCCAATAATTTCATAAGGCAGAAGTCCAGTCAAAGGTTTGTAATGTAGACATTAGACTGTTATAGGTGGTTAGGTGGTAGATGTTTATTTGAAAAACTTCAAGAAATCCTGATGTATACTGGGGCTTGTGAAAGGCCTTTGCTTTAAGTAAGTCTTTCCATTCATGAAAATGTTTTTGCTCTGAGGGCTCTACTCAGAAATGGAAAATTTCTTAATGGATAAATGATTTGCAGACTTAGCTGAATCTATCCAATGCTGTCATAATGGGACCTATTTAATAAATGTCCCAAGACAAAATGGCATTGTAAGATTTCATTGGGCTATCTGCATTTTAAACGTTAGATCAAAGATCAGTTTACTGGAAAATAAACCACAAGAAAATGGGGCATGCCATTTAAATCTCAAACAGAACTAAGCCTTCAACATGTGATTACGTTATTTAAACTTTTTCTTCCCCGGTCCTATTCCACAGAATGGACTTTGCTATGATCATACCCCATAGCGGCAATCTGAAGATGTAAAGATATATGCAAAGTGCTTAGGATAGTGCCTGGCATTCATTTCTGCAAATGTTTGTTGCTATTGTTGTTGTTATTTACTAAGATTTTTCTGAATCAAAACATTTCATAGATATTATTATTGTGGAAACAAACTACTATTATATTTCTGTCCTCAATACTGTCACTGTCATTTTGATTCTACTTTTTTGGCCTTTGTATTATATGTACACCTTCTCCTTAAACAAATCAATTATGAGAAAGCTAATATTTATTATTTATAGCAACTATGTTCCAGGTACTGTTCTAAATATTTCCTCTATACTAACTCATTTAATCCTCACAACCACATGAATAGGTACTATTATTATGCTCACTTTACAGATGAGAAAACTAAGATGCCAAGACATTAAATAATTTGTTCAAAGTAACTCAGTCTGTCAGTGGAAGAGTTGGAGATGACACCCAGGCAGTCTAGCTCCATACTCTCAGAATCCGTATGATCTTTGAAATATTTATTGTTAGTGTTGTTGTAATTGTTTATAAAAATAAGCTATAATGTATTTTTCCAAATGTTTTAATTTTATTAGGTGGTGCAAAAGCAATTGCAGTTTTGACATTACTTTTGCACCAACCTAATAAAAACTTAATTTTTTATTGGACATAATTTTTGTTTGTTTGTTTGCCCTGGACAGTCTCAGTTATCATACTCTTGGATGGTGGAGGGGAACCTTAAACCACCTGGAAAAAAAAAGCAGTGAGCCATGCACATATTTCTGCAAACAGCTCAATAAGGTGTATATGGGATCATGAAAATAAGATGCTTTGACTTATGGATTTGCTTTCAAAATTCAGGGGTTACTTTATTGATCAGTTGGAATGAATGTTTGCAATAAGGCATAATTACTTGAGTATAATGACAGAAAGCCCGATTTCATTCTGCTTACTGTCAGAACAAGTTATTTTGTGATAGTGCATGCATTTTTAATAACATGTTTCAATAGTACTATCTACTTGGGCATTACCATTTTTCTAGAAGATGTTTGGCGAAGGATGGATAGTACTATTTGGGAGAAAATAAGGAAGGCACCAAGAGTTTCCAGTCTTTGCTGAAAACACCACTTGCTGAAAGCAAGATTACAGATTTAAAATGAAAACAATTTCATCCTTCTCCCAGATCAGTAATAGAGCACACTCTTAATATTTGAAAATAATGTAGGAAGAAATATAGTAAAAATGATTGGGTCATTAAGCTAGTGTTAGCCCTTAATGATGTTGTAATTATGTTTCTGTATATTTCAACATGTACATTGACTTATCACCAACATACATGAGTGGAGCAAGCCTGTCTAAATATTTATGGCATGATCAATGGCTTAAATAAGAATACACATAGCTTACATTCTCACAATACTGAATGTGAAGCTGTCATGACATTTGCCACATTGTGTACCATATTTATGTGCTCCCCTCTCACTCCCTGTAAGTTCTTCTAGGTCAGGACTATGATTTTTTAAAAAATGTTTGTATCCTAAAAGTCTACATAGTATCTGGCTTATATTATGCACTGAAGAAAAAGTTACTGAGTGTATGTACAAAGGAATGAAGTGATAATTAATTCAATAAGCCTTCCTGAGTGCTTTTTATATGCCACATATTATGATAGGTGACCTAAAGATGAGTTTGGTAATGTAAATAATTGTGTAGTGGGAGGTGTGCTATAGAGGAGGCATATGGAGTGTTGTGTGACTACAGAGTCATTTGGGAGCAGCTGTGATGGGCTTTGTAAGGAAGAGTTTAACAGAGGAGCTAAGCTTACTCTTTAAGTAGAAATGAGAGGGGAAGTTTTGATAAATAAGAGGGTTTAGATGGTGGATGAATAATTGTAGACAAAATCTTAGATCACTATGTGTTTGAGGAAAAAAATTAGTTTGACATTGTTGGAGTTACTTTTTAATTTACTTACTGTAATGTATTATTAATGTATTGGTATTCTGTTATATAATACATAACATAAAATCATTATAAAGATAATTTATATATATTTTATTGAATGACAATTTTCTTTTTAAATCATAGTTCCAGTTACAGATGTTTGATATTGTTTGCTCCACATCATGGGCCAATACAGACAAATGCTGTGAACTTCCAGGCCTGGTAAGAATTCTTCCTTCATTTCTATTGATTTTTTAAATTGTATTTAATTTTCTGGAAATGAGAAGCTATTTCTCAACATTCATATCATAGGCAACTCGTTGAGATGATAAAATTAGAAAGAGATTAATAAAGAGGCATGTCTGAAATTAACAAGATTTCTCCTGTATAACCTAGGATCACATACAGCGTGAACTGCCCAACTCAGAGGGTGCTATTTACACATAGTCCAGATGTTCCCAGATTCCATGGCTCATGAAGCCCTTAGTGTCTCAAGCTTTTTCTTGCACCCCTAAGCCAAAAGAAACACCTTGCAGTTCCATTTATGAAATAATAGGTCCAAACATCTTACTAAATATTTATGTCCTAACAACTCAGTAGCCATATAAAATAACAATGCACATACATTGAAAGAAAAAAGTGATATTTATATTTTATTCTTAAATGACCAAAATTGCTTATTGTTGGGATGTGTGTGCTACCTGAGCCCTGCAGCATTTCTCATATCTTGGGATCACATTGGCCACTGCCATCCTCACTTCTTTTTCTACATTGCTTTTTTCATAGTACTTTCCTTTCATCATAGCAGCTATATTTGTAAATTAGGGCATCATCCAAAAAAAGTGTTGCAAAATCTAATGTTGAAACTGCAGACTACCTTGAGCCTGTCATTCACACGAAGTCCAGTGGGTGCTGAATATTGCTGTACTTCTCTTAAATTTTTAAAACATTCACAGGACCCCTGTGAGCTCAATATAGTGCTCCCAGGCATCTTGGTGTACAATTTTAGAACTGTAGTCATAATCTACATAACCTATATGTGATGCTACTAGAAAACTAAACATTTAAAAGTTATTTATACCAAGTGATGGTGTAAATATTTATGTCCTAACAACTCAGTAGCCCATATAAAATATAATACACATAAATTGGAAGAAAAAATGATATTTATATTTTATTCCTATATAAGCATAATTTCTTACTGATGGGATGTGTGTATACCCATATATTTTATATATATATATATATATATATATATATATATATATATATACAAAAATACAGATTTATATCTTAGGATCCTAGGACAAGTAAGCTGGCACGGACAACCATGTCATGGTTGGGCAGTAGTCATGTCTTAATAATTAAAGCTGGGATTCTCCAGAGCATGGGGAACCCTTCATGAAGTCTGTGAGATTTGACCTTATAACCGTATTAGTTTGTTCTCATGCTGCTAATAAAGACATACCCCAGACTGGGTAATTTATAAAGGAAGGTTTAGTTGACTCACAGTTTTGTACGGCTGTGGAGGCCTCAGGAAACTTACAAACATGGTGGAAGGGGAAGCAAACACTTCCTTCTTCAGAAGGTGGCAGCAAGGAGAAGTGCAGAGCGAAGGTGGGGGAAAACCCCTCATAAATCCATCAGATCTCATAAGAATGTGCTCACTATCACAAGAACAGCATGGAGGTAACCGCCCCTATGATTCATACCTGGCTTACATTATGCACTGAAGAAAAAGTTACTGAGTTGAAAAAGTTACTCCACTGGGTCCTGCCTGTGACACGTGAGGATTATGGGAACTATATCAAGATGAGATTTGGGTGGGGACACAGCCAAACTGTATCAGTAAGACTTACCGTATCAAAAAGCCAAACCATATAAATAAGACTTAACACCTCACAACATCTATTGCAAGCACCAAATTCATGGCAGTCTGTATTTGAGAAGGAAGCAACTTGTTATTTCTTCACCAAAATAAGTTTCTAGTAAACTCTGGAAGAAATTAAATTAGAGACACCTTGATGTTATGCTAAAGGGAAGGTAGATGGGAAACTGGCAGGAGAAACACTCGGAATCCTCTGTTGTATCAAGCAAAGATGTGATCACCACTTTTTCTAGGAAGGATCTTTCTCGTTCCTTTTCTTTTTACTTGTCTCATTTAAGAGGCGTAAATTCCATAGTAAAAAGACACCGTGCAGTAACAGTCAGCAGCACTGGCAAAACTATCACTGAGTCTCTGGCTACAGGTGGCCTGTTGTTAGCCTTATTTTGGGATCTTTCAGAATACTTAACTTTATGTTTCACTCTAGCTGGCCAGATTTCAGGCCAGATGTGTTTATAGGGGGTTTGAACTGAAATATTTTACTGTTGTCCAACATTTAGAGAAAAGTATATACACCATGTAACAGTCCATTTGCTTAACCTTTCTTGGGTTTCTGTTGTGAATATTGTAGAGACTCAGATTATTTTCAATTTGGCAATTTAACTGTCATCTGTGCTCTATTTGGCTCTAATTTTATTTTCCCCCAAAGTCTTAAATAATGACTAGGTTTTTCTCTATCCAAAGGGACTGATGAACTCTGTGAAGTTCTATAGTATTTTATCCCAGTGCTGAGCTCATTTTGGCTGCTGCTCTAAATGGGATATTTACAAATTGTTCAATAGCTGTTAGCAGGTGCTCTGTCTTCCTCTGCATTCCAGTAACTCATTCAGATATATTCAGCCTTCCATTAATAATCTATTTTGTAATGTCACATGACAACAATATTCCCTAAGAGAGAAGAAAAATGTTCTCCTATTCCAGAGCCTCAGATCTACACTGTGATGTTTTTCTTACTTTCAACCACAGAATGTGAGCAGTTGTGGAAATTGTCATAGGGAATTGATGAAGAGTTTAAACATTGATTTTATTTTGTTTTTCTTTGTTTGTTTTAGTACAGATATAGTTGTTTTGATTGAGTACTCCAAGTTTTCCTTTATCCTTTGAAACAGAAAAATTATTGTAGCATAAAAAAGTTTTCAAGACCTTTAGTTCACAGAGTACTATCACTCCAACCAACAGAATTAAATAGTAATCAAGATTTTTTTTTTGTTGCACTCACTTCTGATTGTCTTTCCTCACCTGGATTCCCAAGCTGGTTTTAGCAACACCCATTGATAATAGTGATTATCAGTGACTAGGAGGTACCCATTCATTTTTCTTTACAGAAAAGATTTTGTAATCAGGAGTGAATATTCTCTGCCTTTCTAATGTGCACTTGAAAATCTAAAAATATCTTAAATCAAACTGTTTTCTTTGAGCCAGTAAAGCCATTTGTATAAACTGGCATGCTAATGGTTGTGCTTTTTTTGTTTCTTTTCAGAGAGATGATGAGTCTTGCCCAGACCTTCCCCATTCCTGCTCCTGTTCTGAAACCAATGAAGTGGCTCTGGGACCAGCGGGCCCACCAGTAAGTCTTGCTGAGTTCAGCCTTAAATTTTCTTTAATAATATTAATAGCTATCACTTGTGTGTCTAATATGTGTTGTCTACTGTACTAAATGGCTATTACTCACTTAATTGTAGGAATGCAGTGAGACACAGAGATGTTAAGTAACTTGATTAAAGAACACAGCTTGGAGGAGCTGGGCTGGGCTTCAAATCCAAGTCTCCATGACTCCTAGAGATGATGCTTCTCACCACTGTGTCATACGATGTCTCATACTGGTCTATATTCAAAATCTTCCCTTACAGCTACTGTGGTTAATTTTCGGTGTGAATATTTCAAACCAGGACCTTTACTTGTACCTGTAAGATTTGCATACATCTGCTTTGTCCACTTTCTCTCTTTTTTTAAACTTTTACTTTAGGTTCAGGGGTACATGCGAAGGTTTGTTACATAGATAGGTGAACTCATGTCACAAGGATTTGTTGTACAGATTATTTCATCACCCAAGTACCAAGTCTAGTACTCAATAGCTATTTTTCTGCTCCTTTCTCTCCTTCCATCCTCCACCCTCAGGTAGGCCCCCGTGTCTGTTGTTCCCTTCCTTGTGTCCATGAGTTCTCATCATTTAGCTCCCACTTATAAGTGAAATCATGTGGTATTTGGTTTTCTGTTTCTGTGTTAGTTTCCTAAGGATAATGGCCTCCTGCTCCATCCATGTTCCCACAAAAGACATGATCTTGATCTTTTTTATAGCTGCATGGTATTCCATGATGTATATGTACCACATTTTCTTTATCCAATCTGTCACTGATGGGCATTTAGGTTGATTCCATGTGTTTGCTATTGTGAATAGTGCTACAGTGAACATTCGTGTGTATATGTCTTTATGATAGAAGGGTTTATATTCCTTTGGGTATATACGCAGTAATAGGATTGCTGGGTTGAATGGTTGTTCTGTTTGTAGCTCTTTGAGGAATCACCACACTGCTTTTCACAATGGTTGAACTAATTTACACTCCCACCAACAGTGTATAAGTGTTCCCTTTTCTCTGTAACCTTGCCAGCATCAGTTATTTCTTTATGTTTTAATAATAGGCATTCTGACTGCTGTGAGATGGTATTTCATTGTGGTTTTGATTTTCATTTCTCTCATGATCAGTGATACTGAGCTTTTTTTCATATGCTTTTTGGCCACTTGTATGTCTTCTTTTGAAAAGTGTCTGTTTATGTCCTTCTTTTGAAAAGTGTCTGTTTATGTCCTTTGCTCTCTTTTTAATGGGGTCATTTGGGTTTTTTTCTTGTAAATTTGTTTAAGTTCCTAATAGAGGCTGGATGTTAGACCTTTGTCAGATGCATAGTTTGCAAAAATTTTCTTCCATTCTGTAGGTTGTCTGTTTACTCTGTTGATAGTTACTTTTGCTGTGCAGAAGCACCTTAGTATAATTAGAGCCCATTTGTAAATTTTTGCTTTTGTTGTGATTGCTTTTGATGTCTTCTTTGTCATGAAATCTTTGCTCGTGCCTATGTCCTGAAAATGGTATTGCCTAGGTTGTCTTCCAGGGTTTTTATAGTTGTGGATTTTACATTTAAGTCTTTAGTCCATCTTGAGTTAGTCTTTGTATATGGTGTAAGGAAGGGGTCCAGTTTCAATCTTCTGCATATGGCTAGCCAGTTATCCCAGTACCATTATTGAATAGGGAATCCTTTCTCCATTGCTTGTTTTTGTCAGCTCTGCTGAAGATCAGATGGTCATAGGTATGTTGTCTTTTTTCTGGGTTCTGTATTCTATTCCCCTGGTCTATGTGTCTGTTTTTGTACCAGTACCATACCGTTTTGATTACCATAGCCCTATAGTATAGTTTGAAGTTGCATAACATGATGCTCCAGCTTTGTTCTTTTTGCTTAGGATTGCCTTGACTATCCAGGCTCTTTTGTGGTTCCACATGAATTTTAAAATAGTTTTTTTCTAGTTCTGTAAAGAATGTTATTGGTAGTTTGATAGGAGCAGCAGTAACACTGTAAATTGCTTTGGGGAGGATGGCCATTTTAACAGTATTGATACTTCCTATCCAAGAGCATGAAACGTTTTTCCATTTGTTTATGTCATCTCTGATTTCTTTGAGCAGTGTTATAATTCTCATTGTAGAGATCTTTCAGCTTCCTAGTTAGCTGTATTCCTAGGTATTTTATGCTTTTTGTGGCAATTGTGGATGGGATTGCATTCTTGGTTTGGCTCTTAGCTTGGCTGCTGTTGGTGTATAGGGATGTTAGTGATCTTTGTGCATTGATTTTATATCCTGAAACTTTGCCAAAGTTGTTTATTAGCTGAAGGAGCTTTTGGGCTAAGATGATGGGGTTTTCTACATGTAGAATCATGTCATCTGCAAACAGGGATAGTTTGACTCCTTGTCTTCCTATTTGGATGCCTTTATTTCTTTCTCTTGCCTGATTGCACTGGCCAGGACTTCCAATACTATGTTAAATAGGAGTGGTGAGAGAGAACATCCTTGTCTTGTGCTGGTTTTCAATAGGAAATGCTTCCAGCTTTTGCCCATTCAGTATGATGTTGGCTGCAGGTTTGTCATATATGGCTCTTATTATTTTAAGGTATGTTCCTTCAATACCTATTTTATTGAGAGTTTTTAACATGAAGGATGTTGAATTTTATCAAAAGCCTTCTTTGCATCTATTGAGATAATTACGTGGTTTTTGTCTTTGGTTCTGTTCGTGATGAATCACATTTATTGATTTGCATATGTTGAGCCAACCTAGCATCCCAGGGATGAAGCCTACTTGACTGTGGTGGATTAGCTTTTTGATGTGCTGCTGGATTCAGTTTGCAAGTATTTTGTTGAAGAATTTTGAATTGATGTTCATCAAGGATATTAGCTGGAACTTTTCTTTTCTGTTGTTGTGTCTCTTCCAGGTTTTGCTATCAGGATGATGCTGACCTCATAGAATGAGTTGAGGAAGAGTTATTCCTCCTCAACTTTTTGGAATAGTTTCAAAAGGAATGTTACCAGCTCTTCTTTGTACATCTTGTAGAATTTGACTGTGAATCCATCTGGCCCTGGGCTTTTTTTTTGGTTGCTAGACTATTTATTATGGATTCAATTTTAGACCTTGTTATTGGTCTGTTCAGGGAATCAATTTCTTTCTGGTTTAGTCTTGGGAGGGTGTATGTGTCCAGGAATTTATCCATCTCTTCTAGGTTTTCTAGTATGTGTGCATAGAGGTATTTGTAGTAGTTTCTAATGGTTACTTTTATTTCTGTGGGGTCAGTGTAACATCCCCTTTGTCATTTGTAATTGTATTTATTTGGATCTTCTTTCTTTTCTGCTTTATTAGTCTAGCTGGTGGCTTATCTATCTTATTAATTTTTTCAAAAAACTAACTAACTACTGGATTCGTTGTCTTTTGAATATTTTTTCATGTCTTGATTTCCTTCAGTTCAGCCCTGATCTTGGTTATTTCTTGTCTTCTGCTAGTTTTGGGGTTGGTTTGCTCTTGCTTCTCTCATTCTCTCAGTTGTGATAGTAGGTTGTTAATTTGAGATCCTTCTAACTTTTTGATGTGCGTGTTTAGTGCTATGAATTTCTCTCTTAACACTGCCTTAGCTGTATCCCAGAGATTCTGGTATGTTGTACCTTTGTTCTCATTAGTTTCAAAGAACTTCTTGACCCTGCTTAATTTTAATTTTTTATATATCCTGAGATTATGTTAAAATGTTCAAAATATTAGAACTGTTGTCTTCCTATTGGCTTGTTACGTGAATCATTGTGAATGAAACCATTTAACTTCAGTAATGCTTTTTACTTCAAGTCTGATTTGTCTAATATTAATATAGTTTCAATATTGTCTTTTGGACTCTTTGTCTAATTTTTTAATTTTCTAATTTGTCTAACTTGCATGTTCTCATTCCAGCCAGTTGGAAAGGGAGAAAATGGTTGAGGACAGCATTTGGTTTTCATTTAAGAATAACACCCAGGGTATATGCAGCACCCTTTCTCTCATATTCCATTAGCCAGCACTTAGTCATACCTACTTACGTAGGATTCCAAGAAATCAAGTCCCTAGTTGGATGGTTATATGTTTAGTTAAAACTCAGGGGATTGTATTATTACAAAGAAGCAGTGGAAATGAATATGAGGACAATTAGCAATCTCTGTACAACTGTGAAAACTTTTTTTTTTTTTTTTGAGACGGAGTTTTGCTCTTGTTGCCCGGGCTGGAGTGCAATGGCACAATCTCGGCTCACCACAACCTCTGCCTCCCAGGTTCAAGTGATTCTCCTGCCTCAGCCTCCCGAGTAGCTGGGATTACAGGCATGTGCCACCATGCCAGGCTAATTTTTTGCATTTTTAGTAGAGATGGGGTTTCTCCATGTTTGTCAGGCTGGTCTCAAACTCCTAACCTAAGGTGATCTGCCTGCCTCGGCCTCCCAAAGTGCTGGGATTACAGGCGTGAGCCACCGCACCTGGCCAAAAACTCTTTTAAAAACATTTCAGATGTCAGAAATAAAAATATTTCAGATGAACAAAAACTAATAATTTACCACCAATATTCTCTCATTAAGGAATATGCCTAGGACATAATTTAAAATAAAGAAAAATGATACCAGAAGAAATTATGACCAAAGAAATAGCAAATATATGGGCAAATCTTAACAAATATTAATTTGTAACATATATTTTCTTCACTTTTTATTTGCGACATTTCATTGTCTTTATATTTATATTTTAGATATTTCTCTTTAAATAGCATATGCCAAGATTTTGCTTTTAATCCAGTTTTACAATCTTTCTTTCATAGTCTAGTCCATTCTGTTGGTTGTAATAACTGACCCATTCTGATTTACATCCACAACTTTAATTTTACTTTCTTGGTTTTTCTTAATTTCTTAATTTTTGCTTTTTATTTGTGTTACATATATATTTTTTGCTTGAGATTGTATTTATTTTTGTCTTTAATTTTTGCTTTTTTTGTATTCCTTTTTTCTCCTCCACTAGTTTGGAAAGTATACTCTGTAGCTTTTCTATTAATAGTTAACCCAGAAGTTTCTACCAGATATACTTAGTTTAACAATGTTTAAAATAATCACCATTTCTATCCTACTTTGCCAGTATGATGAGTTGGAATTCTTTCAACTTAGATCATCTTCTTAATAATTTATGTGCTCTTACTACCCAGTATTTTAATACTGTTTTTAACATCACAAATTAGATGTCTTGATTATTATTATTGCTTGTGTGAACTCTAAAACATAAACTTTCCAGCAAGCCTCAGCCATCTTTCCCATCCTTCCTGAAGGCAGTTTCAGTTCACATGTATACTATAGTTTTTTATTGTTTCTTTCTTCTTGGTACTTAAGAATAGAGTTCTTAATTACAGTAGTGTTTTAGCCAGCATTAATACATGTTTATAGCAGGAGGGTTTTCAAGTTTTTTCATCTGTAATTTACTGGAACAAGTGATAAAATATTTATTTGTGACCTAAACAGCAAACTTTCTAATGGGGAGAAGCAGCAGAGATGTGAAAGGGAAGGGTTGAGCTTTGAATTGGAGGGGGAAGAAAGATGTAAAATGAGAAAAAAGCAATTGAAAATTTATATTTCAAAAATTTCAAATAAGGAAATTTTGTATTCTAAATAAAGCGTAATAAACTAAGAAATAGTATCCTGAGCAATATGTAATAAATTCTGTTTGATGATTGAACATTCTTTAATTGTTTTCTCATTCATGAATTTACACAGTAGTATGACGTATCAATAAAACTAAAGGATCTGTAGGAAGGCCTGGATAGAAGAATCATATTCTCTTTGTGAAGTCTAAGCCTCTCTTATTGAAAAAATGAGTGTTTTCGTCAACAAGTATTTGCTGAATTCTTGTGATATGCCCAGTGACAAGGGTTAAGGATGAGGTGGAAAGTAAGTTAGAAGTGTAAAGTGGTCCCTGGCTTTTAGACATGGTGCCTCTGACATGAATATCTGTGAGGTAAACAGTCTTGATTATTATTATTTGAATAAAATCTTCAGTTGAAGATATATTTGAATATATATTTGAATAAAATCTTCAGTTGAAAACAAATCATTTAAGATGCAAAAACAAAATTAAAAAGTTGTGACAGACTGGGTATATTAACTGGGAGAGACTAGGCTGCGAGAAACAGAAAATTTAGCTAACACAGTAGTGTAAACTATGAGGACAATAGGACATTTATTGTTTGCTCAATAGAAGATTTAGAGGGAGATGGTCTGAAGAAGGCAAATGAGGCTGCTAGACGACTTCATCAAGGACTTGTGCTTGCTCTAGCTTCCCATGTTGCTTCTTGATCAAATTGGCCAAAACTGCTTAACACAATGATTCCTGGTTGCAAAGAAAAGCTGAGAAAACAAGTATCTGTCTTTTTTGGCCTTTATCTAGGGATGAAAGGGAAAAGGGGGTCAGAAAAGGCTCTTAGGTAGCCAGCCATAGTTTCTGACACACTGGGGGAAAAACTATAATGAAGCATATATGGAAATCTGATATATGGCACTTGATAGTGGCATTGCAGATCAAGTAGAGAAATGATTGATATTCAATAATGGTGCTGGGACATTTGGTCTTCCATGTAGAAAATATCTACAAATAAAAATATATATAACATCTAAGTTTGTGTAAGTACACTCCACGATGTTCACACAACGACAAAATTGCCTAACAACACATTTCTCAGAATGCATTTCCATCACCAAGCAATTTATGACTTCATATGAAGAATTTCTACTCATTAAAGAGAAAAAGACATGTAACCCAATGGAAAACTGAGTAAAGTATATAAATAGACAGTCACAGTGAGAATAAATGCAAATAGATAAACTTATGAAAAGATACATAATCATAATAGTTTTCAGGGAAATGAAAATTAGAACAAGAATAAGGTATATTTTCAGCAATCAGGTTGATAAAAATGTAAAGTTTGATAATATTCAGGGTTGATTAAGATTTAAGGAAACAGGGACCCTCTTAAACTATTGGCAGATCAATAAACTGGCACAGTTAGTTTAGAGTACAATATGATAATATATCTGCAAATTTATCAACTTTCACTTAACGATTCTACTCTTGGTATCTTCTTCTGAGAAATACTAACAGTTTCACTTAAGGGATATGTAAGGATGTTAATTGAAGCATTTAAAAATTTTTTTTTAATTTTTAATTTTTTGAGACGGAGTCTCACGCTGTCGCTTAGGCTGGGGTGCAGTGGCATGATCTCGGCTCACTGCAACCTCTGCCTCCTGGGTTTAAGCGATTCTCCTGCCTCAACCTCCCAAATAGCTGGGATTGCAGGCCTGTGCCACCACACTCAGCTAACTTTTGTATTTTTAATAGAGATGGGGTTTCACCATGTTGGCCAGGCTGGTCTCAAACTCCTAACTTCAAGTGATCCACCCGCCTTGGCCTCCCAAAGTGCTGGGATTACAGGCGTGAGCCAGTGCGCCCAGCCTGAAGCATTGTTTAAATGGCTGAAAATTGTGGGAATAAAACTACTTAAATTTCCGGTAATAAAAGAATGGCTAAACAAACTCTTAACATATCCAAGGTTCAGACAACTATGCAACAGTTAAGAATGAATTAGATCTATGTGTGCTATAATAAAAAATCACTAAAGCATATTAAGTTGAAGTCATAACTATGTAAAAAGTGTGACATCACATATTTAAAACATACACAGCAAATAATACAGTAATACCACGGGCAGTATTTTGTATAGATATAGATGCACATAAATAAAATTACGTTTTATAATTGCATTTTTAAAATCTAGAAGATGAGCAACTAATTGATAAAAAGGAAGAGTGCATGTAAATGGTTTTTTAAAAAGCTGAGGAAATTTTAAAGATCACCTGACCCAGTGTTTTCTTAAGTGATACAGCATTCTGCTAATAGTGTACAGAATCCCTTTTAGTAATCCTGGACATGGCATGAAATAAACTGGAATCACACAGGGAGAAAGTTATTCCATTTTCAATGATTTTTCAATCCTTCTGCTCAGGTAAAATATAAATTCTGTCTAGTGCCCACATGGTCCTCCTAACACTCATCTCCCTTTTTATCGAAGAGCGAACTCTTGGCTCACAGACTTCAATAGAAACAGAATCTAGCTAAATTTTTTTTGTTTTGAGAGGGAGTCTCACTTTGCCGCCCAGGCTGGAGTGCAGTGATCTCAGCTCACTGCAAGGTCCGCCTCCCAGGTTCACGCCATTCTCCTGCCTCAGCCTCCTGAGTAGCTGGGACTGCAGGCACCCGCCACCACGCCCGGCTAATTTTTTTGTATTTTCAGTAGAGACGGTGTTTCACCGTGTTAGCCAGGATGGTCTCGATCTCCTGACCTCGTGATCCACCCGCCTTGGCCTCCCAAAGTGCTGGGATTACAGGCATGAGCCACTGTGCCTGGCCAATCTAGCTGAATTTAATAGCATTATTTATAGTGTATTGATTTCTAAGATTACCTTATAGTTTTAGCAAGCGATACTTTTTTTCATTTACTGTAATGCTGTATTTGCTTTTAAAATAAGTGAAATAGTCAATTAAGATATTCAGTAAATACACACATGTGTTTAGACACATATGAACATATATACAGGGAATATATACACATATATATACATATTATGTTTGTAGATATATATCTATATAAAGAAAACTGCTATTAAATAATAGTCTAGATAATATGGCAAAAGTTTTGAGGGGAAATATGAATGACAACTTTCAGAAAGATGAAACTAATTGTCCTTTTGCTGTGTAAATAAAGAAAATCAGGTTGTTGCTACTTTCATGTGCTTTCTACAATTTAATTGGATCATCTCAAAGTTATGTTTTATATGTTATATATGTATGTTTTATAACATATATAATTTTGATTAACATTGTATTCTTTGGGTCATTCATAATGGTAGTCTTCTATAACCACTAAGTAAATAAAATCTTACCATTTTTCAATATTTAAAAAGAATTTGGCAAAGAAAGTTTTCCAAAACCATGAAATCGTCTGCAGCGCTGGGGCTGGGTGGTAAATTTCCAGTTAAGGATCATGATGAATGTATACTATTACACAGTGTGTTGGCCTTTACATAAAATAATAATGAGTTAATTCATACTATTAAGGAAAATGAATGAAATACACTGTTTTGAGATTTGTCTTTGAGCTAATACTTAACATCTGTTTGCCAGGGTGGTCCAGGACTCCGAGGACCAAAGGGCCAGCAAGGTGAACCGGGTCCAAAGGTAATGCGCATGTTTTCTCTCTCTCTCTGTCTCATCTCTCTCTCTCTCTCATAAATAGCCATCATTTTGGAGCTAAATGTGACTTATTTCACCCTTGCAATCTAAAGTTCCTTATAGTTTTATGAAAGTTGTGCCTAACCCTTCTTCCTTATTTTAAAAGCCTATGCTTTTAATCAAAAAGAATATTTAATAACTCAATGAAAAGAAAGGCTTCTGGGTCAGAAATAAGAATGTCAATGTTCTGAGTGGTTTAGTCTCCAAGGTAGTTCTCTCAGAAATTGTACATTCTTCTCTTCCTCTACCTACAACAAAAACGTATCTTTAGAGGAATCATGCAGAACCACAATTTGGTATTAGTCCTTTCCAGGTAATTTCTCAGGTTTTGGATTCCTCCTCCTCCACTGCACTATATATAATCAAACACACAACTCTGTTTTTCATTCTTACTGCCCAGGGTCATCAAATGTGGTGGTTCAGGTTGTACATTGTTCAAAGGCACCTGCCAAGAGACCAAGCCATGCCAAGCCATGTCAAGGAACACGTTTTTCTACTTTGCACAAAGGCATCCTGAGGACTGGCAGAAGCCCAGTCACTAATGGAGTTCAGGCCTCACCATCTTCTCTCCAGCTCTTGGCAAATCTTCTAACTGGTCTTCTGTCCCAAGTGGCTTAACATTTCGATTGATTCTTCACATCTGCCCCCAGATTAATTTCCTTAAAGTCTATGCTGGATCATATCATACTTTTCAAAAACCTGCAGTCACATGCTGTTGCCTTCAGAATACCGTTCACCCTCTTTGCTGAGGCATTTAAGGCCCTTTGTAACTTGACTCCCATCTCATTTTCACCATGTTGCTCCACATGTTCTCCTCTCCATCCATCTTGCTTGACTTACTGCTCAGTATGGTTTCTTATTAAATTTACATAGCATTTATTCATGGAGAGGAGAACATTGCAAGGTTTTTTACCATAAAATTGGAAACAGATGAAGCAAGGTAGAAGAAAATATTGGGATAAAAAAGAAGTAAATGAAAGAAGGCTAAAGACAATTAATCAGGTACTACCCAATCCAAAATTCAGACCATAAGATGTCTCCTTTTTTGTTTATTTTGTTTGGTGGGACAGACTTGAGGTATCTTACTTGGTTCCATCTTTTATGGTGCTGTAAGAAGGGCAGTAGTTGGAGGCCTCTTCTCAAGCAAGGGTGCACTGGATCTTCCTCAGTTTCACCCAAAGGCAATGCCCCTCTGCTCCTATAGATTCTAGTTCCCTCTTCCCAGTGCCTCTATCAGCATGACCCCAGTGTTTTCTAACATGATCACTGGATGATCGTTCTAATCATGAAGATAAATGAGTTCGTAGATGTTTGGTGATCCCAAGACCTACCCATTTCCTCCAATTACCATTTCCATAGGTTGCTACTGATATGGTTATTTCTGTATGATGATTTTGATGAATCACAGATCCAAGTGAGTAGTGGTTTTTGGAAAAAGTCTTATTGGACAAAGGACGTTGACATGTCCACCAATGTGGACAGTGCAGGAATAGATACCTTGCATACGGAAGGCCCCAGTATGTATGATTTTTTATTTTGTTGCAGCAAATACAGAATAAGAATTTGGAAGGACAAAGCAAACCTCTTGTTGGTCTCTCCTAGTCATTTTTGCCTCATATTTTATAGGATAAAATGGGACCCCCTAGTTTTTGCCCTTCTACTCTATTTGCAATTTCTCGATAACATATTATTAAACTCAGCCAGGCGCGGTGGATCATGCCTGTAATCTCAGCACTTTGGGAGGCCGAGGCAAGTGGATCACTTTGAGGTCAGGAGTTCGAGACCAGCCTGGCCAACATGGTGAAACCCTGTCTCTACTAAAAATACAAAATTAGCTGGGTGTGGTGGTGGGCACCTGTAGTCCCAGCTACTCGGGAGGCTGACACAGGAGAATCACTTGAACCTGGGAGGCAGAGGCTGCCGTGAGCAGAGATCACACCACTGCACTCCAGCCTGGGCAAGACAGGGCAAGACTCCATCTCAAATAAATAAATAATATATTATTAAACTATTATATATTAAAATGATTTATTATTAAACCATTACAAATACTAAGTAATACATAAAAATTGCCTCCTTGCTGCCTCCATCGTATTTTTAAAAATCCAGCTCCCTCCCTCTCCCTTCCTCTTATGCCATGCTCCTTGTAAGAATAGTTATCATTCAGTGCTTCCACACGCTCACCTCCCAAAGAATTCTCAACCCACATATGCTTCCTCTTCCTCTGGGAGTCCTATGAAAATTCTCTCATAAAAGTTCCTAATTACTTGCTTGTTACCAGTTCCATAGATTAGAGTTTAATTTTTTTAACACAATCAAACACTTCTTTGTTTGAAAATTTCTCCTCCTTTGGCTGTTTCTATAGCACAATACCACTCCGTCTTCAGCCTCTTCCTAATTCTCGGGCTTTTTCATTTCAGATTCTTCCCCAGGTTTCTCTTCCTTTCCCTTCTACCTGATTATCATCTCATTTTTATCCACATTCTATTTCACTCACTCAATACATTCTCCTTAATAACCTCACCTATAAATATATTTTCAACTACTCCAAAATCCATCCCAGCATAGACCTTGCCTAACTCCTTGGCCTGCTGGACATTTCCATGTGGTTTATCCCAAGCACCTAAATCTTAACAAGTCTTAGTCTGCACTCATTATCTACCCACACTTTACCCCACAATGCCTTTTTTTCTGTATTCTTTGTCCCATGTAACGTGTTCACCAATCTCAGAGCTAAGATGATACACAGATGTTGGAGGTCCTAATTTAATAAAAGAATAGCTTTAGTTGAAGTCACAGAACGAGACAGAAGAGACTGAGGATAGGTAGGTTTTTGGGTCTAATATTTCTTACATGGTTTAGTTTTAGTTAAACCGCAACAAGATCCAAGCTACAGAAATAAGGGTTACAGAAATAAGGGTAAAAGGGATGTCTGATCCTGAAAAGAAAGGAAGTAAAATAGGCTGGGAGTGGTGGCTCACGCCTGTAGTTCCAGTACTTTGGGAGGCCAAATTGGGCAGATCACCTGAGGTCAGGAGTTCAAGATCAGCCTGGCCAACATGGTGAAACCCCATCTCTACTAAAAATACAAAAATTAGGCAGGTGTGGTGGTGCATGCCTGTAATCCTAGCTACTCAGGAGGCTGAGGCAGGAGAATCACTTGAACCTGGGAGCGGGAGGTTGCAGTGAGCTGAGATCAAGCCACTGCACTCCAGCCTGGGCAACAGAATGAGACTCTGTCTCAAAAACAAAAAATGAAAAAAGGAAGTAAAATAATACTAAGCCGAGGGAAGGTCATTCAGTGGACATTGAAGAAGGTGTAGTGTGGTGGCAGCGTCAAAGTGAGGAAGAAAGCAGAGGCTAGGTGCAAAGTTCTCAATAAATGCAGAGGAGTCCCCCCGAGGTAGGTGGTTGACAGTAGCGAAGACAGAGAGAATGTAGTTCATCTGGACAGTGTGAACCTTCCCAGACTAGGAAGGTGGTCTTGAAGCACTTATACTTATAAATTTGTTATGGAGTGTGGGGGGTCTCATTACTTACATAATTGGCATAGCACTCTTATTTACAGAAGCAAAAGTAGTAATGATAAAAATAAAGTTACAGCGATCCCTGTGTGTTTACTCTTATGGTTTACTGATGACATTTTGCCTGGAAGGTAAATCATTTGAGGCTTGATGTCTTGCTATCCTGAGTATTTCCTATCTTAAGAAAAACTATATAAGAAAACAAATTATAATTGTCCTAAGCAGAAATATTTTCTAGATGTCAGAGAGTCTAACTTACTTTTAGGATGATACTTCTCTCTTGCCTTCCAGGGACCAGATGGCCCTCGGGGTGAAATTGGTCTGCCAGGACCTCAGGGTCCACCTGGACCTCAAGGACCAAGTGGTCTGTCCATTCAAGGAATGCCCGTGAGTTGTGTTCAAACATTCAGACGGGTTTTATTGTTATCTCTTTTCCATGAGGTTACAAAGAATGAACTTTTGTCTTCTGTGTCTTAATAATGAACCTCAGTCCCTTTGAAAGCAATGATGGAGTGTCATTTCACTAGTTGTGCCCTTAGCCATTTTTGTGTCCAATGATGAAGGTCTTTTAACAAATAAGTACATGCATACTTATTGGAGGTAGGTCCATCCGCAAGCATTGTGTCTATAGAGGAAGAACAAAGCTTAGCATGTATAGCCCTTTTTCTCGTCTAACTAAATTCTTAATGGATGTGATAACATTCAGAAAGTAACAAATGTTATACAAATTTAAGTTTTTTAATTATGTGTAGTAACTGCTGATATAAATTAATAAAAGCCATTTATTCATGATCCTTATCTCAAATGGCATCAAAGTGCAGTTTATGGAGAGTGAGAGTTTAGATTTTTAGATGATGTATTTTATATAGCTGCATTTCTTTGAAAAGTCATTTTGTACCATTGAAAAAAAAGTTTAATTCCATTCACTGATCTTCATTAATCTTACTGTAGGAGTCTAGATTTAAGAATAAAAACAATCTCTTTAATTCATATTTGAAGCAACCAGATCCTTTTAAGCACAATTTTTGGCAATCTTTCTGCACATATGATTGTGTCTGCCTAGCTGAGAAGTTTCTCCTACAGTGTTATTTTTACATTTTAGAAAGCATTAACATGCCAATTTGTGTAATTACTACTAATAATAAACATTGGTTGAGGTCTTACTACATGCCAGATTCTGTGTTTGCTTTTCCCTTCTTATATTCCATTTAAGTATGTTTCTAGCCAAAACAAAACAAAACAAATCTACATAGATATGAGATTGTAAAATCCAAGCCGTAAATAATACTGAAATGTTCAAGCCGCCCTGCATGTATTTACAATATTGGCCTTGCCATATTAGACTGTATATTCTATGTTAAAACTATCCTGGTATATAAATGTTCAGCTCCATAGGAATGTTTACATAAATGGCATAACATATGTGGAAAGTGAAATATATTCTGTTGGCCAGGCGCAATGGCTCATGCCTGTAATCCTAAAACTTTGGGAGGCCGAGGCAGGCAGATCACCTGAAGTCAGGAGCTTGAGACTAGCCTGGCCAACATGATGAAACCCCGTCTCTACTAAAAGTACAAAAATTAGCTGGGTGTGGTGGCAGGCATCTGTAATCTCAGCTACTCAGGAGGCTGAGGCAGGAGAATAGCTTGGACCCAGGAGGCAGAGGTTGCAGTGAGCCAAGATCGTGTCACTGCACTCCAGCCTGGGCAACAAGAGCAAGACTCCATTTAAAAAAAAAAAAAAAAAAAAAAAAGTGTATATATATATATTCTGTTTAGATGTTAGTGCAAACGCGATTTACTGTGGAAACTATTTAAATAATGAGAGAAGGAAAAGAAAACGCTAAGAATTTACCTATGTGAACTTAACTCTGTATACTTTTGGATATTCAGGGAATGCCAGGAGAAAAAGGAGAGAAAGGAGATACTGGCCTTCCAGGTCCACAGGTATTATTTTTGTTTTTTAAGTCTATTGCTCTCAGTCTACAACTTTGCCAAGGGGGAAAAAAAAGCTGTAGCTTCTGAAGTCAGTTGTGATCTTGGTAAGTGTTTTCCATATTAAAGACTGCCTGTATTCACTTACCCTAAGCCCCTTTTGAGAGTCACACTGATGTTCCCCAGGTGAGCTCTGACAGGGAACATTCTTTGCCCATGAATAACTTCTAAGTCTGAATTCTAGGTTACAAAGGGTTCACCATTATGCTCTTAGGTTTGTTTGGAGGCCTTCATCTATTTCAGGGAAGCTGCGTGAGCAGATGACTCATTCCTGTGAACCTGACTCTTTTTTGTCCCTGTTCTACACAGGGTATCCCAGGAGGCGTTGGTTCACCAGGACGTGATGGCTCACCAGGCCAGAGGGTAAGGTCTTGCCCAAGGTTGGTTTTTAGCAAAGTAGTGACCTTTTCACCAGGTCACTCTTATTGCTGACAGGCTTCTATGTAAGGGAGTCAAGCCAGTTTTTGCTTTTTGTTTTCTCCTGTTTATGTATTTTCCACCTATCCTGCACTATTTCCCTTCACTGACATCTTCTATGTTCATTACTTCGTCAAACCCTAGGAACTTTCATCAAACCTTCCCAAATTAGCACATCCCTTTCCGAGTGCTCCCATGACCTGAATACAGTTTATTGTGTGCATTGGTTTAGTAGATTTCTCCAGTTCTTTCAAATCCTTGAGGCATAAATGTAAAGGAAATAAAGAACCATATGAATTAAAATTTAAATAGAATGGCTTTCTGTAGTATGGCTTACATGGCAATCTCCATTTATTTAATATCATTCAATTATTGGTTCTTCTCATCTGTTCAAGTGGACAGTAGTACAATAAAGTATAAAGATATTCAGGAAAGGGATACGCTAACATCTGGTATTTGTTTAGTCAATAAGGTTTTACTGAACCAAGTTTGAGGTTCTTGTTCTCAAAGAGTTTATAGTTTATTGGGAAGAAATATAACTAAATAAGAAACTTTTATTACATGCTATCATGGGAGCAGAGCCCTGTGAGAACACAAAGAATGAATAACCAAGCTAGACTTGGAGGCTGGAAGAAGACTTCTCAGAGGAAGTACCATCTAGGCTGAGTCTTGACTGAAAGATAGAAGTCAGCCAGGTGAACAAGGAAAGGAAAGCTATTGCAAGCAGAGGAAAGAGCATATACAAAGAGGTAGAGGCAAGGGAAGGTGGAGCATTTCCAATATTGTACATCGTTTAGTATGGCAGAAGATTAGAGTAATTGTATGTGTGTGTTGAATGCATGTGCACACTTACTTAGGTGTGGGGAGATTGTTAAGAGAAGAAGTTAGAGAGGTAAGCACAAATTCATTTAAATCATCTATTTTTTCCAACTAAGGATTTTGAACTTTAACATGAAGGCAATAGGTAGTCATTAAATTTTCAGCAAGGGACACAGAGGCTGGTCTTCCTTAAACTGTCACCGATTTAGACATGTGAGCAGCTCCACAGTTTCTCTCAAGACTGGATTATATAGAGTGGCGACCACTTAGATTCAATCCAATGAAGGACAGCACATCTGGTGTTCACTGGTGTTTTGGGTCGAACTTACTAGGTTAGCAAACAATTGACTTGAGCACCCACTTCTCTACTCAAACAAGGCTTGCTTTTAGCTCAGGGTAGCTATACTGTTCAAGAATAATGAAACTGTTCTTGTTTTTTCTATAGAATGTAGATGCGCAAGCCTTCTACATCCCCCCCTTTTTTTTAACACCAAACTTTTGTTTGCCTAAAATCTCAGTGTAGTCTCTGTTCATCAAATGGAATTAGTCAGTCCGTGAAATATGTTTAGGTGAATGTATCTGAAGAAGGCATTCTGTAACAGTTAGATTTATGTAGCATTCTTGTACATGTGGAAGCAGCATCTAGAAATATTTATATATTTTGGCAAAGGGCGTAGGCTAAGATCCTGTGTGGTTACACACCTGGATTCCTTCGTGATTCCTGAAGTTCTGAAAATGGCAATTCTAAAGATTTAGTTCGGTGAGTTTATTTATCTGTGCATGAAGTCCAATCTTGGCAAAGAACTCACAAATCAAACATGTTGAATTAGTGTTTGAATCATTTGGTTTTGGAATTCTTTCTTTTAACACCAATATACCAACACAGACTTTTTATAAATATTTTGCTATCCCTCCAAATGTGTGTTCCTCTATAGGATTAAAAGGCTTAGAGCTGTAATAAAGTGATAAGATATGTGTAATTAGATTTTATTTTCCTTTCTCTTCCAATCTGGAAGTCAAACTTTTAGAGTATGTCTGATTCTTAATTTGAAAACATATTAGATGGAAGTGGGCTTGCTTTTCCAAACTAGATTTCTGAGGATACTCATTCTTTATAGGGCCATGTTTAAAGAAAAGATTGTATGATTCCTGTGATGATTCTTCTAGAAGAGATATTTGAAGGCAATATCATTTCAATGTGCAACACAAGCAGATGCCATTCACACAGAATAAAACATAATGGTGCCCCTGAAATTGTGTAACATGGCTGCCTTGCTTGAGGGAAGGACCACATATTTTTAATCAATCAGCCGTGTCTTCATTGAGCAGATATAATATGCCATGTACTGTGCTCAGCCTGGAAAGAGTTGTTCATTACTGCCTACAGAGAAGAATCCAGAAGAAGAGAGAACTTCAATGGCAGAGGGAGACAGTTTGTGGACTGTTTGCCTAGAGGAGATGGAAGGAAGGGATAAGAACATGGCTGTTCCCTGGGGCCAGAAAGACAAAAGGGTCTTCTCAGAGACAGTAGAGAAGGAAAGAAGAAATGAAGGATGGATTAAAAACGGCTATTTAGGTGGCTCTGATCTGTTCAGTCAACTGATCTGAGGGCTTAAGGATAGTAAAGTTCTAACACAGTTAGATATTAATAATTACTGGGCAGGATTGTAAGATAGGAGGCCCAGGACAATTTTCATGGTGGGAGACAGACCTTGGACACGAAGCACCCCAGAAGACATGCTGCATTGGAGGGCCATCTCTCCCTGGTTTGGCAGTGGGAGAGGAGGTGCTGTTTATAGAGTAAGCACAAACACCTTGCAATTATTCCTGCTCCACCTCAGGCCATCCTAAAAGGCAAAGCTGCATTTGGGGGAAAAAAATAATTACAACAACAATAACAACCGTGGCATAGAAAGAGAGCAAACGCAGGATGATGAGACTTACTGCTGAAATGACTGAGAAGACACTTCCAGAAAACTCCCCAGTCAGGCTCCACTGTCCAAAAAATCAGGAAGCCAAAGCTTTTTATTTTCCTCCACTCTGAGCACTGAAGTCACTTAACGTTACTGTGCCTTTATTTCCCCTGTCCTGTGTGAGTAAAGCCTACTCTAGGGAAAGGAGGAGGAAGCTGCAACAGACATTTTCAATGATGTTTAATCGGCGCTTTTAGCTCCTTGGACAGTGTAAGGAGTACATGAGTGTGGTGTGCAGTAGGAGTGGTGGGCTATTCCTTACTGCTCATTTTTCTTCCTTTTATATTTTTGCCTTCTCTTGTTTCTTTACTTATTTTAATTTTAATTTTTAGAGATAAGGTCTCCCTCTGTGGCCCAGGCTGGAGTACAGTGGTGTAATCATGACTCACTGCAGCCTCAAACTCCTGGGCTCAAGTGATCCTCCCACCTCAGCCTACCAAGTAGCTGGGACTGCGGGTTTGCACCATCATGTCTGGCTAATTTTTTTATTTTATTTATTTATTTATTTTTGGTAGATATGGGGGTCTTGCTGTGTTGCCCAGGGTGGTCTCAAACACCTGGCTTCAAGCGATTCTCCTGCCTCAGCCTCCCAAGGTGCTGGGATTACAAGCACGAGCCACAACACCTGGCCAAATCTTTGTCTTCTCTTATTGACAGCCACAAACTTAAAGCGCAAACCAGGTGCCATCACCTTGACTGAAAGCTTATGGAAAGGTTAGCACCCCTTTCCTGAAGCTGAAGCCAATAGTACCCCTGAATTTAGCCTAGAAGGAGAGAGATCTTAACAAATAATAAAAAGGAGAAGATGAAACATCTTTTCTTCTAATGTTTCTAGCTTATTCTGGCTTTTCCCAAGGGGAATCTTTGACTCTTAGAGGTAGCTTTTATTCAACTCTGGGCCTGAGGCCATAAGCAAGTCTGGTAAAAACTGAACTTCATTGAACAAGTTGCAGCCTCTTGCTAGGCAGCCAGTAGAGTACAGGACCACACTTTAAAAAGCAATAGTGCAAGTTCATATTTCACAGCCAAATACATTGAGGCATTCAGTTTTCATTCCAGGTCATTCCAACAGAAAGCATTTTCGTCTCATCTTTCATTTGCACTGTAAATCTTGTCACTGCTGTCATCTCCTTCCTCTTCTTTTCTTGGTATCTGTGACTTCAGGACCTATCCTGTGATCTTTGAGCTCCTCTAATATATGGTGGCTTTCTCAGTCCCCACCCTAGACATCAGGGTGGTCCTCAGGAAAACTAGGAAGAACAGGCAAGACATGGATTACTTCATGTTTCCAAGCCCTCACTTTCCTCAGCGGTAAAGTGGAAAAAATAATATTTGACTGCAGAGAATTGTCATGGAGATTAATTCATATAAAGCATTTCTCTATAAAAATGTGATTTTAGCTAATATTAGTATTCACTATTTTCAAGGTAAACTTAACAAGCCTGGACATTTATAATATTTTATAAGGCTTGTACTTGACACGTCGAGATGCCTTAGAAGACTGAAGAAATACAAAAATTCTTTTTTTAAAAGCAAGTTAAAAATTTTTTTTCTTGGATTTCACCTCACAAGGACACCAGAAGCATGCTTCTAGATTATGCAGGTTTTATGTCTACAAAGGACATATTTGTGATGAATATCCCATTTCATCAAAAGTGAGTTAGACTTGAAATGCACTTGAGAAATTGAACTTGAGTCAACTATCTGGGTTTAATTTTTATCATAAATGTTAAGCAGTGATGAAATATTTATCTAAGTAATATTTTGTAAAATACTAAGATTCATGATAATTATTCCCTTGAGCATCTTCCTCCTTCTGAAGAGGATGTGTAAATACCATCACAAAACTAGTGGAGGGAATAATTTGATTTTCTTCTTTGTGGCTCTGGATGGGTTTTATAATATCCCAAGAAAGCCTTTGCACAATCAGCCACAGTGATGATGGTATATGCAGTTGAGACTGAACAGATTATTTGATAAAAATAGCAGCAACCACTATCATTACTTATTGAATATGTGCAGGTGCTTTGCAATTATGATGTTCTCTAGTCCTCAGAATAACTACGAATGCTAGTCATTGTTATCCCCATTTTACAGGCAAAGAATCTAAAGCTCAGAAAACGGAAGAAACAATGCCACACAGCTAGTAAGTGTTAGAGCCAGGATTTTAATCCATCTGCCTGGGTCCTACACTTCACTCTTTCTTTCCACAAAATTATATTAGTAAAGATCACCACAGGATTTTGTTACTGTGAGAAAATCTTTCTCAAAAGAGATATTTAATAAGCAGGACTTCAACACGGAAGATGTTGCGCCCAGCATTTTGGGGCAATAGGAACCCAGTGTGGGTTACTTTCTTGATGAAGTAGATACTGATGCTTCACCCATAAAAATATGGTTTCTTGATCACTTTACACCTTTACCTGGAGAGTGGCACACCTGGGCACATCTGAGAAGAGAACAGCTACTAAAACATATTAGTTTCCTGTTTTTACTGACTCTAGAGATACTTCTGGGCCAGGCACGGTGGCTCACGCCTATAATCCCAGCACTTTGGGAGGCTGAGGCAGGTGGATCACAAGGTCAGGCGTTCAAGACAAGCCTGGCCAACATGGTGATACCCCGTCCCTACTAAAAATACGAAAAAAAAATAGCTTGGCATGGTGGCACGAGCCTGTAATTCCAGCTACTCAGGAGGCTGAGGCAGGAGAATCACTTGAACCGAGGAGGTGGAGATTGCAGTGAGCCGAGATCGCACCACTGCACTCCAGCCTGGGCGACAGAACAAGACTTGTCTCAGAAAAAAAAAAAAAGATACTTCTGAAATTGTCTTTATCTGGGACACAGGCATGGTACAAATAGTAACATCTGCTTTGCACCCTGGTTCTAACACTGTCCTTCAGCGTCGGCACTTGCATTTTATATTGGTAAACCAGCAGTTTCCTAACTTAAGTCATCAGGTTGTTGTTTTGTGTTTTAATATACAGATTCCTGGACTTCAATCTCAGAGATTCGGATACAAAAGGTCTTAGGCATGACTTAGGAATGTATAGTTTTTAAAAGCTTAATGATTCTGATAACCAGCTAGGTTTTGGAATTGCTAGATAGTATATTGTGTGAGACCTACTGATGTCAAAGTGATTTCTTTGATAGACTATTGCTGGCATTTTTTTTTGTTTTAATTCACTGAAGTCATCACTGCAGGTTACTAAAAATGTACATATGTTTATATTTATATATATACACATTTAAATTATAAATGAATATGTATATATTAAAAATAGTATATGTGGACTGCATGTTCTCACTTATAAGTGGGAACTGAACAATGAGATAACATGGACACAGGGAGGGGGAAAACACACACTGGGGCCTGTTGGGGGGTGGGGTTGGGGAAGGAGAGCATTAGGAAAAATAGCTAATGCATGCTGGGATTGATACCTCGGTGACAGGTTGATAGGTGCAGCAAACCACCATGGCACACATTTACCTATGTAACAAACCTGCACATCCTGCACATGCACTCTGGAACTTAAAATAAAAATAAAATAGTATATGTGGTACATATGCAAGATATGCAGGCTTGTTACATAGGTAAACATGTGACATGAGGGTTGGTTGTACAGATTATTTCATCACCCAGGTATTAAGCTATTAAGCCTAGTATACATTAATTATTTTTCCTGATTTTCTCCCTCCTCCCATCCTTCACCCACTGATAGGCCCCAGTATGGTTTGTTTCCTTTTATGTGTCTGTGTGTTCTCATCATTTAGCTCCCACTTGTAAGTGAGAACATGCAGAATCTGGTTTTTCTGTTCCTGCATAAGTTTGCTATGGATAATGGCCTTCAGCTCCATCCATGTCCTTGCAAAGGACATGTTCTTGTTTTTTTTTTATGGCTGCATAGTATTCTATGGTGTATATGTACTACATTTTCTTTATCCAGTCTATCATTGATGGGCATTTAGGTTGATTCCATGTCTTTGCTATTGTGAATAGTGCTGCAATGAACCCACCCACACATGCATGTGTCTTTATAATAGAACAGTTTATATTCCTTTGGGCGTATGCCCAGTAATGGGATTGTGAGGTTGAATGGTAATTCTGTCTTTAGGTCTTTGAGGAATCGCCGCACTGCCTTCCACAATGGTTGAACTAGTTTACACTCCCACCAATAGTGTAAAAGTGTTCCTTTTTCTCCACAACTTCTCCAGCATCTGTCTTTTTGTTTAGTTTTGTTTTTAACTTTTTAATAATAGGCATTCTGACTGGTGTGAGATCGCATCTCATTGTGGTTTTGATTTGCTTGTCTTTAATGATCAGTGATGTTGAGCTTTTTTTTCATATGTTTGTTGGCTGCGTGCATGTCTTCTTTTGAGAAATGTCTGTTCATATCCTTTGCCTACTTTTTAATGGAGTTGTTTTTTTTTCTTGCAAGTTTGTTTAAGTCCCTTTGAGATGCTGGATATTAGGCCTTTGTCAGATGCATAGTTTGCAAAAATTGTCTCCCATTCTGAAGGTTGTCTCTTTAGTCTGTTGATAGTTTCTTTTGCTGTACAGAAGCTCTTTAGTATAATTAGAGCCTATTTGTCAATTTTTGCTTTTGTTGCAATTGCTTTTGGCATCTTTGTCATGAAATCTTTGCCCGCTCCTATGTCCTGAATGGTATTGCCTAGATTGTCTTCCAGGGTTTTTATAGTTTTGGGTTTTATATTTAAATTTTTAATCCATCTTGAGTTAATATTTGTATATGGTATAAGGAAGGGGTCCGGTTTCAATCTTCTGCATATTGCTAGCCAGTTAACCCAGAACCATTTATTGAATAGGGAGTCATTTCCCCATTGCTTTTTTTTGTCAGGTTTCTCAAAGGTCAGATAGTTGTTGGTGTGTGGTCTTATTTCTGAGTTCTCTCTTCTGCTCCATTGGTCTATGTGTCTGTTCTTGTACAAGTACCATGTTCTTTTGGTTATCGTACCTCTGTAATACAGTTTGAAGTCATGAAGTGTGATGCCTCCAGCTTTGTTCTTTTTGCTTAGGATTGCCTTGGCTGTAAGAATGAGATAATGTCCTTTTAAGCAACATGGATGGAGCTGGAGGCCATTATCCTGAGGAAACTAACACAGGAATAGAAAACCAAATACCACATATTCTCACTTATAAGTGGGAGCTAAATGTTGAGTACATGTGGACACAAAGGAGGGAACAATGGACACTGGGACCTACTTGAGGGTGGAGGGAGACAGGAGGATGAGGATCAAAAAACTACCTATTGGGTACTATGCTTATTACCTGGGTAGCAAAATAATCTGTACAACAGACCCCTGTGACATGCAATTTACCTGTATAAGAAACCAGCTCATGTACCCTGAACCTAAAAAAAAAAGTTTAAAAATAAATGAATAAGTAAATGAAATGAAAATAGTATATATACATATAATATATAAATAGATGTATATGTTTATCTGTGCATATATACATATACATTTTTAATGTGTGTGTGTGCATGTTTGTGTTACTGAAAATTTTCCCATGTAACCCAATGCAAGGATTGATCCCGGATCTGTAGCCTGGGACAGTGTTTACAGAATCTGTGGCTTCTAGTTGCTTGGCCTCTTAATCTGGTGGTTGGTCTTAATCTTTTGCTGCAAGAAGCAGCCTTTTTTCTTATGGCTGGCTGCCACACTAGTCTGCTTACAGAAGTCCAGAGCCATGCCACAGGGTTGAAATTGTGCAACGAGGGTTTCTTCAAGCATATCTCTAACCCTGACTGCTTGAGCCTGGCCCCTTTCAACAAATTCATCTGTTGCCAGCTGCTTACAGATCCCACTCTAACCGAGAGTGTAGCATCAGTTGAATAACCTTAACAATTGGCCGGAATCTTAAGGTTAGTATCATGACCTACCATTGTCAGCTTCGAAGAAGATATGAATGAAGAATAGTATAATTGAGTCACTAGTTCTAAGCAGTATTTCCGCTGGCTACAGAAACAAGTATTCTCCTTTCTGACTTGATTTTCAGTTGCAACACTATTTGTGGGCAGGTCAGTTTTTTTTAGAGACCATAGGCACAGCACCTAGAAACTATAAACTTTTAAAGAGCCTACCAAAAAATGTTTAGAAACTTGAAAAAAAGCACATACATTTGTTCTATAGTATGGAAAAGAAAACTGCAAAAATGGAAGTTAAGAAATGTTTAATTAAATGTCTGTATAACAACATGGTTTGCCAATTTCAGCCATGGTTAAATTTAGTATTTATTCAAATATTAGTGATTTTGAAAGCAAATTGTGGGTCAGGTATACTTTTGCTGATAAATCATAGCCAACCATAACTTAATAAGTTGCTCATAGGCAAATGTTTTTAAAAACAAATTATAAAAATCCTTTCAAGTTTTTATAGCAAGAATTATTTTTAATGTGGACTATGGGTGCATATTAATATTTTGAGGTAGGAATATTAAAAAGGAAAAATGCCTAGAGCTATTCATGTTATTTAAAAAAATCCCTGTCTGTGGGTGACTAATTTCATGCATTTTTTAAAAAAGTCAGCCTAAGTGAATTCACATATTATGCTTATTGTTTAACCTTCTATTTCCTAATATTCATTGTACATTGCTTAATTAAGTGTTCTGCTGTTTGTTTGTTTGTTTGTTTGTTTGTTTGTTTTTGAGACAGAGTCTCACTCTGTTGCCCAGGCTGGAGTGCAGTGGTGCGATCTTGGCTCACTACAACCTCCACCTCCTGGGTTCAAGCGATTCTCCTGCCTCAGCCACTTGAGTATCTGGGCTTACAGGCGTAACGTACCGCACCCAGCTAGTTTTTGTATTTTTAGTAGAGATGGGGTTTCGCCATGTTGTTCAGGCTGGTCCGGAACCCCCGACCTCCAGTGATCCACCCTCCTTGGCCTCCCAAAGTGCTAGGATTACAGCCATGAGCCACTGCACCTGGCCACATGTTCTGCTTTATATGAGGATGCTTAATCTCTAAACACACATCTTAGATTAGCTCCTTGGTGTAAAATGGAAAATTTATAGATATAGAAAGGTTTTGGGACGTGCAAGTACTTTTTTAGCTGTTAATAGTTGAAGACCATTCAATGAGCTTTGATTATAGTTAAGCTGAATGACAAAGCTAGAATTTGCCCATTAATTTACCCTACAAAATGCAGTTATTTTACAAAATTTTTCCTTTCACCAAGTTTATTGCTTTCTGTAAAAAGCTTCTGCTACTGCTGCTCACCCTGAAATGAAGATGTGAGAAGAAGGGCCTGAACCCTGCCCTTTGAAGAGTTGACTGGCTTGCCCAGTGAGAGCTGTAACATGCAGTGGTGTGTGAATAGGGAGACTCATGCCATGGACCCAACCATTCTGATTACTTGACTTAAATTCCACCTCTTCTGTGAAAATGTCTCTGTGTCCCCAAGCCTGGGTTAGGTGCTCTTCCTAGATGTACCCGTTGGAACTCTATAGTCTCTCAGCATAGCACACTGTTGGTTTCTTTTCATTGTTTGACTATCCTCAAAACTGTAAACTCTTAGAAGAGTGACTGTCTTGTTCATCATTGTCTACCTAGAGCCTAGCAGAATCCCCAGCATGTAGTACCTGTACAGGTATTTCTGGGTAATATGACAAATGCAAGACTTGCAAATAAAAAATCTTTCAAAGGCAAATTTACTGGTGTCATTTAAGAGTTTAAAAATAAAACTATTTTATGAGATGGAAAATGTGAAGATCTTTAATTTTCTAGGGTTATGAAGAAATTTTAGAAAAAATGGCTTTGTGTTTTTGAAATGGTGTTAAGGCTAATATCCTTTTAGTTATCACAATTTATAATAAGAAAATTTTCATTTGAGATAAAGCAAGCAGATAACTCACAGTAGACTTAAAAACGCCTTTGTTCTTGGTTGGGTGCAGTGGTTCATGCCCGTAATCCCAGCACTTTGGGAGGCTGAGGCAGGTGGATTACTTGAGTTCGGGAGTTTGAGACCAGCCTGGCCAACATGGCGAAATCCTGTCTCTACAAAAAATACAAAAATTAGCCGGGTGTGGTGGTGCATGTCTGTAATCCCAGCTACTCAGGAGGCTGAGGCAGGAGAATTTTTTGAGCCTGGGAGGCGGAGGTTGCCATGAGCCGAGATTGTGCCACTGTACTCCAGCCTGAGCGACAGAGTGAGTGAGACTCTAACTCAAAAAACAGAAACAAAAACAAAAACCCACCTTTGTTCTTGAACAAATTTGTTATTTGTTCTTGAACCATTATCTCTAAAAGTGTTTAGTTGTTTATGACAGTCCATGAAAAAAGTGCCAGAATAAAATGCATTGTAGTGGATGCTGTTGGTGCCCTGATTGGACCCCCTTTACTTGGCAGGTGAACTACATCACCAGCTGCTATGGTGCTGACTGCTAACCACTCATAATTGTCCCCTTCTCCAGATAATTGCCCTTGGAAATGTTATCTTGGCCCTCAGTCAACGACTAACTGATTTGGTTCATAGACTCTTATGTGAGTCAACTCTGACGTGTAATTCACACTCCAGAGCTCCCCATGGGATCAGGCAGAAGTTTAGATAACTCACTACTCTACCTAACCTCTTCCCTGTCCCTACCCTGCTTCCTTCACTGCCTTACAGGTTTCTTCCAAGAACCCTCCTGCAATAAGTCAAATACACAAGGATCTGGGTCTGCTTCTAGGATCCTAACCTTAAGCTTTTACTAAAATGAAATTTCAGCTTCTGAGAGTAGGATGACTCCTGATGTCTTTTCGACTTGCTTGCAGAGGGTTCAAGAGCAAGGAGAATGACACCAGCATTCCCCTCACCCTATACATTTCCAGACTCATTCTACCTGTGATTCACGCTTATTTCTTCGATGTGATAAGTAGAGCAGGAACCTCAATCTTATTCAAATTAAGTATTTATTAGTGCAATACTTTTTTTTTTTTTTGAGATGGAGTCTTGCTTTGTCACCCACTGGAGTGCAGTGGTGCAATCTTGGCTCACTGCAACCTCCACCTCCCAGGTTCAAGTGATTCTCATGCCTCAGCCTCCCAAGTAGCTGGGATTACAGGCATGAGCCACCACGCCTGGCTAAGTTTTGTATTTTAGTAGAGACAGGGTTTCACCATGTTGGCCAGGCTGGTCTCGAACTCCTGACCTCAGGTCATCTGCCCGCCTCGGCCTCCCAAAGTGCTGAGATTACAGGCATGAGCCACTGCACCTGGCCATGTGCAGTACCTATTTTGTGTCAGTAATGTGTTAAGAAAGTTTTAGGAATATAGCGATGAATAAAACATAATTTTCTGCCCTCGAAAGAAGAAGAGAAAGAAGAAATTCCAACTTTTGAGGATATTGTTTAGGTAGAATTTAAAGCAAACAAACATCTTATCCAGTCTCTGCTTTATTTGTTTTTTTGAGACAGGGTCTCACTCTATCACCCAGACTGGAGTGCAGTGGTGTGATCACAGCTCACTGAAGTTTCAACCTTCCGGGCTCAAGCAATCCTCCAGAGTAGCTGGGACTACAGGCACAAGCCACCAGGCAGAGCAATTTTTTTTTAATTTTTTTTTTTTTGGTAGAGATAGGGGTGTCTTTATGTTGCCCAGGCTAGTCTTGAACTCCTGGGCTCAAGCGATCCTTTTGCCTCAGCCTCCCAACATGCTGGGATTACAGGCATGAGCCACCACACCCAGCTGCAGCCTCCACTTTTGATTTGATCACACTGAAGCACTAGCCCTTTCACCAAATTAAGCTCATATGTAGGAGCAACATGTCATCCTTCCAGATGATATGCACATGATGTCCATAAATCAAGTGAATTCAAACCTCTTCACAAGAGTATCCTTCCAGGGTCATAGATGAGAGCACTGACAGACTTGTTTTTTAAACTCCTTCTCACATGATTGGGAGAGGGGATAAATGTGTTATTTCCTGCTGTTCTTCCTTGGAACAATGCAATTTTCTGCAGTTTCTTTTCTGCAGCTTGCCTCCTTCTGTGAAAAAGATTCCCCTCACTTGTTTTTGGAATGTTTCCCCTCTGGACACAGCCGAGCAGAGACTTGGGGAGAACTCCGCAGTAATGCTGCAGTTTTGGTTGCTGGGCAGTTGTGTTGGCCACGGGTCCTCTGTGGGCTCACGCATAGGTGCATGTTCACTCCCTATCCAGTGCTGGAAGAGTTTTAAAGCAGGAAGCAAAAGATGCCTTTTTGGAAATGTCTTCTTAAGTTAGTGAATATGTGCCCAGGGTCCATTTTTCTAAGAACTTCATCTGAGAAATAAGAATATATTATTATAAACTTATAAACTTATTTTAAAAAATGAGTTAGGTTTTCTTTCAACTCTCTCTTGGCCCCAGGTTTTCTCACTAGTAATATGAAGGAGTTAGAATGGATGAGTTCTAATGTCCTATTCATCCGTCACATACTCTGATTGCTGTTTGCCCTTCTTCTTGGACAGGCTACATTTAAACTCCATTTAACATAATTTATTGGCTGGGTGCAATGCTCATGCCTTTAATCCCAGCACTCTGGGGAGTTAAGGCGTGCAGACTACTTGAGCCTAGGAGTCCGAGACCAGCCTGAGCAATGTGACAAAACCCCATCTCTACAAAACATACAAAAATTAGCCAGGCATAGTAGCACATGCCTATAGTCCCAGCCATGTGGGAGGCTGAGGTGGGTGGATTTCTTGCATCCAGGAGGTCAAGGCTGAGGTGAGTCATGATTGTGCCACTGCACTCCAGCCTGGGTGACAGAGCAAGACTGTCTCAAAAAAAATAAAATAGTTTATTTCAACTTATATCAGCATTAATTTGTATTGTTTAGTTAGCAGGTCTAAGGACCTGTGTATGTGTGTGTGCAAAGTAATCTGTATCAGGGTTTATCAATACTAATATTTTTGAGTGAAGTGAAAGAATATAAGTAGTAGTAAAAATAAAAATACTAATATATTTCAGGATTGGACAGCAATTCTAATAAACAACCCTAAAATCTCAGTGGTTTAATGCAATAAAATGAAATAGAATGAAAGTTCATTGCTTGTTCACAATCCAGAGCTGTCAGCAAGGGTGGGTGGAGGAGTGGGGGTTAGGGGGTCTCTGCTCCACACAGTCATTTAGGAACTCAGGGTCTTTCCATCTTGGAACACTCTCATCTTCAACATTTGGCCTTTAAGATTGCTCCAGAGTGAGAAAATAAAGTGTAAAATCACCCACTGGAAATTTTTATGAGCTAAAAACTCATACTAGCCCCTTGAAACTAGCCACTTTTCATTGGCCAGAACTCAGCCATGTGGCTCCAGCATAATTGCAAAGAGGGTGCAAAACAGCTAAGCAATGTGCCTAGGCAGGAAAGGAAAACCACAAATATTGGTGAGCCCACGCATCCCCTGCCTTATCTGGTTTCTGACTTGCTGGCATTCTGAGGTTGAGAGTGTGGCAAAGGGCTTTGCTGACCAGTGTTTCTCCTCCACACTCGTCCTACCCCTGTGTATTATTATTCTCACGCTGCTAATAAAGACATACCCGAGACTGGGTAATTTATAAAGGAAAGAGGTTTAATTGGCTTACAGTTTCACATGGCTGGGGAGACCTCACAATCATGGCAGAAGGCAAAAGAGGAGGAAAGTGACATCTTAAATGACGGCAGGCAAGAGAGCATGTGCAGGGGAACCCCATTTATAAAACCATCAGATCTTGTGAGACTTGTTCACAATCATGAGAACATCATGGGAAAGACCAGCCCCTATGATTCAGTTACCTCCCACTGCGTCACTCTCATGACGTGGGAATTATGGGAGCTACAATTTAAGAGAGATTTGGGTGGGGACACAGCCAAACCATATCACCCTGCCTTTGTGCCACCTCTCACACTCTCCCAACTCACACACCGTTTCCTTTCCCTCGGCCTTATCATTGCTGTCTTTTATTTGACACCTTGAGGTAGGGAGACATAATGTGAGTCTGGACAGACCTAAAAGATGGATTTTCTGTCGGGTGTGGTGGCTCATGCCTGTAATCCCAGCACTTTGGGAGGCCGAGGCAGGCAGATCACCTGAGGTTGGGAGTTCGAGACGAGTCTGACGAACATGGAGAAACCCCATCTCTACTAAAAATACGAAATTAGCCAGTCGTGGTGGTGCATGGCTGTCATCCCACCTACTTCGGAGGCTGAGACAGGAGAATTGCTTGAACCTGGGAGGGGGAAGTTGCGATGAGCCAAGATCGTGCCATTGCACTCCAGCCTGGGCAACAAGAGCAAAACTCTGTCTCACAAAAAAAAAAAAAAAAAAAAAAGGATGGATTTTCATGGTAAAATAAGTGGAAAAGATGGCTCACTGGAAAAGTGGCAAGAATGTCAGAAAGGGAATTGGGAGAGTCTGCAAAGATGCCAGGAGAAGTTTGAGTTGGTTTGAGATGGAAAATAATTATTCCAATGGGACACCAATTCCGTGGTGAAAATTAAGTTTCTCCCTATAGTAACAGGTGGTGTTTGGAAAAAATTTTACGAAATTTTATGAATATGATAAAATTCAGATTGAAGATTCTCTCTTAAATTAACTGCTTTGGAAAGGCCAGCATTCACAATTAAGAGCTATAAACATTTAGGAGTAAGTCATCCCAGCTTTTGTAGTTTTTTTAACACTTAACATAAAAATAACACACATACCTATATATTCTATAATTGAGGAAGATGTTTTTATAAAGAACATCACTTGCTTTCTGCCTTAAATCCTTCCACCAGGGAATGAGGAGCAAACACGTGCTCATTTGTAAGCCCACGATGACACTCAGTAAATCTGTCCAGTAGTCAAAGCTCAATCATTGCCACACGAAATCCTCCCAAATCTCCTCCAGCTTACTCCTGAAGTTGCAGACTTTCCGATATTGTAGTACTCCTAATGAAAGACAGATCCCTCTGATAGAGATTCCCTGCCCAAGACTCTCTTAGGTCATGAAAGATACTAATTCATCTTTTCATCTGGTCCTTAATGACCAATAATGGATCCTCTTTCCATTTGTTAGGCTTAGTTTAGTAAAAGCACTTTTTGGAAGCAAGTTCCTGTTTAAGTTTGTAAGTGGCATTTCTTACGCCTAAAATTTTTGCACTGGACAATTTAATGGAGCCAACAGTCACAAAACCTTGCCAAAAACAATTTCCATGAAGAGTTTAAAGGCAGTGAATCCTTGGTAGTCCAGAGCAAGCAGCAGGACTTGACCCCCAAACATGAAAAGGAACTAAATGAGCCCATTCTGAAAGCCATATAAAGCAACCACTTGCTGACATGCTGTGTTTCTTTTCGCCAGGGCCTTCCGGGAAAGGATGGATCCTCGGGACCTCCAGGACCACCAGGGCCAATAGTAAGCCTTTCCAGAAACTACTGGGACATACTCTGTTTTAAAGCACTTCATTTCTTTTGAGAGGTTTTCTTTTGCCAGATCTTTTACCAGCAGCCGTCTTCACTATAGTGTGACAACTCATCCCTTGATAGAGAACTCTCCCTAAAACTTTTTAGAAAGATAATATACCCATATTGCCCAATTATTCTATCTCTGAGCTATTTTGCCAGAAGATCACCTGCATTGACTTAGCTTTTATTAAATCACAACTAAGGCTTGAATTTGAAAGAACCACACCTGATATATAGTGAGGAGACTAAAAAAAAGTCTTCCCTCCGTTTTTGGGAGTTGGGAACAGGAATGAGGTCCTGGTGATGAGGGGGAGGGAAGCTATCATGGTGTGTATTTGTTACTCTTGCTTAAAAGTTGGCTGTCATTGATGAGAATGTGTGATTCCTGACTTTGTTCCATTTTCCTACCTCTCTTCTAGGGCATTCCTGGCACCCCTGGAGTCCCAGGGATCACAGGAAGCATGGGACCGCAAGGCGCCCTGGGACCACCTGTGAGTATGCAGCGGTAGCTGCTCAGAATGTAGGCCCAGTCATCACGTTTATTTATGTGTTTAAATTTACCAGCCTTTCTGTTAGTCAGAAATGTTTATTCAGCACTGGACTCTATGGAAATTCATAAAGGAAATTGGAAAAGCTTCTAGGATAAAGATGAAGATCAGATTATGCATATGTCATGGCTGAAGATAAATGGTCCTAAAAGGGAATAATCTGTCATGCTTTTGCTTATATGTTTCTATTGCTTGCTATTCTGTATTTGGCTAAGCAAACTCAATATCATCTCTCCAGAGATTGGGTACAACAGCTACGTGTTAATCAAGCTGGGTTCCCAAAGGGAAAAATAGAAAGCTTGGGAAATTCTAGGTTTAATGAACGTGACATTAGATTTTTCTCTTCCAAATTCTACAAGACAGAATTTACCAGTAAAACACACACTCACACATAAGTGAGAGGTGTTATAAGTGAAAACATAATGAACAGAATTCTTTGCCTCTGATTGTTGTACTTCTAGTCTCTTAGGTTGGTGTTTAAATGTGATCAATGGGAGAGGAAGGGATAAGGTGAAAGAAAAACAAATGAACACATCTGGGCCTGTTTCTTCATCTGTAAAATGAGGTCATCATATTACATGGCCTCTGGAGACATGCTTGGCATCTTCTGGTGACATGCAAGTTGTTCCTTCTAGGTTTAGATGTTAGTCAGCATTCTGATATTTATCTGTGAATTGCTAAGTCTACATCCATAAACTGAAACATTGAAAAATGCAAAGATGTGTACAACTGCAAACACACTAAGAATGTGTGGAGCAGTGAAATCCAATGGATGAGGATGGAAGCATCTAGTGAATTAGATTCCTGTTACCACTTAACAAATTGCCACAATCTCAGTGGCTTAAAACATCACAAATTTGTTATCTTACAGTTCCGCAGGTCAGAAGTCTGGCGCAGATCTCACTGAGTTAAAGGGAAGGTGTCGGTATTTCCTTTCTGGAGGCTAGAGGAGAGAATCTCTTTCCTGGCCTTTTCTAGCTGCTAAAGGCCTCCCGTAGTCCTTGGCTCATGTCCACCTGCATCTTCAAAGCCAGCAATGTTGCATCTCTCTGGCCTTTTTCTGCCGTAGTCACTTCTCTCTGACAACAGCCAGGAAAGGTTCTCTTCAGGACCTATGTGATTACATTCAGGCCACTGGGATAATCATAGATAATCTCCCTAGATAATTCCCAGATCCTTAACTAAGTCACATTTGCAAATTGCCTTTTGCCACATAAGGTAACATATTCACAGGTTCTGGGGATTAGGGCAAAGAAGTTTGAAGGGCCTTTTTTTCTGCCTACCATAGTAAACAAGATGTAACAGAAATGTTGGTTCTCATTCAGAAAGTGGCCTCTCTTCGTCTAGCAACCCAGATAGTCTTGTTCCTCTTATTCTTGAAACTCATTTTAATAAAATTATTTCATCCTCAGAATCCTTTTCTGGGCCATGATTCATGTGAGGCATATGT
Organism: Homo sapiens; assembly: GCF_000001405.40. NCBI lineage: Eukaryota > Metazoa > Chordata > Mammalia > Primates > Hominidae > Homo > Homo sapiens. The sequence goes on from NC_000008.11 coordinate 120,334,243, forward strand.
AGGTACACAAACCCATACAGGTTATGCACATACAAAATGCATCTTGATTTTAGCAAACACATCCTAATTTGCACATTCAAATAAATGCTATCCTTAGTAATCACTTTATACAGCTGTATCTTTATTCCAACTACAATGTCATTCAAAATACAAAATACTTTTAGATCTCTTCTTTTTATATCAACCTAGTAATGGGTCACAGAAGAAAATCTGATTGCTTTATCTTCACACATCTTTCTTTTAATTCAAAAATGTGTTGCAAAGTATGATCCTGCACCTAGAAACATATACTGAAACCCACATGTGTGAACACATGAAAAAATGCATGCGTTCACACACAAAAACACACACACACACACACACACACACACACACACCTGTCTTCATTCTTTCACTGCAAGCTTATCTATTCGTTTGATTCTAAGCTGTTTCATACCAGAAAAGAAACTTAAAAACATACTGTCTGGTATTTGGCTTCAGCCTGCTTCCCAGAATGTGCTCCTGGGAACCAGAGTTTTAGAATACATCCACAGTGCCAGACAGTAAAGGGTCCTGGTCAAAGAAGTGGCCCTGACATGACCCTAACTAGTTGTGTAAGCCACATGCACAGAAACTGCATGCCTAATCTGTTTCTCAGAAATTCATGGGAAGTTTTAGGACATGAAAGGCTTTGAGGCATCCCGAAGTGAAATTAGAAAACACCCAAAACTAGTTTAATTTGGTTAGACAATAAACGTATTTGTGCATGAGGTTCTTATTCTTACTAGCATCTCCTAGAACTAGTTTCTCCTAACCCAGGCTAGGAAAAAGCAAGGTATAGAGTGATCCTGACCCAAGAGGGAGGGAATGGGGAAGAAGGAAGGAAAGAAATGCAGGCTCTGAGAGCTTTGGGAGAGTTGACATGGGGCGTGGAGAGCTAGAGAGAGACCTGGAATCATTGAGTAACTATGATAGCACCCTGCTCACCGATCTGGCCTTTGGTGGCTCTGGATTAGACTCTAAATATAGTATCTACATAAATACCAATAAAATTTTCCCACAAATAAAACACTTGTTCATAATGTTATTTTTGTTATGAATCAGCAGAAAGGGGCCCTTGAAAGCAGCAGGAGGGGCCCTTGTGCCATTGGTGCTTTGATCAGAGGCAGAAACCATTTGGCCTATTAGCATCAGGTAGGAATACCACAGCTGGCTTGGGCATTTCCTCTCAAAAGCAAGTTGCTCTCTGAACTGTCCAGCCCAGACTTTTTTGGGCCCACTGGCTCCCAGATGCTTGCTGGCGGCCAGACTGGCATGACTGTGACAGCAGGCTCCGTGTCATGGTGTTAAGGCCTGGATTGATTTCCCATGGATGTCTGTCTAGGAAGGCATGAGGGAAAGGGACCAAGAGGGACAGGCTGCACCGCTGAAAATAGCAACATGTTTCCTACAGTGGGTGCCAGAAAGGCTTGCTTTTGTGCAGTCTGCCTTCAGCTGCCGGCTCCCTAGGGCAGAATGTACATTGCTGCTGCTGAGGTCCTAATTCCGATCTAAGTTTTAAGCACTGGCTTAGGTACGGTTCCTCCACTGCAGTTGTTAGAGAGTGATAAAGCACACGAACGAAGGAGCTGCTCACTGCTGGGGCCATGTGTTCAGCCAGGTAGACAGGTCCAGGGTTACATCATTGAAAGAGTATTGCATTAGAAGTCAGGATACCTGGGTCCTTGATGTAGCCCTGACATGACTCAAAGTAGCTGTGAAAGCCACATCAGTTGCACAAATCATCTAGCCTTTTGGAATGTCAGTTTCCTAATTCATTCATTTAAAATATTTAGGGAATGAGCACAATACATGTAAGATTACATGGTGGGGAGGGGTTGTGAGGGATACAAAAGATCTCAAGACATTTTTCAATACTCTTGAGAAATCCAGAGAGAATGATGTTTTTATATAAGAAGCTGTAATAAAGGGCAGAAAGTGTGAAATGCCTTAAGGCAAAGACAAGCAAATTGCTCTGAAAGCTCCATTAAGAGAGAGACCCCTAAGCTGAGGGGTGGGAGTAGCGGCTTCAGGAGCATTTAGATGAGATCTTAGAATATGGGTAGGAACCTAACCCACAAAGACAGAAAGATTGCATCACTTAGGTGGCAGTTGCAGAAAAACATAAGGCAAACACAGAGCACCCCTGTCTCTGTACATTTTAATATTTTTCAATTCTTTCTCTAGTTCCATCACGACTACTGCAGTTTTATTTCAGGCCCTGCTTGCTACTCACAAGGACTATCCCAAGAGGCTCTCATTGGCCCCCTGGTCTCTGCTTTAGCCCTGGTCTAGTCCATTCCCCAGCTGCCAGAACATCTTTTAGTGCAACTCCCTCGTGTCACTGTCTGGCTTCAATCTCTTCCCTACCCCTGGAGGAAGGAGCCCAGTTGTTCAGCAGAGAGCTCGTGGCCCTTTAGGATGGGCCCCTACTTTCCTTTCCAACTTGGATTACCATCCTCCCTTCACTTGGAGTTCAGTCACACATTATTTAAAGTTCCTGAAATATATGCCATACCATTTCACATGTTTGTCTTTGGGGATGCTAACAACCTACAGGATGCTCTTTGGGATGCTCTTTTGCCTTACTGGGCTGCATTCTTTTTCACCACTTGGTGAGCTCCCGGCAAATCCTTCTTTAAGGCTGCACATCTCCTGTGTAAAGCCACCTGTCCCTTCGCAGGCTGTTAGGTACTGCATTTCAACTATTGATGTTTGTCTCTCCACTAAAAGGATAATTCCTTCAGGATAGAAATTCTATCATATTCTTGTGCAGAGTCCTAGACCCCAGCTCAGTGTCTAACACATAGAGAGTACTTAATATGTATTTATTAAAAGAAAAAAAGAAGGCTGGGTGGGGTGGCTCATGCCTGTAATCCCAGCACTTTGGGAGGCCAAGGCAGGTGAATCACCTGAGGTCAGGAGTTTGAGACCACCCTGGCCAACATGGTGAAACCTGGTCTCTACTGAAAAAGAAATACAAAAATTAGCTGGGCGTGGTGGTGGGTGCTTGTAATCCCAGCTACTCAGGAAGCTGAAAGACGAGAATCGCTTAAACCCGGGAGGCAGAGGTTGCAGTGAGCCGAGATCATACCACTGCACTCCAGCCTGGGCGACAAAGCAAGACTCTGTCTCAAAATTAAAAAAAAAAAAAAAAAGAAAAAAGAAAAAAGAAAAAAAAGAAGGTACGTTTATATTCTAGTTAGGCTGATGTTCAGAGGCATATTAGAAGAATATTCTTATAGATTAGGGGTCAGGTCATGGAAGACGTTTCAAGCCAGCCTAAGATGTTTTGACTCTGTTTAACAGACATCTTTAATATGTAGGACTTGAACCACAAGATCATTCCTCTTCCTTCCAGCGCTAAAATTCGGTGAATCTATGAATGTAGCTGCTGTATTTTCTTTTCTTTACATTTCGAGTGCTCCTAAAATTAAAGGAAAGTGTGCCACTTTTTCCTGCCTACATCTGCAGGGAATATGTGTTTTCCCTCAAAGCATACTTTGGTGGAGTTATGGGCCTTCACTTGCTCAGGAATTTTTATTTTGTTTTTGTTTTACTTTGTAAAAATCAAAGGAACGATGTCAGAGAAGTTGGAATAAAAAATAATTTCTTGCCATAGAGATATTTCATTAAAAAGATCTTTCACTGAGACTGCCTAGCTGCATCCTTTGGCTACTTAATAACCAGCATCATGAGACTGAGTTTGAGGAATTTCAAGCCCAATTAAACACATCCGTCCCTACATACCAAAAGGTGCCAACAGCTGATGCTCTCCATTTACCATGTCAATCAGGTTTGCACTATAATTGTAGTCTCTAGATTTGAGACATTTTCAAACAAGCCAGTTTAATAAATGATAGCAAGAATAGCAAGAAAACTGTCAAAAAATGTATTGGTGCAGAAATAAAATTATTCAAGATAAAATAGATTTTAAAAAAACGACTCAAGTTGCACCCTAATTCTGAATTACTAGAGTTAGTCCTTAGGCATGGTATGTTTGCTTGTTTTGCTTATTTTAATTGAGAAAATATTATCTTCCCTGGAATAGAAGACATGAGCTGGCAGAATTGCTAAGCAGGGTTCTCTTTCAACAGAGTGGTAGAGTGTACTCGGGATGTGCATGGATTCTGGAGCCCACAATTTGGGTTCAGGTCCCTGGTTTTTTCACTTCCTTATTGCCTGGCCTTGAGCAAGTGACAAGACCTCTTAGTGCCTCATTTTCCATATCTGGAAAATAGGAATAATATAGGGTTGTTATAAAGAATAAATGAGTTAATCTTATAGGAGTATTATAAGCACTAAATAAGTTAATCTTATAGGAGTATTGTAAGCACTAAATAAGTTAATCTTATAGGAGTGTTATAAGAATTAAATGAATTAATCCTGCAGAGCTGTTATAAGGTTTAGCTGAGTTAACATGCTAAGAACAAGGACAGTGCTTGGAACATGGTAAAGCAGCCTACGTATCAGCTATTAGTATTTAGAGTGTCATAATGTATTAAAATATGGAATATTTATTATTTGCTGATTTTTTTGTTTTGCCTCTAATATTTGACAAACTGTTTCCGTTAAGGATTATTTAGTGGTAAGATGGTAGTTCTTTTCTCCAGTTGGTCCTTCCAGTAAACACTAATGTCTCTTTAGAGATCTGTCCATTTGTGAAGCCTAAGAAATGAGGGAAGAAGGCACAGCCAGTACATTTATTTCCAAAAAGAATTTGGGCTGGGGCAGGGGTGTGCTATGTAAATCTTACTTTTGCAAAAAAAATTTTATGATGGAACGCCTCCCAGGTTCAAGTGATTCTCCTGCCTCAGCCTCCCGAGTAGCTGGGACTACAGGCGTGTGCCACCACAGGCACGCGCCACCACGCCCGGCTAATTTTTGTATTTTTAGTAGAGATGGGGTTTCACCATATTGGTCAGGCTGATCTTGAACTCCTGACCTCGTGGTCTGCCCGACTTGTGATCAAGGCCTTTGCGATCCTCCCAAAGTGTTGGGATTACAGGCGTGAGCCACCGCGCCCTGCCATCTTCTGTCTTTTTTACAGTCAGGGTAGTTGAAATGAAGCACAAATTGGCTTGCCATTCAAACTTGAAGTGAAATTCAGCCACACTACATCCTCAGAAGGATCCTTTGTGAGGATCTTCTTTCTCTGTAGAGGTTGGAATCCTTTCCTCGGAAGCCCAGACTTTGTATTTTTCATCAATTTCTGTTTCCTGTGCTCCCTGCTTCTGAATAACGACCATATCATGAGAGAATAACGTGTTAGACTGATAAGGGAATCCCAGAGATCACTTCATTTAGTGGCCTCATCTTACAAAGAAACTCAGAGAGTTAACCCAGCTTGCAGGTCCAATGTCCTACATTCTTTCCAAAGTATTAGCATAAAAAAATTTTAAACACACACAAAATGGAAAGAATTTTGAGTGAACACCACACCCATATATCCAACACTAAGATTCTAACATCATGTTTAAAAAAAAAAAGTGTTGGCCAGGTGCAGTGGCTCACTCCTGTAATCCCAGCACTTTGGTAGGCTGAAGTGGGCAGATCACTTGAGGTTCAAGAATTTGAAACCATCCTGGCCACCATGGTGAAACCCCGTCTCTACTAAAAATACAAAAATTAGCCGGATGTGGTGGCACGCACCTGTAGTCTCAGCTACTCAGGAGGCTGAGGCAGGAGAATCACTTGAACCCAGGAGCCAGAGGCTGCAGTGAGCTGAGATCGTGCCACTGCACTCCAGTCTGGGAGATAGAGGGAGACTGCGTCTCAAAAAAAAAAAAAAAAAAAAAGTGTGTGGGTGTGTATGTGTGTGTATGTGGTGTATGTTTGTGAGTGAGTGAGTGTGTGTGTGTGTGTGTGTGTGTGTATTGAATAGACATAGCAGGGCAAGGGAGGAGAGGAGAGAAGATAGAGCCAGGGTGGGCTGCTTATATCTGCACTGGAGAGTCAATCATGCATTTCTCTTCCTTTCCAATTCCATCTTCAGTGACAGCACATTTGTAGCTTGAAATCAGCTGTGATAGAAACACTTACACCTCCAAAATCAGCAAGCACTACAAGTCAGGGCATTTTCTTTTTCTGGGAAGCCAGTTTACCTGCACACTGTGGGATGAAACCAGAAGTTTGAATCTGGGCAACTGGTCACTGACTACAGATTTTGAAGAAGATACCGAGTTTGGCTTGGGACCTGTTTGAAATAACAACTGGAAACAGTCTGACAACGTGGCAAATTCCATTAATGAATTCCATTCACTCTCCTTTTAGTCGAGACTATAAAAATGTTGTTCAATGAACATTGCCTCAGAGTTGAAACAAAATATGAAATCCTTCTGAAGACACGTGTTTTGCATTAGATGTATGATTTTTTTGGAGGAACCCTGAAAATGCCATTTTTAAAGTAGATGCGCTTTAATAACGGCAAGGTTTCTTATGGGTGAAAGAGTAGCTAAGCCACATAATAAAATAATAAATCAATTGAGAAGTCACATAAATGTGAGCTCCCATATTGGGGAGAATTAGGGAGAATTGTGTGGCATCGTGCTGCACAGAAATCAGAGTGAAGCTCTGGGATTTCACTAATCTCATCTCTGACTTGAACTCCTAAATTGAGAGGTGATCTTTTCTATCCTTTTGGAGATATTCCTTTAAAAACTGAAACAATTTAACTATTCATCAGAGATTTGTGAAATAAATTATGAAGGATCCTCAGTAGAATACAGTACATAGAGTGGCGTTTAGGGTGGAAAGATGCAAAGGACCTACACAGTGAAAATATGTGTTACAAAGCAATATTATTGCTGCACGATTCCAATTTTGTGGCCAAAATATACCATGTCTCTGCATAAAAAAGCTGAAAGGGTAGAATGCTTAACAGAGCTTTTTATGTTTGGTGTGCGTACTGGTTGCTGTTTATTTTCTGTTGTTGTGTAATGATTTTTGCTGCAGAATTACTGGTGCTAAGAAAAATGTCTTAATAAAATAAGAAAAGATGCATGATTATCACTCTTAGCTAAGTGCAATATCATAAGTAACTTGACAATTTTCCATTTATACAGGGTGTCCCTGGAGCAAAGGGGGAACGAGGAGAGCGGGTAAGTATCCTGTGGCTCTGCTTTCTGGCCCCAGCTTGTTGCACCCCTTCCATTGCATAAGCCTGATAAAGGATCATCATTTAATACCATTAATATTCATTGCAATTGTACCAGTCTCTGTTTCTCCCTTTCCCCAATTCATTAGACTGTGGCCATATTTTCCAGACATAAAATCCCTGTGGGCTGGGAGTCAGGAGAGCTAGTTTCTAATTGCATATCTGCTACCATCCAGGTCAATGAACTTGGGCTCTTTTCTTTAAGGATAAAATGGAGAGAATCACCGTCATATAATTTACAAAGTGGGTTTGATGAGAACGTTATATAATAGATGTGAAAAGGCTTCAGAAAAGTAAAAACTCTATACAAGTGACAAGTGGCAGCATGGCACTCCTGGGCTTTTTGATGCTCCCAGGTTCACACCCAGGAAGACAATGGCAGGCATAGAATCAAAGAACTGGCCCCCAAACTGAAGTCAGCTTAATTTAAGGGTCGTCTCTCTCCTTTCAGCAATTGTGCAGCTGCTAATATAATTGTGCCATTGGCTATAGCAGAAACAGCAGTGGCCTTGGGCTCATCCAATTACCTCTGTGAAATCTTGGGCCATGTGTTTAATGCTATTCAGCTATAAAATGGGTTTAACATCTTTCCTCTGGGTTGCTATTAGTATTAAATGAGCCACTGCTCGAGAAAGTGCTGTATTTTATAAGCTCTAAAGAGCTATATATCACGTGTTAAATATATATGGGTTTGTTTCAAAACTATTAAATTTTTTAGAATAGGGGACCAGAAATACTTACTAGTGCTTGTTAATCTAATAAGGACTCCCAGGAACCTTGAACCATGAATATCAAATTGCTTACCCCTTCTCTGCATGCACCGTGGTGGTCAAACCCACCTGTTGCTAGGGGCCAAAGATCCCTGATGGGAACAATGGGGCAAGTCAGATCCACATCCTGGAAGTCCTGGTAGTGTGGCTGGGCTTGTAGCTGAGTCAGGAGTATGCTTTTTTTCTCATCCAGGGTGACCTGCAGTCTCAAGCCATGGTGAGATCAGTGGCGCGTCAAGTATGCGAACAGCTCATCCAGAGTAAGTATGTAATGGTTACGGAGGATGTTCCCCATAACAAACTCTCATCCAAAAGAGAGTTTCTTTTCCCATGAGCGTACCACTAAGGAAAACTCTAAAGCATTGTCTTTGTGCAGACACATAAGCTTTACAGATGACCATCACTGACCCATCAAAGAGATCACTGCAGATTACCCTAGAGCTCTACATCGATGGTACAAAAGCCAAATTCCTTTGTGTCATTGGTCCAAGAACTGCCTGTTTGCCCATGTAAATTTAACTTGACTGCCCAGATCAGATCTTCTATTCCTTTCTCATCTTTCCAGGTGGGTAGGATTTTTTCTCAAGTGTTCAGCACTTGAAAGCTGCCAGACTACATCTTCAGAAGCTGCCTCAGAAAGACAATTTATGGTGTTGATTTTTATTAACTTGCAAGATTTAAATGAATATTTCCTTCTTATCCATTTCACATCCATTACCTTCTGGCTAGCCTAAGGTCTTCTCATTTATTTCTTAAGATGTTTATGAAAATACAAACACACACATGAACAGGCTTGCTCTGACGTTTGATATGATATTATACTTGGGCTTTGTGCCAAAAATTACATCATAACAAACTTGATATGACGCCTGTCCCATTTCTTCATTTTACTTGAGCTTTTTGATAGCACTGTATTTCCCTGCCCATTTGCTTAGATCCCACCACTTTTGCACGTTTCTGCTCTGCCCACTGATTATATATTTTATCACAGTAATCTAATCAGATGGTTACTAGTGTGGGCCCTTCGCTTTGCCAGTAATTTGTTCAGTTCCAGGAATATCTGAGGCCAAGCAGAGGTGAACTATCTCTCTCAACCCCACCCAGCTCTCGCCTAGCTCTGCTGTCCAGCCCTCTCACCCAATAGCACCCCCACTTCCAGGGCTGACATTACCCAGGTGGGTACCTCATTGGCTTGGGGTTATATTTATTTTAACTCAAGAAAGTTTGGGAGTTAGGCCAGGAAGCCCTGCAATATCTAAGACAGCTTTGTTGGCTAAGTCCAAAATTCCATCTTTAATTCTGAGATAAATCCAAATCTCACCCTGGAGGAGGCATGGAGTTGAGATCTGCACAGGCTTGGAAGAGTTTTCATTAAGGCAAAAACATCAGGGCAAGAGGAGTATGAAGATACCAACTTCAGACACAGTAGTCATGCTCCCTGTATTTTAACGTTATTTAATTTTCTGTTATATTGCCCAAACTATGTGTGTGTCTGTGACAGAGAATTTACCAGTTAAATATAACTGTTTAAGTTTAATGGCAAAATAGGATCTTTAAAAATACATTATAAAAGAGAAATTGAACATTAATCATTTTGTACTGACATATTGTAAATAACCTGTATCTTGAATTGTTTTTTAGATTTCTGATTTCAAGTGTACAATGTAAATGAGCAGATCATTATTTTCAGAAAACTTAAGGCTTAAATCTTACTATGACTCACTGACCACTACCCAAGAAAGATCTCACAATACTTGCTGTCTTATTCTACTGTAGAATAAAAATCATGTGTAAATATCTGATTATTTAAAGCATGCCCTAAAAATCAAGGGTTCAAAATCAATTTTTTCTCCTTACGAATTCTCAGAGTCTTGTGATTGACTTCTAGGAAGTAGAAGTCATCAAGGGATTGGTTACACAGTAAAGCTTAAACAAGTCTATAAAATAGCAAGGCCCTGCCTGTCAATATACTAGAAGGAAATCAAAAAGGTTGTATGCAACTCGATAAGCCAGGCCCAGCCTACTCAGAGGCTGTATTTCTGGTACCTCAACCATCTTGCCTTACACTACTTCAGTTTTCTCTGGGATCCTTATTGTATTCCTTCAGCTGCCACTCAGAACTGGATTTATCAGTTAGCAAATAATTCCTCACAAGCTCACTTCTCTGGTTTTTAGTTCACAGTTGATCAGAATTATGCTAGGAAGAGTTACATGGGAAATTATGCAAGGCCAAAGTGATGACAGCTGGGAAAATGATGATGGACAGTCCCCATGTCAAAGGCAGAAACTGAAAAAGCAAATGAGGAAATGTCTCACCTGCCCAGGCAACAATGGACGTGCCTACTAATAACATTGAGTCATCAGGAGCGGATCCCTACTTACAGTGACAATCCAATGCTTAAGGAAAGAATGCACTGAATGTATTTTAGAGTGAATTCCTTGAAGAAATTGTTACTATTTTTATTTAGTTTTAAATGTTTCAAAATGGATAAATAACAGTAAACTAGAAAATTCACTTATGTTGGGAAAACTCCTCTCCTAATGATGTTGGAAAAATGAGACATCATGGTATCAAGTACTTTATACTTCTGATTAGTAACATATATCTGTATATATATTTTCCATACATAACTGAGTTAAGGGATTGTGGGAGAGAGTGCCAGATTTTTTAAAAATATAAAGCTAGTGGGAGTTTCTGCAGCTGAGACCCAAGTAAAGGTTCCTAAAAAAAGGCTTGATGACCAAGAGATGAGTTGAGACAGAGCACTTGTCTGGGGATTTGTGAGCAAGAGGGTGGGGAGGCTTTGTGCGTTTTAGAAAAGAAAAATAACTTGGGGAGTAATTGCTAGAGAAATGGCAGCTGGGTGAGGGTCTAGGGGTCAGATAAATGTTGAGGGTAAAGATGAAATTTACAACTTCTGCTCAGTGATGTTTATTGAGATGCTGACATGAGCTGCAGAATTCCAAACACATGAGATGCCATTTGACAACAGTCCAGCCCTTAATATCATCCAGAGTAAAACGTAAAAAAATGTTAAGCTGGAAATCAACATATTTCAAAGGGGTGTGATTTTTCCCTTGGTGGGTATCTAACAGAATTGTTTGCAGCCTTAACAAATGACACCCCTGGTCCTCTCTTTCCTTGTGTGACAGTTCACTGAATGCTGTCTTTATGCTTCATACCTCAGGTCACATGGCCAGGTACACTGCCATCCTCAACCAGATTCCCAGCCACTCCTCATCCATCCGGACTGTCCAAGGGCCTCCTGGGGAGCCTGGGAGGCCAGGCTCACCTGGAGCCCCTGGTGAACAAGGACCCCCAGGCACACCAGGCTTCCCCGGAAATGCAGGCGTGCCAGGGACCCCAGGAGAACGAGGTAAGCTGGGCCCCTTCTCTCAGAGGAACTCCTCTGAGTTGGGTGCAGGGAAGCAGAACATTATAGTGGTTCTTATACAAGGATAAAGTCTGAAACAATGGACTTAAATTAATTCTGCCCCATCTATTCTTCAGTTTCTTGTTTATTTATCTCTGAGATTGAGAAAATTGAGCAATCTGCCAAGTGGTTATCTAGAGCCATATCTACTTATATGAAAGAGGAAGGTTAGAACCCCCAAATCACTTCTGAGAGTATTTGAGCTAATGAAAGAAAGATAACCCCTCTAGATGGATGAAGTCAAAAAGGGTGCCCCTTCCAGGTTGAAGAATTGGAAAATGATGCCGCCCTCTGACCAAACATGGCATCACACCAATGTCAAGGCAAGCAGAGAACTCACTCTGGTGATTTGCTGGTGCTTTATTTGTGTGGTGCCCAGACTGGGCAATAGTCAGTGGCAGTCCTGAGAAGAGTCATGAATTGTATCAGCATATGGTTCACATGTTCCTGTATAGACCATGTCAGCTCTAAACTTCAAATTAAAATACTGTCTGCGGCTCATCTTCCTATTATATCAGACAACATTTTATTTAATAGTTTCATGGGCCAATGTTTTGCCTTTCCCACTAAAGTTTCCTTAAAACAGAGATTCTACTTAGCCTTTTCTTCCACATCTACAGGTCTTAGAAGTATGGTGTAATACAATAATAAGACTCTTTTGACTGAATCTATAGTCGACTAAGATATTCCATTCCAGAAGCAGGTAAAGGAGATGTGGGAAGTCAGGGTTGCATGTTAACCGTGAAGAAAGTGATGGGAAAGAGAGACAACTCATCAGAGTATTTTCTAAGATACATTTTGTAGAACATAGACCTGGGGAAAAGCTAACTTTTACCTATCTGCTCTGTGAGGCATATTAGTTTTGTGGGATGGGTAGGATATATTCCTTTTATAAAATTTGATTTAAAATACAGATTACAAAAACTATTTCATATTTATTTTGACTCATGCTAACAGGCCTTGTGTATTTCTGCCTCTGCACTTTTGTACACATTGTTTTCCCTCTTTGGAAATGTCCTTTCCTTCCTTTGTCTTCCATACATCTTACTCTTAGTTCAAGGCTCAGCTGTCTTATGCATGAAATTGTTATTGATCACCCCAGAACCCAAATGTCTCCGCCCCCATGAACACCTGATGCCCTTACTGTCTTTTCTTTCTGTTTTAGCACTCATCAGGCATTAGCGAACAGCCAGGTTGTTGAGAGCAGGGATTGGTTCTGAATTGCTTTGCACAATGCTTTGCACTTAATAGGTACTTACTAGATAGTTGTTGCTTTAATTGTGACCCAGTTCTGATTTTTCTTTCTGAAAGTTTTTCCCTGTGTCAGGGCACAAAATCAGCAGATATAGAAAATGGCATCATTCCCTCACAACACACCAAAGATCTGGCAGCCTGGAATGTGGCCCCCTCTGTCAGCAGGGCATCCTCTGCTGCTGTCAATAATGGAGAAACTGTGACTCAGTGAGCACAGAGCCAGCACCTGAGTCATTCCCAGCAAGTCATAAGTTGTCTTTGTTCTTTTTGGAAGTCTTAGCCCCGTTCTTGCCAGACCGAGTCTCTCCTGCTCTGCAAGTACACTTGAATGATTAGACCACAGAAAAATCACCCAAGGATTCTCAAAGGGCAGCCCAGACGACCTTTGGAAATATGAATTTCCATGATGTAATTTTCTTACATACATATTGATATATATTCTAAAGAGTACAGTAGACAAGCAGAATCCTATATTTCACAAATGCATAAAAGATGACAGTAAGACAGAAAGTGAGAAATGCCCTTTGAGCATGGGGAAAGGTGATTTTAGTTGATGACCACTTGAAGGGTGTGATTTTGCGATGACTGTTATAGGTCAGGGCTTATAGGCCAGCATCCAAGGGGCTCCTCATTCCCGGCAAAGTTATTTCAGCTGCAGCTTGGATTTGCTGCTGCAAGGTAGGCAGTGATGTTTGGGATCCAAATATCCAGGAAAGATAAAGAGAGGAAAGGCCTGTCTTTCCACTAAGTCAAAACAATAAAATTTAAAAACTGAAGTCTTCAGCTATCTTTTCTCTTCTCATTTTCTATAAAAGGAAGCATATGAAGATATTGAAGTAAGGCCAAAAAGGCTCAAAGTCAGCCAACATCAAGACTTGAAATAAGAGCCAGAGACTGTGTTGTTTTTTTCTGCTGTATAAAATATGATTATCATCATTCTGGATAAAATAATGTTATAAGGACACAATATTGTAATGAGTAAAAATAAGTACTATTACCAGGCAGTGTATGTAGCACATAATGAACTACAAAAGCAAGATTATGAGAAATATGGCTGTTGAGCATTCTGGCATGAACACTGAAATGAGGCTCACTTTCTGCTTAGGCTTCCTATGAGCCTCATAGGAGTCTTCCTAAAAAAATTCACTACTGGGTATCTACCCAGAGGAAAAGAAGTCATTATACAAAAAAGATATTTGCATATGCATGTTTATAGCAGCACAATTCGCAAGTGCAAAAACGTGGAACCAACCCAAATGCCCATCAATCAATGAGTGGATAAAGAAACTGTGGTGTATATATATATATGAAGCATATATAAAGCATATATATATGTATATATATGAAGCATATATAAAGCATATATATATGTATATATATGAAGCATATATAAAGCATATATATATGTATATATATGAAGCATATATAAAGCATATATATATATATATATGTATATGATTGAATACTACTCAGCCATAAAAAGGAATGAATTAATGGCATTCACAGTAACCCAGATGAGATTGGAGACGAGCATTCTAAGTGAATTGACTCAGGAATGGAAAACCAAACACCATATATTCTCACTCATAAGTAGGAGCTAAGCTATGAGGATGCAAAGGCATAAGAATGATACAATGGACTTTGGGGACTCAGGGGGAAAGGGTGGGAAGTGGGTGAGGGATAAAAGTCTACAAATAGGGTATAGTGTATACTGCTCAGGTGATGGGTGCACAAAAATCTCACAAATCCCCACTAATGAACTTATGTAACCAAACACCACCTGTTCCCCAATAACCTATGGAAAAAAATTTTGTTTTTTTAAATTCACAACTCCATTCAGTTTGGATAGTTTTTCATCAGAAGTGCCCACTCTAACTTTTCTATTCTAGTTTTTCAAACTTTTAAAAATGTGATACACAGTAAAAAATACATTTGACATCATGATGCAATATTGCTTATGCATATGCATGCATGCAAATGTATATAACTGGGACAAAAGAAATTATTTTTACCCTTCCTGTTATTCCCTGTTTTCTTCTTTTGTTAAAAGAACGAGGAGAGACCTTGGGTTTCATTACCTTAGTTTGAAAAACACTATACCCTAATGTCCCTGTCTGACAGCTTTGAAGGGAGCAGTGGTTCTCCCAGCACGCAGCTGGAGATCTGAGAACCGGCAGACTGCCTCCTCAAGTGGGTCCCTGACCCCTGACCCCGAGCAGGCTAACTGGGAGGCACCCCCCAGCAGGGGCACACTGAAACCTCACATGGCAGGGTATTCCAACAGACCTGCAGCTGAGGGTCCTGTCTGTTAGAAGGAAAACTAACAAACAGAAAGGACATCCACACCAAAAACCCATCTGTACATCACCATCATCAAAGACCAAAAGTAGATAAAACCACAAAGATGGGGAAAAAACAGAACAGAAAAACTGGAAGCTCTGAAAATCAGAGTGCCTCTCCTCCTCCAAGGGAACGCAGCTCCTCACCAGCAACAGAACAAAGCTGGGTGGAGAATGACTTTGACGAGCTGAGAGAAGAAGGCTTCAGACGATCAAATTACTCTGAGCTACGGGAGGACATTCAAACCAAAGGCAAAGAAGTTGAAAACTTTGAAAAAAATTTAGAAAAATGTATAACTAGAATAACCAATACAGAGAAGTGCTTAAAGGAGCTGATGGAGCTGAAAACCAAGGCTCGAGAACTACGTGAAGAATGCAGAAGCCTCGGGAGCCGATGCGATCAACTGGAAGAAAGGGTATCAGCAATGGAAGATGAAATGAATGAAATGAAGCGAGAAGGGAAGTTTAGAGAAAAAAGAATAAAAAGAAATGAGCAAAGCCTCCAAGAAATATGGGACTATGTGAAAAGACCAAATCTACATCTGATTGGTTTACCTGAAAGTGATGGGGAGAATGGAACCAAGTTGGAAAACACTCTGCAGGATATTATCCAGGAGAACTTCCCCAATCTAGCAAGGCAGGCCAATGTTCAGATTCAGGAAATACAGAGAACGCTACAAAGATACTCCTCGAGAAGAGCAACTCCAAGACACATAATTGTCAGATTCACCAAAGTTGAAATGAAGGAAAAAATGTTAAGGGCAGCCAGAGAGAAAGGTCGGGTTACACTCAAAGGGAAGCCCATCAGACTAACAGCGGATCTCTCGGCAGAAACCCTACAAGCCAGAAGAGAGTGGGGGCCAATATTCAACATTCTTAAAGAAAAGAATTTTCAACCCAGAATTTCATATCCAGCCAAACTAAGCTTCCTAAGTGAAGGAGAAAGAAAATACTTTACAGACAAGCAAATGCTGAGAGATTTTGTCACCACCATGCCTGCCCTAAAAGAGCTCCTGAAGGAAGCAATAAACATGGAAAGGAACAACCGGTACCAGCCGCTGCAAAATCATGCCAAAATGTAAAGACCATCAAGACTAGGAAGAAACTGCATCAACTAACGAGCAAAATCACCAGCTAACATCATAATGACAGGATCAAGTTCACACATAACAATATTAACTTTAAATGTAAATGGACTAAATGCTCCAATTAAAAGACACAGACTGGCAAATTGGATAAAGAGTCAAGACCCATCAGTGTGCTGTATTCAGGAAACCCATCTCACGTGCAGAGACATACATAGGCTCAAAATAAAAGGATGGAGGAAGATCTACCAAGCCAATGGAAAACAAAAAAAGGCAGGGGTTGCAATCCTAGTCTCTGATAAAACAGACTTTAAACCATCAAAGATCAAAAGAGACAAAGAAGGCCATTACATAATGGTAAAGGGATCAATTCAACAAGAAGAGCTAACTATCCTAAATATATATGCACCCAATACAGGAGCACCCAGATTCATAAAGCAAGTCCTGAGTGACCTACAAAGAGACTTAGACTCCCACACATTAATAATGGGAGACTTTAACACCCCACTGTCAACATTAGACAGATCAACGAGACAGAAAGTTCACAAGGATACCCAGGAATTGAACTCAGCTCTGCACCAAGCGGACCTAATAGACATCTACAGAACTCTCCACCCCAAATCAACAGAATATACATTTTTTTCAGCACCACACCACACCTATTCCAAAATTGACCACATAGTTGGAAGTAAAACTCTCCTCAGCAAATGTAAAAGAACAGAAATTACAACAAACTATCTCTCAGACCACAGTGCAATCAAACTAGAACTCAGGATTAAGAATCTCACTCAAAGCCACTCAACTACATGGAAACTGAACAACCTGCTCCTGAATGACTACTGGGTACATAACGAAATGAAGGCAGAAATAAAGATGTTCTTTGAAACCAACAAGAACAAAGACACAACATACCAGAATCTCTGGGATGCATTCAAAGCAGTGTGTAGAGGGAAATTTATAGCACTAAATGCCCACAAGAGAAAGCAGGAAAGATCCAAAATTGACACCCTAACATCACAATTAAAAGAACTAGAAAAGCAAGAGCAAACACATTCAAAAGCTAGCAGAAGGCAAGACATAACTAAAATCAGAGCAGAACTGAAGGAAATAGAGACACAAAAAACCCTTCAAAAAATCAATGAATCCAGGAGCTGGTTTTTTGAAAGGATCAACAAAATTGATAGACCGCTAGCAAGACTAATAAAGAAAAAAAGAGAGAAGAATCAAATAGACACAATAAAAAATGATAAAGGGGATATCACCACCGATCCCACAGAAATACAAACTACCATCAGAGAATACTACCAACACCTCTATGCAAATAAACTAGAAAATCTAGAAGAAATGGATAAATTCCTCGACACATACACTCTCCCAAGACTAAACCAGGAAGAAGTTGAATCTCTGAATAGACCAATAACAGGAGCTGAAATTGTGGCAATAATCAATAGTTTACCAACCAAAAAGAGTCCAGGACCAGATGGATTCACAGCCGAATTCTACCAGAGGTACAAGGAGGAACTGGTACCATTCCTTCTGAAACTATTCCAATCAATAGAAAAAGAGGGAATCCTCCCTAACTCATTTTATGAGGCCGGCATCATTCTGATACCAAAGCCGGGCAGAGACACAACCAAAAAAGAGAATTTTAGACCAATATCCTTGATGAACATTGATGCAAAAATCCTCAATAAAATACTGGCAAAACGAATCCGGCAGCACATCAAAAAGCTTATCCACCATGATCAAGTGGGCTTCATCCCTGGGATGCAAGGCTGGTTCAATATACGCAAATCAATAAATGTAATCCAGCATATAAACAGAGCCAAAGACAAAAACCACATGATTATCTCAATAGATGCAGAAAAAGCCTTTGACAAAATTCAACAACCCTTCATGCTAAAAACTCTCAATAAATTAGGTATTGATGGGACATATTTCAAAATAATAAGAGCTATCTATGACAAACCCACAGCCAACATCATACTGAATGGGCAAAAACTGGAAGCATTCCCTTTGAAAACTGGCACAAGACAGGGATGCCCTCTCTCACCACTCCTATTCAACATAGTGTTGGAAGTTCTGGCCAGGGCAATGAGGCAGGAGAAGGAAATAAAGGGTATTCAATTAGGAAAAGAGGAAGTCAAATTGTCCCTGTTTGCAGACGACATGATTGTATATCTAGAAAACCCCATTGTCTCAGCCCAAAATCTCCTTAAGCTGATAAGCAACTTCAGCAAAGTCTCAGGATACAAAATCAATGTACAAAAATCACAAGCATTCTTATACACCAACAACAGACAAACAGAGAGCCAAATCATGAGTGAACTCCCATTCACAATTGCTTCAAAGAGAATAAAATACCTAGGAATCCAACTTACAAGGGATGTGAAGGACCTCTTCAAGGAGAACTACAAACCACTGCTCAAGGAAATAAAAGAGGATACAAACAAATGGAAGAACATTCCATGCTCATGGGTAGGAAGAATCAATATCGTGAAAATGGCCATACTGCCCAAGGTAATTTACAGATTCAATGCCATCCCCATCAAGCTACCAATGACTTTCTTCACAGAATTGGAAAAAACTACTTTAAAGTTCATATGGAACCAAAAAAGAGCCCGCATCGCCAAGTCAATCCTAAGCCAAAAGAACAAAGCTGGAGGCATCACACTACCTGACTTCAAACTATACTACAAGGCTACAGTAACCAAAACAGCATGGTACTGGTACCAAAACAGAGCTATAGATCAATGGAACAGAACAGAGCCCTCAGAAATAACGCCGCATACCTACAACTATCTGATCTTTGACAAACCTGAGAAAAACAAGCAATGGGGAAAGGATTCCCTATTTAATAAATGGTGCTGGGAAAACTGGCTAGCCATATGTAGAAAGCTGAAACTGGATCCCTTCCTTACACCTTATACAAAAATCAATTCAAGATGGATTAAAGACTTAAACGTTAGACCTAAAACCATAAAAACCCTAGAAGAAAACCTAGGCATTACCATTCAGGACATAGGCATGGGCAAGGACTTCATGTCCAAAACACCAAAAGCAATGGCAACAAAAGCCAAAATTGACAAATGGGATCTAATTAAACTAAAGAGCTTCTGCACAGCAAAAGAAACTACCATCAGAGTGAACAGGCAACCTACAAAATGGGAGAAAATTTTCGCAACCTACTCATCTGACAAAGGGCTAATATCCAGAATCTACAATGAACTCAAACAAATTTACAAGAAAAAAACAAACCACCCCATCAAAAAGTGGGCGAAGGACATGAACAGACACCTCTCAAAAGAAGACATTTATGCAGCCAAAAAACACATGAAAAAATGCTCATCATCACTGGCCATCAGAGAAATGCAAATCAAAACCACAATGAGATACCATCTCACACCAGTTAGAATGGTAATCATTAAAAAGTCAGGAAACAACAGGTGCTGGAGAGGATGTGGAGAAATAGGAACACTTTTACACTGTTGGTGGAACTGTAAACTAGTTCAACCATTGTGGAATTCGGTGTGGCGATTCCTCAGGAATCTAGAACTGGAGATACCATTTGACCCAGCCATCCCATTACTGGGTATATACCCAAAGGACTATAAATCATGCTGCTATAAAGACACATGCACATGTATGTTTATTGCGGCATTATTCACAATAGCAAAGACTTGGAACCAACCCAAATGTCCAACAATGATAGACTGGATTAAGAAAATGTGGCACATATACACCATGGAATACTATGCAGCCATAAAAAATGATGAGTTCATGTCCTTTGTAGGGACATGGATGAAATTGGAAATCATCATTCTCAGTAAACTATCACAAGAACAAAAAACCAAACACCGCATATTCTCACTCATAGGTGGGAATTGAACAATGAGATCACATGGACACAGGAAGGGGAATATCACACTCTGGGGACTGTTGTGGGGTGGGGGGAGGGGGGAGGGATAGCATTGGGAGATATACCTAATGCTAGATGACGAGTTAGTGGGTGCAGCGCACCAGCATGGCACATGTATACATATGTAACTAACCTGCACAATGTGCACATGTACCCTAAAACTTAAAGTATAATTAAAAAAAAAAAAAAAAAGAAAAACACTATCCCCATACAATGTCTTTGATTAACCCCATCTTTGTCAGAGAAATGGCAAAGAATATGCATTTTTAGAGAGCAGAAGAAAAATTATGGATTTTCCTTTCATGTTCGCAATGTGATGTACATGGCTTTTCATGACTTTTCTTATTATCTAAAAGAAGATTGCACTTTTGCTCCATCTGATTGTCTCTCTCTTCAGTAACCCTTTGTCTCCTTTAACTTAAAGTCTTTTTCGTAAGTTTGTGTGGAACAGTTTTTAGCTATCCTCTTACACAGATTGTAATAGAGAATTCTTAAAATTTAAGGATTCTAAGGGATCCAGTGGCTAATGTTGTTCAAGTTTTCTATCTGAAGCTTGAAATCCCACTTAGATTTTTCTAATTATTGGCACTTAGCATTGAAGAGGCCTCATTTGCATAACATCATGCTTTATATTAAGCAGCCCGATTTCTCACCTGCTTTTCCTTGTCACTTGTTCTTCTCTGTTAATTTATGTCAAAGAAAAGCTATTTTTCCATGGGATGCTAGTTGGTTACCTCTCCCCATTAAACCCTGTACTGTCTTCATGTAAATGGTTCTGTATAACCTGGCTTCTCATTATCCTAAAATTCAGAAGAGAGGACCAGTTCTGAGGTTCCTCTTTTGATCACTGAACCGTGACAATCCAGTGCTTGACTGGACAATCCAGTGATTGACTACTATTTGTCAATTGCTTTTCTGACGTCAACTCACTCTTGAGTCACATTTTTGGGTGATTCCAAACCAGATTTCCTCAATTACAGATCGTTTTCTTTTTCTGCTCTGTGCATATCATTCCCAGATGATTCATCTGTTTTTGTTTACTCAATTTATTTAAATGTTCATTCTCTACACTGGTATCTTGAGCCATATATTAAACAAGTCAACAATAAGTTTGTTGGTTTATAGTTCACAAAATTAAGTTTCTTTATTCAGTTGAAAAGAATTAGAAAATTCCCCTAATTTCAGTCTTTTTTTTTTTTTCTCTTGGAGACAGGGTCTTGCTTTGTCCCCCAGACTGGATTGCAGTGGTGTGATCTCGGATCTTGGCTCACTGCAACCTCCGCCCCCCGGGTTCAAGCAATTCTCCTGCCTCAGCTTCCCAAGTAGCTGGGACTACAGGCAGGCACCACCACACCTGGTTAATTTTTGTATTTTTAGTAGAGACGGGGTTTCACCATGTAGGCCAGGCTAGTCTCGAACTCCTAACCTCAACTGACAACCCCCCCACCCCGCCTCGGCCTCACAAAGTGCTGGGATTACAGGCATGATCCACCGCACCCAGCCTGATTTCAGTCTTTATGCAACTCCTTTAGTTTCCATAATCCTCCCGAAATTTTTGAATCAGAGAAACCATCTGATCATCTAACTAACCTAACCATCTAAAGATTTTCATTTTAGATTGTATAGCTGGACAGCTGGAATTTATATCTGGTTTATCTTATAGAATAAGTCAGCAAATATTAAATGCAGTGTTTATGTAAGGTTTTTCAGTTTGGCAGATAGATAATACTATTATTTATAGCTTTTACTTATTAGGCTCCAATTGCATCTGCCAAGTGTTGCGCTCAGTCCTGTACACACTACCTCATTTGGGTAAAGTGGAAGACCTGGTTTGGATAAGGAAGGAATATGAAAGATTGCTGAGGGTACAAACTGGAAGATGGTAAATGCTAAGTGAGTTATATAGAATATAAATGGTTTCAGAATGTAAAGGAAGATGTCAGTCACTGTGGTCTTTGAGAAGAACGGGTGCCAGCATTTATTAAGCAACTATGTGTCAATTGCTAAGCATGTTATGTGATGCTCATAAAAATCTTATGAGATCAGGATTAGTTCCATGTTAGGTGAGGAAACTGAGGCTCTGCTAGATTGTTAATTGTCCAAGGTCACACAGTGGAACAATAGGGGTCTAGAATTCAGATCCAGATATGTATGATTCCAGAATGCCTGTGCTTGCTGGCTTCGCCACTTAACTAGCTATGTGATCTTGACTACTTAAGCTTAAAACTTAATCTCTGAAACTCCATTCATTCATTCAGTGGTACTTACTGAGCATCTACTACACTTCCAGCTTGTGCTGGGCATTGATGACATGGTGGTAAACAGGGTATATATTTCCTGACTTTCATGGCACCTTACTGTTATGGGAGATGGATATTAAGCAAACAACATATCAATCATTTAATTTCAGTTGTAATTAGTGCTATGAAAAAGTACAGGATAACATATCCTGTACTCCAGCCAGGAGTACAGAGCACTCCAGCCAGGTGAACAGAGCAAGACTCTTTCTCAAAAAAAAAAAAATCTGCTGAAATACATGTTGCCTTCTTCCTTCTTTGATTCACCATCCCCTGCCTCTCATTTCTTGAAAGATGAATACAGATAGTTTTCTCTTTCTTTTTTCCACCCAGGACTCATCTGGTTAAGTTCAATTTGAATGCCCTTCAGAACAAGACCTTTATCTGAAGGTCTAGTGGATTGTGTTTTCCTAATGGTGTAGTCATTTTAAGGCATTGACAAGGATTGCTCTTCTTTTTCTTCTTTGCATCATCTTTTATTGATTTTTTTTATTACAAAGCGACTCTTTACAGTGATCATGGCTGCAGAAAGAAACTCTTATGTATTAGTGAGCTATTGCTGTGTAACAAATTACTTTAAAACTTAGTGGCTTAAAGCAACAAATATATATGATGTCCATTTTTGTGGGTCAGGGATTTGAGTTTTACGTGGGTCCTGTTGGCTAAGAGTCTTGCATAAAGTTGCAGTCAATATGTCATTTAGGAGGCCAGTCATCTGAAGGCTCGACTGGAGCTGGTGCATCTGTTTCCAAGATGGTGCCATCACAGGACTGTTGGCAGGAGTCTCCAGCCCTGGCTGATGATTGGCAGGAGGGCTCAGTTCCTCACTGTGGAGCTCTTCGTGGGGCATGGTTGAGAATTCATTTTCAACGCATAGAGGCTGCTTTCCTCAGAGCCACTGATCCAAGAGAGAGAGCAGAGGAGTTCCCATTATGATTTTGACATCTAGTCTCAGAAGCCCAAGCTTTTACTTTCACCATATTCTATTTGTTAGAAGGGAGTCACTAAGCCTGGCCCACACTCAAGTAGAGAGGAATTCGGCTGTACACTTTGGAGGGAGGCATTTTAAAGATTTTGTCAGTGTCTGTTTAAACCATCACACTCTTCTAAATTAAAACAAGTCCTTCTGGCTGTGCATTGCGAAGAGGGTGATGCTCTCATCCACGAAATGATTGCCAAGCAGTATGACGTCTACAGTGCTGAATAATGAAGGGCTCTTGTGAAGAGTTGGCTTACCCTGCCTGTTTTCACCACTTATGTTTGTTTTTCTCTCCTGTATTCTTTTAAATCATCCAAATGTCAGATGTAGGTTTTCAGAGGGAAACGCAAGATGCAGCTGTGGGCACCTTTAAAAACAGTAGCAATTATTGGGAAAAATGTTTTTGAAGACTACTAATACCTTTTGTGTTCCTGTTTCTGAAATTAGTCATAATTAGAACAAAATCCATTTTCAAACCAAACACAAAGAACGAGAGAAAAAAAGCCATTGACAAATTAAAATTACCATTAAATTATGTTCCCACCCTTTATAATTAGTAAAATATGACTGTTACAGTAATAATAAGCTATAACTAGTGTTTTGTCTTGTTTTTGCCATGGAAGCTAATATCATTGTTTCTGTAGATAAAAAAATTTTAAAACCTTAATTGAAAAGTCTATTAGTCAGTTTGAACAGATATTTGATAAATCAATGGCTGATTAATCCCACCGCATTAGTGTGTGACACATGTCATTCAATACCCAGATAGAGTATGCTTTCTTGAATTGGCCCTTATTGATTTCTCTCTGTTCATCCTTTCTTACAATGAGGCTACATTGTCCCCCAAAACAAATTTTAATGTACATTTTTCTTTTATTCCTCATAATACATGAAATACAATAGTTATTTCATAAGTCATAACTAGTTTATAGTGTTGATAACCTCTTGGCTAGCTTTTTGACTGCCATTTCTCATTCACACCTTGAGCCCTGATAAAAACAAAAGCCCATGTGGATATTGTGCCTCAATCCTGAGACATCATGGTGACAGCAGATTACTGCCACGTGAACAATGTAAGCATTTCCTTTCAAGTCGTCATCGTGTAATTTAGCCAGAAAATCATGGCAAGTTTTCTAAGAAGGAGATTTGGTTATACTAGATAATAAAAGAGAGAGAGAGAAAGAAACTCCTTTTTTAAAAATGTAGGAATGTATTTCATCATTTTCTAAATTTTCAAGCCTTGAACATAAGTAAAATGGAAATATAATGTAGTTTATATGATAAAACTAAAGTTGTTTGTATTAGCTGTGATAAAACATTTTTGGTGAATTTTTTGACATGGCTTTCAAAGCCATGACTGTAATAAGTTAATTATCAAAATATATTTTTAGAGGAAGGTGAAAACATGCAGAGAAAAGATATATTCATTAATCCTTTCCATTTTCATTGTTCTAGATTTGACTTTGGCATTAAATTACTATGTAAATATAGTGAAGTAGTTTGACTTTCCTGAACTTCTTTGCTAGTTTGGAAAAACATAATGAGTATCCTTGATTTTGGATGTGTTTATCGTTTTTTTTTTTATGTTAACTTTTGGGATACATGTGCTGAACGTGCAGGTTTGTTACACAGGTATACATGTGCCATGGTGGTTTGCTGCACCTATCGACCCGTCATCTAGGTTTTAATCCCCGCATGCATTAGATATTTGTCCTAATGCTCTCCGTCCCCTTTCCCCCAACCCCCTGACAGCCCCCGGTGTGTGATGTTCCCCTCCGTGTTTCCATGTGTTCTCATTATTCAACTCCCACTTATGAGTGAGAATATAGTAATGGGTCTTTCATGCTGAGCATGAAGTGCTGTTGGTCATAACACATTTTATTTTAAATTCTGTAGACCCTGACCTTATCCCAATGCCTGGACACAGCTCACTTTTCCAACAGTGGAGAGCATCATATCATTTTCCAGTTCTGCAAGGAATGAAGACCAAGCTCCAATTTAAATATTATCAACTGGTTGACTATTCATGCTAAACCTGAAATGTTCATTTTTAAGCCATAGAAATTGGCTCCTTTTCCCACTAATTTTGAATAATTTATAATTTTCTTAATAGCCAATAGTGGAAATAATATAATAGCTCTTAAGGAGGAATGATCAAAATTTTGTAGCAGAAAGTAATAGATTGGCATTTGATCTAACATTCTTATGTACCAGTGAGGTCATAGTGTCAGCGGCAAAACTGGGTGAACAAAAAGCCCGGATTCCTGATGCCTGATTTAATGCCTATTTTCTCCTGCCACTCACCTGCAGTTGTGAATGGTCAACCTGCAGACTACAGTAGGCTGGTGTGCACTGATGAGCTTTGCACCTCATCTTCTCTCTCTCTCTCTCCGCCCTTCTCTTTTTAACTTCCACTCTTCCTACTTCTCCTCTTTCCTTCCTACTGCACTTCCTCCCTCTCGCTGCCCAAATTTAGGTGAGTCTGTGGTCAAAATACCAAAGGACCCTCTACCTATACTGTCTTGACTGATAGAGACTAATAGAAAGACCTGAAGTGCTAACTCCTTTGCCTTGATCTTGCTCTGGTTAGTGGATTCCTTTGACCATTGAGTGGCCCCACTTAATGATTCAACCTGTTTTCCTCTGGCTTTTCTGTGGAAATAGCACAGGGTTTACCAGTGGAGCTAGGCTCTACAGGACTCCAGGCTGCCTTAACCAATGTATTGCCTTGTAGCACCCAGAAGGAGCAGATACAGGTTTTGTGGAACCTGAAGCTTACGACTTGGGGTTCCTCTTGAAGAAAAAGAATATGAAGTCCGAACATAAAATTAAGTAGGAGGTACTGAAGGTGGCCTTTACAAGTTAGTATCTCTCCATAGTCTGGCACACAAAGCTTGTCATGCCCTGGCCTAGACTAGCCTTATATTCTATTGCCTGTGAAACAACCTGAAACTGCCAAAGCCATACCAAACCATTTCTGGCCCCCCAGGCATGCTCTGTTGTCTCTCACCTGCAAGCCTTTGCGCATGCATGTTCGTCTGCCACCGTGCCCATCTGTCACTTCTTTAGCAGATAATGCCTGTTCTTCAAGACGTCATTTTGGGCTCAGCCATATTGGAAAGCCTTCTGCAGTCCCCACAGGTGCCTCAGTTCTGTGCTCTCATATTCTGCTGTAGCTGTTTTCACATTGCATTATAACTACTTGTTACCTATCTGTGTTTCCTACTCCATGACGACCTGCTACATGCAGGAGGGGTGCTTTTGACTCCGGATTCCCAGTGGCTGATGTTGGGACTGGGCTAGGCAGTTTATGTTGTTCGCCTTCTCCAGGCTTTAGCTTCGTGGTGCTAGGTGTCCAGACCCCTTTGCCCTCTGCTCTTTGGCAAGGTCAGCCCAATGGAAAGCATTGAGGAAGATTGGAGGGTACAAAGAAGGGCAAACCCCACCCCTGCCTCCTCTGCAACTCCAGTTGTAGCCACCACCCCTCTGCACCCCTGCTTCTAGTAGACAATCTCCCCTTCTGTTTCTAGATCCTACCAGAAGCCACTAGGCTCTGGGCTCCAGTCACATTTTTTTTTTCTCATTGTCTCTACTCTCCTACAGGTAATAGTGGCTCCATGTTCTTGCCAATTTGTAAGTTACATCTTTGCTTGGTTTCTAAGCTTTTCCATCATCCATGTTACCAAGTGTCTGTATTAAATTCCAAATTTCCTCTCTCTGAAAGATCTAGAGTGGTTTGTATTTCCCTGGCTGAGCTCTGAATTATAAAGGCACAGTAGATGGCCAGTTGTTATATGAAAAAGACAATAGGAAGAGGGACCTTTGGCAATCATTTGCAAGGCTCATTTACATATAAAACAACTACGTGTTTTCCATTCCTGTCCATCTTAGCATAAAGCATGGAGCCCCAGAAACTGGTACTAGTCCTACAGACCAGACATGCAGAAATAGCAGAGCTTAACAAAATGCATACAGTACTTATTGAATTAACTCCAATTAATCTGCCTTCTTGTAACTAGGTGCTAGGTCCAGTACCTTGCTCTTAGTAGGCATTCACACAAACATTGAGTGAAGAACAGACTGTACTTGCAATCCATCACCAGTATATCCCAGGCAACAGGCAATATAATAACACAGAAAGCCTTGATCTATAATCTCTGTGACTTTTTGGTACAATTACAATGGAAGCTTTCCCCAGGCCTTGCATAGCTTCGTGGGCATAAATCCTGGGAGTTCCTCAGAATGTCTGGGGATGAGGAAGGAGTGACTGTGCTCCACAAACAGCAGAGACTCCAGGCTGGAGTGCGTGGTGTGGTCGGGGGGGCCATAAAAATGAATAAAATCTCCCAACTCAGAGGCCAACAGGCCAAAGAAAATAGGAAACAGACAACCAAGGGCCAGCCCCTGGACATGTTAGTGTGAGCAGGATAAATCCTCTTAAAATGAATTCCAAATCTTGCTCAGGGCACACAGCAAGTATACAAATTGAGGAAAGCATCTGAGGAAATGTGGTGATAAACACAGGGCTGACTGCTGAGTGTGAGGCCAGAGAGAGTGTGCAGACACATTTGGCAGGAGGTTTGGGAAGCCATAACTATAGCAAGCAAGACAAGAAAGAGCCTTCGGGTCCAGCTTAGGATGGAGAGGCAGGGAGTGCAGTGGTTGAGCACAGAGGCTTCTGTGCCAATCTGCCTGGGTTGAGATTTTGGCTCTGTTGTTTCCTAGCTAAGGACAAGTGAGTTACCCTCTCAGGATTCAGCTCTCTTTCAGGGTTAATAGCAGTGCCTGCCCTCTTGGCTCATGTGAAAACAACATGAGTTTGTTCATGTGAAGCAGCTGGCATCCGAAACCTAGTGAGATAATTTATAGGCAGTGCTGATACACTCTCAGGCACATTTTTGGTTTGTCAAAGTCTGCAATCAAATTTTGTATTCCATTCATTCATCCATTGCTTTAACAGATATTTCTTGAGTGCTTAATGTGTGACTGGCACTTGGAATAGAATGAAGATCTAAAACAAGCAAGTCCCTGATTTTGTGGGCCAGAAAACAAAAATATTGACGAGTCAGTGTTAGGTTAGTGGTGAGGGAGAATCAGGCAACCTGAAGTGGTTTCTAATGAGACTCTGAAGAATGAATGAATATGACAAATGTACCACTCTGATGGAGGATGTTGTACAATGAGCAAGGCTATGCATCTGTGGGAGCAGGGTGTATATGAGAAATCTCTGTATCTTTTACTCAGTTTTACTGTGAACCCAAAACTGCTCTAAAAGATAGTCATTAGAAAAAGAGAGAGAGAAGGAGTAGGAGGAGATGGAGGGAGGGGACTTCTTTCTGATGATCCTAAATATTATTTTGGTTACTCTACAGAAAACTAAGGGTATTTTAACCTTGGCTAAATCATATTTTTGCTAAGTTAGATCTAATTTATATGAGCTGTGCTCATTTTAAAAATTGCAGTACCTCAAACTTCATTGGAGCCAATTATATTCATCTCTAAAAGGCACTAGTAGTTGATATCACCACCACACAAGGAACTTGTTAGAAAAAGCAGTGTTCACCTAACCAAGGAGTATAAAAATGAAGCTTCAGCCTAAGGAATTTTGTCTGTTGATTTTTCAAAGGTATGCTTGCTTATAATGGGCAGCTGAACTATTCACAACAGCAAAGACATGGAACCAACCCAAATGGCCATCAATGATAGACTAAAGCAAATGTGGTACATATACACCATGGAACACTATGCAACCATAAAAAGGAATGAGATCATGTACTTTGCAGAGACATGGATGAAGCTAGAAGCCATCATCCTCAGCAATCTAACACAGGAACAGAAAACCAAACACCACATATTCTCACTCATAAGTGGGAGCAATGAGAACACAGGGACACAGGGAGGGGAACAACACATACTGGGACCTGTTGGGAGGAGGGGCAAGGGGAGGAAGAGCATCAGGACAAATAGCTAATGTGTGTGGGGCTTAAAACCTAGGTGATGTGTTGATAGGTGCAGCAAACCACCATGGCACACATTTACCTGTGTAGCAAACCTGCACGTTCTGCCCATGTAGCCCAGAACTTAAAAGTAAAATAAATTAAAAAATAATAATAATGGACTGTTGAATATTAGTCTAGGCATTGAATTCATTTAGTCTTCCAGTATTTATTGGGCCACCTAAGAGTGGCCATGGACTGATGCTAGAGAGATAAGTAAGGCACAGCTCCAGCAGTCAAGAGGCCTATAGTTTTGGGGCCATGTGGGCATGAGAATAGGTAATGCAGTGGAATGCGCAGTACCAAAGGATCGCAGTTACTAAGAAAGCAAAGAATTCATTCACTCATTTGTTCTTTCATTTGTTAGTTCACTCAACAAGTATTTGTGTTATATATTATGTGGAAGACATGATATTTATACATTGGGGATATAGCCGTGGAATAAGATAAATATGCCTTGCCCTCTTGAGTCTGTCATGGTTCTACCTGCTATGGTTATAGAGAAATTCTGAGTTGGGTCTTAAAGAATGAGGACAAGTTATGGAGACAGACAAGTTAAAGGGCATTTCAAAAGAAGGAAATTAGCATTTGGGAGTCCCATGAGTCTCCTGAGTCTCGGTGTTTTTGTGGAAAGGACAGTGGCACTTAGCACTGGTGACCCCATCTCAGCACCAGGTGGCCCCACCTTGGTTCTGTGCAAAAGAGATCTACGATGGGCCATGACTGGGTTTTGTCTATAAAAAAATGACTTTATACCCAGGCTCCACTGCCCTCAGGCATCTCATGGATAGTCACAGGCTGATGTTTTAGGACACTTGATTTCCCTCCTTTTAATTAGGTCCTACCAGGCTTATCAAAAATATATCCAGATCTATTTTTAGAGATCTGAAGTCTCTACGCTTAGCCTTTGATCTCAATCCTCATCTAAGGTACTTAAATACTGATTTTTAACAAGGTTGCTTCACTCCAGAAAATGGCCTACAACCAAGTTCAGTTGTCATGGACATGAACATTCCTTCAGTATGCGAACCACAAGTGGATATGTGGACAAATATTAATGTATTCACCTAAATGTAGTTTGTAATATAATAACTTGAAGAATAATAAAATCAGCCAGGCATGGTGGCTCACATCTGTAATCCCAGCACTTTGGAAGGTTAAGGTGGGCGGATCATTTGAGGTCAGGAGTTCGAGACCAGCCTGGCCAAAATGGTGAAACGTTGTCTCTACTAAAAATATAAAAATTAGCCAAGCGTCGTGTCACACACCTGTAATCACAGACACTCAGGAGGCTGAGGCAGGAGAATCGCCTGAACCCAGGAGGCGGAGGTTGCAGTGAGCTGAGATTATGCCACTACACTCCAGCCTAGATGACAGAGTGAGTGAGACTCTGTCTTAAAAAAAAAAAGAAAAGAAAAGAAAGAAAAAAAGAATAAAAGCTAAAATTCCTTGTTAATATATAATTGTGTCTTTAGGCATTTTCCTTTTTGTTTTCTAAGGCATTTCAAGGGCTGGAATTTTTTTTTAATATTTTTTGTGAGGCTAGTTCTCTCTTCTTACCTCGACATATGTTACAGATAATATCTGATTCCATTTATTTTTCTCTGTATAATGAGAAAATTAAAACAACCAGATTTTCTATTCCCAATCTTCTCCACCTCGTGCTTTCTTTATGAATAAGCAAAAAACAAGTCAGGAAACTATTATTAGGGGATTAGTCCCAAGAATACTTTCCCAGATATCCTCTTCTGCCTGATCCATGTCTTCTTGTGGAGAATTAAGCATTAGGAGCCATCCTGTTAAAGATGATCCTGCACCGTGAGGTCGTGAGAGGCCACTGAGTCACCACGCTCTTAATCAGGAACAGCCTGGTGTTAGTCATCAGTATATTTTATTATGTTCTAGTTCTTTCAAAATTAGTTGTTCCCTGTTGGCAAAGTGACTCCAGTTCAAACAGAAGAGGATGGATTCTCGGCTAAATTCCCGGATGCACATTGGGGCATAAGCACTGACAAGTGAAGTAGTGCCTCTCAGCTAAAAACTACAAACTCCGATTAGCTACTAAACTAATGCCCAGTAGGCTTCCACAGCACGGTTTTCTGTCTGAACAACTTGATTAGCAATTGAGCATTAAATATTGGTGAGTCAGAGTTAGCTGTGTGCTTTTAAAACTCAGATGAGATGGTATTTTTACTTTTGAGAAATCATTGTTTTCCTTATGGGCTCCTAAGAGAAGAACCAGGCACTGAACAGAAAGTCACAGGCATGGTGGTTTGTGCCCTGGGCTGTCATGGAGATACTGGTCTTTTGTAAGCTCAGATAGCACCATCAAGGTGACATGCAATAGGATTGGGTGTTTGGGAATTCTAGCAATGAGTAGACCAACCTGGATGACTCCTAGTAAAGAAGAAGAGCTTTTTAAAAGAGATGCCAGGCTATGTCTTGACTGCAAGAGATCATTACGGGGAGCACAAAAGATACCAAAGCTGCAGGTTAGGAACAACCATTATATGTGCAGTGTAAAAACAAAAAACCAAAACCTGTTAGTTCCTCACCGGAGTCTTCTTTACCAGTGATTTCCAGAACAAATACTACATCAACACTTTTCTTTCTGGAAGTTATAAACTAAGATGTTAAAAGTGATTATTTTCAAGTGCTAGCATCTTGCTTGTTACATCTAATTTGTTGACAGTGAATATGCATTATATTTAAAGTAAACAAATAGTTATTTGCAATTTTAAAAAATTGCAAGGCCTTTCCATGCCTGCTACCTGTCAAATTGGCCATTTTTCACTTATTGATGTTTCCTTCTAGGCTTTGCCAATTCAACATAATTTCTCAGTAGGTATAATTAAACAGAGATGCTGTTCTGCATGCTGCTATTTCAAAGCATTGTTGTACACAAAAAAACAGACAGCAAAGATCTTCTATGATGTAAGCCAGGGTAACCCAGACCCCAGTCTAATGCAACCGTATCTTGGGCCTCAATATAGGCGCTCTCACCTTTCAAGTGATCTTGTGATAGGACCTGTTTAGATAATGAGGTGTCAGAGTATATGTTTCTTTGTTGTTTGCCTGTGAAAATGTATAGTTTGTTAATAGCACTGTAAATTATAAGAGGTCTGCTCCATGGAAAAGAAACATGAATAGATTTAGATTTTTATGGGGCTGAATCAGCCAAATCAAACACAGGCTTTTCTGAAGCTTCCAAGTTTTAATGGAAACTCACGCTCTTCAGAATGTTGCTGCCTAATTACAATTCATGCCTTTTGCAGACACATTACAGAGTGGACCAAAAGGAAAATGTTAGACGTGTTCACTTGTGATTTCTATTGTGTTACTTGTGGAGTGCCAGCTGCATAAGTCCAGTGGCCTGGTGCGTGCAAAGACAAGGACCAGTTCTTGGCAGGCTGTGTGACTTCAGTAGGAAGGAGAAAGAGAGACTGGCAGAATAGCAAATACAGACCACACACTCAAATACAGAACCAGACTTCAACATGTGATTCTACATATACTACCAATGTCAGAATGTAATTTAAAAGTCCCATGGTACTCATAACCCCAAACGAACCCACTTAATTGTCTTCATCAGAGAAGCACTTTCGAACTCCAGAAAAATGGAACTACCAAGATTTTCTTTTAAAAAGAACTTTAAACATTTTTAAAAATTATTTTAAACAGGTCTAACTGGTATCAAAGGAGAAAAAGGAAATCCAGGCGTTGGAACCCAAGGTCCAAGAGGCCCCCCTGGACCAGCAGGTAAATCTTCCTTCCTAACAAGAGACTGCAAATGTATATTTTTATATTCACTTGGCATTGCAAGTGAGGAAAATGGTCATCTTACATCCTAGTATGTAACTTAAATGGCTGTATTTCTTACTTGTTTTATTGGGAGGCTTCTTTGTTAATAAGGATCCTCCCAATATACAAGACCAAAAAGTTAGAGCATATTCTGGGATCTTATTGTTTGTGTGAGTTGCGATAGGACAGACTATGCTATAGTAACAAATACATCCCAAATGCTTAGTGGATTTACACAATAAAGCTTTATTTCACAATCACACAAAGTTTCATATGAATAAGGTAGCTCTCTTCCATCTCAGAACCCATGACCTCCATGGTGAATCATGTAGCCTCCAAGAGAAAGAAAAAGAAGGCACATCGGGCTGGGTGCGGTGGCTCACTCCTGTAAGCCCAGCGTTTTGGGAAGCTGAGGCAAGAGGATCACTTGAGGCCAAGAGTTTGAGACCAGCCTGGGCAATGTGACGAAACCCCATTTCTACCAAAAAAAAAAAAATACAAAAATTTAACCAGGCGTGGTGGCATGTGCTTGTAGTCCCAGCTACTTGAGAGGCTGAAACAGAGGATCACATGAGCTCTGGAGGTTGAGGCTACAGTGAACCGTGATGGTGCCACTGCCCTCCAGCCTGGGTGACAGAGGGAGACCCTGTCTCGAAAAAAAAAAAAGAAGGCACACCGGTCTCAACTTCCTAAACAGAATGAGATGTCACTTCCATTCACATTTTATTGTCTGGAACTAATCACCTAGCCCCAACTGAACTGCAAGGCAGACACAAAATTTAGAGAAATACAGGGCTATTTGGTGAGCACTAGTATTTCCTGCCATGGTAATCTTACTGAATGAGTTCTGTAAAAGTTTTGAGTTTTGTGTATTATATGCTTTTAGAATGGTCTCCAGATGATCAGGCTTGATATTAGAATTATTATAATTTGCAATCTTATTATAATATATATTTATAATGTCAGTCTTAGCCACATTAAGTAAAGTGCTTTACAGATTTTTCTTTCCAATCTAGTAAGGATTTTGGAAAATACTTTTTCTGAGAGAGGTTCCTAATGCAATTCATTTTGAGTGTAAATATTTCTGTTATTAGAGACAATGTGAGGAACTGATATAACATTACACATTACACAGAATGGGTGGTTGGTGAGTGCTGATTGAGGAGCTGAATATATGAGAGCCACCACGCTATTCAAATAGAAGGTGATACTTGTTCCTACTTTTCATTTCAGTTCTAGTTGAGAAATTCCATTATAGTTGAAGAATGCCTTTTCAACACTGTTGGAACCCGGACCTAAAAACAAGCATACAAGCCAAAAAAAAAAAAAAAAACATGCTGACAAATTTCTTCAATTCACAACAGTTTTAATCCTCCTATTTTTACTCAGTCTGAATTCTCAATTAATGTAAACTAGCTTAAAGAAATTTTGGATTAGTATATTGGGTCGAATGTCAAACTTGTCATTGGTCCCCTCCAGGACAATTTCACACTCATACAAATTTACTTTAATTATCTAGGGCCATAAACCAGTACTGAATTACATGGCTATTCTAACTGTTGATGAGGTTGAGCTTTAATTATCTGGGGCCATAAACTGGTACTGAATTGCATGGCTATTCTAACTAGATGATGAGGTTGAGCTCTGAGTGTGTTCATGTTTGTGTCTGTGTGTGTGCACGCCCATAGATTGGATTCATAAGGAACTGCATTGGGAAACAAAAGCTCCAAAAAGAAAATAAGGTTGATAATGGAAGGTTCCTTTCCCTTTAACATCCAAGAGGAAATAGAAAAGATGCATTTTGCTTGCCAGTTTCCTGAGCTGATTGAGAGCATTGACCTCCAGGAGGATAAGTGATTACACTATGACCCTCTGCCTAGGGAATCCAGTCTACAAAAAAGAACTCAATGAGTAGAAAGAGGTTGTCCTAATTGTCCTAAAAGTTGCTTCTTCTAAGAGTTAGTTTACTTCTTGGTTGTCTCAAAACTCACCCTGTTGTGGCAAAAGACCAACGGTTTTCATCTGTGGGTACTTCTTAGGACCTTCAGGGGAGAGTCGGCCTGGCAGCCCTGGGCCCCCTGGCTCTCCTGGACCAAGAGGCCCACCAGGTCATCTGGGGGTTCCTGGACCCCAAGGTCCTTCTGGCCAGCCTGGATATTGTGACCCCTCATCATGTTCTGCCTATGGTGTGAGAGGTAAGTGTCACAAAAAGCCCCGCTTGTGGGCTTTGATCAATGTTTTAGTATGCTTAGTACCAAAATGGGAAGATAGTGCTATGAAAAAAGTTAAATTGGTTATGAATGGGAAGCAGAGCTTGAATGCCTCACTTCCTTAAATTATCCCGAGACATTTTCTATAAAGTGCAAATTGCTATAGAGGCTACTCCCTTAAAAACCTTAAGAGCAAATTCAAAATAACAGCACATCTAAGTCTTCCTTGCTTCCCAGTGATGACCTACATAGACTTGGCCTCTGACTTTGTATTTAGCACATTTGGAGGACATGGTTGAACATTCTTTTGGAGTCTCCATTCTTATGTGACAGCTGTGATGTGGCCAAGACGTCCCATAAAATTTTACTCTTGGTTTGGGGAAATGTCAAACTTAGAACTTCTCCCGTAATTAAGAGGGCTCCTTAGATTATTTTCAATGAAATCATGCATACCACTTGCATTTAGGTGCATTTAAGCACCACATTTTAGGTGACCAAGAATAGTTGTGAGAGGAAACAAAAATCATGCTGTCCTTGTCTTATCACTAGCTACTGGACTAAAAGAATATGCTTCCTAAAACATCTGCAGTGTGCATGCTGGCGTGCTGTGCAATGGCCCCTTTTCTGACATAGTCACTCTTGGAAGCATCAAGGGAGAGGCTGAGGGACTGCTGTGGGGCCATGAACTTACTAGTTAATGGGTTTAAAATTTTCTGCTTCAGTAGAAATTTAACCTTAGTTATCACAGGAATTGGTCAACAAAGTTTTGCTGATGTGTTTTTCTCTGTTCATCTTTTCCCTCCCTGTTCTCTCAAATACTCCTATCCTTATTAAGATCTGATCCCCTACAATGATTACCAGCACTGAAGTGGAAATCCTCCACTCTGGTTCCATTGGCCCCAGA
The DNA here is from genome assembly GCF_000001405.40 of Homo sapiens. Taxonomy (NCBI): domain Eukaryota; kingdom Metazoa; phylum Chordata; class Mammalia; order Primates; family Hominidae; genus Homo; species Homo sapiens. The sequence continues at coordinate 120,370,405 of NC_000008.11, forward strand.
CATTTAGCTGTGGATACAGAACTGTCCTGTCAACCACCACCACCACCAAGCCCCTGCCCCTAACAATGGACACTCTGCTTCCCTGCTTCTTCTGCATCCCTGCCTTCCCACTTTCAAACCTCTTGCCCACTCTGCTCCAAACATGATGGAGTGATAACATCGGAACTTAACCAAATCATATATGTCTATTTTAATAGACACTGACTGCTCCATGTCAGCCTGGATAGAGGTATATGATCGTGTGCCAAGAATTTATCCCAGACTCCCCTGTGTGACAGCTTCATAATAAAGTTACTTAACTGTGCCTCTTCCTCCTTCCTCTCCCCACACAGGATGGATGGGCATCTTTCTCCTTGACCACCCTACTCTCCCTTCCTCCCCTGATCACCTCCCCTCCCTGCTCTTCCCTGGTGATGGACTTCTAACATGAGATTTTTTAAAAAAATTTCTATTTCTTTTATAATTTTGCTGAGTTTTCAGGGTTTCTTCTGTAAATAAAACATAATATTTAAATGGTTGGTTATGATTCTAGTTTTCTAACAATTTCTGTAATGTATCTTTCCCTTCGTCTATTTACTAACTGTCTGAAACCTTATGGGGAAGGTACAAGGGGCGTGGTGGATTAAGACATCCACTGCTTTTTACCCAGCAGGATATCTCTGTGTCTCTAAGGACCCAGGTGAGGGGAGAATATCAATTTATGATTCCTGGGTGCAGCAAGTCCCCACCCCCACTTTTCCTCTTTAGCTCCCCATCCAGATCAGCCAGAGTTCACCCCTGTCCAAGATGAGCTGGAAGCCATGGAACTGTGGGGCCCTGGAGTCTGATAGCCTCAGGAGAAATTTGAAGACCAACTGCAAGAACTCTTAAGGAATCTTGTTTGAGAAAATGTTGTTATGTGGTTTGTATGCTACTTTTGGGGGGCAGGGCTCATTTCAGCAGCCTAAATCTCCTCCTTGGATAATGTTAATATTATTATTATTATTAACAAAAAATATATATTTTTAAAAAGTTCCCTTAATCTATGACATGGTAGCAATGATTTCCCTTTGGTGTCTTAATGGCATGTCAGATAATTTGTTTTTCCAGAGAAGAGAGCTCAAAGAGGAATTGGGAAAAATAAATTGAACTCTGGAATCTTCTCTCTCAAGTCCTAAAATGAACAAACAGATATGATTGTGTTTGAGGGAAATATGTCCCTAGCAGGAAAAGAATTCAAAGAGGTTCAAAGAATATGTCACTTACTCCTACTTGCTGTAGGAATAACCTTGCTGATAAGAAAAAAAGGGACAATATTGGAGAAACTACCTCTTGTTTAATTGATCTGTCCAACTCTGAGATCACTTGGTAACTGGTTTCATGTGTATCCAAAAATCAGCATTTGGATTTAAGCTTTCTGAATTTGGTAGTTTAAGAAACAGATTTAGTTTTTCAGTGGTTTTAACTCATGTGAAATAATGATTTTCCACCAGCTCTGATGCAAAGAGATATAATTTTAATGAACGATTTATCCAGCAGTGTGTTCCAGGGGTTGCCTCTCCTTATCTACGGGGATTACTTTGTACATGCAGATAAGTTTTCGCAAACCTATTTCCATTTTCTTTTGTAAGCAAATAAAACTTTAAAACAATGTATGTGGATTCTTTTTCCTGCATTTCTAAGTATCACCTTAAGCTTTTGTAGTCTTAACTGAGTGTCCACCAGAAAGACAACAGTTGTCTTCCTTTAGGTAAGCATTCAAACTTTCATTCATTCGTTTACTCACTCACTCATTCATTCATTCTGAGTGCAGTAGAAAACAGAAGAAGCAGTTAACTTGGGACTAAGAGATTAGCGACATTTTATTGTTCATTTATAATCTAGCAGGCAGCAAAGACCCTGCAAATGCATGACCTCTGCTAAATAAATGTTTATCAATAGTTGACTGAGGAGCCCACCTATCTTCTGATATTGAGGAAAGCCTAAAAACCCCTAGAAGGCAGAGCAGAAATGAGGTTGAATCTAATAGACTCTAACCCTTAAACCATACTTTGTCTTTTGCTCACAAAGGAAAAATCTAGGTATTTGAGAAAGATTTGAATTCTATTATGTGCTAGTTGAAATAGAAACAAAAGAGAACCATAAATTTAATACGTGCTCCTTCTCTGTAACATCTCCCTAGTAACAGCTAACTTTAGAAAGTAGGGATGGGATCATTTACAACTAGAAGCTGGATTCTTTCTGGATCAGGAAAAGGCTAACACGAAGGATGGTGTCTGTCTGATCACCAGGTTCTCTTTCTGTCCTTCTCATAATCTCCTGATCTTTGGAGATGAAAGATCTCCTTTCATCTTCATCTGAAGGATTCTTCAGATGATTCATCTTCAGACTTCATCTGAAGGATTCAAACAATCTACTTGTGTGCCTTTGGTGGGGTGGGGCAGGGGCGGGGGGCGGTTCTAAACAAATCAGTTTTTTTGGTGTCTTTGCAGGGAATGAAAGAAGATAATGAGCAGATAATCAGCAGCCATTTCCTTTCAGTTATGGTATATGATTCTGCCTGAGAAAGCAGGATTTATGGGAAGGAAAACTTGTCTAAGGCTCATCAAGATGGCCTGACCCAGAGTCACCTAAGAGAACTCTTCCAACTTAAATGACTAGGGTGTGTAATCAGTTGCTTCTTATTCTGTGTCTCAGATTTCCTAGTCCATGACATTTAATAGTGAGTATAGAGTAGGATATTCTATACATTTTAGTATTTGGCCCTTGGAAACAAAGTTAAATACCATGTCACTCAGAAGACTCTCAAAGTTTGTGTATAAATGGCGAAGTATACACTATGAGAGATTCTAATCCATTCACATCATTCTTGAGTTGTGCAAATACACTTGGCTTTGATTTCACTTGGTGATCTAAATTTGTTTATTTAAGCTGCAAGAAAGTTACATTAATTTGGAATGTGTCATCACTTGGACCCAGTATATCAGATTTTTATTGAGTAAAATGTTAAAAATAATAAGTGTAACTCAGATTCTGGATGTTCGAGTTTACAATACATTGCCTGTAATAAAAGCTGATTCTGAAGTGCATTTTTCTTGACTTACTTTGGCAGAAATATACTTATATCTTAATTTATAGTTTGTAAGTTTATACTGTTTTCTAAAAGTAATAAATCATTTCATGAAAAATACATTACTCTTCAGAATTCTCATCACATTTGTTACAAACTCTCCATTTCTTTTGGGAATAGTCATTTTAGGGTAGTATTTTATATTCCAAAAGACCCCAATTTAATTTTAGAACAACTCTTCCTCTTTTTTTTTTAATTTTTTTACCTCTTCTGCCCCACCCCATCTTTCCATATCAAATATTACTGTGAACCAGGGAGTGTTTTCGTTCTGGGGATAAAACCATCACCAAAAGAGATGTGGGCTCTGTCCTCTTGGGGCATCCTTTCTGTTGCTGGAAAAAGACAGGAAACGTGAACACATAAGCAAAATTAATTATCAGACAACATCAGATGCGTTCAGGGTGGTATGGCCATAGAAAAATTAATTATCAATCATGATGAATATGAAAGACACAGATAAGGTCCTAAGACAGGAATAAGAAAGGAGGAATAAAGGAACATCTGCTTCCATTTGGGTGGGAGGGGCCCTCTCTGAGGGGCTGACGTTTAAGTAGGGACATGAAGATAAAAGGTGTGGGAGATGAATTCAAGCCCACGGTTTGTCAAGTACAAGGGCCCTTTGTCAGCAAGGTAGGTGCCGTGTTCAGGGAATTGTAAGCAGACCAGTTGGCAGGAGAGTGAGTGGAAGAGTGAACAAAATAAGGCTGAAGACCAAAGCAAGGGGGACTGTATGTGAGAAGTTAGTGATTTGCATTTTATTTTATTAATAAATTTCATTAGAAGCAACTGAGGAGTTGCGAACAGAGGAATGACATGATCAAGTGTCTGTTTTAAGTAAGTAAAGGGAAAATTGCTGTTTCATGGAACCACACTGCTGCGTTTATGTTCTGAAGTTGTCACTGTGCAGTTACTTAAGGCCAAGCCTATCCCAGGAGCTTCAAAGTTGTATCATTTAGGTTGGGCTAGGCTATACAGTGGTAATAATTCCTAACATCTCAGGAACTTAGCACAATAAACATTTACTTCTTGCTCACCCAAGAGAGCAGGGCAGCTGTCTGCCACATCTGGGCTCAGTGTTCCACACTACTTCTGCCTTGGACACTTCCATGTCAACGTGCACTCCCGTGATCACCAAGGCAAAAGGAGAGAGAACATGGAGACTCATTGCCCCACGCTTCCTTCAGAAGTGACACACATTATTTTCACTCATGGATCTTTGGCCTAAGTAAATCACATGACCACATTCAATGGGGTGGAGAAGTACAGCCTTCCCATGTGCTAGGAGGCAGAAGAGAACCCGAAATATTGGCAAGAAACAATAAAAGCTACCACTTATGTTTTAACTCATTTGAACCTCCCAACAACCCAAGAGCTAGTTCACTATCATCCTGATTTTCCCAGTAAAGAGAGGAAAGCACAAAACGTTAAATTACTTGCCCAAAGACGCACAGTTAGGATTCACAGAAGCTCTAGCTCAAGATATCCACTCCTAACCTCTAGATTTCTCTGCCTTACATATTGGGGATGCTTCAATTTTAACGGCAAAAAGGGGTAGAGGTAGGGCTCCTTAAAGTGCAGACCCGTGAACTCTGAAGAATGCCCAAGGATTCTGTGTCAGTTGTCTGAGTTGAGAACTAGATAGGTGCATTTTCTTATTTTTCAACCAAGCACCTCAGTGATCAGTAAGCCACAGCTCCAGAAACACTATTTTGAGAGCATTCTGGTTGCATGGTGGAGAATGAGTTGGAGGGGATCATAGCAGATGAGAAAACATTAGTTACACCATTGTAATGAACCAGTGGTAGATAATGGAGAACTGACCTAAGATAGCGGAAATAACGGGGCTTATTAATCAACTGGAAATGGAGGCGAGGAAAGGAAAACAGGATAACTCACGTTTCTGGCATAAGCAACTGGGTGGATAGAGATAATATTTATCCTGTTGGGAATTACAGATTTGGGGCAATGAAGCTTAAGAGTTCAGTTTACAAGATAAACTGAGCATTAGGTGTCTAACAGGCAAGTTGGAGCTTGGGAGAAAAAGCAGTGCTAGAGATACATTTAGGAGTCATCAGCATGTAGGGTGTATTTAAAGGCTACAGACTATGGGGTGGGGGTAGGGAAAATGAGTGGGCTTATCTGGGGGAATTTCTTGTTTTCCGTTATCCTTTTTTTCATTTTTGTGTCAACAAATTCTCTCCAACTTGGTCATTTATATTTTATTTTTGAGGAAGTATATTTAAATAGGTATCTTAACAAAATACTTTCCAAACTAGAGCCATAATGAACTTGTGCCTGTTCTCTCTTGTTTCTACATCTTTGACATGCTTTATCTTCCACATGGAAAGTCCTTCTTCTCTGCCCCACCTTAGTTTAAATGACCTGCTTAAACTCATACTCAACTTTGTAGACACCTGAGGCTCCTCTTCCTGTGTCAAACCTTTACTAAACTCCACCATGACCATCTTGACAACTATGACACCGCAGCCCCCTTTACCAGCTAACTCTTTGACCTCTCTTCTCCCATACGATGTGCATTCTTTAAGGGGTCTCAGACTGATCAGAGCATGCTTGACTCTTGACAGCTGCTCAACAAATGTTTGTAGAATTCTATTAAGAAGCATTTCATCCTAGCGCAGTTTCATCTATATTCTGGGCCAAATCACATACTCTGCTTATAGCAGGAAAACTTTTCTATCAGTATAAGGCAGAAAATTTGGGAGACAGGAATAACGCCTGGAAGTGAATGATAAGCTTCTATAGCTTTCAAATTCAGATCTAGTAAATGTTCCATAATGTAAGGGAAGTATGTAAGTCTTGTCTTCTGATAAATTTATTCATTCATGTGTTCATGTATTCATCCATCTCTCCATGCATGCATGCATCCATCCATCAAACTTTTAATTAGGATCTGGGGTCCATGAGTTCAGCCATGTGTTGGGGTGCTGGAAAGGAAGAGATGAATAGAGTGACACAGGAGCTCCCTAATTTTCTGCTCTCAGTTGAAGCAGGAAAGATGGCTTGGAGCAGATTGTGGAAGATCTTCTATCCGATGTTGAGATTTTTATCTGAGGGAACAGGGGCAGTGGATATCTTTAAGCAGATGAGTGACCTGATTAGAGTTATTATTTTGGGGTACAATTTTTATAGAATGTACAAGATAGACTGGGGTGGGAAAAGATTGAGGAAAGAAAAAGACATTTAATGAAGACTTCCTATATGTTAGCTTCTGTTCTGGGCGCTTCATAGGAAGTTGATTTTTACAAATTAAGGTAGGTATTACCTTTTCTTCTTTTCTTTTTTGCAAATGTTGAAACATGGAAGGTAAGTAACACACCCAAGGTCACATACATGCACAGAAGAGGCAAAGCAGGGATTCTAACCATTGGTTTGTTCCCAAATTTCACGCAACCTCCCGCATATGTACTGTGCTGCCTGCTGCAGTCGTTCAGATGGTGACAGCCTGGACCACAGCACTGCAGTGGACAAAGAGTAGGAAGCACCAGCTTTGAGGACTGTTGAGGAAAGATTCTGGGCAGAACTTGATGACTGATGGGATCTAGGGTAGTGACATGAGGAAGGAAAGAACGAACGGCTTCATGATTTCAAGTTTGGGAGATTGGTTGAATGGTAAGTCCATTAAGGGAGAGATAAATTTGAGAAGAGGAGAGAGAATGATTTGAGAATGACATGTTGGCTTTGAGGTTTTTCTTTTTTGTCTTTTTTTTTTCTGAGTAAGTACATTATTAGTAGCAGATAGGAACTTAAGAAGGATGAAACAGAAAGGAATGATTTTGGATGTCTAATTAAGCTGTGACAGCAAGACAAGGATTAATCCCTTTGGGCCTGTCCCCAACAAGAAGCGCTGTTCAAATGCAGAATGGAGGTTTCCAAGTATGAACCAAAATATTTGGTTTAAAAAAAAAACACAACTTTTCACTCTAATTTGATGTGGCATCAGAAACATTAATGGAAAGTGTTCATTTGTGCTAGACAAGCTCAGAGTTTAGAAAACTCCTTTGCCACAAAGTCCTGGTTATATCTATACTCTTTAGAATAACTCTATTATCAACAAAAATTAAGTAAATTTTACTTAAATGTTAATGCTTAAAAGTTTTATATTGTTTGAAAAATATTTTGCAACAAGTATGTGCTCTCAGAAGCTTAAGACTTTATTAGAAAATCATAAAAGATTTTAGAATAAAATTCTGCTTTACAAATAATCTATTGCCCTTTAAGTATCATCATTATTATTAATGATCTGGAATGAATGAATAAAAATGAGTCATTGACAGTTAGAAAGATGGTAGGCAATGATAATTTTGAAAGCAGAATAATGGGCAATAGAGTAAATTCATTATTGGGAGTGTTGGAATGATTTTCTTGTTTAAGTAGCATTTATCAATGCATAAATGCTACTCATGGTTTAATTTTTCTCTGCATCTTACTATGTAACAAAAAGTATATGCTGGCATAAAAACTACATTTTGTTGTTTGTTTCTTTGTTTAATTTCATTTTATCTTATTGATTTTTAAAAATTCATGAATAATGTCATAAAATTCAACTATATTAACCTAACAAAGTAAGTTTTATAATGAAATCTAGAGTAGTAAAAATATATATTGTAAAATCTAAAATTCTGTATGCTAACAAAGTAAAAGTAACTGAATAAGACAGAAAAGAAAGGTATAATTATTGAAGACATCCATTTTTGGGTGTCCTGTCATCTGGCCTAAATTCAGTGAATCCTGATAAAACTGTGTCCTGGTTATGCCCTAATAATTATGTCACAAAATTGTTAACCAGCTCCACTTTCATGATGAGAAACCAGTATTGTTTGAATGTGTTTAATTACTAAATAGGTGTGTTGGAGATAACTTGACTTTTCAAAAATTGACATATTTTCACTTTACCTGTGTTTTTTTTCCATATATCTGTTTCGATTACACCTTTGAACTGGAAAATATGGAGGCTGAAGGGACTGAACTCCACAAATAAAGTTCTTTTTACAGACACTCTAGTTATCAGATTTGGACACCATACATAGAATTGCTGCTAACTAAATCTCCCTTGTCACTGGCTGCTTGCTTGTTATTCTTGGAGAGTTGCCAACAAGCGTCATCTCTGGATTCACTTTCATGTGTGACTGTTTTATCAAACCAGCAGAGAGCCACAACTCTAGAGGCTGTGAGTAACAGAAATGCTTAAAAAGATGGATACAATTCAAAAGCTGACTGTCCAGGTAGCAGTAACAATTTGTTTGCATTTTTCAGCTTTGGGGCAGTTTACTTTTCTTCCTAGATATCTAACTATTGTCTATATCCATGGGTGATTTCTGAAGGAACTGGAGCTACACTTGCATGGCTGCAGATAGCTTTCAATAAGAGGAGCATTGAAATGGAATAAAAGTTACCATTAACTCAACAGCCCATCCACCCAGGAGGTTGGCAGCGTGGAAATAGGCTTGTATTAGTCTGTTCTCACATTGCTAATAAAGACATACTCGAGACTGGGTAATTTATAAAGGAAAAAAGTTTAATGGACTCACAGTCCACATAGCTGTAGAGGCCTCACAATCATGTCAGAAGGCAAAGGAGAAGCAAAGCACATCATACATGGTGGCAGGCAAGAGAGTGTGCAGGGGAATTCCCCTTTACAAAACCGTCAGATCTCGTGAGACTTATTCACTATCACGAGAACAGCCTGGGAAAGACCCTCCCCTATGATTCAATTACCTCCCACCAGGTTCCTCCCATGACACATGAGAATTATGGGAGCTACAATTCAAGATGAGATTTGGGTGGGGACACAGCCAAACCATATCAAGGTTGATGGTTTCTGCTTTCATATTTCTAGATAGTGAACAAAGACCTTTCTGGTGACTAGAAAGACTGTGGCTTGTATACGATTTCTGAATCTTAACATTTACTCATTAAAAAAATTTATGCCTATCAAAGCAAGAACTGAGTGCAGCAAAATCAGATGTGTTTGGAAACAATCACCTGCTTTATTACTTTATTTTATTATAGGTTAGGGACCTATATTGGTTTGTAGTTGTTGATGCATTATTTCTTTAACTCATTAAAATCTGGAGTTCTCGTCTCCCTAAATCTGGTGTCAGCAAACAGACAATTCTATCTAGTTCACAGATAATTTCTTATTGCCTGCTGTGTCAAAGACTGGCTAGCTAGAACCAAATTTATTTTCTCTTCTTCTTGGTACAAATTAGATTCTCATTTCTCAGAGTCCCTCAGTATGGCTACATGACAAGTTCTTACCAATGAACTCTGTGACTTCTGACTCACGGAGGTTAGGAAGTGTGGATGTCTTCTCTGCCTGCTGCTTCCCACTTGCCTCCTGAATGCTGAGGACTCCAAGGTCTTATAGGAGGGTAGGGCCATAGGATGGAAGGTGTTTGGGTCCCTGAATGATTTTGTGGAAGGCCAGTGACTGATCAGGAACACCTGCATTGTATTGTTACATAAACAAGGAATAAACTTTTATTATGTAACAACTCAGAAGTGTGTGTGGGTTATATTAGCTAGCACGACTGTAACTAATAAAGCTGCCCTCACTCATGCAACAAACATTTACTATGTATCTACTGTGTGCCAAGCAGTCTTGTAGATGTCTCCATGAGCCAGGCACTGTGCTGGGTGTATGCAACAACAACAACAACAACAACAACAGCAACAACAACAAGACACATTCTCTGCTCTCAATAGGCTCAACTGGTAATGGAGGGGCTAGCAATTATAACACAATAAGGAAATAATTATAATGGGCTTATGCACAGTGAATAGAGATAATAAGGGAGAAGAAATACTTAAGGATGCCTGGAAGAACTGAGATGTATGAGACATGGTAGAAATAGACTGGATGGAGGGGAGCTAGATGAAGTTGTTCTAAGTATTAAAAAAAAAAAGGCATGGAGACTGAGAGCATAATTGTTTGGGAATCACCAGTGTTTAAGACAGACTGGAATGTAAAGTCCAAAAATAGGAGTGGATGGAGATGAGGATGGAAAGGTGAGATTAGAAAAATCTTAGAGACCCTTATAGGTCTTGCTAAGGTATGTGGATTTTAGACCAGGTGATGGGAATAACTAAGTATTTTGGTTTGAGAATGACATGAGGAGACCTCTATGTTAGAAATATCTGCCTAGCTTCAACATGTGCATGAACTAGAGCCTGGCTCAGCTTGGTTCTTTTGAAATTAAGACATGAAACAAGGATTTCAGGGAAGACAGTTTATTTGAAAAGTGACTAAAGGAAATAGCAGTGAGGGAGCAGCACAAATGAGACAGGGAACAAGGAAAAGCCAACCTAAAGGTGCATTATCAGCAGCAGCTATAGGCAGTGGGGATTCAATTCTACCTTGACTTCTGAGAAGTGAGAAGATCCTTCTTAGAACTGTCCCCTAGAGGATGGGAGGTTGAAGCTTTCCTTCACTGATTCCTGAATCCTTGTGGTTGAGCCTTGTTTCTCAGGGTGTTAACTTTCAATCTCGGAGGCTGTCTTGGCATGAGTACCCTGAGACAGAACCCAGAAGCTCCTTGCATATGCATGAGACATGAGCACCTGCCAGTGCCAGTGAGTCTGCTGCACTCTCACCACTGTCCGCCGTGGCTCTGGGTAATGTCATAGTAAGCAGAAGGGATCTGTAACAACAGAGTAGAAATTAAAGTTCAAGAGAACCGTCTAGGAGCTTATTACAATTGCCCAATTTATCATGTACATTTGAACTATGGGAACGTATTTATGGAGCAGTAGCTATATATTTCTGGAATGCTTTGGGGTCTTGAAACACCAGCTTGAGCTTGTACTCTAGTGGGAATGACAGAAAATAAACAATAAACCCAGTAAGTAAGTAAATGGTATACTGTATAGGCAAGATGTAGGTGTTATGGAAAAATAAAGGTAAGAGGATTGGGAGAGTTGAGGGTGAGAAGGTGAGGGCTCTAGTTTTAAATGAGGTGGTCAGGGTAGGATTCAAGCAAAGACTTGAAGGAGATGAGGAAGTAAGCCATGAGTCTATACTGTCATGCATCACTTCATGATGGGGATACATTCTGAGATATGCTTTGTTAGGCAATTTTGTCCTGCATAAACATACAGTGTACTTAAACAAACCTAGGCGGTCCAGCCTACTACACATCTAGGCTATGGTATAGCCTATTGGTCCTAGGCTACAAACCTGTTACTGAATACCGCAGGCAATTGTAACACAGTGGCATCTAAACATGTCTAAATGTAGAAAAGGTACCATAAAGATGGGGTATTATAATATTATAGGACCACCATCTTACAGGGTGTCTGTCTTTGACCAATATGTCATCATGTGGCACATGACCATATATCAAAGAAGAACATTCTAGGCAGAGGAAAAGGGAAGAGCATGGCCCCCATGATGGGAGGATACCCAGGCTGTTCCAGGAACAGCAAAGATTAGTATGGCAAAGAAGGGGCAGATGGAGAATTGTAGGAGATGGAATTAGAGAGGTACTGGGATCCAGGTAATATATTGAACTGTAGGCCATTGAATAAATACTGGCAGCCTCTTCCATGCTATGTAAATGCCTCCCAAGCTCTTGACTTTGACTTACCTTGGCCTATAGAATGTTAATGTACACAACACAAGCAGAGGGCTAAAATATGCTTGCACAGTTAGGCTTACTTTCTTGTGTTTTTGCCTTTCACCCTGAGAACATGCCTCAGGTAGCCAATGGCCCAAGGATAGCCAGGGACATGTGGATTAGACCTGGACCCAACCTCCAGTTTGGAGGCAAGCCCAGTTGAGGCCAGCTATGGAAATCAACTGATTTTTAGCCATCTGTCACACACAAGCAAAATATATATATATATATAATTTTGGGGTGGTGTTATGGAGAATTACTGTGGTAATAATAGCTGAGAAATCTCACACTTAACATTTACTAATATAACTTATATATAACTTATATTTAATATAACTTACAGGTTATGTTTGTTATCCACCTCCCTTCACTAGAATGTACCTCCATGACAGCAGAAAAATTTGTTTTATTCATATATATATATTTTTTATATATATATATATATATATATATATATATATATATATATATATATCAAGCATCTAGAATAGTTTCTGGGACATAACTATTAGCTAAATGAATGAAATACATAATAGCAGCTGACCCCTTGTTAATATAGACTGCAGAGTTGGCTGTTTAATCACTGCTCCCAAGGTTTAGACTTCTGGATCAAATTTTCTGAAGAATACACATATTCATATTTGCCCATGATTTACTGGCTCTGCATATACATCATGCTGCTAACAGTGCACCAGTAGTAAAATAACTGGTAATACTCTTCTCACAAGTCATACAAATATTTTCTTTGGACAATGTGAATTTGCCAAAAAGTAAAAGATGCTTCACATTCAGAATTTCCTCCAAATAACCAGTCTTTTTAATTTTGTGATTGCCAAAGAAGACGCCAAATGACATCGTAATTTCAAAGTATTGATTCTAAATAATTTTCGTTGATGAGCTAGAGCATCTATAAAGCACAGGTGTCCAACCACAAACGGAATGGTCTTCTAGTAGCCAGCGTTTGCAAGATTTTAATAGGTATTAACTTTGGAATTGAAAAGTGAATGTGGAGTTTAGTTTTGAGGTCCAGATTTGTTTGAAATCAAGGAGTTTCTCATGAACCAAATGGCACTAATAGAAATGTGTGTGTCTTTCAGAGGTCCTGTTGATGCCATCTTCATGTGGAAAATATATCCTACCCTCCCGGGCAGCTAGTCTAGTAAAAGTTGGCTTTCAGGTGGAGTTGACTGTCTGTTATATTGGTAGCCAATCTCAGATTCACATTCTTCCAAGGTGAAGACCTGAGCAGTAGTGATGCTGCAAAACTACTCAACTCTTACTTTAGAATTTTGGACAGAGTGGGAGAAATACCATTTCTCTGCAAGACCTTGTATTTAAGTTGAAATGGAGCCTTAATATCTGTCTTGGAAAGATCAGACTTTCTTAAACAGAGTTCTATCCAATTCAAACTCCACGTTGTAGAGATTGGCAGTACAATCTCTCCTGGGGCTTCTAGGCTTTGTAGACTCAAACCTTGCTACGTGTTCCACGGGGAAATTTTTAGCTAGAAGAGGCCTGCACATTTAATGTTTTTCTTGGCTGAATGTGGTACTGACCCTCTTTTCCAAGAGAAGGTAGGAAAACAAATTAGTCAATGGCAGCACAGAAAAAAGATAAGCCATATGCATAGTGACAGAGTCTAGATCGTGCTTGGAGGGAATTAGCGATAAAGGAGAGGAACTATAGTAGAAATCTGGTAAAAACTACAATTTACATGAATGTTTTTAAAGCTTCCTTTATCCACATTAAACCTTACAAGTAAACGGAAGCTTTGCTCTTCAATCAGTTTTAAAGACGGCAGCATTAGTTCATTACTGCTGGCACATGGCCCAGTTTGCCTAAATGAAGAGACTTTTATAAATCTCACCTGTTATAGTTCTTGGTAGTTATCTTGCTAATTAAGAGTAAGGATTAGGATCAGGAAATGATGGAAACCTGGGCAAAGGATGATTGTAGAGACCTAGTTTAAAACCCAGCTTTATCTTGGCCCACCTGCTAGGTCTTAATGGAACCTCTGAGATATTCTATGCCTGGAGATAAGAACAGAATCTGCCAATAGTGTCACTATGCCCACTCAAGAGGCATTACAGTGAGGTGCTCCCTACTCCAATCCAGGCATGACAAAGGGTTTGCACCAGACTTATTAGTATAGTATTTCCCATGTGGCTCTGTTGCTGGGGTTGGGGAAATGTGACCCGTTAGGACTCTGGAGAGGAGTCAGAGCGGCAGAAGGATGTGCTGAACCAATAATTACAGTGAGTACAGTTGTTTGTCCTGTAATGTGATATATGCATTTCTAAAAATAATGCCTGTGTAATGGAATTTTGAGTTCCAAAAATAACAGGGCTTACGGGAAAAGATGGAATTGGGGCAGAAACATCAAAACTTGTAGTCTTATAAAGCTACCACAATTCTAAACATCGCAAATTCCTAATAAATAAAGGAATACTACAGTAAATATAGGACACAATTTTGACAGGATATGAAATTTGCTTGGTGCAGGTATTTATAGTGAAGGATTGTGGCTTTGAACTATAAGGAGTAGCCTCGTGAACTATGGGAAATTTCTACCTTTGTGGAAGAAAGATCATAGTTTTTAACTGGCAAATAATAATTATATATATTTATGGGGTACAGTGTGGTGTTTCAATAAATGTATACTTTGTGGAATGATCAAATGGGGCTAATTTGCATATCCATCACTTCAAATATTTATCATTTCTTTCTGGTGAGAACGTTCAAAATCCTCTGTTAGCTGTTTTGAAGTATACATTAACTATAGTCATCATGCTGTGCAATAGACCATGAGAACTTATTCTATCTAATTGAAACTCTGTACATTTTAACCAACATCTCTCTTTCCCTATACACTCTTGCCTCCGGACCAGCCTCTAGTAACCACTACTTTATTGTCTACTTCTATGAGTTTGACTTTTTAAACTTCTATATATAAGTGAGGTCACACAGTATTCAACTTTCTGCGCCTGGCTTATTTCACTTAGAATAATGTCTTCCAGGCCCATGTCAGAAGGCTTTTCCTCTAAGATCATGAACAAGGCAATGATGCCCATTTTTATCACTTCTGTTCAACACAGTACTGTCTTTCCTAGCCAGAGCAATTAAGCAAGAAAAAGAAAAGGCATCCAAATAGAAATGAAAGAAGTGAAACTCTTTTTCATCATGTATTTCATAATCTTATGTATAGAAATTCCTAAAGACTTCATCAAAACACTGTAAGAACTGACAAATGAATTCAGTAAAGTTGCAGGATACAAAATCAACATATAAAAATCACTAGTGTTTCTATAAACTAACGATGCCCTACCTGAAAAAGAAAATTTAAAAAACCAATTAATTTACGATAGTGTAAAAAATAGGATGAATTTAACTCAGGAAGTGAAAGATGACACAAACAAATGAAAAGATACCCTATGTTCATGAATTGGAAGAATTTTAATATTTTAATTTTATTTTTTAGTTTGTTTTTTTGTTTTTAAATATTTATTTCAATAGCTTTTGGGGTATATGTGGTTTTTGGTTACATGGATGAATTACATAGTGGTGAATTCTGAGACTTTAGTGCACCTGCCACCCGAGTAGTGTACGCTGTCCATAATATACAGTTTTTTAAAATCCCTCACTCCCCTCCCACCTTCACCCTTCTGAGTTGCCAAAGTCTATTATTCACCCTGTATGCTTTTGCATACTCATAGCTTAGCTCCCAACTATAAGTGAGAACATATGGTATTTGGTTTTCCATTCCTGAGTTACTTCACTTAGAATAATGGCCTCCAGTTCCATCCAAGGTGCTGCAAAAGACATTATTTTGTTCCTTTTTATGGCTAAGTAGTATTCAATTATATAAAATGTAGTTGTGTGTGTGTATATATATGTGCGTGTGTGTGTGTGTGTGTGTGTGTGTGTGTGTATACGGGACTGCTGGATCAAATGGTAGCTCCACTTTTAGTTCTTTAAGGAATCTCGATATAGTTTTCCATAGATATTGTTCTAATTTACATTCTCACTAGCAGTGTATAAGCATTCCCTTTTTACCACATCCACACCAACATCTATTGTTTTTTCACTTTTTAATAATGGCCATTCGTGCAGGGGTAAGGTGGTGTCTCACTGTGGTTTTAATTTGTATTTCCCTGATGATTAGTGATGTTGAACATTTTTTCATATGTTTGTTGGCCATTTGTATATCTTCTTTTGAGAAATGTCTGCTCATGTCATTTGTCCACTTTTAGATGGGATTGTTGTTTTCTTGCCGATTCGTTTGGTTCCTTGTAGATTCCAGATACTAGTCCTTTGTCAGATGCATAGTTTGCAAATATTTTTTCTCATTCTGTGGGTTGTCTGTTTACTCTGATGATTATTTATTTTGCTGTGTAGAATATTTTTAGTTTAATCAGGTCCCATTTATTTATTTTTGATTTTGTTGCACTTGCTTTTGGGGTTTTAGTCATGAATTCTTTACCGAGGCCAATATCCCAAAGAGGTTTTCCGAGGTTATCCAGGAGATAACCTCGGAAAAATGTTTTTATGGTTTCAGGTCTTAGATTTAAGGTTTTAATCCATCATGAGTTAATTTTTGTATAAGATGAGAAAGAGGGATCTAGTTTCATTCTTCTACATGTGGCTATCCAGTTTTCCCAGCACCATTTATTAAATAAGGTGTCCTTTCCCTAGCTTATGCTTTTGTATGTTTTGTTGAAAGTCAGTTGGATGTAAATATTTGGTTTTACTTCTGGGTTCTCTATTCTGTATCATTGGTTCATGTGCCTAATTTTATACCAGTACCATGCTGTTTTGGTAACTATAGCCTTACAGTATAATTTGAAGTCAGATAATGTGATGTCTCCAGATTTGTTCTTTCGGCTTAGGACTGCTTTGGCTATTTGGGCTCTTTTTCAGTTTCTTTTGAATTTCAGCATTGTTTTTTCTAATTCTGTGAAAAGTGTTGTTGGTATTTTGATAGGAATTGCATTGAATCTGTAGAATGCTTTGGGCAGTATGGTTATTTTCATGATATAGATTTTTTCAATCCATGAGCATGGGATGTGTTTCCATTTGTTTCTGTCATCTCTGTTATCTCTCAGCAATGTTTTGTAGTTCTCCTTGAAGAGGTCTTTCATCTCCTTGGTTAAATACATTCCTAGGTATTTTAATATTTTTGCAGTATTGTAAAAGGGATTGAGTTTGCAGCTTGGCTGTTGTTTGTGTATAGCAGTTCTACTGATTTGTGTACATTGATTTTGTAACCTGAGACTTTATTGAATTCTTTTATTTATTTATTTTGCAGCAGGGTCTCACTCTGTCACCCAGGCTGGAGTACAGTGGCACAAACATGGCTCACTGCAGCCTTGACCTTCCTGGGCTCAAGCAATTCTCCCACCTCAGCCTTCCAACTAGTTAGGACTACAGGCAGGCACCACCACACCTGGATAATTTTTGTATTTTTTGTAGAGATGGGGTCTTGTCATGTTGCCCAAGCTGGTCACAAACTCTTGAACTCAGGCAATCCACCTCCTTCAGCCTCCTAAAGTGCTCAGATTAAAGATGTGAGCCACCACGCCTGGACTGAATTCTTTTATTAAATCTAGGAGTTTTTTTGAGGACTCTTTAGGGTTTTCTAAATATACGATCATATCATCAACGAACAGCAATAGTTTGACTTCCTCTTTTCCAATTTAGATGCCCTTTATTTCTTTCTCTTGCCTGATTGCTCTGGCTAGGACTTCCTGTACTATGTTGAACAGATGT
The DNA here is from genome assembly GCF_000001405.40 of Homo sapiens. Classification (NCBI taxonomy): domain Eukaryota; kingdom Metazoa; phylum Chordata; class Mammalia; order Primates; family Hominidae; genus Homo; species Homo sapiens. The sequence goes on from NC_000008.11 coordinate 120,387,916, forward strand.
AAAATGGGCATCCTTGTTTTGTTCCAGTTCTCAGGGGGAATGCTTTCAACTTTTCTCCATTTTGTATGATGTTGGCTGTGGGTTTCTTGTATATGGCTTTTATTAATTTGAGTAAGTCCCTTCTATGCCTAGTTAGTTGAGCGTTTTTTTTAATCATAAAAAGATGCTGGATTTTATCAAATGCCTCTTTCTGCATCTACTGACATGGTCACATGGTTTTTGTTACTGATTCTCTTTATGTGATGTATCACATTTATTGACCTGCATCCCTGGAGTGAAACCCACTTGATAGTGGTGTGTTATCTTTCTGATGTGCTGTTGGATTTGGTTAGCTAGTATTTTGTTGAAGATTTTTGCATCTATGTTCATCAGGCATATTGGTCTGTAGTTTTCATTGTTGTTGTTATTGTTATATCCTTTCCCAGTTTTGGTATTGGTTACTATCTTCATAGAATAATTTAGGAATGATTCCCTCTTTCTCGATCTTTTGAAATAGTTTCAGTAGGATTGGTACCAATTCTTTGAATGTCTGATAGAATTCATCTGTGAATCCTTCTGGCCCTGGGCTTTTTTTCTGCTAGCTTTTTCTTCTTATTATTATTATTGCTGATTCAATCTCTCTGCTTGTTATTGGGCTGTTTGGGGTTTCTATTTCTTCCTGCTTAATCTAGGAGGCTTGTATGTTTCCAGGAATTTATCCATTTCCTCTAGGTTATCTAGTTTATGTGCATAGAAGTGTTCACAATAGTCTCAAAATGAAACTCTCCAGGTTCATTTCTAATTGAGCTCATTGGAACCTTCTCTCTTCTTTTCTTGGTTAATCTAGCTAATGGTCTATCAATTTTGTTTATCTTTTCAAAGGATCAAGTTTTTCTTTCATTAATCTTTTGTATTTTTTGTTTCAGTTTCATTTAGTTCTGTTCTCATCTTCGTTATTTCTTCTCTTCTGCCAGCTTTGGGTTTGGTTTGTTCTTGTTTCTCTAGTTACTTGAGGTGTGACATTGGGCTGTCAGTTTGTGATTTTTCAGAAAAATTTGCTGTATGCATTTAGCAATATAAATTTTCCTCTTAGCACTGCTTTTGCTGTATCCCAGAGGTTTTGATAAGTTGTGTCACTACTATCATTTACTTCAAAGCATTTTTAAATTTCCATCTCAATTTTATTGTTAACCCAAAAATCATTCACGAGCAGATTGTTTAAATTCCACGTTATTTGTTGTTTTGGGGTTTTATTTTAAAGCTGTTTTCTAGTTTTATTCCACTGTAATCTCAGAAGACACTTACTGTGATTCTGATTTTTAAAAATTTATTGAGACTTGTTTTGTGGCCTATCATATGGTCTCTCTTGGAGAATGCTCCAAGTGATGATGAGAAGAATGTATATTCTGCAGTTCTTGGGTAGAATGTTCTGATGTTCTGTAAATATATGTTAGGTCCTTTTGTTCTAGAGTGTAGTTAAGTCCTTTTTTTTTTTTTTTTTTTTTGAGATGGGGTTTCTCTCGTCACCCAGGCTAGAGTGCAATGGTGCGATCTTGGCTCACTGCAACTTCCGCCTCCCTGGTTGAAACGCTCCACTGCATTTTATTATATAATTCCCTAAGTGTGTCTTTCATTTCCAGAAATTGATTGGCTTTTCTTTAGGATATCTATCTCTTTAGAAAATTTTTTGTTCACATCCTCAATTGTTTTGAAATTTTCTTTCTGTTATTTTTCACCTTTCTCTTATATCTCCTTGAATAGCTTAATAACCATTTTGAATTCTTTATCTGGTATCTCAATGGTTTCATCTTTGTTTAGATTCATTCCTGGAGGGATAGTGTGATATTTTGGGGGTGTTATAGAACCCTGTTTTGTCGTATTACCAGAATTACTTGTCTCATTCTTCCTCATTTGGGTAGATGATTTCTTCTCATTATTCTTGAATTTGTGTTTGATTTGACTATGTTTTTTGTTAATTTCTTTTTTCCCCCTCAAGGATGTGACTTTAATGTTTGTAGTTTATTGCAGCCTCTTTCAGTTCTTGTTCTTGGTGCTTTCACAGGTGAAGATTCTGTATAAGTCCCTCAGTTACAGAGTCTTTGTATGATGGCTTTCTCAGATGCTGGTTGCAGTAGCAATGTGCTTGCTGTGTCACCAAGTTCACGGTATCCTATAGGGTTGGAACGGCAGAGGTCTCTTGAAACATCTCATTCCCTCATGGTGTGCACTATTTACTTATTACCCAGTATTTTATTTACTGGGTTGAATAGTTCAATAGTTGAATAGGCTTCAGGCCAATAGGGGAGGTGTCCATGGGTAAAAACTGGCTTTGGCTATAGCAGGTGGGTAAATGTAATACCTAATGGTGTCCTAGCCTCAACAGAGGTGGCTGGGTGAACTCTCAGGAAGACACACTGAGGTCTTATCAGAGGGAAGGACAAGAGCCACCTCAGCTCCCCCTGCCAGGCCCGCAGGAAAGCTATCCTCCTCTCAGACTAACTTCTGACTCAGTGTTCTGGATATTCAGATCAGACAGGCACCTTTTTTCATCTGCAGGAATACTGATGTTCCAAGTAGAGAGAAATTGTGACTCTACCTCTCTTGCAAGCCTACACCTGGAGGGCGCTCCTCCTGTGGGATGCAGTCACCCAAAGTGTTCCAGTAAGTCTGTCTATAGGTGCATCCCTGCCGAGGTCCCATGGGAAAAGCCCCAGCTGTGTCAGCAATGGTGGATGAGGGGGAAAATAAATCTCCAAGACCCTTCACAAGCACCAGAGCTGCCTAATCATTGGGGTAGAGCTACACACTTTCCCTGCTGAGCTCAGTACTGCAACTGTGCCTCTGCTGAAAGAAACTTCCCACCAGTGGAAAGATCTGGGACTCAAGGCCTGCTGTCTGGGTTTTTTTGTCCCACAGGGTTTTCCCTTTATGTGTTGTACTTCCTCTTCCTCTAGGAGTAGGAATCCCTGAGAGCCAGAGACTAACGTGAATGCTATTGCTCCTCTGGGTCTTCCACACTCCAGGATGGTGCTGGGGAATGTTTGCAAGGGATCCAGAGATGTGATCTGTCCTCAAGTCTCCCAGCAGTGGGTACCACCACCAGTTCTGATGGGGGTGGCAGGGGAGTGATGCAAACTCTTAGATTCCTTGGTTACAGGTAGCCTCCATGTATTGGTGTTCTCAAATGCTGGTTGTAGCAGTAATGAACTGGTCACATGGACAGACTCAAGACCCCCTGGTTAACCAGGGTGGTGCAGGCAATGGTGATAGCTGAGGTCACGCCCAAGTTTTCTCCTTTCTGGGTACTGTGTTGTTCCACCTGGAGATGCTATAAAGAACTGTGTCAGTTGGCTTCCAGCCAGGAGGTGACACTTGCAAAAGAATACCAGCTGCAGTGGTAATGATGGGATTTGTGCTTGCCTCATGTTACCCAGGGAAGGTACTCTGGTTTCTCAGGTAATGGGCAAGGCCATTAAGCTTCCAAAAATTTCTGTCCTTTGTGTTAAGCTACCAGGGAGGGTGGAGGGACAAAGCCAGGTGGGGGCTGAGTTAGGGAGGTCTATGCTCTGACTCTGCATGACAGGCAAGCAGCAGCCCCTGTGGAAGTTGTGGGTTAGTTTTCTGGCCACTGGGGCAAGGTTTCAAAGAGGAGCATAGCTGCCTCTGTTGCACAGAAGTTTGTGCAAGGAGTAAGGAGCACCCAGCTTCCACGCACTTGGCAAGGCAGATCTCACACCTGCAGTTTTCTGCTAGCAGCAGTGAGCTAAGTTCCAGGCTGTCTACACTCAGAACTAAAAACTGCCCCAGGCCATAAGCCTTCACTGCAGAAATAGCAAACGTGGCTTTTGGGCCATACCCCTCCCAGTCCACCCACACAGCTCCTACATTTATGGCTGCATCAAACTTCTCATTTGCTTCCCAGCCCCCATCCCCCTGTCCCAACTGCTTCTGGCTAAGGGTGTTCCCCCTCACTAGAAGTTGTATCACAAAATTCACTTGCGAGCTTCTTTCCATCTGTGACCACTGCCTGAGTAGGCAGACCTCCATGAGGTCCCCTGTGAGGCAGAATAAAGAATGGCTTCCCTTGGTTTGCAGTGGAGACTGGGAATGCATGCAAGGTTCTTCCTGCTGCTGTTCCTACTTTTATATTCCTCCCTGCTCCCTAAATCAGTTCTAGCACGGTGTAGGGTTAAGGCCTTCCCCCGTGGCCTGGATTTCTAGATTTCCCGGTGGGGGTGTATATGCTGGAGGCAGCCTTTCTCCTTCTCACACTCTAGGGACAAAGTTTTCTTCTGGCTTATGGTGTAGGCTGCATCCTGCCACATCTTTAAAAGAAACTGTGGATTTCAGTTTTCCTGTTAAGTTCCTGCATTGCTTTTTGAAAAAAAAGTTCACAGTGTGAGTATCTACATGCTGTTTTGTCTTTCCAAGCAGGAGAGGCATGCTAATGATGCCTCCAATCTGCCATCTTGGAAAAAAAAACCAGAATATCATTAAATGTCCATACTACACAAAGTGATCTACAGATTCAGTGCAATCCCTATCAAAATTCCAATGTCATTCTTCACAGAAACAGAAAACACAATCTTAAAATTTGAATAGGGCCACAAGATCCAAATAGCCAAGACAGCATTGACCAAAAAGAACAAAGCTGGAGGCATCACACAGCTGGATTTAAAAATATACTACAAAGCTATAGTAATCAAAACAGCATGACACTGGCATAAAAATAGACACATTGACCAATGAATAGAATAGAGAGCTCAGAAATAAACCCACACACCTATGGTCAATTGATTTTCAAAAAGGGTGCCAGGTACAGACAATGGGGAAAAGGGCAGTCTCTTCAATAAGCTGTGTTGGAAAAAATGCATATCTTCATGCAGGAAAATAAAAATAAACCCTTATCTTCACCCCTTATACAAGAATCAACTCAGAATAAAGATTTAAATGTTAAGACCTAAAACTATAAAACTAACAGGCGAAAACATAGGGAGAAACCTCCAGGACATTGGTCTGGGTAGTGATTTCTTGGATTGTTCCCCAAAGCACAGGCAATGAAAGCAAAAATAGACAAATGAGATTGCATTAAACTAAAAAGCTTATGCACAGCAAAGGAAATAGTTAACAGAGCAAAAAAGCAACCCACAGATTGGGAGAAAATATTTGTAAACCATACATTGTACAAGGGGATAAGATTCAAAATATATAAGCAACCAAGAAACAAGAAAACAAATAACTCTATTAAAAAATGGGCAAAAGACCTGAATAGTTGTTTCTCAAAAGAAGACATACAAATCATAGTTTTTTTAATGAAATGGGTTAAAGAAAGATGGCTGTGGCCTATTATCTTGTTTTTCATGTCTTCTAACTGCCTTTAAGCAGAAATACCTTTTTTGTTTTGTTAATTATCCCCTCTTATACTGAAGTTGTGTGGCCCCAGCTGAAATTGGATGACACAAAGTGTGCTCATGCTGCATCAGGTTTGTAAGTTATCTTCAACTCACTGCAAGTGCTTGTCAGTTTTTAGTTCTCTGGAAAGCAGATGATTATTGGGATGTTAATATTAAGCTTTTGTTTGTCTTCAGTGTTATCTGCTATGTTCATCAATGTGATTACTTTAGGCCCAGTGGCTGTTGCAGTATCACATTCTCTTATTGTAAAACTGCAATATGTAAGTCTTTTCCTTTCCTATCACTTATAATAGGACACTTACTCATGTTTTACTGAGAAAGTACATAAACGCAGCAGGATATTTCCCATAGGGCAATGGACTTGAGTAAAATGGGGTAAGAGAGATAAGGTATATTGTATATTCTTCCCAGGTCATTATGCTCAGTTGGATGGTGTCTTTCACATTTACTGATATTATCCAATAGTGCAATGCATAGTTACCTGGTGAAGAATGGCTTATGAACAAATATGATTTTGGTTTTGGGGATTCCTTATTTATCTGCACTAATTTGCACATTGAGGATACATATGGTAACAGAAAACATAGCGTTCTTCTTCTTTCCAATGTTTGGAATAATTTGACTTTCCTTCTTTTTATATAAGAATTTGTATTATTTTTAAAAAGTCCTCTTCTGTTTCTTCTATTCATTTTACTTTGATAGGAGCTGCTATTCTAGGGTCCAGCTTATCTTCCTCCCTTGGACTACTGAGTCCCATACAGTGAATTGTGATTTTTATTTGGCTACTTGAGGTTGTATTCTCTCAGGGTATGTACAGATCAGGCAGTTAAACTCTCAGACAATGGCAAATTGTTAGGCAGTGGGAGGTGTAATAGTTTCTGCTTCTAAACTGTTGCACTATCTTGGCTCAAAGCCTCTCTAAAAAAAAATAAGTTTTAAAATAAACTTTTCTGTTTCAGTTTTCTCTGAATGCAAAATGGAGTTGTCTCCTAACAGCAAGCAGTAGGAGCAATTCAGTCCACCAATATAGCCTCTGTTTAGGTCTACATGCATCAGCAGAATCAGGCAACCCTTCCTCTCATGCACAGCAAGTGAGAGTGAGGTTTATGGTGATTATTCTCAATATTCTTATTGAATACTTCATATTATAATGATTTGGCTCAATATTCTTATAGACCATGTCTCTATGATCTTACTTGCTCAAACACTCAAGTTTTGTTAAAAATAAGGACCTTTCTTCAGTGGTCCTTCCACCATCCAACAAACATGTGCCAGCACTGTTCTAGGTGCTTGGTATACACTGGGCAAAAATTCCTATTAAAGCTGATGTATCAGGAACTGGAGACTTATTTCATATTGGCTCACTCCCCTAAAATTACTCCATCAAAAGTAAGACGGGCAGGTTCTTTTTGGTCCAACACCTTAAAATGTAACTGAGACTTCCTTTTGAATGGTAGTTGTTAACCTGTGCCGGGTTATACGTGCTTTGTTAAAGAATTTGTAATACAGAAACATATTCACCTTTTCTCATCTAGCAGTGGGTAAGTCCATGGGCTTTCAAGTCCAACTGCCTGGATGCAAATCCTGATTTTACCTTAGCCAAATTACTTAATTTATTGCTGCTTCACTGTGTCCCCTTTAAATTGGGAGGATAACAGTACCTCCATTACAGTATGTATTAATTAAATAATTCATATAAAGTGGTTGTGCCTGGCACATAGTAGGTGCTTATGTCATATTTAATGCAGTTATTAAATAAACATGTTTACATCATAATTCACACAGTTGTATTAGCACATTTGACAACCAGTTTTACTTGTTTACAGATCTATCTATACTTCCTTCCCATCCTACAATAGACTCTTTGATGGGGCACGGAAGTGTTGGGGGCAACTTGTATGATTTCTGTTTTCCCAGGACCTAGCACTGTGCCTGGTATATAGCAGTACTGAATATATGTTTGCTGAATGAATGGGAAAGTTGGTCTGAAATTCATTCCTTGATTGGCTATGGCAAGAGATGAAAAAATACCACCATGAAAATGCTCAAATGCAGTGGCTCAGTATCTTAATTTCTAGAGAGCATATTTTACAAGCAATAGTCATCCCAGCACCCCAATCTAAGTGCCAGTACAGAGATGAATGGAAGCCAACAGGACAGATATGGGAAAACAGTGTGGAGAGTCTACAAACAGAATCACTGGCAGGGAAGAGGGATTTCTAACGAGCAGACAGGCATTATGTATTCTGGTGTCATTGTGGGGCCAAGAGGCTATATGGGACACAGAAAAAGATAGCAGTTTATAAATATTTCAGGGCAAACTTTACCCTACTAAGCTGCAAATATGAATTTAGATGGATGACAAGTTAGATAAAAAAAGCCACTGAAATGAAAAGTGAAGGTAGAGCTTGTTCACAAGGGACAAGAATAGTGACCTGCAAACTTGAGAAAATCTGCATGGAGAGGCATTTTTGGAATGTGTAACTGCAATTCTATACACAGGGTCTGTTTTTTATCATTAAATGCAACACTAAATAGTCAACCAAGTAAGTGATTTTATTATTATCAACTATAACATTCAAATCAGATTACATAAAAATGGTTCTATAAAATTATATTTTAATTACAATTTCCTATTGAAGGACTATACCTTCCTGACCTTTCCCCACAGTGATTCGGCACATAAAACAGGTGCTGAACTGTAGCAGTTGTTTTACTCCATCCTGTAGGTTAGAGAAACTCATCAGAAGAAAGTTTCAATCACTTCACTGTTATTTTCTGCAATTCTTATTCTCTTATAGCCGATAATCTTCAGGTCTGAAAGAAAAAATCAACATATTTCTTCATGAATCATTATTTTGTTTTCTCCTGACTGATGAGGATTATTTTTCCAATTTAAAATAAAAATAACTGTTCACCAAGAAATAGCTACAAACACTATATCTAAATTTTTGGTGAAAAAAAAACATTAACATCAAATCTTTATAAAGTAGAACAGTTAAGTGACAACTCCAAAGTCTTTTTGAAAGTATAAATATAAGCCACCTTGTGCCTATATAAGAATGTATTTAGTAACTTAATAATTTGAATTCAATTTCTCTGTTCCATTTTTAAACTTTTATAAAGTCCTTATTGAAAAGATTACTATAATCTTTAAGAGTTTAAAAATCATACGAAGACATGGATTTATAGTACAAATGCAAATTTTGAGTAAGTGATTTTTCCTATTTATATTATCATATGCTAAATTTAATTTTCATTATGATCCATATACAAAATAAGTGTATAAACATCAGTCCTTTAATATTTATTTACAAACATAACTGGTTTTCCTTATTTATGCAATTATAAGATTAACCACACCTGAGAGCTGCTTTCATTAGTCAATTAAAAAAATTTTTCAGAAGTATTAAATTATAACAATAGACAAAATTAAACATAGGAAATTATAAAATGCAAACAATTTGTCCTGTTATCTTTTCAAAAGTGTATTTGTAGGTGTTGGGTTTCCATATGGAATTTTCTGAAGGAAGTTGGTAACAAACTAAACAGATATTTTGGCAAAGATGACTGATTAGAAGCAGCTGTGGTCTGCAGTTCTCCCAGAGGAATGAAAATGGCAAGTGAATTCAGCACCTTCAACTGAAATATCCAGGTTTTCACATTGGGACTGACTAGGCGGACAACTCGACCCATGGAGAAAGAACTAAGGAAATCAGGATGGAGTGACTGCCCACCTGGGAGTGGCATGGAGCCAAAGAAACCCCCACTCCCAGCCACGGGAAGCAGTGAGTGATTGTGTGACCCCCACCTGGGAAACCACGTTTCTCTCACGGATCTTTGCAGCCTGTGGATCAGGAGATACCCTCGTGAGCCCACACCACCAGGGCCTTGGGTCCAATACACAGAGCTGTGCAGAGTCTTGGCAGAGCAGTTGCTCAGGCTCACACAGAGACCCAGGAGTTTAATAGACTCTAGCCCCAGGAATCCCGGTAAGGCAGGAGATCCATCCATAAATTCTCCAAGGAAGGGAGCTGAATCCAGGGAGCCAAGCGGTGTTGTTCTGCGGGCCCCACTTCCATGGCATCTCACAAGTTAAGCCTCACTGGATTGGAAATCCAGCCAACCAGTGCAACAGGCTGGAGACTGCCTGAGATGGACAAGTTCCTGGGGGGAGGGGCAGCTGCCATTTCTGTGGTTAGGTCGACTCAGCCATTCTAGTCTGCCAGCTCCAAGGAGTCCACTGGACAAGGAGGAGTCGCCCACAATGCAACACAGCTGCTGTGCCAGATCACAGCCACACTGCTTCTTTAAGTGGGACCCTAATCCATCCCTCCTCACTGGGTGGTGCCTCCCTGCAGGAATTTCAACAACTCTAGCCAGGGTTATATGAACAGGACTCTGATCTCTCCCTGGGATAGAGCCCTGGGGAGAGACGGCCCCTGTTTCTGCAGTTCATTTGACACAGCCATTCCAGCCTGCCAGCTCCAGGGAGTCCAGGCAGTCTAGACAAGGAGGAGTCTACCATAATGCAGCATAGCTGCTGTGCCAGATTGTGGCCAGACTTTTTCTTTAAGTGGGACCCCGATCCATCCCTCCTCACCAGTTGGTGCCAGTGAGCACCAGCAACTCCAGGAATTTCAGGAACTCCAGCCAGGGTTATACAGACAGATCTCTGATCCCTCCCAGGGATGGAGCCCCTGGCGGGAGGGGTGGCCAACATCTAAGCAGTTCAGTCGACACAGCCTTTCCAGACTGTTGGCTCTGGACAGTTGAAGCAGTCCGGATGGGGATGGGATCCCCACAGTGCAGCACACCTACTCTACCAAAAAGCAGCCAGACTGCTTTAAGCAGGTCCCTGATCCTGTCTCTCCTGACTGGGTGAGACCTCCCAACAGGGGTCTCTAGACAACTCCTACAGGAGTGTCTGGGCTGGCAACAGGTCAGTACCCCTCTAGGACAGAGCTCCCAAAGGAAGGAACAGGCTACCATCATTGCTGTTTTGCAGCCTTAACTGGTGATACCTCCAGGTAAGGTAAAAACTGAAACAACTAGGGTCTGGAGCAATCCCCCAGCAAACTGCAACAGTCCTACGGAAAAGTGGTCTGACTGTTAAAAGAAAAACAACAAACAAACAAAGTAACAACAACAACATCAACAAAAAAGACCCCACAAAACCCCACTGAAAGGTAAGCCACCTCAAAAATCTAAGACAGATAAGCCCACAAAGATGAGAAAGAATCAATGCAAAAACCTGGAAAACTCTAAAAGCCAGAGTGCTGCTTCTCCTCCAAATGACAGCAACACCTCTCCAGCAAGGGCACAGAACTGGGCTGAAGTTGAGATGGCTGAACTGACAGAAGTAGGCTTCAGAAGGTGAGTAATAATGAACTTCACTGAGCTAAAGGAGCATGCTGTAACCCAATGCAAATAAGTTAAGAATCATGATAAAACAATACAGGAGCCAACAGCCAGAATAGCCAGTTTAGAGAGGAGCATTACTGACCTGATGGAGCTGAAAAATACAACATGAGAAATACATAATGCAATCACAAGTATTAATAGCAGAATAGACCAAGTATCTTTCTCAAATAAGACAGGCAGACAATAATACACACACACACACAAACACACACACACACACACAGAATGAAAAGGAATGAACAAAACCTCCAAGAAATATGGGACTATGTAAAAACCTATGACTAATTGGGGTACCTGAAAAAGACAAGGAAAACAGAACCAAGTTGGAAAACATACTTCAAGATTATCATCCAGGAGAACTTCCCCAACCTAGCAAGACAGGCCAAAACTCAAATTCAGGAAATCCGGAGAACCCCAGTAAGGTACTCCATGAGAAAAGCAACTTCAAGACACATAATCTTCAGATTCTCCAAGGTCAAAATAAAAGAAAAAATGTTAAGGACAGCCAGAGAGAAAGGCCAGGTCACCTACGAAGAGAAACCAGTCAGACTAACAGTGGACCTCTCAGTAGAAACCCTACCAGCCAGAAGAGATTGGGGGCCAATTTTCAACATTCTTAAAGAAAAGAAATTCCAACCCAGAATTTCATGTCTGGCCAAACCAAGCTTCATAAGTGAAGAAGAAATAAGATCTTTTTCAGACAAACAAATACTGAGGGAATTCGTCACCACCAGGCCTGCCTTGCAAGAGCTCCTGAAGAAAGCATTAAATATGGAAAGGAACAACCATTACCAGCCACTACAAAAACACACTAAAGTACACAGACCAGTGATGCTATGAAGCAACCACATAAACAAGTCTGCAAAATAACCAGCTAGCATCATGACAGGATCAAATTCATACATAACAATATTAACCTTAAATGTAAATAGGCTAAATGACCCAATTAAAAGACACAGAATGGCAAACCGGATAAAGAGTTGAGACCCATCAGTATGCTGTCTTCAAGGGACCCATCTCATGAACAAAGACACACATAGGCTCGAAATAAAGGGATGGAGGAAAATTTACCAAGCAAATGGAAAACAGAAAAAAGCAGGGGCTACAATCCTAATTTCTTACAAAACAGACTTTAAACCAACCAAAATTAAAAAAGACAGAAGGGCATTGCATAATGGTAAAGGGTTCAATTCAAGAGTTAACTATCCTAAATATATATGCACCTAATTCAGGAGTACGCAGATTCATAAAGCAAGTTCTTAGAGACCTATAAAGAGACTTAGACTCCCACATGATAATTGTGGGAGACTTTAATGCCCCACTGACAATATTTGACAGATCATTGGGACAGAAAATTAACAAAGATATTCAGGACCTGAACTCAGCTCTGGATCAAACAGAACTGATAGATATCTACAGAACTCTGCACCCCAAAACAACAGAACATACATTCTTCTCATTGCCACATGGCATTTACTCTAAAACTGATCACAGTAAGGTAAAACACTTCTCAGCAAATGCAAAGAACTGAAATCATAACAGTCTCTCAGATCACAGTGCAATCAAATTAGAACTCAAGGCTAAGAAATTCACTCAAAACCACACAACTATATGGAAACCGAACAATCTGCTCCTGAATGACTCCTGGGTCAATAATGAAATTAAGGCAGAAATCAAGGAGTTCTTTGAAACTAATGAGAATGAAGAGACAACATATCAGAATCTCTGAGACGCAGCTAAAGCAGTGTTAAGAGGGAAATTTGTAGCACTAAATGCCCACGACAAAAAGCTACTTAGATCTCAAATTAACAACCTGATATTGCAACAAAAAGAACTAGAGTACCAAGAGCAAACACAGCTAGCAGAAGACAAGAAATAACCAAGATCAGAGTAGAACTGAAGGAGACAGAGACAAGAAAAATCCTTCAAAAAAAAATCAATGAATCCAGGAGCTGGTTTTTTGGAAAATAAATAAATAAATAAATAAATAAATAAATAAATAAATAAATAAAAAAAATAGACTGCTAGTTAGACTAATAAAGGAGAAGAGAGAGGAGAATCAGACACAATCAGAAATGATAAGGGGGTATCACTACTGATCCCACACAAATACAAACCACCATGCAAGGATACTATAAACAGCTCTATACACATAAAGTAGAAAATCTGGAAGAAATGGATAAATTCCTAGATACAAAAACCCTCCAAAGACTGACCCAAGAAGAAATTAAATCCCTGAATAGACCCATAATTCTGAAATCGAATCAGTAATAAATAGCTCACCAACCAAAAAACAAACCCACAACCAGACAGATTTAGAGCTGAATTTTACCAGAGGTATAAAGAAGAGCTGGTACCATGGCTACTGAAACTATTCTAAAAAATTCAAAAGAAGGGACTCCTCCCTAACTTATTTTATGAGGCCAGCATAATCCTAATACCAAAATCTAGCAGAGGTACAACAACATAAAGAAAACTTCAGGCCAATATGCCTGATGAACATCGATGCAAAAATCCTCAATAAAACACTGGCAAACTGAATCCAGCAGCACATCAAAAAGCTTATCCACCACAATCAAGTCAGGTTCATCCCCAGGATGCAAGGTTGGTTCAACATATGCAGATCAATAAATGTAATTCATCAACATAAAAAGAACGAAAGACATAACCATATGATCAGCTCAACAGACACAGAAAAAGCCTTTGATAAAATTCAACATCCTTTCATGTTAAAAACTCTCAATAAACTAGGTATTGAAGGAACATGCCTCAAAATAGTAAGGGCCATATGTGACAAACCTACAGCCAATATCATACTGAATGGCGAAAAGCTGGAAGCATTACCCTTGAAAACCAGCAAATGACAAGGATGCCCTTTTTCACCACCCCTGTTCAACACAGTACTGGAAGCTCTGGCCAGGGCAATCAGGCAAGAGAAATAAATAAAAGGTATTCAAATAGGGAGAGAAGTCAAATTACCTCTGTTTGCAGATGACATGACCCTATATCTAGAAAATCCCATCGTTTCATCCCAAAAGCTTCTTAAGCTGATAAGCAACTTCAGCAAAGTCTCAGGATACAAAATCAATGTGCAAAAATTGCTAGCATTCCTATACACCAACAACATGCAAGCAGAGAGCCAAATCATAAATCAACTCCCATTCACAATTGCTACAAAAGAATAAAATACCTAGGAATACAGCTAACAAGGGAAATTAAGGACCTCTTCAAGGAGAACTGCAAACCACTGCTCAAGGAAATCAGAGAGGACACAAACAAATGGGAAAAACATTCCATGCTCATGGATAGGAAGAATCAGTATTGTGAAAATGTCCATACTGCCCAAAGTAATTTACAGATTCAATGCTATTCCCATTAAGCTACCATTGACATTCTTCACAGAATTAGAATAAACTATTTTAAAATTCATATGGAACCAATAAAGAGCCCAAATAGCCAAGACAATCCTAAGCAAAAAGAACAAAGCTGAAGGCACTTCGCTACCCAACTTCAAACTATACTACAAAGCTACAGTAACCAAAATCGTGTGGTACTGGTACAAGAACAGACACATAGACCAATGGAACAGAATTGAGAACTCAGAAATAAGACCACATGCCTACAACTATCTGATCTTCGACAGACCTCACAAAAACAAGCAATGGGGAAAGGATTTTCTACTCAATAAATGGTGCTGGGAAAACTGGCTAGCCATATGTGGAAAACTGAAACTGGACCCCTTCCTTACACCTAATACAAAATTTAACTCAAGGTGAATTAAAGACTTAAATGTAAAACCCCAAACTATAAAACCCTAGAAGAAAATCTGGGCAATACCATTCAGGACATAGGCATGGGCAGATTTCATGACAAAAATTTCAAAAGCAATTACAACAAAAGCATAAATTGACAAATGGGATCTAATTAAACTAAAGAGCGTCTGTACAGCAAAATAAACTAGCATCAGAGTCAACAGGCAACTCACAGAATGGGAGAAAATGTTTGTAATCTATCCATCTGACAAAGGTCTAATATCCAGCATCTACAATGAACTTAGGCAAATTTAGAAGAAAAAATAACCCCATTAAAAAGCAGGCAGGCAAAGGACATGAACAGACACTTCTTAAAAGAAGACATTCATGAGGCCAACAAACATATGAAAAAAAGCTCAACATCACTGATCATTAGAGAAATGCAAATCAAAACCACAACTGAGATACCATCTCATGCCAGTCAGAATGGAAATTATTAAAAAGTCCAGAAACAACAGATGCTGGCAAAGTTGTGGAGAAAAAGAACACTTTTACACTGTTGGTGGGAGGGTAAATTAGTTCAACCATTGTGAAAGACAGTGTGGCAATTCCTCAAAGATCTAGAGGTAGAAATACCATTTGACCCAGCAATTCCATTTCTGGGTATATACCCAAAGGAATATAAATCATTCTATTATAAAGACAAACGCATGTGTATGTTCATTGCAGCACTATTCACAATAGCAAAGACATGGAATCAACCCAAATTCCCAGACTGGATAAAGAAAATGTGGTATATATACACCATGGAATACTATGCAGCCATAAAAAGAAATGAGATCACGTCCTTTGCAGGAACATGGATGGAGCTGGAAGCCATTATCCTCAGCAAACTAATGTAGGAACGGAAACCCAAACACCACATGTTCTCACGTATGGGAGCTGAAAGATGAGAATACATGGACACATGGGGTTGGGGGGAACAACGCACAATGCAGCCTGTTAGGAGGGGTTGGGGGAGGGAGACCGTCAGGAAGAATAGCGAATGGATGCTGGAGATGGGTTGATCTGTGCAGCAAACTACCATGGCACATGTTTACCTGTGTAACAAACCTGTACAACCTGCACGTGTACCCTGGAACTTAAAATAAATGTTCAAGAAAATAAATATTTTGAAAACACCTGTAAAAATATGTAATAGTTTGAGTTCCTTTAAAAAGTAGATGACTTTGTTTGCCCAAAAACAACTTAATCTACTAGTCCTTTTCTATATTTATAAATTTATAAATGTTTTCTGAAACTGAATACTCACAGGATACCCCATAGCCTACCTAAGAAGACTGACAGTCTACCAGCTGAGTAAAATAACTCTACTAGAATTTTAAATTGTTTATTATTAAACTCTGAGCAACAAAGGCACTGATCTGGGAAACTAGCCAGGTATGCTTTGCCATATCAGCCATCTATAACAATAAGAAGATAAACTGCAGAGTTTTGTCACTTTGTTTGTGAAATCTCTATCCAAACATAAAAACTGCATCCAAAGTCTGGGAAATAACAATCTGATGACAGCTACACGCGGCTCCAGAATATACCCTTTTCTCCTTTGGTATGTGACTCAATATACGCAAAGCAGTTCTTAGTAAAGAGACACCAGTACATTTTAAGAAACAATTTATTATCCTATCCAGCTGGTTCATATAATTACAAAAGAGGTGGTGGTAATGCAATTGGAAAGAAATCTAAGTTAATGCCCCACAAGAAGTCTGCAACTCCACTCAATAGAATTAAATGTGTTTAGTCACAGTCACCAGTTGTTTCCACACAAAAGGTTAATTTATTTAATTGAAATGAAATGACAATACCACCTTTCAGTGGAATTTAGAAGTAAAATTGAATGGTATAATCCACCACATAAAGGAATGTGGACATTGACCTCAAAGCAAATTTCCTCTTTGTCTTTTCTCTGCCTGGCAACCATGACTAATCTTTCAAAATCCACCTCAAACGTTACATTTTCTGTCAAGCTCTTCACAACAATTCCTTTCTAACACAGACTGGGCTCCTTTCTCTAGGATTGCCAGAAAGCTTAATGCATGCTTCTACTACAATGTTTCTCTAATCATACTGGCTCTTCCTTGTAAATAACACATGCTGAGTGCTCATTAGATGCCACAAAGTATAATAAAGACTTCACATGAATTATTTTATCCTCACAACTACTTTGTAAGAAAGACACTGTTATTAGTTTCATTCTACAGTGACAAAACTTAGGCTCAGAGTAGCTCAGTAACTTGGCTAAGGATACACAGCTAGGAGGTAGATGGCAGGGATCTGAGTGTAAACAATTTGACTCCGGTGCTTGCAAGCACCATTTTATTCTATATGATGCCTCTTAGGCTGCCAGTCCTTTGAAGGCAGGGCCCTGATATGATTATCTTATACTCCCAGCAGCCACGGTAATGCCTGATACACAGTGGATGCCTAGTATATCTGAGCACAGTACAGAGTACAGTGACCCCCTTGAAAATGCCACTTCATGTGCAAATTCATCTTTAAATAATCGGGATATTTTCCAGATGGTTAATTTGCTTCCAAAGGGGGAAAAGCAGTATCATGGCCAAAGACTAGATAGTTAAGATAGTGGCACAGCTGGAAACATCAACTCATACTGGAGGCAATTAATGATACACATTTTTCAGGAGGTTCCCCTGTGGGGAAAAGAGAGGTTTTTACACTAAATATGGTTTTACTTCTCTCTGTCTCAAACAGAAATGAAAACAAGCATACACACAACTTTTCTGTATTGCTTATTCCTTTCCACTAAAACAACGAAATTCAAGGTAATATAAGAAAGGGGAGGAGAGGGCTATTTATGTCTGTGTTTCTCAAACTTCAGCAGGCATACAAATTGCTTGGATTCTTATGAGAATGCAGGTCCTGATTTCACTTATTCTGTGGAGGGGCTCACGATTTGGCAATCCTAACAAGTTCCCACTTGATGCATTGCTGGTTTATGGACCACATTCTAATTAGCATGGGTTCCCCTTAGACCAAAGACAGAGCTATTTATAAGACAGAGGAGCACCTTCAGTAAGAAATTACTAATACTATCTAACAGAAGGTAACACACATACTTCTTCCTAAACTAGAGATGACTCCATTTGATACACAGTATCTTTCCTGGTTCTTTTCTCCCAAACTGTAGTTCAAGCAGCTTTAGTACTCAGCAAATGTATTTAGGTTCTTTAAAAGTTGGTAACCCATATATGGTAACATGCAAACTAGAATTGAATTCTCAGATTATGTTGCTTACATACCCTATTTTGTGCTGAGGTGACCTAATCTCTTCACTAGATTAAATAGTTTTTAAAAACAAGAAGGGTGGCATCTAGCACATTACTTTTCATACTATGAATGCTTAAATATTTGAAACTTAAATGAAACGGCTTAATCTTTTAAAAGAGGGATGATAGGTGAATGTATATTGTACATTAGCCCTACTTCTTTGTCACTGTTTCATTGGAAATAACAAATTATGTAGTTTTAAAATGTGCGTTAATGTTATATAAGGTTAATATATTTGTAAATAATAACAGTATTCTAAAATAATCACAGGAAATCTTTAGAGGGATATTTCAAATGCCATTTCTGAAAGCTAACACCTGTCAATTTTTTTCATATAAATTATACAAATTTACTCCTTGACAGAAATATAAGTTGTATTTTAATGAAATTACCATGATTGTTCTTTAGACATGTAATACAAAGTATCCAAAATTGTATATATTAGAGTTGCATTAAAGTAAGGCCTGTTAAGAAAAATGTCTATTTTAGTTATAGTTAGACAAGATTTAAGTAAGGAGCAAAACCCAAAACATGAATTTATCACACTTCATGAACTGAACATCAATTTCCCTTTCAGGGAGGATATGATTCCATTCATGCATTCATTTATTCAACAAATTGACTGGTCAGGTCCTGCTGTGGGCGCCGGGAATAAAGTAGTGAGCAGGACCCAGTCCTCATCTTTATAAAGCAGTTTCTAACAGTGGATTATATATGTGTGCATGTGTGTGTGTGTGTGTGTGTGTGTGTGTGTGTGTGTAATTGTTATCTAATACAGCTATGATATATATTTTATATACAATTTATATATAGTATACTTATATATAAAAATATATGAAACACACACAAGCTTTGATCTTTGAAGTGAAAGACGAAAGTTTTAAATTTTCATTTATGTGCTTAAAATATACTTGGGAGATTAATGAATCATCTAAGAAATAGCTAACATAAAACTTTCCTTAATTCATTCTCTAAATTGTGCTAAACTTTCCATAGCTATCAAATGTTCTGTAACAACTATCTATTTTGCAGATACTTGTCACTAGCAAAAACTGCCTTTATACAAAGTAACTTTCGAAAATAGTATTACATTTTGAGTGAGAAAACAGAACTTTAAAAAGCCTCATCTGAGTTGTAGAAAATATTCTCTGGTGCTTGTGACTGCTCAAAAACAGTTAAAATCACACCACATGCCACATCATTCTGTTTCCTATAGCAAATTCTTTACCATACGCATCCCTATGCAAAACACTGCCTGCTACTCATTAGATGAAACAAGCAAAATACTGCTACTCATTAGGATGAAATAAGCACATATCAAAAAAGCAGATTCAAATTCAGAATTCAGAAATGACAGAAGTCAAAACATTTATATTATCTTGAAAATGGAGTAATTTCTCACCTCTTAACATTAGGAAAAAACTTTTCGGAGATTTTAGTTTGTATTATAAAATGGTAGGAAAAATTTACTTGGTTGTGAATGAAACAAAACATCAAGTTATGAAGCACATGGTTTATGCTACATTAAGATAAGTGACACTTAACATTATTGGTCCTACTTCCCAGCACTTTGGGAGGCCGAGGTGGGCAGATCATGAGGTCAAGAGATCGAGACCATCCTGGCCAACATGGTGAAACCCAGTCTCTACAAAAAATACAAAAAATTAGCTGGGCGTGGTGGCGGGCTCCTGTAATCCCAGCTACTTGGGAGGATGAGGCAGGAGAATTGCTTGAACCCGGGAGGCAGAGGTTGCAGTGAGCCGAGATCGCGCCATTTCACCACCCCAGCCTGGGCAAAAAGAGCAAAACTCCATCTAAAACAAAACAAAACAAAACAAAACAAAACAAAACAAAACAAAACAAAAAATACATTATTGGTCCTACTAAGAATAATTTATTTTTCAAGTAAAAAAATTCCCTATTTCAGCTGTAAGTCCAGGAAATTGAGTGTAGCTTAAGTGTAATAAATCTCAAAAAAATTTTTTTCTTCAATAGGTTTTATGTCTTTTCACTCTTACATAATATTTCTTAGTATAATGCTTATTCTATGAAACATTTAAAAGACTAAAATAATATTTGGATGGTGAACTAATCTTAAAAGCGATAAAAGGTCAGTTTGAGTTTTAAGTCACTTCCATTGAATGAATGAAATTATTTAGAATAAACCATTTCAGGAAATCTGGTGACATCACATATTCTTTAAAGATGCTAGCTATACTGAGAGGTAAAGTAATGGTGCCTTAATACTAATTTTCCTAGGCACTGTAGCACCATCCTGATCCGAAAAAGCTCAACATACATTTAAATAAAATGTTTTTTTAAATCCTTTCTTGATTATTCTTTTTTGTTTCTTCCCTTTCAGATCCAGACCTACAGATCAACATACTTTTAAATAAACTAAACCTGTAAGATTGTTGAAAATTTTTGCCAAATGATTTTTTCAATTAAAATGAACAGAAATTGCCATTACATTCAACTGCACTTTTTTAGTCAAAATCTGTATCAGCTAGGACTTATAAATGATTTGGGTTTTGTTGTTTAAATAGAGACTACTTTTTTATTTTACTAGCCAGTCCTGATCTATTCACATCCAAAAGAACAGTACAGCTTAGAATGCCTAATTTGAGCAAAACCCAGGACTGGAAAGACTGAAGTCTATCATTGAAGTCAATGCTGAACTGGTTGAAATAGGTAGGAAAGTTGGAAAGTAACCTTAGTCCACAAGTCCAGCTAGTAACTGCTGACTGTGAAGAGCAGCAAATTAAGTTAAATTGTGTGGAGAAAATGCCACATGACTAGACTAGAAGAAAATTATGGAAAATCTTAAAGCTGTCCAGATCCCAGCAACTTATGGATTAGAAAAGGTAAAAATCCTTCTACATTGTCTTTAAGTCTCTGATCTGAAGCATGTTTTATAAAGGCATAGGTAAAAATAATCTTTTTCTGAGTATTAAGTAAATCTGAAAATGGGTAGTTTTTAGGATTAACAGCTTTCATATCAGAGAATATGCACTAAGCTTAAATCCGTGCTCTCTTCTAGAGCTATAGACTGAAGAGGATGCTCACCAATGCAGTGCTAATGTTCCCAGCATCTGGAATCCAGCTTTTCTTTTACAGAGCTGAATGGATCACATATTGAACTCCCTAATCCTCATCCTACTTTCGAAGAGACAGTTCTGCATCAGTAATGGTTGTCCTCATACTTCCTTGTCTTCATCCTTACCATCCATCTCTCCTTTGCAGGCACATTTCTAATAGCACACTCTAGAGTACTGAAACACCAGGAACACAGGTTTCTGTTATAAAAACCTGTGTTCAAGCATGTATTGATGCTGAAGCTTTCCATGGTTAGCTTCTCTACAAAGGTGAGAGTTTTGCTTAAAACAAGCATTTCTTACTGAATTAACATGTAAGGAAAAATAATGCAAAGCAATTCAAGTTGAATTTTTTCACATACGTAGTTTTCCTTAGGAAAAGCTCTCCTGCATCATTTTGCAAAACTTGAAAATAAAGTTTAAAATGATCCAAGTTTTATTTGTAGACTACATTTTGAAACATTTCCCTTACAATGAGCATGATTAATTTCCATGATTATTGGGGTTGTGAAATGTGTTGGCAAAACTGCAATAATCATGTAACAATTGATAGTATTAAAATAAATTGACCATTTTAAAGCTACAATCTTAAGCAACAGAATTGTGAAGAAAAGATAGTGCTATTTTTTTCCTTTAAAGAAAAAAGAAAAAAAATCTAAGTATAAACCCCACAGTCACCATTTGCACATTGCAAATACATATCTGCTTTGTACAGTCAAGAAATATAAAATAAACTTCCTAACATATTTTCACAAAATTTATGTATCCATGATTTATGTAAAATATACTAATACACCAAGAATATCCACTAACTTAAGAAGTGAGATGAATGGGCAATAGTACCCATAGTATATATAAAATGGCTTTTAGTTTTAAAAAAGTATAGTTTTGTCATAAATATCAATTTCATTCCTTATCTCCTACCATAGCTTAAAAATGACAATAACTAATGACTGAACAACAACTAGCAAAAGAAAACCTAATGTATGCTGAAACTAGGCCTGAAAGAATATAATCTTTGAAGATGATTTAAAATAATTTAAATAAAATCCCAACAATGCTAGCTTTTAATTAAGATTAAAGCAATTTTGTTAATCATCTACTGGGTTCAAAGCTCTTTGATAATTGTTTCTGCTGCTCAGAAGCTTTTAGTCTCTAATAGAAAAGTTAATAAACTTATATTTAACCAAATATTAATAATAGTTCAAATTATAAGATGTACATTCTAATATTATGAACATATTTTAAGTTTTATTACTAGGGCAGCAAACACCAGAGCAAGCTATTTTTGTGGCTATATACTTGTGGCGCAATGCAGGTACATTTGTTTCAGTCAAGTCTCTGCAGATTCACCATCAGATTTATCTTAAACAAATTCCAGTTACTACATTCCAAAGGAAAATTATATTCTTGGCTTAGCTATGTTGGGTAGAACAAAAGCATATCTTAAGCAAGGTCCTCTCCAAAAGGAGAAAAAAATTTTTTTCTAATAAAGGCAATCCTTTAATAATAAAAACCTCATGTTCCATGAATTGAACTGCATGGCATATCAAATATTTTAATTCTAATTCTAAAGTATATAATATTTAATAGAACTTTATAAAATGGCATAGTCCAATAACTAAAATAGCATAGTCCAATAATGTAGACACTAGCCATATGAAGGTAGCGTAATTTTATTCACTAACACGTAATTTTATTTACTAAAATTACATCAAATAAAAAATTCAGTTCCTTAGTCACATTAGCCACAGTGCAAGGGCTCAAGAGCCACACGTCAACAGTAGCTAATGTATTTGAAGCTCGAATAGAGAGTTACCTCCCTCCCTCCATCCCTCCCTCCTTCCTTCCTTTCTCTCTCTTTTTTTTTTGAGATGGAGTTTTGCTCTTGTCACGCAGGCTGGAGTGCAATGGTGCGATCTCGGCAACCTCCGCCTCCCGGGTTCAAGCAATTCTCCTGCCTCAGCCTCCAGAGTAGCTGGGATTACAGGTGCCCACCACCATATCCGGCTAGTTTTTTTTGTATTTTTATTAGAGATGGGGTTTCACCATGTTGGCCAGGCTGGTCTTGAACTACCAACCTTAGGTGATCCACCGCGCCAGGCTTCCCTCTCCCTCTCCTCCCTCTCCCACTCCCTCTCCCTCCCCTTCTCTCGACAAGTCTTGCTCTGTTGTTCAGGCTGGAGTGCAGTGGCATGATCATGGCTCACTGCAGCTGCAAACTCCTGGGCTCAAGAGATCCTCCTGCCTCAGACTACCAAGTAGCTGGGACTACAGGTGTGTGCTAACACACCTGGCTAATTTTTTTGTTTTTTGTTTTTGTAGAGACAGGGTCTTGCCATCTTGCCCAGGCCGGTCTTGAACTCCTGAACTCAAGAGGTACTCCTGCCTTGGCCTCCCAAAGTGCTAGGATTATAGGCATGAGCCACCATGCCTGGCTGAGAGTTGTTTTCATCATTGTAGAAAGTTCTACTCAAGAGCCTTGAAGTAAATGATCATCTATTTCTTAGATAAGCTTTTGGTTAATCCAAAAATGACTATATTTTTCCTGGTCACACACTTTTCACGTAATAAAGACTAACTGGACTTGATGTCAGCTCAAATGTGCAGGGAGAAAGAAATACAGAATGATTTATATTAAATGACTAGTACACCTATACTATCCATACGTTTCAGTAAACGTATACCTATTTTACTATTTTGAAAATACAAGTTAACATATGCGTGTGACTATTTATGAGGAAAAAATCACAACCTTAATAAAGCATAAAGGAAAACCTAGTGTCTAATGCATATTCCTGCCTCAGGGAAATCTGGAATGAAGAGAGAGGGCAGGAAAATCTATTCCCAGAGTAGTAACTAAAAAATGCATCTAGTGGCTCTAAGTTTCTCTAAAAATCTCCTTAAAAATAGCTATAGAAAAGCCCTTTCTAATTCTATTAATAAAATGAAGGCACTCAGGCACTTTCTAATTTGTTTCAAAAGAAAGCAGAAATCATTCAGCAGAATGAAAATTTTGGTCAGTACTCTGACTATAATAACACTAAATATAATTTGTGAATTATTATATTAGTGTGGTGCCAGTTTAACTGATTTAGAATACACTTTAGAATATTCATGAAATATGACTTCAAGTGTATAATATGTATTTGCACATACATGATTTAACAGCAACTTTATTATTTCTAATTTTAAAAAAAAGAGTACCACACCCCTCTTGGTCAGGAATATAAATTCATTTATGATGGTGTTTCTGTAAGAAAATCAGATACATATTTACAGAACTGTTATAGGAAGGTAACCTGTCAAAACTTCAAGGACAACTTAAAATGTTTTTAGTATATAACTTATCAAAGCTGAATATTTTCAAACTACATCAACTTAAGTACATTTACAATAAAACTCTACACTAGCAAGCATGTTAAAATGGTATAGAATTTGCAATAGCAAAAAAATTCTCCTATTAAAAACTTAGTCAACACTTCAAGTGTGCTAAGTTGCTCACTTACTCCTTCCAGCAATTCTCAGAAGTATGGAGTGGCTCTAATTTACAACTGAAGAAACTGAGTTGAGATGAAGAAACTAAGGCTCAAAATGAAAGATGACTTACTTAAGGTTATAGAGTCAGCTACTATAGAGGCAAGATTTGAACCTTGGTTTGGATTTTTCTAAAACTTAAGCTATTCATGAAAATTTCACAATTAATTTTTAGGGAAAGAGCTCATGTCTTCATTCTTTCCAAAACACTTACTGAGTGCCCATTATGCACCAAGTACTATTTCTAAGGGTTTCTAAGTATTTCTAAGATGTAAATGTTGAACCAGACAATGTCCCTGCCCCCTTGAAGCTGACATGCCAATGCAAGAAGGGGCATTCCAGCAGAGTTAGGAGCATGACCCAGCAGCTAGTCACTCAGGCTTGAATCCTTAATATACCATTTATAACTATGTGATATTAGTCAAGTTGCTTTATCTCTCTGTGCCCATATTTTCTCATTTAAAAAATAAAAATAAAAATAAAAATTGTACTGACTCACTAGATTGCTCTGAGGATTAGTAGATTAATACATGTAAAGCACACAATAAATGCTTTATTAGTGCTTGCTATTTTTATTATTGCCATGAGTGTAGAGAGACAAATAACAGACACACATATAAATGAGAGTACAGTAGATAGTGATAAATGCTGTGAAAAAAATGAAAAGTGGTCTTTGCTTCATATTTTCTAGAGATTCTTTCCTAAAGTCACTTATAAAAGCTGATAAAAGTCTTAATTAATTTATTCAATAAATACTGGCTGAGTGTCTATTTAATTTGTCCAGCACCATGCTCAGTGCTAAATAAGACAAACATGTAGCTCCCTCATGAAGTCTAGCAAGAAAGACAGATAGTAAACAGATAATCACACAAATATATAATTAGAGTAAATCAGTAAATGGAAGTGTACGATGAGAACCCATAATGAGAGCCTAACCCGGTTCAAAGATTACAGGAAGGACTGCCTGAGGAAGTTACACTTAAATGCTTCATCATCTGGATAGCCCTGGCAAAAAAGCCTAGAAACAACTAGATGGGAGAAAGAATGTTACATCTTAGCAGCTTTACGGCCTTAGGTA
Source organism: Homo sapiens (assembly GCF_000001405.40). NCBI lineage: Eukaryota > Metazoa > Chordata > Mammalia > Primates > Hominidae > Homo > Homo sapiens. Next base: position 120,413,543 of record NC_000008.11, read on the forward strand.
GAGGAAACTGTACAGAGGAGAGCAAAAAGTATTTTTTTATTTTGTTTTTCTTTTTGGACCAAGACAACAAGTATCCAAAATTAATGACTTTTCATTAGATAATATTTTTAACTTATGAAACAATGTGGAAAACTGAGAATCATTACGTTTTAGATTAATAACAATTCATATATCATTCCTAAAGACTACCATCAGCCCAAACAAAATACTTGATAATTATAGGAACCTATGAACATCCTCGCACTTATCTAGCAAGGTCTTAATGCTTAAAAATTTTTGGTTCTAATACCTACATCTAGAGTTTATTTGTAGGTAGTAGCTGCTGAGTTCCCAGGGGAGCAAAAAAATGAGTTCACTCTTCCCGCCCTCAAGGATCTTATTTAATCATATGGTTGAGGAAACAGAGGATATCAAAAGAAAAAAAAACAAGAAGAAGGGAAACACTTACGGAGTCCACAATCTTGGGAAGGCGTCTATTTCTTCTTGTGTGTACTCATCTAGACGTTTAGGTATTTTTCGTGGTTGAGGAAGCTCCTCTACTAAATTCTTAAGAATATCTTCTGGAATATACTACATTAAAAAAAAATTTAGACTTAATTTTCTTAAAATATCTTTCTTAGCAATAAATTACTAATACTTCATAAGTGTTAAAAAAATAAGCAAAAGAATGCTCGTAGAATAAGGAAAACATAAAATCTTTAAAATAAAAACCTTATAAAAATTCCCCAAAAGTACATTAGGTTAATAATACAAGTAATCCCATTATAATAAGATACCTATTTTTTAAAATGTGCTGTTTATTTCCCTCTTTTCAATTGCAAAAAGACACTGCTATGGCTCATTCTCATGCTTTCTCATCTGACAAGTATATGTACTGGGTCTACCGGGTTTAGTGCCACTACCTTTCAATCAGTGCTCCAACTGTGGCCAGAAAAAAATTTGAAAATGAAAATCTTTGAGTCATTTATTTATCTAAGAAACATTTATTGAACTTCTAAGAACCAAAAATTGTGCCAGGTGCTGGCCATATAAAGGAAAATAAAAAGATCAAGCCTTCTAAAGGCTTATAATTTTTAAAAAGTCACCTCTCAGCTTAAAATTTTTCAGGATAAAGCTCTAACTCCTTTGCTAAATTTGCTTAGCTAGACAGTGTCGTTACCACTAGTCCACCTCTCCAATGTCACTCTCCACAGACACAACCATGGTTTCTGTCTAATCAACCTCCTCAACCTTTCATGTGTTGCTCTAGACTCAAATCATGATATCTTTATTAATTGTATTCCCCTGACCAGGACCACTTTCCCCCTACTATGTATCCAATATTCAGAAAAATGAAGAGTTGGAAGATTGACCTGCCAACAGTAGACACAATGAACTGCAGTGGAGAAAAGCTGGAGACAAGAAGAGTTAAGTGGCTGTTTCAGTAATCAAGGTAAGATTTTTTAAAGTTTGAGTTTAGATACTGAAAGGCACACTAAAGAGTAAAGCACATATCTAAGACATTTTAAAAGAAGAAAGCATTGGAATTAGACAGACTAAGGAGGAATGATAAAATGAAGAGTGTGGGTAACCAAAAGAATGAACATTTATATTGTACTCATGATGCAGAAATAAGGCAGCTGGGAGAATGAACTGTATTGAGACTGGATGATAAATTGATTTTGGGAACTCTTTTTAAATAACGGTAAGATATCAGTATGGAAGTGTCTTATAGGCATTCTTATAAGGAGAGTAGATATAATTCCCTCTTCTCATTATAGTATGTGTACAGGAATTTTCGATAAAAGGATTATCACACAGTAAATTACAGCTCTCTGCAGAGCGCACTATTACAAGTGGGAATCCAATATCTGGCCAAGGACATGGCATCAAATAAGGCAGCACTTTGATCAATTCTTAAGACATGTTGTCTTAAGACATGTTGTCTTAAGAATCAGGATAAAATTTTATAACTTTAGGATCACAGAGCTCTACTGTCCTGTAAGCTTGTTCTAAAACCCAATATAGCAAAATATTTATAATATTTTAGGCAATTTAAATGAATTTTAAAAATTGTGGTTTGGATAGGCTGGGTCACTATCAACATACAGAAAACACAATAGATACTCTTGATAATGTGCTTCTTCACTGAAAAGCATTTAACAATATTTAACATCCTTTCTCCTATTGTTATCACTTTCTCAGTATATTCAAATCTGCACAATAATTACAGAGTCAGGGCAAGCAGAGGATGCCTGGACATATAAAAGATTGTTGGTGATACTTATTTTTTACTTATTGAAGGCGCCTACCTGTCAGATATTTCCAAAGATGTATAAATATTTCATACTTCTTTGGAAAGCCAGTATAAAATTCCCTAGATCAGTTGTAAAGACAATTTCAAAAAGCTGCTAAGTGCTCATTCAGCGTAGAGCATGTGGAACACAGTGGCTTCCTAGCTAATGTTTGCTGAATGGAATAGAATTTTGAATACAATGAGCCAAATTTCTTTACTATTAGAGGATTTTGCTGAATGGTTAAAATCAATGCAAAATGAGGAATCAAAGTTTTTGATTAGGTATTACACATGAAACCAGGAAGAGGGAGAAGTACCTCCTTTAATGTGCATACAGAGAAGGTAACCCATGAATGCTAACTAAATGTGTTTATGGAGATTTAAGAGTTCTCTTTGGCCGGGCACGGTGGCTCACGTCTGTAATCCCAGCACTTTGGGAGGCAGAGGCGGGTGGATCACGAGGTCAGGAGATCGAGACCATCCTGGCTAACACGGTGAAACCCCGTCTCTACTAAAAATACAAAAAATTAGCCGGGCGTGGTGGCGGGTGCCTGTAGTCCCAGCTACTTGGGAGGCTGAGGCAGGAGAATGGCGTGAACCTAGGAGGCGGAGCTTGCAGTGAGCCCAGATTGTGCCACTGCACTCCAGCCTGGGTGACAGAGCGAGACTCCGTCTCAAAATAAATAAATAAATAAATAAAAATAAAGAGTTCCCTTCACACAGAGGTGGTTAACCTAAGGGGAAATGAGGGAAAGAACCAGAGCAACAAACAGAAACAGGGGTCAAGTGATCACTTTTTTTGCAACTTTTTACTTTAGAAAAATTTAAATTTACACAAAAGTTGTGACAATATAATGAACATTAATCTAATCTTTACCTAAGTTCCCCAACTGTTAGCATGACATGTTTGCTTTCTCTTTTGGTCTGTCTATATACAAACACTTTTTGGATGAACCATTTTAGAGTAATTTGCAAAAACTTCAAACTAAATATTTCAGCATGTATCTCCTAGTCTCCCTATAGAACATTAAATTTTATGTTCAGGAAAATTAACATTGATGAAATACTTTTTATCTAATATACAGTACATATTCAAATTTCCCAAATAGGTCTAATATTGTCATATGTAACTTTTCCCAATTCAGGATCAGGTCAAGAATCACATGCATTTAGTTACTATATTATGTTGTTTACTCTGTAGTCTAGTCTCCTTTTATCGTAAGTTTCCTTGCCTTTTCTTTAATATTTCAAGAGTCCAGGCCAGTTATGTTGCAGAATTTCCTTTTATTTGGATTTATACTATTGTTGTTCCATGATTACATTCAGGTTAAGCATTACTGACAAGAGGCCATATAGTTTATGTTGAGTGTTCAGTGCTTCATAGCAGGAGGCACCTGATGTCAGTTTTTCCCACAGTGACCAAAGATTTGATCTCATGGTTACGGTGGTGTCCACCAGATTTTATTAATGTAAAAGCAATGGGAAGATTCCCATCACAAATAATTGAAAAGATGCCCTTTACAAATAATAAATACTCTGTATTGTGGTATTTGGAAACTATAAATATCCTGCTCCACAATAACCTTTTACCCAGTGGCCACAGAATACGCTGGTAATGATGGCTTTTCTAGTTCAGTATTCCTTCCATATTTTTTATATGATATTCTTCTATAGAGGGCTTTTCTATCCTCAGAAAGAAGGGACATCATAATAAATTAAAAATAATTTTTGGATGGTCACTGTAGCCGTATAGATTTTTGTTTTCTTATTCAGTGTAATCCCTTATTATTACCATGTGTTTTGAGGCTCACACAGTCCTGTATTTGGTCAGTGGGCACCACCTAAAGCTGGCTCCATGTTCCCTTGATATTGCTCCATTAGTTTTTGAGTATTGCCTTATTTTCTGTTACTTTCTATTATTTCACTATTATAAATCATGCAGAAATAATAGTCTTTTGCATGTGTATACCCTATAATAATTTAGTTCTCTCTCTGCTCCAGATCGTGAATCAATCAGTTCTCCAAGAACTAAGTTCCTTTTGGTAGGGAATAGCATGTGGAAAACAAGATTTGGGAACTAGTTGTGCTCACTTCTACTGTTGCTGTCATTTTATTTTTCTAATATATAAAATTTTAGCATGATTAACATAAAAAATAAATTTAAAGATAGTCTCTGAAAAAAATCTCATTCTTTCCCTATTCCTTTGTACCCATAGTCTAGTAGTTGCAACTTTCTCTTCCCGTGCTTTACGCAAAAAGTAGCGCACATAAATATATGCTTGTGTGTATGTAAACATACATAGGTATATATGCATACAAATGTAGTATGCCATCTACATTCTTTTTTACCTTGTTTGTTTTCACTTAACAATATATCCTGGAAAGTACAACTTACCAAGTCACAAAAATATCTGTCATTCTTTTTTTAAAAAATTGCACAATACTCGATAATTTATTTCCTATGAATAAGCATTATTTGTTTTTCTTATTGTACCATTATTGAATACAGTGAAAATAATCATGTGCATGTGTATCTTGAAGGTGTATTTTTATAAATGAGATTGCTGGATCAAGGATCAATCTCCTGATGTATGTATTTTCATTATATGTTACCTAATTAATTCCCAGGATTCCAGATGAGATGCACCATGTTGTGCTACCACCAACAATGTATAAGTGTGCCTGTTTCCCCCATCGGCTTGATAAAATGTACTGTCAAGCTTCTGAATACTTACCAATTCACTTTTGGGAACTAGGCTCATTTATTTTATAGTCTGAAATGAAATAATTTCCTATTTAACGGAACTATCGTGAATACTTAAAATATCTACACTCAAACGTATCTTGTAAATGAAATAAATATTATTTTTGTGTCTTTTAGAAATTATGGTTTCTAAAGAAAGTGACAATACAATCAGAAATAGGAGTTCTTAAATTCTTGCAATTTCATCATGAAGTGATCCTTGGATGATGATACTGCTCCCATACATGCTACCTTAGAGGTAAAGTGAATAGTGGGAAATTATTCTACTTATTCACTTATAGCGAAGACAATAAATCAATCATTTTGATAAAGCATGAATAACTTACTCATTATTAATAACTATTCATGTATTGTTTAAAGCTTAAACAGTAAGAGCACATAAATAGCTTGAAAAATCGTTATAACTTGATATTTTGGAATAAATTTCTACAGTATTCCTTCAGAAGGAACAAGAAGGACAATTATAACCATGGTAATGATAGCATCTAGCACTTATTGTGCCAGTTTCTGTTCTAAGCAATCTACAAGTGTATTTTATTTAATCCTTACAACAATCTTGTAAAATAGATACTATTATTATGTCAACTTCACAGATTAGAAAACAGAGATAAGTAACGAGCCCAAGTCCATGCAGTCAGTAAATAATGGGGCACAGATTCAAAGCCAGGCAGTCTGACTTGATAAAATATTATTTTATTATAGAAGCTTTAATATTTCATTACATCATATTAAGGAGAAAAGTTAAGTACTTAAAACAATATAATACTAATAAATAAAAATGTTTACACTCTTTTCCAAGTAATTTTTAGCTGAATCAACTATGAGTATGAACAAGTATTCTAAAGTTAAATCATGGGAAACAATAGCAACCAAAGTTAAGCTATTTATCCATGATTCACAGAAGTTTTGCTACTGGTCACATAAAAAGTGAACTAAATTAACACTTTTTCATAGTGAATGAAATTATCAACAAGTACCTCAATTTAACAGGGTTTCTGATCATAGCTCCTTGTTCAAAAGCAAGCAGTGATTAAAATTTTTTTTAAAAACTTACTTTTAATTTTTAGTCCAATGATGGTTCATTTTACATTTTAAAATATTAATAGAATTATCATTTTTTATACATACATATTCATTTAAAAATACAAAAATATTTCAGAAGTTGACATAAAATTTTTGAAAATAAGTCTGTGGCATTTATTTAAAAAGAAAATGAAACATTTAATTGAAAATTTTGGAAAAGCATTGTTACCAATGACCACTGACTTACCTCATCTGGAAAAAGATGCAACCTTTCCATCATTGTTCTTCTGTGAAGGTTTTTTGGCAGCATGCCATAAATAGCTAGTTTTACAATCTGAAAGATATACATAGGACACAATAAGAAAATTGTGACTTGCGATAGTAAGAAAGCAAACATAATTAGAGATGATGATGAAAATGAGGGGTTTAGATTCAACACGAATATAGGAAAGAAATAGACCTAAGTGGATATGTGGAAGCAACAGAAAAGAAACTTTTATTACTTTGTACATTACTATTTTCTTTTGGCTCCATTTATTGTTTATTTAGAAAAAGAAAAAAGATTAAAAGTAACCCGTATATGTGCCAATTTTAGATAGAATAATTATCATTTGCACTCATATTTCAATATAATTTGATGTGTGTTAAAGCTAAACCCACTAAAACAATACATGTTAGAATAGGGTTACTTTGTTAAGAGGCCTTCCTCTTTTATTCTCTCATCAAATCAGACCACAAAGCCTCATTACATGCAAAAGCTAATGGGTTACCATATACATTTTCCATCTATTTTCTATTAGTGTTAAGACTTTATGTTTTTGAGGTCATTTAATGTATGTAAATATATATAAACATATATATAAACATATATAAATATATATAAAATATATATAAATATATATATATTTATGTTGTTAAAATTAAAAGCAATTAAAAATTTAGTTCCTTAGTCATGAAAGCCACATTTCAAGTGGTCGGTTGACATGTAGCTAGTGGCTACCATGTTTGACAGTGCAGACACAGAACATTTCCATCACGGCAAAAATTTCTACTAGACAGCACTGATTTAGTTATTAGCACTGAAATTGTTCAATGTTTTAAAAGTTGTAAATTGAAACTGACAATGTTAAGACTATCTTTTCTGGATAAGCAAGTAATTATATCCTCTGAATATTATCATAAAGGCATTTTATTGTATTAATAGTGTTACACGGCATTTGATTTTCATGTTTCTAAAAAATTTAGTTGTATTTATTTGAATTACTAAGTTGGTATTTTAAAAATCTGCCCTATTAGAAAATGCAAACTCCACACTCAAATTTAAAAAGGCTAGAAAATGTGAAAAGATTATAAGCTAACAGGGAAGAAAAAAGACAGACATACAAATGTACGTAAACAAAGGTGAAACAACATGTACATGCAAAAAAGTAATTCTAGCTGTACAGACATTAAGTATAAGTTTTAAGAAATTCAGAAAGTAAAAAAAATAGAATAAGATAAAGTTAGTAAATATCAAAGACCTTCCTCATATAATCTATATCCCAGGGTACGTGCCATTTGTGCCATAGAAGTAACTTATTATTTATAGGAAGGGGAAAAATCAAATAGAGGAACCATGTTAGAAGAAAATATAAGGACATAGAACCTCTTAAAGAAGCTAAAACATACAACAGAGAGAAAAAGAACATAAGGAAAGGGCTAAATCGATATATTTATTTGAAATTAGAATAATCTACATCATTATGAAAAATTTTAAATATTTAACAAACTATTACCTATTTAACTATTAAATATTAATTAAGATATTTCACAAATAGTATTCCAATACTGTACTAATAATCAGAAAGCTGCATTGTGAAACAAATTCTCCGATAGGCCACACACAGTAAGAACTGATAAGCAAATTATGTCTACTGGCAGAGGCCTACTATTCCAGACAAAAACTTAGGATTTGAATTAAAAGTAAATAATAAATCTCTTCCTTGACGAGCCATTCTTTTTCAAAACATAGTAAAAATTAAGACTTAAAAAATTAAAATCCTTTAATGAGGTAATAATCCAAATGGATTTAACTCTGAAATATTTCCTAAGCCTTCCTCAAACATTTTACAATCCATTTCAATTATTGCTCATAAACAATAATTTGAAACAATTTCTACAAAAGTTACCTAAGACCAAATTTTTAACATGAAAGTTATACTATACTGCCTCCTAGTGTACAGTTAACATAAAATAGAAACTTTCATTTTAACATTTAAAATATTTATGAAGTATTAAAAGTATAATTTATTGTTAACAGCTGTGATATATATTATCAGGAGCCTTATAACTTTTAATGCTATTATATACAAAGCATATTAATATTCAAAATATAATATTTTGACCTGTAAGGCTTAAAAACACACTAGTTATGAAAAAAAAATTAAATATTTCCTAAGAAGCAAATTCTGAGCACAGTTTTATAAAACAGATATAAACAATACAAAATAAATAGTAAATCATGAAACTTTTAAATGGTATGTCAGGTCTTATTATAATAAAATATCCTTCCCCCCAACCTTACCAAGAAAATTTTAGGCAGTATTATACCAAACAAATGGTTGTATCCTGACAATAGATATTTATTTTTATTATTTTAGGGAAACAAAAAATGATATTTTTAGGTCTAGCACTTTGCTAATTTATTAATGTATTGCAGCAAAAAGATAAAATAGTCTCTAATAGGAAAAACATGCTATCTAACCTATGAGTAAAGTTGAAAGTTTAGGTCTATCAATAGCTAAAAGAAAAAACAACAGGAGACTTTGCCTTTAGCAATATTGGTGACTAATGTATGAATTAGAACTTCTCCCAGTATAATACACAAAGAAATAAACATTAATGAACCATATAAATTTTCCATCTGTTTTCTATTAGTGTTAAGACTTTATGTTTCTGAGAGGTCATTTAATATATGGAAATATATATATAAACATATATATAAACATATATAAACATATAAATATATATAAACTTATATATTTATGTAGTTAAAATTAAAAGTAATTAAAAATTTAGTTAATTCGTGAAGTTAATTAATATTGTTTATAAAAATATTTTTTAAAGTATGAAACAAAGCTGACCTCACAAGGCTTTGAGGCCCCAAATTCATCCTTCTTGTGGGGATCAAAATCCTGTAAGTCTAAAGTTCAGCTCAAAAAACTTAGGTTGTTATAGCCCAATTCACTTAGCCATAAGCTAAGTGAATCTTTTTTGAGGAAAGTCATTTTTAACACAGGTCTTAAAGAATTCCTGGAGATGAAGTTTCAAGGTACATGAGCCTACCAAGTAAGTACACTGAGCAGATATTATAAATTGCGGACCTACAAAGGCCACAAATATTAGAATCAGATCTAAACTCTAAGAATTATGTTTAGTATGCATAAAGAAATATAAGAGTGAACCAAAACATGATAAACAGAAGACTATTGAAACTGATCAACAAATTTGTAAAAGAACCAAATAATAAAACTTTAAGAAAGGGAAAAATGATAATTGAAATTAGCACCTCAGAAAAAGGTCAATCAGATTAGACACAGGTGAAAAGATACAGAACTGGAACACAGATCTGAAGAAATTACTGAGAATGCCCCACAGAGACAGTGAGACATGAAGTATGAAAGAGAGGTACTGAATCATGTACAATCAAATGCAACTGTCTACTCTTATTATAACCAGATTTCCAAAGGGAAGAAACAGAGAATAAAGAGACCCAATATTAGAAGATTTAAGAGCTAACACATTTCCAGAACTGAAGACACCAGTACTCAAACCAAATAAATAAGACTGTAGTAGGAAGATATGAAAACCAAAGACAATGAAAAGGTCTTAAAGGTATCCAGAAAAAAAAGACAAGAGTACACATAAAGAAACAATTAAATCGACATCTGATTCATAAAAGCAATAATACAAGCTAAATTCCAATTGAATAATAGCTTCAAAAAGCTGAGGGAAAAATAATGGAATAATTGTTATCTTAGAATTCCACATATAGCAAAACTATCTTTCAAGAATGAAAGCACAAAATAAAGAAAACAGTTGTAGACAAAAAAGGTGAGTTCAGTATTAAGAGAATGTGGCTTGAAGAATGCCAGCAAGAAGTACTTCAAGGAAAAGGAAATTGATACCAGAAGGCAGGCTGAGTCACAAGAAGGGATTGTAAGAAAAGAAAATTTAAAAAAATCAGTAACAGAATAAAACAATAACAAGAATGTTCAATTGGAAGAGTTTTTTTAAAAACCTGAACAAAGAAAGCTTGTAGATTGGGAGGGAGGGTGGTAGTTAAAAATCTTCTAAGGGCTTTCATTGATTTGGAAGTAAGGTAAAAATACTGATGAACCTTAGAGCTATAATAAATCAATTCAACCAATCCAAAAGGCAGCAAGAAAGGAGAGAAAAAAAAATCTAGTTACATGATGTTTACAATAAAAACATCTATAACAGAATAACTTAGTAAAGTGTAAAAAATGAAATATATGAGGCAAACACTAATCAAAAGTCAGCTAATGTAGCTATATTAATGTCAGAACAAATAGACCTCAAGGTAAAAAGCATTATTGGAGATTAAGAGGATCAGTACATATTGACCCTGATCAATTGTTTAGAAAGATTCCAATTCCAATCTTAAATTCATCTAACACTAAACCTTCAAAATATATAAGGCAAAAATTGACAGGAAAAAAAATAAAAAATAAATAAAACATAAACAAGCAGGGTGCCTATAGTCCCAGGTGTTTGGGAGGCCAAAATAGGAAGATTGCTTGAGCCCAGGAATTTGAGTCCAGCCTGGGCAACATAGCAAGATCCTGTCTTTAAAAACATAAATTAAAAACAGAGTAAAGTCTGAGTGTGGTGGCTCTCGCCTGTAATCCCAGCACTTGGGAGGCCGAGGTGGGAGGATGGCTTGAGCCCATGAGTTTGAGACAAGCTTGGGCAACATAGGAAAACCTGGTCTCCACAAAAAATAAAAAGTTTTAGCAGGGTGTGGTGGTGTGTACCTGTAGTCCCAGCTGCTTGAGAGGCTGAGGTGGGAAGATCCCTTGAGCCCAGGAGTTTGAGGCTGCAGTGAGCTATCATTGTGCCACTGTGCTCTAGCCTGGGTGACAGAGTGAGACCTTGTCTCCAGAAAAATAAATAAATAAATAATAAAATAAAATGAAAGTAGTTTTGTTTTTAAGAACTTTACTATTTTTTCCAGAATAAAATGGACAGACCTGTAAGAAGAAATTAATCTACAATTGAGATGTTAATAAACAAAAATAAACTCAGATAATACTCGAGTTAACAAAAAAGTTAGAATATAAGAAGAACACACTTAGCATGTTTGAAAATATATGTACACACATACATACATATATCTCTCTCCTTTCCAAGACATTTCAGCAAACTCATCATATACTAGGTGATTATGCAGGTATCAAAAATTAAAAAGAAAAACATCAGAATTCTTCGACTAAATGCAAAACATAATACATAGCAATTAGAAAATACATAGAGTTGAATATTAAAAATAATACTTATCAAAACGTGTGTGATACAGCTAAAGTGAAGAATTTATATCCTTGAATGCTAACTATATTAAAATAATGAGAAGGGAGACTGACAAAACAGTATCTGAATTGGTCTTTCCAAAGATGATTAATAAAAAATACAAGAAACTTACTGCCACTGGATCCCTCAGGTGAAGCTGAGCAGCTGTTACTTGTCTAAATCCACCTGGGTAGCTGTTAAAAGGAGAAAAGACATTAAAACTGGGCATAGGCTGATACTGTATTCTTAAACTGATCATTCTTTTATAAGAAAACTATTTTAATAAATTGTTTCTCGAAACTGCTTTTCATTAGTGTTTTCAAAATTAAGTAGTAATCTACGCTTTTTGAAATGCTATTCTCTTAAATGGTCAACTACCATTATATCATAAAAAGTTCTACTTCTTGGAAAAATTTATTGGCATAAGTATATTTCTATCTGAATTGTAAGTTATTAATTCACTCACTCATTATGGGGTATTTATTACTACTTGATTTAACAAAGAAATAGAAACAAGCCAGACTATTTCATGTTCCTTACCAAATTAGATAAACCGTATAAACTACGGGTTAGGTCTGGGGAAAATGTTGGTAGTCCACTTGGTTCTGAATTAAGTTCATACTCTAGACAGCCAGTAATCATGTTTCTTCTTAGCAGTTTGTAAAGGTCTCTAAGTGCTACATATTGGCTCTAAGTAATATAATATTTCATTGTGTTCAGATCGATTATTCTTTATAAAATGAAAAAAAGTGGCAATTACAAAATATACATTGAATAGTACTGGAGGCAGCTTAGCTTCCAGATACCCTAGATGCAGGTATGGAATCTAGGTTTTGTCAGTGACTCCCAGTGTAATATCAGGCAACTCATTTTACCTCTCTGCATATAATTTTACTCATATGAATAAATAATGCTATCTACCTCAAAAGATTTCTGGGTCAAATGAAAAAATATTTGTGAAAGGGATTGGGAAATTTAAAACAAAAATAATACATATATAGATGTAAGGTTCTATTTTCCTAAACAGATGAAGTCCAAACGATTTTCAAGAAAGGGGGAAGAAATTGGAAAGTCAGTGTGGAATCTGCAAAAAACCTTAAGATTACCTAAAGGTGATTTTTTCCATATGTTCCCTTCAATAAAATTTGAAAATATTTTAAAGATGATTTAAGAAAACACATTTTAGGAATAAAACTTGTCAAAGTTAGAAGTTTGCTGAGAAAGATGGGTAGTTTTAAAATTGATATTCTCTTTTTTCATGGAATTTCAGTTTTAGAAAAAGAAATGCCTGTCTAGACTTCTATTCCTGCATTCTTTCTCTCCATGGAAAAAAATATTTTACAATTTCTATGCTGAAAGATGATCTTTCTAGTTTGAAAATTGAGATGGCAAATTCTAAAACATACCATTTACAATATATTTCAGAAGTCTGGACTTTATTCTGACGTATTTGGAAAGCTAATGTAAAATTTTGAGTGGAGGATGACTTGAGTAATGCAACACTCAATTGATTTTTACTAGTAAGAAAATAACTCATTCTTTCCTCCAATATGGGATGGAGTAAGAGAACATTTGTTTTAAATGCTAGCCAAGGGTTTTTCATTGAAATTAATTCAATAAACACTTAAATGTGTATCATGCTGGAACTGGGGACACACAGATAAATATGACAAAATCCTGTCCTATTTAAAATTAAACAATTCTGTTGATACAACTAGTTGTTAAGTTGTATCTCTAACTCATGCCAATGTATTTTAGATGACTAAAGACTTAGATGTGAAAGTTCAAGGTGCACACACACCCAATTCAACCAACCCCTAAAAAATTAGAAGTAAATGTTTATGAAAATCTGAACAAGAAAGAATTTCTGAGACTGGAAAACAGAAGAAATTACAAAGGAAAAGGCATGTAATAATATAAAATTAAATAACTACAGTAAATGACATAAAAATTTTGTTAAAAGTAAAAAACAAAAGTGGATTAATAATCTTAATAGATAAAACGTCCATAGAAAGTGATAAAGTAACACTGAAACTTCATTATTAAGTAAATGTAAATATTCAGCTGCATATCAAAAGACAACAGCCTTATTTTTAAAGATAATACTGTGCCTGCACAGATTTGGGATAACAAACATTTGTATGCTCTTCTATGGATTAGAAAACTCATGATTGAAAATACCTATCAAAAGACCTATAAATGATCATTCCTTTGATATCAAAACACATTACACTTCCAGGGATTTATTTTAAATAATCCTACATATATGAAAAAAATCAATGGACAAAGACATCACAGGATACAAAATCAATGTGCAAAAATCACTAGCAAAAAGTCACTAACATTCCTAGACACCAGCAACAGTCAAGCGGAGAGTCAAATCAGGAATGTACTCCCATTCACAACTGCCACAAAAAGAATAAAATACTTAGGAATACAGCTAATTAGGGAGGTGAAAGATCTCTATAATGAGAACTACAAACTACTGCCCAAAGAAACCAGAGATGAAGGCTGGGTATGATGGCTCATGCCTGTAATCCCAGTACTGTGGAAGGCTGAGGTGTGAGGACTTCTTGAGCCCACAAGTTCAAGACCAGCCTGGGCAACACAGTGAGCCCCCATCTCAAAAGAAAAAAAACTTTAATAATAAAAAGCAATCAGAGATGACACAGACAAACGGAAAAACACTCCATGCTCATGGATAGGAAGAATCAGTATTGTTAAAATGGCCATACTGCCCAAAGCAATTTATAGATTCAATGCTATTCCTATTAAACTACCACTGAGACTCTTCACAGAACTAGAAAAAAATATTTCAAAATTCATATGAAACCAAAAAAGAGCCTGAATAGCCAAGGCGATCCTAAACAAAAAGAACAAAGCTGGAGGCATCACGCTACCCAGCTTCAAACTATACTACAGGGCTACAGTAACCAAAACAGCATGGTACTGATAAAAAAAAAAAAAAAAAAAAACCAGACACATACACCAGTGGAAAAAAACCCAGAAATAAGACCACACACCTACAACTATTTGATCTTTGACAAACCTGGCCAAAAAAGCAATGGAGAAAGGATTCCCTGTTCAATAAATGGTGCTGGGAGAACTGGCTAGCCATATGCAGAAGATTGAAACTGGACCCCTTCCTTATACCACATACAAAAATTAACTCAGGATGGATTCCAGACTTAACTGTAAAACCCAAAACTATAAAAACCCTGGAAGACAACCTAGGCAATATCATTAAGAACACAGGCATGGGCAAAGATTTCATGACAAAGATGCAAACTGCAATTGCAACAAAAGCATAAATTGACAGATGGGATGTAATTAAACTAAAGAGCTTCTGCACAACAAAAGAAACTAACAGAATAAACAGACACCTACAGAATGGGAGAAAATTTTTGCAAACTATGCATCTGACAAAGGTCTAATATCCAGCATCATAAGGAACTTAAATTTACAAGAAGAAAAAACAAACCCCATTAAAAAGTGGGCAAAGGACAGGAACATACCCTTTCCAAAAGAAGACGTACATATGGCCAACAATCATGAAAAAAAGCTCAAAATCACTGATCATTAGAGAAATGCAAATCAAAACCACAATGAGATGCCATCTCACACCAGTGAGAATGGCTACTATTAAAAAGTCAAAAAATAACAGATGCTGGCAAGGCTGTAGAGAAAAAGGAATGCTTTTACACTGTTGGTGGGAATTTTACACTGTTGGTGGGAGTGTTCAACCACTGTGGAAGACAGTGTGGCGATTCCTCAAAGTCCTACAGACAGAAATACCATTTGACCCAGCAATCCCATTCCTAGGTACATACCCTAAGAAATATAAATTGTTCTATTATGAAGACACATCCACATGTGTGTTCACTGCAGCACTATTCATTATAGTAAAGACATGGAATTAACCTACATGCCCATCAAAGGTAGATTGGATAAAGAAAATGTAGTACATATATACCATGAAATACTACATAGCCATAAAAAAAAGAACAAGATCATGTCCTTTGCAGCAACATGGATGCAGCTGGAGGCTATTATTCTAAGCAAACTAACACAAGAACAGAAAACCAAATACTGCATATTCTCACTTATAAGTGGAAGCTCAATGATGAAAACACAAGTACACATAGAGGGGAACAACACACACTGAGGCCTATTGGAGGGTGGAGGGTGGGAGTAGAGAGAGGAAAATAACTAATGGGTACTGGGCTTAATACCTGGGTGATGAAATAACCTGTACAACAAACCCCCATGATACAAGTTTACTTATGTAACAAACCTGCACATGTAACTGAACTTAAAAGTTAAAAAAAAAAAACAAAAAACAAGAATTGAAAAAAAAGATGTTTATCAGCCCCTTATAAAAGCCAAAATTTTCATTTCAAAAAACAGAACAATGATCAAGTATCGTAAATCATTTTGTGCACTACTACTTAGTAACCAAAAATAATACTTACAAAAAGGTTCTCTGAGAATTTTCTATTAAGTGAAAAAGGATATAAACTTGTATATACAGTTATCCCTCTCCATCTGTGGAGGACTAGTTCCAGGACCTCCTGAGCATACCAAATTCCAGGGATGTTCATATCCCTGATATAAAATGGCATAGTAATTGCATATAACCTACACACATCCTCTTGTATACTTCAAATCATCTCTAGATTACTTATAATACCCAATATAATGTAAATGCTATGTAAATAGTTGTTATACTATATTGTTTAGGGAATAATGACAAGAAAAACGTCTGTACATGTTCAGTATTGACACAATTAAATAGAAAAAAATTACACGCCGGGTGCAGTGGCTCACGCCTGTAATCACAGCACTTTGGGAGGCCAAGGCAGGCAGATCACCTGATGTCAGGAGTTCGAGACCAGTCTGGCCAACATGGAGAAACCCTGTCCCTACTAAAAATACAAAAATTAGCTGGGCATGGTGGTGCACACCTGTAGTCCCAGCTACTCAGGAGGCTGAGGCAGGAGAATTGCTTGAACCTGGGAGGCGGAGGTTGCAGTGAGCCAAGATCGTACCACTGCACTCCAGCCAGGATGACAGAGCAAGACTTCATCTCAAAAAACAAAACAAAATGAAAATTTTACATTTCCACAATGTGGAATCCATAGATATGGAGGGCTGACTGTATATTAAAATGGTAAGTCATGGGATCAGGAGTGAATTTTAATTCCCTCTTTAAACTTCTCTATATTTTCTAAAATTAGTATGTCCTAAAAATTTTACAACTAGCAAGCTAAATTTTGAATATGTAATTGTAATACAGTGTTATGAGCATAATAAAGTAGTATGTCCAAAGTGTAAGTGAAGAGTCAACAGAAACAAAAAGCAATCAACTCTTTGAGCGATGAGGAAATAGCAAAGGTATCCCAGAAACTGTGACATCTGAGTCAATTTTTAATGGATAAATAGGAGAATTCCTCACTGTCAGGGGAACAACACATGCAAAGGCAGAAAGGAATGAAATAGCAATATGTTGTCTAAGAAGAACTATGAAGCAGCAGTGGGAACTGGTTTCCAATGACTTGTAAAGGAGTTTGAATTTTCACCTATCAGTGAGAAAGCACTACTGACAGGGACACTACCAGCTGACGTACACATTATGGTAGCTGTTCACTACTGGCTGTGCTGTCATTTTCTTTCATTTGCAGTAATACTACATATTATTGCTATAGTAATTACCATAGCATTTTGTGTCAATACTTCCCTTTATGCTTTTATCACATTATGTTATTCTGATTTTTAATATTTCTTTCCCAATTACCTCTCAATTTTGTAGAACTTGGTTTATACATAGAGATCTGCCAATAGCTGAAATTACTAAAGACGGATGTAAATTCAGTTTTGTTAAATTATATAAAGATTTCATGAATGTATTTTAAGGGGAGGAATGGGCAAAGGCTGGCTCAAGGAAGCAAAACAGTTGTTCCAAATATTTAAGATGCACTTGGGGAAAGAGATGAAAAGTAACAAATGGGAACATCAAAGGCGAAGATGCAGTTGGAAATAAAATAGTGATTTTGATCAAGAATAAAAGATAACATTTCTAACCATAACTTGAGTAACAGTATAGAAAGTACACTTAATTAAATGTGCACATGACCTGAAGCTATGGGTTAACTAATACATGAGATGATAAAATCAGGATCTTAAAAGGCTGGAGATAAAATTTAACATGGAGTAAACTTAAGGTCTTGCAATTGAATTAAATTACAACTAAAGCACACAGGAAGGAGAAGACATGATTCAACAGGAATATACCTGAAAAAGACTTAGGAGTTTTAGCTGACAGTAAACTCAAATACAGAAATACTATGGCCTTGAAGAAAAGTTCTATTGCAACAGAAGATTGCCTAACTGAAAAATGGAGGAGAGTCACGTTGTATTTGGAAACCAGCAGAACACACCCAGGTGAGTGTATTTACTTAAGAGAGATACTGACAAACAAGATTTTATCTAGAGAAGAGTGACCATTCCTTAAACATCTTGTTAACTTTCAGATGGTTTGGGATGGTTCTGAAAACAGCAGTAAGATGAATTACAGGAAGCAGAAATACAAAGTAAAAGAGTGACTAAAACATGAGAATAATCTTGTCCACAGGTTATATGAAACACTTGTAGGATAAACAAATACTGTCAGGTAATAGCTATATTTGGTATAGTTGTGTGGTTTTTAAAAATTGAGTAAATTATATACATGGCATGAGTAAAATTAGTAATAAATGCTGATTTTTAAAAATATCTTTTTTCTTTTAAGTAAGAACAACTGTATTCTTAAAGTAATATATTTTAACTACCTAATTTCCCTGACAACAGCATTATCTTACCCAGTATGCGAAGAGTATACTTTTTGTTCCCATTTGTTTCCAGAAAATGCAATGTGTCTTGTGTTCATTATAACAACATGATCCCCACAGTCACCTACATTTTAAAAAGAAACAAGATTTTGTAAGAAAAATAAAAACCTTAAGAAAAAGTGGCCTTGGTTATTTATAAAGCTTATCAAAGTTCAAACAACATATTAAAAAATAAAAAGCAAGTTACAGTGCAACATCAAAAATCCTTGAATAGATTTCTGTTACTTTTTAATATAACATCTAAGTATAGAAAGAGTTGGCTGGCCATTTGGAAAATCTCAACACTGCAAAGTAAAAGAAATTTAATAAGGTTGCCAATAACAACAATACATCTTTTAAAGGCAAATTACTGTTATTCTTGTGACTTTTCCCATTAATAATTACACTTCAGTAAAAATGTTTGTATTAAGTGCCTTTAAATGTCTGATACAAAATTTCCCTGAAAAATAGCCAAGAAAATGAAAACAGTATGTATATAGATATAAAAAAGTATGTTTTACCTACAGGTAAATTGAAAACATATGTAAAACATTACAATTATTATTTTTTGCAAATTTAGGGAACAGACTGCTTTGATCTTATTAACTACCATGGAAAGGTTTCTTTCCAACCATGTTTATAGTAAATTTAAACTGCTACTCTCAACTATGACTACGTAAATATATTTGACAGGACAGATGACCTGAAAATCAAAATATGTGTATCTGCTTCATTTTCTATCCCTAAGTTTGGCTGTTCATCTAAAAACAAACTAAAAAGTTAACATGTACATTTTCAAATAACTGACTATACATAACAAAATCAAGTAATTAGAAACATTTATAAAATACCTATTTTACTAATAGAAAAAACAAACCAAGATATTCTAGAAGCTCAAGAAAAAAGTACTAAAAATAAGAAATACAAGTACAATATATATGAAAACTAAAGATTATAAGATTCTATGCAGAGCCCTAAATTTGAGTGGCAGAATTTTCACAGACGTTCATAGTCTATATAGGATAAGAATAAAGAAAAGAAGATAATGCAAGTGGGTTTTCATCACTAGAGTGAAAGGAAATTCAGAGGTATGAATGAAAGACCTGGGAAGCTTGCTGTTATTAGATGGAAAAGAATAGTCTGACAATGTTTAATTAAATGGTTGAAGTTCCTAAAAGTGACACCCTGTTGGCTACTGAGGCAGTTGGGCGAATGCAGCAGAACAGCAAATAAAGAAGGTGGGAAGATAACCAGACAACCTCAAAAAACACTGAAATTACTTTAGCTCACATTCAGACATTTACAGCAGAAGAAGATTAAGTGATTTGCAGAGGCTCACACGCTAAGTTACCTAACACCCGGTGTAGGCTCTTTCCATAACATCTATTTGGAGGAAAAAATGGAATCTTTAAACTTTCCATTAAAACTGAATTTATTTTTAAATTGTTAAGTTTTAAATATAGGTAAAGCATCTCGAGCCACTCAAAAAATATCTACAGAGAGCAAAAAAGATCTTCCAAGGGGCATTAGACAGATTGCCACAAAGCAACTGAAAATCATATTCTTTCAGTTCTAAGGTATCACATCTAATCTGGGAAAAATTGTTCTTCCTCAATAATATATGCCAAATCTCTAGTAAATTCATTCTAAGAAGCATTTCTCTACTAACTCTAAACAAAAACTAACCAGCAATTAAATACATGCTTTTAACTGTATTTCATTAACACTAAAGTCAGTATTACTGTAAGACTGTAACCCTGGATATAGCACAGTTGTTTCTGTCTAAATTTCTATTAAGTTAAATACATATAGTTTCATTTTATAATTTTTAATTTAAAACTGCACATTTAATATATATGTACCAAATGTAAATAAATCATAGCTCTAGTGCTTGATCAAGAGATGTTCTGAAGAGAAATTAAGTTGAAAAATAGTAAGCAATTTTTAGAAATAGGAATTGTGAGTTTATTTACAAAAATTCTAACCTTAAACTTCTAACTTTATCTGACTCCTCAGTATAATACTAGGTGCTCAATTAAATGGCCAAATAAATTCAAACTAATTCAGACAAAGTGAAAACTCAACAGCTTCATGTCAGGAAACCTAAGGTCTCAGATAGGTTACACCATCAGGGGCAGCTCTTAGTCCTACACCGCCTCAATGTTTTGGCCCACCTTCTCCCTTAAGCCAGAATGAAGTCATAATTTTTCCTCAAAATTGCCTGGGAGGAAAGGAAGTAATAATTATTCAACATCTTCTACATGCAAAGCACTGAGCTAGGCATTTTATACTCACTTTTAACACTTAAAGTCTCACAACTATCTTATTAGGTAAAGCTAACGTACTCCCTCTGCCTGCTACCACTTTTACTATTTAATAATGTTTACGGAGAAAACAGAGTCAGAGGTTCAACTCAGCTAAAATTATATGGCTAATAAGTGGTAAAGTTAAGTTTCAAATACAACTCCAGTAAAACTTCAAAGGCAGATCTTACCATTTCTACCACAACCAGATGGCAAAAAGTGGTAGTTAAAATGCCATAAGGAGACAATGATATCATTCACTAATTGATCACGTATTCTTTTCTGCTAAATTCTAAGATCTCAGAAGTCCTTCTCAGCAAACTGCTCACAGGTTACAGTTATTTGCCATCTTTGTACTTCCCCATGTACCAGCTCCTTGATTAGGGATTCAAGGAGACCTAGAGTATAGGATAACTTTTTGTAGCCTTATTTACCAGTTTTTCCAACACTACTGTCTGGGCCAGGTAAGCCATGCTATTTAGGTTGGTGCAAAACTATTTGCAGTTTTTGCCACTGAAATGGCAAACTCTACTTTGTTCTAGCATTTGTATAATTTTTTTGGTCCTAGATCCTTGCTGCAGACTCTTAATTATAGATCCCTCACATAGAGTTATCAGACACAATAAGTGTTTACAAAAATCCCTAGTGTTCATTTTTAACTATGTTTGAGATACTCAGATTCCATGCAAGGGCAGATTCAGATAGAGACACCAATTCAGCTTGCTGAGAGTCTCCAGCTCTTTTAAAATTTGCTTTATAATCCTTTTCCATTGATGAACAAATCCACTTGCTATGTATTACATACTTACTAATGCCATGTACCATTCTTGATGTTGGGAATACAGCAATGAATGTAACTGAAAAACCTCTATTTTTTTAAACTTTTATTTTAGGTTCAGGGGTAAATGTACAGGTGTGTTATATAGGTAAATTGCATGTCATGGGGGTTGAATATACAGATTATTTTGTCACCTAGGCAATAAGCATAGTACACAATAGGTAGTTTTTTGATCCTCACCCTCCTCCCACCCTCCACCCTCAAGTAGTTGTCTGTTGTTCCCTTCATGCCCAGGAGTACCCAATGTTTAACTCCCACTTATAAGTGAGAACATGCAGTATTTGGTTTTCTGTTCCTGTGTTAGTTTACTTAGGATTATGGCCTCCAGCTCCACCCATGTTGCTGCAAAGGACATGATCTCATTTTTTAATGGCTCTACAGTATTCTATGGTGTATATGTACCACATTTTCTTTATCCAGTCTACCACTGATGGGCACTTAGGTTGATGACGTATCTTTGCTATTATGAACAGTGCTAAAATGAACATATCTGCATGCTTTAAGTTCTTTCAGAAATCACCAAATTGCTTTCCAGAATGACTGAACTAATTTGCACTCCCACCAGCAGTGTAAAAGCATGCCCTTTTCTCCTCAGCCTTGCCAATGTCTATTATTTTTTGACCTTTTAATGATAGCCATTCTGACTGGTGTGAGATGGTATCTCATTGTGGTTTTGACTTACACTTCTCTAATCATTAGCGATATGGGCATCTTTTCATTTGCTTGTTGACTGTATGTAAGTCTTCTTTTGAAGTGTCTCTTTATGTATGTCCTTTGCCCACTTTTTTATAGGGTTGTTTTTTGCTTGTAAATTTGTTTAAGTTCCTTACAAAGAAATTCTTGTTAATCAATCTTATGCTCTAGTTGAAAAGCCAGACAATAAACAAACAAATAAATGAATATGCAATATGCCAGGAGCTGATGAACATGGGAAGATAAAGAGTAATAGGGTGAAGCGATTAATTGGTACAGGTTTTTCATGAACTTAATTTTCATTTCTCTGGGATAATGTCCAAGAGAAATGAAACTGCTGTGCTATACAGTAAGCTCATGTTTAGTTTTAGAAGAAACTGCCATATTCTTTTCCAGAGTTGCTGTACCATGTTACATTTCTACCAGCAATGCTGAGTAATCCAGTTTCTATGCATCCTCATCAGCATCTGTTGTCACTATTTTTTATTTTAGTTATTTTGATAGTTGTGTAGTATTATCTCACTGCGGTTTTAATTTGCATTTCCCTAATGGCTACTTATATTGAACATCTTTTCATGTACTTATCTGCCATCTGTTCATGTATTCTGCCCATAGCCTAATTAGATTGTTTGTTTTTTTACTGTTGAGTTTTGAAAGTTCTTTATAGTTTAGATATGTCTTTTGTTGATGATGTGGTTTGCAAATATTTTCTTCCAGTCTGTAGCTTGTTTTCTTCCCCTTTATAGGGTTGAATCCTTCCTTATAAGCTGTTTGATTTAGCATAGTGGTTTTTAAAGTGCAGGTGATTCAGTCTTAGGCTTCTAAAAGGTGACTCAAGGCACAAGGATCCAGGTTCTTTTTCCTTCAACTAGGACAGTACTGCTTTTATTTATTGGGTTTCCTTGAAGATTTAGTTTGAGAAATGTTTGAAAAATAGCTATTCTGAATTAGTGATAAACAACAAAGTTTGGCTTTGGCCTTTATGTTTGTTTCTAAGTTTGGAAGGACAAATGTCCAAATGGCTACTTCAGTGTTATTTTTGGCATCCCTGAACTTGTGCACAGCCAAGGTGATGAATGATCAGATAGGTTACCATAAAATCTGCTGAATGTATAGATACTGTAACATGCACCAAGGCATATTGTTTAATTTATTGACAATATCAATATAGTCACTTCCAAAGGAGATACGTATTCTAGATATAGCCTGAAGCAAAAATCTCCTTCAGTGCTTTGTAGGATGATATTCTAGGAGTGAGGTGAAGTATAAATGTACAATTTAGATTGCAAAATTAAAATGCTGTGATATTAACATTTGAAATACATTTTTACATTTAACTGAATAGTAAGAGAAAAATGTTAGCTAAGCAACTTTAAGAACAGCATCATAAACTTACAAGGCAGAATACTAGAGATCATAAATCTGATCTCTGTTGAATTGTTTGGTATGTTAGCATTCATAGCATTAATTTTTATAAACTGAGTGCAACTTTTGTTTCATTCAATGCAGAACAGAAATATTTTAACATAATCTAATTTTAGCAAAGCTAAAGAAAGGTTTTCCTCTGCTTCCTTTAAATACTCCTATAGTCCTCCTCAATGAATATTAATTCATTAATTCAGTTGGCAGTGAAAGGAGTAGAATCCTCATAAAGAATAAGTCATACTCCACTAATCACCATATATAACCTATTTTTTGATTTATCAGAAACACGTTCAAAAAGTTCTCAAGTCCCAAATTCAAGAGGGCAGCTCTAATTAGAAGGAGGGATTCCTTTACCAGTTCCACATCCTTTCTACCTTAACCCACATTTTCCATAAAAAATAACCTTATAATGAAAAGTCGGTTTCCACAACACTTCACAGACATCCATTTGACAAATAAGGTAGTTCAAATATTGTATACATTATGTTCAGTACATTATTTGTTAATTTTTACAACCATTTGTAGAACAATGATCATCATTTGTAATATTATTTTTCTGGGAAACTGTAGGTCAATTTTCAAAAAAAATATGTTTATAGTGATTATAAGCCCATAATATTTGCTCAATAAATGCTTATTAAACCACTAAATGTTAGAATGAACTCTTAAAACACAACATATTTATAAATTGAAAATTGTTTGCAATTTAAGTTTTGATTTTAGTGACATCTTCTGGACACGAGAAGTTTTGCTAATATGTTACATATTAAATACACTGAAACATGCCCAGGCAAGGTGGCTCACATCTGTAATTCCAGCACTTTGTGAGGCTGAGGTGAGTGGATCCCTTGAGCTCAGGAGTAAGACCGGCTTGTGCAACATTGTGAAACCATGTCTCTACGAAAACTACAAGAAACTTAGCTGGGTATGATGGTACACGCCTATAGTCCCAGCTACCTGGGAGGCTCAGAAGGTGGAGGCTGCACTGAGCTGTGATGGCTCCATTGCACTGCAGCCTGGATGGCAGAGTAAGACCCTGTCTCAAAACACATAGTGAAACAAAAATGCAATTCAGTCTTTAAAAAGTAAGTTTCTACTTTCACAGAAACCTAATAGGCAGCCACAACAGCTCTTCTGGTATCCTAGCCGAATGCCTATTCATCCATATCTAAGGTATGCTTTTGCAATGATGACCTGGTTATAAGGAAGCAGAACTTTGAGTGGACAGTTAGTGCTATATTTGGAGATGGAAATTAGGTGACTGCTACTAATTGCACTTTTCCTCAAATTTTGTATTATTTGCATTTCTGCAAAGACAACCTAAGAGATCTCATTTATTATCTGCTGATACCATTGCTAAGGAAAAAAGCAGCAGGAAAACTCAGTACAAGTGGTTAAGAATCACCAGACTGAAGTGGAATGGGGAATTTCCTACATAAGAAACAGGTGCCTAAGTTCTAGTCCCAGTTCTACTATAATATAGCTGAATAGCAATGAAATCCTGATTTTAGTTTACTCGACTGTCAATGAAGAGATGAGGTGGTTAAACAAAATATCTAAAGTCCTAAGGAATTAAACAACTCTATAAATCGGTAATTCTATGACTATTTTTCTGGTCTGCCAAAAAATATTTTTAAAGTAAACAGGTTTATAAGTGAAAGTGTAAGTCTCCTGATCACTATTTACTTTCAAAATACAGTTGATCTCTTTATTCATAGATTCCATATTTACAAATTTGCCTACTTGTTAAAATTTATTTGTTACCCCAAAATCAATACTCATAGTGCTTTTGCAGTCATTCATGGACATGCTCAGAGTGGAAATAAATTTGTGTTACTTGACGCACATGTTCCCAGCTGAGGCTGAACAAGGTGATGCTCTGCCTTCTTTCACCTTTCATACAACAAACAAGCATCCTTTTCATTTTCTATGTAGTGCTATGTTTCTGGCATCTGTGGACTTTTTCTTAGTGACTTCACTGTTTAAAATATCCCCCAAGCTTGGTATACTGAGTGCTATTTAGTGTTCCTAAATACAAGAAGGCTGTGTTGTTGCCTTATAGAGATAATATGTGTGTTAGATAAGCTTGTTATTATACTGCTGTTGGTCACAAGTTCAGTGTTAAGATATCTTTAAACAGAAACACACATAAAACAAGGTTATGTATTGATTGGTTGATGAAAATGCTGTGACCAGAGGTTCAGAGGAACCTAACTCCGTATTTCCCCCCAGAAGCAATGGTTCGGTATTCACTAATCCAGTGTTCACAGGATAACTACAGGGAACAAGAACAGGCTACTCACAAAACATCTGTTTGAAAGTGTCATTCTACAAATGATTTCTGGCAAGCATCTATTATGGGCCAGACATTGTACTGGGTGCTTGAAAAACAAAGATTAAAAAGACAAAACCTCAGATTCATATTCTATACTCACAGATTTCAGAGTATGGGTTTATTTTGATATCTTATTGAAATTTTCATTAGGTAGAGAAAAAAGGTTAGAGCAGCAAGTATAAGAAATTACAGAAAATCCTTGCTCTTGCTCAAATCAAATCATTTGGAATACTCTTCCTCTTAGCTCCATAGATCCAAAAATCTGACTTAGCTTCAATGCCAGAGCCCTGACTAAAAGTATTTTCTTCATTTTCACAACTGGAATTCATAAATGCCAGTATTCACTTAACAAACATTTCTTACATTCCAACTATGTGTGAAGCACTACTACAGGTACTGGGGATACAGCTGTGTACAAAACCGGCAAAATTTTATGTGCTCTTGGAACTTAGTCTAGTGAAAGAAGGTAGATAATAAACAGATACTTACATAACATTTCAGGTGATACATGAACACTATTTTTTTTAAAGCAAGGTAAAGGTATATAGAGTGAAAGGGTGAGCAGAGGAATCAGGCGAGGCCTCTCTCAGAATATAAATGCCTGAGCAGAAATCTGAAAGACATGAAGAAATAAGCTATGCAGATATCTGGTAAAGAATATCTAGGCAGAGGGAACAGTGTGTGAAAAGGGCCTAAGGGCTGGGCATGGTGGCTCACGCCTGTAAGCACTTTGGGAGGCCAAGGTGGGTGGATCACCTGCGGTCAGGAGTTCCAGACCAGCCTGGCAACATGGTGAAACCCTGTCTCTACTAAAAATACAAACTTAGTCAGGTGTGGTGGCATATGCCTGTAATCCCGGCTTCTCGGGAGGCTAAAGCAGGAGAAATGCTTGAACCCAGGAGGCGGAGGTTGCAGTGAGCCAAGATTGGGCCACTGCACTCTAGCCTGGGCAACAAAGTGAGACTCTCTCTCTCTCAAAAAAAAAAAAAAGGCATAAGGCAAAAATGTGCTCGGCAGGCAAGTTAATGGAACAGTATAGGTCTGAGTGGATTGACAGAAACAATTAATAGTAAAAAAATAAATAAAATAATAATAAATAAATAAATAAAGGAAAGAAAGTCAGAAAGGTAACAGGGACCATATTATTTAGGTTCTTGTAGGACACACAGAAATTTCATTTGGAAAAGATAACTGTAGTTGATCTACGGAGAAAGAATTACGTGGAGGCAATGGCAGAAGAAAACAGATCACAGTGAGGCAGTTTTTGGAATAAAACAGGATGGAGTACAGCAGCTTAAAATCAGAGTAGAGGGAGAGATGATGAGACGTGCCAGAGTTCAGATATACTTTTTTCTAATATATTTTTAAATATGTGTGTGTGTGTGTGTGAGTGTATATATATATGTACTTTTTTTATTTTTTTGGTTGAACAAAGAGGAGTCACAGATAAGGCAAAGCCTTCAAACCAGAGCAACAAAAAGAACAGTGATGCTATTAATTGAGACAGGGAAAACTGGGAAGGAACAGGTTGGTTTGGGTGAAGTAGATAAGAAGCAAGACATCTCCAAATGGACTTATTCATTGGAGATGTCTACTAGACAACAGATGAATTTGCTTAATAGAAATGTGTATATGTGAGTCTAGAATACAGGGAAGCAGTCAAAACTGGAGATTTAAATTTGGGAGGCATTAGCATATAGATGATTTTTAGATACATGAGACAAAATGCAATCATCTAAGGCATGAGAAGAGGTTCAAGGACTGGGCCCTGACGCACTTCCAATTTTTGGTGAGAAGAGCATTTGAGAGTTTAGAAGGCTGAGGATAGCCAAGGGTACTAAGAAAGGGAGAAGAAACAGGGAAACAAGTGAATCCAGGGAAACAAGTGAAGAATGTGTTTCAAGAAGAAAGTTCTCCAGATGAAAATTAGCCTGGACTCCTCAAAAGGTTAATGAGAAGAAAATAAAAGAAGGATTATTCTAGATTAAGAGATTAAAGGAACATAACAACTAAAGACAATACATAAACCTAGGTTGCATCCTGGTTCAAAAAAATAATAGCTGTAAGAAACATACTTGGGAAAACCAAAGAAATTTAAAAATGCACTGAACATGAGACCATCTAAATAAAGTACTGTTTCTTTTCTTACGTGTGTCAATGGCATTCTGGTTACATAGAGAGTATCTTTATTTTTAGGAGATGCATGCTGAAGTACTTTGGGGGAATTATAATGGCATCTGCAGCTTATTTTCAAATGGTTGAATAAAAAATATATGATAAAATGTTAACTGTATTTAGGTGGAGAGTATAAAGAAA
The DNA here is from genome assembly GCF_000001405.40 of Homo sapiens. NCBI lineage: Eukaryota > Metazoa > Chordata > Mammalia > Primates > Hominidae > Homo > Homo sapiens. The sequence continues at coordinate 120,441,949 of NC_000008.11, forward strand.
TTCATTGTACTATTCTTTGACCTTTTCTGATAGTTTGAAACCTTTTGTAATAAAAGTAAGAAAAAAGCAAAGGACAAACAACTCAGTGAAGAATTGACAAAAGACATGCACAGACATTTCACAGGACAGGAAGCTGTAAAGGCCAATAAGTGGTAAGATACTCAGCCAGCCATATTTGTCATCGAGAAAATGCAAATTGAAATCACAAAGCAAGCATTTTATTTCTACCAGAATAGTCAAAACTAAAAAGAACGAACATATCAAGTGTTATTGAAGATGAGGAGTAATGGAAACTCTTGCATGCTACTGGCATGATAAAGACTCAATAGTTGCTATGCACCTTAAAACCCAGTAATTCCTGTCTTTTGGGCATACCTTGGAAAAATTCTTCCATGTGTGCTAAGAAAATGGCACAAGAATATTGATAGCAACATTAATGTAATATAACATAATGCCAAAAAAATTGGAAACAAACCAATGCTGAGTATATTCATTTCACCATTATAATTGTTATGGTTAATTTTCTTTAAAATATCACATATTTTTATATATACATATTTGTATGTTTAATATATTGCACAATAAAAGCTAAATAAAAATGTGATCAATTGCAGCAAATGCTGTTGACAAGTCAACCAGTATGAGGACTAAAAACTGACATCTGGATCTGGCCATGAAGTGCTGGGGTAAATGAAGTCTATCAAAAACTATCTGTAAGCAGAAATCTTCTAGAACGAAAACAACTTTTTAATTTTATTTTGGAAAAAGGATACAGAAAAGCAAGTCTATTAGTCTTATTAGTGAAAATAAGCTTCCCATACCTAGCTAGCACCATATATTTTTCTAGGGGAAAAGATTTTTTAGAAGAGAGGGCAAAATTATTTCCCTTAAAAACTCTTTATATGGATGTCATCACGTGAAAAGACATATATAAAAGTGAAAGTTTAAGTCATGGGGCAAATCAGGTTATTTCTGAGTGTGAAAAGAAGGGCTACTAATAATTTCGCTGGGCAGTGGCATAAAATAGGCTTGTTCCGGGTAAACTGATCCATACGGTTTTCCAGTGAATAAGCCAAATTCAGTTTTGGGCGCTAGTATGGTTTCAGCAAGAATGGAATACAGGATCCTCAGGAAAAATAAAAAGGGCCCTTAAACTCAGCCCTGTTAAACTTCATCAAGATTCTATTCTGGCATGAAAACTACAGTGGTTAATGACAGGTCTAAAATAATACTTACTCAGTGCATGGTACACAGGTTTATGTAATCCCTGAAGTCTTATAGATGCCATAGCAGCAAGTTTGCCAGGTGGCTGCATTTTCCCATCTAAGAGATACCATATTCTAGCAAAAGTGGCCCATTGCTTGGGGGGGAAAAAAAAAAAAAAGAAGAGGAAAAAATAAAGATAATTATCATTAAAATGGAAATACAGTAATTAAATTTATTATCATATATCATCACGTTTCTACAATTAATGTCAACAATTTCTTTGAAAAATAACTCTATTGCTAAAGAATTTTTGTTTTCATTTCTATTTCTGGAAAAGGGTTGTTTTTTCTAATCATTCTGCAAAGACAAACACAGTAATTATTCCTTCCTGGTTTCCTGTTAGCAATATGACTTACGTTTTGTTATAAATATCCCAAAGATATATTTCCCTTTACGGTATGACTTTTTTTTTTTTTTTTGTATAACACATAATAGAATCTGGAGGGGCAATGAGAAGCTTGTAAGAAAGTAGAAGCTGTTTATGAAGGTCTTCAAAAACATTTAGAGATTATTAGGTACATTATATTGAAAGCTGAGTGGCCAACTGGAAACTGAAGACGATTCAGGAGTTCAATTCCTGGGGAGAGTTAAATAGAACAATGTAGTTGGGAAAGTACAGATGGGTGATGTGGAATAAATTTCAACTTTAAAAAGTTGCCTGAAATAGGTATCTTTAGGTTGCCTCAGGAATAGAGCATTGTTTTTACAGTCGTCATCAATGTATTCAAATTCTTAGAAAATTCTAGGCCAGAAAGATCTCCACCAGATGCTTTCTCTATGCATATACACAAGAGGCTAAACAATGCTGGAAAAATAGAACGAGGCTAGCTGGTCTTATTTTAAATTTACTTATCACAACCTCAAACTAGTCTACATATAAGAAAAAGGCCAGTTTTTGTCCCCATCCATTGTAGACTAATAGTTTGATACTTAGAAAAAAAAAATTTTTAATGAAAAAAATACAAATGCTGGGCGATGTCAGATTGCTGAAAAAGGTTTTAAAATTTTTATTTTACTTCCTGTATTTATCTCATCACAGACAGGCAACAAACAGCCCAAGGAAGGAACCATACTTGGAGCGGCACTGAGTTGAGAGTCATCTTAGACCGATATAACCCAAACTAACTCCTATTCTTCCACCTGAAACCTGGTTCAATCTCAGCCTTCCCTATCTCAGTTGATGACACACCCTCCAGTTGGACAAACCAAAAAACCTTGGGGTAATCCTTGTTTCTTCTTTTGCTGTTGGCCTATACTCAATATTCAGGAAGTCCTACTGGCTCCACCTTCAAACAAAACCTGACCACTTTCAACACACTCCATAGTATTTCTAGCGTGGCCTCTGCACCATCACGTCTCGCCTGGATTACTGTAACACCCTCCAAACATATTCTTTGCTTCTGTCCTCTACTAACCCCTATTTCTGAACAGTCTATTCTCGACCCAGCAGCCAGAGTGCTCCTTTTGACACCAGGTCAGATCCTGTTACTCCGTGGATCAAAACCCTCCAAAAGGTCCCCATTTTACTCAGTCAAAAAACAAATTATTGCAAGGGCCTACAATGCCCTATGTGATCCACCTTATTACCTCTCCGATCTGCTCTAATCCTCTTCCCCCCGCCCCCCCAAGAAAGACATGAAAAGGGCAGATTGAAAAGAAGAGGGGACGAGTAACAGACGAACGACATTAAGTGCTTGCCAGACTGACGACCCTCTTGTGCTTTCCCAAGTCACCTCTTGGCCGAGGGTCTCGGCTTCCCTGCCGCCCCAGCTTCACTACTTAATCTGCCGGAACCAACGCTCTCCTTCTGCCAGTATAATGAACCCCATCAAGCCATAAGAGTCCGAGCTCACCTGGGGCGCCCTAGAGAAACTCGACATATTCCTCTACTAGCAGGACCGTACGTCCTTCTCCTAGTAGCCACGCCGGGTCACTCAGCCTTACTGGCCCGGCGGGAAACGCTAACACCCAAGCAGGACAGTTCCTAGCCCGTCGAGCACTTGTCGGCTTCTCCCTCTTCCTCGAGTTTCCTCCAGTCTTCTCCACGGCAGCAATTTCGTCATGAAAGGAGCATATAATGCAGTTATTTAGGGAATAACTCCCAAAAATATCTCGCTTGGTGGAAAAACTGCGGAAAACCGACGGAGGACATAATTTCCAGCCGACCTAAACGAAGGGAACCGGAAATGCGTCATAGCGCGCGTCTGTTTGGATGTGGAAGCCGAGACCTAAAGTTGGGGGGTGATCTCTGAGGAGATGGATCGGTACCTGCTGCTGGTGATCTGGGGGGAAGGAAAATTCCCGTCGGCGGCCAGTAGGGAGGCAGAACATGGGCCAGAGGTGTCGTCGGGTGAGGGTACTGAGAATCAGCCGGGTAAGCGCTGGGATGAGAAAGAGCGGGAACGGCTTGTGGAGAGGGGAAGAAGTTTGAGTTTTGTGATCAAGTTCTGCTGAAGAGGGATCAATATGTAGTTGTCCCACGAAGCTGGGACTCTATCTGGGATAGAGTTAATGAGGGCTGCAAAAATAGCATCTTCATGGAAAAACAGGGACAAATTTGTGGATGCAAGATTCCAGCCCTTAGAAGTTCTTGGCATAGTAAATGTTTAACTTAATAAATTTTCTATGCCTTAGTAATGGAATTTCCTGCTTTTTGGAAATATATGCATTTATTATTTCTGCTCCTGTGTTTCACATGCAAATAATACGGAAAGGAGCAAGATGGACAAAGATCTTGCTGTCCTACAATTTACATCTAATGGGAGGAGACATCCCACATATAACCTAAGTTTTAAAAACAAATGATGAATTTTAAATGATTTTAATTGTTTGCGATTGCACTGCTTTTTGGTGCACCCGTCTAGATTCAATATTGCATTTTATGTGTTCATTTGTTTCGATCAAACAGGCATTTTGAGGAGTAAATGTATGTGGTTGTGTATAAGGTATTGTCACAGAATTTCCCTTCTCTTTAAAATTATTCTTTTGAGGGGAATTTTGCATTCGTGCTAACTGACTGGCATGTACAGATCGGGAGCCTTTTCTATTTTCTCTGATTGCTTTAGATTTTCTGTATCAAAACTTGAACAGATCTTGAGCAGCGTTTAGTACTTTTATGTACAACCTACTGGTCTTGAGAGTCTCTGATGGTGAAATTGGACTAAGTTAGATTATGTAAATCTAGAGCCCTTTGAGTTAGTCTATCTTTTCTTTTTCAGACTTCACAGCAGCAAATGTTTATCACCTCTTGAAAAGAAGCATTAGTGCTTCAATTAATCCAGAAGATAGTACTTTCCCTGGTAAGTATAATAAACTCCTCTTTTCTCTGGCACAGCATTTGTACTGGAAATTAACTTAATTAATTTGGACCCTAAGGAGTACAAGGAAATACTTCTTGACTGTGTACAAGGCACTGAGTTACAGAGATAACTAAGGGAGTACAAAACTGAAAAATAAATTACCCCTTTCTTCTAGATGCTTGAATATAGTAAAGTTATGAAAATTATTCTAGGTTCTCAGCTTGAATTTTGCTCCTTTTATGAAATTTTCTTGCCTATCTTAGTTCTGTATAACTAAGGGGAGTGTGGCTTTATGAGGATGATTTTATCATGAGTAAAAATATGTAAAGCTCCCACACGGATTTCCTTACCATTTATTTATTTATTTATTTCTGTTCTTAATTACCTATTTCTGTTCTGATTCTCTTAAAAGTACTTAATAATTACTAAACACGATGAGCTTTTCTCAGTTCTTATCTGCTTTGACTTTTTGAAGTATTTCGCTTTTTTGACCAACCGTACTTTGTAAAAATCTTTCCTCCTTTAGCTTCTACTGGCATTATACAAATGCATTTACTGACTTTGATAGTTATCTTTTCTTTTATTCCTGCTTCTTGTCCTTTACTGGAGAATGTCCTTTAAACGTTCTGAAAATGGAGATGCCAAAACAGACCAATACCTAAAAACTGAAGGAAGTTTCTTTCCATGCAAGGAAGGGTCTGCTCCTTTTGATAATTTTGTAGTTCCCGTGACTGTACAATCTGCACCTTTCTCTTCTTTCATTAGAGAACCTCTTGTCTCTCGGTGTCAAATAACACCATTGGGGAATGATTTCTAATATGTGTATGCTACTCTAGCTTGTTTTCCAAGGCCTAGTAATACTCATTAATTTTCAAGTTGGTATAATTTTAGTCAATACCACTATTATTGCAGGAAAGATTTTCTTTGATTTGTACCTCAAATGTATATGTAAAAGAGCTCTTGGGAGTATTCCAGGGGTTCTCATGATAAATTTTACTTCCCCCTTGCGTGTTTAGGGTTTCTTATACACACGGTCCTTGTTTTGTATGATAGTGTTGTTCTTTATAATTGATTGTGCAAAGCAATCCTAATATAATCAATGAGAAAAATTAGAATTGTCCCATGACCTTTAATATCTTTTGTCAAAACATTAAAAATTCTCTTACTGTTATAAAATTTTATGGAAATAAAAAAATAGTAAAAATAAAATTTATTTTGTACCCTGTAATTTTAAAACCTTAGGTACATTGAGAATTAAAGTGTTTTATTTCTTTGTAAAAACCTTACCAAGAGTAGTTTGAGCAGTGCTTGCCACCTTCACATCATCACGTAACTTATGATACAGAATGAACATCTTTTATTGGCGAATTATCATATTCCAGTTGTATCAACTTCCAATGTTTTATTCTTCGATTTTTTTTTTCTTTTTTTGAGACAGGGTCCCACTTTGTTGCTCAGGCTGGAGTCCAGTGGCTCAATCATGCTTCACTGCAGCCTCAACCTCCCCGGCTCAAGTGTCACTATCCTCCTACCTTAGCCTCCTGAGTAGCAGGGACTATAGGCATGAGCCACCACACCTGGCTAATTTTTTAACTTTTTGTAGAGACAGGGTTTCATTATGTTGCCCAGGCTGGTCTTGAACACCTGGGCTCAAGTAATCCACCTGTTTTGGCCTCCCAAAGTGCCGGGATTACAGATGTGAGCCACTGTGCCCGACCTGGACTTTCAATGTTGTGAAATATCTCTGAGTTCCTTTAATATTAAGGTTTTTGCTAGCCTCATTTTCTCTGGGACATCTTCACCTTTTTGATCAAAAGGTGTTTGTCACAGCAGCTATTTTTAGAACTCTATTTACATTAGCTTTGAAGATTGCTTTCAGTGTTAGCACTTTTTGTTTCTTTGGTGTTTCTTTATCTCTCTCTTTTTAAAAAATTCCCTCATCCATTTATCCATTTTTATAAAATATCACATGGGTTTACACTGGGAAACCAGAAGGCAACACAATTACATCCTTTGCTACCTGTGTGTGAACTGAATGGCACTTGCACAGTGACCAATCAATGACGTACTTTAAAAGTAGTAACATGATTGGTTACTGATCATGACACACATCTTTTATGTATACAGTGGTTTTGTAGACTGAGAAGCTTGCAATGAAGTCTTAAACTATGCAGTTATAGTTAGTGAATATACCATGGTAACTGAAATTTGAACCAGGTTGTTGGGGAACTGGTGTTGTTTAAGCTACAGTAACTGGAATTTGTGCATATCAGAACCATGCAAATGGAAACTGCCTGCGCTGAATTTCCTGCCATACTAGGATTATTGATTTCAGTAATATGGCAAGTTTGAGGGACGGAAAGTACAATATGATTATAATTGGGATAAGGGTGGAGAGGTAGGCATGGCTATTTAGAGGATTTTGTAAATAGTGTCAGGGTGTTTGGATTTTTTCCTAATGGTAATCAGCAGCCATTAAAAGCTTTAATTAAGGAGGAGACATGATCAGATCTGTGCTTTTGAGGTATTCTCCCTGCAGTATAGTAGATGGATTAGAGAAAAGTATAGCTATTTCTGTACTGGGGGATTCTGTAGAAGACCAAATGAGGAATGGGAGAGGCAGCCAGGGTGGAGGAAAGTGGATAGATCTGAAGGAAATTATGGGGGTAGAATTCACCTACCTTAGCGTTGAATTGGTATGATGTAGAAGAAGGAAAGGATGAGAAAAGAATCAAGGATGACATTAGGTTTCTGGTGTGGGTAATGGCATGATGGTGGCATTTAGTGAGAAAGAACCAGATTTGGAGGGAATATGACGTGTTCAGTTTGGAACCTGTTAATAGTTGCCTGTAAGATGCAAAGTAAGAAGTAAAAATGTAAAAATGTTTTACATGTTTACTAAAATAAAATGTAAAAATAAAGTAAAAATGTTTTATAAAAGTTGGATATTTGTGTCGGGAACTCAAGATGTAGGAGAGGGCTGGAGATATTAGGTTGGTGCAAAAATAATGGCAAAAAAACCCAATTATTTTTGCACCAATTAATACAAATTATAGAACCAATGTACAGATGTCAGGTGAAGGCATGAGAAAGGATGGGATTGCTTACGGATAGTAGGGAGAACAGAAAGCCTCAAACTGAATCCCAGTATTTAGAAGAACTGAACACCAGTTTTTAAAAAGAATAAGGAGCAGCCAGAAGGATGGGTGCCACAGAAGCCAAGTGTTTTAAAGAGAAAGTAGTAAAATGTGTCATCTTTGATTCTTCTCTTATGCTGAGAGGTCAAATAACAACAGAACTAAAAACCGCTAGATTTAGTAACAAGTCAGTTATTGGTGACTTTGGTGAGTGTTCTTTCAGTGGCATATTGGAGACAAAAAACAGATTGAAATGCATTTGGAAGGAAGTGGAAAAGTTGATGAGGAAATGGAGACAGTCAGGTGTGGACAGTACCTTCAGAAGTTTATCTTTGAGGAAGAGCTAAGAAAGTGAAGTGAAGATGAATTTAAAGGGACCCCTTTTTTTAAAAAAGAAATACTTTGAGAAACACTTGTGTGTATTTAAATGGCAATGACAAAGAACAGACAGAAGGGAGCAGACTGAAATGCAGGAAAGATGATCAGTGGACTAGATAATAGAATCAGTGGTCTCAGAGGAGGTGTGGGGGATAACATTGAATTAGAAGGACAGTGCTTCTTACACGTTAAAGGGGAGGAAAGAGGAAAGATTAATGGCAATACAAGTTGAGTTGTATCTTTCCTGAGAGGATGTTACAGGGATTATTACCTAATAGCTTCTATTTTGTTAAGGCAGAAGGAGTCTTCTGCTGAGATTGTTGGAAGAAAGTGGTAATAAGAATTTAGCATCTTACCTAGCTTCCTTCCATTAGTTAAGCCTCAGTTACCTTTCTTCTTCCTGTTTTGAGTCTAATTTCTATACATAGCTCTAAATTCTTTATGACTCCTTGACACATACCCTGGGGTGACCCTTAATTTTATATCCTCATATAATACTCCATTCTCCAAGAAGAGCATCTTCCTTATCTTTAGACTGGGTTTGCTCTTTAACGCCTCTGTCTCTAGTCAGGCTGAACCAACCTGCATAGTCTTTGGAGAGGGAATTGCTTTCACTAAAATGACTTACATGGTTTTGCTTTACTCAGTAGTAATTGAGTAGCTGTATTTTCAACATCTTTATGGTTGATTGTAATCTGTGTGAAATGATGATTAAAATAATAAAAAATAATAATACGAAATTCTGAATTGTGACAAATGAAAGGCAAGTATTTATTGTGAGTAAAGAATTTTGCTCTTTAGGTAGATTGTTGTATTTGAATTTTTAGTAGGGATTTTTAAAAGATCCACATATGTATGTTGGATAATTATGTAATATGTTTCAAAAGTTATGGTCTGTAAGTACGGTATATATGCTGTGTCATCTGCTTATTTATGGTATGCCTTTTTAATAATAATGTGGTTTTATTTTCAAGCCTGTTCAGTGGGAGGTATACCTGGTTCCAAGAAGTGGTTCTTTGCAGTGCAGGCAATATATGGATTTTATCAGGTAATATAAATTTAAAGATAGCTACTAATGAATGTCTTTACTAATATAAATAATTTCATGATCCATTATTTAATACAATCTTTTGATTTGTTAGTTTTGTAGTTCTGATTGGCAAGAGATACATTTTGATACAGAAAAAGATAAAATTGAAGATGTTCTTCAAACGAATATCGAAGAATGTTTGGGTGCTGTTGAGTGTTTTGAAGAAGAAGACAGTAATAGCAGGGAATCATTATCCTTGGCTGAGTATGCTTATATGGTTTTTGTATTATCATTAAAATACTTAATATTAGACAGTTATTTTAATCCATGAGAATGAAGATTATATATTTTAGCATCTTTACTGAAGAAACTCTAGTTAATTGAAATTTTTGACTCTCAATTTGGGCCTTTTATTTGAATAAAATTCTTTAAAATGCATGTTTCTTAAGCTTACATAATGTCAAGAATCATAAAAAGTGATATTTTAATAAACATGTTCCTTTCTTGAAGATAAATTCTGCCTAATATTTTATTTTATTTTTGAAACAGGGTCTTGCTGTGTCACCCAGGCTGCAGTGCAGTGGTGCAGTCACGGCTTGCTACAGCCTAGACCTGGGCTCAAGCGATCCTCCGACCTCAGCTTCCAGAGTAGCTGGAACTACAGGTGTGCACCACCACACCCAGCTAATTTTTGTATTTTTTTTTGTAGAAATATCATTTCGCCATGTTGTTCAGGCTGACCTCGAATTCCTGAGCTCAAGCAATCTGCCTGCCTTGGCCTCCCAAACTGCTGGGAGTACAGCTGTGAGCCACCGTGCCTGGCCAATAATGTATTTTAAAAGCTTGAATAGAAATGTTATTTAATGTTAATAGCTAGCATTCATACCAAAGTATCATTTTCATTTTGCTATTTGAGGCTGAAATATGTGACTTCTTTAATTTATGTGTATTTGCAGCATTTCAGGTACCTTTTAAAATCCATAGAGTTTGTGAGGATTATATGTACATGATTGAGTTCACTTTTAGGTTTTTTTCAATTGTGGTACAATATGTAAGTTGATCCAGGTGACATAAGTTGTGATAATAATTTTTCTCTTGATGAAATATCCCACCTCTTATAGTTAATACCTTTTATTTTAGTCTTTCATAACATTTCATGACAAAACTGCTCTTATTTTAGTATTCACATATTATATCTGTAAGTAGCTGTAGACTTAAAAATTTTCATTTTCCTTTTTCCAGATCATATTTGTTTGTACTGATTAATAAAAGGAGACCTTTCCAAACCAGAGAAATATCATTGAACCAGGGATTAGTAGAGGTAGACTTTATTTACACAATCTTAGGCCAGTCACGTAACTTCTCTGGTCGTTTGTTTTCTCATCCATAAAGTATTGAAGTACTTTTAGATAATTTCTTAGGTGCTTTCATTTACCCTTAAAAACTCTTATCATCCCATATGTTTTCCTACCACTGTTAAAGACAAGTATAGCCAGGCACAGTGGCTCACGCCTGTAATCCCAGCACTTTGGGAGGCCGAGGCGGGTGGGTCACAAGGTCAGGAGTTCAAGACCAGCCTGGCTAACATGGTGAAACCCCTTTTCTACTGAAAATAGAAAAAATTAGCCGGGCGTGGTGGCAGGTGTCTGTAATCTCAGCTACTCGGGAGCCTGAGGCTGGAGAATTGCTTGAACCCGGGAGGCGGAGGTTGCAGTGAGCTGAGATTCTGCCACTGTACTCCAGCCTGAGCGACAGAGCAACACTCCGTCTCAAAAAAAAAAAAAAAAAAAGAAAAGGCAAGTATAAAAGTTTCTGATAAGTGACCTAATAATTATTTCCACAAGGGGGAGCCTGAAAACTAGAGTTTACATAAGATGCCTTAAGTTTCTAAGACGGTGGGTTTATAGTAAAGGATTTAAGTACCTTTATGCTATATAATAAACTTTTTTGAGAAAAAAATTGCATCATATAGATAAAACTAATAAGTTTTGAAGAATCTGAAGAGGGCGTCATATTCTTTAGTCAAGACTGTTAAATACCATTCAGAGAAAAATCATGTCCTTTTTTATTAAACACTTAGCATTTTCTTACTTTTAAGATTCAGAAAAATGGCTGGGTGCAGTGGCTCATGCCTGTAATGCCAGCACTTTGGGAGGCTGAGGCAGACGGATAACCTGAGCCCAGGAGTTTGAGACCAGCTTGGGCAACATGGCAGAACCCCGTCTCTACATTAGCCAGGCATGGTGGTGTGTGCTTGTAGTCCCAGCTATCCCAGCTATGCAGGAGGCTGAGGTGGGAGGACCTCCTGAACCTGGGGGATTGAGGCTGCAGTGAGCTGTGATCATGCCACTGCACTCCAGCCTGCGTGACAGAGTCAGACCCTGTCTCAAAAGAAACCCAAAAACCAAAAATAAATAAATAAATAAAAGGTTCCAAAAAAAGTTTGGTCTGTTAGTTATGATTTATATTTAATATGCTAGTTATAATTTAGGGAGTTTTATTTCCTTTTTTTTGATTGTTTTTGGGGTGTGGGTAAGAACTTGTACTCAGGGTTTGAATCCTAGCTTCCATACATACTAATTATGTAACTTTAGGGAAGTTATTTACAGTTGAGATAATAGTATTATAGTAGTACCTCCTGGAATTGTCATAAAGATCAAATGAGATTATACATCTAACATGTTTAACAGTGTCTGTACAACAATCTTTTTAGTTAATATTACCTATTATGATTATATATAAATATATTTATGGGGTTTTCTTTCCCTAACTTACCCTTTTATTTTAGTCTCTATGAAGAAGCTGCAGAAAATTTGCATCAGCTGTCAGACAAGCTTCCTGCTCCTGGTAATATTTTATGACTGCTTTCAATAATTTGTATCTTATCTTATTACACTTTATGAATAAATGATAAATTTGTTCTTTATGTTAGTGTTCTCACTCTAATCTTTAAATTAAAAAATGCAAAACAATTTTTAATTGAAGTTGATACAGAATGTATCCATGGGAGTACATTACCGAGATGTAGCAGTTCTTTTCATTGTTTTCATTTAGTTAGGCAAAAATTAGAACTTTGGACATTAAATAACTATCTCTGTTTCTTTAGTTATTGCTGAAGAAGAATCTTCCTGCTACAGACTGTTGCTTTTCAGAGTATGTTCTATAGAAGACTAATCCTATAAACAGCTCTTTAAAAAGGAGATTATTTAGCCTTGATGATTTGGATAACATTCTTTTATGGTGAAGTTACTATATGCATTGTCAAATGGAATGTCATACCATAAAAGAAAGTGTTTCCTCAGCATTTTTTTATAGAACCTATTTTTTTCCCCATAGTGGAAAGAATACCTGTGACATACTGTATCATAATATTCCTAAAACTGGTTTTTTTCTTTTTTCCTTTGTGTTAATCAAGTAGCTGTCATCTAATATTTGGTACAGTTGGTATCCGCAAATACTTTGAAGAGTATTCTTTTCTGAATGCTTTATTGAAGGTCATTAGTAAGTAAATATTTGTACTAGGAGCCAAGTGTACCATGATGAATAAAGCATCTGTGATTAACATAAAGGAGCTTTTAGCTTATAGTCAGCCAGATCTCTATATTCAAGGAGATCATATATTAGTACAAAAAGCCCCACATAGAAAAATAACTGAATGAGTTGACAAACGTATCAACTTTTAAAATGAAATGTGTTGAGGTCAAAGTATGCACTGAAATATTACATAGTTGTTTTGGCAAATTAGAATACTTTCATTATCAAATTTATCTCCAGTTTGTTTCATTTTGATTTTTGTAGTCCTTCAGGAAATGTATAATTTTATAAAATTTAAAGTTTTGTGAAGTTATTTTTTCTCAGGATCCAATGATGATGTCAGTATAATTGGTTTTCAGAGTGTTTTATTGTCCTTTATAAAAGAGACATCATTTATTTGAACATTACAGTTTTGCACTTATTCATTCTCTTTTGGATAACAAAATTATGTTTAGAAAAATATAATGAAATTGCACAGGTTTTTTTTTTCTCTGTTGAGTACAATAGCATTGATGATCATGAGAGTGATGTGTGTAATTAACCACTGCTGCAGAATTGGCAAGTAATTATGATATAGTTTATTGTTTTCTAGTATATGCTAGCTATTTCAAGATAACATGGCTTTCAATAAATGATGAACATTTAAAAAGTTTGAATTCCTAAGGGCGTATATTGTTTTGGAGAATTTCAGAAATTAAAACTAAAAGCTTCCTTTGTCTTCTAAATAAATATAAAACTAATTTTTCTAAATAAACATAAAATTCAGTTCTTCAGGGTACTATTTTGAGACATTTCAGATCTAACTTTTTAAAAATTACAAAAATGCCTTTTTCTCTTTCTAGGTAGAGCAATGGTAGATATAATACTGTTGCTTTCTGACAAAGATCCTCCTAAATTGAAAGACTATTTACCTACTGTAGGAGCATTAAAACATTTGAGAGAATGGTATTCAGCAAAGATCACTATAGCAGGAAATCATTGTGAAATGTAAGCTTCTTTGTTCATATTTGATTATTGTCTGCCTTGTCTGTTTTCACAATTAACATACTATTCTCTTTTCAGACTCAGCGTTTGAAAATTATTTTAATATGACAACATAAAATTCTATGTTATACCATGATTGCAAATTTGTGTATTGAGAAGAATCTAGATGTTTCATATTTTATATTTATGTTTCTGAGATATTTAAGTTTTTAGTAAATATTATTGATGCTGTTTTACAACCATTATTGAGGATTAATTCTATAAGCACACTGTGTGCTTTTGAACATAGATACACTGGATTTGTCATGTTGTATTTGGTTTTCTGTTATGTGCCAATGTAGGAATAAATATACACTGTTGTGTTTTATGATATTCTAGCAAGGATTAATTGTATATTACAATTTTGATCCTTAAACATTCAGTTGGATTTAATAACTTCATGATTTGTTTTCATTCAACGAATGTTTATTGAGCAATACCTTTATGGCAAGCATAGCAATAGATGCTTGTAAGTTAAGAAAGTGAGAAGACATGATCTTTTTCATTGAAGTGCAGGGAGAAACAGGAATGCTAACAGTCAAGAAAGTCTGTGGTAAGTGCGTTACAGAATTCCATGCAAAGATGTATGGGAACAATATAGGAGAGCAGTTCTCTTTTTGAAGATAAGGAAGTGACATTGTGCCTGTGTGTGTGTTTATGTACATCTGACACCTTTAAGCCAATAGTAAGAGGAAAGTCTATTTCTTCATCCTTAGTACTAAAGATAATTACTCTAAATTTGTGAGGATGTTGGGACTAAATGAACATGTGTCAGCAATGCACTTAGAGACTGACTTAATGGGTGTTTCATATTAATAGGAAAAATACAGCAATATAAATTTTGCAATTTTGCCTCTTAGGCTTGTAGTTAACTATAATGATTAAATCAGTGAAATATAAAACCCTGTGTTTAATTGTTGTAATCTTTTTTTTATAGAAACTGTCAGAAAATTGCAGAATACCTTTCTGCTAATGTTGTATCTTTAGAAGATCTCAGAAATGTTATTGACTCAAAGGAATTATGGAGGGGGAAAATACAGATATGGGAAAGAAAGGTAAATGGATTATTCACAGTTTGCCAAGTAGGCCTTTCAATTTTATTTACAACACAGATATTTAAATAAATCTTAATGAAAATGTACCTTATAAAGATATTCTAGAATAGCACTAAGTAGAACTTTCTGCAATAATTAAATGTTCTATATCTGTGCTAATACACTAGCCTACAAACCACTTATTGCTACTGAGCACTTTATATGTGAGTAGTTCCACCAATGAACTGAATTTTTATTTGATTTTAATTAACTTTAATTTAATCACATAATAATGTGATTATATTCAAGTGCTGTTTCCAGAATGTAATGTTCTTTTAAAATATAGAATTTTTAATCGAGTTCATGTTGTTTATCCAAACTGCTTTATTTTATTGCATGTGTAAACTACTAGAAAAAACTACTTAGAGCATATTGTCTTCCCATAATACTACCTTAGGTGATCTTTGCTGTTTATTAACCAGCCCTCAGATTTTGAACAAATTTTTTTAACCTTACTGGACCCCAGATTTCTCAATTATAAGATGAGAATGTTGTATTAGGTGGACTCTTCTAATCCTGAATTTCTATGAAATTTCTATTTCATTTTGACGTCTCTTACTATGAAAGAATGTTTGTGGGTTTTGTAAGTTATGTCCATTTTGAAATAAGTGTTCATAGTAATTTATGTATTTTTGTAGATAGGCAAAACTAAACTAAGAAAGTTTCTTAATGTTTATTTAGGGTAGCATGGGAGCATGAGTAGACTTTTGAGTTCCTCTAAAGTTTTGTTACACTAGTTACTAGAAATTTTTCTTCCTTTTTAATTCACCCTTAATAATGGTTTAATAAAATCTCTGATTAGACAACAGGAATCAATGTGGCTGGATTTGTCTTGTTGATTTGCATGTTTGCTCATCCTAATCTCAGACAGGTTAAATCTGCAGGTGAACTTTCTCTGCAAATGTTTTAGTATAAAGAAATCCCACATAGGCTGGGCGCAGTGGGTGGCTCACGCCTATAATCTCAGCACTTTGGGAGGCCAAGGCGGGCAGATCACGAGGTCAGGAGATCGAGACCATCCTGGCTAACACGGTAAAACCTCGTCTCTACTAAAAATGTAAAAAATTAGCCGGGCGTGGTGGCAGGTGCCTGTAGTCCCAGCTACTCAAGAGGCTGGGACTCTTGAGGCAGGAGAATGAGGCAGGAGAATGGTGTGAACCCGGGAGGCGGAGGTTTCAGTGAGCTGAGATCGCGCCACTGCACTCCAGCCTGCGTGACAGAGTGAGACTCCGTCTCAAGAAAAAAAAAAAAAACCCAAAAAAACCCCACATAGCCAAGTGGAAGAGTGGAAGATACAGTTTGCTAGAATTGCTTTTGTATGTTTTCTGAAACTGCATGCTTACATACAGAGAGATAATGGCAGAGTTCTTTTCATGTGATTCTTTTATTCTCTTGAATAGGAAATTAAATGTTCGTATCTCCACTGGATGCATTTAAAACTTGAAATCACTTTTTTTGGTAGAGAACAGCTTTTTAGTCAAGAGGCATCATGGTGATTAAGGACATAGATTCTAGAGTTATATTGCCTACAATCAAATCCCAACTCTTTTTTCTTTCTAGTTTAACGTAGCATGTTGTGCAACACTTAGCCTCTTGGTGCTGCAGTTGTCTTCATCTGTAAGATGATGATAATAGTTCCTATCGCATAGATTTTTGTGAGAATTAAATTATTTAAAGCACAGAGTAACCACTCAGTAAGCATTAGCTATCACTGTTGTTGTGCCTACCATTACTATTATTAGCATCCTTACTATTACTACTTCTGCAGCAATTGATCTTATCAGCAACATTTATCAAAGACAAACTATGTGAGACACTGTGCTAAGGATCTAGTAAAGAATAAGATAGAGCCAGGTGCGGTGGCTCACACCTGTAATCCCAGCACTTTGGGAGGCTGAGGCAGGTGGATCACCCGAGGTCAGGAGTTCAAGACCAGCCTGGCCAACATGGTAAAACCCCATCTCTACTAAAAATACAAAAAATTAGCTGGGCATGGTGGCAGGTCCCTGTAATCCCAACTACTCAGGAGGCTGAGGCAGGAGAATCACTTGAACCCAGGAGGTGGAGATTGCAGTTAGGCAAGATTGCGCCACTGCACTCCAGCCTGGGCCACAAGAGTGAAACTCCATCTCAAAGCCAAAAAAAAAAAAAAAAAGGAACAAGACAGACAGCTTCTGTCTTTGCATAACTTACAGACTGGTAGGAAGCCAGATATTGAACAATGCAAAAGAGGTTGTTTGGTCCTGTGGCTGCATAGAATGAGCTTAACATACTCTTGCCAGCTGGTGAAGGACCAACGAGAGCTTTTCATGAAAACCTGAAAAATTGATGTCTAAGTTAAAACAGGATGTGTACCTAAATGTGAGAAGCACACTTTTGAGCTGAGGAATCAAAAATAAATTTATACATGGATTTCCCCTCAACTTTTACATTGTAATAAGATGTATTAATCTTTATAGCATTATTCATGATACTTGTAACTGTGTTTTCTTGGTCTCTTTTCAGTTTGGATTTGAAATTAGTTTTCCTGAATTTTGTTTAAAGGGAGTCACACTTAAGAATTTTAGTACTTCTAATTTAAATACTGACTTCCTTGCCAAAAAGATCATACCATCAAAGGATAAGAATATTTTGCCAAAGGTAATCGTGTTTAATTTTTTTGTGTGATCATTCATGTGTATTTTTGTTCCTATAAAATATGTTTGAATCTTGACTTAATATTACTAATATATGTGCTTAAGTGTGCTCACTAGCATAATTTTTAATATAATTAAGTACTTAAGTTATACTATGTCATCAACATTAAATTTTGGTGAAAGTGTCATTGTTTTAGATGTTTAAAAAAATGTAATGCTACTAAATGTGTATAGTCCTGAAACCACCTTTGGTTTGGACTTTACTATGTGACCTTTCTAAGACTCAGTTTGGAGAGAATATGACATAGAGAAAAGAGGATATGTTTTGATGTTAGGTAAACCTGGGTTTGGAACCTAACTGTGTCACCTATAAGTTGTTTATAACCTTGGGTAGATTGATTAACTCATTTGTGAAGTGGAGGCAATAGTAACACACTTATCTTACAAAGTTATGAGGATTAAATGAGGTGAGAGTTTAATATGTGACATAGTACCTGACATATGCTTAACTTATAGTGTAAGAAGTATCAGTTCTTGCCCTGTATCTCCTATACATTTATTCTTAAAATGCAAGTAATTATAAAATATAATAACTAGGAAAAGGCTTAGTTGGCTTTTTAACATTGGAAAAATAACCTAAGAAGAGATATTTATATGAAGGTACCTTAGAATTCACTTTAAAAGAACTAATTTAAGAACATGGAAAACAGTGGGCATGAAGTTAAAGGATGTCAAATTGATGGTTAATATTTTCTAATCAAAGGGTGGTACAAAAAGAGGGTATCATTTGATTTGAACTCATTTCTCAATATTTGTTTAGAATTGCTTACTTTAAGTAACTTACTATGGCCATCTTTCACAGGAATATTAAATTCTTTTCTAAAAATTAGAATCGTAAGATTCATGACCTCAACTTTTCTTCAAGTATGAATAATGTGTCCAAATTTTTGCTACTGTTGAAGAGAATCTTAGGGTACAACTTCTTCAATAATGTAAAATTCATATTCTCTCTCTGTATATGTATAGACACACACACTGTATAAACACATATGTTTATGATTATAGATATATATACACTTAATCATGTATGGTGAAATTACTCTGCTTTTTACAAGTCTAAAACTTTGTGTAACCTCTTCAAGAAGTGTGCTCTTTTCTTTGCCTTTCATGTGAAGCACCGTGGCTCCAACTACTGAAATAGCCTCCCTTCAGTAACAAACTCTAATTTGGTTTTAGGCTTTACCCAAGAAATACAGTACCGAAATTTTATTTTTTCTGAATGGAGCTTTCTATGTTAATTAGCACATGCTGGCTTCACTATCTCTCTCTGTAATTTATTTAGTCTTTTCACTAGAATTTTTTTTTTCTAAATGTCAGTGTACCACTCAGCCTAAGTTCATCCTGGAGTGTCTTTTCTTTCACTTTTTTAGTCTGCAGATTCCACCTGCAGAGGTAGGTTGCTAATTTGTTTCTTCAACACTATAGCCTATTGTATCACCTGTCTGTCTCGTTGAAGATAAACAGCAAAAGTTGAGAACGCTTGTCCTCTGTTGCTTACCTCTTCCCATACTTATTTTCTCCTGTGAAAGCTCTTCCTGGTTACTAAGTGATCTCCATGTCTGTTTCTGTACCCTGAAAGGTAGAATTGAAATTGAAGAAATTCTGGTCTGCTATAGAGGATTAAATGCTAGGCATGCTTAATGTGTAAAAAGTTGCTTTTTAAGATCCATTTTAAAGTTTTAAACCCTTAATCACTAATTTGTTTACTTTTGTTTATGGTATTTAAATATTACACAATTTTAATTTCTTTTCTAGGTTTTCCATTATTATGGCCCTGCTTTAGAATTTGTGCAGATGATAAAATTATCAGATCTACCCTCCTGCTATATGTCGGATATTGAATTTGAGTTGTATCCTTTCATTTACATGTTCATTTTAGATTACATTTTCTGTGTCAGGTAGAATGTTCTGGTATTGTCAGGTAAATATACATGTTAGGTATATCTTTTTCATTATATTCACTGTTTTAATGTTGATGTTCAAGTAGGCTGCTGGACTCCTTATTTTTGGAGTTGCTGGGGAAGGAAGTTCTTGCTTTTCCCACCACCTGGATCCTATACCTATTTTATCAGAAATCTTCCTCCCTATGCAAGCATCTTTATTTTTGTTCAGTATTGTTGAGACTTTTCTATGGATAGGGCTATGGAAATAATACAGAAGTGATTGAGCCTTGCTTCTTTAATGCAATTATAATGTTCTCTGCTTGAGCACAGGACTGATCTACTCTCACACCTAGCCTAGCATTAACTGCAACTTTGTCCTTCCCACCCACTGCCCAGACACCACCACGTATATATTTTATGTGCTTTTGTTAACTTTACTATTATTTTTTATAGTTTTAATGCTTTTTGGAAATAATTTCCCTTTTCCTGAAATCCAGGAATACATCTCCATGACTTCTGTGTTTTACTCAATATGTTTCTGCTGAAGAAGTCTGTAACTGCAATATATCATAGCATAGAGTAAGCACTCAATATTGTCAGATGAATGACTTTGGATTATGTCAGCCTAAATCAAAATACTCATTATTTTCTTATTGAAAGTTCTTTGCTGCAGAAAAGATAACATATACAAAGGTGTAGGAGAACGTTACCCAGCTGAGAACTGTTTGTAGTCTAGAATCATTAAAGAGTAGTGGTTTTTTGGCTTGGGGGTGTTGAGGGCAGTTGCTAAGTGATCAGATTGGAGAGCCTTTTCAGATTAATCAGGTCCTAAAAGACCTTACGTATCATGATTGGGGTTAAATTCTATCCTAAAGATAATGAGGAATCATACAAGGATTATAAGCCAGACATAGCTTAATGAAAAGTAAATTTTAGATCATGCTGGTAGGATTTTGGAAACCTGAGCAAAGCTCGAACTAAACAAGTGGCATTTGGAATGGAGAGCCAGGAAAAGTACACGATGTGTTAAAGATGTAAAATCAACACGGTATTATGATTTATTTATTACATGCGGAGAAAGTGAGAAGGCCAGAGAGTGTAGTTGATTCCCTATGTTGAAACTGGTGTCACTAGTTGAGATAACATGAGGTGAGCCATTTTCGCAGAGGAAAAGGAATTCAGGTTCGGGTAGTTGGAGTGGTAATGTACATTGTAGTAAAAAGCATAATAGGTAGTTTAAAAAATTTTTTATCCATTATACATTACTGTTGAGAACCATTTAGCCAGCATGCTACCTGGCAGTATAACTAGACGTTACTTTCAGATATAATCTATTATTAATACTTCTTTTCTCTGTCCTCATCTGTTAGCAGCTTGTAGGTCAGAAGCTATTTGATGTTTTTATCTTATATTAGATTCTTGTCTTAGACCAATGGTTTTCAAACTATCTTCCAAGGAAAGTCGAGGACTGAGTTCTTCAGATAATGGGATTGAAAGATAAGTTGAGTGGGCATGGCTCTTGGCCCCCTCCTACTGCAACCAGAGCAGCACCTGTTCTACCCTAAATATTGGGTTTCCATATAAAATGTCACTTGCAAAAAGTTGCTGCATTAAAAAGGTTTGCAAAGTGCACTGTAAACTGTTTTCATGGTACCACCCAACACTTAGATGTTTGGCCGTGTTTTTACATAATATTCAGTATACTTTTTGCTACCATTATGTTAAGAAAAGTTCTACAACTTGAAAAAAAAAATCTTCCCTCAAATACTGTATTTATGCTTTTAGAATAGGCAGAGGACTTCCTGGTATATGGTGTAGAGAGGAGGGAGAAATGTTAGGAATCTGTGGAAAATAAAACAAGTAATTTATAAACTTAAAAAATGTTTAAATGTTTCTCCTGCCATCAGCATGAAGAAACCTAAGAATCAGTCAGCTGATGTATCATTTTATGTATTTAAGTAAATATAAATGGTATCACATGTATCTGCAAATATATTCAACATATTTTAAACTCTCTTTTAAAAATATATAAGCATGTTTAGAAATACACCTAAGAACAGAACATTTTATATAAAAAGAAATTGTTATTGGCTGGAAATGAAACACTAGCATAGTGTTTTTGAATTTTTATTTAGGAGCTACAGTTTTTATAAATTTCTTGTTCTTATAGTTTATAGTAATGCTCTATATAGTAGCACTGTTTCTTAGCATATTTTCAGAATCAAACAAATAATTGGAAAAATACTTATCCTTAGGGAAAGGCGTAATTGTTAACTGCTACAGTTAAATTTTTTAATAGATGAATTTAAGCAACTGTGGAAGAATTGAAATAATGAAACTTATTTTAAGGAGTACATTGTTTCATGGGTACCATTACATCATTTCTTTAACTCCTTAGTACAGAGGATTGACAAACAGTACCAAACAGAATTCTGTGTTGCTGTTGGAGCAGATTTCTTCTCTGTGTAGCAAGGTATTGAGGGTTTCTTGGGGGTTTTTTGTTTGTTTGTTTTTATACTTGCCATTTAAGGATGTGTAAGAAAAGGGAATGTAACTTATTAATCTGTTTGCTTGATGACTTGGTTTCTTTAATGTAATATAGGATAATTTTGGTCCTAACTCATATTAAGATACTTTGGACTTTTCATAATAACTGTAAAAGTACTCTGCAAACATAAGTGACATTTTGTTTTTAGGAGATATTTTCAGAAATAAGCTTTATGACTGGTAATTGCTTTAAAGTTTTAAAATTTTATAACATGTTATTGTTAACCTACTTCTTCAACATGCGATTTCAATTTTATGAGAAGACATTCATATACTTGCATTCTTTTTCTCATTGTAGGGCAGGGGATGAAAGTGGAAAAAGCTAAAGTTCTACTAAATTGTCATTTGGGAGTTTTCAATTTTTCTTTCTAAATTCTGATGATGTTTAGGAGATTTATGGCTACTTTAACAGTTATTTTGTATATATAATGATGTAAAATTGGTATATTTTTAACTTTAAAAAAATTACAATATAAAGAATTTTAAGTGGACTCATCTATTTGAAATCAAATTCAGTTTCTAATAGGAAAAAGTGAAAGTTTGCTTTTTTTCTAGTTATTTATTCAACTGTTATGTTTCTGTGAAAACAATTTTTAATGCACAAAATCTTTATTGGCAGTACTTACATTACATTTTCTTATTGTTTTAATAACAAGTAGACTAGCAAATAGTCCTGCAGGGAGAAAGTGATTATTATAATTATAACAGTTTCCCTATGGTGCTAAAATCAAGTCTTGGTTATAATTCCTATAGAAAATCGATATAGTAAAGGAAAAATGATTTTGACCTTAAGATGTATATTTGACTATATAGTAACTTAAAATTTTGGCTTCTGGCCTCTTTTTCCATAAATTTAATAGTCCTTTGAATAGGACGACAAAGTATTTATTTGATGAAGTGGCCTTTACCAATATTAACCTGGCTTTCATCCTCTAAGAATAACTAATTTACTAAATTTTGAAATTTTAAAATTTATCTTTTATCATTTATCCAACATATATTCTACTGTGTATGAGGTACTATACTAGATTTCGGGAACCCAGTAATGAAGTGTACAGAAGAAGCTTCTGTATTTGTGGAACTTACATTTTAGGGGACCAACAGAAAATAAATAACTACAGACATAATAAGAATTATGAAGAAATAAACAGCCTGAGATAGGGAATAAGTCAAGAGACCCTAGTTTAGATAGAGATTAATAAGGCCATACATTTCTCCAAACTATTTGCAGAGACAGCTTATGAATTAGTATATATTTTTTAAGTGCACTGAGAATAAAAAATACCCTGCTTCTATTTTAATCCAGGTAGCCAAGTAGCTCTCTGTATATCCCTGTCCAGTCACCTAATTTTTTGGAGATGCTTCCTTGTATGGATTGAGAAAATTGTTATTTATCATTAATTATCTATATTGCCAAATAAGGGAGGAAAGGAATATAGATGGTATAGTAGAAAGTCTTAAATAGAAGAGCATGTTTTTTAGAAAACTTGACTTTAAGCCATAGCTATGCCACTCACTGGCTTACAGCTCTTAATATTGTAAACTGGAAATAATAATCCCTCTGTTACCTATTTCAGAGTTGTAATAAAAACCAAATTGAAATGTATTTTATAAACTACCAAGTATGATATAAATGATGGTTGCTAACTAATTTTTTATTGTCTTTGAAGTTTATGTGGCCCAAATGATGGACACACATATGTGAAGCAGTTTCCTTAAAAGTATAAAGCGCTAGATATTAGATATTCTCTAAGTAATTTGAAGGTATGATGAAATTTATAGAAATTTTACAGAGAAATTTGTAGAAATCTTATAGAGACTTTTTTTTTTTTTTTTTTTTTTGAGACGGAGTCTCGCTCTGTCACCCAGGCTGGAGAGCAGTGGCGCGATCTCAGCTCACCGCAACCTCTGCCTCCCGGGTTCAAGTGATTCTCCTGCCTCAGCCTCCCAAGTAGCTGGGATTACAGGCATGTGCCACCATGCCTGGCTAATTTATAGAGACTATTTCAAGTCAAAATGAGATCTGTACCTATAGTTTAACACAGGTGTAACATAAGCATTAGTCCATCTAGTTATTGAAGATAGGCAACACTAATCCTAGAAGCACCCTAAACTATTAATGTTTAATAATATATTTTCAGTTGTTTTGTTTTAAATTTGTTGTATTAGATTATCATTTTTTCTTCTCAAACCATGATTGTAAAATATTACAACATACTTTATTAGTAAGAAATAGAGACTTTATAACTATGTTCCCAGTTCAATGCAGCAAAAGGGATTATTTTTGAAGCCATATATTATGTAACTTAGAAAACAAATCTAAATATGAAGTAATTTATTTTTCTTAAACATTGAGTTATGATTTGTTTTTTACTCTTTTTTTTTTTTTTTTTTTAGACGGAGTCTCGCTCTATTGCCCAGGCTGGAGTGCAATGGTGTGATCTTGGCTCACTGCAACCTCCGTCTCCCGGGTTCAAGCAATTCTCCCGGCTCAGCCACTCAACTACCTAGAACTACAAGCATACACCACCATGGTTGGCTAATTTTTTTTTGTATATTTAGTGGAGACAGGGTTTCGTCATGTTGGCCAGGCTGGTCTTGAACTCCTGACCTCAAGTGACCCACCCACCTCGGCCTCCCAAAGTGCTGGCTTTACAGGTGTGAGCCACTGCACCTGGTCATTTTTCACATTTTTGAAAAAGTGTTTAATTACATACCAGTTCTTTGAAATCTAGTGCTTTATAACTTGGGTTTCAGCTGGGCGCGGTGGCTCACGCCTTTAATTCCAGCACTTTGGGAGGCCGAGGCAGGTGGATCACCTGAGGTCAAGAGTTTGAGACCAGCCTGGCCAACATGGTGAAACCCCATCTCTACTAAAAATACAAAAAATTAGCCGGGCAAGGAGGCGCTTGCCTGTAGTCCCAGCTATGCGGGAGGCTGAGGCAGGAGAATCACTTGTACCCAGGAGGTGGAGGTTGCAATGAGCCAAGATCACGCCACTGTACTCGAGCCTGGGCAACAGAGCGAGACTCCGTCTCAAAAAATAAATAAATAAATACCTTGGGTTTCATTTATTAAACAATTAATTTTTTTAAAAATGTTTTTACTGCTGCTATCTGCCAGATGCTTGTTTGTAATATTGGATAGAATAAGATGGACAGGCCCTTTCTCAAGAAACTTTCATGGTGCTTAAATTCTATTGCTTTGTGTGATCTTCAGTCAGCATCTTAGCTTAAACAAATTATTTATCTATGTAACTATGATTAGCCCCAGAATATAAGTAAAAACTTCTTGGAGTAAAGCTTATTTTACTAATAATTAAGCTAGATTAGGAAAAGACAAGATAGGATTGTTAGGGAGTTATGATGTTCACTAATCTTCTGGCTGGGAAATATTTCTTCAGAGAGAGGAATTTGCAAGCTAGAAACATGATTTCCACAATGACTGCTTGTTGGAGAGGACCTACTGAAAAGATTTAATCAAGATTTTGAAACTCAGGCCAGGTGCAGTGACTCACGCCTGTAATCCCACCACTTTGGGAGGCCAAGGCGGGTGGATCACTTGAGGTCAGGAGTCCAAGACCAGCCTGAGCAACATGGTGAAACCCCGCCTCTACTAAAACAATAGAAAATATTATCCAGGCGTGGTGGCATGCGCCTACTTGGGAGGCTGAGGCGGGAGAGTCACTTGAACCAGGGAGGCAGAGGTTGCAGTGAG
This sequence comes from Homo sapiens, assembly GCF_000001405.40. Lineage (NCBI taxonomy): Eukaryota > Metazoa > Chordata > Mammalia > Primates > Hominidae > Homo > Homo sapiens. The sequence goes on from NC_000008.11 coordinate 120,467,553, forward strand.
CAGAGATCACACCACTGCACTCCAGCATGGGCAACAGGGTGAGATTGTCTCAAAAAAAAGATTTTGAAACTCAGATTTGAAATGTTATTTGGCGTTTATATTCTGGAGATAGAATGATAGCTTGAACAGATCATCCTCAAGTCTCTCAGAGGTTATCTAATGATTAGTGTATGGGTGAGAACAAGTTATCAGCACCTAAGTGTATTAAGAATGCATTATAAACAACTGACAATTTTATTTTGTAGGGAATTATAGTTTGTGTGATTTAGAAATACTTATTTTCATATTTGTAGCAAATGTCTAGTCAATTTCAGTCTGTCTCAAAAGTGTGGCCATTTCAGCTAATGGGTCCCACCACATTTATATTAGGTTATAAGTAATGCATTGAACTGCATTTAGCATCCCTAAAATGTTGAGAAAGCTATAACTGGGACTCAGTCTGGCATACTCACATTACAGCCTTGTCCACCTTTTTAACCGTACAGTCTGGTCACATTTTTTGGGTTATGAAGTCTTATGTATGCAAGAAAGAACTAGGATTTAGTGTCGAGAAAATTAGATATATTTTTTATATTTAATGATTATTTTCTATTGCTAAATATTTTTATTTTTAATTTCTAATTCTTAACTACATAAAATATATTTGACTTTAAAAAGATTATGGCTATAATAATAAAGAAAAATAAGCATATTTCTTTTAACCTTTCTTATTTTGTTCCTAACATATTAGGTTGGTGTAAAAGTAATTATGGTTTCAGACCATGAATTTTAAGTCATTATAACTAGGCTCAAACACATCTTTATGAATAAAAATAGAAACCATTACAATCAACACATTTTTGCCAATGATAATTAAGTTTTTTTATTCCTGTAGTATAAAAATCCATGCTTTGGAATTCTACGAACTCTTGGAAAGCGTTTTCTGCATCCTGCCTTGCCTGTGGAAGCATTTTCCCTGCAAAAAGTTGTTGAGATGCTTGAGGAAGTGGCAGTCAGTTGGTGAGAGGTCAGGTGAATATGATGGATGAGGCAAAACTTTGTAGCCCAGTTCATTCAACTTTTGAAGCATTCATTGTGTGACGTGTGGTCAGGCGTTGTCATGGAGAAGAATTGGGCCCTTTCTGTTGACCAATGCCGGCTACAGGTGTTGCAGTTTTTGGTGCATCTCATCGATTTGCTGAGCATAAGTCTTAGATGTAATGGTTTCACCAGGATTCAAAAAGCTGTCATGGATCAGAATGGCAGCAGACCAGGAAACAGTGACCATGACCTTTTTTTTAGTGCAAGTTTGGCTTTGGGAAGTGCTTTGGAGCTTCTTTTCGGTCCAACCACCAGGCTAGTCATCGCCCACTTTTCATCACACAATCTGATCGAGAAATTGTTCGTTGTTGTGTAGAATAAGGGAAGATGACACTTCAAAACAACAATTTTTTAAATTTTTGCTCAGCTTATGAGGCACCTACTTATTGAGCTTTTGGGGGTTTATTTATTTATTTTTTTGTTTTGTTTTTGAGATAGAGTCTCACTCTGTTGCCCAGGCTGGAGTGCAGTGGCTCAATCTGGGCTCATTGCAACCTCTGCCTCCCAGGTTCAAGCAATTCTCCTGCCTCAGCCTCCCAAGTATCTGGGACTACAGGCGTATGCCACCATGCCTGGCTAATTTTTGTATCTTTAGTAGAGACAAGGTTACACCATATTGGCCAGGGTGGTCTCGAACTCCTGACCTCAGGTGATCCACTTGCCTCGGCCTCCCAAAGTGCTGAGATTACAGGTATGAGCCACCATGCCTGGCCTTATTGAGCTTTCTAATTTGCTTCAAATGCCAAATGACCATAGAATGGTCGACAATGAGTTCTTCTGCAACTTCTTGTGTAGTTGCAAGAGGATCAGCTTCGATCATTGCTCTCAATTGGTTTTTGTCAGCTTCCTATGGCCGGCCGCTATACCACTCATCTTCAAGGCTCTCGTCTCCTTTGCAAAACTTTTTGAACCACCATTGCACTGCATGTTCGTTAGCAGTTCCTGGGCCAAATGCGTTGATGTTGCAAGTTGTCTCCACTGCTTTATGACCCATTTTGAACTCGAATAAGAAAATTACTCACATTTGTTTTTTGTCTAACATCATTTCCATAGTCTAAAATAAACATAAACAGCAAGTAATAAGTTATTAGCCAGAAAACATAAAGCGAGAAATGCTCATTAAAATGATGTATAACATAACCACACTTATTTAAGAACATATTCCAATATCAAACGGCAAATTTCAACAGTGCAAAAACCACAATTACGTTTGCACCAACCTTAATATTTATTTTTATATCTGTGAATTAAGAATGCATAAGTAAAAATAATAGCAACAAAACATTAAAATATTAGTGATCATGTATTTCATGTAACTAGTCCATCAATATAGGACAGTTAAAAGTGGTTTTGCACTAGCTTTAAGATCTTTGGCAAATGCTTTGCCTAAATTTTCCCAAAGTTTTAAAATGAAATACTTTTTACTGAGATGTGATTGATATAGCTGCATTTCTAAAATAACAGGAAAAATATAGCTTTCAGAACTGTGGTTTGTTTTATTCAGCCCTTAATAAACTGAGAATTTACCTAAATAGATTATGGTGATTTTGTTGAACCAATATTTAATAAGCATCTGTATCCCCAGCCCTGGCAATACAAAGATGAATAAGCAGAGTTTGCTCATAAATCAGTCAGAAGTTGCTGTATGTTTTCTAGCATATAATTCATTGTCTTCTCCTCAGTTTTTACCTATTAGCATTAAATCTCTGATTTCCAGGAACAAAGTTTCTGAGTTGCCTTCAAATGTATTTTAATTTTGAAACTAGAACAATAATACATCTAGTCAAGAAGTTATAAGATGATGGTTGAATATAACAAAATATTTTGGTGCTAGAACTCAGCCTTACACTGTTTTGTATATATACAAATAAATTATGTCCACAACCTGAACTTGAAGCAAATATTGTGTATTTTTCAGAGATGTATACCTCAGTGGAAAAGGGAAGCCTGTAGCTTTGAATGCCTTTGCTGTTTTTGTTTGTCTGCATTTTAGCTTTTATTTTGTTTTGTTTTGACAGAGGGTGGGCCATTGTTCTTACTTTTTAGTTTTTATAGTGGAGTTTTTGGGAGAGGGCATTACTAAATGCATGTTACATTGGTGAAATATGAGTGGAAAATTGTCAACTGGCACTATTCAAGAATGAATCTCAATGTGCAATCAATAAAAATATGGTCTGTTTTATTCAGGTTGGTGCTCTTTTTGTATTGCCATGTACCATTAGTAACATACTGATTCCACCTCCCAACCAACTCAGTTCAAGAAAATGGAAGGAATATATAGCTAAAAAGCCTAAAACAATCAGTGGTAAGTATTACATGTTTCGGTTGTTTTAATGATGCAGCATAGTTAATGTATGTATCAAATTTGAAGTGAAGATAACATTTCTATATGAGAAAACAGGATTTCATATTATTGCTACTGATTACCAGGAGTCCACATCATTTTAAGATTTTTAATTGCAACCTACTGTAACATAAAGTATCTCTAACCATATTCATTTAAAATGCTAGTGATCTAAAGGCAGAACTCTTGGTTCATTAGATAGCTAATTATACTGAACATGGGTTTTTTAGAGACATTTCAGGAATCAAATTTGTGAAAAGAGCAGTTCATTTATTATATGGTACATAAAAAACCTGTGATAATTTTTTGAAGAAATTAGTAGAAGTTATTTATTTATTTATTTAGAGATAGAGTCTCGCTTTGTCACCCAGGCTAGAGTGCGGTGGCACGATCTTGGTTCACTGCAACCTCCACCTCCTGGGTTCAAGTGATTCTCCTGCTTCAGCCTCCCAAGTATATGGGATTACAGGCACCCACCACCATGCCTGGCTAATTTTTATATTTTTAGTCGAGATGCGGTTTCACCATGTTGGCCAGGCTGGTCTCGAACTCCTGACCTCAAGTGATTCACCTGCCTCCGCCTCCCAGAGTGCTAGGATTACAGGCGTGGGCCACCGCACTTGACCTAAAGTTTTTTATTTAACAGTTTAACTGTATGTTACACAGTATTCCAAGTATTCTATTTTAGAAATATTGATTCATTTAATTTTTGTAATAACCCCATATACTTATTTTTATCCCCATTTTACAGATGAAGGAATTGGAGCTTAGAGAAGTGACAGAGCTGTTAATTGGCAGAACCTACGGCTCTGTCACTTCTCCAAGGGTTTGAATCTGTGCTCTTGTGCTCTTTACCACTACACTGTGTTTCCACTCTGTTCCTCTAGTATGTTCAAGATGTCTTTATCCAAATGAAAATTTCTGTTATAAAATCAGAGATTAAGTCCAAACCCTAGTATTTCATGAGGTGATTCTGGCTTAGAATGTTAAAATTGCTTTCCCAAAGTCACATTGGTGAAGTGTGTTCCATCATACTTTGGCCTTGATGTGTGTTTTTTAAATTGAACAAAAATTGTTTACTTTTTTTTTAGCTTATAGTTTTTGTGACCCATAATGTGATGGGACTAAGAACTGTAATTGAAACTATTATGAAGAAATCTGTAGAAATACTCCACAGCGCCCTTGAATTTTGAGGAATACAGTTTTAAAATCAGTAGCTTATACAGTACAGATTTTCTATTTTTCTGTATAAGAAACAGGAGAGATACTGAATTCTATTTTAGCAGATGTTGAATTTCAAATGTAGGTAAGATATCTATGTGGAAATTTAAATGTAGAGTTTGAAATTTAGATACAGATCTCTAGGTAATAGTCAGGGCTGGAGATCTAGATTTTGAGTTTTCCAGCAGTTTTGTTTATCTATTGCGTAATAAGCCACCCCGAAACTTAGTGGCTTGAAAGAGCAAACATTTTATTTGCTTATAGTTTGCAGTCTGAGCTGCCCTCAGCAGAGTAGTTCTACTGATCTCACGAGAAGTCATTGATGTGGGTGTTTTGAACTTGCAGATGATTTGGAGGCTGGGTTCAGTGGAGCTGGCTGGCTTTCTCTCTCCGTTTAGTCTTAGAGCCTTTTCCTTGCCACATGGTCTTCTCAGATGATCTCTCCTGCAAGTTAGCTGGAATTTTTCCATGGTGGCTCAGGACAAACATATAGAACTTGAAACTACCAAGACTTTTTAAGGCTTAATCCCAGGACTAGCCCAGTCTTACTTCTGTTACATTCCGTTATTTAGAGCTAGTTACAAGAATAGTCTAAATTCAAGGGGGAAGTACCTATCCAAAGGTGTGAATAATAGGAAGCCACCAATGTAAAAAGTCTACCATAGGTGCCTGTAAGTTAGGAATGTAGAATGTTAGTTAGGAATGGTTGAAAACAACAATACATAAAGAACATGGCTAGAGAAGAGAGCCAAGGATAGGGTCTTTAGAAATATAGTCATCCCTCAGTATCCACTGGGGATTGGTTCCAGGACCCCTGTGGATAACAAAATTCCTAGATGCTCAAACCCCTCATATAAAATGGAGTAGGAGTTGTATATAACTTCTGCACATCCTCCTGTATATTTTACATCATCTCTAGATTACTTATAATGCCTGATACAATGTAAATGCTATGTAAATACTTGTTATGCTATATTCTTTTTTTAAATTTGTATTCTTCTTGGTTATTAATTTGTTATTTTTAAATTTTTTTTGGAATATTTTCAATTCGTGGTTGGTTGAATCCACAGTGTGAAACCCATGGATGTAGAGGCAAATTGTACCTGCATGTAAGGTGAAAGTGGAGAAAAGTTAGGAAATGATATGGTAAATGGTCTTTGGAAGACCCTAGCAAGTTATCGTTAACATCAGCATTAAAATACCATTTATACAGAGCGTGGTGCAAAGTGTGGGAAATAAAGGAGCATCAAACTGGGTTTTTACACTTAAGGAAGTAGATTCATTGTCTTTTTCGCTGTGAAATTTATACTCAAGTGAGGAATGTACCTAGGACAATAATTATAAGTCTGTTTGGCCAACACTGTGAAGGCAAAATGGAAGGTACTTCCAGAGTGTATGACCTAACATAGCCTTAAGAGCTCAAGAAAAGTTTCCTATAGGAGGAGACATTATTACTGTAACTTACTGCACCATACTAATACATGAATAAGTGCAGCTTTTAACCCTTCTCATCTCACAGGGAACAAATATATATTTGGTAATTTTGGCACTTGCTAAAACAAAATCAGAAATAGATTTTCTGAGTGGCAATATAGTCAATTTCGCTTATTCTACATATAGTCATGGGATAATACTGATCCATTTCTCAGCTTTACATATGTCTAAAATTGATTAGACATATGTAGACATATGCAATCAGTTAATCATAATATTAACATCTCCTTAATAAACTTGAGTGTATTCTGGCAACCCATTCATTATTTATTTTTCCTCTCATAACTTTCTCCAACTTCAAACTACCATTATGTTGGAACTTCTGATTTTAAGGTAATTTACTCTTAACTTAGGCGTGGGGGTTTTTTTGGCCTGATTTCCATTGTAATTTTAAGAATATATCATGTGGCTTGATTTGATTTTTTAAAATTATCTCCTCTTGAAATCTGAGCATTAATATTGGTAACTTGTGAATAATAATAAGACACAGATCACATAATCTTTGAAACCAGATTGTTGATTACTGATTAGGCTGGATCATTAAGGGCTGATTAAGCTGACACTTAACAGTATTTAAAAAAAAAATCTTAGAAGTAGAAATAAAATCAAACTGGACAGTTGATTATTCAGTTCTATTCTACCCATAATCCTCTCTGTAGGATAAATTCTTACCCATTGATGGAACTTTTTTTTGTAAAAATAGAGAAGCTGAGTTTTAGTTAATGTAAAAGCTTCAATAACTCACACCTGGAAAACTTCCTATCCCTTCCTAGCATCACTAACAATACCCTTTCTCACTATCAGACTCTCAGATCATTCTCCTACACCATGACTCTGTTTCTCCACAATCTACTGAATTATGCCCAACTGTCCTCTATTGTTGCCACATATATTCCAGAATCTTCATTCTAACTTTGTACTGTTTCCTAAAAGTATTCCCTGATTTTATTCCTTTGTGACTTTATTATTCATTCATTCATCTAGTCAGTTATACCTTTTATTCATTTATTTGAATATACAGCAGATATTGTGTATCAAGCATGGTACTGTTATCTTGGGATTACTGATCCATGAGATAGACTTGAGTCTTCCTCTAATGGAATTTACACTGTACCACAGAAAATAGATATTCAGAAGTTATTATAACATTGTATTTAGTAGTCACTGACTAGAAAAAATCCCCAAGACATAATGAAAAAAGCAAGGTATGCAATAGTTATGGTATTAATGGTAAAAACAAGTTTGTGTGTATTTAGCATTTAAACATATTTGTATATGCATTAAGTATCTGCTTTTTCAACAGATATTTTTATCGAGCACTTACAATATATTAGGCACTGTTTTACATGCTGGACAAGCAGTAAATAGAACAAAATCCTTTCCCTAATGGAGCTTACTTTATGGTAGAGGTCACAGGTTTAGTTTTTCCCCCAGATAGCCATATGACTAGTTCCTAATTTTTTCAGGTCTTTACTCCAAAATCATTTTTCTCTTTTAGGACCTTTTTTGCCAGCCCATCTAAAGTTACAAACAGACTCTTCTCCTGACCTCTTATTCATCTTCCTAGCTTTATCTTTTTACCTTAGTACTCATGCTGTCTATTATACTAAATGTGTGTCTACCTGATGCTTAACAGTTACTCAAAAATATTTGTTAAATAATGAGTGAAGTATATATTTCTAGTTAGTAATAACTGTTCTCCAGACAGATAAAGAAAGACTTTGAATGGACTCCATCCATGTAGTGTGAACCAAAATTTGTGCTCCAATTTTTATCAGTTTCCTAGGTTTCATCCTTTGATGAAATAAAAAATATGTGTATTAATTTGAACCATCTGATGTTTTTTTATATATCAAAAATTGTTACTTATCAGCAATTTCACATAGTTTGAACTTAAATGGACAAACAATGCCCAATTTGAAGTATGGTTTAATTATAATAGTAAATGAATGCCTTTTAAAATTGGTATTCAATAAAATACCCAGAAATTATGATGATACAGGAAAAATGCAAAAGCACTGTACAAAAAAATGAAATTAAGTCAACCTTATTACATTTCAAAAGAAAAATGCCTATATGTAAAACTTTTATTGAGAAGACAGATGAATAGTGAAAAATGGCTGGCTTGCCGTGTTTACAGAGATATTTTATGAAATTGTCAAAAAATTGAATGATCATCTGCAACCTAAACAAATCATAGATAAGTAATAAAAAATTGTATCTCCCATTATTGAAAGCCTACTATGTGCCATATGCTGTGGATTCATTATCTTTAATTCTCGAAACAATACTGAGAAGTAGGTTTTTAAAAAAACCTTTATATTACAATTGAGAAAAATAAGGTAATCAAGGAAACCAAGAACCTTATCTAATGTCACAGGGTGGAATTAGAATTTCTACCTAATTTTGAATGTATCTAAAGGCCATGCATGATTTCTTTTGTCACATCATGTATACTTTTGTTGAAAATAATTTTTAGAACTTGGTCTTTTCGGCCTTCGATAAACTTAAACACCCCTTCATGCTAAAACTCTCAATAAGCTAGGTATTGATGGAACATATCTCAAAATAATAAGAGCTATTTATGACAAACCCGTAGCCAATATCATACTGAATGGGCAAAACCTGGAAGGATTCCCTTTGAAAACTGGCACAAGACAAAGATGCCGTCTCTCACCACTCCTATTCAACATAGTATTGGAAGTTCTGGCCAAGGTAATCAGGCAAGAGAAAGAAATAAAGGGTATTCAGATAGGAAGAGAGGAAGTCAAATTGTCTCTGTTTGCAGGCAACATGATTGTATATTTAGAAAACTCCATCGTCTCAGCCCAAAATCTCCTTAAGCTGATAAACAACTTCAGCAAAGTCTCAAGATACAAAATCAATGTGCAAAAATTACAAACATTCCTATACACCAATAATAGACAAAGAGCCAAATCATGAATGAACTCCAATTCACAATTGCTACAAAGAGAATAAAATACCTAGGAATACAACTTACAAGGGCTGTGAAGGACCTTTTCAAGGAGAACTACAAAGCACTGCTCAAGGAAATAAGAGAGGACACAAACAAATGGAAGACTATTTCATGCTCATAGATAGGTAGAATCAATACCGTGAAAATGGCCTTACTGCCCAAAGTAATTTATAGATGGAATGCTATCCCCATCAAGCTACCACTGACTTTCTTCACAGAATTAGAAAAACTACTTTAAATTTCATATGGAACCAAAAAAGAGCTCATATAGCCAAGACAATCCTAAGCAAAAAGAACAGAGCTGGAGGCATCACGCTACATGACTTCAAACTATGCTACAAGACTACAGTAACCAAAACAGCATGGTGCTGGTACCAAAACAGTTATATAGACCAATGGAACAGAACAGAAGCCTCAGAAATAACGCCACACATCTACAACCATCTGAACTTTGACAAACCTGACAGAAACAAACAATGGGGAAAGGATTCCATATTTAATAAATGGTGTTGGGAAAACTGGCTAGCCATATGCAGAAAGCTGAAACTGGACCCCTTCCTTACACCTTATACAAAAATTAACTCAAGATGGATTAAAGACTTACACATAAGACCTAAAACCATAAAAACCCTAGAAGAAAACTTAGGCAGTACCATTCAGGACATAGGCATGGGCAAAGACTTCATGAGTAAAACACTAAAAGCAATGGCAGCAAAAGCCAAAATTGACTAATAGGATCTAATTAAACTAAAGAGCTTCTTCACAGCAAAAGAAACTATCATCAGAGTGAACAGGCAACTTACAGAATGGGAGAAAATTTTTGCAATCTATCCATCTGACAAAGGGCTAATATCCAGAATCTACAAGGAACTTAAACAAATTTACAAGAAAAAAGCAAACAACCCCATCAAAAACTGGGCTAAGGATATGAACAGACACTTCTCAGAAAAAGACATTTATGCAGCCAATAAACATATGAAAAAAAGCTTATCCTCACTGGTCATTAGAGAAATGCAAATCAAAACCACAATGAGATACCATCCCATGCCAGTTAGAATGGCGATCATTAAAAAGTCAGGAAACAACAGATGCTGGAGAGGATCTGGAGAAATAGGAACACTTATACACTGTTGGTGGGAGTGTCAATTAGTTCAACCATTGTGGAAGACAGTGTGGCAATTCTTCAATGATCTAGAACCAGAAATACCATTTGACCCAGCCATCCCATTACTGGGCATATACCCAAAGGATTATAAATCATTCTACTATACAGACACATGCACATATATGCTTATTGCTGCACTATTCACAATAGCAAAGACTTGGAACCAACTCAAATGCCCATCAATGATAGACTGGATAAAGAAAATGTGGCACATATACACCATGGAATACTACGCAGCCATAAAAAAGAATGAGTTCATGTCCTTTGCACGGACATGGATGAAGCTGGAAACCGTCATTCTCATCAAACTAACACAAGAACAGAAAATCAAACACCACATGTTCTCACTCATAAGTGGGAGTTGAACAATGAGAACACATGGACACAGGGAGGGGAACATCACATACTGGGGCCTGTCAGGGTATGGGGGGCTAGGGGAGGGATAGCATTAGGAGAAATACCTAATGTAGATGGTTTGATGGGTGCAGCAAAGCACCATGGCACATGTATGCCTATGTAACAAACCTGCACATTCTGTACATGTATCCCAGAACTTAAAGTATAATAAAGAAAAAAAAAAACTTGGTCTTTTCAATTTTATGTCTTGATATTTGTGGAAATAATTTATCCTCATGTAGCAGAATAATAGTATCTGACAATTTTATAATTCTAGATGTTTGATAATTTTAGAACTCTAAACTCCAATATTGCCTTATATTTTTAAAATTGGAATTCTTTTGAAAAGAAACATGTTAAAGGCACTCTTGGAGAAAATCATATCTGATTGTTTTGTTGACTAACAATTCTTCTAATAAAAATATTTTTAGAGGGACTAGATAATGACTGATAAAATGTTTTGAAATGATGAAGCATGTGCCTTTTCCACATTCAAATCACCATGGTGAAAGTATTTCAAAATAGTGGGCTGACATCAACAGTGGATTGGATAAAGAAAATGTGGTACATATATACCAGGAATACTATGCAGCCATAGAAAAAGATCGTACACGTATGCTACGGAATACTATGCAGCCATAAAAAATGATCCATAAACACCATGGACTACTATGCAGCCATAAAAAGATGGTACATATACACCATGAAATACTGTGCAGCCATAAGAAATGTGGTACATGTACACCATGGAATACTGTGGAACCATGTCCTTTGCAACACCGTGGATGCAACTGGAGGCCATTATCCTAAACGAATTATCACAGAAACAGAAAATCAATATCACATTTTCTCACAAATGGAGGCTAAACCCTGGATATACACAAATATAAAGATGGGAACAGTAGGCACTGGGGACTCCAAAGGAGAGAAGTTGTGTACTATGTTCACTGTCTGGGTGATGGGATTAATAGAAGCACAAACCTCAACATCACACAATATACCCTCATGAGAAACCTGCATGTGTACCTCCTGAATCTACACTCAAAGTTCAAATAAAAAATAGTGGGCTGAAACAGATAAGGTTAAAATAGCACAGTACAAGTGATCTATAAATTTCATCTTGAGAAATAAAGGACTGATAGGATTTTGAAAGAAATTTTACTGACAGAGACAAAGTATTCTTTTAGTCAACAAATATTTTTCTGTGCCTGCTGTGTGCAAGGTATTACTGTGGTGCTAGGAATACAGTGGTAAACCTTTCAAGTAACTTGACTACCAACCTTTATTGTACACTTAACTTTATACTCATTCTTTTCAAGCACATATGAAACATGCTTCAGGACAGACCCGTATACATGCTAGTCCACTAAATGAATCTCAGTAAATTTAAAAGGATAGAAATAATACACACGATATCCTCCAATTTCAATGGAATTAAGTTAGAAATTGACAACAGAAAGAATCCTGAGAGATCTCTCAACTATTTGGGAATTAACACACTTCCAAATAACCTATAGGTCAAAGAAAAAATCAAAAAGGAAATTACAAAATAGTTTTAACTGAATGAAAATAAAAACAAAACATAAAATGAATGGAACACAGCTAAAGCAGTACTAAGAATATCTGAAATGCTTATCTTAGAATGGAAGGAAGATCAAGAATCAATAATTTAACCATCAACCTCAGTAAGCAAGAAGACCTAATCTAAATGAGTAGAAGGAAAGAAATAGACCAGAAATTAATGAATAAAATATTGAAGAATGTCTACCAAAAGAAGTAAAAGAAGTACACTGAAAACCCCAAAACATTACTGAGAGTAACTAAAGAAGATATAAGTAAATGGAGAGATGTACCATATTTAGAGTTTGGAAAACTCAGTATTATTAAGATAGAACTCCAAATTGAACCCAATGCCTATCAAAATTCCAGCAGGACTTTCTATAGAAATTGACAAACTGCAGGAGTTCAAGACCAGCCTGGCCAACATGGCGAAACCCCGTCTCTACAAAAAAAAAAAAACAAAAACAAAAATTAGCCAGGCGTGGTGGCAGGCACCTGTAATCCCAGCTGCTCTGGAGACTGAGGCAGGAGAATCGTTTGAACCTGGGAGGCAGAGGTTGCAGTGAGCCGAGATCACGCCACTGCACTCCAGCCTGGGCGACAGAGCGAGACTCCGTCTCAAAAAAAAAAGAAAAGAAATTGACAAACTGATCCTAAATTTATATGGAGTAGCAAAGCAACTAGAATGGCCAGAACAATTTTGAAAAGGAAAAACAACATTTGAGAACTTATGCTACCTGATCTCATGACTTATTATAAAGCCACAGTTATCAAGACATTGTGGTATTGGGCTAAGAATACATAGATCCATGGAACAGAATAGAGTCAGATGCCAATGGCGAAAGGACAGTTTCAACACACTGCTGGAAGAATTGGATATGCATATGTAAAAATTATGTATATATATTTATATATGTATTTAGACTTTTACTTTAAATGAAAATTAGCTCAAAATGGATCATATAACTTAATTCAAGAGCTAAAATTATAAAGCTTTTGTAAGATAACATAGATAACAAATCTATAAATTAGAAAAAGAAAACAAATTTATAAAGTAGAATTCACCAAGGTTCAAAATGCTTACTTTTTGATAAACACTATTAAGAACATTTAAAAACAATCTACTTAAAGAAAATAGTTCCAGTCGTATATCTGACAATGGACAGATAATATTTGAAAAATTCTCCCAATTTTATATATAATAAAACAACCCAGTTAATAAGTGAGTGAAATGCTTGAATAGACATTTCACCAAAGAAGATACACGAATAACTAGTAAACTCCACGAAAAGATGCCCAACATCATTAGTCTCTTGGGAGATGCAAATTACAACCAAAATGTGATTCTACAACACACTCACTAGAATGGCTGTAATTGAAAACAGTGACTATCAAATGTTGATGAGGATGTGGAGAAACTTCACATCTCACACATTGTTGCTGGGGATGTTCAATAGCACAGCTAGTAAGGAAAACAGTTTGACAGTTAAACTTGCACTTGGCTGTACAACCCAGCCCTTTCATTCCTAGATATTTACCCAGGAGAAATGAGAACGTATGTTTACACAAAGGCTTATATGCAGGTGTTTATAAAAGCATTATTTGTAATAGCCAACACTTGGAAACTATGCAAATATTTATCATCTGGTGAAGAGATCATTTTTTTTTGCATATAATGGAATACTGAGGAATGAGAAGGCATGAAAAGTTTGGAGTGTACCTGAAAAACATTGTGCTAAGTTTATAAATAAAGTCAGACAAGGTTAGATTATTTATTGTCAGATCATATATATGAAATTTCTTCAAAAGGCAGAAGGAGACAGAAAGCAGATCAATGGTTGTCTGAGGCCATGGGTAGAAGGGAGATTGACTGCAAAGGTGTGATGGAAGTTTCTCAAAACTGGATCATAGTGATGGATGCACAGTTGTTTACATTTCCCAAAATTTGTTAAAGTTAGACTTTAATATATATGTACATACGTAAATACATATGTAATTTTACATCATTAAAGGTTTTTGTTTTTTATAAGGATCACTTTTTGTAAGAATCATTCGGGTCCTTCAACCTAAATGCAGAGTTTTGTTTATCTCTCTAGTTTAATGATTCTTAACACCAGCTACAAATTAGAATCATTTTGACAGTTATTTAAAGAATCACTTTTTTTCTAAGAATCATTTAGGTCCTTCAATCTAAATGCAGAGTTTTGTTTCTCTCTCTAGTTCAATGATTCTTAACACCAGCTGCAAATTAGAATCACCTTGACAGTTATTTAAAAATGTCAAGCTGAGCTCCACCTGAAAATAATTCAACCCAAATCTCTGGGGTGGACCCAGGGTGTCAGTGGTTTGTTAGAGCATCCTTGGTGGTTCAAATGTATATCCAAGATTGAGAACCTCTGCCCTAGGTGGTGCTTTCCCCAACACGAGGTGAAATCACTGTCACTGAAGAATCCTTTAGATGCTTTGAGGCAGAAAAAAAATTGAGAATCACTACTTTAGGCCTTTAATTCCTTATCTAGAAAATGAGAGTACTACTACTTCCTTATTGTATCTCAAACTTGTTTGAATCAAATTGGTAATGAAGGTACACACTTTCTAAATTCTGCAGTAGCTTTTTGTTATTCGGTCCAATCTTCTATGCTTCTGTGTCTGTTGAACAATAAAGAAATCATTGCTGTTCATAATGAGTAAGATCTGGAAATATCTTCTGAATGGCTTCTCTATTCATTGTAGCTTTCAAATTGTGTATTTTATTATATAGTAATTGAGAGGAAATGTATATAGTTTATGATCCTAATATTACTTAATTGTTTAAAATAGTCATGGTGGAATTTATAAATCCTGTGTTTTTATAATTTTCACAGTAGTGAGTTATACACCTATTCAACAGTACTATTCTTCTTTTTTTTTTTCTTTCTTTCTTTTTTTGAGACGGAGTCTTGCTTTGTTGCCCAGGCTGGAATGCAGTAGCGTGATCTCGGCTCACTGCAACCTCCACCTCCTGGGTTCAAGCGATTCTCCTGCCTCAGCCTCCCGAGTAGCTAAGATTACAGGCACATGCCACCACGCCCAGCTAATTTTTTGTATTTTTAGTAGAGATGGGGTTTCACTGTGTTAGCCAGGATGGTCTTGATCTCCTGACCTCGTGATCCATCCACCTCAGCCTCCCAAAGTGCTGGGATTACAGGAATGAGCCACCGCACCCGGACAGTACTATCTTTTTTTTTTTTTTTAACTATTTTAGATTCTTTTTAAAATTGAGCCACAGTCATTTTCTTGAACAATTTCAGTGGCAGCCTAGTTTTACCCTAAATTGTTCAAAGCTTAGTCTGATGAATAGGGTGGGGTATCAGGCTAGGAAATACATTTTTGAAGATGATTTATGAATATAAAGTAATTAGATTTATTTTTTTTTTCTTCTGCCTCCCCAGCTGGCACTAAGGGCTGTTTCAAAAGTTGAGTCTAGAATTAAACAGTGATCTCATTGTTGAAAAGAGTATAGCCTCCTAAGATGCCTACATTGGAAACTAGATTTTGCTTTATTATTTCATTTTTGGAATGATTATTAAAATAATTGGTTATATTATTTTGCCATTTCTTTATGAACATATATAATAACTATCAGTAAGTCGGAATATTCACTTACCCAGAATATCCTGTTTCCCCCGTAGTCCTGGGATATATTTTTTCCTTCCATCATGTGGAATATTATTTATCCTTTAGATTATTATAATTTTGTTTACATATTAGCTGTTAAAAATGAGTATTATAAGGTTTTAAGAACAACTAAGAAACTTATTGACAAAGAATATAACTTGATTTTTGTTATATAAGAATTTTTTTTGCTAATACTAATAAAGACATAAGACTTTATTGTGGTTTATGTGTTATCTGTAAACTTTGATGCAACTAATAGACACTTGGTAGTTTCTGCTTCTCCCATTTTATCTGTATAGTATATCCAAAATATACGTATGCTTTTGGTGGAGAGGGGCATACAAGCCAACACCTTATCAAATAATAATGTAAGTAAACATAACAGTTGAAAATAGACAGACTTTTTTTTAGTAATCATTTTCCCTTATTACTTTAGGAAGAGTGATGAGGCTGGAATAACTACGCTAATTGTAAATCTGTTACTCTCTGTGGCATTTACATAAAAGTTATTTAATAAGTCTTCAATTAACACCTGCCAAATCTGGAGCAACATTTTTTAAATGACTGCAGAGTCATTATGGCTAAGAGAGTTGTTTACAGTAAATATTTTTCTTTTGAGGAAAATAAGATTGTTGTAATTACAAGCTTCAGTGATTAAAATGCAAATAAAGGTGATGAGATTTAAAATAAATGTGGAAAGAATGTCATAGATTGAAGATATATATATAAGTTGAATCAGCAAGCAGCTAAAATGGTAAATGAATTAAGGTCACTGTATCTTTTGGCAAACCTTAATTTCTAATAAAACTGGTAACAACAAGTGTTTTTCTTTTCTAATAACCTTTATTTAAATTCATGTTCTAAAACTGCAGTTTATGAGCAGAATTAATGTCACTCTAGCTATCTAATTGTAAAAATTGTTTTTGTTACTTCATCATTGTTTTTGGGAATAGACTATAACCCACGGTATCTTCCTATCTATGAAATAAACTGTAGCTATTGTAATAAAATTACAGTACTTTCTTAGTATTTTGGGATGTATATATATATATGTGTGTATATATTACATTCTATATACTACATAAAAGAATCTTTTATTTGCTGTGTGGTTGTCTATAAAGAACTGAAGTACTGTCAAGAACTTTCTTTTTGTGAGCAGAACTTTACATTCCTAAGATAATTTTTAAAAATACAGTTTTATTGAGATATAATGCATACCATACATTTTACCCTTTTAAAGTTTACAATTCAGTGGCTTTTAAAATATAATCACAGAATTGTGCAACTATCACCACAGTCAAGTTTAGGGCATCTTAATCTCCCCGGAAAGAAACCCCATACGTGTTAGCAATCATTGCGCATTTCCACCACCCATTCCTCCTCCCTACCCCTAAGCAATCTATTTTGGTCTGTATAGATTTGACTGTTCTGGACATGTCATGGAAGTGTAATCATATAGTATCTAGTTTTTAGTGACTGGCTTCTTGGACTTAGTATAATGTTTTCAAAGTTCATCCATGCTGTACATGCTGTAGCATATGCCAGGACATCATCCTCTTTATTGCTGAATAATATTTCATCACTTAGATATACCACATTTTATTTATCCACACATCAGTTGATGGACATTTGGGATGTTGACACTTTTAGGCTATTATGAATAATGCTGCTCTGAATATAAAGGTACAGGCTTAAAATTATTTTCAGTATAAATCTAGGAGTGGAATTGCTGGGCTT
The DNA here is from genome assembly GCF_000001405.40 of Homo sapiens. Taxonomy (NCBI): domain Eukaryota; kingdom Metazoa; phylum Chordata; class Mammalia; order Primates; family Hominidae; genus Homo; species Homo sapiens. Next base: position 120,485,184 of record NC_000008.11, read on the forward strand.
CGTCTTTTTTTCAGTGTCTTAAGGTAGAAGGTTAGCTTATTGATTGAGATCTTTAATACTACTTCAGCTATATTTGATAAATTTTATATCTTTCATTTATCTTAGAGTATTTTTAAATTTCCATTGTGATTTCATATTTGACCCATTGGTTATTTGTTGGTGTGTTGTTTAATTTCCACATATTTGTTAATTCCCCAAATTTCTTTGAATTATTAGTGTCTAAAAGGACTAATGATTTTACTCCTTTTAAGTTTATTGTACTTTTCCACTCCAGTGTTTCCATTGGGTTTTTATTTTATATCTTTTCATCTATGTTCTCTATTTGATGAGACATTGTCATCATACCTTTCATTTCTTCTTTAAGCATGGTTTCCTTTAGTTCTTTAAACGTATTTATAATGTTTGCTTTGAAGTCTTTGTTATATTTAACTTCTGGGACCTCTCACAAGTATTTTCTGTCACTTGCTTTTCCCCTTCTGTAGGTATTACACATTCCTGTTTCTTTGTATGTCTCATAATTTCTTGATAAAGATGACAATTTAGGTAATATATTGTAGCTATTGGTTAATAATTTATCTCCCCCCTTATTAGGTTTGTTTTCTTGTTTGCGTATTTATTTGTTGTATGAGTTGGCTAGGCAATTTTAATGAAGTCTGTTTGACTTCGGTGTCACTCTTCAGAGGGTGCGGCCTTCAGTGTGGCCACATTCACCCTGGGAATCCAGTGGTCTCAACCTGACTCACTTTGCCTTTCCCTGATACCTTCTTTGTCTGCCTCATTTGCTATCACATGTAGCTACTTTATACCTCACTAATTGCCATCTTCACTAATTGCTTTATTGTTTTTGACAATGCACTGGGGCTTAAATTGTTCCACATCCATTTAAATTTGATTCATTTTTGTGGCCATTCTTCGATTTGAATTCTGACACCAAGATGACACTTCTTAGCTGTCTCATTCCCAGGTTCTCTCTAATGAACTAGATCTTTTGCTTGTTTCTCTTAATTAAGTGAACTACCAGCCTCCTTTTATTTGCTTATTACCAAGTCTCCATAGTTTTTGAGACCACCTTTAGGCTCCAACTTACCCGCAATCTGAGTCAGATAAAGTCAGTTTCTTTGGGTAGTGCTTAGGGCCTTCTGTTTTAAGGTCTCTTCCCCTGGGCAAAATCTCTGAGCCACTACTTCGGTAGCTGGGCCGGCATGTAGCTTCTGGTCTTCTTTATATACCTCTCCCAGTGTAGAAACTGCCCTGTGAATGCGCTGAGGTGAAGACATTTGGGTGCCTATTTTCTCAGCTTTCCTATCCTGGGGTAGAACCTCTGCCTTATGAGTAGGGGCTAGGTGGAGAAAGGAAGTCCCTGAATTCTCATCATATGCGTCAGGAATTTAGTCTTTTCAACTCAGAATGAGGGGATGAGAAATTGCTGACAGCCTGCTCCTTCCCATGAGATGCTGTAACCCTTTATTGGAAGCCGAGGGAGGAGGGAGACCCATCTTTTTGGCCACAGCCGCTTGGATTGGAGTTTCTGTCCATCTGTGTTGGGAATGGGTGGGGAAAAGCAGGCTGCGGCTGAAGTGCTTCGGACTCTTAAAAACTAAGCCACAACCTGCTTCTTCCCAACCCATTCTCAACTCAATGGATAGAAGCTCCAATCTGTCCAACGTGCTTCTTCCCAATCCTAATCTTAGTATATTTTCCTGAATAAATGTTTCTTAATTTGGTATATACCCTTAGGATCATTTCACCGGTTGTGCTTGTATTGCTGGGGAGTGGGTCCACAGACTTTCTCACCCTGCCATCCTCATAGCCCCTAAAATAAACTTAAGGGAAATAGAGACATAGATAACTTTTTAAAGTGGTAAGCATTCACTTTGATTCCCTGATAATCAATCAACCCTTAACTCTGCCTTATATATCTCAAGCCAAAGACACTTTGTTTTACCCTCTCCAGAGAATAAGCCTCTAATCTTCTGACAGTCATTTGCCTGAATAGAATAAGGGATCAGAAGGCCTGTTTCTCAAGTTGACTTTCAAACTCTGTTCCTATTCCAGCTTCATTTTGCTTCCAGTGCCATCTGGGGTCACCATTCCAGAGCCTCTTGAGGACGCGTGTATAAATTGTGTTGCTTTGGGGCTTTCTCTGCTGTTTTTCTCAGCTCCTTAGCAGTGGAGAGATTGAAGTTTGTTACCAATTGTTCATATGCTTTTCTGCTTTCAAATTTTAGTTGTCGTTGTCTCTTCCAGATATTAGTTCTTGTAGATTTATGCTATTTTTAAGATTTCTTTATTCTCATTTAGTGGAATTTCAGGAGATAGTGAATATAAATGTTTATGTCCAACTCACCATCTTCAACAAAGAAAGATTCTACTTCTATTTTTAATCTCAAAGGCTTCACAGTTTTTCTTCAACCTTCACTATAACCCTCACTTGATTTGCTTTTAAAATATACTAGACGCTGTCTTAACTGACCTTCACATAACTGGCATGCCAGATTAATGAATGCTCTCCATTCCCTCTGTAAAATACATTATGGATGCCCACTGCAAGAAGCAAAAAGGGCAAGAAGCGAAAAGCTTCCCAGCTCCCAAGTATAGCTGTATCCTTCTGCTCCCACCAATTAAGTTGGTGTTTGTAGGAATCAGTTTATTCCTCTTTAAAGAAATGGAAGCTGTAAACATTATTGATGTGGTTATTTAAGAAATATACTGTAGATATGGTAAGCCATATCAAAAGTTAAAGAATGAGTACACATACTTTTAATTTAAAATAAAAGATTTATGCTTTGTAATTGTTATGATTTTTTGCTTTAACAGCTTTCTCAATTAAATGAACAACTACTAGCCCTGAATGTATTAACAGCTTGTTTTAAAATAACAAAAAATTTTATTATATCCTATGGATCAAATGTATGGTTCTGTTGTGTTGTGTGCTGAATTTTCACATACTTAACAAGATAATTGTTTTTGTTTAGTTCCAGATGTTGAAGTGAAAGGAGAGTGTTCTAGCTATTATCTCTTGTTACAAGGTAATGGCAATAGAAGATGTAAAGCCACATTGATTCACTCAGCCAACCAGATCAATGGCTCATTTGCACTCAATTTAATTCATGGAAAGATGAAAACAAAGACAGAAGAAGCCAAATTGAGTAAGTGTTAACTTCAGGTAGAAAAACATGTTTACATTGTTTGTGTGTGTGGTTAGCATATGTGGCTTTAAGTAGAAGAAATACTAAACATTTAATGAATTTATTTTCGCCAAACTCCATTCTCTTTCATTAATTTACCTTTTATTTAAAACATATTATGACATATTTTTACAATTTAATGTGCAAAGAGCAAATTGCTTTTACATTATACCTAGTAAAGTTTAGTAGATCAGCCTTCAATTCTAAAAATGAAATTTTTAGTATTTTCCACTTTAAATACATATATTTTGCTATATTTCCCATTTTCATTTATATCGTCTGAAGCCACATGTTCTATTTTATTGCCCATCTTTCCCTCTTCTTCCCAGGCTTTATTATTTAGGTTATTGATTGCTGCATGACAAACTACCCCAAATTTGGCTTAAAAATAGGAGTTTATTATTATCTCTCGTGGTCCTGTGGGTTGAATGAGCTCAGTTGGATGTTTCTATTTTGAGGTCCTCCATATGATTACAGTCACATACAACTGTGGCTCCAGTCATTTGAAGATTCCACAGGACTTGATGTCTAAGATAGTTTCTTCACACCCATGTTTGGTGCCTGGGCTAGGATGACTGGAACAGATGAGGTCTGATTTTCTCTTCACAGGCGCTTTCCTCACAGCTAGCTTGGGCTTCCTTACAATATCATGGTGTTAGGGCAGACTGACTTCTTTTTTTTTTTTTGAGACAGAGTCTTCCTCTGTCACCAGGCTAGAGTGCAGTGGTGCAATCTTCGCTCACTGCAACCTCTGCCTCCCAGGTTCGAGCAATTCTCCTGCCTCAGCCTCCCAAGTAGCTGGGACTACAGGTGTGCACCACCATGCCCAGCTAATTTGTGTATTTTTAGTAGAGACAGGGTTTCACCATGTTGGACAGGATGGTCTCGATCTCTTGACCTCGTGATCTGCCTGCCTCGGCCTCCCAAAGTGCTGGGATTACAGGCGTGATCCACTGCGCCCGGCCTAGGCTGACTTCTTATATGGTTGCTGACTTAGAGCAATTGTTCTGTGAAGCTACAAGGCTTTCTGTTTCCTAGCTAGAAGTCATTCAGTGTCACGTTTACGTTACATTATTTGTTACATAGTGTGAAGCATGTCCAATAATTAGCAGTCTTAAGGGAGGACTGCCACAGCGTGGAGAATAGGGAAGATCATCACTATGCCAGCCACCAGTAACGGGAGTCCAAATACATCTTTATGTTGCCCCATGGGCTACTATTTAGGTCCACCATGTACTGGTTACCAATTTGTCCTAGTCCGGTGTGACAGAACACACTCACATGCAAGTTATATGAAGCAGATTTATTACTTACAGATAGGCAGCAAGGAACAAAAGAAGCCTAGGATCTGTTGTGAGCCAGGCCCCCAAGGCTCACGAAAGCTTCCCAGGGCAGATGGTGTCTTGACTGCATGTACGCCATTTGCACCACAGCTAAGGGACCCCAAAAGGCAGCCTGACCTGGCTTCTATATTTCAGGGGCCATGTGACTCATTGGGCAACGCTTTGAAGGACATCCTGCTTTTAGGGGACAGAGGAAAAAAACCCAAGCTATCCTGGGCAGTTCCTCCCTATTTCAAGATAGTACATTTCCAGTGCATTCTGCAGTTATTCTGAGTAAAATGGGCATGAAGAATGGGGAGAGAGACACGGCTAAGGCTATCATGGGACCATCCAGCACATTTATCTAGGTTGGATTCATTGTGGAGGGGACTGCACAAAAAGGAATAACAGGAGATGTGGTTCATTCAATGGCTTTTGGGGGTATCTTTACAGACTAGCTACCATTCCCTATCTGTGATTTCTGATCAGGTAGAAGAAAATGTGATTCAGGGAATTCTACTTTGCTATCTAAATTCCCTCAATTTAAAAATCAGGTCAATGTTTAAAATGCAAAATAATTGAGTATGCTTATTTTCTGCTGCTTAATTATTATTATTATTTACTTTGAAATATGTAAGGTCGAGAGAGGTGAGTGATTGACTTTTATTTTTTGTTAAATCCTTGCTATAACACATTTCCCAGGAACTGAGTACTAATTGTTGGCAAAGGGCATCATTAATGTTGACCTTTTTTTTTTCTTATTTCTCAGGTTTTCCTTTTGACTTATTATCACTTCCACATTTTTCTGGGGAGCAGATTGTACAGAGAGAGAAACAGTTAGCTAATGTTCAAGTTTTAGCTTTGGAAGAATGCCTAAGTAAGTAACAATTTGTGTATTTTATCCTACCCTAAAAATGTTGACTTGTTTGGACATAAGCTACCTTTATTTGCACACTTTTTCATATATAGTTTATCTTTTAGTTATGCTACTTAATTATAGAACTATTTTTGAAAGCAATGATGTAGAGTAGAAGAGATATTTTCACTAGATTCAGAATATTTCTGTTTATTTGTACATCACTGTTAACATTTGTAAAAGTATTTCAACAGGCAAATTTTGTATTTCAAAATTTGTTTTTAATTGTATGCTAGAGAAGGTATGTAAGTTTTATTTTTCTATGTATAACTCTTGATAAAATATCTTTTTATATATTTTTGTAGCGGAAGTTGGGTGCTACAAATAGGAAAAAATGCAAGTCTTAGGGAAATTAATGTGTTACCTTGAGCATTGATTCTTAGAGTTTAATAATGATCATCAATAATAAGTAAGAACATTTCATGTACTAAGTGACATTGGCATAGATTTATCTTATTCAGAAAAGAGTCATAATTTCACATTTTTTCTCTTTTACAGTTAATTTGGCTATCAGTCTTATTTTTTAATACAAATTTTAAGCATTCATTTGTTGCCTAATTGAACTTATTTATGGTTATGTAATTTCTAAGAAATTGATTCAAATTGTGAGTTCTCCTTAGTTGTATGTAGAAAAAAAGTTATTCGAATTATATATTACATATATTATAAAATAAGAACTATCATTCTTTTCTTTAAAAACGTATTTAAAAATTGTGAATTCAGTAGCCTACCTATTCAATAGAAGATAATTTTAGAATAGTTGGTCTCAATTATTCATGTAAAGATTGCAAACTTTTTCAATTGTAAAAATCCAGGGTAATTGTTTAGTCTTGAGCTCCTCTAACCATTGGTGTGTTGTTTTTTTTAACCACGAAAATGATGTTTGCTCAAGGAAGGTGTAATTAGAAAGGCAAATCATTTTTAATAAAGTGTAGTACATGCTATAACCAACAAATACATAAATACATACACACACATATATACTGAAATACCAGTATTGTTATGGTTATAAAATGTTTATTTCAGACATCAGCCAGCTGTATTATTCATTTTTTAACTTTGCTCTATTCCTGCCAAAAACCCGTCAGGCCCTGATTTCCTTGCCATATGCCTCTGGCAGCTTTTTATAACTCAGTTCCTTCAACATCTCCATTGATTCATCTTCACCTCTGTTCCTCACCTTTCCAAACACAAAAACTATCAGAAGAGCAGGGACCTCTCTAAAGCTGGTGCATCTCTTCTTTGTGAAAGGAGAAGACTTAACCCCAAAAGGGCCATCCCTCCTGGTTGTGTGGGAAGGGAAATATGACAGCTATAACTAGGTTGCTGCCTAGAGGTGTGAGTGAAAAGTTCAACAGAGTTGGTGAGAGGGCAGGAGAGAGTACAGAAATGCTAAAAATAAAAAAAATTAAAAAAATAAAAAATCGCAGGGATGCCACTAGACTGGGCAAAGAGTAAGGTGGGAACCTGAAACTGAAGACAACCTTAGAGCTAGTTGCTGCTAGAGACACTGGCTCTGGGTATGTCCATGAAATGGCCAATTTGCGATCAGAAGCATTAAATCTTGATTCAGATAAATGATCCAGTTAATCTATTTATGATGAAAATACTTACTGAACAAATCTCTTCTCTACCCAGAGAGTTAATACTGGATTAAAAACTTGGAGACAAAGATGCATCTGTTTAGAATGCCTGTGTCTCAAAAGGCATTTGCAGAGGCATTTGCAGAGGCAAACGACAGCAAAAGAAAGTTTCCAATGTAAGCATGTCTTAAGTGTCTACTTCAGTGATTTGCAAATAAGTGAAGTGTGAATATAAAAGTACTTAAAGTAATGCAGTTAACTTATTTGTACATGATAAAAAGTAAAGAATATAATGGGAACAGCTCTCTTTGGAAAAAAAAATAGTGGTTCAATATCCATACAGAGATTATAGTGTTTACAGAAAAACAAAATTTGTTCAAAAAGATTTCCTCAAATTATCAACAAAACATGGGGTAGGCTTGTTACTCTTTTTCCACTATTTCTCTAATACTAAATTAGAAAGAATAGCTAGAAAAATTTGCACAAAAATTTACTCAAAAATGTACTCACTAATAACACTATTGAGGCACTTTGTTTTTTAAAATAACACGAAATAAAATTTGTTAGGGCTTATTTTTTAAAATTAGTTTATTTTCATTAATTTTATTTTGAAAATTACATCTAATACTATTTAATTAGAATGATATTTAAAATTTGTAAGCTTGTGACTTATATTTTACCAAATTTGTTGGTAATTTATGACTTTTTGTATTTGGAAATATTAAAAATCTTGTTTCACTGATTTTTCAAGAAAAGGCTGAAGAATGCTGAACAATTTTTAAATAAAAGACTGTTCAGTATGATGCAAGATAAGTATGAAAACAGCAGTATTATCATTTTGCTCCAGTATTGCAGTCTCTACTCTGAGCTCCCTACATCTTTGTTAAATTTATAAAACACAGTGCAAAGCTTATGCTTGACCTGCTGATTCCTTTGGATGTTCTGCTTCTACATTTTTCTTTAATAAATCCTTAGTTATTACTAGCTTTCTTAGGAAAATAGCATTCTTATGCTAACTCATTTTTAGACTTTAGTCCAATGTTTTTCTCTCAAATATTTATCTGCCACTTATATGCAAACTCATTTGTGTGAAGACTATGTTTTACCTAGGTAAATTATCCTGCTCATAACTTGTAAACTTTATCTGTTTTCTGTCTCCATTTCTTAATCATTAAGGTCAATATGGATTCTTACTCTCTTCTTCAAATTGTAATATAATTGACAGGTTTAATAAATATAGGTCAGGTTCAGGTTCAGATTTGAGTGTGTGTGTGTATGTGTGTGTGGGGGTGTATATATATAATTTTTTTTTTTTTGAGACAGAATTTTGCTCTGTCACCCAGGCTGGAGTGCAGTGGCATGATCTTGGCCCACTGCAACTTCCACCTCCCAAGTTCAAGTGATTCTTGTTCTTCAGCCTCCCAAGTAGCTAGCATTACAGGCATGTACCACCACGCCAGGCTAATTTTTGTATTTTTAGTAGAGATGAAGTTTCTTCATGTTGGCCAGGCTGGTCTCGAACTCTGGACCTCAGGTGATCCACCCGCTTCGGCCTCCCAAAGTGCTGGGATTACAGGAGTGAGCCAACACACCCGGCCAGATTTGAGTATATTTTTAACATTAATAAAAACATAGGGGCTAATTTCTGAAGCAGATTACTGCGTACATCTTCCAGATAAAACCAAACCATCGGTAACTTTTTGTCTTAGAATGGCTCCCAGCAGATTGTGCACAAAAAGACAATGAACCTTATGATTTTCTCACTAAGAGGATGTAATAGAGGCAGAATATATTACAGCTCTCATTTTACTGTTACTAATATTCTTGATTGTGGAAGGAATGTTAGTTATCTTGGGTCAGATTTGGAAGGACCCTACCAATGTCCACATTGGTGATGCAGGATTTTACAGAGGCTTGTATCATGAAGCTGATGTTCTAAAGTAGAACCTCGACATTGGTTGCCTCCTTCTTATTCTACTCCCTTGCATTATTTATGTGCTGACCTCAGGTAGTGTAATGTAATAATGCTTTAATCCTCTGTGTCTAAGGACACAGTACAGTGCTTTTTAGGCAGTAAGCTCTTAAAATTAATAAATGTGCGTTTTGTTGAATTCTCTATGAACTTCTAGGTTAGTATTTTATTGTGGAAGAAAATGTTACTAGTCTAGAAGTGTTTTAAAATGGACTATTTTTATCAAAGTGATACATGGATATAGTTTGAAAAATCAAGTGATACTGAAAAAGCTTCAAGTGGCAAACAGCAATGCACTACCCATGCCTCCCCATCTTTCAGTCCCTGTGTTTATAGACAGCTATCCTCAGCTCTTCCAGGTGGACCCCTATACAAATAATGTACGTATGCTGCTATTTCTTGATTTACTAGTTTCAGGCATTATCTTAACATCTAACTATGGAAGATAAAAACTTCACTTTCCCACATAATCCTCACTTTCTCTTTCTGCTTCTTCAAGTGAAGTCATGAATTTTGGTTAAATCAGTGGTTGGCTTTAATATTATTATAATTTTATAAATAAGTTTACTGTTGAGCCATGTAATAAATGATGATGATCAGATCTCTCTTATATAATTCTTTGTTTCTCTTATGGTTGATAATCACCTTATTTTAAATTTGCCTACTCTTCTGTATAGACAGAACATTGTTATGTTTTTCCAGAGGCTCCAACATTTCTGCTGCACTCCTATCATTAACATTCATTGTGTATTCAAATACATCAGTTCCTTTTTATTTCTCTATTGTTTTCTTTCCTGGAGTGTTTCATATTTTGCTCGACTATGGACTGATTGCTTATATCTTGCTAATATCTTGAAGATTTCCCTTTCCTCTTTTCTTCTTTCAGAATGTTCTTTTTCCTAGACCCCTTATTCTCCTTTTTCTTGGATTATGCCTTTGTTTGGTTGGTGCACTTCTTCCAGTCACTTTTTGAACAAAAGTTCATGGAGCATAAATTTTTTGAGTTCTTGCATGTCTGAAAATTTATTTACTTCACTAATAAAATTCTAGGTTAAAAATCATTTTCCCTCGGAATTTCAATGATACTACTTCATTGTCTTCTGCTTTGCTATGTTTCTGTTGCGAAGTCAAATATAATTCCTATTCTTTGTGGTAATCTAATTTTGGTTTGTTTGGTTTTTACCCACTTTCTGGAAACTTTGTCTCCAGAATCATTGTCTCTAGAAGGTTTACTCTGAGTCACACTGTGTTTATCTTTCCCATCTTCCCCACCAGCCCCATTTATTGAACTGTGTAGTTGATTGGCAATTTAAATGGGAGAGTCATATCTTGAAATCTGAATTTTTTTTTATCTTTTTAATAATTTTCTTCCTCCCATTCTCTCTCTCTCTTTCTCTCTCTGGAGCTCTGGAGCTCTTACTAGATATTGACTTTTCTGGACAGAATGCCTGATTTCCATTCCTAGTTTCATATTACTATGTTTTTGTTCTAGTTTTGGGGGGATATCTTCCATTTTATTTTACAGCTCTTCTATGGAATTTTTGAAATTTGATGTTTCGTGTGCTTAATTTTAGAGTCATTTTTTGTTCATTGATTTTTTTTTCTTTATCAAAGCATCCTGTACTTATTTCATGGGTGCAGTATCTTCTCATTTGTCTATGAGAAAATTATAGCAAACTTTGTTTAGCTTTCTACAATGCTTTTGTTTCTGCTGGACTCCCTTTTTTCTGTTTGTTTGCCTTAGTCTCTCTTTTGGATGCTTTTTAGTTTGGGATTCCAATGAATAATACCCACTTCTCCCCCCCAACATTTGAACCAACTGAAAAATAAGTGTAAGAAATATACAGATGGAGAGAAATTATAGATGAAAGCTGTACTAAAGGATATGGCTTTTTAGATCTATGGCCAAGTTGGCCTTCTTATACATACACCCAGCATCGAATTTTGCCACTGAATGGCTGTCAGAGCTAGGCAACTGCAGACCAACCCTGCAGCAGAAGTCTGCAGAGAAAATACATCCTGAAGACTTGCTCACTCAGATGAAAGTCAGAAGAATCTATCAGAGCATGCTTTGTTCATGACTAGCTCAGTGAGTGATGGGAAGGAAGAGGGGAGCTGAAAGTGTTAACTGAATCAAATCTTTGCACAGGGAAATAAAGAGCTGCCTCTCCCCCTCAACACCTTTCCTTAAATGTCTGGAGATTCTTTTGTTTCCATCCTATTTTGAAATGGAAGTTTTGTATGCTTACTTCTAAAGTAATATCTGTCAAGCTTCACTATAGTATGGTGAAGTGACAATTCAACATTTTGTTCATGAGCTTCTACCCCTAACTCCACCCCTTGCTATCTAGAGTTCTTTTCTCTGACAGCATTCAGTTTAACCAAAGGAGAATCCTCTGATATTTCCAGTGGGGCATTTGTGGATGTTCACTTTCTGGTATCAAAGCTTGGAGTCCAACCTTTCAATGAATAGATTTTTCCTTAATCCCTTGGTTTTAACACCAGCCTCAATACTATCTTTTCGTATACCTGATGTTCCATACAAAAAAAAAAAAAGAAAAAAAAATGCAAGCAGTGTTGCCTATCTAATAGGAATAGCTTGCATAGGGGAAGGACCTGCAGTTCTGACTTCTTGTGCTATATCCAGTCCTGTTTCAGTCCAGCATCTCACCACCAGCTCTTATACTCCTCGGTAGTGCCTCTCTACAGGCATCCAAGGTGGCTCTTCCTCTGCTTTGCAGACTCCGTTACCACTCGGTCATTTATGTCTTCCAAAATTTGTTGAAAAATGTCATTATTTATCATTCCTTCTTTTGTTCTCCCTTTTTATTTCTTTGCTGTGATTTTAGGTTTTGAGAAGAAGAAACAGAAGTGGCCAAGCTACCATATTTAACTGAAAGTCTAACAGGTTTTATTTCTACATAACCATGAACATAAGACCATTTTAATGCTCTGCAATATATTTCTGAAGGCTTTAGTAAACCTGCCTTTATCTGTTATCAACTTATAGTATCAATGAATTACTTCTGTTTATCTCACATAACTGGAAATTCTCCCATTATCTACAAATAGGATTAAAGTGAAAGAAGGCCTACAATCCTGAAAACAGGAATGTTGATTTACTAGAGAAATTCACTTGTTTTACTTCTGAAAATATTTTCCACAAAAGACTAGTAGATGAGCTCCAGAGAATACAAAATAAGTCAATTGTATTGATTTGTCTTATAGAAAGACGAAAGTTGGCAAAGCAGCCTGAAACAGTTTCTGTTGCTGAACTCAAAAGTCTGTTAGTACTCACAAGGAAACACTTTTTAGATTATTTTGATGCTGTGATTCCTAAAATGATTCTAAGAAAGATGGACAAAATTAAAACCTTCAATATATTAAATGGTAAGTTTTTTATTACTTTAAATTTTAGTTCGTGTGTGTGTGGCAACTATGACATTTATTATTAAAACTTATAAAATGTATTGGTCAAATCAAAATGTATTTCACAAATTTAAATAATAATAGATACTTATATAGATACAAGTATGTATGTATATGTGATGAACTGTATTACTCATTATTTAAACATTATAAATTTTCTAGTAACTTTTTTCATTAAGTATGTTCAGTGTAATTGTTTTTGGGCAGAGGAAGAAGCACTTTAAGATGATGCCTCTCTTTAGTCTTACTAAGCTGCTGAAATGTGTGAATTTCTATTAAGCTACATTTCCATAAAGTGTGGAAAGCAAAATCTACATAGTAAATTTAATAGAGGTAAAAGTCCATATGATAAGATGATGCATATTTAACATTCAATAGGGGAGGAACAGTCAGACTTCACTGAGACAGCTGGAAATCATTTCGTTATTTAGTTGTATTTCTTTCCGCTTTCCTGAGTTCCAGTGTTGTGATGAATTTGAATAACCTTGTTTAAGGACACAGGCTGTGGAGCTAAATGGTCAGGGTTCAAATCTCACTTTTGTTACTTGCTAACCAAATGTCTTTAGGCAAGTTATTCAACTCTTTGCCTGTTTCGTCATGTTTAAAATGGGAATAATAATATAACCCACTTACTAGGATTATTGTGAGGATTAGTAGGTTATTGTGAGGATTGAATGAGTTGATACCTGTAAAACACTTAGAACACAAGTACCAAAAAAGATGTTATTTGTTTTATCATTATCATCACCATCGCATATCAGTACCCAAGTTAAATAGCATACAGAGTTATCTGAAAGGTGCTGGAGACATTTTTAGATTACTTGTAAATGGGGCATGTGTTCAATAAGTGAGAGACCATAGCTCCATGGTTATAGCATGGACTCTGGAGCAAGACTAGCAGCTTACTTGCTGTGTGACCTTGGGCATGTTTTCTGATCTTTGTGCCTCTGCTTCTTTATCTTTAAATTAGGGATGACATAGGTAGTTATGAAGATTAAATTAATTATTCCTAAATTGCTTAGGCAGTTGCCTAGTATAAAGTAAGTGCTGGTTAAATAAATATGAATTTTGAGGAGAGAACTACAAGTAGGGTAGAATAGTCATGAAGGCTGATTAGGAGCCAAGGAAGTTGATGTAGGTCTTGAATGATGCATAAGATCTGGATAGAGGGAAGATAAGATTTGCCAGGTAGAAGCACCATATTCAGGGTCATGGAGGTAAGAAAAGGCAAACTGAGATCAAGAGAGAGATTGGCTTACCAGAGGATGTGTATGGGAGATAAGGGTTGAAAGATAGGAAGGGCTCAAATAATTGCTAGGGCTTTTATATAAGTTTAAGGGTATGTATCTTAGGGTTACCTGTACAAAGGATACTTGACACACTGAGCTGCAGGAGAGCTCATCTTAAAATCAAAAAGGTTTGAGCAAAGGATGAACACAATCTACAGTCAGATTATGTCACTCCTTTGCCCAGACCTTCTTGATTGCTTCTAATTGCACATAGAATGCATCATCCTTCATATGGTTTGTAAAAACCTTAAATGGTATCTGGCTTCATACTTATTCTAGTACCAGTACATTTCTGTTTCCTTTTTACCACAGGAAGTCCTTTCTTTCCTTGGACATGTTACATTTCTTTCTTTCTGCAGTGTCCTTTGCCTGGAATTCTTTTCTTCCAGCCTTTAGCTGATTAACTGACGATCGTTCTTCAGATCTTGATTTAAATGTAACTTTCTCAAAGAGGCTTTCCCAGACCTTCCCCAGTTTCAGTTGTTTTATGTTATACTTTCTCCCTGTAATTTTTTTTTCAAATTATTGGATCACATTTTAAGATTGCATTTATTGAATAAATGAAAGAAACTTGGAAGATTTTTAGAAACTGAACTGAAATTAGACAGGCTATGCATTTGAACATGACTCCTAAGAATGAAGTTGTGATTTTTAACATCTTTTGTTGCTTTGATTTGAAGAAATACATCTACTTGTAAATTACATAATGAAAGAAACACTAAGGCCAATTAGATATCATATTCTGACGACTCATTTGCAAGCATGCATATTAGGAGTTATTAATAATTAATAAAGTTATTTAATCTGCTTATTTTTTGGTAAAAACTCTAGCATGTATAACAAGTGACAAGACAGTATGTAGAAAATGGCTAATATAACGATTTATTTACACATTGTCACAAAGTTGCTAAAGACTTTGACAAAGTCAAATGTGATATCTGAACTCATAATACAATAACTACAATAACTGTCTCCTTTGCATGGGCCCATTGGACACATCAACACACTGCATAAGTAAGTTTTCCAGGTAATTCTATCAGATCGTTATTTTATTACTTCAAACACTTAAAAAGGATCTTCTGGCATTTATTTATAATTCTTGCTTTATTAATTTGCAATATAACATTTTCTTTGTGATTTATTCATATTTAAGTATGTAAGGTTATAATGGCCTCAATTCATTAACCACATAATGTCATCTCTTTTTGTTTGCTGTGATTTGTGATTTTATAGGTCAGTTTTCCCTATTTCCCTGTTGTGTTGGTTCTATTGTTCTATTTCTGTGTTTCCTGTAAAATGATTTTTTTTTTAAAGCAGTGTTCTTGGTTTCTCAGAGAGCCTTTGTGCTTTTTGGCTGTCAGCATAGCCCAGCGTTTTGACTGCCACATAAATGAAATGTGTTTTATTTTATTGTAAGAATTGTATTAAATGATTCCACAAAAGACATGAGACATATGAATGTTTTCCCACCTATTTCTTAATATTTAGCCTATGTAATTTATTTTTTAGGTTGTATATTATATTGTAATATTTAGGAACAATTTAATGTTTACTGTTATTTAAGATTGCTTATATTCTTTTATGAACTCATGGCATGAAGCTGTGCAGAAATGCAAGTGATTTTTTTCTTTATGCTTTTAGTGGAAAGCCGCATGAACATTCAGCAGCATGTTATTTTATTATAAAGCTCATTACTTTTTAAAATAGCATTTCACCACCTTTACTAAAAAATGTGAAGTGTTGTATTTGGATGGTTAGATAGGGCAGTTCAATATAGGTATTGAAAATATTTTAAACTATTCAAGGTTAAATAGTTTAATAAGTAAAAGGAAAATAAGATGCAGTTTGCATTAATTTTCATTTATGTTTCTTGTTTAAAAATTCCTTTAACAGGCCAGGCGTGGTGGCTCACGCCTATAATCCCAGCACTTTGGGAGGCCAAGGTGGATGGATCACTTGAGGCCAGATGTTCGAGACCAACCTGGCCAACATGGTGAACCCTTTTCTCTACTAAAAATACAAAAATAGGCCAGGCGCGGTGGCTCACACCTGTAATCCCAGCACTTTGGGAGGCCGAGGTGGGTGGATCACGAGGTCAGGAGATCGAGACCATCCTGGCCAACATGGTGAAACCCCGTCCCTACTGAAAATACAAAAAATTAGCCGGGCGTGGTGGTGCGTGCCTGTAGTCCCAGCTACTCTGGAGGCTGAGGCAGGAGAATGGCGTGAACCTGGGAGGCGGAGCTTGCAGTGAGCCGAGATTGCGCCACTGCACTCCAGCCTGGGTGACAGAGTGAAACTCCATCTCAAAAAAAAAAAAAAAAAAAAAATTAGCCGGGCGTGGTGGCGGGCACCTGTAGTCCCAGCTACTCGGGAGGCTGAGCCAGGAGAATGGCGTGAACCTGGGAGGCGGAGCTTGCAGTGAGCGGAGATTGGGCCAGTGCACTCCAGCCTGGGCGACAGCGAGACTCCGTCTCAAAAACATAAATAAATAAAAATAAAATAAAAATACAAAAATAAGCTGGGCATAGTGGCATGTACCTGTAATCCCAGCTACTTGGGAGCCTGAGGCAGGAGAATTGCTTGAACCCAGGAGGCAGAGGTTGCAGTGAGCTGAGATCACACCACTGCACTCCAGCCTGGGCGACAGAGTGAGACTCTTGTCTCTGGAAAAAGAAAAAAAAAAAAAAATTCCTTTACCAAATCATTACTTTCTCAGTCCTCTCAAAAATATAAAATGAATATTTTTGTTAATGTTGATAGTTAATCAAATAGCTAATGTTAATAATTTTCAATGAGTTTATTAGAACAATGTTCAAAACAATTCTAAAACCAGATAGTTTTGCAATCCAAAAAGTAGCACAGTTAGTAATTTTGCCAGTGTTAAAACAGTTTGAATATATTAATACTATTTATAATAATTTCTAATAAGAACAGAAACTGTCCCTTTAGGTTTTCATTGAAAATCCCAATATTAACAGCAATCTCAATATAGTTCACTGCAGTGTATTATCTAGAAAGATAAGCACACTCTTACACATAATATTTGATTAGTAGAAAATAACACTGCATGTTAGTGATTTGAAGGTGTGTATGTTTAACCATCTTGGTTTCTGCGAGAGAACATCAGAACATCATAACTTATCTATTATTATTGTAGTTTTGAGAATAAGGTAATCTCTTTTTAAACAATGTAATTTTTTGGTCTATTTGTGCTAATTCCTATTTCTAGTATGAAAATCACACAGAATATCCAATATATTCTCTACAGAGTTATCTTCTTTTCATTTAGAACTGTTTTCACCCAAAATAGCAAAGTTATGCTTTTATTCCATAGGAGTCCTAAATAGTGCTAATTCAATTTTGTGAATTTTAGCTTATGACATTTATTATGAAGTGATATTTTATTTTTATTTGCAACAAACATTTCTATGGCCTTTTGTACAGTTTAGGCCATCAGAGAGGTCTTTAATAAATGCCTAAGGTAAGTATGCCTTTATAGACACACATACACACACACGTATGTATGTGTCTGTAAATACACATTTTTATTAGCAAAATTCAGTATGATAATACTTTTCAGACTTATGTGTATTTCTTTCACTTTAGATTTTAGTCCAGTGGAACCTAATTCCTCAAGTCTAATGGAAACCAATCCTCTGGAATGGCCAGAAAGGCATGTTCTTCAAAATTTGGAAACTTTTGAAAAAACTAAACAAAAAATGAGGTAATATTTGAATCTGTAGTAAAGCATGTGATAGCTCAGTAATTTGAATGAATTTTTTAAAATAGTTAAATTATGTTTATGAGATTTAAGCAGTTTATTGTTTTATTATAAAAGAAATACATACTTACTGTGAATAGATAGTTAATCACTAGAGTAGTATATCAATTAAAAGGGAAGGGCTCATCTTGCTCTGCCCTGCACTTGTACTTTCTAGGTCTGTGTCATCACAGTGAACATTTTGGTATATAGCCTTTCAGACCATCTTCCATAGACATACACAGTATATGAAGATATAAGAAAATCTTACTACAAGAACATGTAAAACAAAGTAGAAGTACTTGCCTCATTTGAACCACTTTGATCTTTTCCTGTTTTACATTCATATATGTTTATACAGTGCCTATGAATGAACTGTATGAGGCAGGATTTTTTGTTTTATTTTGTTTTTGTTATTTTGGTTCAGTACATAGTAGGCCCTTAGTACATAATTGTTAAATGATGAAATAAAAGAGGAGAAGCTAAGCTCTCTTACATTACTTTTCTCCGAAATATTACAAATCACATTTTTATTTTTAGCTTCTCCATGGGTAGTATTTTATTACTTGCTATAGCTTTGTTTCATACACATGAAACAGGCATTTATTGAGTACCAACCATGTGTCAGGCGCTGGGAATATGAGGAATAACAAGCTGTGCACTGCCCCTCTCATCTAGAGCTTAGCTTTTAATGACAGCAGCAATCAAAACAAGTAACCAGACAAGTAAATGTAATAGTTGTAAATTATTCTGTGTGTAATGAATGAAATAAAAAGACTGGGGGAGAAAAATTTTATTTGTTGTGGGGAGGGAAGTGGTAGTACTCACTTAGATGAGGTGGATGGTCAGGGAGACCTCTTAGAGGACGTTACATTTGAGCTGAGACCTAACGGATAAATGGGTGAAGTACATTCAGTCACACAGGACCAAATAGGTCCTCATACACAGTTCAGATTTCATTTTAAGTGCATTGGTGGGAGGATTTCATATGAAAGAGTGATGGGATATGATTTTGCAAAAATTTTGCTTTCTTACGGCAAATAAATTGCAGGAGGGAGAGATTAGAGCAGAGAGACAGATGGCTCTATCTGTAGGCTAAGTGAGAGATGACTGTAATTTCAAACTAGAGCAGTAGTAGTGGAAATAAATTTGGGAGATAACGTTAGTGGTAAGCTGGTGAAAAGCTTCCTATGATGCATTAGATGTGGAATAGAGGGAAAGGAAATGTTGAAGATCATTTAGATTTCTGGCTTCAGTCGAGTGAGTGGTGTTCTTCTGGGGTAGATGGGTGGAAACTTAGGGTGAGGACAGCTTTGGGGAGAAAAAGTCAAGAATTCTTCTTTAGGGATGATACGTTTGATCTATCCAAGTGGAAATAACAAGTGGACTGTGGGGATATCTGGAACTCACTCAATTTGGAGTTATCATCAGTAGGGATTTCCAAATACATGATGGTTGATGAGTTACATGGTGAGACTATGAGGCAAAAAGAAATGGAGGCTAAGACCACTCCTTAAGAATCCCTGGTGTTTATAGGTTAGGCAGGAGAAGACAAGAAAGAAGAGTGAGAAAAGGACAGGTTCCCCATGAGAGAACCTCAATTTCTTGCCTACCAATTTTAGATGATATCTTATAACTTCCCACTGGGAAAGATGAGTAATTAACACCCTTATTTTTCTTCCCTTTTTATCTTCTATCTCTAAACCTTATGCTATTTGCAGTATACAAGTCTTAATTTTATTTTTCTTCTCTCTGAGTTCCTACTCTAACTTGGCTGACTCTACCTGCATATTTGTTATCCTGGTATTTCTTTTGATTACATTTTAGATTAGTTCTGTATTTTCTTGGATTTCATATATTAAAGAGAAGTCTGATGCCACATCGATTTTTGTTCCTCAATAAGTATTTTATTTTGTCTCTAAAACTTTTACAATTTTCTATTTTCTTTAATGTTCTGAAATTACAAGAGGCCATGGTATGAGATGTTTTAGATTCAAGTCTTTTGTCTTTTTGTGGCTCTGAGAAATATCTTATTATTTCTTCAATACTATTCTTCCCTTCATTTTCTTTTTTTCTTTCTCTCTGAAATACCTATTTTAATTAATATTAAACATTCTGGATTGATGTTTTTTAATTTGATTTTTTTCTTAATATTCTATCTCTAACTTTTCTGCTCTATGTTCTGGGGAATTTCCTTTACCTTTGGTTTCATCTTTTCTGTTAAAATTTTTGGTAGTCATATTTTAAATTTCTAATAGTTTGCTCTTGTTCTTCTGCTGTATTTTTTCTAGCAACCTATTCTTTTATTAATAAGACTTGAGATGATACTGTAAGGATATTAATTAGAATTTTCTTTAAATTTGTTTTATCTGTTTCTTGAATTATCTCATTTCCATTTGCAGCTGTTTTATTTGTTCTTCTGGTGTTTTTCTCTTATGTGTAATTTTTCTCCAGTGTCTGGTTGTCCTTGATTGTCTCTTCATAACTAGGAATATAGGGCCCTGTTGCTTTCTATAGGTAGTTGGCATGTATTTTCTTTCCATAGGTTTAGTCCTGTTCCCCACGTCTCTCACTTATATTAATGTTAGGAGAAGGGAGAGCCGGGGTAGAGAATGTTTGTCAGGCTTCACTTTAGGGCATACTTTAGGGTATCAGCAGGCAGGAAGCATTGGTGCTTCACCCAGCACTAAATTACAGGGGCTTTATTCTGGGCCATCACCACTGACACTGAGACAGGCACTGTATCTTTACAAATTAAAATCATTGTATAGCTCCCACCCTGCTGGAGTATGAAGTCCGGAGAGAATTTGAGTGTTTTGTTGACTGTTTTTATTAGATTAATATTTTCAGTTTAAAAACAAAGGAATAGGAAGAGGAAAGAGGCACTGTCAGTATTTTATTGACCCTTAATATACAGAAATATGTTTAAAACTGTAATGTCAACATTTTAATCATGTAATTATCAGTAATTATGCTTAATTTGAGTAATAATCAGGAAATAGTTGAGTTAATATGAAGTTAGGAAATTAATTTTCTGTGCAGACATTGAAATATTTTATTTATGCTATGGTAACAGAGCTAAGGTGATCTGATTCAGTGCATAGTGAAACCTCTAACTGAAACCTCTAACTGGAAACATCTAACTGAAACTACAGTGCTTTTCACTTGCCGGTATTTAAAACTTTCTGTGAGTTTTTTTTCATTTATAGGGTCATAGAGTAGAAATAATAACTAATTTGGAGTTAGTCTGGTTCTATCATTTTAAATAGCTGTATCACCCTGCGTCTGTAATGTAACCTTTTGTATGTTAGCATCTTTACTTGACAAGTCGGAATAATGATTGCTTTTTAAGCTTGGCATGCCGATTTTCACTTTACAAAGTACTTATTTTTAGTTATTATTTCATTTTGAGATAAGACCTATTCCATCTTTTTCAAGGAAACTTGTGAGGATTAAGAATATATTATATGTAAAGTAGTTTGAAAAATATAAAGTCCTGCATGTATTTCAGGTATATAATAATGATTCAGTGCTTATTCATAATGTCATCATCATGGCTACAAGAGACTTTGGGGAGATTTCTGATTATTGTCTCATTTCACGGTTGTGCTTCAAGTAATCTTTCCAGTTCATGGAAAATTGGAACATTCAGTCACTTCCCTCAAAAATTTATAGTATTGTGGGGTTTCAGAACATACAAGAGAATTTAGATTTAAGTTTTATAGAATTGGTAACTTCACACCACTGAATAATAGGCCATCATTAATAGATAATGTAATTATGTTTCTTTTAAGTAGTTAAAATACTACTTCTTGACATGATAACTGCAAGTTTTATTGTGACCTAAAGATTTTTTAAAACATAGTTAGAAACTAAGTTATTTGCAAATATTTTACTTTATTGTCTGTCCTAAATGTTTAATTCTCCCATGTTGCTGGTGTGTTTTTCTGGTTTCTGCTCACATCTTCTTTTCCCGACTGTGCTTTTTTTTTTTTTTGACTCTGGCTTCTCTCTGGATTGAATCCACTTTTAATAAATCTGCATAACATTATTTTCCCAGAACTGGTTCATTACCTCATTCATCTGAACAGTTGCTGGGCCACAAAGAGGGTCCTCGGGACTCAATCACATTGTTGGATGCTAAAGAATTGCTGAAGTACTTTACCTCAGATGGATTACCCATTGGAGATCTTCAACCTTTACCGATTCAAAAGGGGTAGGTTATAAACTTATAATTTCCAGTTAACTTTTTAAAAATTACTTTTAAATAAAATTGTGTCTCATTTCCTTATTAATTGATGTCCTATGCTACTCAGGGAAAATTTATAAGTTTGATCCCAATGTTTGTCTGTTGGCCTTAATCTTCACTTTTTACCTTATCAAAATATCCTACTGTTTTGTGGTATTGAATATAAGAGAAACAGGAATAAGAAAAGCAAACTCACCATATTCCCTGTAGAAGTCAGTAACTTCTATTTGGTATGCAAAGGACAATGCTTTCTAAAAAAAATAGGAATTTGACTTACAAAATTTTTTTTTTAGTTCTCTTTTCTGTGTTACTGTAGTGTTGATATTGCCACTACTCAGCATGAGCATTGTCAGGCATGCCTAATAGTAGCAAAAAGCATGGCCTTTCACCTGAAGAACAGGAAAATGTAATAAAAATGCTTTGGAAACTATGACATTGCCAAGTAAGAATTCAGTGTCTACGTGAATAAATTACAACTAATTTGACTTCCAAGACAGTTTTCACTAAGTTACTAGTTAATAAATGCTGCATGTTGCTGACTTTGACAAAATTGACTGTAAAATTGTGACATCAAATACCTGTGAGAATTGAATAATTTACTAATTACTCTAATGTCTTTTTAATTGTTAATTCATTACTTTGAAAACCTTCCAAAAGACCTTAAAAATTGTAGATCACTTTGATCACTTTTATAAGCTTAATCGGAATTATACTGTATAAATATTGCCTTTAAAGGTGAATTTTGCAAAGGAGTTATTTGAAGGCAGTTATATCTCAGAAATATTGCTGGAACATTATTGCTTTATGTGCATGTTCACTAGAGAGAGATAAAGAGCAACTGAAAATTTGAGAGTCTTAATGACTTAATGATTTTAATGACATAAAAATTATATAATTTTGGAGTAATTTTTTTCCCATAACTTTGAAAGATTGATAACCTTTTGTTGTGGGAATCAAGAAAGTAAAGAAATATACATGTTTTCATCTATTTAGTTATTGGATTACTGTCCTTTCAAATCATTAAGCACAAACTGGCAGAGTCAGTTGGTTTGCCTAAACTGAATTATTTATGTAAGTTGTACTCTTTTTACAGAATGTCTTTCTAGATGCATTGTAGGGGAGATAAAGTTAGTTCTTTCTGGAAACTAATTGTAGGTGATTTATTTAGGAAAATTTGATGTGATTCTTCAATGTTAGTAAAGAACTGCATGGCTATCAAATGTATCTTCTGTTAACATTAGAGTTGAAGGATGAGTTTTCATGGTAATAAATCAGGAACCTATATGCTCTTATTAAATGTTTACCTGCACAAGAAGCCATCCAAAATACTGTGTTAAACAAAGTACAAACATGACTCCTATGTATATACCAAGGAAATAATAAACATTGACAAAACACATATTTATCAACATGTTTATTTTAGAAAGAAAAACTTGTGAGTGAAATTAAACAAAAATAGGTAAGGTTGCTGAGGGCGATTGATATGAGAAATGAGAGACAATATGGTAAAGGAAAGAAGTAAAATGCTAGATAAAGATTTCCATTTTACAAAATTATTTTAATAATCATCGAAATACTGGGGTCATTGTAATTTACTAATGTTACTTTTTGTGGAATAATTTAAATGGATGCATTTGAATATAATGTCTGCTTTTTAGGATTCATTAATTGGCATGAATTTTACATTTTAATGTAATAATTTCGAATGCTTATCATAGTACCCTAGATAATTTTCAGTGGCAGGACAGTTTTCATTACCAATGCCATAGGGGGGAAAATGTGATAGCAAATTTATTCTTAGTACTCTACTATTTACTTACCCTTCTACATACCATTTCCAACTCTTCTGAACTCAAGCCCCTGGTATTTCATTTTACCTAGTAACTATTTAAAGACCACTGTTGCATAATTTCCCCATTTCCTGAACTTCTGAGCTTCAGGACCATGATCCATTACATTACAACAGTGGTTTCCAGCTCAGAGAAGGACGGCACCTATCGGAATAATCCAGAGAGCTTAATCTAATTGCAGTGACCCTCTTCTTTCCCAGATTTTGATATATCGCTGTAGTTCTAGGTGTGGAAAGGCTTGAACATGAATATTTTATGTAAACTCGACATATGATTAGTTCTAACATGCCAGTTGATTGAAAACCTACTTCAGAAAAAGAACTGAACTCAGCAGTTAGTCTCTATACCCTCTGATATTTAAAAAGTTGCTGACTCTTAAAGTAGGTGCCAGTGACTACATTCTCAAGCAAAGAAAGATCTGGGTCCCACGTGTTTTAGTAGGAAGTAAATACTTTTATTGTTACCAAAGATTCAAGTTGACTTTAATTATTCCCCTGCAGAAAAGGATTTAACTAAATGCCTAAACATTAGTTTACTCTACCAAGGAAAATCTTCCAGAAATAAGGCTGCCTCTTGGCTGGACGCAGTGGCTCATGCCAGTAATCCTAACACTTTGGGAGGCTGAGGCCGGCGGATCACTTGAGGTCAGGAGTTTGAGACCAGCCTGGCCAACATGGTGAAACCCTGTCTCTACTAAAAATACAAAAATTAGTTGGACATGGGAGCGGGTGCCTGTAATTCTAGCTACTCGGGAAGCTGAGGCAGGAGAATCGCTTGAACCTGGGAGGCAGAAGTTGCAGTGAGCTGAGATTACACCACTACACCCCAGCCTGGACGACAGAGTGAGACTCCGTCCCCACCGCCCCCCCAAAAAAAGAAAGAAATAATACTGCCTCTTGAATTTCCATTATAAATCATATTGCATTTTTGTTTTACCCATTTCTCAGAATAGTTTTGTGCAATAAATAACATCATAACTTATTGAGGTACAGAAAATTTAAGTAATGAAAGCCAAGGCCTAACCTTGCTTCATTTCCTTATTATACTTTCTGGTGTGCCTTAACCTTTGTCCCATATAAAATTCCAATTGTAGAGGAAAAAGTCAGATTTGTTTCATTAGATACTTTCTTTAACTTTCTTTTTGTCAGTAAATAAACTTTGAATACAAATGAAAAATTTTTTGTTTCAGGGAAAAGACTTTTGTTTTGACACCAGAACTTAGTCCTGGGAAACTTCAGGTCTTACCTTTTGAGAAAGCCTCAGTATGTCATTATCATGGAATTGAGTAAGTTTTTATTTGTACTTTACTCTTCTGTATGTTGTTGATACAGCCTGTCTTGTGTGAAGAGTGACTTTAATAAAATGATATAAATTGAGACAGAGACCAAGAGGATATGTCAAAAACCTCAAAAAGCAAAGTAGTGCATACAAAAATAATTTGTCTTCTGTTGAAGAAGTTATTTGATGATTAATCAGCTTAATAGCATTTAAGCATCCTATTATTAGTTACTATATATTTTAATCAAAATTGTTTTGGTCCCTATGTTATAAATGTATATTCACACTATGGGTCACATTAATATTTCCTGGTCACCAATTACATTGTAGTTGCTCAGAAATTGTTAGATAGGGCCCAGCATTTCAATACTAGATATTTTTCCAAGAGGAAGACTTATACAAGTATGCACATAATAGTTTAATTCTCAATATCCTCAAACTGGAAAGAGCCTAGGAGGATATCAATAGGAAAATAGATAAACTATGGTATATTTATATAAAGCAATACTATTCAACTATAACAAGGAATGAAATATCGATACATCCAGCAACATTAAATATCTGTCTGTGTGAAAAATACTTGAAATAAGGATTTGAGGCCAGACACGGTGGCTAACGCCTGTAATCCCAACACTTTGAGAAGCTGAGGCAGGTGGATCGCTTGAGCCCAGGAGTTTGAGACCAGCCTGGGCAACATGGTGAAACCCTGTCTCTACAAAAAAAATATAAAAATTAGCTGGGCATAGTGGTGTATGTGTGTGCCTGTAGTCCTAGCTACTCAGGATGCTGAGGCAGGAGGATCGATTGATATTGGGAGATTGAGGCTGCAGTGAGCCATGAACATGCCACTGCACTCCTGCTGGGTGACAGAATGAGACCCTGTCTCAAGAAAAAAAAAAAAAAAAAGAATTTGAAGACTTTGAAATTAGCAGTATGAAGTATAACATTCAATAGTGATTTATTTCTAAAAGAAATCCTGTATGAAATGCTAATTTGAATCTAAATGGTAAGATAAGATTTTTAAATTGTTTTGTGAACAACAGATCGGCAACTCGGAGATAGCTACTAAATTATAAAAAGATAAGATATGCCACCCGATCCATGTTTTTAGTTCTGCTATTTGACTAAAGGATTCCTTGTTTGAGAGGATTATTATTCTCCCTTTAACATGAAAAAGGTAGGGATGTTTCCCAAATAGCCTTAAATTTAGCTGAAGCTTTTACTTAAACTATATTTTTAGCCATATACCCTTCTGTGGATTGATTACAAAATTTTACTTCTCTTTTTTCTTTTCTAGACAGTCTCACTTTTTCACCCAGGCTGAGTGCAGTGGCACAATCTTGGCTCACTGCAACCTCCGTTTCCCGGGTTCAAGTGATTCTCATGCCTCAGCCTCCCAGGTAACTGGGATTACAGGCATGCACCACCACGCCTGGCTAATTTTTATATTTTTAGTAGAGACAGGGTTTAGCCATGTTGGCCAGGCGGTCTTGAACTCCTAACCTCAGGTGATCCACCTGCCTCAGCCTCAAAAAGTTCTGGGATTACAGGCATGAGCCACCGCACCCACCCCAAAATTTTACTTTTCATTTATACTAAGTTCATTAAATTTAAGTGGGAACATCTTGTTCTACTATATAAACATTTGATTAATAGGATATATTTTTCTGTTTTCCCCCTTCTGATTTTATTAAAGACTTAGAAATTAAACATTATAGAAAAGTTTATAATGAAAACCAACAATTCCTTTCCTTATTACTACCTAACTGCATCCCAGTTTTTAGAAAAAAACAATATATATATTATTTGTTTGGTTTAGTTTCCCTGGTGGTTATCTCTCATTTTAAAAAATACCCTTATGTCAATATTTTTAACTGTCACAATATAAAATATTGACTCTGCTATGAAGATTTGGTTCTTCTTCTCAAGTTGAGCTCTCCGCTATTTACTTTCATGTTTTTAAATATATACACATTTAAACTTCTCCTTCTTATTCCATCAGCTATAAAGCAGTATCTCCCCCACTTTGTTTGATAAGAATTTTAGGACCTGTTAATCTGTTAATCTGTTAAAGGAAACTAATTAAAAATTTTAGGTATTTTGTATTTAATTTGAATGTGAAAGTTGAAACCAGTCAACAGTGTTTATATTATTATTATGAAAAGTAGCGTTCACTGTTGAGAAAATGTGCTAGTATTAACATTTGCTTTGCTACATGGCCAGAATACCCCAGGACACATCTGTTTTTCTCTTCTTCAGCCCTATAAACACACTGAAGCACTGATTTGAATAAAATAAGCTACAATAATTACATTTTAACTGCTGACTAAAGTGTCCATCATATAATCTTATTTAGATTATTTCTCCCAAAATTTTAATTTAGTTTTGTTTATTCTGTGTCTCCATCTCGCTACTCTTTTTTTTCTGCTGTTTTTAATTTACTATAGAAGAAATCTTGATATATACAAATTTATAAAATTTGTCAAGGATATGTTCTTCATGATCATTTATCAAAATATTAAATTAAGATTTATTTGAGTACTGTGTCCTGAAGGGCTTAAATCTACACAGAGCTTTATTAACTTATACACATACAATGTTATGAAATTCTGATTCACTGTAAAAAGTATTTCTCTTCTCCACTACCTACCTACTCCCATAAACAAATAAACAAATCTATCTGTGACTCACTTTTTTTTACTGTAAATTTATGCTCATTAAACTGGGGACATTGAGACTAGGCTGACAAAGTTGTAGGAGGTGAGCACCATGAATTCAGAAACATGTTTTTTTCAAGAAGATTTGGGTGTATAGTATGAGAACCGATTTATGTTCAACATAGATTATGGTGTAGAAACAAAGTCAAGTAACATTTTAAAGTAAATATGAAACTACAAAGAAAGTTCTCTTACGTTATTGTGGGCCTTTAGAACCCTGGAGCTCTTTCTCTGATACAAAGGAATATTTGGAAAGAATGTGTTAATGGCATGGGAGCAAAACAATGTTTTTTAAGGCAAGTTAAAATATTAACCACTGTTGGCTTGTTTGTTTTTTCACTTATTTACCCTATCCTGGAATTTAAGATGCCATTAATTGTAAAATACACTGTTTTATTAAACAGCTAATTAAACTCTGCTGTCATACTCTGACAATCATTTGATCACACCAGGCTCTCATTGCTTTGAAACTTCCTTCATCTATTCCAAGAGATTTGGCAGTTCCTTCTGCCTTAATTGGTATTGGTTGGTTTGTGATAGGCAGTATTTTGTGTATTTCTTAGTTACAAAACAAAAACAGCTTCATTGTCTTATGGGTGTTTTTCTTTGTTAGGACCCATAAAGCATTTGCTTATTGTTTTGTAAGAAAATATGGAATTGTGGTCATTCATCCAACAATAAATTTTTACTTCACTAATATCAAATATACACCCTGCCCCTTGCCTCTCTGTTTCTTTTCTCTAATTTACAAAGTAAATTTTTGTTCCGATGGCAAATCATAGTATAATCATTTTAAAGATATTTTAAATGGCAATTAACATCAACATGTACAGTGTGCATAATTCAGTTGAAGCTATGACACTATGAACAGCTGTGATCAAGAGATGTTAAAACCGGAAGAAAAAAATCTGCATCTTAGAAATAAAATCTTAAGGTAGAAAGAAATATTCATCTTAGAATCAAAATATGCATCTTTTCTCTCAAAAATTTTCTGTATTCAAGCTCATCAGGCATTATATTGCCTCTTGCCAGACTCTTGAAATTCACATTTCCAATTTTACTCTAGATTCTACCAATTACCCATGATAGAAGTCGGACTCATCAGTAACCCTTAGGGTTGCTTCTGGTTTTTAATGAAATATGTTTCTTAAGCAACAGACTAGAGAAAGAATATTAGCTAGAGAGATGCCAAGACCTAGGTTCTACTCCCTACTCTGCCACCAACTCACATTCAGATTTAGAGATCAATTTTGTCACCGGTTAAATTAAACTGAGTAGATCAGAGATTTTTCAGTCCTAGTTATAATTTAGAATCATCTAAGTAGACTTTTTAAAAAGTGTGTATTTTTAATATTTAAATATAATTAATTTTAATATAATAAGATGTTTTGATGTACGTATGTATAGTGAAATGATCACTGTAGCCAGGCAAACTAACATAACCATCATCTCACATAGTTACCTCTTGTTTTGTGTGCCAAGAGCACCCAAAGTCTAGTCTCTTAGCAAATTTTCAATATACAGTACATATGATTAACTATAGTCCTTGTACTGTATGCTAGATTTCTAGATTTATTCATCCTACATAACTCTGCAACTTTGTACCCTTTAATCTACATCTTTCCATAACCTTCCCCATCCCCATAACCACTATTCTACTCTGTTTCTATGGATTTGAGTAGTTTTTTAAGAATCACCCAGGCAGATTTTTAAAACTGTCAAAGACAGAGTATTACCCTAGACCAATTAAATCAGAAACACTGAGCAAGTAGTATTTCTTGAAAGCTCTTCAGATGGTTCTAATGCTCAGCCATGTGTTGAACAGGAGTAAGATGATTCTTACACTTTACATAGAGATAGTATACCAAAATGGTTAAAGTCAGGCTCTGAAGTCACCAACCTGGGTTTACATTCTGGCTGTGCTACATATTGTCAGCATACTGCCAGCTTTACTGTGGTAGAAAATAAATCTAATGATGATGATAACAATAATAGTAACATACATTTCTTGACTGCCCTGTTTGCATGTTTCAGGCACTGATTCTAAGTGTTTATGTGTACAATTCAAGAAATTATCACAATAGCTTTTTCAGATAAGTACTATAATTCTCATTTTGCAGATGAAGCAACAGAATCATAGATAAAATTAAGTAATTTGGCCAAGTTCTCACAGCTAATAAGTAGAGGAGCCTGGATTTAAATCCATGGACTCTGACTCCGTAAGTCTGTATCAAATATGTAAGTGTCACAAGGGAAAGATAAGGTTCTTAAAACCTCCATCAAGCAGTCAGATGTTCAGGAAATGATAACACTCCTTGGGAGTTGAACTAAATCTTTTGGATACAAAAATCTGATTTTAGGCAGTATCTTAGAATTTTGCAGGTAAAAATGACAGGTCACAGAGAAAGGTTTTAATTTGTACAGTGCTACCATCACATATGTGAAGCCATTTGTGTTTTTTTAATGCTGTTGTAGATAAGGAAGAAAGTGAAGAGTTGTCCAAGGTCACACAGCTCCTAGGTGATCTTCCTGATATCCTTGTTTGTTGTACTTAACAACCTAGGATTTCTTTGAGTCCAGAAGCATTCACTGAGCTGACATTTCATTGATGCCCTGAATCAGATTCAGCTAGAAACCACATGCACAGACAGCCGAAGTGTTTGAAGGAAAATCTGTCAATTAGTTAATAAGGTGGGAACTGAGTTTCAAAGAAAAAATTCTAAATGTTCTAAGCTGTTTGGTGAGCCAGTTTAGAATGCCTTTATACCCTTTTAATCTTTGTGTTGAGAATAAACTTGCCCTTTCTAACAGAAGTCAGCAGTTCATGTTGTCATATATCAGCCATACTGAGAAATCAGGGGTTGGTAGAGTTTTAAAAAGCATTAAAACAGCAACTGTATTATTTTGAAAATAAGCCAAAGGATTAACTTAATCTGTTGCCCAGAAACACAAGTGAAAGAGAAACACAAGTGAAAGACATTTTTTAATCTTTTGCCATATCATATAGCAAACTAGAAGAAAACTGAACTTGGGAGGGAAATAGGCCAGCCACTCAACCTTCCAGCAATTATTAGGAAATTAAACAAGAACTCTTAAAGTAAATGTCCTGCTATTTTCTCATTGAAAGGGGAAAGTCTGTTGCTCTCATGGAGGTTTACATTTTAATGCTCTTTCACTCATTTTAGATATTGCTTGGATGACCGAAAAGCTTTGGAAAGAGATGGAGGATTTTCTGAACTTCAGTCTCGTCTTATTCGTTATGAAACTCAAACTACCTGCACCAGAGAAAGTTTTCCAGTACCTACTGTGTTGAGCCCTCTTCCATCTCCTGTAGTTTCGTCAGATCCTGGAAGTGTCCCTGACGGAGAAGTTTTACAAAATGAACTTCGAACTGAAGTATCCCGATTGAAACGGAGATCTAAAGATCTGAATTGCCTTTATCCCAGAAAAAGGTGATATATTACATGCACATAAATAGTATATTGACAGAAAGTATTTTAGTCTCGAGGATTTTTATTTTATTTTATATTAGTCTTTCAGGTTAATTTCTTCATGGCAAGAAGTTTGTTTTATGAGCTGTTGATAATTTTGCTTATAAGTTATAAAAATAAATGATTTGGGAAAAAAACACAGTTTCTTGCTTTATATGCTAATATACAGTCCATTAGCACAATGGATTGTAAAGTTTTTAAGCCATGGAACAGTGGAGATTTCACCCCATAGATTAAGCTGCTGAGCTGCCCTGTTGAAGAGACTGTTTGGGGATGGGAGTTCTCCCATTAGCTCTTCCTTTCCTTTCCCCTCAGTTTCCTGCCTGCATTGTTCCCTTGAGCAAGAGATTCCATGAGGTACCATTTTTAAAACACCTGTTACATATAAAATATAGCTTTAAACACTGCATAATGATAGAATATATGAAACTTTTCTGGATGCGTTAGTTTGCTAACTAAATGAAATATCCAGATACTTGATCAGAAGTTAGAAGTTTATGTAGTGAACACTAATTTTTATTGAATTTATGTTATCTTTAGAACCTTTGTCAAACTTAGGTTCTTGGCATCTAAAGCAAGGCTTGAATTCTTATTGTATTTAAACCTTGCAAAAAGTATGAACTATATGAAAACATAACTTTCAGATCTTTTTTTGAATAGTTAAGAAAGTTAGAATAAGGTTACCCTGATATGGAAGAACTCAGTCATTTTTATGAGGACTTTATAAATTCATGGTACTTTTTATACCTGATAAAATTAAAAAGCAGCAGTTACATTTGGGGTACTATATTTATAGCCATATTTCTTATTTCTGACCTATGGCTAATAAAAATATATGTGTTCCTAAAAGGAATGTATACTGTGGCTTCTGGGTCAGCAGAATTGAGGGCTATAAGACCCTATCTTGTAAAGGGAAAAATTTGGGCCTTGTCAGGAACAAATGTAAACATTTTAGGAAGATTGAAGTATGAACCAGTTTTATAGTTTATTTGTATTTGTTTTAACACTATGACTTATTTTGCAAGGGAGTTCCATGGGTATAAAAAGATACAGGTTGTGGTGTTTCTGTTCAAATTATCTTAACAGAAAAGTATAAATATTTAACAGATTAGTATTAAATCTATAAATAGCAGCACTCTTGGCATGCATAGCTGATTTATTTGAGAAATTGTAAATTGGAGGGATGGGAGAGAGTATAACAATATTGTTTGTTGCTTTCTCTATTAGCCAAAATCCTAGTTTGCTATTCATTACCTTCTATGTGTTAGTTACTCATCTGAAGAACTAAGGAACAACTTTATAATATGATGTTTATTGCTTACTTAAGGCAGTAATAGCAATAAATTTTGTTTGCTTTTCTTGAATTTATGTTATAATGGATATAGTGGTAACACTATAACATAGTGGTATAGTGTTATATATTATGTAATATATTATGTTATATATTATCTATTATGTAATAACAGTGGTATAATATAGTGGTAACACACTGGTAAGACAGAAAATGAACTTCGATGTTGATTCACTTAATGGATATAGTTGTAATATTTAAGACAGAAAATGAACTTCGATGTTGATTCGCTTAATCTACGTTCTTGATTTTTTTCCCCTGCTATATAGACTTGTGAAATCTGAAAGTTCAGAGTCTCTTCTTTCTCAGACAACTGGTAATAGTAATCACTATCATCATCATGTGACATCCAGAAAGCCACAAACAGAACGGTCCTTACCAGTGACTTGTCCATTGGTTCCAATTCCTAGCTGTGAAACTCCAAAACTTGCTACAAAGACCAGTTCAGGTCAAAAAAGTATGCATGAATCAAAAACATCAAGGCAAATTAAGGAATCAAGATCACAGAAACACACACGGGTAAAGATTTATTTCCCATTTTTCTTAGTTCTACATAGGAAGACTTTTTAAATTTGATTACTTTAAAATATATGTCTAAAAAATTTTATGAATGAAATGAAACGATGTCTAGAATTTACTGGTGTAAGAAGGATGATAGGAAAGTAGGTGGGGATATAATTGAAACAAGATTAGCCACAGATTAATCATACTTGAAGCTGGTTAAAAGATATATCAAGATAGAAATTTGTTATAAAATATTCTGTGCGTGTCAAATATTCTCTACTTTTCTATGCTTGAAATTTCCCATAATAAAAAATAAATATACACTTACATATCCCTGCTGTGTGTAACTTTAACACTCAGATTTCAATTCAGAACTCATGATTTGAGTTCCTTTCTTAAGACACTGTAGTCATTTCCTGCTAACATATTATTCCTGTGACACTTCTGACCATGTAAATGTTAGATCTTTTTTTTCTCAATCATTTTGTCTTAATGAACCTGTCTGTCTTTTAGCACAGCAAAATGAATGTGTAATTCACAGGATTGAACTCTAAAGCTGAAATAATAGGTTTGTGCCTTTTCCAAGAAATATTCGTCATATGTTATGTTCTGTTCAAGATACTGAAAGAAGTAGTTACTGAAACCCTGAAGAAACACAGTATTACCGAGACTCATGAATGTTTCACTGCATGCAGCCAGCGTCTCTTTGAAATCTCTAAGTTCTATCTAAAGGTACGGTATCTTCTCTACTAATGGCAAAATTTAGTTCATGTTCTAATGTTCCTGTTTGACATAAAAAAAAGTTTGAGTATTTTTTATACTGAGAGCGTATACTTGCTGCCAGATTTATTAAATGATGGAGATAGAAAAATTGAAGCCAAAATACTTTATATTTGATTTGATTTGAGTTCTCATATATAGAAAGCTACATTTTAACCAATATCCTATTTCCCCTAATGTGCATTTGACTTACAGGTAATAAGCTTCATAACATGTTTAATTATTAATTTTTTAATACAGTTGGCCCTCCATATCTGTGGGTTCTATATCCATGGGTTCTGCATCCATGGGTTAACTGCAAATTGAAAATGTTCTGAAAAAAAAAAAAAAAGGATGCTGCATCTGTACTGAACATGTACAGACTTTTTAAAAAGTATATGGGAAAATGTGCATAGGATATATGCAAATACTACACCATTTTATATAAGGGACTCGACTGTCAGTGGATTTTGGTATTCTCAGTGGGATCATGGAATCATCCTTCGCAGAGACCAAGGGATGACTGTGTAGTAAAAAGGCTACTGGACTAAATATCAAAACACCTAGTTTCTAATTTTGGATCCATTATCAGCTAGTTGTAAGACATTGGACAGGTCAGTCACTCAAGACGATGGTTTTCTAAAACTTAGACAATGTTAGATTATGTCCAGCCTTAGGAGTTTCTGACCTGAATCACAGTTATCTGTGGGTTTCTGGTTAAAACTGCAGATCTATCACATATCCAAGAGAAAGGACAAGAAAAAACTGGAAATGTTTTTAATACATATTGAACAATAACAAAAAAGCACATGGAAGTGTGGTGTAACAGAGTGAAAAGAGTTACAATTTAATTGGGTGCCTAGTGGAATACTAGTGAGAAGCATGTTAATTCCACAGAAGCTGAGGTGCTCAGGATTTGAAGACACCAGCTATCATGGAAAGCAGGGGCGAGGGTCCATGTAGAAAGCAGGGAAGTTTAAATAAAGATCTACAAAGTGACCTGGAGATTGTCCAACTTGCTTTGCATGCTCTTCTCCCCAAATGTTCACTACAAGGTCTATCATGCATAGGTTTTTCCACCCACCTCAGTGACACTGTAGGAAATAGTCGCTGGGGAAAATATTGGAAGCTGCAGTGGAAAAGCTAACTGGCCATCTTGTCACTCTACCTTGAAAAGAAACCAGTGACAATCTCTGCACAGAGTTTCCAGTCAGATTTTTAGTGTCTCACTTTTAAATATGACTAGACAGCCATGGATTAGCAGGCTTTGAGGAAAGCTTCTAACACAATTGATGCCAAAACATATAGGAATAAAGGGAACTCTGAAGAAGCAGGAAGTTGAAGAAAACTTCATAAAAACTATAATTCTCATAGAAAGAAGATAATCGCATCCATAAAACTAGAACAGGATGCTGTTTCCAAAAAAAGCATAAAACATGAAAGCTCCATAACTTTAAAAATATGATAAAGTCAATTAAATAGAAAGGCTGAACAGTTGAGATGAAAAAAATTTACCAGAAATTAGAATCAAATGACAAAAACATTAAATCCAGGCTAAGAAAATTGGAGGATTAATACAGAAGATCCAAAATGCTAATAATATGAATTTTGTATTTTTTGAACAATTTTCTCTCCTTTGTTCTCAAAGTTTAGAAGAGAGAAACTTGTTCAAAAATATAACAAAGTTTTCCAGGAGTGGACACAAGCGTCCTAGCTTGTCCAAGCCAATGAATGAAAATTCTTCAACGAGTCACATAATTATGGAATTTCACACCTCTTAGCATGGAGAGAACATTTTCTAAAAGCTTCCCAGGAAATAATCTAGTTTATATATAGTGAATCAATAATCAGAATGGCATTGGACTTCTCCACAGTAACACTGTATGCTAGAAGATAGTAGAAAAGTATCTTCAAATTCTGAGGGATGTGCATTTCTAGAATTAAAAAAAGAAAAAAGAAAAAAGAAAAGAAACTTCTGAGGGAAGGTGACTTACCTAGTATTCTATACCCAGTCTGGAATGCAGTCAGGTATGAGGATTTAATGAAGATACATTCAAACATGGAATATCTGAAAAAGAATTTATTTTACCCTTTTGAGGAATCTGCTAGAAGATGAAGTTCAACAGAACAAGGGACTAAATCAAGAAACAAAACAAAAACTAATCTAAAATGGAAAAGACAAGTCCTAATAGGACCAGGCCTAGGCAGCAACTAGAACAAATTAGAGGAGGCTATGGGAGAAAGATCTCCAGGTTTAAAAAATTTAATTAAAAAGACCAAAAGCAGAAAGGAAGCTGAACTGAGAGATTATCCTGTATACTTCAGGGCTTGAAAAAACTTTGCTGTACATTTAGCCCATTTATTGCCAGTATTTAGGAGTGAAAAACCCAGAATTATATACATGGAAAGCTGAGCAAATGAAAAAAGCTAACAGGTAGTTAACAGGATAAATAGAATATTGGAAGAAAGATAAATTATAACCATAATACATTAATTAGCACACAATTGAAAGTATTTACATAGATACAATAGTGTAAACACTGCCTATTTACAATCAAAAATTGTGGTACAACTGTTCTTCAAAGGAAGAGAAGGAAGGTTTTGTGTACGAGACCTGAATCCATCCATGACGTTCTCCCTAACATCAGTTCTCCCTAACATCAGTAGTCAGTGTCTAAAAGTGTTTAATCACCAAGTAGCAACATAAGCATAGTAGTTAGAAACATTAAGGTATAAATAAGGGAAAAACCTGAAAGAATTGAAAGTGGCTGCCTTTATGGAGCGTAACTTGGAAGTACAACAGATAACTGCTTCTTATCTTTTTAAATACAATTCCATTTCTTTTACTTTGTAATAATCACTAAATTTTTAAAAGTGAGACATCAGCTTCCTTTTGTATGTCATTCTTCTTTATGATGGAGTCAAATAGCCAAAATGAAGAAAAAATATCTTTTACCTGATAAATAAATACAAACCATATGTTTGTTTCTGGAGTAATGCAGCATTAGTGGATGCTCACGGTGGAGGATGGGAGAGTAATGCAGCATTAGTGGATGCTCACGGTGGAGGGTGGGAGAGTAATGCAGCATTAGTGGATGCTCACGGTGGAGGGTGGGAGAGTAATGCAGCATTAGTGGATGCTCACGGTGGAGGGTGGGAGAGTAATGCAGCATTAGTGGATGCTCACGGTGGAGGATGGGAGAGTAATGCAGCATTAGTGGATGCTCACGGTGGAGGGTGGGAGAGTAATGCAGCATTAGTGGATGCTCACGGTGGAGGGTGGGAGAGTAATGCAGCATTAGTGGATGCTCACGGTGGAGGGTGGGAGAGTAATGCAGCATTAGTGGATGCTCACGGTGGAGGATGGGAGAGTAATGCAGCATTAGTGGATGCTCACGGTGGAGGATGGGAGAGTAATGCAGCATTAGTGGATGCTCACGGTGGAGGATGGGAGAGTAATGCAGCATTAGTGGATGCTCACGGTGGAGGATGGGAGAGTAATGCAGCATTAGTGGATGCTCACGGTGGAGGGTGGAAGTTATTTTAGGTCAGCTCTATTGGGAATAGGAGAGGAGAGTGAGATGGACTTATGTATATGTGTATGTATTTTGGTTAGAGTATTTTGATATTTCAGAATGGAACTAAATTATAATCTAGTACTTAGATTTTTTTTGTTGTTGTAGTCTGTCCCTAATCACATTAATACGTGTAGAATGATTTAGAATAATCTCAAGTGTATTTAATAATAATGAGTTGTTCTTTGTAATTTAATGTGCAGATTGTAAAATGCTGTATTTTATTATGTTTAGGATCTTAAAACTTCAAGGGGTCTATTTGAAGAAATGAAGAAAACAGCAAACAACAATGCTGTACAGGTAAAGAAATTATTCCCAAGAAACTATATTCAATTAAATTGGTATTTTATTTCAGGGTTGCTCTGATGCCATTATATATGCAGCAGTAATCAGTTACTGGTCTTTTTCAACTCTGTCCCTATGAAAACTCTTTAAGAAACTTCATAGGCTTATTTAGGCTGAGTATTTCATAGTATTTAGTAGATTGCTCTGTCAGCAAAAGAGTTTCTAAAGTGACACTAAGAAAGCAAAAGAAAAAATAAATTAGCTGGAAAAACCAATCCATTTTGGTTAGCTGTTTTCAAAGTTTAGTTTAGTTTATTTGATTGACCATTTGAAACATATTTTCATATAAAGGTGAGAAAATGGAGCAGAATCTTCATTTCATCCAGTGAGAACATTATTGTACTCAGTATTGGAAGTCCAACAAAAATGTTCTTCCATTAGAAAATAAAATGTGTATTTAAGTATAAGATTTCAGTATCTTCCTTTTTATTTGAAATTTTCTACCATGTTCTTTTGAAGTTTTTACAATATATTTTTCTATTACTTGTGTTTTCAAGAGAAATCTTCTGTAATCATATTTTTTCTCCCCCTAGGTGATTGACTGGGTATTAGAAAAGACAAGCAAGAAATGATACATAATCATTCTCTTTAAGACAATTATAAATTGGATGGAGCTATTATTCACTACTTCTTTTCTTAGTTTGAAAATTATAAACAAATTTTAAGCTTTATTCAAAGAATAGATGTTATATTTCTAAAGAATTTCATGAATATATATTCTATATTTGTATAGTTTGAGGGATGCTATGTTAATGTATTTTTAATTAGATACATATTTTGTAAAGTGTTACTATATTTTAAAGTTATTTTTATATGTTTTAAAATGTTTACTCTTATTTAATTATTACAATAAACAGAATTTTTTTTTTTTACTTTTTGGATTTCATGTCTTTGTTGTTAGGTGTACTAAGTTAGGCCTGCCTTACATTTCTTAGACTTAAGTAAGATATTGCCAGTGGCTTTTCCCATGTGTTCCAACAACATAGTTTATTGGACTGCTCCCAATTTAGAGCGTATTGGCAAAAAAAATGCAAACAGGCCTCAGCCCTAGAGCCACCATTGTTGGGGCTATTAATGTTCATTTGGTATCAAAAATGAAGAAACAAGATAAATTGTGAAAATAAGACATAATGAAAATGACACTAAGTACAGTCTCCC
Source organism: Homo sapiens (assembly GCF_000001405.40). Taxonomy (NCBI): domain Eukaryota; kingdom Metazoa; phylum Chordata; class Mammalia; order Primates; family Hominidae; genus Homo; species Homo sapiens. The sequence continues at coordinate 120,523,923 of NC_000008.11, forward strand.
AGGAAAAAAATTGTCTTTTCCCATGGTAGAAAATTTGGAAAATGCAGAAAATACAAGGAAGAATGAAAAAAAATTACCACATTCCCCCCTACTGTCTAGACATAACTGCTGTATTTTAAAAATATATGTAATTATTTTTAAATACTTTCAAAATTGGAATCATATAATATGTTGTTATGCATATGTGTGTATGTGTGTATTAATTAATAACCTGCTTTTCACATAACAATATGTTGTGAATTTTATGTCATTATTTTAATAACTGCCTAATGCAAATGAACCACAGTTTGTTTAATCACCCATTATTGGACATAAAGATTCTGTTTTTCCCTGTAACACATAACACTTTAATGAATCTTCCCAGTATGTCACTATTTTCCTAGTATGCTTTTTTAGGAGGGGAATTTTTGGGTCTTAAGCTTTTTTGTAAATGTTTTTAAATTGCCCTCCTGAAAGACCAATATGAACTCCCACCGGCAGAGTCCCCATTTCCCTTTTTGATGACTGAAAATAGTAAGGGTGAATTTTTTTAAAACATGTTGGCATCTCTGTAACTGTTTATTTCTAGCTTTTGCCCATTTTTCTTTTGAACTGTTTTTGACTTTTTCTTACTTGTTCATACATATTCTTATATATTAAGGATATTGGCCCTTTGTCTTTTTGTTTATAGTGTTCTGAAATTTTTCGTTTTTATGTAATCAAATCTACCATCTTTATAGTTTCTTCCAATTAAAGAAATTTGCTTATCACATATGCTTTGCTTGTCTATGTTGAATTCAAAGTGAATGCTTTCAAAAAGCATTTCTAGGGTTCCGTGGAATTGCTGATTTGAAATGCTCCTTTTTGTCTGAATTGTTCACTCTCATAGGAATTGCAAGAGTGAGCCAATATTTGAATACTCTATTAGGTTAGCAAAATTGTCTTTTGAAATGCTGTACCATGGCTGGGCATAGTGGCTCATACCTGTAATCCCAGCACTTTGGGAGGTTGAGAAAGGAGGATTGGTTGAGGCTAGGAGTTTGAGACCAGCCTTGGCAACATAGTGAGACCCCATCTCTAAAAAAATTTAATTAGCTGCACATGGTGGCACGTACCTGTAGCTATGTAGGAGGGGTCTTAAGCTACTTAGGAGGCTGAAGTGGGAGGATTGCTTGATCCTAGAAGGTCAAGGCTGCAGTGAGCCATGATTTCGCCACTGTTCTCCAACCTGTGAGAAAGATCGCGACCCTATCTCAAAAGGAAAAAAAAAAATGCTGTACCAATAGGCGTTTTTAAATGTAAATTTATTTAATCAGACTAATAAACATTTATAACATGAGAGGAGCCAGTTGGTTTTAAAGTACAACAGATTAGATCAGGCAATTTGAAAACATTCCTGGGAACAGAGTAATGGTCATAGGAAAGAAAAACTCTCATAACGTCCATTTGCTCTTCTAAAAATGGGGTAAACAATGCTGACTTCACAGGGATCATGAAAAGATGATAATCATGGCCAACATTTATTAAGCACTATATGACAGACATTATCTTAATCATTTTACATGATCTCACTGAAGCCATATTAAGTAGCTATTTCCCATTTTATAGGTAAGAAATTGAAGTATAGCAAGATTAAGTGTCATATCCAGGATCACATAGCTCAGCAATTACAGAGCCAGAATGAGAACTTACATTTGTTGAACCACACTGCTTCTCCAAACATAGGATCTCTGCAAGTGTTGGTGTATCCATTTTTTTATTTGTTTTTATTCCTTTCTTCCAAGGATCCTGGTTTTCTGCCGTACTTAATAATATACATGAAAACAAGTTTGAAGATAACCTGTAAGCCTGATACCATTTAAAATATTTCTTTTTGTGAACATGCTGGATAAACTTTTGTAATGTTGTTTGAAATTTAGCATATGTAAATTACATCAGTTAACCTGATTGAAAGCAAAAGTATAAATGAAAAAACTAAACTGATGTAATCACTTATTAAAAGGACATAGGATAGCCAAATAACTTTGTAACAAAAGAACAAAGTTGGGAGACTTGTTTCTTCACTTTAAGACTTACTATAAAGTTACAGTAATGAAGACAATTTGCTATTGGAATTAGAATAAGCATATAGGTCAGTGGAACAGAAGAAAAGCTTATAGGTATACCTATATATCAAACTTTTCATTGAAGTAAAAAAGGTCTTTTAAAAAATTGAACTTGAATAAGGGGATATCCATCCATATGGAAAAATAAGTTACCTTCAACCATAACCTCCTACCATTTGCAACTATTAATGTGATATGGATCATAATTTTATATTTAAAATCCAAAACCATAAAACCTACACAGGAAAACACAGAAAAATCTTCATCACTCTTGGAATAAAACAAGGATTCTTAGAAAGGACACAAAAAGTACAAACCATAAAATTAAAAAAAAATAAATTTTACTTCAAAATCTAAAAGCTCCTCTTGGAAAGGCACCACTAGGAGAGTGAAAATGTAACCCACAGACTGGGAGAAATTATTTGCAATGCATATATCTGACAAAGGACTTTTATCTAGAATATGTGAGACACTCTTAACAGCTTAATGATAAGACATAACCCAAATTTTTTAAATGGGCAAAATATTTGAAAAAAACATTTCATGAAAGAGGATATAGGAATGGCAATAAGCACGTGAAAAGATGCTCAACATCATCAGTCATCAAAGGAATGCAAATTAAAACCATAATAAGATGCCTCTAAACACCAACTAGAATGAATACAATTTTGAAACAGACTTTACCATGTCTTGATGACTATATGATGCATTTGGAAATCTCTTTTTATTGGTGGGTGGGGTTGGAAGAGGGTCTTGCTCTGTTGCCTAGGCTGGAGTGCAGTGGCAGGATCACAGCTCACTGCAGCCTTGACCTCCCTGGCTCAAACAATCCCAAGTAGCTTCCTGAGTAGCTGGGATTATAGGCAAGCACTGCCTTGCCTGGAATTTTTTTTTTTTTTTTTGTAGAGATGTGGTCTTGATATGTTGCCTAGGCTGGTCTTGAACTCCTGGCCTCAAGTGATCCTACTGCCTCAGCCTCCCAAAGTGCTGGAATTATAAACATTAACCACCTCAACCATTTGAGGCCATTTGTTTGGGAAACAGGGAGTCACTGGGCCCAAGTAGCTCAGATGTGTTACATAGTAGTGGTACATTTAGCAAACTGTTGCCTAAATAACCCAGAAAAGAGAAATTCTTCCTAATGAACTCATGGATCTAATTAGGGATATTCCCAGACAATGTTGGAAGTATCAATGGCCATTTATTTGTTTGTTTAGCTGAATATGATAAGGTATAGGAAAAGATAGATAAACAAATTCAAGAAATGTTCCATTTTCTGGCAGAATTTAGAGGAGATATGAAGGGCTTAGGATATTCTGGGTTGGAAAATAAAATGATTTTCCACTTTCAGTATCCCCAGTGGCAAAAAATTTTCTAAGTCAGAAATAGCCTCAGAAAAAGAATCAAGCCAGAGGTGTGGCTATATAATCCTTTATTAAGACATTTAAAATACTTAATGATTTAAAAGTAGACCCTCTCAGCTAGACAAAAGAGCTTTTAAGAATCTAAAGGGTAGTGTTTCACAGCACCCGACACTGTCAATAAAGAGAGACCTGTCATGAAAAGAATGGTGGGTATGGCTTTCATCAGTAGACTATAACTTGGTACACAGAAAGCCCACAAAGTCTCTTTTAGTTGAAATGTAATCATATACACTAGAATTCGTCCTTTAAAGTGTATAATTCAGTGGTTTTAGTCCATTCACAAAGTGTGCAATCATCACCCACATCTAATTCCAGAACATTTCATCACTCCAAATGGAAACCCCGTATCTGTTGGCAGTATTTATTATTTTTCTTTCCATCATTCCCTAGCAACCACTAATCTACATTTTTTTCTTCAGCTTTATTGAGGTATAATTAACAAATAAAAATTGTACATATTCAAGGTGTACAACATGATTATTTGATATACATATACATTGTGAAACGATTACCACAATCTGACGATTACCACATCACACATTGGTGTGTGTGTGTGTGTATGTGTGTGTGTGGTGAGGACATTGGTCATTAATCTGCTTTCTGTCCCTATGGATTTGCCTATTCTAGGATATTTCATATAAATTGACTCATACGGTATGTACAATATATGGCCTTTTGTGTCTGGCTTCTTTCCCTTAGCATAAGGTTTTCAAGGTTCATGTTGTAACATGTATCAGTTCTTCATCCCTTTTTATAGCTGAATAATGTATGAATCTGCTACATTTTGTTTATCCATTTATTAGTTGATGGGCATTTGGGTTGATTCCTTTTTTTGGTATTATTAATAGTGCTGCCATGGATATTTGTGTTCAAGTTTTGCACATGGGCAAATATTTTCTGTTATCTTGGGTTTATACGCCTAAGAGGGGAATTGCTGGGATATATGGTGACTCCACGGTTAAGTTTTTGAGAAAATGACAGACTGTTTTCCAAAGTAGCTATACCACTTGACATTCCCACCAGCAATGGATGAGGGTTCTGGTTTCTCCACATCTTGCCAACACTCGTTATTTGTCTTTTTTCACAAGACAATGATATGAAGTAGTATCTCATTGTGGTTTTGATTTGCATTTACCTGATAGCTAATGATGTTAAGCATCTTTTCATGTGTTTTCTGGCTGCTTACATATCTTATTTGAAGAAATGTTCACTCAGATCTTTTGACCATTTTTTATTTGGGTTATTTGTCTTTTGTTGAATTGTAAGACTTCTTTATATATTCTGGATTCTAGTTTCCAATCAGATATACAATTTGCAAATATTTACTCCCATTCTGTGAGTTTTTTACTTTATTGTTTAGTTCCTGAATTTAGGTCTATGACCCATTTTGACTTAATTTTTGTATAGACTTAATTTTGTGAAGGGATACAGCTTCATTCCTTTGCATACAGATATCCTGTTGTTCCAGCACTATTTAGTGAAAAGACTATTCTTTCCCCATTGACTTTTCTTGGCACCAGAAATCTCGTAAAATGGTAAGAAATTTGTATCAAACTGAAAAGAGGCCTCCAAATTTCAATGGACAGGAAGCAGGATAAGAAAACTCATCAGCTGCATCCTTGGACTACAGTAAATCCTCAAGTCATTGATAGGTTCTTGGAAACTGCAACTTTAAGCAAAACCACATACAGAAGATCTCGAATAAAGTCGTCCCTTCCTAGCTGGATTTCAGAATTACTGTGAACTAGTGACTAGTCCCATCTCTTGCAGTTATCCTATCTCTGCCTCACCATTGTATTTCGGATGTATGGAAGGCAGTTAACTTGGTTTTTGTAGGTCACAATATTGTAGATTTTAAGAAGCCACACCCTAAGAGAGTTATCCCTACCCAATGGTCATGAAATATTGGACTTCAGGCTGTATTAATTATTTTTCATGTGGAACAAATGAAAATAATTGTGTCCAAAGGGTAGAATATGGTCAAATATAGCCACAAAGCTTTGAGCTCCTCCCACCAAGAGATGGAATCTGTTCCCCTAGTCCTTGCATCTGAGCTGGCAATGTGACTTTCTTTGACCAGTAGAATGTGGCATAAATGACATGCTGTGAGCTGGAACCTAGGCCTTGAGGACCTTATAGCTTCTCTTTTGCTCTTGTAGAACCTTGTCCTGCATATAAGGGAGCCACATAAGAGAACTGGTCTAGCCTATTAGAAGGTGAGAGGCCATATGGAAGAGAACAGAGGTTCCCTGACAGCCACACCAGCTGGCAGGCATGTGAGTGAGGCATCTGGGATCTTCCAGCCTAGTGCATGCTCCAGACAAATACGGCCACATGAGTGAGCCCAGGCAAAACAGTAAAGAGCTGCCCAGCCAACCCTCAGAATAATGAGAAATAATATGTTGCAGTGTTCTAAGCCACTAGATTGTGAGGTAGCTTATTGTACATAAGCATTAACTTCCACTCACATCCAAAAATTCATTGAGAGGCCAAGTGCAAGAAAGAAAGTTTCAAAAACTTCATTTTTTAAGGCCTTAGTTTGAAGGCCGTAGTTGAAGATAAATGAAATTGCTTACTTTTTGGACTGCGTTTCCCTTTTTCATGAGACCCAGAAACTTGCAGAGGAAGAAGTTCCTTACTCTCTTGTGCGGCTGAGAATTAGGAAGCAGGGGAGCTACAATTCATTAATGAAGCATTATTCTTAGTGTTTCCTGGAACTGCCTTTGAGTTCTTGGGAGTAAATAGGCTTTATTCATCCAAAGAATTATACAGGAAAGTTGCTGAAAATATCACTGGCTTTGTTTCTTGAGAAGAACGTTTTCTTTCAACATTCCCAGGCCCTGGTCCAAGCCAAGGCAGAATCACAGCCATGAGGCCAAGCATGAGAGCAGGAGCGTCTCCACCTCTGAGATCAGAGTCAGCAGGAGGGGCTTTGTCCATGGGATGCCTTTTCCTGACCATGCTGCCAACAGGCAATGGATGGTCTGATTGTGTGTCAGTTTCCTATCCTGCCTCTTGTCTCCATAGGGCTTTCTTATTTTTCACCATCTCCCACCTCTGCCCAGCTCTTCTTGCTGTGACACTGTCTGAGCAATGTTCCCTCTATGGACTCTTACACTCTTCCAAGAAAAAGCCTCATTTATGTACAAGGAAAAAAATAATAGAGAATAAAAGGCCAAAAGAGAGGTTCCTGCGGCTTTTCTGTTATCATTCAAATGTGATTCCATACTCTCCTTGGACATGGTTTAGTCATTTTAATGAGGTATTAGACTTGCTTCCCCCAGTGAAATCAAATTTAGTGTAATTTAGAGGACTGTAGGTGACATGATAATTGATTTCTGGTCACACATTCAAATAGTTCTATTATTCAGGATTTTATAGACAGGCTAAATATATTATTCACCATATCAGAACATTAGCCATAAAAAAAGAACCTTTTTTAAAAGGGAATTTTGAAATGCACATTTAAGAAGTTCATGTAATCTAGAAGGGTATTAAGGTCATACCCATCATCCCTAGTCCCATTTCTCAGCAGTAACTGATAGTAAGAAGCCTTTTTACATTTTTTAAATGTATCCTTCCAGACATTTTAATACATGTACAAGCATATTATATGTGTCCATTGTTTCTCAACTTATCAGGCCCAAACACCCCTTCTATAAGCAGTACTTTTAATGTCTCCTTTGCCGTCACAAGGTGGAATTCATAAATAATGGTCTTAGGCCAAGTTTCCTAGAAAACAAAATCTGAGGCAAGGATTTGTGCTAATGCTTTATTTGGGAGACATGGAGATGATGAAAAAGGGGGAAAAAGGCAGGGAAGGCAGGAAAGCAAGGCAAGGTGACATTAGTGCTTCATGAGGCCCAGAGAGACACAGCCAACCACTAAGTAGGCATCTTCTCAGTCACATGGGATGTCTCTCAGGATAGAGGGTGTACAGAGAAATCATGCCTCACATAAGTACATAAAAAGAGGAAGAAGAGGCCGGGTGTGGTGGCTCACGCCTGTAATCTCATCACTTTGGGAGGCCGAGGGAGGCAAATCACTTGAGGTCAGGAGTTTGAGATCAGCCTGGCCAACATGGTGAAACCCCGTGTCTATTAAAAAAACACACACACAAAAATTAGGAGGGGGCGGGTGGTGGCGTGTGCCTGTAATCCCAGCTACTTGGGAGGCCGAGCAGGAGAATAGCTTGAACCCAAGAGGTGGAAGGGTGCAGTGAGCTGAGATTGCACCACTGCACTCCAGCCTGGGTGACAGAGTGAGACTATGGTCTCAAAAAAAAAAAAAGAGGAAGAAGAGGATTATTTATTTGCTCGGCTTCTCCTTGTTACTGACTCCTGTTTGGCCCCACAAAGATTTAAATCCCCTATAGTTCTGCCTTGCTCAGGTTATTACCCAGCAGCTGCTCTGGAATCCAGCTCCTGTGCCCTGCAGTGTGCTGTCCATCCAAGTCTGGAACTGATGATAGAACTCAGAAATTGAAGTATGTGTCTCCTCTGCCTGGCTGCCTGGCAGCCACCAAACAGAGATGGGAGGGGAGGCAACATTTCCAGGCAAGCAATTGGTTGGCTCTAAGTGGCTAAACAGTTAGGTCAAGCAGATCCAGCTATGGTGGTGCCTAAGGTTGGGTAAACAGCTGGAAGTTTAGGAGACGCCATGATGGCACTGAAGGAATCTGAGGATATACGTAGGATGTGTCCTATACAGTAATCTAACCTATACATACTTAGGCTCTTAAAAATTGCTATCTCTTAACCATAAGGTAAAATTTTTGGAAAAGCAAAGTAATTATAATAAAACAGTATGCATTTCAATATGGAGATGCTGGAGTATGATTACACTAAAAGACAAAATGAAGTAGTCAAATGTTTGACTTTTACACCAATTAGCCATGACTGAAGTGGTACTGAGTCAGTTGTTTGTAACTCAGGTACCACACAGACTTGTTTTTGTAAAATATTAATACCTTTTGATAATGCCCTGAGCAAAATGAAACACAATCTTTCATATACATGGTAGTTGCATATCTAGAAAATCAGAATATATTGAATCTGTCAAAATGTTTTCATATATAAAAGGTAGTCAAGGTCTAGACTCGGATTATCAAACAGGTTTTTCACCAACACAAATAACCCAGGACACTCAAAAATTGTGTGGGAAATGGTTCCATTGGATGTAGGGCTGTCATCAGCATTATATCTACCAACTCTGGGTCTTCTTCATTAAATGCCAATAATGTTCCCCCTTCCCCCAATTATTGTGACAACCAAAGAGCATTACCACAGATTTCCAAAATGCCCCCATGGAGTGTGTGGAGGGTGTAGTTTGACTATTCTGGAGAACCATTGAAAACAAACAAAAAACGGGAGATATGCACCTCACAGAGCTAGCACTTAGAGATTTTGCCCATATTAGCACTTAAAGATCGACCATTCTTTGTAACAGTTGCAGAATATTCAAGCATACCTCTGTACCAGGATTTATTTAGCTAGTGATGGTCACACTGACTTTTTCAATGGTCTTGTTGCAAGCAACGCTGCAGAGATGATCGTTAGACATTAGCCTTTGTGCACTCATACAGTTACATCTCTAGAATAAATTCCCACAAGTCAAGAGGTACATGTCTTTTTAAATTTGTATGGATATTGCCAAATTGCTCTCTCAATTATTGCCAGATATTTCACCACTAAGTATTGTAGAAGGTTTTAATCTTGGTAACTGTAGTTCTTTAAAGATGAAAATGAAGAATTTTAAATGCCCTATTGAAAGCCATTTTCAGATCACTTTACATTACTTAGTAGCGTCCAGCCTTGACTTGTCTTTTTATATAGGATATTCACGTGGACAGGAAATTGGACTTCCAATATTTTCTAGGGTAGAACCAGGGTCATGACTGAAAGTTAGGCAGACAGAAATTTGTTTTGTTTTGTTTTGTTTTAAAGATGCAGTCTCGCTATTTTGTCCAGGCTGGTCTCGAACTCTTGAACTCCTGGCCTCAAGTGATCCTCTGACCTTAGCCTCCCAAAGCATTGGGATTATAGTCGTGAGCCACCACATCCAGCCAGAAGTTTTGGCTCTAACAATGTAAGAACTTTCAAACATCTCTACCCATCCAGCAGCGGAATGACCTGCCTGGGAAGATGAGGTAATTCCCGCTCATATCTGGAAATTTTCAATTTCAGGCTGGATGAATAATTTCAAGAGATGTTCAGGAAAAGATTCCTGAGTTTTATGGAATATTATACAAGGTCAGTGTTTCCAAAGATGTAGTACCTGGGCCATGGTGTATGTGTGGGATGACTTTAAGTGCTACAAACTTTAAAAAGCTTTAATTGGTTTATATTTAAAAAGTTTTAATTGGTTTATATTCATTTTTATATGTGTATACAATGTTGCTATATTACTAGCAAATCATATACCTTAAGTTAGTACTGTTGAAATAATAGGGTAAAGAAAGCTTTTTACGGCTGTGCGCAGTGGCTCACACCTGTAATCCCAGCACTTTGGGAGGCAGAGGCAGGTGGATCACCTGAGGTCAGGAGTTTGAGACCAGCCTGGCTAACATGGTGAAACCTTGTCTCTACTAACAATTACAAAAATTAGCCAGGCCTGGTGGCAGGCGCCTGTAATCCCAGCTACTCAGGAGGCTGAGGCAGGAGAATCCCTTGAACCTGGGAGGTGGAGGTTGCAGTGAGCTGAGATCATGCCACTGCACTCTAGCCTGGGTGACAAAGTGAGACTACGTCTCAAAAAAAAAAAAGAAAGCTTTTTACAGTTCGAATCTTCTGGAAACCTCAGAGAAAGACTGTCCTTGCCATCCACACTACAACAAAACTTCAGGACCTTGAACTTTGGGTTCATGGTCTTGCAACTGAGAAGGGTCCCGCCACACTTTTGGAACTGTGCACCCATTGGAACCCCTAAGAGACCATCAAGCTTCAGGTGATCAGGCAACAAAGGCTCCAGCCAGTTCCAGGTGAAGACATCACCCCTGGCCATCAAGAAACTACCCTGCCTCCACTAGACAGAGCAGTGCGAGGGTTCCGTGATCCCCAATAGATAGAGACTATGCCTTAAGTCAGCATGAAACAGTTACGGAAAAAAAGACCATCGGTCCCTCTGCCTCCCGTAAAGATTTATGAGGATCACATCTCTAAGTGGAGAGATGAGGCAGGAAAATAGAGTCTGGAGTCAGGGAACATAAGGCTGATTCACACTTCAGCTATAACAGGAAATAGCCTCTCCATAGGGTGTACACCGAGTAAATGACTTTGTAACTTTACTTCATCCTCTTCATTTACATAGGGCGTACCCCAAGTAGAGGGTATTTAAACTCACAAAAACTCTGTAACAGGGCCTTTGACCCCCTATGCTCAGGCCCACATTGTGGAGTGTACTTTTGTTTTCAATAAAACCCTTCATTCCTTTAAAAAAAAAAAAGAAATAAATAATAAACTTTGGGCTAAAATATGGTTGATAGCCTCTAAGATCTCTTCAAAATTGTGATTCTATAGTTCTAAATTTAATCTTAATATTACTAAAGTTTCAACTAGTAAAAAGACTTTGAAACCCCAGTCCATGACATTTATTACAAGCAATTTAAACAAAACCAAATTCTAGTACAATAGATAATTTGTGTATTTGGAGCTTGGTGTATGTATCAAATCCCATGAAAAATTAGTTAAAAATGGGAGCCCTAAGCCCTAGGTGAAGACCCATCCTGAAACTATATTCAACTTCATAATTTGGGGACAATATTAATATTCTAGGGATCTGTTAAACTTTGCTGCAATGGGGAAAAAAAAAAACTTTTTTTTTTTTTTCGAGATGGAGTCTTGCTCTTGTCACCCAGGCTGGAGTGCAATGGCATGATCTCGGCTCACTGCAACCTCTGCTTCCTGGGTTCAAGCAATTCTCCTGCCTCAGCCTCCTGAGTAGCTGGGATTACAGGCACCTGCCACCAGGCCCGGCTAATTTTTGCATTTTTAGGAGAGACACGGTTTCGTCACGTTGGCCAGGCTGCTCTCGAACTCCTGACCTCAGGTGATCTGCCCGCCTCGGCCTCCCAAAGTCCTGGGAATACAGGTGCGAGCCACCGTGCCTGGCCAAACCCGTATATTTTTAAATGAGTTCAGAAAACCAAAAATAAGTGAACACACAAACATGTTGCTGGTGGCATCTCGTTTATCCATCAGCACTTCATGGAAGAGAATAGTAAGACTTGTCTTCATAGTCCCATGCTCTTCTATGAGTATTGTAAAACCACTGTCCAGGTCACCCTATTATATATTTAGAATATAATATAAACTTCTGCACTGGAAATCAGAGGTGAATATTTATTTAATTCATATATAAATTTTACATAATATTCATGGTGCTATAAATATAGGCACATTTTTTAAAAGTCCAGATACATCCAAAAATTACCCCCTCACTGTAGCCTACTCCAATCCCCTCAAGACGGAATATCTAACGTGTTTGGAAAACAGGGTCCAGAAAGGCCCTGCCCATTAATTTTAAAACTTTCTGACCATCAAGACCATTCTTTCCTGCTTCAACCAAGCAGAGTCAACAAGGATCATGTGTTTTCAGGGTTTTAATTGCACTAGTTGATGAATTAAGTAAATGCCTCTGCCTGGGTAGTTTGTAATAGGTTTATGGTTTGGTTTCTCCTACTTAGTTCAAGTCAGAGAAAGAAAAACCAATATCTATATTCCTATTGGCCTTCTTTAAATCCCTATGAGATGGCTTAAAAGGATGTCACTGCACCAGAGGACTCACTTAACCACATCTACTGACAAATAGGCAACTTCCCATAAAGTACAGATTAAAACATCATTCATTTATATTGGTTTTCATTTGGGGACAAACATTGTAAATTTAATAATTCATGGGATTGAGCACAGAGCAAATTGGACAAAAACAAATTCCTCAAAGTGACTCGGTTGATTCATTGACTGTACCCAAGCATGATCCAGACTTATGAGTTTGTGTCATACACACCAGCACACATCAGACAAGATTAAAATCTACAGTGTAAAGTCATTGTAACTTGAATTCAAAATAAGAAAGAAATGAGTATTGGAAATTGATTCATTAGAGCCTCTCTATTATGATACATTTTAACTTGGGGGAAAAATGATTCATATACACAATTATCTTAGTCAAATTTTCTATTTCTTGCTAATAACATTTTAATTTACTCTAGAAAATGCATTAATTTTATTCAAATATATTTTCCTAAAATATAAATAATTAAATTAAATGTTTATAAATGTAGAGAATGTAGTTTCCATTGACCCCCACACAGATATTAATCAGCCCAAAGCTTAAGTGATAAAGAAATCATATTTGTAATTATGATCATTTTAATTTGTCTATAAATATATAATAGAATCTTGGCAACTTAATTATGAGCAGTTAACTCATACTTCATGTAGAACCGAGCACCTTAGATTACATATTGTTGAATTTAACTATTGGCATTAATATATGTATTTTAATATGTTATTTACAATACACAATTATAATTCTCTTGTATAACAACATTCCAGTGATTTTGAAAATATATAGTGAAAGAGTGCAATATAATTTACAAATGCATCAAAGCTTTTCTATGGTATTCAAACTGGGACTTGACTTTTCAGCATTTGAAAATAGAAATAAACAAAAAGTCAATATCCTAAAGCTGTGTTTTCTAAAGCATTAAAAAAAAAAAACAAATAACAACAACAAAAAAACCCACTAGCTTCACAAGATGCTCCATTAGAAAAGAGTCCTGTAGGTAAGTGTGAGGAATGGTTCACCGGATTTCGCCTTGAAGAACCACAATGAACTTTAAAATCTTCAAGGAGGCAATCGTGAAATCTATTTAACATTTTTCAGCTCAGTATTTAGTAAAGTGTATTAACAAACCCCTGTCTCCCCCCAGCAAAACACCACTCAGTCAAGCCCCTTGGAACTAGCGTCATATGATATATTCTTTGGGGAAATGCTGATTTAAAATAAAACTTTGCAATTCAATAAACAAATATGTCTGAGTGAGAAAAATTGTGTTCCTTTAACACGGTTTCACTTTTTGAAGCTCTTTGCATGGGTATTTGTTAACATATGATTCTTTAAAAACACACAGGTCTAACAACAGATGTCTGTCTATGTAAACTACAGGAAAAGTGTTAGAAATGTTTATAGAGATCCTAGAGCTCATTTTCAAGGTTTGAGAAAAGTGACTTCAAAATCAATAGGTGTTATTTTTAGTGAATTTGTTTTGAAAGATAAAAGTAAAAGCATTAAATCAGTAATGTGCTATATAATGTCTGAAAATATTCCTGTAGAAAGATATCAGGTCGTTATATTATTTCCCTGGAATTCTGAAAGAACTGCAGATACTGTCAATAGATTTGATTATAGCATTCAGTCTATATGTAAAACCCAGCATTATCCAGAATTAAATGAGGCTGCTTTATTACTTGCTTGAAAATGCATGCATACAAGCACAGGCAAAAACAAGGGTCAGTAAGTTGCCACTGAAAACCATGAAATGGGGATAATTAGTTAACTCCAACAATGTGAGTTGTTTTATGTGTATATCAGATGACAATATTTTCTGAAAAAATACCCATAATTCACTCTCTATAAATAAAGCTGTAATTCTTGGCTATAAGACAGCAGACCTTGGTGTGAGTATAGTCCCAGAATTAATCATCCTTTGTGCATACAACTCTTTAGCAAAGCTTATCAATTTAAGCAGTCTACTTTGGCTCAGATTCTACCAGCTTACAGCTCAGATCAGTATCTGATGCTTTATTTAATTCCTGCTCAGTATATGCTAATGGAGACACTTTGGAATCATTCTACACCATTGAAAGATAATTCATTTTTTAAAAAGTAACAGCTGCTTCATACTTAAATAAAAGGTGGGTTTCTATTTGAAATATTTTTCTTTTCCTACAAGGGAAAGTCAACTCAGCAAGAATTAGGAAATAAATCACAATAAGAAAAGGGATCACTGTTACTGGGGATAGGGGGCTAGGAGGAGTAGGTAAGAATGTCCATTTCTCAACTATTCGGCCCTTGCGTACCTGGTGAACAAGTTGCCTAGGAACTGGGATGATTAAGATCTGCACATGCTGTTCTAATGGTCATGTCCTTGGTTGTCATTATTTCAAAGCTATGCTGTGTATTTCCCGTCACCTCACCTCTTTAACCTTGTACTGTTCTAGAAAGTTTTACTCTGATATTTCTCATGGTACTTTCGCAGGGTATCCCTTGTAGTTGCTGAAACTGACAGAGGAGTCTGGGACAGTTACATACGACTCTTGAGAGCTAAAGCTGACTGTAGCACGCTACATCTGGTGCGCTGCTCACTACAGATGGTGTCTGACATCACGTTCTCTGGTGGCATTGCAGCCCTTCTTTTCTCAAAGGCAAGTCACCCCTGTCTTCAGGCCACCAAGCCCAGTCTTGTAATCTTAGCTGACAGGAAGGAATGAATGATGAAAACAATTGGCTTGGGGCAGGAATGAAGGTCCAGTTGCTGAAATTTAAAAAGAAGAGAGCATGAGCGATTTTAAATTAATGCTTGATGTAGATGGGTGATTTGCACATCAAACGAATCTATATGCACTTCCTTCTTTTAAATGTTGACTGGAGCAATTATGCTCTAAAATCACTGCCCCTCAATGAGATAAAGGAACAACTCTTTGAACTTATTCCTTACATCTCATATATCTTTTTTCCGAAATAGTTCCTGTGAAATTTAGATATACCAACACCATAAATATTGATGTTGCCCTTCTTGACTGTCTAAGCCATTTATTTTTGGTACCACAATAGTGATATTTATTCATGTTGGATTTGACACAGTATGAAGCAGTACTAAATTTCACATCTGAAGATTAGGTTTGAATCCTGGTTCTGACGCTTTTTAGACGTACCATCTTGGATAAGTCTCTTAAAATTCTTCTCAGTCCTACTAATTCACAGAGTCATTAGAGGGTTAAAGGAGCTACTATATGTAAAACCTCCTCGTAAACTGTAAAACACAGAACGCATGCTAAGCAGCTGTGTTGTCACCATCCTCTAGTCTTGAACTGTTTAAGCACGTATGCCACATCTCTGGGAAGGCACCATCTGAAGTCTTATGCTTCTTGATGTGTTCCTTGAGAACCTGGCACATGCAAGACTTACAGTCTGAGCAGGAGAGTCCTTCAGAAGTTGAATTTTATCACCTGACCTAATTTAGGGAAATTGGGAGAGTTGTTCTCAATTCTCTTCTGCTGTCCCCAGTTTTGTTCTGATGATGACACTGTTGGAGAATCAGAACAACCCGAGCATATTATAGCTACCAAAGTTAAGGTGGTACTCATTATGAGCCAGGTACTGTACTAAATATCTTCTATCCACTATCTTATTTAATTCTCTCTTACAGCATCCCAATGAAGAAGCTATTGTTATTATCTCCATTTTTTTGTATAGGGAAACTAAGATTCAGGGAAGTTATGAAACTTTCTGAAATATAGATCTTACAGTAAATAAAAAGTGTGGACTCAAATGCAAGTCTGTCTAATGCCAGAGCCAGGGCTTAACCACAACATTCTATGTCACTAACACAGAAGGAAACTTTTGAAAAAGGGACATTAAAGATTAGCTACTTCAATCCGTGTATTTTATGGATGGGGAGACTGAGATAGAAAGAAACGAAAGGACTTCCCCAACAGAGTTGGTGAGTTTGTTGCAGACTCAGAAAGAGAACCCAGGTCTTGACCCTCAGTTTATTGCATTTCCTACAGCTCATCTCTGGTCCCTTCCCCCTCCACACTGGGAAGGTCTGTGGCCCACCTCCAGGATTGCTTAAACAGACATAGGGGGTAGAGGAGAAGGAGGCTGTGTCTGAATTTGAGCTCGTCAACTAAATGTACTGGCAGTAAAAATCAGTTCTTCCTAAATCTTCCAAGTCAGGCTGTAATTATAGGCAGAAAGGCTGAAATTTAGACATAAGTGATTTTCCTCATGGGCAAAAATAGCCTTGAATTTTTAAGCCAAGGATAAAGCAGGAGACTGATTCTTGTTCTTTTCCACTTTGCTAGAGAGTAGTCACCTTTAGGAAAAAGTACATGATGGGTGATTGATACAGCAGCAACTGAATTAGAAATAGTCTTAGTAAAATGGACTTTCGAGTCACTACTTTATTTCCAAGTGGATGCCTCACACTGAACCTACTGATTGAAACATACAAACAAAATTTGATAAAAATTCTGTAGATCCATTTTGAAAGTTAGAAAAATGCTTGGCTAGAAATAACTCTCAGAAAGTGAATGTCAGCAAACCAAGTGTCAGCCACGAGGAATGGCCTCCATCGTGGCTGCCTGTGGCGCTCATGGCAAGAAACCTGGTACTGTCTTGGTGCCAGAAGTATGGCATCATTTAGAAGAGTGGGGCTGCAATTCTGAGAGATAAAAAGTCCCTAGGGTCTGTTAGGTGTGTTCTGCCCTTTCCTTCCTGAAAGCCAACAAATCCATTGAGTAAGCCAGTGGCTAGGGAAGACCTAAACAGAGATTAGTCATTACGAAATCAAAGGCCTCTTTGAAGTTCTACATTTGACAGCTTAAATGAGATGCTATGTTTTCCTGAAATGCCAAGGATGACACTTGCTAGAGAGCATAAGAATGTGCAATTCTCACCCTTCTGTGCAAGTGAAGTCATATACTTTTTCATTATGGCAGGCAGAAACCATCTCAGGAAATTATGAATTTCAACACATGGACTACTTGCATTGAGACGAGACGTATGTTACTTTAACGGATAAATTTGCTAATTTTGTTGCATATTGTTTGACGTCAGTTCCATGCTTCTGTGCCCTCCTCTGGCCCTCTCTCCACTCCAGTGGAGTTGATCAGTTTCTTTTCATTTTCCTGCTGCCCTTTTGCTCTGCTCCTCATCTGGCCCCTCCTGTCTCTTTGCTCTCTGTCCTCTCCTCGGAGACTTCCCTGACGGTAGGGACCATGTCTTTTACTTTGCTGCATCCCTAACGTCTAGCACAATGCCAAGGTTATATGAGACGCTTGATACTTTTCAAAACTGCAGGGTACGTTTTTTAAGCTGGTGAGACCCTATTTGATAAGAATTTAATCTAACTTTGTAAAGGATTCTTTCCTTTGACTCAAATATTTATGTAGTCTTCTAATGGAAAATGAGACTGAAGAACAGAAGTTTGAAATAATTGAACCTAATCACCGTTTTTCAAGGATCAAATAAAACATGGGCTTGCAAGCACATCATTAGCAGTCAAATGCCGAATAAGAGTAAGGCAGCATTATGTTGCATAATGAAATATTAATATATGAAATCACACTGTCTAAAGAAAAGTACACTTACAATCTCTCCATCTTTGCCTCCAAAATCTAAATACAGCATCCTGATTCCATCATCTGAAGACATTTTGAGCTTTTCATAAGGAGACTGTATGATGGTCTTGGGAAAGGCACCCTCCTGTGGTTCAGTGGTAATAGAAAATCCATTCTCATAATGTATGGTCAAACGGCACTCCTGGTTTTTGTAGGTGCAAGCTGAGAGAGAAAGAGAGAGAAAAAGAGACAAGTATGAACCATGGCAATCAATCCATTTTCCCAATCACTCACTTCTTGCCTCCTCAGTCCCAGCGATCAGCTACGAATTTCTTGCTAAAATAAAAATATAGTCATTGTTCATGAAAATATTCTGTTTGGATTTATTTTGGTGTTGTAATTTTAAAAGCCCCATAGAACTAAGGAAAAATAATGGAAAGAAATTCCTTTTTCTAGGATCTACTGAATGTTATCTGGGTTCTAGTCCTTATCCAGCCATCTAACAACACACAGCTCTATAGGTGTACTTGCCTTCCAATGGCCCTGTGGGCCTTGTCTCAAGCCAGAAAAAACAGAACTTTGATTTAAATAAGGCCAGTGGGCATGCTGGCTCACACCTGTAATCCCAGCTTTTGGAGGCTGAGGTGGGCAGATCACTTGAGGTCAGGAGTTCGAGACCAGCCTGGCCAATATGGTGCAACCCCATCTCTACTAAAAATACAAATATTAGCCAGACATGGTGGTGTGTGCCTGTATTCCCAGCTACTCTGGAGGCTGAGGCAGGAGAATGGCTTGAACTTGGGAGGCAGAGGTTGCAGTGAGTCGAGATTGCTCCACTGTACTCCAGCCTGGGCGACAGAGCAAGACTCTGTCTCAAAAAAAATTTTTTTTTAAATAAATAAAGCCACCTTTGAATCACCAACCTTATCATCCACACACACACACACACACGCACACACACACAATTATATCTACCACTTGGTGAAAGAAGACAGCATACACCCATGACATCAAAATTAACTAACGTAAATACATAAGTCAGGAATGAGTAGTTTAAAAATAGTCTATTTTTTAATAGTATAAAAAATCTCTTTTTAGAAATTGAGAGGGGTGCTCTTTTAATTTTGCTGATGATTTTGGATCCTGGAAAAGCTGCTGTTGCTGACAGACCTCAGATGTGGCATCTTCCATGAGGAGCACCCTGAGTGCGGCATCCAGGAATCTCATGGGTGGTATCCACATGGTGCCCTCCCATCCAAAGAAACAAAGCAAAAACCTCTTGAGCAGGTGCGGTGCCAGCTTTTATCTGGGATTCTCACTATGTTTAGGAAAAGAGTCCTGCTCTTTAAGCTTATGAGCTGGGCAAGGGGACTGCCACAGCATCCTAATTCCTATTTAGGAAGACTTGTGAATGTTTAAAACTCTTGATCAAAGAGTTCTGAAAAAGGTTATTAAGGATCAGATTGGATTTTTTTGCTTCACAAAACACCACATTTAACAGACCTGACAAGTAAATTGGCTCAGGTTTTGATCTACATCTAAAAGTTATGTAGGGAAACCAGCACACTCACTGCTGGGGATGGGGCTTGGAGGCATAAGAGCAAGAGCTTTATTGATTCAGAACTTGCTGTACATCATCATTTACTCCACTCAGCTTTATAAACCACACACTTCTGAAGCTGGAACACGGCCCAATATTATAGGTGGAAAAAGGAAAGCTCAGAGAGGTGAACACATCACTACCCGGGTTGTTTGGCTTTCAAAATTCAAATTCTTTCCACTCTGTCCTGTGTCCCTTCTCATGCTCTGGCACTCAGGACAAGGAGGGATGTGGGGAGAGAGCTGGGCACAGAGTCGCTCAGCTTTCCTACCTCATGAATAATGACAGTAGGCGGGGAGGCCTCCAAAGTTTCCGGGAAGAAATAGAGATTTCTATTGTTCACAGAATGCGGTGGCTGTTAATCGAAGCTCTGATTAAAACATATGCCCCTTCTCCAGACTGACTTGCAGATATCTTTCGACTTGTAACTAGGGCTGATCTTTTCATCTAACAGGTCTATAACTCCTTCTGCGCACAGTCCCTGAACCCTGCCCTCCGCCAGCCCTCCCATTCAAGGATGTCTAAGGACAGTAGCATAGAGATTGTGCTGATAGCACTGCCTCCCTGTCTTGACCCCTCCATTTTTTTTTTTTTTGAGACAGGGGTCTACGCTATGTTACCCAGGTTGGTCTCAAACTTGGGGCTCAAAGGATCCTTCCGCCTCAGTCTCCTGAGTAGCTGGGATTACAGGCATGTGTCCCATGACTGACTCCATTTTGATACTCTTCATTTCTACAACCCGCAGACCATGTGGGTGAATGGGCTGTAAAAATGATGTTCTTTTCCCCAATGTTTAAATAAATGTTAAAGCTATACCTTCAGATATTCTGAATTAACTGATTGTGATTACTTTTAATTCTAGTTGACTTCAAATGGTATTTTTGGAGTATCTGACCTCAAATACTCTGGTTGACCTCAAATAGTATTTGGGGTATTTGTGATCCCATTCTACATAGGATGGAATCGGTTATCTGAATATGTTCTCAACCTATACAGAATAAATTGAATACATTATCAAGTTAATTGAAGCCCTGATTAAAACATAGACCTCTTTCCCCAACTCTCTGCAGGCATCTTTCAAATTATAACTGGATCACACTTTGGGTCATTTCCATACTTACTTCTCCACCACCCAGCTAGCTCACTTCACAGAATTATTTCCTATTCTCCACTGATTAGTCTATCAATAGCTCGTGTTTTCTTGTCAAAGCAGAGTTCAGCTTATTAGAGAAAGATTTTACAAAATTTGTAGAATGTAAATTAAGCCAAATCCCTTTGAGCATCTTCATTCTTTCCTACAACACTCCCCAAATGGTTGCACAGGGTCTGAACTTCTCTGTTATTACACATGTAACCTTATTAAACTTAGTATTCAGGTGGCTCAAGCTTCTTCCAACTCTCAAATTCAAAACTTTTTTTTTTTTTTTTTTTTTGCCATTCAGAGTAGGCATCAAAAATAAAAGCTTCCAAGATACTCCTACAAGACTTCAACAATGATGGGAAACATTTGAGGACACTAATTAGTTTCAGGATAATTACAAAAAGGCACTGATTATCTTGGATATGTTGCAATAGAAGTTCTGCAAAACATCTCATTTTTCATGATTGCATAAACAGAGGAAATTTGGAAAAACCCTACTACATGTTAACACATGCCACATCTTTCAGAATACTACTGGGTGGGACCAGATGCAGTGGCTCATGCCTGTAATCCCAGCACTTTGGGAGGCCGAGGTGGGTGGATCACTTGAGGTCAGGCGTTTGAGACCAGCGTGACCAACACGGTGAAACCCCATCTCTACTAAAAATACAAAAATTAGCCAGGCATGGTGGCAGGCATCTGTAATCCCAGCAACTCAGGAGGCTGAGGCAAGAGAATCCCTTGAACCTGGGAGGCGGAGGTTGCAGGGAGCCGAGATCATGCCATTGCACTCCAGCCTGGGCAACAAGAGTAAAACTCCGTTTCAAAACAAAAAAAGAGTACTCCTGGGTGACCAGGAAGTTGCACCCTGGCGTTATACGACTCAAAGAGTGTTCCCATGGGCCAGCAGCATCAGAACCACCTGGAATCTTGTTAAATGCAAATTCTCAGGCCCCACCCTAGAACTGCTGACTATGAATCTCTAGAGGTGGGACTGGGGGTTAGCAAATTGAGGCTTTTAAAAATGAAACAAAATAAAATTGTTATCATTGTTTCCAGTGCAGCTAAAGCTTGGAAGCATGGTTCTTAAGATGTCTTGTGGGAAATCCTGTTCCTCTAAAGCAGAGCCGTACAACAGGGCTTTCTACTGTGATGGAAATGTTCTAGATCTGTACTGTCCACTGCCCAGCGAAGTAGGCGTTAGGCCCATGTGGCTGCTGAACACTTAAAATGTGGCAAGCACGACTGAGGAACTAATTAAATTTTAATTAATTTAAATCACCACCTCTGATTAAAGCTAGCATATTGGGCAGCACAGGTCTAGGGATAATAATTACAAGAACAACAACTAATAATCGTACTTATTGACAACAACCCTGGGGTAGGTACTAGGTACTGTTATTCCTATTAAACCTATGAGGTAGGTCTTATTACTTTCTCCTTTTTGTAGATGAGGAAACTAACACATTCAGTAAGTGATTATGAAAGAAATAGAACTGGAATTTGAATCCAGGCCTATCTGACTTTAAAGCCCCTACTTGTGACTATAACTTTGTACTGCTTCCTCAGAGACAGAGAGAAATGAAAGAATAGGCAAGAAAGCATAATAGAAAAGGGAAAACAGCAACTATTATATGAAACTCAAAGTTAGATTTACTGGAAGACTTTTGTTGAGGGTACTAGCCACTATGACACCTGATGCCCTTTGATGAATGTCCGCAGGAGACCTGGAAGAGGTTGGCCTTAGAGCTCAGAACCAGAAAGAATTTGTCTTAGATTTCAGGATCAAGAACAATAACATTACAGACATTGTTAATTGTATAGTTTCCTGAGTGATGAAAAACACCGGGTTAAATATGGATGGAGTACAACTTAGCAAATGTGTAAGATTGCATGGTATGCGTTTACCTAGTAATGTTACCTAAGATTTGATATTACTTTTCCATTCTCTTTTTTTTGTTTTGTTTTGTTTTGAGATGCAGTCTCACTCTTTTCACTCAGTCTGGAGTGCAGTGGCATGATTTTGGCTCACTGCAACCTCTGCCTCCTGGGTTCAAGCGATTTTCCTGCCTCCCAAGTAGCTGGGATTACAGGCACATGCCACGGCACCTGGCTAATTTTTGTATTTTTAGTAGAGACGGGGTTTCACCATGTTGGCCGGGCTGATCTCGAACTCCTCACCTCAGCTGATCCATCCACCTCAGCCTCCCAAAGTGCTGGAATTACAGGCGTGAGCCACCACACCGGGTTTCCAGTCCCTTATTTAATCTTTGCCCAATTAAAAATTTTAAATTATCTATCTATATACCTATATATGTAAGTTTGGATGTCTATCATCATTTCTCTCTGTATGTTTTGGAGAGTGGCATGAAAGTTATTGATCACAGCAGCCTGAGCAGAACTGATTTTTGTTGGATCAGTGGCATAACTGTGGGAAGTTCCTTGTCTCTGTAGAAACTACAGTGGACAAAGAGTGGACTTCAGAGTGACACAACCTAGAGTTGAAGTCAGATCTGTCATTTATTAGTTGTGTGATCTCGTGCAAGTTATTTGACCTTTTTTGAGAATTTGCTTCCTGATTTGTCAGGTTGACAAGGGAAATGGAAGGATTGGATGAGATAGGCAAAGTATTGTGACACACATGGGGTACACACACAGTGCAATCAAAAGTTCTTCAAAACAATGAAACAATATTTACACCCATTATTCTATTCTACTTTATTTCATTTTTAAAATGCTGGTCTTGCCTGAATCAATTAATTGATTTTAGGACCCATAAAAAGTTTGTTTTTCAGGATGGGTGAGGTGGCTCATGCCTGTAATCCCAGCACTTTGGGAAGTCAAGGCACATAGATCACTTGAGGTCAGGAGTTCGAGACCAGCCTGGCCAACATGGTAAAACCCCATCTCTACTAAAAAATACAAAAATTAGCTGGGCATGGTGGCATGTGCCTGTAATTCCAGCTACTCAGGAGGCTGAGGCAGGAGAATTGCTTGAATCCGTGAGATGGAGGTCGCAGTGAGATCACGCTATTGTACTCCAGCCCAGGTGACAAGAGCAAAACACTGTCTCAAAAAAAAAAAAAAAAAAAAACAACTTTGTTTTTCAAAGTATGAAACTACTGACACATTAAATGACTGGCATATAGCAGGTCCTTAATACATACTGTACTATAGAAGGGTTCTT
Organism: Homo sapiens; assembly: GCF_000001405.40. NCBI lineage: Eukaryota > Metazoa > Chordata > Mammalia > Primates > Hominidae > Homo > Homo sapiens. The sequence goes on from NC_000008.11 coordinate 120,547,707, forward strand.
CCTTCTACACACATCTCCCATTTCTACCACCGACTTGCCCTTTCTAAGAGCTCTGTGTGAATGTGGCCTGTGCTCACTCAGCACTTCCATTCTGCCTCTGCCTCTTCATTCACACCAGGGCAGGGGCACTGGTCACTCTTCCCAGAACTGTCCCTTTGCTCCGCTTATCCCCAGCTCAATGCCTTTGGCTCCTGCTCTTTTTTACTGCCCTGGGTCTCTAGTTGATATAGTTTGGATGTTTTATCCCCTCCAAATCTCATGTTGAAATGTAATCCCCAGTATGGAGGTGGGGCTTGGTGGAAGGTGTTTGGGTCTTGGGGGCGGATCCTTCATGAATAGCTTGGTTCCCTCCTCCTTTCAGTAATGAGTGAGCCCTTGCTTTGAATTCATGAGAGACCTGGTTGTTTAAAATAGTGCGGCACTTTCCTCTCCTCTCTATCTCTCTCCCCTCTCCTATTGCCATGTGATATCCCATTTGCCTTCCATCATAATTGGAAGCTTCCTGAGGTCCTCACCAGAAGCAGATGCCAGGACCATGCTTCCTGTACAGTCTGCAGAACTGGGAGCCAAAGTAAACCTCTTTTCTTTATAAATTACCCAGCCTCAGGCATTTCTTTATAGCAGGCCTAAAAGACTCACACACCTGTTTTCTGATCAATCCTATTAACTGCCTAATATATTTCCAATAATTTTATTCTGTGATAGATTACTCGGAATCAGTTTCTGTTGTTTGTAACCAAGAGCACTACTCATTCATGCCTCAAAGTTCATTCCTCCAGGAAGCCACCCAGAGGTTACAGGTAGGAAAACTGTAACTGACTATCCAACTTACCAACTTTTCTTGAATGAAGGTAGGATAAGTCTTTCTATAATCAAAGCCTTAGGTTACATTTTAGTAGGGTATAGACCTCCTTAATTTAGAAGAATTTAAATTTGCTTCTGGAATTTTAACTATCCCCAGAGGCCAGTGATGAAAACTACTTTAAGGCCCCGGTGGAGTAGAGGGTTCATCTTCCCGTAACAATGTGTCCTTGGTAGCTCACTGCAGTACTCACCAGTGCTGATTTCAGCAATGAGTTCAGCAGAATTGTGGCAACCCTGTACTATGCTCCTTGTCCAGTGGGAGAGGTCCCTGCTGGTCTCTGCTCTGAAGAGATGTGTTTCAATCCCTTGCCTGGTACCAGTTCGCGTTGCAAAGGACAGATCCACACCAGCCTGGGGTGATCCCTTTCCTGGACCTGAATGGACCAGCCTGGAGAGAGAGAGAGAGAGACATCATCAAAATGGAGACTAGTTTATTCACCTGGCATATCACCTTGTATAAGACCCAAATTGGTGATCTGCTCTCATTTTTCTGGTCTGGAATCAAAGGGCTCCACTATACCCTGCTCTTCTGCCATCTCCTCTCCAATGAGGTTAAGATAGCACCCAAGAGCTGGGCATCTGGACAAATATGCAAGGGAGTTCAATAACATGACTTTAATTTGTGCAAATTCAACTATAAGAAAAATAAATAAATGTGACGGAGAAAAGAATTTAAATACTGTGTAAAATTCTCTCTGAATATTCCTTTCCTGAGCATCTATATGTCCCAGCACAAGCATGAAATAAGACTGAGAATCTATTATTTCCTGGGTTAGGCTTCACTCCCCTGTGTCTCTTGTAGTTTGAACATCTGGCTGCATTGAATGTACTTCTGGGTATGGAATTTTTCATGCACGTAGCCCCTAAATGCAAACAAACAAGCTGAAACTCAGTTGAAGCAATAGCCAGTGGTGTATCTGATAAAGCTCAAGGAAGAACTGGCAATGCTGGACTTCTTGAGAAGTGGTATGGAACTGCACTTTAGGGGAGATTTTCAAGAGAGATTTTTACCACACAAGATTTTCACACTGACTTTTGAACTTACACTCAGCATAAAATGTGACTTCCATAGTAAATATTTTCTGAAAGGCCAGACTTGAAAGAAGAAGAATCAAAGTGCTCTGAGGGCCACCTTCGGAGCAGGGGCTAGGTCCTACTTCTCATTCATTGCTTTTAAACACTGGGATCTTTCATGTCTCTCCTACTCCTCGATATCTCAATCTCCTTTTGGGAGAGACTTTTATATCAACCATTTGCAGGGTAGCATAAGTCTAATTTAGTAAATGTGACTTCTTTCTAGGGTATTTGCATTTTCAATCTTATCTTTTAATCCAGAAAGCAACACTTTACAATTTACTAGAGAAATGCCAGGTGTCTAAGCATATGGTGGATACAAGAGTTATTTTCTTAGGCAAAAGGCTTGTTACCCCTAGATAAAAATTGCACAGAGGAAATACAAAAGCTTATGTTCTCTTATAAACCTAAATACTGTAGGAACAAAATTATCAGTAGAATAAAGCATATTATTACCTGTTGAATTTCTGGCAACAAGCTTGTTGTATAACTTGGAGGAGCTTTCTTTTACTTACAAAGTTAAAATTAGGCAAGAGGGGCGGTTTGCAATGCCAACTCAAAGAAAAAGTGTATTTGAAAAGCCTTTAGGTTGGAAGAGTCATTAAAGATATGGAAGGCCAGGCATGGTGCCTCACACCTGTAATCCCAGCACTTTGGGAGGCCAAGGCGGGCAGATCACCTGAGGTCAGAAGTTTGAGACCAGCCTGGCCAACATGCGGAAACCCCGTCTCTACTAAAAATACAAAAATTAGCCTGGCATGGTGGCATGCACCTGTAGTCCCAGCTACTCGGCAGGCTGAAGCAGGAGAATGGCCTGAATCTGGGAGGCAGAGATTGCAGTGAGCTGAGATTGCACCACTGCACTCCAGCCTGGGCAACAGTGCGAGACTCTGTCTTTAAAAAAAAAAAAAAAAAAAAGAGAGATATGGAAGTTCTGTGAATCTCATTGAGAGTAGAGTCTAGGACAGTGTGAAGGGAAATGACTGCTGGCATGGGTGCCCACACAAGGGGATTTAACATGTAGAGATTAAGCTCAATTCATTCAGGAGGGAGGAGGGCATTTTATAATAAGTGAGCAAGAGTCACTGAGAAGCTGCTAGAGGATTCAAATGCAAGTGAGGCTAAAGAAAACAGAAAGCATTTCTCTGAAGCCTAGCATAGGCTTTAAAGGGAGTAAGGGTAAGGTAAAAATTCATTAAGAAAAGGTATCTACAAGGAGCAAAAATGTATACTGTGTTTTCTTATTTGCTCAAAAGTGTTTGTGTTTCAAAAAAAAGTTTTTAGACTTGAAAGTGTTTAAGCTTTAATTACTTTAAGAAATTAAATAGCTCGGCCAGGCGCGGTGGCTCACTCCTGTAATCCCAGCACTTTGGGAGGCCGAGGTGGATGTATCACGAGGTCAGGAGTTCAAGACAGCCTGGCCAAGATGGTGAAACCAACGTCTGTACTAAAAATACAAAAATTATCTGGACATGGTGGCACGCACCTGTAATTCCAGCTACTTGGGAGGCTGAGGCAGAAAACTGCTTGAACCTGGGAGGCGGAGGTTGCAGTGAGCCAAGATCGTGCCACTGCACTCCAGACTGGGTGACACAGTGAGACTCCATCTCAAAAAAAAAAAAAAAAAAGAAATTAAATAGGTCATGTGAGGTGCCATGGTGTAATGGTGAGCACTCTGTACTCTGAATCCAGAAATTAAATAGCTCACCCTGCCTTTTTAAAATTTTAACATCTGTATCAGTTGAGCACAGCTGTCAGACTGCATGTTAAACTGAAAAAGGACATGGTTTGGGAGGCATACAAAGCTGTATTAGAACCCCATTTTGTCTGACATTTGTTAAACTTTTTAAGAATCACTACTTCTTAAAAAGTAAGGTCGTGACCATCCTGGCTAACACAGTGAAACCCTATCTCTACTAAAAATGCAAAAAATCAGCTGGGCATGCTGGCATGTGCCTGTAATCCCAGCTACTTGGGAGGCTGAAGCAGGAGAATTGCTTGAACCCGGGAGGCAGAGGTTGCAGTGAGCCAAGATCGCACCACTGCACTCCAGCCTGAGCGACAGAGTGAGACTCCATCTCAAAAAAAAAAAAAAAAAAAAAAAAGTAAGGTTGTGTTGTGAAGATTAAACAACCAATGCACTGTACCTATCACAGAAACTAGCATATGGTTTGTGCTCCATTCTTACACCTACCCTTAGTTTCCTCATTTTAAAAATATAATACCTACCCCATAGGATTAGGATTAAATATAGTAAAATATACAGAGCACTTTGTTCAGTATTTAGTACATTATAGTCAGCATTCAATAAAAACTGGTTCCCTTCCTCCTTCCCTGGCCTAACATGCTCTCATTTTCCATACCCTAAATTTCCATCCAGAGGACATCAACTCTGTCACGATCCAGAGCCAGCATAAATATATTGTAGAGGCAGAAGCAAAGTGAGAAAAAGATATGCCACTCTCATGGAGAATCTTAGGAGTTTCTGTGAATTTCCTACCAATATTTATTTTTCTCCAGAGAGACTATAAAATTGAAGTAAATAATAACTGGGAAAATGCAATTTGTTAGAAAATACACATTTGGTAGCTCAGGGTATGAGGAATGGAATTACTAAGAGAAAGGAATGAGGTCTAAGAAAACCTGGAACCAAGCTGACCAATACCCTGAACAGGGAGAGCTTAATGGGGAAGTCCAGTGTGTTCGAGAAGTAATAATGAAGAAGGCTTTTATTTATTTATTTAGACAGAGTCACCCAGGCTGGAGTGCAGTGGTGTGATCTCAGCTCACTGCAACCTCCACCTCCTGGGTTCAAGCGATTCTCTGTCTCAGCCTCCCGAGTAGCTGGGATTACAGGTGTGCACCACCACACCCTGTTAATTTTTGTATTTTTAGTAGAGATGGGGTTTTGCCATGTTGGCCAGGCTGGTCTTGAACTCCTGCCTGCCTTGGCCTCCCAAAGTGCTGGGATTACAGGCATGAGCCGCTGCACCCGGCCAAAGGAAGCTTTTAGAGCAGCAGTGCCAATCTTTTTGGCACCAGGGACTGGTTTCCCCACCTTTTGGGATGAGATGGGGAATTGGGGATTGGTGGGAGATGGTTTTGGGATGATTCAAGCGCATTACATTTATTGTGCACTTTATTGCTATTATTATTACATTGTAATATATAATGAAATAATTATACAACTCACCATAATGTAGAATCAGTGGGAGCCCTGCGCTTGTTTTACTGCAACTAGATGGTCCCATCTGGGGGTGATGATGCCTTATGAGAATCATCAGGCATTAGATTCTCATAAGGAGCAATAGAGTTAGAACTCTTGCGAGAATCTAACGCTGCAGCTGATCTGACAGGAGGCAGAGCTCAGGCGGTAATGCGAGCAATGGGGAGCGCTGTAAATACAGATGAAGCTTTGCTTGCTAGCTGCTCACCTCCTGCTGTGCAGTCCCATTCCTAACAGGCCACAGACCGCTACAGGTCCATGGCCTGGGTCTTGGGGACTCCTGTTTTACAGGAAGGACTGTTGGTGTTCTGTATTATTCATCTCATCATAAAATTCTCATTGATTAATAAAAACAGAGAAGAGGAAAATTGATTTTTCAACTAACCAAGTGTAAATTCTCTAACATTTATATTAAAGAACCTTGATTTGCCATCTGAGGAACAGCAGACATGTTGAATTATGTGTCCTTTTGGATATGATGATATTGGCTTAATGAAACGTATAGTACTGTATGTAAACTCTGAGATAAAGCAAATTGTCTTTTCACTACCTGGTGGGTATGCTGTAATAAAAGGATACTTTTCCCAGATAAAACTCAAGTGAAATACATGAGCTATCTGCTGTATCCATGTGTGTGCATGTCCTCTGGATACAGCATTACACACCTTGAAATTATAAGTACTATGTGTAAATGTGGGAAAATGCATCTATATTCTGGAAAAGCTCTGTAAATGTAACTCAAGGATGTTAAAGAAAAGCTTGAAAACAAAACCATTAAAATGTAGAGCAATTTTATGGCTGATTTTATTTCTTCTTTTTAAAAAATTCTTAAAATTTTCTCTAAGAGGCTGGACAGGGTGGCTGAAGCATGTAATCTCAGCACTTTGGGAAGATGAGGCAGGTGGTCACGTGAAGTTAGGCGTTTGAGACCAGCCTGACTAATATGGTGAAACCACGTCTCTACTAAAAATATAAAACTTAGCCGGTTGTGGTGGCACGTGCCTGTAGTCCCAGCTACTCGGGAGGCTGAGGCAGGAGAATCGCTTGAACCCAGGAGGCAGAGGTTGCAGTGAGTTGAGATTGTGCCACTGGACTCCAGCCTGGGGAACAGAGCGAGACTCCGTCTCAAAGAAAAAAAAAATTCTATAAGAAACATATACATCAGGTCCTTAAATATTTTCATTCCATTCAACATCATTTTATTATGACATTAGTGAGAAAAGAAATCGATTCCCGGGGAGGTCCACTGCCTGTGTGGAGTTGGCACATTCTCCCCATGAGTGCCTGAGTTTTCTCTGGGATCTCCAGTTTCCTCCTGCATCCCAAAGATGTTCCCGTTCGGTGACAAGGCGTTTCTACATGGTCCTGGGGTAAGTGTGAATGTGGGTGTGAGCGTCTGTCTAGGGTTGGTTCCCGCTTTGTGCCCTGAGCTGCTGGGACAGGCTCCGTCTGGCCACCCTTGACTCTGAACTGGAATAAGTGAGTTGGAAAATGAGTGAAGAAATGCATACAAATTAGTATAAAAAATCATGACATCTACAATAATCATCCAGACGTAGGACAATGAGCGCTGACTGAAAGCGCTCAGCGAGCCTGCCTCATCTGTGATTGGTTTTGACCTGCGTGGTGGGCGGGGGGTGCTCCTTATAGTTTTCACTCGGCAAACATTAATTCTTTAATGAAACCACCACCACTACGACTGCTGTCACTGAGTCACCAAAAATTGGGTAAATAATTATTTTACTTGTTTTTATTCACCTTTCTTAAATGCATGAGAAACACATTTATTTCATTGTTTAATATTAGAAGTGTTTCGAGTCTAACACCTAATGCCCGCAGGCTATAGCTATGGAGTAGCCCTTCTCAGAATAAAGTTAACTGATCCACGTGGGATGAAACCTATACCTGTGGCCTCATTAATCCCTTACACTGACACACTGGCCTCCAGCAAAGCAGATAGCAAAGATGCTGAGACCCGCCAGTTGAAGTTATAGGATCTTTTTGGACTCAGGGGTACTCTCAGAGGTCACAGAGAAGCTTCTTGCTTTGTTCAAGTCCTTTCTCCCTTCCTTACAAAAGAACACCAAAAATCACTCGCTAATTCATTCATTCATTCAATCAATCAATAAAGATTTCTTCATTCACCAAGTGATATACTCAACAAATATTTATGGAGCACTGTTATGGACTGAATTGTGTCCTCATAAGATGCATATGTCAAAGCCCAATATGACAGTATTTGGAAATGGTGAAGTGGCTACCTTGCCTGGGGTATATCCCCGCCAGGAATATCCGGGGTTGTCCCGCGCCAGGAAAATTTAGAACACGGACATACACTAGGAGTTTAGGAGTGGAGGTTTAATAGGTAGAAGAGAAAGGGAAACAGCTTCTTCTATAGAGACAGGGGTCTCCGAGCAGAAAGGACCGGTTGGCAGCCAATGTGCTGAATTTTATAGTCCGGTTTGAGAAGGCGGTGTCTGATTTAGGCAGGACTCACAGATTGGTTCCATCAGGTATGACTTTTACATACTGCAGGGAAGGGCTGCTTGCCCTACCCTAATCTTCTTATGCAAATGGACTTTCCAGTTGATCTGTGCCATCTTGTCTGCTTCTTGCTGTACACGTGGCCGGCAGAGAAGGGAAGATAGAGCCGCCATCTTGAAAATGTCTAGTCCGTAGTTCCTGCCGGCATTCACCCCTGAAAGCTCCCAGCTTGCTTGTTTATGTCTGCAGTTCAACTTACAGGCTGCTCTTTGTTAGAAAATGATTTGGGGCAGCTTTTCATTAAAAAGAACAGCCTTACTGAGGACTCCCATGCCCTTGCTATCTGCCTAAATAATTCCTTCTTAACCCCTATAGCAATAGGACCTACAAGGAGGTAATAAAGGTTAACTGAGGGGGTCCTAAGAGTGGGGCATTAATCCAACGGAACCGTGTTCTTATAAGAAGAGGAAGAGAAGCCAAAAATCTCTCCCCCTCCCGTGCACTCACAGAGGAAAGACCACGTGAGGACACAGAAAGAGGGCAGCCATCCGCAAGCCAGGAAGACAGTCCTCACCAGAAATCAATCCTGACAGCACCGTGATCTTGGACTTCCAGCCTCCAGAACTGTGAAAACTAAATGTCTGTTGTTGGCACCACCCAGTCTGTGGTATTTTGTTATGGCCCCTCTAGTAGACTAATAAGCACCTACTCTACACAAACCCAAGTCTAGGTACGGTGTGAACAGAATAGGCATGGATTAAGCCTCAAGGAGACACAGCTTAAAAGGAGAAATACTGTCTCCCCTCCTAATTCCCATGGCCTGTTTACTCCAAGTTAAGCTCCAGTTTTGGGGAGACTCATTGCTGGATTATGGAAGAGAGTCGGAACCCGCTTCTGGTAGATGACAAGCAAAGAACATGAGCCTGGTAGGGTGGATGGGTGGAGAATTATTCCTCCTCACTGGAGCAACCCGATCATTATAAAGATCTTCCTCCAGAGAGGGAATCTGAACTTTCAGGAAAAGCAAAATGGAGATCAGTGATTATGGCACAAAGACAAAGAAGGAATCTCACATTTATCAACATATTTGTTATTTCATTCCTATTAAGGTGTTGGAAATAATAGATTTCACTTATTCTTTATATCATTCCCAATGAATTGCTTCTGATTATCAACAATAATAAGTTGGGGATGAAACATAGGAATGTGGACATTCATCACTATACTACCTTATAGTGACTGAACAGACAGCTGATTGCTGTACATATTATGGTATTGCAAAGATGAGTCAAGGCCATCAGACAAGATAAGATTAAGATCCTTTCTCTTTTGTTATGTGAGCCAGCAGGGCAATAGGAGTAGCGCCTCCAGAAAGAAATAGAGAAAACTAGTGGAATAATTCAATTTATAAATGCTCTGTGAAATCTTTCTCTTGAGATTAATTTGCATTGGCATATTACCAACTCCCAGCCAATAAATAATACTGGATATACAATGTTGGATACTGTCTATCTAACAGCCTGCTTACTGATCATCTCCACTCTGATGGCTCACAGGCATATTAGACTCCAGATAAGCTACAGTCATATTGCATAAGGCCTTTAAGATCTTAAGAACCCAATACTTGAGTTCTAAGTTAAGTAACACCAGGATTCCCAAAGGGCCATGTCTACTGCAAAGGAGAGGAAGTTTATACAGGGAGTCAAAACAGTATTCAAAAGAAATAGTCATTTAGATTGGAAATTGAGGGTCTATATACGGAAAGGTTTCCTAACAATGCCAAAGACAACATGAGTTTGTCTGGAAAAGAGAAGATTTTGTGTGAGGAATGGAAAAGAGGAAAGGGTAAGCATAAATGTTTGCATTATCTGTGGAAGTGTTCAAGCATGGGTTAGATATTGACTTCCCCAGGGATGTTAAGAATATTCTCCCCTCAAAAGCCCGTGTTTCCATCAAAGCCATCTCTGGACCTTGGCTAATCTAGGCGAGAAAACCATACTTGGAGCAGATGTCTTGCTTCTTGGAAGCCAAGATGAAGTAAGTGCCCTTCCAGCAAGTCTGAGGTTGCCTAAGCTGGCAGCCAACAGAGGTTCTTGGGTGCTTACTCTGTAGGGGTTGTTGCTTATGTATCAGAGTTGACAGCTCCTGGGTAAGAAGATAGATGTTGGGGAAAACAAACTTCTGTTGCCAGCAAAGTGATCTACTGGAGCTCAAGACCATTTGCCATCTGATCTCCTCTTTGATCTCTTTCTGGAGATAGGCATCCCTCCTCTGTATTCCCACACATCATTATCAATCCATTTACCTTACTGTTTCATAATCACCACCTGATCTCTCTTACTAGACCTTGCTGTCTTTCAGGGTAGGAGCCTGGTCTCCTCTCTCTTTAACTCCCTGGAATCTAGCACATGGTAGGTGTTCAATAAATGTTGGCTGGGTAACTGCATGAATACATGTTTTTCAAAAGGTTTTTAACATGTGAATTCAGTTTTGCAAAGGAAAGTATACACATACACAAACACACAACACAACACAATTCTGAAATATTCTGACATTCAGGGCCAGTGAATTGGCCTCCTAATGTGCTCTTTATTTGTAGATCATACTTGGAAACACATTACTGTAGCCAGATTCTGGGAACTAAATACCAAGTAAATGTCAGCTGGACATTGAGATTTCACAAATCGTCATTTGGACATTTGAAAAGGTAAGGCTAAAACCTGTCTGCCTGGCTTTTTCCCATTCTGCCAGGAACAGTCTTTTTACATTCCTTCCAAGATTCTTCCCAATGATCTGTCTTGATCTGCAGTCTCAGGGGGACTCTGAAATTGCTATTATTTATATTTCAATTAATTTACATTTTAAGCTATGTGTGTATCCTTAAAAATATGACCATCTGTCTCTTATATGTGGCAAGAACTATACTATAGTAACCAAGAAAATGCTGTCTCCCAAGAGAAGATAACTTTCTTACCCAGCCAGAAGAAAATACTGGCACCCTGGGACGGGGTTTGAAGCTGAATTTGAAGCTGAATTCACACCCAGTTTCTAAGTATTATCTGAAACTGCTTGAGAAACCCAAGGACATGCTTTGTTCTTCACAAAATTGATTAGTTACAAAATTCAGAAACACATTCCCATGGTTGGAAGCAAAGCTACAAATCCCAGAAAGATTTTACATTTCCTATTAGCCAGGGGTGTGAATAAGTGAAAAAATAAATAGGACCGTATAATATCAGAGAGGGGCAACAGAATGAAGCCATAGGTAGGAGGAGGTAAAGCAGAAATTCAGATACCTGGATTCAAATCCCAGCTCTACTACTCATTATGTGACCTTGGCAAGTTTCTTAAACTCTCCATGCCTTAGCTTCCTCAACTGCAAACTGGGGATAATAATATGGTCACCTCATGGTGGTGTTGTGAAAATTAAATAAATTAATAAATGAATATTGCATGGAGCAGTGTTTGGCACAGAATACATAGTAATAGTCATTATTGTCATTAGAACATAAGTTTGATCAAGGTAGAAATTTTTATTTGATTATTCCCTGCTGTATTCCTAGCACCTAGAACAGTTCTAGGCACATAGCAGGCACTCAGTATCTGTTAAATGAATGACTAAATGAATAACTAGAATATAAAGAGAACAATTTCCCAAGAAGTTTGTGATTAATGACTACTACATGACTCCTCTCCCACTCTCAGCCCTTCAACCAAACAAAGCAGTAACTAATGCTAAATCCAAAGAACTTGGGTTTATGTCCACTACATGCTAATTTCCAGATTAATTCAGCCCTGAAAAAAAGTGATCTTGAAAGGTAGCTGAGATTAGATGTTTTATGAGAACAGCCTAACATCCATTTCCTGCTTCTTCTTTTGAATCTATCTTTAGTGACTGGTGTTTTCGGTAGTAACTTGGTTGTTTAGGGAGGTAGAGTTACCTTCTTTTGGTCTGGGGGATAGAAGTTGCCTATTTTTTGAAAAAGTGAAAGTTGTTAAGATTTTACATTCATGGTCAGCATGGATCCAATTTGAAGACTTGTACATAAATGCGTCCCTAAGCAAGATAAAAATAATTTATAAAATGTCTTTAAATTACTTTAAATGCCCAATGTGATGAATTCCATGAGGCTTAAACTGGCTGCATGATAGGACCACTTGTGGGTCAAATCTTTATGACATTGGGGAACTCATTCCTGCAGGACATCAGGCCAAGTGTTTCTCTCTCCACTGACTACTGAGGTATCAGATTGCATATTGTTTCTGGATCTTCAAATATGCCCCCTTAGCCTGACTAGTTTTGAACAAAACAAAAAATCCCCAAAAACCTGTCTTTCAAGAAATGCTTTTGCATTAATTTAATTCTGGAGAAGTATCAGAGAATGTTGCATAAAATGTTCCATACAAAAGCATTATTATTAATATCCTTAATTAAAACACAAACAGTTACAGCACACAGATTCAGCCAAATTAGTAAAATTACATATTAGGTAACTGGGTTGCTAAGCAATATTACATCCTCATTTTACTTAATTGCTGTAATTAGCATCTCCCAGCAGATGCCACAATGCAAGCCACAAAAAAAAGAAAAAAAAAACAACTGGCCAGATTGCTTACATGGTTCTGGCGAGCTCAAATACTTTCATCCACTGGCCACCCCTAATGGAGTCTGGGCGTCAAGAGACCCTTCAGGAAAGAAATGAGGGTCAAAGAATCACTAACAAGTACCAAATTGTCAGGTGAGAGGGGTTTCCCAGGAACACTCTCTAACTCCCTGCATCATTTCCCCCAGCTAGGAGTAGCCAATCAATTGCCTCATTTATATCTTCTAACCTCCTTTCATCTGGGCCGGGTGCGGTGGCTCATGCGTGTAATCCCATCACTTTGGGAGGCCGAGTCAGGCAGATCACCTGAAGTCAGGAGTTCGAGACCAGCCTGGCCAACATGGCGAAACCCTGTCTCTACTAAAAATACAAAAATTAGTCAGGCTTGGTGGCGGGCACCTGTGATCTCAGCTACTCGGGAGGCTGAGGTAGGAGAATCGCTTGAACCCTGGAGGCAGAGGTTGCAGTGAGCCGAGATTGCGCCATTGCACTCCAGCCTGGGCGACAGAGCGAGACTTCGTCTCAAAATAAATAAATAAATAATAAATAAATAAATAAACTCCTTTAATCTGAATATGGTAGTGAAAGGCAAGATCCCATGTCTCAGAAAGTTGATATTGAGGGATATTGACTATAAGAAACGAACAACTTAGTACAGGTGAATAAGCAGCAAAACAGCTTGGAGTCAATTCCTGACTATTCAGTGGCATTATCCAGGTAGATTTCTGGAGACAAGTGACTGTCCTCCATACCTTTCTTTGTGCCCTTGTGACCTGCCACGACCATCTGCCAGTAGTATTATGGACAGAGAAAAGCGGATGTTCACCAGGTGAAAGGTTGTGTGGATGCATTATCTTGTTTAATTGCCGCAACGCTTCTTTGAAAGTGGTATTATGAGCTGCACTTTATAAACAAGGAATCCATGGTTCTATTGCAGTGAAATAACTGCTTAGGATCCCACAGTTAGTGTCGAGAATTTGAACCCACGGCTATATGACTACAGAGTCCATACTCTTTCTATCACACAAAAAAAGGGCCAAGCTCCAGCTCACCATCTATAGGTGGGGAAGGAAACAGAAGGGAAAGAGGCTGGGCGCAGTGGCTCATGCCTGTAATCCCAGCATTTGGGGAGGCTGAGATGAATGGATCACTTGAGGTCAGGAGTTCAAGACCAGCCTGACCAACATGGTGAAACCCCATCTCTACTAAAATACAAAAATTAGACGGGCATGGTAGCACATGCCTGTAATCCCAACTACTTAGGAGGCTGAGGATCGCTTGAACCCAGGAGGCGGAGGTTGGAGTGAGCCGAGATTGCACCACTGCACTCCAGCCTGGGTGACAGAGTGAAACTCCATCTCAAAAAAAAAAAAAAAAAAAAAGAAAAAAAGAAAAAAAAGAAACTTGAAAGGAAAGATTACAATGCAGACTTCAGGTCATCCATGGGTTTAATTTATCCCTGTGCTGCTCTTCTCCAGAGGTAAACAAGACTTATAATCTGATGGATATTCTCACGTCATGACAGTCCAACATCTTGGGAAATTTTTCCTTTGAAGTTAACTTTTTTTTAATTATTTAGCAGTCTTGGAGCTATACTTTTTAAATAATTTTTTGAATCTTTTAATTAACTCATATATTCTCTTGTCTAACTGTGCTTTAATTAGTTCAACGTATGTCCCATTGTGTGTGTAGAATACACAGTATAAAAAGATCTTTAGAAATGTCTCCATGTATGGTAATGACTAAAATCAGTCCTATTTTAATGGAAAATTGAAACCATGAACAAATAACCTGAACAATCAGCTCTTATAACACTCGGCTTTTCCTCTATTTCATACCGCCTCCAGATATTCTCCTACCATCAGCCCTGGCTACTATGTTGGCCACTAATAGGAGCCTATCAAGTTTCTCTAACTGAAATGAACATTCCTACCCCAAAGAGGAAGGCATCTGCAGGCCTCCTGTCTGTGGAGCTGTTACAAATAGCATTTAGAGATAGCTCTGTTGTGTGTGCCAAGGAGTTCCAGTCTCCCGACTCCATCCTACCCTCCCCAAACCCATCCAAACAGCCAACAAGTTCATTAACCTCAGTCCTTAGAGCTCGATTACTGTGATTTAAGACACTGGGATTCCCAGATAAAATGCAGAGTCAAATATGTCAAAGTACTTACTTTAATTTCAATTATTTTCTCTGGTCTTTAACAATTGCTAACATTTATCAATCACTTATGTTTCAGTCATATGCTTAATATTTACATATGCTATCTCAATCAGTCCTATCAATCACTGTATAAAATGGAAGATACTACCGCCCCCTTTGTTCAGATGAGGAGACTCTGATTCTGAGAGACTGGTATTTTGCCCAAGAGCGCATTGCAAGTAGAAGTCTCAGGATTCAATACCTGGTTTGTCTGATTTCAAAGTCCATGGACCTCCTCACTCTTCTTATATCCCACCCACCACTCCTGAGGGGCTCCTGGTTAGCAGAAGGGAGGGCCAGAGACCAGACACTGGAAGATCACTAGGTATATGGGGACAAATGGGATGGCTGGGTGTGGAAGGCAAACCCCACACTTTTCAGTTTGACAGCATGTAGATTATTGGGCATGTAAATTTCTTCATGTCACCCCAGGCAATGCCCATAGAATATGCCCCACATTTTCTACCAGTGAGGATGCCTCCCAGGGTTAGCATGGAAACCACAGGCTGATTGTAATTTAATGTTTGACAAATGCAATTGGCCAAACTTTCTAGTGAAAAGAATTCCTAAAATTTCTGAGGCTGGCCTGAGGCAGCTACTACTTTTAGCACTTAGAAACGGGTTAATTGTGGGCAACCTGGTTGGGTCCCCATCCACCCTTCCACGCTGTGGAAGCTTTGTTCTTTCACTCTTCACAATAACCCTTGCTACCGCTCAAAAAAAGAAAAAGAAAAAGAAAAAGAAAAAGAAACGGGTTAGTTGCTTAGGCACCAAGGATTACCCATCAGGTTTAGCAGAAATATTCAGCATGCCTGGTTCCCAAGCCATCTGGGAGTAGAGAAGTGCACATTCTTCAATTCCCCTTTCAAGGCAACCCCACACCCTTCCCTCAGGCCCATGGGACAATAAACTGGGCTCAGAGCAGTGTCGCCCTTTTTACAAGCTCTGTGTTCCCGAAACTCCCCACCAGCCACTGGGACTGGGTATGCAGAATTTCTGGGTTAAACCTCCTCTATAACTCCAGAAATAATGTGACCTTAATCCTCACTCTCTGTAGACCCATCTCATTTGCCAATTATGATGACAGTGACCAAAAAAACCAACACTCTTACTCCATACAAGTGAGCATACCTTTTTTTTTTTTAATGTTCAGCAATATCAAATAAACTTTGGCTAAGCAAAAAATGTTCTCCCAAGGACTCATAAAAAGCTGAGGAATGAGAATTGCTAAAATTACAACTTGTTTGCAAACTTCCTGAGCGCACTGCTATAAACTGTACCACCAATGGACTCATAGGGGCACCATTGAAGTTTGGCAGTGGAAGAGGAGAGATGACTGCTCGTAAACATCTCTGCATGGCAGTCGACACCAGGAACATGTTGTGAGCATTTCTGGTGCCACTTCTATGAAACACAATCAAATTTTCATCCTCCAGAAAAATATAAATTAGATGTGCCTGGGCCTAAAAAGAAAAATCCAAGCAAAGAAATGCATCAACTATGAACTCTTTGAGGGCATAACTTGATTTAGAAGAAAACTGTTTCCTACTGGCTATAGTCCTGGCCATTCCCTCTTGTGCTGAACGAAGCTCCCTAGCTCTGCTACAGGGAAGAGAAGGGGACTGACAGTCACCTGGCCCTACTACGTGTGTTTATGAAAAATAAGGCTGGCCGGGCATGGTGGCTCACGTCTGTAATCTCAGCACTTTGGGAGGCCAAGGCGAGTGGATCATTTGAGGTCAGTTCGAGACCAGTCTGACCAACATGGTGAAACCCCATTCTACTAAAAATACAAAAAAATTAGCCAGGCATGGAGGCTTACACCTGTAATCTCAGCTACTTGGGAGGCTGAGGCAGGAGAATCACCTGAACCTGGGAGGCGGAGGTTGCAGTGAGCAGATATTATGCCATTGCACTCCAACCTGGGCAATAAGAGCAAAACTCTGTCTCAAACAAAAAAAAAAAAAAAGAATTATGTACATAGGTCATTGAATGGCATTGTGCCTCTTTCCACCCAATTCATGTGTTGAAGCCCTAACCTCCAAGGTGACTGTATTTGAGATAGGGCCTAAGATGAGCTGGTTAAAGCTAAATGTGGGGCCCTGATATGATAGGATTAGCGTCCTCAAAATGCTAAGAGACAATAGAGAGCTTGCATTCTCCCTCCATGCACGCAGAAAGTACAGGTCATTTGAGAACATTAAAATAGGGCAGCCGTCCCAGGAAGATGGTCCTCACCAGAAACTGATCATGCTGGCACTTAATCTGGGGCTTCCAGCCTCTAGAATTGTGAGAAAATAAATACCTGTTGTTGAAGCCACCCAGTCTATAGTATTTTGTTATGGCTAATACATTCATCATATTTTAATTTTCATAACTGCCCTGCAATAGATACTATTATTCTGGTTTTTTTTTTTTTTTTTTTTTGAGACAGAGTTTTGCTCTTGTTGCCCAGGTTGGAGTGCAATGGCGTGATATCGGCTCACTGCAACCTCCGCCTCCCAGGTTCAGGTGATTCTCCTGCCTCAGCCTCCCAAGTAGCTGGGATTACAGGTGTGAGCCTCCATGCCTGGCTAATTTTTTTGTATTTTTAGTAGAGATGGGGTTTCACCACGTTGGTCAGGCTGGTCTCGAACTCCTGACCTCAGGTGATCCACCCGCCTCGGCCTCCCAAAGTGCTGGGATTACAGGTGTGAGCCACTGCGCCCAGCCTATGATTCTATTTTTTAGATGTGGAAACAGATCAGAGAGAAGACGTCACTTGCTTGTGGTCATAAACTGAGGCTTGCCTGGGCAAAACTGCAGTGTGCACCCAGGTCTGTCAAATCTGATATGATGAAACATTGTTTTCTCTCTCTACCAGCAAATCCAATGGTCTTCCATTTATTAAGGAGATATTTTTGGAGACATTTTGTTGGCTTATTTCTTAATTTTTTAGTTTCTGCTAACAGGATGGATTTTAAAAGTTTTTTTTTAGCAGGTGGTATAATGATGACCTGTGAATTTTAGTTGGTTACAAATTTTCAGTGTGATGGAGTTGTTTTAAAAATGTAGCCAATGTATTTATAAACCCGAAAATAGAAGAGGGGTTAACAAATTAGAAAATACTAAATTTATTTAGCACTTGCCATGTGTCAAGCACTATTCTAAGCAGTTTACATGATCTAGTGTAATCCTTATAACAACCCTATTAGGCACGTATAGATATTGGGCACATATTACTGATGAAGGACTTGAGGCAAAAAGAGATTACAAAACTCGCCCAAGGCTCCAAGGCTTGGTAAGTAGCAAGGCTGGGATTCGGAGCCAGGTTGTCAGTTTCCAGAACCCACGCTCTGGAGCATTCGTGTGATGGACACTATGCAGCCATGAAAATAAAGCTAGGAAAGAATGCAAAATACCAGGGAAAATGCTAGAAGGTCATCTAAGTGAAAAGGAAGGGCAGCAGCACATCACATTTTAGGAGCTGTTGATCACTCTGTGAGGGCCGGGACCCAGGACAGCCTTAGAACTGATCCACTGGTGGTCATCACAGCTTGTGGCCAAACAGCGCTTCTGAAGAACCACGGGGTAAGAAGAACCACATAGTTGCTGTGGAGTTCCCCACCCACCATGCTGTGGTTTGAACGTCTGTGTCCCCCCAAAATTCATGTTGAAACTGAAGCTCCAATGCAAACGTATTAAGAGGTAGGACCTTTAAGGAGGTGACTAGGTTATGAGGGCCCCACTCTCATGGATAGGATTAGTGCCTTATAAAAGGACTTGGGGAGCCAGGTGTGGTGGCTCACGCCTGTAATCTCAGCACTTTGGGAGGCTGAGGAAGGCGGATCACCTGAGGTCAGGAGTTCGAGACCAGCCTGGCCAACATGGTGGCCTATTAAAATACAAAAATTAGCCAGATGTGGTGTCTGTGTTAAATACAAAATTAGCCGGTGTCTCTATTAAATACAGAATAGAGACAGGTTGTGGTGTCCCTATTAAATACAAAAATTAGCCAGTGTCTTTATTAAAAATACAAAAATTAGCCAAGTGTGGTCATGGGTGCCTGTAGTCCTAGCTACTTGGGAGGCTAAGGCAGGAGAATCACTTGAACCCGGGAGGTGGAGGATGCAGTGAGCTGAGATTGCGCCATTGCACTCTAGCCTGGGCGACAAGAGCAAGACTCTGTCTCAAAAAAAAAAAAAAAAAAAAAAAAGGGTGGGGGAGGCTTGGGGAGTCTGTTAGTCCCTTTTTGCCCTTCCACCCACGTGAGAACACAGCAACAGGCTCCATCTATGGAACCGAGAACACGACTTCACCAGACAGCAAATCTGCTGGCACCTTGATCTTGGACTTCCCAGTCTCCAGAACTGTGAGAACATTTCTATTATTTATAAATTACCCAGGCTAAGGTATTTTGTTATAGCAGCCCCAAATGGACTCGGACACACCACAAACCCCTGAGAAGATGGGAGGCAGCAGCACACAATCTTCTAAATCAATAGTTCTCAAACTGTAGCCTGTGTCAGAAACACCTGGAGGCTTGTTAAAATCAAAGATGGACCGGGTCCCATCCCCAGAGTTTCTGATTCAGTTGGTCTGGGGTGGAGTTGAACATTTGCTTGTTTAACAGTCCCAGATGGTGTTCCCGCTGCTGGGCAAGCCAGAAACTCTAGGTCTCTGATTCTATCCACAACTCTGTCCTCACTTTGCATGATTAGGGGTAACAATTCCCTTGATTGTTAGCTGGAATAAGAGGCCACCTGTTGCATGATTTATTTGTCAGGAAAGAAAACTTTTATATATGATACACTCAGCCAATTCTAAGAGCCATGGAAACTCTAGGAAATAAGGACATGCTCTTAGGAAGCTGCATAGAATAGTGGATAAGAATCAAAAGGTAGAAACAGAATCTCAGGTCCATCTCTTACTGTTACTGTTGCATGACTGTGGTAAGTAACTTAACTACTCAGTTCCTCAGTTAACTGATCTGTGAAATAGGAATAAAACCTTAACCTTATGGGGTTGTGAGGGTTGAATGCGGTAACCCTGAGAAACATTTTCCTGATGTTTGTTAAAAGCACATTCTCCTGATCCCCAACCCCAGCCTAAGCCAGAATATCTAAGGCAGGGTTCTGAAGACCTGAATCTTAATAAACAGCCAGGTAATTCTCATATTGGGCAAGGTTTGCAAACCCTAATAGAATCCACCTAAAGCACGTAGCCTTGATCTATGCCAAATAAGGGCCAGCCACTACTTCATTACAGGGTTGAGCTCCTTTTTTTTTTTTTTTTTTAAAGAGACAGGGTCTTGCTCTGGACCCAGGCGCTGGAGTACAGTGGTGCCATCATAGCTCATTGCAACCTTGATCTCCTGGGATCAAGCAATTCTCCCACTTCAGCCTCTTAAGTCACTGGGACTACAGGTGTGCACCACCATGCATGGCTAATTGTTTTTTATTTTTTGTAGAGACGGATCCTCCATGTTGCCCAGGCTAGTCTTGAACTTCTGGGCTCAAGCAATCCTCCCACCTCAGCCTCCCAAAGTCCTGGGATTACAGCCCAGCTTGATCTATTTTGAAAATAATATTACCATGGCCTTCTTGATAATATTACCCAAGGTGATTAGTTAGTAGACACAGTATAATAAATTTTTTAAAAACATAGCTCTATATCCATAAGTAAAAATTACACCATACCTTTATGATTTGTGCATATTACTATTTATAAATTAGACCTCAATACAAGATTTTTAAAATAAATTTTTAAAAACAGGAATGGATCCTCTTCTTTAGAAATATACAAAGACAAATAATACTACTAGACAGATTACATACTTATGTGGTCATATATAAAGGACACGGTGCTGTATATGGCTGTATAGAATGCATCGGAAGTAAATGAAAGAGTCACTTGTTGAACTTAGATAAGTGGCTAAAAAAGCAGTCAATGGAAGTGCTGGGGTAACCTCTGCAATGGAAGGATTCTGTTTCCCTTTGAATGCTACCATTTCTGGCATGGACCATCCCCCACAACCCGCCAGAAACCAACAGCATCAGCCCAGCTTCCCACCTCAGAGAGCCACCTTTATCCACAAGGAGATAAGAGTTTCTATTTCAGCTGGGGTGGACCCTGCCTCCTACTGCAATTCATTGGGAAGCTCAGCCTGGAGCTGCAAAGGGGCTACATCTCCCTGGCATCATCCCACAGAGAAGGCAGGGGACATTTTTTTCCCATTGTTTGCTTTCTAAAAGTCTTTTTCTAGGTACATCCACAGGGTCTTGGAGAGAAGTTGATCAGGACTGATGCTCTGGTAGCTGATGCTCAAGCCAAAAGGTCAGTTAAAAATCTATTTTACCAAAGTATATTTTCCTTTGGCTTTGGAGACAATGGCATTCCAGTGAGTGTTTCACAGATAGGGATTCTGACAGAGGGAGCTGGGGTGATGAGGCTGGGGTTAAGCACTCTTCTGGAGGAAGGAAGACTAGAATGCAAACTCCCAGCTCTGCCATTTCCAGGCTGCCGCCCAGGAGCAGGCAAAAGCTCACCTACTACTTCGAGAGGATAGAGTGAGAATGAATAGCCAGTGCCACCTAAGATCCCGGACATACTCTGCCTCATGGGCTACCAGCCAGAGACCAGGGCAATCCTTACAGGCCTAATTGTATCATTCCTCATAGGGTTAATATCCACACAGAATAAGATTTCCTCTTGCAGTTCAGTGGTTAAGCTGGGTAATTTGGGAGAGGGACAGTGAGTTGAGGGGACAACTATTACAACTGGGTCTGCTTTATGGTTGCATCATAGACACTGATTTTTTTCTTTTTACTACATCTTCTGTTTTGTTTGCTTGTTTGTTTTTGAGATAGAGTCTTGCTCTGTTGCCCAGGCTGGAGTGCAGTGGCGCGATCTCGGCTCACTGCAATGCCGCCTCCCAGGTTCAAGCGATTCTCATGCCAAAGCCTCCAGAGTAGCTGGGATGACAGGCACCCACCACCATGCCTGGCTAATTTTTGTATTTTTAGTAGAGACGGGGTTTCACCATGTTGGCCAGCTGGCCTCGAACCCCTGACTTCAGGTGATCTGCCTACCTCGGCCTCCCAAAATGCCAGGATTACAGGTGTGAGCTACTGTGCCCAGCCCGCATCTTCTATTCTAAATGATCACAGTGATGCACTGAAGAGGTTTCCATTTCCTGTTTGCATATTGGATGCAGGCTTATGGGTTTAGGCTATTCATCTGCTTTACTCTCAGTTCAGACCTGGCACCCCTGTCACTTGTGAACCTGTAGCAGACACTTTCAGTGCTCCACTCAAACCTCTTCAGTTCCCATTTACTGTTTCTGCACATCCATCTCTCCTTCTGGGCCTTTGCTTTTAAGGAATCACACTTAGGACTTTCCTGCTTGTGCAGAAGCCTGAAGAGCCTGCGAGACGACATCCCTCCAGGCAGCCTCAGCTGTCCATGGACTGCTGTAGGAATGTACAGCTCCAGTCACTTGCCTGAGTCGGGACAAACTTGGAAGGAGTCATTTACATGCTCTAGGAAAGTGCTGTCTGATAGAATTTTGGTGGTGATGGGGATGTTCTAGATCTGTGCTGTTCGAAATGGTAGTCACTAGCCACAGGTGGCTATTGGACCCTTGAAATATGGCTAAGGAGGGTGAGGATCTGAATTGTTAATTTCACTTAAATTTAATTACTTTAAGTAGCCACATCTGGCTAGTGGCTACCATGCTAAGCAGTCTAGCTCTCAAGACCCCTGTAAGGTCAGGCTGAGGCTGAGACTTTGCCTGAAATCCTAGCCTCCTTGGCTCCTCTCTCTTTTTGTCCTTCCCCTCCTCCTTTCCAGGCTTCTCCTGGGAGCATTTGCTTAAGAACTCACTGCCACTTCAGTCCTTGTTGCCTTCTCTGCTTCTGAAGAACCAGACCAAAGGCAGAGCCTTTCTCAGTCTCCTCATCTTACCAGGGGGTTGAAGTCCCAGGGCTAAACCTGGTTACAGGATAGGAAAGCTGAGAAAAAACCAAAAGAGGGGAGACTCCTGGGGAGCAACTTATCTCTTCCTGTAGCTAAGTACTTTGTGTCCTCACAGAAATTTGGTTTTATTTTTATTTATTTATTTTTCTTTACAATGGAATCAGGATCACTGCAAAATTGGATTCAGCAGTCACTCCTTGGACATTTGTTATTTGACACCAAATATAAAAATATCTACCCAGATCACATCCATGACTCTTATCATCCCCAAAGACTCCTGCTGTTCCCCATGGTTCCAATTTCAAAAGGTAGAAAAGGATACGCTAGTGAAAAGTCTTCCTCCCCATCTCCCACCTCTGTGTCAACCCCCTGTGGTACCAAGGCACAGGTATGCAAGTGACACACAGTCCCGGAACTGGAATCCCACCTCCATCTCTCAGAAGCTACACCACCTGGGGTGATTCCTGAACTCTTTTGAGCCTCAGGTACCTAATCTGCAAAATGGGCACACTAATACCGGCCTTGCAGAATGGATACACACGTTGTAAGTGGTAACTTGTGTCAAGTGCTGGGTACTTAGTGAGTATCTGATTCATTTCCCCTCATTCCCCAGGGCCGTATGTGGTGCTCTAACTGGGCCATGCAGCAGTGCACGAGCTCTGTGCTTGGATCTTCCCTAAGTCTGGAATGCTCATGCCCCTCTCTGGGCTCCCTTCCCTTGTTCCTCTGGTGAGTTTTCCCTCAGGCTTCAATTCAACATGACTTCTACTGCAAGGAGTCCTCCACCACTGTCCAGGCAGAGTTTGGCATTTTTTGTTGTCTTTACTGCAAATGGTTCCTTATGTGTTCCTGCACATCAACACACTTTGTTCCAGATAATGCTAGGTTCACAAGTTTGAATTTTTTTCACCTCTTTATCCCTTGTCCCAATTATAACTCCTGGCACATAGTAGATGATTTATAAATGTTGACTGATGAATGAATGAATGAATGAAAAAGCAGTCCCCATTGTTCATAATGCCCAGAAACTGTGAGAACAAGGCTATGTACGAGGGTAAATTTTATTTTCATGTTGCCTGAGAGTTGCAGAAACTACCTTATTTCAACTTTTGTTTCTGAGAATCATTTCAAGATGCTTGGGTCCAACTTTGCTTCTTAGTAACTGGAATCCAGTGACTGTGGTCTAATCTTTCTTTGGTTTCTGTTGCGGGAATGTCTCAGAATCTGAAGATAATGTTCACGGATGAGGACTGTGGATGCAAAGTACAGAAAGCAATAGCGATTGGGCCGAATTCTCATGGACCCCAAGGCACAGCCTGAGTCTTTGTGTGCAGTTAAGGATGTTTACATTCTGACTATTGAGGGTTTTTTTTTTTTTTTTTTTTTTTTTTTTTTTTTTTTGAGACAGAGTCCCACTCTGTCACCCAGGCTGGAGTGCAGTGGTGTGATCTCAGCTCACTGCAACCTCTGCCTTCCAGGCTCTAGTGATTCTCCTGGCTCAGCCTCCTGAGCAGCTGGGAACCACAGTTGTGTGCCACCACACCAGGCTAATTTTTGTATTTTTAGTAGAGATGGGGTTTTGCCATGTTGGTCAGGCTGGTCTCGAACTCCTGATTTCAGGTGATCTGCCCTCCTCGGCCTCCCAGAGTGCTGGGATTACAGGCATGAGCCAGCATACCCGGCCATGATTACTGCAGTTTTATTACAAAGCTGTATTTTACTTTAGTAGCCATTCTGCCAAACATTTTGAAGCTTGAAAGCTTCAAATATTAAATTACTTTTAAATTTTATTTTTTAAAGGTGATCTAGGCCTGGTTCCTCACCCCTGAAAACCTCCTCTATTCACCTCTGGAGCCAATAATTTCCATCTTTAGCTCCCCACCTCCCCGGCCCCACCCCCGCTGCTGGTCTTCATTATCAATCATGACTGGAAGTAAGAAGGATTTTTCTGGAATTTCAGCTCTATTCACTACTGGCATTTTAATCTTGTGTTAATTCTTGCTCTGCTACTGGGTCTCATTCTCCTCCTTGCAGCCAGCTGACCCTTGACCATAACCTGTTTGGCAGCTCAGTCCTTCCTAGATGAAGAGCCCACCTTATTTCTGTCTACATCTTGCTCAGGTCAGATGCTCCAAAACCTCTGTCCACTACGCTTTGTCTCTTGGACCAAACTTCTTCCAGAGTTTGTCTCACATTGTTCAATAATTCATTCAACAGACATTCAAGGGCACAATATTGCCAGGCACTGTGCCAGGAAGGACACAAATATGACTTTATCATGCCTAGCTTGCAGGTAAAGAAACAGGTGTAGAAGGAATACAAACAGCTCACTGTCATAAAGCACAAACAAAAAGAGCTGGCAAGAGAAGTCAGGCCTGGGAAATGTCAGCTACTTGAAAGCAAGACTTGAGTTTGATTCATTTCTGTTTTTGGGATATAAGCTTTCAAAGAGGGGGACAAGGATACAACACATTAAAACTATTTCAGGCCAGGTGCAGTGGTTGAGAAGAACGTCCATAATCCCAGCACTATGGGAGGCCGAGGGAGGAAGATCACCTGAGGTCAGGAGTTCAAGACCAGCTTGGCCAACATGGTGAAACCCTGTCTCTACTAAAAAAACAAAACGAACAAAACAAACAAACAAACAAAAATTAGCCGGGCGTGGTGGTGGGCGCCTATAATCCCAGCTACTCAGGAGGCTGAGGTAGGAGAATCACTTGAACCCGGGAGGCAGAGGTTGCAGTGCGCCAAGATAGCACCATTGCACTCCAGACTGGGTGACAAGAGTGAAACTCTGTCTCAAAAATAAATAATTAAAAATCAAGCTGTATTTCATGTCTTGGTTGCTGTGAATAATGTTGCAATGAACATGGGAGCGTAACTACCTCTTTAAGACCTTAATTTCAGTTCTCTTGGATATAGACCCAGAAGTGGGATTGCTAGCTCACATTAGAATTCTGTTTTTAATTTTTGGAGAAATCTCCATACTGTTTTCCAGAGTGGCTGCACCATTTTACATTCCTATCAACAGTATACAAGGATTTCCTTTTCTCCATTTTACATTCCTAACAACAGTGTACAAGGGTTCACATTTATCAAATGATAAACAACACTCATTATCATTTGTCTTTTTGACAATAGCCATCCTAACACACATCCTAAGCACATCCTCACTGTGGTTTTGAATTGCATTTCTCAGATCATTAGTGACATTAAACACCTTTTGGACATCTGTATGTCTTCTTTGGAGAAATGTCTATTCAGGTTCTTTTTGAATCAGTTTTCTTTTTTTGCTATTGAAATGTAAATCTTTATATATTTTGGATATTAACCTTTAATTAGATATGAGGTCTCCCATTTTGTAAGTTGCCTTTCCATTTTGTTGATTGTTTCCTTTGCTATGCAGAAGCTTTCCAGTTTGATGTAGTTCCATTTATTTATTTATTTTTGCTTTTGTTGCCTGTGCTATAGGTGTCATATACAATAAATCATTGCCAAGGCCAATGTCAAGAATATTTTTCCCTATGTTTTCTTCTGGAAGTTTTACAGTTTCAGATCTTACCTTTAAGTCTTTTATCCATTTTGAGTTTATTTTTGTGTATGGTGTAAAATAGGGTTCATTGTTTTGCATATGAATATCCAGTTTTCCCAGCACCATTTATTGAAGAGAATATCCTTTCTCCATTGTGTATTCTTGGCACCCTTGTCAACAATCAGATGACCACAAATGGGTGAATTTATTTTTGGGCTCTCCAATCTGTTCTACTGGTCTCCGTGTTTTTATGCCAGTATCATAAGGTTTTGATTATTATAGGCTTGTAATACAGTTTGAAATCAGGAAGTGTGATGCCTCTAAAGGTCCGTCTATAGATGAACGGATAAAGAAAGTGTGGTATTTACATATAATTCAATATTATTCAGCCTTAAAAAAGAAATTCTCCCATATTTGACAACATGAATGAACCTGAAGAACATTATGCTAAGTGAAATATGCCAGACACACAAGGACAAACACTACAGGATCCCATTTATATGAGGAATCTAAAATGACGAAGCTCTTAAAGCAGAGAGTAGAATGGTGGTTTCCAGCGGGGAGAGGGAAATGGGGATGTGTTGGCCAAAGGGCACGAAATTTTTGTCATGCAAGTTGAATAAGTTCTAGAGATCTACTGTACAGCATAGCGCCTATAGCTAACAACATGGTATTATATACCTAAAACGTTGCTAAGAGGGTAGATCTTATGTTACATGTTGTTATCACAAAAAATAAAATATAGAGGAAGGAGGAAATTTTTGGAGGTGATGAGTATGTTTATGGTATAGACTATGATGATGGTTTCATAGGTGTATATTTATCTCCAAATTTATCAAATTGTATACATTAAATATGTACATAACTTTGTATGTCAATACCGTGATGAAGTGCTTTTTAAAGACATATTTCACATGAATAATAAATGTGCACTGAAGGACCTGAAAAACCGAGCCTGGCAGCCACCCTTCCACAGGAAGCGTCATGGAACTGAGAAATAACTTGTTATGAGATTTCCTGCTGAACAAGCCTTAAAAAGCACAGTGGAGCATTCCCACATAACATTCTTTTGTGCCACTAAGTGAAGACCCTTGCTTGGTGATTCTACTTGGACTTCAAGACTATAAACACATATGTCCAGTTCATTTCAAAGGGAATGAGATGGAGACCCAGGAAGGCGGCTAGATGAGGACCATCTCGCAGATGTCACTGTTTCTTGATGATGGACGGTATTTTGTTCTTTGTCTCTGTGTTGTTGCTTCATGTTTGGCCATAAATGATCATTAATCTATGTGGCTAAAAATGTGTGGCTATATTCTTAAGGAGCTCTCAGCCCCTGCTGCAATAGTGAGCAGTAATATAACGTATTGAGCTAATTGTAATTCATTAAATAGAATCCACCTGCAAACACATCATACCAAACACAAGGCCATGGCTACCTGGTGGCAAGAAGAGGGTATGTGTGAACTGGGCTGAACCAGGCTTCCTTCCTCCGTGGCATGCTGTCATAGATTAAAAGGTCTTTCTCAGTCAGCACAACCAGGGCTGGTTTCCACTGTTTCTTGCTCTCCCCTGGCACCTGAAAAAGAAAGCAGAGAACTGTCAAATGACAGCCTGAGGAAAGGATGATTATGAGAAGTTGGCATCCCCCTAATCAGAGGACTCAGCAATACATTGAGTGTCTTTTGGTTTGGTTGCAAAATCAAAATGGAAAGAACCTTGTCTTTATCCCATGCTTCCTGATCCTTGAAAATATCTGTTGTCTCAAGGGCCCTGAAATGTATAGTCAGGACAGCCAAGAAGCAGCCCAGCTGCCACACATCTGTCACTGTTTCTCACCTGCCAGTCAGCACTGAATCTTTATTTTATAGTGGGAGGCAAATGCCTGGGGGAATAAGTACTTCCAGCTGATTCACTGGTACAGTAGCATTTTTTTTTATTATGAAATGGTAAGGTCTAAAAAGTTTTTGAATAAATATCTAAAGGCTCTGAAAAATGTACTATGGTGGCAAATGTCTACCCAGACAGAGTGAGATATCACAGCCTCTTTCCCTAGTCTTTTGCTCTTAGATTGGTTCTGTGATTCAGGCATCATCTTGAAACTTCTCTGGTTCTGTTGAATGTCCAGTTCCATTCACCACCCATAATTTATTAACTCAAGGGTTGAGATGACCTGACAGGAATGTGAAAGGATTGTGATAGTCATCAGTAATGATTGGACCAGATGATCTCTGAAAACCCTTCTAATCTGGAGAATCTGTGTAGCTCAGCTCTTATCTCATGAGCCATCCCCTTGGCCTGGTGTTTGCCCTTCCCAAACTTCCTATATGTTCCTCTGTCTATAAAAATGCTCTCCTTCCCATTTGATGGGCCCTAGGATACATCTTTAAGCTCGGTTTAAAAACTCAGTGAATGCTCAATTCTTGCTACTCAAAATATGGACTATGTTCCAGTAGCATCAGCATCATTTGGGAGCTTGCTAGAGTCTCAGGCCCATCCAGATCTGTTGAATCAGAGTCCGCATTTTAACAAAATCTTCAGGTAATCCCTTGGCTCATTAAAGAAACACTGCTCCAGATGAGGTTAAGATTGCTTTTGACACTGACAACTATCAAAGATTTAATGTTGTCATAATAAGTCACAACTCAAAAATCTATTCAGAATCAAAGAAAATTAGACAGTAAGCTAAATAAGTGATAAAGCTAATTTCTTCCCTTTCTAGTCTTATTATTACTTTATCTTAAGTGACACAGTGGAATCCGTATAGAGATAGAAGCATGTGTGTAGCTCTTGCTTTAGGCTAACACCCTAGTATGAGGAATGAGTGATCAAAGTAGAGAAGATTTACAGAATGATGTACGACTTGAGTTCTGTAGGTCCTACATGTAGGCTGCCTAAATCTGAGTCTGTTATTTATTGCCTGTGTGACTCTGGTCAAGATATTCTCTGTGCTTCTATTTCCTTACTGATAAGGATAATATCATATACAACAGTGGTTTTGAGTGCTGACTCGGGAGCTAGCAGGCCTGAACACAAATTTGTGTTACCCAGTTTACTAGCTGTGGGGGTCTTGGGCAAGTCAACTAATTTCTTTGTATCTCAGTTTCTGGATCTGTAAAATGAGAAATAATAGTACCTATAGCAGAGGGTGGTTGTGAAGATTAAATGAGCTAAAATTTGTAGAAATGCTTAATACAGTGCAGAATAAGCATCATGTAAGTACCTGTTAAGTAAAGTAGCACTTACCTCATCATGCTATAGTGGGGATTGAGACAGTGTGTGTAATGTGTTTGGCATGGTAGCTGGCAGATGGTAACGCCCTCAGTAAAACACAGGATGGGGAAATTGTGTCAGACACCAATTTTTGAACATGTCAAAAATGGTGTCCTTTGGAAATGGCATCACTATGACAAGGCAATGACTTTCCTTGGGAAAAATTATAAGACAAGCCAAAAATAAGCTTGGTGCTAACAATTTCAATACCTTTTCTTCCCATCCTTTCCAAAGTTCTCCCAGGAAGAACTCATTGCTTGATGATCACCTTTATATTTTAATGCCTCCCTTCCAGCAATTCCAAACAAAAACTGTGCTTCTGAAGAAGTGCCCTCCCCGACTCCGCTGCTGTAAAGCTATTTATGCTGGAACATGAATGACTGTTGACATATTCCTCATTTTGTGTATTTTATGCATATTTTAAAAGCTAGCTTTAGCTTGTTGCTTTTGTAAAAGGACTTTTTCCAACAGAACAACAGCATCTTCAATAGATCAAAATGAATTGTTAGAGAAGGCAATGTACCAGACTCTGCAAGGTGAATAAAGTATGGTCTCAAGGCATAAAGTGTTTGGGGTAGGGGGAAGGGGGTTCAGAATAAATTTTTTCCAACTTCTACATTAAATTTAGTAAATTACTTTTCCAGCTCATTAAATAGGACTGGAGAAGCTACAAATGATCCTCCCAAAGTGACTAGCTTACTTACCTAGTCAGATGCAATCCATTAACTTTGACCAGAATCAGTCATTTAAATGTGACAGCAACTAAGCATCATTCTTCAAAAACAATATTAAGTTTGAAAATAAGACTCAACAGTAAATACCAACAGTATAATGCAGACTTCTCTACTGGTGGAATCACAAACTCACCCATGTGTCAAGTGGTATATGTAGGTTTAAATAGTCCCAAAGCCCTAAAACATTTTGCAGTCTATTGAAGAGCGCTGTGTGGATATGGTAAACTCTGCTGTGAGAATACTTGGAGTGGGCACATTCCACTATTCCTGTATGCAGAGCTGTTATTTTAATACTAATGTAAATGCTTAGAGGTAGAAGGCTGCCTATGGGGACAAACAACTTTCCAAAGGGGGGAAAAATCATGTGGAAGAACAGGGATTTGTTTGTTTTGTTTTTGAGATAGAGTCTTGCTTTGTCGCCCAGGCTGGAGTGCAGTGGTGCGATCTCGGTTCACTGCAAGCTCCGCCTCCTGGGGTTCACGCCATTCTCCTGCCTCAGCCTCCCAAGTAGCTGGGACTACAGGCGCCCGCCATCACGCCCGGCTAATTTTTTTTTTTTTGTATTTTTAGTAGAGATGGGATTTCACTGTGTTAGCCAGGATGGTCTCGATCTCCTGACCTCATGATCTGCCTGCCTCGGGAACAACAGGGTTTTAAAAGCCATACCTTGTGCTACATACGCTTCATTATTTCAAGCCTTTGAAGACCAGTTTTTGTCAGGCTCAAATATTGGTGCTATTGTTCTAGTGACAACGTGCATTACAAATCCAGCTTTCCTGGCACCCAAAGGTATTCTGATATGAATACGACAGTTTTGGAGATGTGTCTGCATTTTGTTAACACATGACTCCTGAAACAGATGTGATTTCCATCTCTGCCTGGCTTCCTGCCTTGAGTGCTGCAGTCAGTTTCTCAAGAACTGATCAGATTTCTAATGAAGAAGGTGAAGAAAGGCAACAGGGGAATAAAACATTCAATTCTGAAATTATTCTGAAGCACAACTTTGGTGAGCTGAGTTGTGTCCCTGTAATCACTTCCACAGAGCATGAGAGGAAAGGTTTACAAAATGGCAAGAATTTCAGAGCTGGTGGTAAGAAGTAATTGGTAACAATTATGGAAGTGTCCTTAATCTGAGACAGGTCTCCCAAATCATCTGGGTCAGTGGCTTCCAAACTCTTTAAATTCAATGATCTCTCTGTTCAGATTAAGTCACAAGTCCTAGAACAATATGTAAAAGAATTGGACGGGCGAGGTAGCTCAGGCCTATAATCCCAGCACTTTGGGAGGCCGAGGTGGGCAGATCACCTGAGGTTGGGAGTTTGAGACCAGGCTGGCCAGCATGGTGAAATGCCGTCTCTACTAAAAATACAAAAATTAGCCAGGTGTGGTGGCGGGTGCCTGTAATCCTAGCTACTCAGGAAGCTGAGCCAGGAGAATCACTTGAACCCGGGAGGCAGAGGTTGCAGTGAGCCAAGATCGCGCCATTGCACTCCAGCCTGGGCAACAGAGCGAGACTCTGTCTCAAAACAAACAAACAAACAAACAAACAAACAAACAAACAAAGAGCAAACAAACAATTGAAAGAGACTTTATACGGGGTTGCCTCCCAGTGGGGATCTTGGCCCCTCTGAGACTTTATGTCTTCATCCTAGCACCACCCATGCCTCTAAGTGGGGTTGCTACTAATCTTTGGAATATAGTTTGAAAACTGATCTTGTCTCTTCTAAAATATCTAGAATCTGGCAGGGCACAGTGGCTCATGCCTATACTCCCAGTGCTTTGGGAGACCAAGGTGGGTGGATCACTTAAGGCTGGGAATTCAAGACCAGCCTGGCCAACATGGTGGAAACTCTGTCTCTACTAGAAATACAAAAATTAGCTGGGCATGGTGGTGCATGCCCTGTAGCCCCCAGCTACTCGGAAGGCTGAGGTGCAACAATTGCTTGAGCCCAGGTGATGGAGTTGCAGTGAGTCAAGATTGCACCACTGCACTCCAGCCTGCGTGACAGAGTGAGACTCTGTGTCAAAAAAGAAAAGAAAACAAACAAACAAACAAACAAAAAACCTAGAATCTTCACATGATTTCCAAAGGGACAGTTTTACCAGAACTTTCAGTGCCTTTTTTGTGGGTTCTTCCAAAGAAAAGAATGATACTGTTGTCACTTAGGCAGAATTGTAAGGATTAAATGAATTCGTGCACATATAGGATTTACAAAGCTGTCTTACAGACAGTAAACAGGCAATCCTTAAAAATCATAGCTATTTTTTACTATTAAGGAGAGTGCACATCAGATTAAAGATCTGAGTGAGCTTGGGCAAGAATTACTTGCCTTTGCTGGGTCAAAATTTCCTCCTCTGCCAAATGATGGGGTGGGACTAAATTATTGCTAGCACCTCCTCAACTTCAAAATCCAATCATCTGTTAAAGTTTAAAGTTATCTGCTACTAGGCTGGAACTGCTTCAGCTACTGGGATTCTTGCTTTACAGCTCTTTGTTCAGTGCACTCTTTTCCTGAGGCAAAAAGCAATACGGGGGTCTCTTTTTCTCGCTTCATACCAACTCACTCTTCCTAACATATTTACTTTCCACCTTCTACTTGAGCACGCATGGCAGGAAGAGCTCACAGTCTTTAGAGCCGAACAGCATGTCTTCAAAATCTGGCTTTGCCACTTCCCAGCTGAGGGACGTGAACAGCTTACTTAAGTGCTCTAAGCACTTGTTCACTGATGTGTCACATGCTGAGGATGGCCTCCCATGCACGTGTCTTTGAGGATCAAATGAGACAATGTATATAAAACTTCCTACATGATGGGTACTCAAAATGGTAAACTGCCCCAGTTGCTCACCTCAAGACACTGTTTCCCCCAGCTCCCATGAGCAGGAAGGAAGGTCTAGATGTAAGGGACAGAGAACACAAAGTGAAAACGTTCACGAAGGAAGAAGGGCCATCATGGCTTTTGTATTGCAGATCGTGTTTATCTCGACAACTTTTTAATTGAAGTCTGTTTCGCCTCAGGTTGCTAGGTGTTTAGCACAAAGGACAAGCTATCGGTGTAATAATAATAATTAGCATTGATCAACTTCTAAATGCTTTACAAACATTAGATAATTAATCCCTGCATCAACTCTCAGGGAGGCTGATAAAGAAGAGAAACAGCATTTAAATGTGGCCACAGGCACATAGGGACAGGGCTAAGCAAGGCCACTCAAATCTCCAGCTCTCTTCTAGCTTGCCCTGAACAATCCCCAGGACCCAGGAATCAGGAGTCAGACAAGACGTCTAGAGCTGGTTGGCATGCTGGCTCACGTCTGTAACCCCAGCTACTTGAGAGGCTGAGGCCTGAGACTCATTTTAATCCAGGAGGTGGAGGTCACAGTGAGCTGAGATTGCACCACAACACTCCAGCCTGGGCAACAGAGTGAGACCCTGTCTCAAAAAAAAAAAAAAAAAAAGAGAAAGAAAAAGACATCTAGGACATCTAGAGCTGAATGCAAAGGAGAATGAAAAGGAAGAAAAGGCAAAGGAGAATGAGAAAAAAGGCCAGAAAAAGAAGAAAAGTGCTCTATGGGAGCCTCAGCTTTCTAGGACTAACTTCTCTCTTCTCACAAGCTGTCTAGTACCAGGATCACCTGCTGAATTCAAGATTGGTGTCAAGAGGGGAGCAGAGGCCAGGCACGGTGGCTCAGGCCTGTAATCCCAGCATTTTGGGAGGCCGAGGTGGGCAGATCCCCTGTGGCCAGGAGTTTGAGACCAGCCTGGCCAACATGGTGAAAACTCGTCTCTACTAAAAATACAAAAATTAGCGGGGCATGGTGGTGCACACCTGTAGTCCCAGCTACTCGGGAGGCTGAGGCATGAGAATCGCTTGAACCTGGGAGGCGGAGGTTGCAGTGAGCCGAGATTGCACCATTGCACTCCAGCCTCGGCAACAGAGTGAGACTCTGTCTCAAAAAAAAGGAGAAGAGCAGAATGAGTGATGTATCATGTGGATGGATGTTAAGATAATGATGAAAAATAAAGTGAGGTGAAAAGGATGGCAAGAAAAATATGGTCTGATCATGGGACACTAAAGAGCGTGTCATTTTAATTTTAATTTTATTTTTACTTATTTATTTTTTTAGACAGTGTCTTGCTCTGTCTTCCAGGCTGGAATGCAGTGGTGCCACCTTGGCTCACTGCAACCTTTGCCAGCCTGGCCAACAAGATGAAATCTCTAGTAAAAATATAAAATTAGCCAGGCATGGTGGCACATGCCTGTAATCCCAGCTATTTGGGAGGTTGAGGCAGGAGAATTGCTTGAACCCGGGAGGTGGAAGTTGCAGTGAGTCAAGACCATGCCATTGCACTCCAGCCTGGGCAACAAGAGTGAAACTCCATCTCAAAAAACAAAAATAAAAAACAAACAAAACAAAAAAACCATAGCAGAACACCCATTCATGTCAAGTACACATAGAATTAACAAGATAGACAGTACTCTGGGCATTAAATCTAGTTTCGATAAGTTTAAATGTATTCAAGTTAAACAATGTATGTTCTTTGACCAAAATGGAATTAAATTAGAAATCAATAATGGAGATCTATGGAAAATAAAAACACAACATATCAAAATCCTCAAGATGTTGCTACAGCAGGACTAAGAAGAAATGGGCAATTAATGCCAATATTAGAAAAGAAGAAAGGATTCAAGTCAATGGTCTCAGCTTTCACCTTAACAAACTAGAAATAGAAAAAAAAATTTAAAATCAAAATAAGCAGAAAATAGGAAATAATAAAGACCAGTGCAGAAATCAATGAAAATGGAAACATGAAAGCATCAGAAAGTTCAACAAAACCAAAATCTGTTTTTTTGAGATCATGATCAATAAACCTCTAGCCACCCAGACTGACCATGAAAATGAGAGAGAAGACACAAATTATGAATATCAGAAATGAAATGAGTTCATGTCCTTTGCAGGGACATGGATGAAGCTGGAAACCATCATTCTCAGCAAACTAACACAGGAACAGAAAACCAAACACTGCATGTTCTCACTCGTAAGTGGGAGTTGAACAATGAGAACACATGGACACAGGGAGGGGAATATCACACACTGGGGCCTGTCGGGGGATGGGGGACAAGGGGAGGGAGAGCATTAGGACAAATACCTAATGCATGCGGGGCTTAAAACCTAGATAATGGGTTGATAGGTGCAGCAAACCACCATGGCACATGTATACCTGTGTAACAAACCTGTTCATAGCATGTTCTGCACATGTATCCCAGAATTTAAAGTAAAATTAAAAAAAATGAAACAGGGGACATCACTACATAGTCTGCAGATATTAAATATAAGACTGGGTGTGGTTCTCTCATCTATAATCCCAGCGATTTCGTAGGCTGAAGTGGGAGAATTGCTTAAGGCCAGGTGTTTCAGAACAGCCTGGGAAACATAGTGAGATCCTCTTTATAAATAATAATATTAATAAATATAGCATTAAATGTACGATAATGGGATGTATGAAGAATTGACAAATTCATTGAAAGACAAACTACTAAAGCATATTCAAGAAGAAATACTGGAACAGCTGGGGATGGTTGCTCACGCCTGTAATCCTAGCATTTTGTGGGGAGGCCAAGGTCGGGGGGATCACCTGAGGTCAGGAGGTCAACACCAGCCTGGCCAACATGGTGAAACCCCATCTTTAACTAAAAATACAAAAATTAGCCAGGCGTGGTGGTGGGTGCCTATAATCCCAGCTACTCCTACTCAGGAGGGTGAAGCAGGAGAATTGCTTGAACCCAGGGGGTGGAGGTTGCAGTGAGCCAAAATCGAGACACTTCACTCCAGCCTGGGTGAAAGAGGGAAACTCCGTCTCAAAACACACACACACACACACACACACACACACACACACACACACACACAAAACTGGAACAGTACTATCTCTCTTAAAGAAACTGAATCGGTAGTTTAAAATGTTTCTCCCCAAAATACTGAAGGGCCAGATGACTTCACTGAGGAATTCTATCAAATAGTTAAGAAATAATACCAATTATATATAATTCTTTCAGAAAATGGAAGAGTAGGGATACTTCCAACCCATTCTATAGACTAGACTTACGCTGATCCAAAATAAGACAAATATATTACAAAAATAGAAAACTATAAACCAGTACGCCTCATGAACATAGATCCAAACTTTCTAAACAAAATTTTAGCAAATTGAGTCTGAAATTATATTTAAATGGTAATACATCATGACTAAGCAGGGATTAATCCAAAAAAGCATTACTGTAGCTATCTAATAACAAATTAAAAATCAATCAATACTTAAAATACTTTAAAAAGTAAGGACAAAACCCAACATCTCTTTCTGATTTTAAAAACACTCAGCAGGTCTGGCGTGGTGGCTCACGCTTGTAAGCCCAACACCTTGGGAGACCGAGGTAGGTGGATCACTTGAGGTCAAGACCAGCCTGGCCAACATGACAAAACGCTATCTCTACCGAAAATACAAAAATTAGGGCACGCACGGTGGCTCATGCCTGTAATCCCAGCACTTTGGGAGGCCGAGGCGGGCAGATCACCTGAGGTCAGGAGTTCGAGACCAGCCTGGCCAACACTGTGAAACCCTGTCTCTACTAAAAATACAAAAATTAGTTGGGCCTGGTGGTGGGTGCCTGTAGTCCCAACTACTTGGGAGGCTGAGGCAGAGTTGCTCGAACCCAGGAGGCAGAGGTTGCAGTGAGCTGAGATCGCACCACTGTACTCCAGCTTGGGTGACAGAGCGAAACTCCATCTCAAAAAAAAAAAAAAAAAAAAAAAGTGTAGTAATTTAGAAGGAGCAGTTAAGAGAAAAAAGTTTAGGGAAAATGTAATATATTTGATTTTGAGTCATTTAAAGCTGGTGGTTTAAAAATCTACGTGACAGGGAAAGAATTCTCTCTATCAAGGGAGGAAAGGGCTGAGGGAGTGAACATGTATGACAGTCTACTCTGATGAGCCTTATTGTGGGTTAAACTGTGTTCCCCCAAATTCATATGTTGAAGTCCTGACCCCAGTACCTCAGAATGTGACCTGATCTGGAAATAGGGTCGTCGCAGATGTAATCAGTTAAGTTGGGATGAGGTCATATTGGAATAGGTTGGACCCCTAATCCACCTTGACTGGTGTGCTAATAAAAGGGGAAAGGTGTACGCAGACGTGTACACAGGGAGGAGGCCACGTGAGCATGAAGGAAGAGACCAGGGTGATACGTTTCCATGCCAAGGAATGCCAGAGATTGCCAGCAATCTGGTGGTGACCTGAAACTAGGAGACAGGCATGGAACATATTCTTCCTTATGTCGTCAGAAGGAACCAATCCAGCTGACACCTTAATCTCCTAATTCTAGCCTCCAGAACTGTGAGACTATACATTTCTGTAGTGTAAGCCACCCAGTTTATGGTACTTTGTTATGGCAGCCCTAACAAGGGCATTCGAGCCCTATGCTGTAGTTCACCACTCTTAATCCTTTCAGCAACACTTTAAGGTATTTATTATTATCCCCATTTACAGAAGAAGAAACTGTGGTTCTGAGAGGTTATATCCTGGCTAAGCATAGGCAGTTAGAATCATAAAGCCACTCATGTGGCTCATGTGTGGAGCTCAGCTGGACTGTCTCCTCTCAGCTGGAGTGCACAGGCCCAGCTCAGTGCAACTGTGCAGCAGGCCATGCTTCTCTTTGGAGCTCTTCTTTCTGTCGTTCTTTCCTGCCTCCTGGCATGTGAGGCTTCACTCAGGCCAGATGTCAATATTTTGATCCAAATATCTAAATTTCCCTCTTAATAATCAAAACTCTTTATTCCCTAAGCCTCACATCTGCTTAAAGTAATTCAAGACTAAGGTGGAAATGAGTCATAACCGTTAATATGTTGTTCCAGTAAGAGACCTTTCTATTTATAACAAGTAGCTGGGGCAAAATTGGTCCCTTATGTTTACTCTTTATTGCACAATTGAAGGGCTAGTAAATGAAACATAGTCTGTTCTCTAAAGGAGGTGAAACATTTCCATCATTCTATCAATTCAGTTTGCATGATTCTGTTACTTTAGCAAATCCTGTTTTTTTTGCTGGTGTTTTTTGCTCACCCCAGGGCAGATGTTTGCAAGTTTCTAAAACAGTGAAGCCAATGTAATATGCTGTGCAGTTTAAAATCAAACATGTCATATGTTTAACAACATATAACATGAATACAGTGGGTTATGAAACAGCATTGGAATAACTACCAAAGTTAGGCTGTGAAACAGCATTTGCAACTCCCAAACTTTTCGAGATATTTGTAGTCTAGGAAGTTAAGTGGCTCTTGACCTTTCCAGCTCATGGGATAGAAAACACTGGACACAAAACACATCCCTTCAGCAGTGTTACACTAGCTACATTAACCACAGAACCTTCTAGAAAAGGAGTCATAAATTCATATTATTACAGAGGACCAGGTATACAAAGAGAAATCACCTCCATTTCACTTATGAGATAAACTCTTTTCAGGAATTAGCCAATTATTACCAAGAATGATTGTGGGCATGGCATCGCCAAATCTTCCAGTGTTTCAAGAGAAGCCAGGAATCCGAATGTTTTTATGTAAACTTTCCCTATATTTAAAAGCTAGTGTATTCGTTTCCTATTGGTGCTGCAAGAAGTTTCCACAAACTTGGTGGTATTTGCTATCCTATAGTGCTGGAAGTCAGACGTCCTGAAATTTTGGTGTTGGCAGGTCTGGTTCTTTCTGCAGGCCCTGGGGAGAACCCTCTTCCTTGCCTTTTCCTGCTTCCGGGTCCCCCACATTCCTTGGCTCTTGGCTCTGCATCATGTTACCTTTTCTCCTGCTGTTTCTGTCACCACGTCACCTTCCCTTGCTTCTGACCCTCCTGCCTCCCTCTTATAAGGACACTTGTGATGACACTGGGCCCATCTGGATGATCCGGGATCCTCTCTCCATCTCAAGATCCTAAACTTCATCGCATCTGCAGAGTTCCCTTTCCCAGGTAAGTCAACACATCACAGGTTCTGGGGGTTAGGATGTGGACATCCTTGTGGGGAACATTATTCTGCCTACCTCAGTTGGCAACGAGTTTAAGTTGAAAAATAACGTATGGAGCGAAATGACAGGAAATATGGAATTTGCTTTAAAATCCCTCCCTTGTCTCTTCTAAAAATGGGCAAATGGGGGAAAGAAGGTAGATAAAATAGTGACAATTGTTGAAACTGGAGGTTCATTATTGTTTTTTATTTTCCTCTAGGTAAGTTTTAAGAATCCCTAAATGGCTGAGTATGGTGGCTCACACCTATAATCCCAGCACTTTGGGAGGCCGAGGCGGGTGGATCACCTGAGGCCAGGAGCTCAAGACCAGCCTGGCCAACATGGTGAAACCCTGTCTCTACTAAAAATACAAAAATTAGCCGGGCGTGGTAGCGCGTGCCTGTAATTTCAGCTACTTGGGAGGTTGAGGCAGGAGAATCGCTTGAATCCAGGAGGTGGAGGTTGCGGTGAGCCGAGATCGCACCACTGCACTCCAGCCTGGGCAACGGAGCGAGACTCTGTCTCAAAAACAAAACAAAACAAAACAGACAAACAAACAAAAAAACCCAACAACAACAAAAAAGAAAACTAATGTTTTATGGGAGGAAATTTGTATGTGGCAGCTTTAAGAGTTCAGCACCTTTCAAAGTTATTGAGGCACAGTTCTTACAAATTATAAAGATCTCCACAATAATCCTCTGGCCCCAACCCACTACCCATTCCCCACTCCTTTACTAATTCCTTCTAGTTTTGAAAAATCAGCCTCTGGAAATTCTCACCTTGTGTGGGATGCCTGTCCTTTGTGTATCATGGTTCCATACTTTATATATCCTTAGACCCTGTGGAATGACTGGAGTACAGTGGTGTTCAACAGATTCTTGCTGAACTCTGAGCAACTAAAGTCACACCTAGTCAACTGTGCCTTAGGCTCCCCCAGTGAATGCTGTAAACCGTTTAAGCATCATTGTTTGAAGAGCTCAGAGGCCTGAGATCTATGTGCTCTCTCACGGACCTTCTTCGCTCACCCATGGCTCCAATTCCCATTTCCCTTCATTAGGTGTGAGCGGTCCATACTCAGCTTCCAGAAATGGATGAAAGGCTGCTTCTAATCTGTGAGCTCACAGATAATTAAATTAGCCTCCTCTCGATGTGGTGGGGGAAGCTATTTTACTTTCATTAACTCCAAAGGGCCATTTCAGTTAAAGTCTCTATTTGGTAAACAAGTTATCTTTGACTTACAGACTTTACTTCCTTAACTTTCAGGAAAGATGCCCTTTAAAGGGATGCTGATATGCAGAAATTGACAATTTTTTTAAAAAAGCTATCTTTTGAAAGGGAGATAACATTATTGCTAAATCCAAAAACAGCAGGCTCTTTGGGAAAAAAAAATGTATGCTTCAACATCCTGTGTTTTGTTTCCAAAGGATAAAAGGTGGGGTGTGTTTGTGGGCTTCCTTGTCTACTTTCTCATTTTATTGTTCCATCAAAAAAGAAAGCCAGAAGTTCTTTGAAGGAAGAAAATGTTAAAATGTAGGGAGTGTCTGGCCTCAACATCACACCAACATTTCCTAAACTCACGGCCTGGCATTATGGCTATTCAGTAATGTCAGACACCATAATACCATTTACCATATGAACAAAACATCAACATGCTTGCTTTCAGTGCGATCTACCAAAGCTTTATGACTAACCAACCAAACAAAAAAAAAAAAACAAGAATTGATTTTAGAGAAATTGTAAAACTGTGTTCCAAGGACCAAGTGAGAAACAAATTCTGAAGCCCACTTATCCTGCTTTAAACTCCTTCGTAAAACCTGCCCCAACTGGGAATAGCCATTTTTTTTTTTTCCTCTGACTTCCTGGCAGCAAGGAGGGAGTCTAGTAGTAAGGACATAAATCTTATCTGACACTTCTAGTTTGCAACTCAGCTTAGTTATTTTCACTGTGATCTTGAAGAAGTTACTTATCTTCTCCATGCTGCTGTTTCCACATCTGTAAAATGGGGATATTACTTCTTCTCTGAGACTGTTAGGAGGATGGAATTAGGTAATGTATTTCAAGGGTATTTCTCAAAATTTCATTGGTAGATTATCTGCTTCAGAATGAGTGGCGCTGCCAGTTACAAATTCAGAAGCCTGCTCCTCCTAGGATCCAATTATTCAAAAGTGCTGTGGGTGTCTCCCAGAAATCTAGATCTATAGGGAGGGGCCTGGGTAAGTCTTCTGCATACTATTGTTTGAGCATATCTGTCATAAGCATCGATTACCATCACTACCATCATAATGTATATACCACTCATTTTCTACCAGTGACCAGTCTCCTTGGATTCCGTGCCTTGTATCACTGGGTATTTGCTATAAATAGATTCTTGAATCCCTGATTCACTGAATCCTGGTATCCAGGAATTGAGACTACACATCTGTATTTATACACCCTCTTTTGAGGACTCTGATGTGCAGCCTGCTTTGGGAATCACTGACCCATGTAACTCATTCTGATACTGGATTATAGCCCTTTATTACTTAACCATTTAGCCAGTGTCTACAATACTATCATAAATGCTCGCTGAGATCGGTTGACCTGAATAAAGGTCCATCTGCCAAAGTAAACCTCCAAGCTATGATAAGCTCTGCTCAGGGATTTCCTCCTCCTCATTTCTTTCTAATGTTATATTTATGAACATTTGATTTCACTCACAGTAATTTTTCCAAACTCTAAGTCACTAATGTACCACTGTCATGATTTTTGTTGTATCCACTTGTACTGCTATGGGAATTGCCAATTGCCCATCCATCTTAGTCAATCCTGGCTGCTATAACAAATTACCATAGACTGAGTTGCTTAAACAACAACATTATTTCTCACAGTTCTGGAGTCTGGTAAGTACAAAATCAAGGGACTGGGAGACCTGCTGTCTGGTGAGGGCCCCCTTCCTGGTTTGTAGATGGCTATATTCTCATTGTATCCTCATATGGTGGAAGGAGCTAGCTAGCTCTCTTGCCTCTTCTAAGAGAGGGGCATTCATGATGGGATAGTTCCTGTCAGGACCTAATGACCCCTCATAACCTAATGACCCGCCCTCATGACATAATTACCCTTATGCCCCCTGAGGCCCTGCTTCCAAATATCACCACATTGGGATTAGCATTTCAATATATAAATTGTCATGCAGACACATTCAGTCCATTGTACTACCCAGAATTTACTCTTTCCTTCTATTTCCTAAAATAACTCCAAAATTATTAGAAGTGATAATATATCCAACCAGAAAATTCCATTTTCCAGCTCCATCTTATCTTGCACATTCACCCTCCTCTAACAATTCCAACACATCAGAGTCTTCCACCTCCACCCCATTAGCCTCAGTCAATATCCAAGTTCACATTCCTATGGACAGGCTCATCCTACACTGCAAAGAATCTGCTTCATGCAGCTGTCTTTATGGCAGCTGGCAAATTCTTTGTAGTTATCAAATAGGAAATGATATAAGTGTGATTTCCAAATAGAAAAGTAGCTGTGAAAATGTGGGGCGACATGCTTTGTTCCTCTCTCTCACTTTACTTTTCCCCCTCAAAATTCCCTTTTGCCATGAATGATACATAGGTGGCCAACATGCTCCTTGCTGGAGTTAAAGAATCATGAGGCTTCTTTCTTCTGTCTTTCAATTTCCTGCCAGTACCTAGTATCAGCCTGATTTAAGCAGATAACAGTATCTATTTCATAGGATTATTGTGACAATCAAATGAGTAACAGATGCAAAGTAGGAAGCACAGGAAACATTATATAGAGTACTTGCAAGAATGTGTGTTGTAAAAGTGCAGGCCATAATGATTAATGCTTTCTGGAATCCCCACACTCCCTGCTGGTCTTGCAGGGCCCATCACATATGAAAAGACATCCGCTATCTTATCAGCATATCCTTACACAAGTCTCATCTTTGCTTCTCCTGTGTTCATTATAGGTTTCTTTCTTTTGTTTTCTTTTCTTTTCTTTTTTTTTTTTTTTGAGACAGAGTCGCTCTGTAGTCTAGGCTGGAGTGCAGTGGCGCGATCTCGGCTCACTGCAACCTCCACCTCCTGGGTCCCGGTTCAAGCAATTCTCCTGCCTCAGGCTCCCGAGTAGCTGGTATTATAGGCATGCACCACCGTGCCTGGCTAATTTTTGTATTTTTAGTAGAGACGGGGTTTCACCATGTTGGCCAGGCTGGTCTTGAACTCCTGACCTCGTGATCCGCCGGCCTCGGCCTCCCAAAGTGCTGGAATTACCAACGTGAAACACTGTGCCCTGCCTCATTATAGGCTTCAACCTAACACATATCACTTTCATTCTCTGGAATGAAATACCTGCAAGGCATTAACATTTCCAAGAGAGAGCATCTGCAGAAGTAGGTACCACACAAAACATATACCCTAACCAGCCTAAAAGTCAGCATCGTGGATTCTCAGATGCTTCCCTCCTAGATTTTCCTCTGTCCTTGGATCATCAGCAAGTTCTGAAAATTAGCCACACCAAACTCCTCCTCAAGAACATGCTTTTTGTCTTTTCATATTTCACATCTAACAATTTACTTCTTCCTTCAGCATCTTCTTATGTGTTCCTCATTTACCAAGCTCTGTGAGATTTAGCCTACTTCATCCTGCCTTTTGACCCTTTGAAAATTGGTGACTTTTTCATTATAGTCACCTTTTTCCTCTATCCATGTTAAGATCTAAGGGTCAAAGGTGTACATGCTATTCTAGATAGATTTGTCAGAGATGCATAGCGACCCGGGACCTCCTTGCTTTCTGCCAGGAAGGAATGTCTGGCATAAAACTCTGGTTTTATACCTCAAAATGTGAGGAGTATGAGGTTTTGGACAGAAAACACGTTATCCATGACAATGCTATGGGTAGTAGATGTACTGCAGCTGGTATCAACAACTGCCCTTTTTTATGGCTCAGTAAATGCTTCTTTTGCACCTATTCTGGCATCTCTTCTTTTAGCCTCATACTAACCTCACCCCAACAAATTTCTGAGTCCTTTAGAGACTTGTTCCCCTGGGTGTCCTATGCAATCCTGTTCCATAAAAACTCAGTTCTCCTCTTTTCCTCACTGTGTGCAAAGAGTGTGATTTAGGATAAAGAAGGTGATTTCCTTGATATGCAAGCATTTCAGTCTCAGTGGCTACAAAGATCCATTTTCATTAAATTGCAAAAGGGACAGCTCAGTTAAAGATGATGATGATGATGATATCACAAATAAAAAATAGACCACTTCAGTTTAATTTTTTACTACTTTCTCATAAAGGGAATAGTAAGGGTCAAACTTTTCCTACTGCTTCTATTATGATAGTCACTAATTATATACAGTTGATCCCATTCATGAAGAAAGCTAAATCACCTATGAAAATAAATTTC
Source organism: Homo sapiens (assembly GCF_000001405.40). NCBI lineage: Eukaryota > Metazoa > Chordata > Mammalia > Primates > Hominidae > Homo > Homo sapiens. The sequence goes on from NC_000008.11 coordinate 120,592,092, forward strand.
ATTTTATTAAAAAGTATGAAAAAGGCTAAAAGCTTTGATAGAAAGCTACTAAAAATATAAATTAGCAGTCCAATTTCAAGCTAATAAGCAGAATTTTTTTTTTTCCAAGAGAGAGGGCCTAGCTCTGTCACCCAGGCTGGAGTGCAGTGTCGTGATCACGGCATGCTGCAGCCTCAAACTCTTGGGGTCAAGGGATCCTCCTGCCTCAGCCTCCTTTAGCTGGAACTACAGGTGTGTGCCACCACACCAGGATAATTTTTTTTTCTTTTTTTTCTTTTGTAGAGTGAAGCTGTTGCTACATTGCCCAGGCTGGTCTCGAACTCCTGGCCTCCAGCAATCCTCCTACCTCAGTCTCCCAAAGTGCAGGTGTGATCCACTGTGCCTGGCCAAGCAGAGAATTTTTTAAAAAATTCATTTGTACCATTAGAACAGCCTATTCCAACTAAATGAGATAATATGTATTCTTTCATGCTATAAATATTTGTTAAGCACATGCTATGTGCCAGACACTGTGCTGGGAGCTAGGCACTTTGTGACAAGCAGAAGTAGACAAGCTTTCCCTCAGATGGAGCTTTTAGGCTGGCAGAGAGGACAGGCATTACATAAGCCGTCAAATAAATAAAGAAATATATCATAAATGGTGGTAACTGTTGGTATTCATCATGAGGCATATATAAGAGCTCTGTTGAGTCAGTTTCCCTTTCTCCTACTCTGGGGTCTCTGCAATTCCTAATTCTGAATAAGTGAATTAAATGCCACTGGGGAGGTAACAGGGCCGGTGAATCTGCTGTATACACCTGGAATAACGCTGCCGGCGTTCTGTAAATATTTCTGCAAACAGCAGATTCCTTTGCATATGATCCTTTCCCCACACCCCGTTCCCATGGCTTTTTTTGTTGTTGTTGGCTAAATGTTTACACAGCTGTTAAAAAGAAAAAGGGAGAATAAAACAACTTTGAGGACACAAAACAAAAACAAAAAAACTCAGACACTCCTATCTTGCTTTGATTTTCCATCTTCTCAAACTTAAAAAAAAATCAGTTGTAAAGTTTTGATTCACAGGGTAGATCATGAAGAGAACTATGAGGTCAGTAAAGTTTAATCGTGGTGCCAGGGACGATATTCAAAACATTTAACAACCGGCACAGACTCCCACTGAAGCAGGCACCGAAAGGAAAGATGCCCTGAGCCTAGGCAGTACACAGCAGCTGAAAAGCCATCCAGTGGCAGCCTCGCATGCTCACACCACATTTCTTCTGCCTTCCATTCTGTCTCAGCACCCTCGGGTCTCATGTCTGAGTCCATTATCTCAAGGTCTTGCAGCCAATCAAATACTAATTGAGTATATCCTGTGTCACTCCATCCCAGGAACTGGACAGTGAATAAGGCTCAAGTAGTCCTTTACCTAATGGGACTCAGAGTCTCTGTTGGTGATGGACAAAAGGAAGGAAACAAACAAATGATGAGATAAAGGAGAAAGAAGAAATGAGTCCATTTAATAAACTCATTCTTACAGGAGGGTTAGGGCTTTAAGAGTTAGTCTTATAAGCGGTATTTGCATCTTAAGAAGGGACAAATCATTAGGCCAAAGAAATGAATTGTTAATGATAGGATTTCAGCCATAAAAAGGCATAATGAGAAAATTGTTTGGGGAGATGGCACATTGGACAGAGGTTTTTCCTAATTGCATAAATCACCTCATCTGGAAAGCTATCTGGGGATTCTATTTTTAAAGCTGGCCCAAATTCACAAATACAAAAGGTCCTTGTCTGGAAGAGGGGACATACCAAACTCTTCAGGGGATCTTTCTTAAAATGGCATCAGGCAGGGGAGAGAGGAGGGACTTTCATTGTTCACTTCACTCAATTCAATTCTGTATTGTTTGAGATTTTATGGGCCTTTGATACTTTTGTTATGTATTATATATGTAACATATCTCTTCTAAGGAGCTCAGTACATGTCTTTATTTATTTATTTATTTATTTATTTTGAGACAGGGTCTTGCTCTGTCACCCAGGCTGAAGTGGGGTGGTGCAATCATGGGTCACTGCAGCCTTGACCTCCTGGGCTCAAGTGATCCTCCCCCCTCAGCCTCCTGAGTCGCTGGCACTACAGGGGCATCCCACCGCACTGAGCTATTATGTATGTATGTATGTATGTTTTGAGACAGAGTTTCTCTCTTGTTGCCCAGGCTGGAGTGCAATGGTGCAGTCTCAGCTCACTGCAACCTCCACCTCCCGGGTTCCAGTGATTCTCTTACCTCAGCCTCCCAAGTAGCTGGGATTACAGGCATGCGCCACCAAGCCCAGCTAATTTTTGTATTTTTAGTAGAGGTGGAGTTTCACCATGTTGGCCAGGCTGGTCTTGAACTCCTGACCTCAGGTGATCCACCTGCCTCGGCCTCCCAAAGTGCTGGGATTACAGGTGTGAGCCACCGCACTCAACCACTAATACTTATTGTTTGTAGAGACAGGGTCTTGCTATGTTGCTTAGGCTGGTCTGGAATTCCTGGCCTCAAGCGATCCTCCCACCTCAGCCTTCCAAAGTACTGGGATTACAGGTGAAAGCCATGGCAACCGGCTGCTCATGTCTTAATGTATAAATCTCAAATGATTTCAAGTGAATTATTTCAAACTTTGAGTTTCCTCGTGTGTTGTTTTAGCACCTCAGAGGGATATGTCTGCCCTTTCTATAGCTCATGTGCAAAAGTAAAGGCAAAAGAAGACAAGGGTAATGGGAATACTGTTTGATAGGTATGGAGTTTCAGTTTGGGAAGATGAAAAAGTGCTGTGGCTGGATGGTGGTGATGGTTGCACAACAATGCAAATGTACTTAATTGAACCATACAATAAAAAAAATAGTTAAAATGGTCAATTTTATGTTATGTATATTTTACCACGCATTCACAAAAAAAAGTGAAGGCAAGAGTCAAGCAGAAGGCCCAGAGGCTAAAATAAACCTCCTCAGATGTTAACTCTCCTTGGTCCTCCTTGAGGCTTGACTGCACAGGTTCCTGGGCTACATCGCTGTGCTTTGTCTCTGCGGTGGACTTGTCAGAGCTGTTTGAACCAGAGCAACTCCATCTTGAATAGGAGCTGGGTAAAATGAGGCTGAGTCCTACTGGGCTGCATTCCCAGATGGTTAAGGCATTCTAATTCACAGGATGAGACAGGAGGTCTGCACAAGATACAGGTCATAAAGACCTTGTGGATAAAACAGCTTGCAGTAAAGAAGCTGGCCAAAACCCACCAAAACCAAGGTGGCAACAAGAGTGACCTCTGGTCATTCCTCACTACTACACTCCCACCAGCGCCATGACAGTTTACAAATGCCATGGCAACATCAGGAAGTTACCCTATATGGTCTAAAAGGGGGAGGCATGAATAATCCACCCCTTGTTTAGCATATCATCAAGAAATAACCATAAAAATGGGCAACCAGGAGCCCTAGGGGCTGCTCTGTCTGTGAAGTGGTCATTTTTTTTTATTCCTCTAATTTCTTTTTTTTTTTAGACAGTGTTTCACTCTTGTTGCCCAGGCTGGAGTGCAATGGCTCAATCTCAGCTCACTGCAACCTCTGCCTCATGGGTTCAAGCAATTCTCCTGCCTCAGCCTCCCGAGTAGCTGGGATTCCAGGCATGCACTACCACGCCCGGCTAATTTTGTGTGTTTAGTAAAGATGGGGTTTCTCCATGTTGGTCAGGCTGGTCTCGAACTCCCGACCTCAGGTGATCTGCCCACCTTGGCCTCCCAAAGTGTTGGGATTCCTCTACTTTCTTAATAAACTTGCTTTCACTTTACTCTATGGACTCACCCTGAATTATTTCTTGCATGAGATCCAAGAATCCTCTCTTAGGGTCTGGATTGGGACCCCTTTCCTGTAATGGACTCACTTTCTTGATCAATATGTTGAGCTGCTTTTTCATGCATGTGTTTCTGTGTGTGTTCAATGACATACGTTCAATGCCCCTGCCCATGTTCAATGACATACGTATAATCACATACATCCATACCCCCCAGGGGTAGGGGATAAAGCAGAGGGATGTGGATGGTTTCACAAGCTTCTCTTCTTAAATTTTTCTATGCCTTTTAAGCTAAAAAAGCATTTTCCAGTGTCTCTCTACATAACATGCATACATTAAGGCACACATTCACAAAGGTCGACATTCACTAAACCAAAAATCTATCATGATATTTTCTCTAATCAGAGACCAGAATATCAACATTTATTAATTTTGAGTATATCTATATGTCTGTTATTTGATACCAAAAACTTTAATAAACTGAGACCTCCTCTGTTTATTAAACCCACTGTTTACAGTGGTGTGTTAATTTTCTATTGCTACAAACCAATCATGACCCAATGCAGATTTATAGCTGCACAGGTCAGAAGTCTGACAGAAGTCTGATCTGGCTGAAATCAAGATGTCAGCATGGCTGTGCTCCTGTCTGGAGGCCCTAGAGGAGAATCTGTTTCCTGGCTCATTTAGGTTGTTGGCTGAATTCAGTTCTTTTTGGTTATAATACCAAGGTCCCCATTTCCTTGCTATCAGCTGAGGGCCATTCCCAGTTTCTAGAGGTTGCCTGCATTCCTGGGCTCTTCTCCACCCTCCCTTCCACCTTCAAAGCCAGCAATGGTGGATAAACTCTCTCTCCTCCTTCACATCCCTCCTGTGTCTTTCTCTGTGCTCTCTCTGACCACAGTCAGGAAAGCGTCTTTTCTTTTAAGGGCTTATGTGATGAGACTGGGCACATCTGGATAATCCAGACTACTCTGTTCATTTCAAGGTCCATAACTTTAATTACATATGCAGAGGTTTGGTGCTTAATGCATAGACATCTGTGGTAGGCTGAACAGTGGTCCCCCCACAAATGATGTTCATGTCCCAATACCTGGAACCTGTGCTACCTTATATGGCAAAGACTTTGCAGAGGTCTCGAGATAGGGAGACTAGCCTGAGTTATCTGGATGAGCCCTAAATGCAATCACAAGCCCTAAATGCAATCACAAGAGGGACATTTCAGATAGATGAGCAGAAGGCAGTGGACCATAGAAACAGAGACTAGAGTGATGTGGCCACAAGCCAAGGATACCAGTGGCCATCAGAAGCTGGAAGATGCAAGAAATAGATTGTCCTTTAGAGCATCCAGAGGGCACGTGGCCCTACCAACACCTTGATTTTGGCCCAGTGATGCTGATTTTGGACTTCTGAATTCTAGGTCTATGAGAGAATAAATTTCTGTTTTAAGCCACTGGGTTTGTGATAATTTGCTATAGCAGCTATAGGAAACTAGCACAACATCCCCCAGGGAGCCATTAATCTGCCTCCTACAAGGGATGCGATGGATTTTTATAAGCACGTGTGATTTGCACACTCTTGTTCCATAGCCAGGGTTCCTGCTGAATTGGCATTTTCATAGGACAGCAGTTTTTAGGAGTAGCAGGACATCACATTAGTGAAAAATGAGTATCCTTTACAAGAAAACCACAAAGAAGGATCCTAATGCATGTGTTTGCTAATTGATTGCCATTTTGGCAAGCTCTTAATAAGGATATAAGTCATCAGGTAATTATACAAAGTAAGAATATGGGAGCAGCATTATGGAAGGAGGCGGAGCCAATGAATTTGCTGATCTGTGCATTGCAGACTGAATATGTTCCCCTAGAACTGAGTCACCCTGGCAGCATCAGGACACAGGCCCCGGCCAGGGATGAATCAGGCTTCTGGCTCATCCTGCTGCCCCAACGACTTACAATCTTAATCCTTCAGAGGCCTAAAGTCCTGGAAATGTTGCAGTTTTGGTGACTTACATATAATTCCAACAAAAATCAAGACAAATTTAAAACAGAACATACATTGTATGTGAAATTAAGAGTTTCTTGGTAGATTTTCCAACTACAAAAGTCTTCATTAATTCCTCAAGAGTAAACTTTTTTCTGTTTGGGGATGGGAAGATGCTTTGCTGGCGCTTATTCTGCTCACTGGGAAAACTATGTGCACACAAGTCCAGAGCCATCCAGCCTGAAGTCCCACTTCTGGCTCTCACACATCCCTTTCCATTCCAATCCATTGTTTTCCTCTTGGTTTTCAAAGTTCCCTCAATCTGGCCTTATGTCATCCCTCCAGGAAGAGTCTCAATTCTTCTCAAGGGAACTCAGGGCTTATCTGGTCATTTCTTCATTGGGTCTCCACATTTCCACATGACTTCTTCATCCTCATCTCTGCACATTTGCATATAACAGAGCCCCTATCTGTAACACCAGCCCCACTTCTTTATGCGAGGCCAAACTTTCTTCATCCTTTAGCATTCACAGACTTTCTCCAAACAACCTTCTCCTGAGTGTCATTTATGGCTGAATCACTTAGTATACATTTACTCTGTGCTAAGTACTGAACTGTGGATAGCAGTGAAGAAGTCAGACAAGGTCTCACCCCCAGGAGCTTAGAGTCTAGTGAGGGAGATGAGAATAAAAGCAGGGAAGCAAACAAAGCATTCAGATTGTAGCAGGCACCATGTTCATTTCCTATGCCCCTGTAACACATTACCATAAACCAGGTTGCTTAAAGCAATACGTATTTATTCCCTTATAGTTCTGGAGGCCAAAAGTCTGAAATTCGAATTAATGGGGGAAAGTCAAAGCATCCTCAGGGCTGCCCTCCCTCCTGATCCTCTAGGGGAGAGCCCTTTGCTTTGCTCTTCCTAGCTTCTAGAGCTGCATTTTTTTTCAGCCCTGCATCTTCAAAGCCAGAGCCATAGCATCTTCTCTCTCTGACTCTGCTTCCATCGCACGGCTCCTCCTCTGTGTGAAGTCTCCCTTGGCCTCCCTCTTATAAAGATACATGTGGTTACATGTAGGACCCAGTGAAATAATGCAGGCAGGATTATGTCTGCATGGCAAGGTCTTCAATATGTACAACTACCCTTTTTCCATATGGGGCAATGTTCACAGGTTCCAGGGCTTAGGATCTGGATATGTTTACAGGCCATTATTCGGGCTACCACAGGGCTCTGTAGAAAACAAGCCAGGCAGGAAGAAAGGTGCTACCTCTATATAAGGCGGCCAGGAAAGGTGAATGTCATCAGGGAACTTTAAGTCAAGATTTAAAGAGTGAGAACAAGCCTTGGTCCTTGATTATTCATCAGTGGCCGTAACAAAATAGAAATACACATTAAAAGTTAATAAAAATACCGCACAAATAATTTGTATTAACAGTGAGCTGTATAATTGTGTGATTTCTATCTCATCAGAACCTAATGATTACCTCCAGAAAATGTGAGGTTGACAAAATGACCTTGTGTGCACATGCAGATTTTTTTAAAATATTTCTGAAGCTAATTGCTGCTTGATGCTTTTGCTATAAATCCAGGTTTTATATTTATTCATGCCTCATTTCAAAATAAATCTGAAGAATTAAATATCGTTTTGACAATGATAAATGCTTAAATAAAGATATACACGATCAGTCAGTTCACCAAATATTCAGACTGGCCATTTCACTGTTGGAAAATCCCACTTCCATTCATTTGCTGGAGATTGTTGGAGATTAGCCAATTGAACCCTGAAATCTATAATTTGAAGAATAATTAAGAGTTATTTTATATATGTCAAAGAGATGTCGTAGTTGTAAAGAATAGAAGATTGGAAATAACTGTTTTTTTAAAATGATAGATGCTTCTCTTTAAATATTAAGTGCTTTTCTCTTTGCAAAAGTCATAGCTATTCAAGGTTTCTAAAATGCTGCTAAAGTTGTCTTTCTTAATGTGGATGCTAGTGACATGGATAGGTACAGTTTGTTAAAATTTATCAAGCTATACTTATAGCATTTGGATTATGCATAAGCTATACTTATTACATTTAAAAATAGCAATTTATTTGTTGTTAAAAACCAGAAAATGCCGGGAAGTAACAAGAAACACAGAAAACATGATCTAGCTCCTCAAAATTTTAGTTGGAATATTTCAGTTCACCTCTTCTTTATCTGTTTACCTGTCTGTGTGGCAGTTTAAGGAGGGCCACAAATCCATCAAGAAGTAGAGTCTCTTTCTCTCCTCTGGGCAGGCCCCATGACTTGTTTTGACTAACAGGATGCAGCAGAAGTGATGCTGTGCAACTTCTGAAGCTGGGTTTGAAGACATTCTGCACCTCCTGCTTTCATGCACTTGGAACACTGCGCCCCTGGGATCCAGCCACCATGCTGAGAGAGGCCCAAGCCATACAGACAGAGAACATGGAGAACAAAGGTGCTCCAGTTGACAATCCCAGCTGAGGTCCCAAATGACAACCAGGACCAATTATCAGCCATATGTGTGCACCATCTTGGATGGTACAGCTCAGTGCAGTTTCCAGATGACTGCAGGTCCTGCTGACAGAACATGGAGCAGAAGTTCTTTCCGGCTAAACCCAGTCAGCCCACAGAATTGTGAGAGATGTTAAATTGGCTGTTGCTTTTAAGCTGCTGCCCCAGTGAAAAGGCATTTAATTGAAGTAGCTATTACTCAGCAATAGGTAGCTGGAATTCCTTACTTGTCTTTTATTCCATGTATCAATTTGTCATTTAATTTATCTATAATCTATCTTGGTCAGCATAGTGTGGTAGCTCTACAGTCAGACATATAGTTTTGCAGTTCAGTTTGAGGCTGACCATAAGATGGGGCAGCAAGAGAAAGAGGGGAAACTGGGCTTAGTCCCAAGGGAATGGGATGAGGCACAGCTGCAGGGCTGTGGGGTGAAGGAAGCACAAGCAAAAGACACAGGGCAGGGCCATCCTGGGAAATATGAGTGAGGAGATGGGGCACAATGAGAGTCCAGCCCAGCCTTGCTCATCTTGACTCAGCCTGAGCACAGGGGAGTGGTTAGACTCTGATGGGAAGGAAAAGCAAACAGCTCATACAGAGGACAAAACACCACTTCCCCACACTCATGTAGGTGAAAGAGCTTGGTGCCCAGCAGACCCAGACAAAGAGGAAGGCAAGGCAGCTAGGCTGCCTGGAGTTATGTCAAGAGGTGCTGTCTGCTAGCGCTGCTGGGAATCTGGATGGGTCAGACACAATGAACACTTTCACTCTGCGGAATAATCCAAACCCCAGCAAAGAGATTTGCTATTCCTGGAGTCATCATCAGACTGATCTCTAGTGGGGAGGGGGAGTGGTCAGCATAGGGGGAGGGGAGGTATGCACGCATTACATACCTAAGGATGGTGAATTTAGATGGTAAAATTTAGATTTCGTTAGTCTCATGAGGATGAAAACATCTGATATTCTGAGACAGCTTACTTGGATGAGACCGTTTGAAATTATCTTCAAAAACAATTTAAACTGTGTTTTCCAAAAAATACCCCATGGACATCCTTACCCCGTACCTGAGCCTAACCCCATCTCTAATCCAGTTGAGAGTTTCACCATATCCTTCGTGCTAAAAAAATTCAAAGACACAGTTTTAAAGTCCTTTACAAAACAAAAAATACAGAGTAATGTGTATTGGAGACAACTTCATCTACCTCTTGTGTCTCACTCCATCCCTGACTCTCATTGTGTGCCCTGCTTGTGTCTGCAGTGGGAGGTCAGGACTGTCAGCTCTGCACCTGACTGGTTAAGAAATGGCAATATTTTTATGTCTTTGAAGCTGCCATGCCAAAACAGCCTCCTCCAAATAAATTGCTTGGTTGCAGGTTAATGAAACAGTGAGGCTTGGCTTAATCATCCCATTGTGTCTACAAGACGCGCATGCCAACCTACACGTGTTTTCCACTTGGTTCAGTCATCCCGGGCTTGGCTTTACAGCCCTCAGACAGTCACCAGCATATGGCTGTCTACGGTAATAAAGGTGAGAGCCACATAGCCAGATAAGGCTCCAGAAACCTTGAGACTACTTTCTTTCTACTAGGTCTTTAAGTTAGAGGCAAAACAAACAAAAAACAAAAACAAACAACAACAAAAAACTTGATTAAATTTCATTTAGTATGCTTTCACCAAAAGTACTAAAGCAGCCTTTTTGTTTGTTTTGTTTATTTCATAAAGTTTTTGGTACAGTCATCTGTCTGCATATGAAGATGGAAAGCAGAGGCTTTTGTATTTTTTAACCCATGACTCACAGTAATGAAGGCATTGAAAATCACAAGCCAGTTCACACACAGGTGAGTGTGCAAATGGAAACAAACTTTTCACAAAATGCTATTTTTACTCTGTGTGATGGTAAATTTTATGTGTCAACCTAGCTAGGCTATGGTATGCCACTGTTTGGTCAAATATCAGTCTAGGTGTTGCTGTGAATGTATTTTTTAGATGTGATTAACACTTAATCACATTGACTTTGAGTAAAGCAGATGACCTTCCATCAGGTGTGTGGGCCTTGTCCAATCAGTTGAAGACCTGAAAAGACCGAGGTTCCCCCGAAAGAAAGGAATTCTGCCTCTACACTGTCTTTGGACTCAAGACTTTAACTTCATCTGTTGCCACAATTTCCAGCCAGCTAGTCCACCCTGCAGATTTCAGATTTGCCAGCCCCTATAATCATGTGATTATCTTTCCCTGTGTTTCTATGTATCTATCTAGATCCCTCTCCATCTTACACACACATCCTATTGCTCCTGTTTCTCTGGAGAATCCTGATACACTACATAAACACAATCTAATATTTTCTATTCTATTTAATTAAGAGAAAAATATTGTTTGCAATCTATTAAATTAATTTTTAAAAATTATATATATAAATTATATAATAAAAAGCATTTAAAAGTCATTTTAAATGTCAATTCTGTGTATAAGCTATGTAACAAAGCTGTTTCAAAGTCATTAAACTTTTAAAAAGCGTTTAAACATTAATAGCTGTTTAAAAGTCATGTTAAGATGACTTTTACACAGATTTGCTATCATGTAATTTATATACCACCATATTATCTCATTTAAAATGTACAATTCAATTATTCTCAGTTATTTTTGTGGGGCTATCGCCATAATATAGTTTTAGAATATTTTCATCATCCACCCCCCTCAAAAAAGTCTCTAGATTTTTTTTTTTTTCTTTTTTTGAGACGGGGTTTCGCTCTGTCGCCCAGGCTGGAATGCAGTGGCGCGATCTTGGCTCACTGCAACCTCTCCTCCCGGGTTCAAGCAATTCTCCTGCCTCAGCCTCCCAAATAGCTGGGACTACAGGTGCGCCACCATGCCCGGGTAATTTTTGTATTTCTGGTAGAGATGGGGTTTCCCCATATTGGTCAGGCTGGTCTCGAACTCCTGGCCTCAAGTGATCCACCCGCCTTGGCCTCTGCAAAGTGCTGGGATTACAGGCGTGAGCCACCGCGCCCAGCTACCCTAGATTTTTAGTTGTCTTTCCACACTCGTCACTTTTCTTTTCCTTTCTTTTTTTGACAAGAATTGTTCTAAAGCAGTGCTTCTCAAAGTGTAATTCAGAACCAGAATCATCAGCATTGCCTGGGAACTTGTTAAAAATGCAAATTCTTGCATCACACCTCAAACCTACTGAATCAGAAACTCTTGCAGGGGAGTCCAGCAATCTATGTTCCAACAAGTCCTCCAGGCAATTCTGATGCATGCGAAAGTTGAAACAACACTGATCTGTAGGACACGACACTGTGCCCATATGCTTTCAGGATGAGAAGGGGAAACTGCTGGGTCCTATGTCACCCACAGGTCCTGTGGGATTCAAGTTTCATTCAGAAGTCACCTCAAAATGTTCAGACCTAATATTCAGTTCATGATCAATTCACTAATCAATCTTGGGAGGAATAAAGCTCTTTCTAATGGAATTGGAAAGTGGTTGAATGAAGTTTCCATCTCCCCAGAGGTACACTTTGACCAGGGATGATGAAGAAGAGGTGTCTGCAGCCCTTCTCAGTAGGGACTAAGAGACTTGTCAGGCCAAGGCTTTGTCAAAAGGAATCCTGCTCTTCCAGGGTTCCATACCCAGGTGTCTGCGAGTGAAAGGTGGCATTGGTCCAGATCCTCTGATTACAGAAAAGGAAAAATGACTGATATGGGCCCAAATAAAGAGGAAGGTGTAAGTTGAGGATGCCAAGGTCTCATGGAATGCACAGATCAAGAGAGAAACTGAGCCAGGCCTCCTGGGAATTGGAGAGCCATCAGAAACAGAATTAGTTATCTCTTCTTTTGATATCCCCTTGGCGTCTCTGTCAGTATAGTCATCTGTCTCTGCCTATGAATGTCCTCTGCTTTCTCATGGCTCATGGTGGTGCTCTGAATACCTGAATCTCCATCAAATGTCATTTCGGGTTCCACAGCTAAGTGGTCCACTCTTGCAGCCTTTCCATATATCAATTCTTCTCAGGTGGTTCATATCAAAGGCCACTAATTAGCCCATGGCTTGGAAGCCTATGGCTTTTGCTTCTTTTTTTTTTTTTTTTGAGACAGTTTCTCTCTGTCTCCCAGGCTGGAGTGAAGTGGTGTGATCTCGACTCACTGCAACCTCTGCCTCCCGGGTTCAGGCAATTCTGCCTCAGCCTCTCAGGTAGCTGGGATTACAGGTGCGCACCACCATGCCCAGCTAATTTTTGTATTTTTAGTAGAGACGGGGTTTCACCATGTTGGGCAGTCTTGTCTTGAACTCCTGACCTCAGGTGATCCACCCACCTCGGCCTCCCAAAGTGGTGGGATTGCAGGTGTGAATCGCCATGCCTGGCCAACTTTTGCATTTTAAATTCATACAGACAACTATTCCAAAAATAGAAGCATCAGACCTAAAGACTGAACTATATAGCTCAGTAACCATTCCTGGTAAAAAGATATAAACCAGAATTCAAAGCCAGGCAATTGTTTCCAGTAAGATGTGCTGCTTCTTCAAGCCATTGATGTTTCAGAGACTATTAATACTTATAGTATTTATAAGTCATTGCTGGATGAATGAAAATACTTGAAAAATCTCAGAAGTAGTAGCATCCTGAATCCCCAAGTAGAGGTCCATGTCATATTTTAATCTCCACTCTCCCATTACCAAGAGTGTGGTCCTGAATTGGTCACTGCATATTCCTACACCAATGTGCCTTTGTGTACGAGGAATGCCGAGTGGATGATGTATAAGCTTCCTTCCACTTTAATAATTTGATTCAGTGGTGCTGACTCTGCAGTCCCCTTTCTATAGGGCTTGGAGGAACAGCAAGAAATGGGCTTAGTCCTTTGCAGTGCATCAATGCACAGGACATTTATCTGCTTTCCAGAGTCATTGTGCTACTCCCATAATTCACAGCTTGTCTCTGAAAGGAGGTTTTACTTACTCCATTTCCTATGGAGACATCAAGCTCTCCAGAAGTAGCTACAAGGCTAACAGCTGGGAATCTGTAGTTTCCAGTGATATTACCACGTCTAACTGTGCTTTTTAAGAAAGTTTATTTGAGACAAGAGTAGTGTATGTTCACAAGCCCAGCCATGACACGTATCTTTGGTTAGTGTTTCTTAAGAAGCCATGCTAAGTTATGTGTTCACCTCTTTTTGTATCTACTGTGTATTAGTGACTCCTGCTTGGTAGGTGTCCAGTAGATGTTTGCTGTTGATGGTGATGAAGATGACATATGTCTCAAAACTGAGATTTATATAATGGGAACCTTCTGAAATGATGACCTCACATTTGTTAAAACAAAGTCCAGATAGGGCAAAGCCCCAGTGTAATATTAGTGTGAGGTTGCGCTCTGACTCCCGTGAGCTATGCACGGAATTATGCTTTAGGGAAGTCAGTGCAATCCATGGCCTGTGGTGTCAGCCTTATGGAATCTTTAAGTGAATGATGAAAAGGTGCCCCCTTCTGGGAAAATGCAGCCCTGCAGGTACAACATTTAGCTACAGACAAAAAGGGGCCTGTTCTGGTGAGCCATGACCCTGCCAAGGTGGGAGGCTTGGCAAGTAGAATGTCAATTAGATTTCGCCCCTACTCGTCCCTGCATCTGGGAACCTTTGTGGAATGCACAAACTGCACAGTCTTGCAGAGTGGCCCTTAGTGAATGCCACCAACTGTGTAAGTATAAATAGATCAGACTAGGGCTTTGCAGTGCTTTATGCAAACATCTTAAAGTAATAGCTATTACCCTAAAATTATATACTGATATGTGTATCTATATATATAATTATATATATCATATGTTATATGATATGGAATTATAATATAATATAATTATATATAATATAATAATATATAATTATTTATAACATAATTATATAATTATATATAATAATGGTAAAGTATATATAATACTATATATACTGTATCCTGTATAAATATGATATACTTTATAAATATAGTTGTATATTTATGTCAGTATAAAATACTATGTCAGTGCGTGTGTGTATATATGTGTGTGTGTGTGTGTGTGTGTGTATATACACACACTCCAAATCATTACACAGCTTCTTAAATTCTTCTCACTTGCTTTTTAGTAAAGAAGACAAGATTTGAGTTTCAGTAAGAAACAAACAATAGGAAGTTTGTGAATAGGCAGGTATTATCACTACATTTGGTAACCAAAAGTGGATAAAATTTCCACCCGCAGGTACAATTGAAGGTCATTATTCACTGAGGTAAAATTTTCAGTAAGTTGTCTTTAAAAGAAAATTGAGCAAGTTGGTTTTGGTCTCACAGAATCAAGTGGTGGTGAGAATTCAAACATGACCATGTAGAGAAAAGTGCTTTTAAATTCTAAAGACCTATACAAATGTCCATCACTTTAATTTGCAAGGTAGCCAATGTGAAGCTTAACAAGAAACCACAAAAAACATTATTGTTTCTTGACAACACAAGAAACGTTCCTGTTTAAGTTAGGGAAAATAAAAGAATACTCTTTATCCCCACAATTACATACCATTGTTAAGAAACATCAATCCAGCAAGAGAATTAAATGGAGACATAAAATATTAGATGAGAGGGGTAAAATTATCATAATCTTGAGATGAGAAGACTGTATCCCTGGAAAAGCCAAGAGAGGCAGTTGGAAAATTATCATAAATAAAGGAATCCAACAAGTAGGCACAGAATTAGTATACAGAAATTATAGCCTTTACATAAACAAAAAACATTTAGTAGAAGTTAAAATAATAAAGATTCCAAGTATAATAGTCAAAGGTAATAAAAGTGAATAGAAAATAAAATGAAGTACAAATTCACACAAGGAAAAATTTAAAAATCTTACAGAGGAACACAAAGAGTATCTAAACAAATATCCAGTTATTGAGAGGGAATATTCACTATTTTAAGGCTGGTGCGTCCACCTACATTAATCTATAAATTTAATGCAATCCCAATGAACTTGCCATTTAACTTTTCTTTTTTTTTCTTTTCTTTTTTGTGTCTGGCTTTTTTTAAAAAAGTATACTTTAAGTTTTAGGGTACATGTGCACAACGTGCAGGTTAGTTACATATGTATACATGTGCCATGTTGGTGTGCTGCACCCATTAACTCGTCATTTAACATTAGGTATATCTTCTAATGTTAAATGGCCATTTAACTTTTCATTCCAGCAATGAAAGACTTGTTATCTTGAAAACCCTTGTACTACAGATACCTAAAAATGAAGGATAACATCTAACTTACATCATTTTAAATGAGTAGCTGAAAGCCACTGATGCAAGAAAAAGAAAAAAGGGAGTGATGCAGTGTTGATGCTATGGCCCAGCTGGGGTAGAAAGTCTTGGGGAAAATGAAGATCTCCATAATCCCAGATAGGTTTCAGCATGACTTGTGAATAGCTGAGTGCTACAGAACTCCACAGGTGGTTCCTGCAAGGTGAAATGTTGTAACTGATGTCCACACTTAAGTCTGGACCCTTGAAAGAATGCACAGTTCGTGAAAGGATGAAAAGAAATGGCTTTATTGCCAACAGCTGTCATTTGGATAGGATAAAAGGTCTCTGATCATTTACAACCACAGGCTTCTGCCTCGTGAGGGTCTGGGGTTAGCACTTATATTGCCTACATGATCCAAGAAACCGCAAGCTTGGTAATTATCATAAACATTGAACAGCGTCTTTGAAACTGTGGCAGCACCTGGCAGATCCTTTGGGATAAAGCTGCTCTGTAGGAACCCACCTTTGACCCAGGTACACAGAATTCCCAAATTAAACACCCAATGAAGATGAGCTCACTGTCCAAAATTTCAAATTGCAAAAGATAAAAATTCTCCATGAGAACTAGTTAATGAACACATCATATAGGATTATTAGAAGAACATGAACAACAGTTATGGGTGAAATTGTCGCTCCCCACCCCAATTCACATGTAGAAGTCCTAACCCCCAGTTTCTCAGATGTGACTGTATATAGACACAGGGTCTTCAAAGAGGTATTTTAAGTAAAATAAAGTCATATGTTTGGGCCTTAATCCAATATGACTGGAGTCATCATTAGAAGGAAAGATTAGGGCACAGACACCCACAGAGGGAAGAACAGATGAAGACACAGAGAGAAGACGGCCATCTACAAGCCAGGGGGAGAGGCCTCTGAACAAACCAACCCTGCTGGCACCTTGATCTCAGACTTTCAGCCTCCAGAACTGAGAAAATAAATTTCTGTTATTTAACCCACTCAGTCTGCAGTACTTTGCTATGGCAGACTTAGCAAACTAATTCAGCTTCTATAATACAATAAAAGGATAGAGACGACACTAGAAATCTGTTTAAAATACTAGAAAAATACAGGAGAACACATTTTGGAAGAAAGAAAAGGACTCTTCTGAAAAAGAAAATTACTAAAAGGAGTACTTTATGAAGAAGGAAACTGAATTCCCAAGGAAGTAGTGGGACATAGAAAGCAAAGGTGAGCAAAGAAACCAACTTGTGTGTGAACCTAAGTGAGTATTAAATGGATTTTTAAAAAAGTAATTGCTACCTTGGGGAGTGTAAAATAAGATGATAAATAAGACACTGAACAAAATAACATGTTAAGATAGGAGTGCAGTAAAATCCTGCTGAGATCCTTAAATTTAGGGGGAATGAATTAGAGATATTAGTTCTGTTTAGATTTTAGGTCACATATGTGTCTAAACAAGTAAAGGATGACTACTAAAAGAGCAGATATAGACTGCATAGTAAGTCTTATTCCAAAATCCATAGAAAGGAAAATAAAACAAAGGAAAAGAACAAAGGAAAAGTAATAAATCTAGTTCCAGGCAAGAAAAAATATCTTAAAAACTAGACAAGCCAAAGATTCTGAGGTAGAAAGAGTTCAGTGTGGAATTGCCCCCTTCCCTCCTGTGTTAATGTTCTGTGTTCCTTAAACTGAAGACAACAATGAGTAGACCAGGCGTAGGTCCATACTAGAGTTTTTCTTTCATTGTCAACATATGCTGGGGATCAAATGACCACCTACCAGCAGTAATCCTGCCACCAGGCAGCAGGGGCTGGGGCAGGACACCCCGAGCCATCAGAAGAGACTGCTGCTGCTGGTGAAGTATGCAGTTCCCTCCCAACCTGCCACCTGAGGGTGTTGGAGAGCCCTGTCAATATGAGAGTATCTTTGGGGAGCGCTGCCAAGCCCTGCAGAACCACCTTTAAAAAATTTGTAATCACATTGAAAAAACAAATGGAAAATAGTTTTTACAATGAGTACAGATTACTTTTTAAAAGAAAATTAACATTTTAAAAAAACCAACAAAAACAAATAAAAAACAAACTGTGTCAAACCTCTCTTTCTGCCTGAGAGGGGGAGAAATGAGAGATGTCTCACTTTGTTATTACATATTACATGGCGGTACACACAAGTATTCCAGCAGTGTTGGCCACTGTTCTGTCTGATGTTTTCCAGGCTTTGTAAGAGACCGTGGCCCAACACTTCCTGGGAACCATAGCATAGACCTATTGCCTCATGAAAAGGTGCGCATGCAATTCCTAAGGGTACCACAGGTGAGATTTAATAAATTCATATTCTCCTCCCAAATCTTGTGCTTTGGGATCCATGAGGCTAGATCAATGTTCTTAATTCTCCTGATCTCACATTTTTCTAGTTAATCACATAAAGATATAGGCACTGGCTTAATCAGCAAAAGATTATTTTGCTTTGCACACACAGTTTCTTTATTATTCACTATTTGATTTTGAAACTTTTTTTTTTGAGATAGTCTCACTCTGTTGCCCAGGCAGGAGTGCAGTGGCGTGATCTCGGCTCACTGCAACCTCTGCCTCCCTGGTTAAAGCGATTCTCTTGCCTCAGCCTCCCAGGTAGCTCGGATTATAGGCACATACCACTGTGCCCAGCTAATTTTTGTATTTTTAGAAGAGACGGGGTTTCACCACGTTGGCCAGTCTGGTCTCGAACTCCTGACCTCAGATCCTCCCGCCTCAGCCTCCCAAAGTGCTGGGATTACGGGCGTGAGCCACTGCACCCGGCCCTGATTTTGAAACTTCTTAACTGATTGTTTCATTCATTAATCATCTTATAAACCTGGAGGATAGGGTCATGGTTTGCATTTGCAGCCCACTGAGCAGGACTAAAGTTTTTTGTTTGTTTGTTTGTTTTCCAGAGCAGGAGTGGAAGTTTATTAAAAAGCTTTAAAACAGTAAGGAAAGGAAGAAAAGTACACTTGGAAGAGGGCCAAGTGGGCAACTTGAGAAACCAAGGGCCCAGCTTTACCTCTTGATTTGGGGTTTTATACTTCGGCCTACTTCCGGGATCTCGCATTGCTTCTCCCTACTCCTGAGATCTTGTTGGGAAGCTGCTGATCAGTTTCAGGTGTTTTCTCTCTGTTAAGAGACTGCTTTTCCCTGGTGCCCGCTGTGATCAATTATTACTTTAGAGAGGCAATTAACAACGGCCTAACCATCACCTGATGATCAGCCAACACACCTGCTGTGTGTGGGTGGGGAGCCCGCTCCTGCCCTGCTCATACCTGACTACTACCTACTGTAACACTTCCCCCCTCAAGATTCCAAGACCCCAAAGATTTGGGGGAAAACAGACAAAGGTTAGTCTTCTGTAATTGCTTCCTGCTGACACAGAGGTGGTGGTGGCAGTGGTTCTGTGGGTCTTGACCTCTTGCTGGCCAAATAAGAGCCCTGAGCAGGTCTGACCCTAGAGCAAGCACCTAATCTAAATGTGCTGAATTTTCTTGATAACGCTAAACAGAGTGCATATGAAATTGATGCTGGTTGTTAGGCTTATCCACCCTTAAGCTTTGGATTCCTTAGATCTCTGTTCAGGGTCACTTTTGGCCAGCTGGTGGCCAGTTAAACCTTCCCCCAAGAGTGCAGAAGAGGGAGAAAAGGGAGAAGAAGCAAAATCAAAAGTTGGCAAATAGCAATTAGAAGCTCTGGAAAAAAAATCGTTAATAAGGAAACTGGGACTGTTATTTTAAATTATTTAAAAATATTTGTGGAGTTATATTGTCCACATTCCTTACAGCAGTCTGTGAAGAAAATTAAGTTGGAGAAAGAATAATTACCTCTGAGACGAGAGATAATGGGAAGTCATGCCACACAGCTATCAAGAAGGCAGTGCCAGGCCAGGTGCGGTAGCTCACGCCTGTAATCCCAGCACTTTGGGAGGCGAGGTGGGCAGATCACAAGGTCAGGAGATCGAGACCATCCTGGCTAACACGGTGAAACCCCATTACTACTAAAAATAGAAAAAATTAGCCGGGCGTGGTGGCGGGTGCCTGTAGTCCCAGCTACTCGGGAGGCTGAGGCAGGAGAATCGCTTGAACCCAGGAGGCAGAGGTTGCAGTGAGCCAAGATCATGCCACTGCACTCCAGCCTGGGTGACAGAGCGAGACTCTGTCTCGAAAAAAAAAAAAAAAAAAAAAAAGGCAGTGCCAGACGTGTGGCAAATTTCCTTTGGGTTTCCTGGAAGTACTCTCAGTATTACTTATTTTTCTGTGTATAGGTGAGGTTGGTTCTTACCTAGAAGACACCTACTTCAAGATCGGCTCACATGTCTTCTCTGGTGAGCCTTCCACAAGTCCCTCCAAACAGAGTGAGTCACTGAATTTCCATTTGATTTCATTCACGTCTCCCCTGTAGTGTACATCATGGTGCCTGCAATTAGCTGCTAAAATTTAACACTGGCACTGAACAGTGAGCCTTCGAGAAAGCCATCGTGTTTAACTGATATTTCCACTTTGCGTAGTGGTCCTTATAATAACAATAACAGTAGCCATTACTACGAATGAGATCTTATAATATCAGATGTTATAACAAGCACTTTGCATGTATTATATCATTTAATCTTCACAAAATATTTGCAAAGTAGTTATTACATCCCTTTCACAGATAAGAAAACTGGAGCTTAGAAACATTAAAGTAGCTTGCCCAGGTCACAAGGCTAGTAAGTCATAGAACCAAGGGGACTAACTCCATAGCATGTGGTGTTCCACAATGCAGTATACAGTGGTGGTTATTAAACACTGTTAGGCATCGGAATCTCCTGGGAGCTTGCTGAAAATATAGATTTCCAAGCCCTAGCCACTGGGGTGATTCTGAATTAGTGGGTTTAAGGTAGAGTCCCCAAATCTGCTTTTATTTTATTTTTTTGAGATGGAGTTTTGATCTTGTCACCCAAGCTGGAGTGCAATGGCTCGATCTCAACTCACTGCAACCTCCGCCTCCTGGGTTCAAGCGATTTTCCTGCCTCAGCCTCCCTAGTAGCTGGGATTACAGGTGCACACCACCATGCCTGGCTAATTTTGTATTTTTAGTAGAGACAAAAGTACAGCTGGCCATAATTTTTTTGTTGATACAGAATAATTATACATATTTGTGGCACACGTGGTATTTTGATAACATGCATGAAATGTGCAAAGATCAAATTAGGGTATTTAGGATAACCATCACCTCAAACATTTATCATATCTTTGTGTTGGGAACATTCCAAATCTTCTCTTCTAGCTATTTTGAAATATATAATATATTGTTAACTATAGTCACTCAGATGGAACTGGAGGTCATGATGTTAAGCGAAATAAGTCAGGCACAGGAAGAAAAATATTGCATTTTCTCACTCTTATGTGGGAACTAAAAAAGTTGATCTTGGCTGGGCATGGTGGCTCACATCTATAATCCCAGCACTTTGGGAGGCTGAGGCGGGTGGATCAGCTGAGGCCAGGAGTTCAAAACCAGCCTGGCCAACATGGTGAAACCCTGTGTCTACTAAGAATACAAAAAATTAGCCAGGCATGGTGGTGGGCGCCTATAATCCCAGCTACTTGGGAGGCTGAGGCAGGAGAATTGCTTGAACCCAGGAGGTGGAGGCTGCAGTGAGCCGGGATTGTGCCACTGCACTTTAGCCTGGGCAACAAGAGTGCAGCTCCATCTCAAAAAAAAAAAAGTTGATTGCATGGAGGTAGATAGTAGAATGGTAGTTACTAGAAGCTGGGAAAGATAGTAGAATGGTAGTTACTAGAGGCTGGGAAAGGTAAGTGAGGTATGAAGAGTGGTTTGTTAATGGGTACAAAATCTGCATTTTTAATTAACACCATCCCACCATCTCCTCTCCAGGCAACACTCTGGAGATCAACATTACAGTACTGCTAGTATACAGTAATGTCATGTACTACAATAATGTACCAGATGCTCAGTGACAGTGAATGAATAAATATAAGGTTTACTGACATTTATACAGGAAAAAGTACATGGCATTCTTTGTTTCTGTCTTTTTAAGGATAAAATGTAGAATTACCATGTATCCGGTAGTGGTTATTAATCTTTGTTGGGTATCAGAGTGGTGAGATTGATTTAGGATTCACTATATTAAACAAATTCAAATGTATTTGTTTGTATCAGGACATCTCACTTTTCAGTTATTTGATTGTGGACTCTTCGTTTTCTTTTTCTCATATAAACTGTAGTGACAGAGTTGGGGAAGCAGTGTCTTGGAAAATAATAATAAGAGCTTATCTTTATATGGGGATCTAAAGTTTATGCAGTGCTTTCACGTGCATTATTTACCATTTATGAGGCAGGATGCAGGAGCTCAGAGAGACTGTCAGTGGTTTGCCCAAGAAAAAACAGAAAGAGCAGTGAGGATGAGAATTGGTTCTTTAGGGCTCCATGCACACTGTTTATCCACAGCATTAC
Organism: Homo sapiens; assembly: GCF_000001405.40. Lineage (NCBI taxonomy): Eukaryota > Metazoa > Chordata > Mammalia > Primates > Hominidae > Homo > Homo sapiens. Next base: position 120,614,113 of record NC_000008.11, read on the forward strand.
AGCAGGCATCCTTCTTTCTCATATAACATACATTCTTAGGGAAATCAGTGCAATACAGTGCAAAGTTATTTATCCTTTCTGTGTCTCGGTTTTCTCATCTGTAATATGAGGCAGCTGAAACAAATTTAAGAGAGATACCCTGTCCAAAGTAAAACAGCTATCCTTAGTAGCCTGGTGGAGTGTATAATCAATTTTCATGACTCCTTAACCAGTTCAACCAATCTGTCTTAAACTAGTGGCCAGAAACACAGTGGTAGGCACTTCAGGTGCAGGAACAAATTAGACACAACTCCTTCTCTGGCATATTATGTCTTTCAGAGTGTGCTGGTAGAAATTCTTTACACCACTGCCTTTTGAAAACTTGTTTCCAAGGCCAGAGTAGCATGCCCTTCTATGCCTTAGCTCTGGCCTGCCAGCTCTTGAAGAAAACAGACAACACAGCACTGTCTTGAAATGTCACCAATGTGCCTGTGGTCAATGCCACATGGCCACGCCTGGAGGTCTTAAATCTACTGTTACTCAACAGCAGGGCTGGACATCAGTTTCCCCTTGGTAATAAAAGCCATTATCGGACTCTTCAAACATTTCAACTTTTCTCCCTATTTCACAGTTCGTAAAGCACCTCTCTGAGGTGGAGGGATTTTTTTTTAATTTGAGAGGAGAGATAAGACAGTATGTTTTTTCCACCTCTAGATTGCATATTACTTCCCATAAGCCATGAAACAGGCATTCTACCAACACGGCTCTTCTAATTGCTCACGTTTATTAAGATGATCCCAGCTCTTTGGGAGGCTGAGGCAGGTGGATCACGAGGTCAGGAGATTGAAACCATCCTGGCCAACATGGTGAAATCTCACCTCTACTAAAAAAAAAAAAAAAAAAAAAAAAATTAGCCTGGTGTGGTGGCACGCACCTGTAGTCCCAGCTACTCAGGAGGCTAAGGCAGGGGAATCACTTGAGCCCAGGAAGCGGAGGTTTCAGTGAGCCGAGATTGCGCCACTGCACTCCAGTGTGGTGACAGAGCGAGACTACATCTCAAAACAAAACAAAAAAAACAAAACAAAAAGATGCTAGTGCACTGGGCATCTTGCTTCCCTCCCCACAACTCCAACTCACTGTGCATCTGGCATTAGCGTCGCCAGAGCCGGGGTTAATATGTACACCATGAACTCATTAGCTGCCCATTAGTATCAGAGCCAAGAATCAACATGACGGATCCAACAATATGTCTGATCTTAGGTCAGATTCTCAGCTGAGGGCTCACCGAATGCAAAGGTCAGCAGCTTGGCATCAGCTCAACAGCACACACTGAGCACATCTTGCTCAAAGTAGCCATTGGGGAAGATGATGAATATGGGGCCTCATTAAAAACTGAGGGGAGGAAAAATCCCTTTGCAGAACCCACAGGGCTTCATGGTTGTCAATTTGCCTTTCTGCTTACATGAAGAATTTATTGGATTTACCACCAAAATAGGAGAAACTGAACGTGCAAATGGCATTATCATATTTCCAGGAACCAAATACCATTCATTAGATGGCCAAGTGAGCAGCCTCAAGGTCAGAGCTGAAAGTTTTAAAGCAAGTCTCTTTAAGTGCAAACGTTATTTCTGCCATCTGAATAACATAAGCCAGTTTGAATCGAACGGAGGTAAAAAGATTACAGCATGTCTTTCTCCTTCCTTAGTTTTCTTCCTTTCCTTTCATTTCCTTTCCTTCCTTTTATCTTTTCTTCTTTCTTTCCTACCAATTTCTCTCTTAACTGGATGTAGCTCTTTAAAAACTAACTGTTCTTCTCCCTTTATCTTTTCTTCTTTCTTTCCTACCAATTTTTTCCTTAACTGGATGTAACTCTTTAAAAGCTAACTATTCACCTCAGGGTGGGGCCTCCTAAATTATCCTCTGTAATTCATCATTCAGCACCCACATAGTGCCTACACACCTCTTATCACCTTTTCCTGGAGGACAACAAACTCTTGTAGGAGTGAAAAAATAATATTAGGAAAGGAAGCCTTCCTCACATCTCCAAGTCGGTAATGATTCAAGAATAATTATTTAATAGTACATTTTGGGTAGTATCATCAACTTTCCTTTTCTTTAAGGGTGGACCAATGAGGAAGAGATTACTAGCAGTTGGTGATTTTAGATTCGACTACTTGACTCAACACTGGTGCTTAAGATTAGCTTGATTTTTTTTTTTTTTTTTTTGAGACAGTGTCTCACTCTTTCACATGGCCTGGGGTACAGTGGTGTGATCATAGCTCACTGCAGCCTTGAATTCCTGGGCTTAAGTGATCTTCCTGCCTCAGCCTTCCCAGTAAGCTAGAACTACAGGGGCACACCACAACACCTGACTAACTAAAAAAAGTTTTTTTTTTTTTTTTGTAAAAATGGGGGGCTCTTGATACATTGCCCCAGGCTGGTCTCAAACTCCTGGCCTCAAGTGACCCTCTCAACTTGGCTTCCCAAAGTGCTGGGATTGCAGGCATAAGCCACCATGCCAGGCCTAGCTTGATTTTTGCAGTCCTGGTTTGAAAAAGAAAACCAAACAAATATAATATTATGTTTAAAATTACACAGCATGCAGCACTTCCATTTGCATAAAGCCACTTAAAAAATTAAAGGTCAAACTAATCATTTCAACACCAAGGATCAGCTTTCTTATTAGCACAATTCAAAGAGTAGTTTTTATTCTCAATGATCACATCTTTTCTGGCAGAATCCCAATAAGCACTTTGCACCATGACAACGAGGAGGTGCACACAACATTGCTGAAGATGCCTGTGCTCCTCCTGAAAGGGAACGTGGCTCCTGCAGAGCGAGGCCAGCAGCCTGGTGCACAGGCATATGCTCACTCATCAAATCATCTGCTCTGGCAGATAATGGTGTAGAACAAGCTTGTCCAACCCATGGCCCATGGGCCACATGTGGCCCGGGACAGCTTTGAATGAGGCCCAACACAAATTTGTGTTGAAAACATTATGAGTTTTTTTGCAATTTTAAAAAGCTCATTAGCTATCGTTAGTGTTAGTGTATTTTGTGTGTGGGCCAAGACAATTCTTCTTCTAATGTGGCCCAGGAAAGCCAAAAGATTGGACACCCCTGGTGTAGAATCAGTGAGCTCTTACCATGTTAAAGGCAGTAAGGAATATAAAATCACTCTATAAAGCCCCAAGCAAATATTTAATTTTGCTATTATAACTCATGTGGTTCTTAGAGTTGGGACACCAAGGAAGAATATTTTTGTGGAATGAGAAACTGGAGTGTTCACTTCTAAATCCACTTTGGTATCATACATAAAGCTCTAGGCTATATTTCACAAAAGCAATTTGCTACATCTGTCTAATTTTTTAAAAGAAAGATAATCCACAGATTTATAAATACTGGGTGAAGACTGAATTGATATGTAAAACTCACTAGAACGAGTGCTAAGGTAGAATAGAACACCTACCTGACCCAGTGGTGGGGACTCAAAAAATGCTGTTGAATTATTTTCCAAAGGAACTTACGGTATTGGGCTTCCTCGTGCATTTTGGATGAGGTGTTTTGTTGGTCAGCCTTGGTGGGCATAATAGCGTGTCCAACCTTGCTCCATACTCAGAACTCGCCTCCAGATCCCTAGCTCTGAGACCGGAGGTCTCCTTAGAATAGGTACAAGGTGATCAGTTAAGCCAAACAGGGTGAAAGTGAAGAAGAGAGAGAAAATACATTTGGACTAAGGGGGATGCCCATGTGACTGTAAAGTAGATTTTCATATACTGCCTTTGAAGGCGATTCCAAAGAAGAATTCTAAAAATGCAATACAGCAGCAAACGAGTGAAGGTACAACTGCCTAAGGGTGTTGCTAAGAAAGGCAGTATCACCTGAATATATGTATATATATATATATTTAGTGCTCTAGCCACCTAAGATTAATGGCTATTCTTAAACGAGGCCATGCATTTTGCGTCTTTATGCCTTTGCACATACTATTTCTGCAACCCGGAAAGTCTTTCTCTACCTGATTTTTAAGATTCAGTTTAAGAGCTTTCTTAACCTCTTAGTCCAAGTGAGCTGACTTCTTCCTTTGAGCCCCCACTGATTTAATATGGAAATAAATTATAGCATGCACAGGTCTGTATTTGAAATTCTTAGGTTCCATGTTTGTCTTCCTCATTTGTTTGTGAGTTCCCTGAGAATATCTTTGTATCTCCAGCTTACTGCCTCACCTATTATAAACAATTATCTAAAATTAATTTCCTTGTCCCTTACATTCATATTGCCCATTCTCTTTATCAGCACATATCACAATCTGAATTGTTTGTTTTCTTACAAATTATCTACCTCCCCTGCTGAAAGTAAGCTCCAGTGCAGCAAGGAACTTGTCTGACGTGTCACCATCATAGTCCCACTACTTTCACTTGCTTGGCATATTGTATGTGCTCAATAGTTACTTACAGAATGAATGAATTATAGGTGCTGAATAGTGTTTATCAAATGGATAAGAAAATGACTAGTCATATATTTGTTTGTTTAAAAAATCACTTGATTATTTATAAGCAAAAAGATGTTCAATCCCTAAAAGATGAGGGATAAATAAAAAATAGATTTCTGTGACAGTTCCATTCTGGTTTCTGGCTGTTGGACGCTGGATGAAATTACCTTTCAACCCAGTTATTATTCAAGTTAAAGCCTTGAAGCTTGGCAAGGAGGAGAAACAATATGGTAAAAGGGCAGAGGGTGGAAAATCTAGAGCTGGGAGAAGTTGGTTTCCACATTTCTGAGGCCCATTTTCTCAGAAAAATATCAAGGTTCATGGTTAAGCTTCCAGAAACCTGTCTTTTTCAAATGCACCATAATAACTAGCAATTATGTTTAAGGTTCTAGTTTGTTAGAAGTTTAAATAGAAAAATGAGAAAACAATAAAATCCATATCTATGGGTTAGTTTCTACTAAAGCCATCAAGAACCCTAAAATTCCTAAAAATACTTCTTCCTTCAATTTCTGGTATCTTGCAGTGAAAAGAAATACAGCAATTATGAATACATTATTTTATGCTTTTATTGAAAGATCATTTTTATACTAATTTAAAATTGCCTTTTAAAATCAATTTTATATAAACTTTAGAAAGGTGTTCTTATAATTTACAGTTCATTAAATATGGAGTTACTTCTACAAGATTCATAATGGGGTATTGGTGAAAATTATACATATATATATATAGAGAGAGAGAGAGAGAGAGAAAGAGACAGAGAGAGAGAAAGAGAGAGATTTCATTTTCAGGGAACTTGGAATTGATTTACGTTAACTCTGACTTATGACCTCTTTTCCAGACATGAAGTAATATGTTCTTTATTTCAGGACCTTGTGAAATTAGACAGCAGGTCATCTATGATCCATTTGAAGCTTTTAAATCTTTCCCCTTTTGAAGACTATTCAGCCTGATTTTTCCCATCAAGCTCTCTTTGGAAACCCCATTTCACACAGTGCATTCTGCCTCCCTAATTTTGTCAGCACTATTGTTAAGTATTGATTTTGATTCTTTATTAAGTTCAGTTTTTACTCTACCATTTACGGTAGATCTTTGGCCTTCATGATTTAATACAGTTTTTACTCTGTGTGACCTTGAATGCTGATGACTTGCACTAATTTGTCATTGTGTTAAGGGCCAGTTTTGAAGTGTGGTCTGACACTCAGACCTGGAGGAGGCCCAGATAACCCCCTCTCTAGGCATGTCAGCATGGCTCTGCTGTCCTACCCTTGCATGAAGGCATGAAAGACACACACATTTTTGTAAAATGGCCTAAAAAGCCAAACGATGGTGTTGATGGAAGTTCTGTGAAGATGATAGTTCTTTGCCAGAAAATAGAAGTTAGGGATAAATTAAAGAATAGAATATTGGATCAGTAGTTCTGAGCCATTTGGTAAATCAATATTTCAGTAAAAAAAGTCCAGTACAACTCATTTTTATTGCACTTAATAGAAGAAAGTGTGTGTGTGTGCACACACACACATATAGTAGCATTCACAAATTTGGAGATTTCTAGAGGCCTCTATACAAACTCCATTCCAAAAATACTCCAAAAGTAACTGCTACTTTTCTAATAAGACATGCAAGCTAGAGAGCTGACTGCCCTCATCTGCTGGATTACATTTATTGGATGCTATGTGCTGGCCCTGTGCCAGCCATTATACAAAAACAATTTCAATTAAGTTGTATAAATTATCTTTTGCAGTAGGTATTAATATCTTTTTTTTATAGACACAAAAAGTGAGGATTAAATATTTTTTAAAAACTTGTCAAAAGTCACTCAACCAGTAAGTAGCAAACTGGGGATTAAAATCCAGGTAGGTCTCCATGCAAAGCCCCTGCTCTTCCTTCTATAGTATGGTACTTCACTGCCCTTCCCTGCCTCCCACATATTCATTCGATAAGTTCTTATTGCACTTACTTGACCCCAATTTTATTTCTAGGTTCTCCAATTCACCTTAGCCAAAATGGTTGATGTTTGAATTCAACAGCTAATATACAGCCAGTTAAACTGTGCAGCACAACTCCCCCCACCCCCACCCCCACACACACCAGGGATATTCTTGTGTTTTCAGCACTGACACTATTGACTTCAGGTTATCTTATGGTGTGTTCAGAGATCCAGGCACACAAAAGTGAATGTCTGCCTGAAACTTTGTAAAATACACAAACATGCCTACTGATGGAATCCTCTAGCACACTTTTTTCCAATGCCTCTTATGAGAATCCAACTGGGTTAAAATGCATCTTCCTCCTCCCTCCCTCCCTCCCTTACCTCCATCCTTCCCTCTCTTCCTCCCTCCCTCTCTCTCTTCTTCCCTCTCTTTTCTTTTCTTTCTTTTTTCTTTCTTTCTCTCCCTCTCCCTCTCTCTCTACCTCCCCCAGGCTGGAGTACAGTGGTGCAGTCTCTGCTCACTGCAACCTCCACCTCCCGGGTTCAAGTGATTCTCCTGCCTCAGCCTCCCAAGTAGCTGGGATTACAGGCACCCGACACCATGCCCGGCTAATTTTTGTATTTTCAGTAGAGACGAGGTTTCACAGTGTTGGCCAGGGTGGTCTTGAACTCCTGACCTCAGGTGATCCACCCACCTTGGCCTCCCAAAGTTCTGGGATTATAGGCGTGAGCCACCATGCCCGGCCTTTATTCCCTCTTTCATGCCCACTGGTGGAGGTGCTACTGAGCAGGAAAGTGACCCTATAAGTGGACAGCTAACTAGGGAAAAGAAGATGCAGTAAAGTGTCTAGGGAACCTGCAACTGAGAAGATGCCAAGATTAGTTCAGGGAAGATTTAGTCTGTTTGTATACAGAGCAGAGAATAAAAGAACAAGAAGTGAGAAATGGGAAAGTGGAGGGGTAGGGAAGGGAGGTCAGAGAGTACAATGAACAGTACAGCCACATGTTTTGTGAGCCAAAATAAAGTAGTAGGTTGGTGCAAAAGTAATTGCATAATTAAAGTAATGGCAAAAATCACAATTACTTTCGCATCAACACAATAGATCAACAAACAAGTGTAGTAATAGGCATTATGAGTTATATTTCAGAAGCTTTTCAGAACAGAAGGAATGTGTCAATTCTACACAGGGCAAGAGAGAGCTTGGTCAATGGGTCACCGTGACCAGAAACCAACTATCATTCCATCTTCTTTCTCCTTTCATGCACCCCCAGGTTTCACTCTTTCATTCTCTTTCTCATTTTTCCAGAGATCTCCTCCACGTTTTGACTCAGACCAAGTGCCTGGGTTTCCCTCCCTCCTCCCCGATCCCCAGCAAAGCCACTTTGAACCAATAATGTGAATTGTACCTCATTCCCAGAGAAAATGTGTTGCAGTGTCTACTGCCAACAGGGAATCATTTTCTGGCTAACATCACTGGTCCACCATCTCATGCATTCAACAAACGTTAAGTTGACCCCTTACTATTCCCCAGACACTGTCTAGGCACTGGAACTGTAGAACTAAATAAGAAGCAGCCTCTTTTCTTGGCAGGGTTACAAGCTGCGGGGCCAAAACACATGGAGAAATATTTTAGGGCCTCTCTCTCTGAATCACTGTGATAAAGTGACTAACGTAATTCTGAGAGTCCTGCTTGGCCTCTCCAGCTCCGTAAAGATCTCTGTTTTCACCTTGATGCAGCCCATATGTAGATATGGATGTTCTTAAATCAGATTCTAGAATTACAGCTTCACCTATATTTCTAACCCTAATTATAAATAAAATCAATATTTTAAAAACTTCACACTGACTGACTTGCTAAACCAGAAAATGAATTCAGCTTACAAACCTGAAAATACCAACTTGAGAGAGTTTCAGGATGGAAAATGAAATGTGTTCATTTGCATTGCATAGCAGCCCAGTACTATTAGAAGTAATAAAAAGCCCAAACCAAACATATAAGGATGCAAAGAAACTCTGAAAATGATGTTTGAGAATTTCAAAGCATTAAAAAAAATAATTATTCCATGATGTGAGGGACAAGGGAGCAAGTAAATGCCAATGTGAGTTATCAGAATGTGAATACAGCTGTAAATAAAAGTAAACTTCTAGGTGGTGGCTATAACCTTCAACATGTCACAGTACTAGCCATTATATTTAAGTCTGTCCCACCTAAAGGTCCCATATACCTAAAGGAATCCCTGCTGGAATTCCTCCCCTCATGGGAACACACCAGTGATTATAGTAGATATTGTTGGTCCCCTGCCAAAATTCCCTTTGTTAGGCCAGTGCACTCTAGCCTTACCTGATGTGCATGTTGACTGGTCACAGCTTAACCTTTTCCTTCTCTAGAGAATTGCCCTTGGCTGATGGGAATGGCCACTCTTTACCTCTATGGGAGACCACAGCCAGTGGCTGCCTTATATGGGTGTACAAAGTCCTGGCTCCCTTGGCTTAAAGTGGGAGAACTCTGTGCTGCTATTCCTACTCCTGAGCTTCAGTGGGATCAGGCTGAAACTAGATTTCAGCTAATACTACATTTCTGTTTACCTTCCTCTGCAGCCTAGCCTGCTTCACTCACTTCCTTACAGGTTTCTCCTAAGAGCCTCACTCAGTTGATTGCTCCCCAAGAATCTCCGTCTCAGACTCTGCTTCTAAAGAATTTGGAGACATTGATCAATGTAAGGCCTCATGATCATTGTAAGGCTTAAAACTTCATGTGTTGCCTTGACATATTTGAGCCTCACATGTTTCCAAAAGCCTACTGGTGAGTTAACCTGGTTCCATTGATATGCCTGCCACCCAGCTAGTTCTCTTATCAGCTGGACCAGCTACACTGCACCTAGTCCTCAACCTAGTGGGTTTTATTTCCCTAACAGCCTGTGAAATTATTCAAAGAATCCAATCACATCCTCCCCTAGGAACCAGGGCACACCTCATCCTCCTATTACTGCAAAATATGCTTCCCAGTGCTTCTGCTGTGTCACTCTGCTCCCTAGTGCAACCCCAATGTGGTCCTGCACGGCGTGCAGTGTCCTTCTCCCAGGCTGTGAGTATATGTGACTAATAAACTGCTGCTAATCTCATCTGTCCAGTGCTGAGTAGAGTGCGTTCACCATCTCATCCTGTTTCAGGTAGGGAATATCTCCCTTACCAGTGGGGCAAAGAGGAGGTGACCAGAAAAATCAAATAATAGAAATTAATAGGAAAATCATTGTGTTTTGACCAAAGTCAGGCAGCTCTTCTGGAACACATCTATTTCATAAAGAAAGGGCAATCCACAATGCCCAATAAGATTAAAGTAGGTTCAACAGAGTCTGCTAGCCACGTGCATTAGTCTGTTTTGTGTTGCTGCAACAGAGTACCGTAGACTGGGTAATTTTTTGTTTGTTTGTTTGTTTTTTTGAGACAGAGTCTTGCTCTGTCACCCAGGCTGGAGTGCAGTGGTGCAATCTTGGCTCACTGCAACCTCTGCCTCCGGGGTTGAAGTGATGCTCCTGCCTCAGCCTCTTGATTAGCTGGGACTACAGGCATGTGCCAACACACCTGGCTAATTTTTGTATTTTTAGTAGACATGGGGTTTCACCATGTTGGCCAGGCTGGTCTCAAACTCCTGACCTCCAGTGATCCACCCATCTCAGCCTCCCAACATGCTGGGATTACAGGCATGAACCACCGCACCTGCCCGACTAGGTAATTTATAAAGGAAAGACATTTACGTCTTATAGTTCTGGAGGCTGGGAAGTCCAAGGATGAGGGGCCTGCACCTGGTGAGGACCTTCTTGCTGTGTCATCCCATGACAGAAGAAGCAAGGGCAAGAGAGCATGCACATGAGAGAATCTGGAAGGTGGTCAAGCATCCTTTTTATCAGGAGCCCAGTTCTGCAATAGCTAACTCACGCCCATGATAATGGCATTAATCCATTCATAAAGACACAGCCCCAATGACCTAATCATCTCTTAAAGGTCCCATCAATGGAACTCTGTTGCACTGTAGACTAAGTTTCTAACACATGAACTTTGGGGACATATTCAAACCACAGCATTCCACGCCTTCCCCCAAAAATTCATGTCCTCCTCACATGCAAAATATATTCATTCCATCCCAATAGTCCCAGAGTCTTAACTTGGTCCAGCACCAACTCAAAAGTCCAAAGTTCAGAGTCTCATCTACATCAGATATGAGACTCAAAATTACAATTCATACTGAGGCAAATTCCCTCCAGCTGTGAGTCTGTGAAATCAAAACAAGTTATCTACTTCTGAAATACAATGATAGGACAGGCATAGGATAGACATTCCTGTTCCAAAAGGGAGAAATAGGCAAGAAGAAAGGGGTACCTGGTCCCAGTTAAGTCCAAAACACAAAAGGGAAAACAACATTAAGACTTAATGACGGAGAATGATCTCCTTTGACTCCATGTCTCAAATCCTAGGCACAGTGGGACAGACATGGGGCCTCTAGTGCCTGAGGCAGCCCTGCTGTCTGCGTGTGAACTAACAGGAAGTGGGCTGAAGTCATCCTTTTTCTCAGGACCCCACTTCTGAAATAACTAATCCATTCCTGCGATAATGGCGTTAATCCATTCATGAAGGCAAAGCTCTCAAGACCTCATCACCTCTTAAAGGTCCCAACTCTGTTGCATTAAGGACTAAGTTTCCAACACATGAACACTGGGGGACACGTTCAAACCATAGCACCATGTGGCCAGGCACAGGGGGCTTTCTATCTCAAGTTCTATGGTTCTCTCCAAAGAGATTGAAGCAGGCCCATATGAAGTTGTATGAATCAGCCTACAAGAAATAAAATGTACACACCCCCCTGTCTTACATGGGCAGCTCTGATGTTTCCACTTTGGTGAGAACAATTCACTTTACTAAATTCAATTTACTAAATTCAGATGACTGTGAAGGCATGCAGAAAAGTGGGCATATTTCATACTGCCTCTGCCACCCACCTACTCACTCATCCCAATTTAAAATCTCTGATGTTTCATTTGAGAGAATAGATGATGGAGGCAATCTGAATGAAATTCATACTGGCACATTTAGTTTAAACACTTGTAGCAAAAGACTAATGGGAAGATTCCCAAGCTGCTGCCAGATTTTTTTCTTAGTCTTGCTCCATCTCAGAGGTGATTCACTCAGGAACTTGATGACTCTCTTTTAAAGCAACACAATAGGACTATTAGCACTTAATTGCATTAACAGCCTGTGTTTTCTACCATAACCAATAGTCTTGATTTAGGGATGATGCAAGCCAGGGTAGCTTGGACAGTAGTTCTATTTCTATCTCTTATCAGATGGGAGTTCCCTCAGGTCAGAGACTATTTTCTCCCTGGAAGAAGCAGTGAGAAATTCTGACTTAGGTAATTTTTTTAAGGCAGATGGTGGGGCTGATATATTTAGAGGCTCCAAAAATATCATTCTGTTAATTACACTGTCAAGATCTTGATTATAGCAGCCTGTTTTACTAGGGCCAGGGCTATTTTACATTCACACTGAGATTCTTCTAATGTAGGTGGGCAATGTAGCTAGAGAATGAAATCACTTGGTTGGTTCTAGTTACCTAGAATTGGGGGGGATGAGTAAATTGCTATTGTTGGAACTGAAAATTAATGGTGATCTAACAAATTATGTAAGAATATAGACTATAGTATGTATATATATATAGAGAGAGAGAGATCAATATAGTCACATAGATAAATAGGTAATTAGATAGGGATGAATAGATAGATACAGGGAGGTAGACAGATTGAGAAATCTCTCAGTTCTGCCTTTGCACAGTAGTGCTGGGTAATAAAAATGACTGTGAAAGCTGAAACCACACTAAGCAATCTTAATCAGTTGGAAAAATTAGGATCATTACATGACCTTTAAAATTTTTTATCAAAATGTTAAAAACTGCCTTACTGTCAATTATATATGCATAGGGAGATGAAAAATAGAGTAAATGTTTATTTAGTAATCTCTAATTTAAAACATTAGAAGAATTGAGGATTAAAGTGAAGAGTAGTTTGAATAGACCTTTTTGTCTTCTCCTCATCTAACTTATAATATAGAACAAGCTTTTTTTTTTAATGCTTTGACAAATTGTCATCATCCTTTCTAAGTTTGGATCAGCTAGCAACATTTTATCCTTTGCACTTTCAATGATGTGAGCTATCTTTGAGAGTTTCTTTAATGTGAAGTTTTCACAAGTGTCACCTCCTCTGGGGCATCTTCATCCTTCATCACAGCTACAGTCTTCACTTACAGGTTATAAGTTTACCTTCCCTAAGTTCTTCTGGTTGCTATCTTGAACAGTATCAGTGTGAACATTTCTAAGGGCAGCTATTTCTGCTATCATTCCATTTATGTTTGATGCAAATTTCATTTCCAGCATTACCACTTTTTGTACCTTTGCTGCACTGTCATCTTTGTGGGACAACTGCCTCTTTCTAGGATCCATTCTTGTGAAGTGTCATATGGATTTGTCACTGGGAGACAGGGAGGAAAGGGAGTTATCTCCTTTGCTGTCTGTGTGTGAACTGATTAACAGAGGTGCCATGGCCAATCACCCATAGATTTTGAAAGAAGCGATGTGATTGGTCACCAGTCAGGATGTACATCTGCTAATTACATGGTGGGATTTGTGAACTGAAGACTTAGCAATGAGGTCTGTACTTATGAAATTACTCACAGTTACTATGCCTTGGTAGCAGAAATTTGAACCGTTTTGTTGAGAGACTGGCGTATCTAATTAAATAATGATAACTGAAATTCATGGATATGTGTGTGTGTGTATGGGTATATACAAATTGCCTTCCCCTAATCTGCCCTATGAAATGTGATTGCAGTCTCTGTAGGACCTGTTCTTTGAAATTTTATAGTACAAAATTAGGAAGGAAGAGAAGGGAGGAGGATTACTCTGTGGAAGATAAAAGAAGGAACCTAACCAGAGAGGTTCAGCTGATTGACATAGTCAAGAATGGAAGAGAAGGACAGAAAGGAGAGAATGTCTTCTTGTTTTTCTTCTTTTAGAGTCATGAGAAGAATGGAAGCAGTTGAAGATATAGGATGGATATGGATAGGAGAGATGAGAAGATCTTGGTAAGTGTTGCCCGGCCTAGGTATACAAATTTCCCTTATTTTCATAATTTTAAAGGATTTGAATTACCTTGGTATGTCTCTTAGCTCTGAAGCTGTGCTTTTGGTCTGCGATACTGCTCTAGATGGGATTGTTGGAGGCATTACTCATAAGGACAGATGTTTCCTGGGCCCGTTTATTATCTCAGCTTAGTGGAAAGTGCTGGACTTTGGAGTTAGAAAGAGAAGCTCAAATTCTAAATCTACCACATACTAGAGGAGAGATCTTAGAAAAGTGACTCAAATACTACAAGTTTACCTCATTGGATTTGGATTATTTGAAGCATATTGCTCACAATAAGTATGAATTACCAACTTCCTTTTCTCCAGTAACACCATGGGGAGGCACAACTACATAAACGTTCCCATTTGAAAGAATACGAAATGGAAATGAATAAAGCTGATACCTGAACTTGCATCTCAGAGCTCCCAACTGGGCTTTTGTTTTGCTGTGTTGTGTTTTTGTGTATTTAATCTACAAGAAATAGTTTGCAAACCGAGATAACAAGGGAAAGCAAAGGGAATGCCTGATGAACTGAGCACAAAATATAACTCAACAATTCTGCTGTGTCCCTGTTTATTACTGTTTTTCTAAGTAGCAAGAGAGCTAGAACTTAGCTTGTTTTTCTCTTATCTGAAACGTAATGATAACTGTAAAAGGATTAGATGAACTAAGAAATAAAGATTGGGAAAAATGTGTTTGGGGCATGACACATTTTACAATTCACAGGAGTTAGTATTTATGGGTCATCTTGGGCCAGATGGGGGCTTGCAAGGAGTTAAAAGATGTGAGGCTGGCTGGGCATGGTGGCTCACGCCTGTAATCCCAGGACTTTGGGAGGCCGACGTGGCCAGATCACCTGAGGTCAGGAGTTCGAGACCATCCTGGCCAACAGAGCAAAACCCCATCTCTTCTAAAACTACAAAAATTAGCTGGGTGTGGTGGCATGCGCCTGTAATTTCAGCTACTTGGGAGGCTGAGGTAGGAGAATTGCTTGAATCCGGAGGCAGAGGTTGCAGTGAGCCAACATCACACCACTGCACTCCAGCCTGGGAGACAGAGCGAGACTCCATCTCAAAGAAAAAAAAAAGAAAGAGTTGAGGCTAATATGGTCATGGGAAAGGCTTTACATTGATGTGCATGACCCATCTACAGGTGACAGTGCTCACAGAGGAAAGCAGATTGTCCATAATTGATAGCCAGGTGCAGTGGCACACACTTGTAGTCCCAGTTACTTGGGAGGCTGAGGCAGGAGGATTGCTTGAGTCCAGGAGTTCCAGCCTGGGCAACATAGTGAGACCCTGTCTATTAAAAAAATAATCTTCCACAATCAAGTTCCAGTCGAGGTGTCAGGTCCGCTTGTCACTTTTCTCCAGGATGAACTCTCGCTTCACTTTAGATCAGTCTCTGGTCTTCCCCTGACTCCCCCAACAAGCTGTACTGACACAGGCCTTCCTTCTTTCTCCTCTCTTGGAGTGCAGGGAAATTTCTCCAGTCACTCAAATCCCTGTCATTTCTCAGAAGCCATTCTTCAAGTCTCCTGACTATCTCATGAAGAAAAATAATGTTAATATTAAACTTTCCTCCTGTGTAGTGTTGAGGAGGTTTTAGGATTTGCACTAAATGGAATTTTAAAAAGGAAGTTGTTGTTTCATATTGTTTGAGTTCATATAAATGCCGCTTTTAAAAATTTGAAATTAAATTAAATATAATCTGTACAACCTTGTCACAGAGTGACTGTGACAAATTTACAAAATCAAAATATAACAATATAGGAAAAGACAAAGAACATCAATTTAAGATCAATTACAGCTAGATATATACAGGGTCACATTTTATGTCTTTACAAATACCAAGCAAATTCATGATATTTGTGATACTATAAGAAAGGCATCGTATTAAGGATTTGCCATTCATTATAACATTTTGCTAAAAACCATTCATATATCTGCACACCAGGATTCAGTATTAAATATTTATTCAAAAAAATCTAGTTTGGATTTGTTCCCTTAAACTTGATCTATGGTAATCTTCTGAGAAGTGTGAAAATGAAGGCAATAAAAGACATTCTTGCTTCTCATAATTATCCATGATCATTATTGCTCTTACAGATTCTCTGCATAATACCCTTAAGGAGACCTCTGGAACGATGATCTGAAATTACACCATAAGAACAATCATATGCTAAAAACAGGAAGAGCTTTATATGCACATTTATTGCTGTTCCATGAGAATGTCTAATAATATGTCTGCTAATAATTTGGGATAAGCAAAAGGCATGAGACAAATTATAGGTGAGAAAGAGTAACTTTTGGAAGATTTTTTAATTTCATGAATAGTGGTAATGATTTTAAACATAGCTTGTGATTGAAGAGATGAGAGAAAAGTACCTTCAAGAATTAAGACCATCAACTTGGTAGATGCAGGGTTGCATGTGTTGGCCAGCCTCCCTTTGCCCCTTCAGATCCAGTCTCTACCTTTCCCATCCTTCTCTGTACCCTGGAAGACTCACTTTAAGAGTGCATCCGTGGGGCTTCTTACCTCTGGCTTCCAGCCAGCTTCAGCCCGTGGAAGACACTAGCAGGGGGTCAGTGGGCAGGGGTTGGCAGGGGCTGCATTTCTCTTCCAAAGACCACAGCTGGTAGTGGGTGGCACTTTTCTACAGCTACAAGCCTCCCTAGTCTCAGGTAACTGCTGCTTCTCCTTGCCCTTTCTGGTCAAGGGATGGTAGTGGCTTCTTACTACTGTTGGCCCTGGAGTTCTTCTCTATCTCTTATTGGTTTCCCAAACCTTGGCTATACCTTATAAATTATTCCTGCATTAAATCCTTTCCAATGATCCCTTTCGACCTTCCCATCCATCTCCTGCCAGGATCCTGAAATATGTGCTATACCTCCAAGTCCACTCAGAAACTTAACCAAGTGAGAGCATTTTTCATCCCAATCAGCTCCTTCTCTTCTACAGTAAATGTTTGCTTTTGCTTCCCTGGTATCCATTCATTCTTTTTCTTGCACAGCACCTGATTTTTTCCATTAGAGAACCACCCCTCCTCATCTTCACTGCAAATGACTTAGGTGAGGCTGATTTCAGCACTAAGACTGAACGGATTATCCAAGTTAACCCAATTAGACTTATAATCTCAGGACTTGCATTGAAACAATTGGGGCAAAGAGGCCTTTCTTCACTGAGACAACCAGGAGCAAAGAAAACATAAGCCTGGAACCCTCAGGCCAACTAGAGAGGAAGCCTGGTAATAAACTAATGAAAGGACAGGGAAAGAAAGAGATGGAGACTTAGACCTAATACATTATTTAAGTCCCTGGATCCCACCATGCCTGAAGCTTATCTTTGGACATTGCAGTTATCAGAACCCGGGCATGCTCATTTTGCTCAAGCTAAATTGAGTTGAGTTTTCTGCCACTTGTAATTGAAAGATCCTTGAGTATCAGGCCTTTTCCTAATAAAAACACATGCATTTGGAGAGAGTAGAAAGTGGGGAGTGATAGAGACGTGACTTTCAAAATTATATCAGCCATCCAGATTTATGCTCTTGTTTTCTTCAGGAACCCTAACACATAAACTCATGAGGGCTACGGGTGGTTTGTGTTTATTATGAATTTGGATGCTCCTACCACCAGCATTGTCCCTTTCGTTCTTTGAAATCTTTGAGAGATAGGACAATACCAAGCCCAACAACCCATTTGGTGTTAAATTTTTAGGCTAAGACCCGCGCATGATCTGCTGCAAACAAAGAACAATGGTGGAAAACCTGAGTATTATTTCGGGTGCCATTTGACTGGGCCTTCTCAGATGACAGGGTTCTTTGGCAGGAAAGGTGTTATTGTGACGTTCCCTATTCCCATTTACTGCCTATTAGAAAGTGAGTCACTGGGAGGTCAGATTATTCCCAAAGTCCAGTGTTCCTGAGCACTCCAGGTCAACTTCAAGGGACAGCAATCATGTGTAAGGACAATGGCAAAGGCTCGATCCTTTGAAATAGAGAGAAAGAGTAACTCCCAAGAGATGGCCACAGAGTGAGTTTTACTATCTTTAACATATCACATAACTTGGGAAAAAAAAATCAGGGACTGTGTTAATATGACCCAAAGTCTTTTCCACAGCAGCTGTCCTCTCTGAGACAGAGGCTAAGTCTTTATTATCTTTTCACTCCCTTCCCCACTCCTGCCTAGCACTGTGCCTCACAAAAGTAGGTGCTCTTTAATGATGACATTAAAGAGTGGCTGGCTTAAGAGCATAAATAAAATATAAGGTAACATAAGAAAAGAGCCAGCATATAGTAATTGCTCAAGTAATTCTTGCTGTTATTTGTAAATGTATAATTGAATCATCTCAATTCAAACAAACAGGCTCATCAAAACCCACACAAACCCTTTTTAAGCAATAATTTTGACTTCCTTGCCTCCCAAAGCAAGAGCTCTGTTCTGAGTTTGAGTTATTTTCCCTTCCCTTCATACATAGATGTTAAAATAGGATCAAACTATTCCTCGACTCACTCATTCATCCATCCAACAACCTGGACCCCGTGCAATTTGCCACATGTTTGACTAAGTGCAGGTAATCAAAGTTGATTAAGACAAAACCCATGTATAATGTAAAGGCCTGTAGCCTGCTGGAGAGGAATGAGAAATCCACACAGACTGTGAATGAGAGAATCAGCCTATGGGATGAGATAGTTTTAGTGGTTATGAGCGCTGGGGGAATCTCGGGGAGGACGACTATTACAGAGGAAGGTATTTTCCTTACCTTTTCTGCAAGCCAGCCAAGATGCCTAATCTCTCGGCTCCCAGCAATGCCTGTTTTCCCCAGCTGCTCTCTGACCTCAGCAATCACTCGGGTCAGCAGGTCATTAACGTTGGAATGGATGGCACTGAACCATGCCTGGGCCGTGGCTGAGTCCTTGCTCCTTAGGATCACCGTGTGCTTAGCATCTGGAGAGTGGATTTCAAGCTGCCTAGAGGAGCACAGAGAGAAGGGTTAGAAAGTTTCCTGGCAGGTCCTGCTTCGTCAAGATCTGGGTCACAAAGGTGAATTAATTCTTTACTCCTTCTTTTAGACTTTGTCAGTTTCTAACGGGATGCCTTAACAGTCCCGCCATCCATTCGTTCACTCATTAATTCATCCACGCATATTTACTGGGTTCCCAAGTACTGGTCTACATATTGGGAACACAGCTGTGCAACCACCAAATCACCTAAATTAAGGTTATCTGATTTTCTTGTTACTCAGCTGATTTGCTGATTAGTAGTATCATATGGAGACTTCCAAACTGTGAGCTGATACTAATTTGCTTTACTTCTTAATTCACAGAGGATTTTAATAATATACTCACACATCCTTGCTGCTGCTGGCAGGAAACAGATTGAAATATATCTAGCCACATGCTTAATCCTGCTGCTCAGTGTTAATCAATTAAGCCACATGCTTAATCCTGCTGCTCAGTGTTAATCAATTGAGAATATTTTAGAATCGAAGATGACCAAACTTTGCATCTTTTAGGAATTTTATCTGTAGCACATTTAGCTTCCACTTAATCCTCAAACCTGTGGTGTAAAGGCATGAATTGGCCTAGGAAGAGGTAACAATGGGGAGAGAGATGCACTAAATGTATTCTATTTAAAGTCCAGGCCCACCACGCTGGCTCATGACTGTAATCCCAGCACTTTGGAAGGCTGAGGTGGGCAGATCACCTGAGGTCAGGAGTTCAAGACCAGCCTAGCCAACATGGTGAAACCCCGTCTCTACAAAAATACAAAAATTAGCCGGGCATGATGGCGGGTGCCTGTAGCCCCAGCTACTTGGAAGGCTGAGACTGGAGAATTGCTTGAACCCGGGAGGCAGAAGTTGCAGTGAGCCGAGATCAAGCCATTGCACTCCAGCCTGGGTGACAGAGTAAGACTCGGTCTCAAATAAAATAAAATAAAATAAATTAAAATAAAAATAAAAGTCCAACACCAAAACTTAGGCCAGAACTGTAATTGGATTACTGGAGAAACAGAGAGAGAGAGATCTGTATACTGTAATTGTGGTAAAAGAAGGAAATTCTCAACAGATACTTTATGTCGTTAACTTCTTATTTTGAAGTAGTTGTAGATTAGCATGGAGTTGCACAAATAGTACAAAGAAGTCTGGGATGCCCTTCACCAGTTTCTCCCAATGGTTATATTTTACCTCCTATAGTACAGTATCAAAACTAGGAAACTGACATAGGTACAATGTGAATGTATAGTTCTATGCCATTTTTTTCACGTGTAGATTTGTATAAACCCCACTGCAATCACAATGCAGAACTACTCCATCACCACAAAGCAGAGATCTTTAATCTCCCCCGCAACTACCCCTTTTTAGTCATGTGTTCCCCCACACCCACCACTATCCCAAATCCCTAGGCAACAACTAACCTGTTCTCCGTATCTGTAAATTTTAGACAGATACTTTTTAATTGCATAAAGAAAAAAAACCCAATATTCATTCACGTATATATGCAATAAATATCATTTATTCATTCATGTTTACATTAGAAAGATACAGGGATTCGGAAATTCAAAGCTCAATAGAATTATCCATTTATTAACTTCCTTTCATCTCTTAATAATCATGATATTATTCACTGAGAATCTACTATGTGCCAGGCAAACTTTTAAATCATTTTATAGTATTACATATAATGCTTCTAATAGCCCTATGACTGATATTATTAACCCCCCTTAACAGAGGAAAAAATGGAACTTTGGAGAGAGAGAGAGGAAGAAGTAATTTACCCAAGGCCACACCGTTGGTGATGCTGGGATTCAAACCCATGTTAAATTGGCTCAAAAGCCTGTGAATTTAAATACTATACCACGATGCCTCTCCTTGAGATTGGACAATGTCTTATGGGGGGCACTCACTGTCTCCTGCAGTGATGTGAAGTGTAGTACTACTCATCATCAACAACTATGCCCAGTAATGTCCCACCTAGATCCTGAGTTTCAAAATAACAATTTTGCAGATGGCCTGAGAGTTAGAAGACCCAATGCAACTTGGCCTTGTTAACATTTGAAACCAAACTTTTACAGTGACTAAACCGTCTTACCACAAGCATTAAGTTGTAGAAGAGAGATGATTTGGAAAGTGAGATGTCACTAGGGGAACTTTAGCCATAATTAGTATTCATTTTTTTTTTTTTTTTTGAGACGGAGTCTCGCTCTGTCGCCCAGGCTGGAGTGCAGTGGTGCGACCTTGGCTCACTGCAAGCTCCGCCTCCCAGGTTCACGCCATTCTCCTGCCTCAGCCTCCCGAGTAGCTGGGACCACAGGCACCCGCCACCGCACCCAGCTAATTTTTTTGGTATTTTTAGTAGAGACGGGGTTTCTCCGTGTTAGCCAGAAAGTATTCTTTTTAAGGAATTTGCAAAGCCAGTCTCCCCAATAAGATACAAAAATTTTATGTGATGGAACAGGGAATTCTTTAGGTGACAACTGTCCTCGCGCAGAAGAAAAAAATCTCATGCCTCTTAGGCACTTTTCAAAAAAATGGGTAATAAATCTAAGGTGAGAGTTTCCATTCTCTCCCTAAGTTCTCACTCTTCAGTAAAGCTGCAGAGCAGAATACAAACTAGCATTCTCAAGAGCATTAATGAGAGCTCAACGTGTTTTTCTTCTATTTCTTGAAAACTTTATTTTTAATTGACAATGATGGTTATTAACTGGCTTTTCAAGTTATTCTGCCAATATTCATTATTCTAGGAATTTAAAACATACAAATACTTCATTTACAATATTTTCTTTTGAAGGCCTTTTTAAAAATTTTGACAAAGGTAACTTTATTAAAGCAAAGAACTGAAGATAATTTTAAAGAACTCTACCTCCACCATCTTTCCTAACTTCTATATTCATTGAGAAATTGTGCAAGATTAAGTTTACTTTTTTCCAGCACTGCTGTTTTGGCTTGTCTTGCTAGTTTCATCTTCATTTCTGATTCTGGTTCTAGAACTTCATGGTCACTTTCAGAGTCAGCCTCAGCAATGTGATGTCTCCTCTTCATCATAGTTGAAGCTATCACTTTTCTCTGTCCCCTGTTAGTCTTTTGTTGAGTAGATTTTGATGCCAGGGTTGCTTTTACATCCCTAAGAAGAGTCATATGTACTTCCTTATTCTTTTCATCTTCATTTTGAAAAATAGTTGTAGTCAAGCTGGCATCCTTTGCTGCTTCAGGCTGGTCACCAAATTCTTTATTTCCTTTTTGCTAACCGAATCTTGATTTTCTCCAAAGCTTTCAGATATGCCCTCTCCTTTACTTGCTCCAGAATCCCATTCAATAGAACCAGAAGATCTTTTGCAAGATGGCTACTGAGTTCTAAAGAACTCAAGGCTTTTTTTTTTATTATTTTAAAAAGGAATTTATTTCTTATAGTTATGAAGGCTGAGAAGTCCAGTGTTGAGGGGCTGAGTCTGGTGGGGTCCTTCTTGCTGATGCAGACTCTCTGCAGAGTTTCCAGGCAGCACAGGGCATCACATGGTGAGGGTGCTGGCTCAGCTTCCTCTTTCTTCTTCTTCTTTTTTTTTATTTTTTTATTATTATACTTTAAGTTTTAGGGTACATGTACACATTGTGCAGGTTAGTTACATATGTATACATGTGCCATGCTGGTGCGCTGCACCCACTAACTCGTCATCTAGCATTAGGTATATCTCCCGATGCTATCCCTCCCCCCTCCCCCCACCCCACAACAGTCCCCAGAGTGTGATGTTCCCCTTCCTGTGTCCATGTGATCTCATTGTTCAATTCCCACCTATGAGTGAGAATATGCGGTGTTTGGTTTTTTGTTCTTGCGATAGTTTACTGAGAATGATGATTTCCAATTTCATCCATGTCCCTACAAAGGACATGAACTCATCATTTTTTATGGCTGCATAGTATTCCATGGTGTATATGTGCCACATTTTCTTAATCCAGTCCATCATTGTTGGACATTTGGGTTGGTTCCAAGTCTTTGCTATTGTGAATAATGCCACAATAAACATACGTGTGCATGTGTCTTTATAGCAGCATGATTTATAATCCTTTGGGTATATACCCAGTAATGGGATGGCTGGGTCAAATGGTATTTCTAGTTCTAGATCCCTGAGGAATCGCCACACTGACTTCCACAATGGTTGAACTAGTTTACAGTCCCACCAACAGTGTAAAAGTAGAACTCAAGGCTTTTATAGAGACCCGAATTTCTGGTGAGCATGGACTTCTTAAGATCTCATTGCAAATTTTCATAGCCAAATTGTCATGTACTGTTAAGGCCTGATAATCTTAGGAATTCTTGGCCTGAGGATTTAATCTACTTGTTCTTGTCAAATCTATAAGTAACTGAACAACATTTCTGATATCAATTTCAGCTAAAGGAGAAGATGCAGGAGCATTGGCCAGTGTTTGCAGGCTTGGAAGAGAAACTTCTTTAAAGTATTCCTGATTAGTCCTGTTTGCATAAGCAAACATGGGGGAGAGCATGCCTAGGCAATGTCAAAGTCGAACATCCTCTTCAGTCACAGGATTCTACCATAACAAAATAAGATGGGAAAAAGTCTGCTGCTGACCAAAAGCCCAGAGAACATCAGCTTGGCTAGTCCTCCTGTGGCTCCTGTCCTAAGTGTAGATACCTCACTACCTAAGAAATCAGAAAGGAGTTTCAGAACATTCTTCGCTGTAAGGGCCTTTTCAACTTTTTATGACTGTTGCTCATAAATCACTGTTTATCTCTGTACCTTCATATTAAAAGGCTTTGATTTTTTAGGTTTAAGTGGTTCAACCTCAAACATTATCAGTTAGTCAAAGATTCACTTTAAAGTACTTATTTTTATTGTGACATCATCAATTTGCAAAACCTGCAATAATAACACAAAGTGTTATGTGCAAAATTCTGATTCTGTAGTCTGCAGCTCCCAAGCATAAAACAGCCAGGCTTCTTACTATAGGGTAAACATTTATTATTTTAGGAAGAATAAAAATTCTATGATCCCATTCATGGCTGCACTTATGCCTGTTGAAATGGACATCTGCTTCAACAGTTCACAGCATAAGATAAGACATTCTGTAATGTTTCTGCGTCATTCTTCTCTACATGGACTTCTTTGATTTCAAGTTGCTCTGTCTCTTGCAAAAGGTTTCTTTTGACATCTTCTAATACTCTTATTTCTTCTTTTAATTTTGATGCCGAGTTAAAATCCTGTAAGGTAATGTAATTTTCTAAAGCTTCTTTGGCTTCAATACGCTTAACTTTTATTTCAGCCATCTTGAGTCCTTCCTTTCTTGCATCAGCTGGGTCATTATTAACACCAACAGTAACAATGTATGCCCCAATCTCTGAGATAAATTCTGTTCTCTTATTATCATCTACAATAATGTGGGGCAGCCTTTCAATAAGAAAAGGAACCAGGGATATTGGGGTTTTGGGTAGAGTAGGAATCTCCTGTCAAATAGCCAGCATTTTTGTGTGTGTGTGTCTGGGTTACCAGACATCCCTTTTATCAATAAGAAAGGTTGGATTTTCATGGTTGGTGGATAGGCTGCCGCAAATCTGCCCTTTCCTACATCTTCAGTGTGGAAGAAGCGGGAAAACACAGTCTTCTCCACTCTCCCACTATCCGTCTCAGTGCCTCTCTGGACACTTCATACATCTTGATGGGTTAAGGCATGACTATGCTACAGAAAGAGGAATGAGTATTTTCTTTTTTTTTTCTTTTTTTATTATTATACTTCAAGTTCTAGGGTACATGTGCACAACATGCAGGTTTGTTACATGTGTATACATGTGCCATGTTGGTGTGCTGCACCCATTAACTCATCATTTACATTAGGTATATCTCCTAATGCTATCCCCTCCTCACTCCCCTCACCCCACGACAGGCCCCGGTGTGTGATGTTCCCCTTCCTGTGTCCAAGTGTTCTTATTGTTCAATTCCCACCTATGAGTGAGAACATGTGGTGTTTGGTTTTTTGTCCTTGTGATAGTTTGCTGAGAATGATGGTTTCCACTTCATTCATGTCCCTACAAAGGACATGAACTCATCTTTTTTATGGCTGCATAGTATTCCATGGTGTATATGTGCCACATTTTCTTTATCCAGTCTATCACTGATGGACATTTGGGTTGGTTCCAAGTCTTTGCTATTGTGAATAGTGCTGCAATAAACATACGTGTACATGTATCTTTATAGCAGCATGATTTATAATCCTTTGGGTATATACCCAGTAATGGGATGGATTTCTAGTTCTAGATCCTTGAGGAATCGCCACACTGTCTTCCACAATGGTTGAACTAGTTTACAGTCCTACCAACAGTATAAAAGTGTTCCTATTTCTCCACATCCTCTCCAGCACCTGTTGTTTCCTGACCTTTTTAATGATCGCCATTCTAACTGGTGTGAGATGGTATCTCTTTGTGGTTTTGATTTGCATTTCTCTGATGGCCAGTGATGATGAGCATTTTTTCATGTGTCTGTTGGCTGCATAAATATCTTCTTTTGAGAAGTGTCTGTTTATATCCTTTGCTCACTTTTTGATGGGGTTGTTTTTTTCTTGTAAATTTGTTTGAGTTCTTTGTAGATTCTAGATATTAGCCCTTTTTCAGAAGAGTAGATTGCAAAAATTTTCTCCCATTTTGTAGGTTGCCTGTTCACTCTGATGGTAGTTTCTTTTGCTGTGCAGAAGCTCTTTAGTTTAATTAGATGCCATTTGTCAATTTTGGCTTTTGTTGCCATTGCTTTTGTGTTTTAGACATGAACATGCCTGTGTCCTGAATGCTATTGCCTAGGTTTTCTTCTAGGGTTTTTATGGTTTTAGGTCTAACATTTAAGTCTTTAATCCATATTGAATTAATTTTTGTATAAGGTGTAAGGAAGGGATCCAGTTTCAGCTTTCTACATATGGCTAGCCAGTTTTTCCAGCACCATTTATTAAATAGGGAATCCTTTCCCCATTTCTTGTTTTTGTCAGGTTTGTCAAAGATCAGATGGTTGTAGATGTGTGGTATTATTTCTGAGGGCTCTGTTCTGTTCCATTGGTCTATATCTCTGTTTTAGTACCAGTACCATGCTGTTTTGGTTACTATAGCCTTGTAGTACAGTTTGAAGTCAGGTAGCATGATGCCTTCAGCTTTGCTCTCTTGACTTAGGATTGACTTGGCAATGTGGGCTCTTTTTTGTTCCATACGAACTTTAAAGTAGTTTTTTTCAATTCTGTGAAGAAAGTCATTGGTAGCTTGATGGGGATGGCATTGAATCTGTAAATTACGTTGGGCAGTATGGCCATTTTCACGATATTGATTCTTCCTATCCATGAGCATGGAATGTTCTTCCATTTGTTTGTATCCTCTTTTATTTCCTTGAGCAGTGGTTTGTAGTTCTCCTTGAAGAGGTCCTTCACATCCCTTGTAAGTTGGATTCCTAGGTATTTTATTCTCTTTGAAGCAATTGTGAATGGGAGTTCACTCATGATTTGGCTCTCTGTTTGTCTGTTATTGGTGTATAAGAATGCTTGTGATTTTTGCACATTGATTTTGTATCCTGAGACTTTGCTGAAGTTGCTTATCAGTTTAAGGAGATTTTGGGCTGAGACAATGGGGTTTTCTAAATATACAATCATGTCATCTGCAAACAGGGACAATTTGACTTCATCATTTCCTAATTGAATACCCTTTATTTCTTTCTCCTCCCTGATTGCCCTGGCCAGAAGTTCCAACACTATGTCGAATAGGAGTGATGAGAGAGGGCATCCCTGTCTTGTGCCAGTTTTCAGAGGGAATGCTTCCAGTTTTTGCCCATTCAGTATGATATTGGCTGTGGGTTTGTCATAAATAGCTCTTATTATTTTGAGATACATCCCATCAATACCTAATTTATTGAGAGTTTTTAGCATGAAGGACTGTTGAATTTTGCCAAAGGCCTTTTCTGCATCTATTGAGATAACCATGTGGTTTTTGTCTTTGGTTCTGTTTATATGCTGGATTACATTTATTGATTTGCGTATGTTGAACCAGCCTTGCATCCCAGGGATGAAGCCCACTTGATCATGGTGGATAAAATTTTGATGTGCTGCTGGATTCAGTTTGCCAGTATTTTATTGAGGATTTTTGCATCATTGTTCATCAGGGATATTGGTCTAAAATTCTTTTTTTTGTTGTGTCTGCCAGGCTTTGGTATCAGGATGATGCTAGCCTCATAAAATGAGTTAGGGAGAATTCCCTCTTTTTCTATTGATTGGAATAGTTTCAGAAGGAATGGTACCAACTCCTCCTTGTACCTCTGGTAGAATTCGGCTGTGAATCCATCTGGTCCTGGACTTTTTTTGGTTGGTAGGCCCAATAGCCAGCATTTTTTTTTCTTCCTCTTTCTTCATTCATAGCCAAAGACTTAATAATTACAATCAACTGTCAATCAAAAAAAAATCTCATGACTTTTAGGTTCTTTTCAAAGAAATGGGTAATAAATCTGGGGTGAGTTCATTGTCTCCCAAAGTTCTCACTGTTCAGTAAAGTTGCATAGCAGAACACAAACTAGGATTCTCAAAAGCATTAATGAGATCTCAGCTTGCTTTTCTTTCCTTTCTTTAAAACTTTATTTTTAATCAACAATGGTGGTTATCAACTGGCTTTTCAAGTTATTCTATCAATATCTATTATTCTAGGAATTTAAAGCATGCAAATACGTCATTTACAATGTTTTCTTTTGAAGGCTGGCATTTGTTTTCAAAGAAACGACATCTTGGGAAACAGCCACTCCACAGGTATTACACAAACAAAAGTGATGCCAGCAAAAATGAAAGAAAGAAAAAAGGGTATTTTCTTTGTTGGGTTGCCAGCATGGCCCTAGGATAAAGCAGACTTGCAAACAGAGGTACAGGTTGGTGTTGCAGAGGCCCATTTTCTCCAGGTTTTGACAGCGCTTATCATTATTATTAATTTTTAAGTAAACTTTAAAAGTGTAACATACAGACGGAAAAGTTCACAAATTGTAGGTGTCCACCTCAACTGTATTTTTGCAGAGAATATATTCGTGTCACTGTCACTCAGATCAAGAAATAGAATATTACAGTCATCCCAGAAATTCCTTTTGTATACCCTTTCCAGTTCCTGTCCTCTCATATAATCACTATTCAAATTTCTAACACTATGGATTACTTTTGCCTCAGGCAAAAATGGATGAATTTTTGTTTGCTTTCATTTTTTGTTGTTACCTGAAGTGTAGGGAGGATCTAGGACAATTTCTGAGGCAAAGTTGAAATACCAGGTCCCATACTTTTTGGCAGCGATTCTCAAGGCATGGCCACAGACCAGCAGTATTTGCATGCAAATTATAGGTTCCCATCTCAGGCCTACTTAACTAGGAACTCTGGGGGTGGGGTCCAGCAATCATCCTCCAGGAAAATCTGACTCTAGTCAAGTTTGAGAAGGGCTGCGCCATAGGTTCATTTAAAAAAAGGACTGAGCTTAGTTGTTTGCCAGGCTTCCCAATGGCTGAGAGGGACATGGAATGGTGAACTGAGCTTCCCCTGTCAGTTTTCAGAGAAAGAATACAAAAGACATAGAGCAGAGAGGCCTGTTGCTTTTTATCATCAAAAAGAACAGCAAGGTTCTCAACCAAAAGTATTCTTCAGATATCCTTTAATAGGCTTCTTTTTAAAAAATCATTCAGTTAAATATAAATGGTTGGACCCTGTCCCAGTCCTACTGAGTAAAAATCTCCAGAGATTGAAGCCTGGGCTTATGCTTTAAATGTTCCACAAATTATACAGATTGAAGACCACCACAGGCCTCTCTGAGGCTAAGCTGGAGCCCCTAAGGAGCTGAGCCTATTGATAGTTGTCCCCAGAAGGGCAATACAACAGGTGGCTTCTGGAGAGTATGTTAGTTATGGACTACTGACTAACAAATTCCCCCAGTTAAAATATGGCTTAAAATTCCAGGCCAGCCACAGTGACTCATGCCTGTGATCCCAGCACTTTGGGAGGCTGAAGTGGGAGGATTACTCGAGCTCAGGAGTTTGAGACCAGCCTGGGCAAGTAGGGAGGCCCCAACTCTACAAAAAATTTAAAAATTAGTCAGGCATGGTGGTGCACACCTGTAGTCCCAGCTACTCAGGAGGCTGAGGTGGGAGGATTGCTTGGGCCCAGGTCAAGGCTGCAGTAAAAGCCATGATTGCACTACTGCACTCCAGCCTGGGTGACAGAGCAAGACCCTTACTGAAAAACA
Organism: Homo sapiens; assembly: GCF_000001405.40. Classification (NCBI taxonomy): domain Eukaryota; kingdom Metazoa; phylum Chordata; class Mammalia; order Primates; family Hominidae; genus Homo; species Homo sapiens. The sequence continues at coordinate 120,642,918 of NC_000008.11, forward strand.
AAAAAACAAAACAAAACAAAATTCCAAACATCTGTTATCTCACAGTATCTGTAGGTCATGAATTTGGGAATGGCTTAGCTGAGTGGTTCTGGCTCAGGAATTTGCAGTCAGGATGCTGACAGGGGTTGCAGGCATCTGAAGGCTTGACTGGGGTTGAGGATCCACTTCTAAGATGGCTCCCTCTTATGGCCATTGGCAGGAAGCCTCAGTTTCTTGCCATATGAGCCTTTCCAAAGGCTGCTTGAGTGTCCTCCTGACATGGCAGCTTGTTTCCTCCAAAGAAAAAAAGGAACTGCTATGCCTTTTCTGATCTGGTCTTCAAAGGCACACACCATGTTTGTTGTTATTGTTTCTCTGATTTTTAGATTTCAATAGTTTTGGGGGAACAGGTGGTTTTTGGTTACATGGATAAGTTCTTTAGTGGTGATGTCTGAGATTTTGGTGTACCCATCACCCGAGCAGTGTACACTGTACCCAATGTGCAGTCTTTTATCTCTCACCACCCTCCCACCCTTCCTCCTGAGTCCCCAGAGTGCATTATATCATTCTTCTGCCTTTGCATTCTCATAGCTTAGTTCCCATTTATAAGAACATGAGATATTTGGCTTTCCATTCCTGAGTTACTTCACTTAGAATAATAGTTTCCAACTTCATCCAGGTTGCTGCAAATGCCATTATTTTTTCTTTTATATGACTGAGTAGTATTCTGTGGTGTATGTATATCACATTTTTTTATCCACTCATTGGTTGATGGGCATTTAGGTTGTTTCCACATTTTTGCAGTTGTGAATTGTGTTGCTATAAACATGAATGTGAAAGTGTCTTTTTCATATAATGACTTCTTTTCCTCTGGGTAGAGACCCAGTCATGGGATTGCTGGATCAAATGGTAGTTCTACTTATAGTTCTTTAAGGAACCTCCATCCTGTTTTCCATAGTGGTTTTACTAGTTTACATTCCCACCAGCAGACACACCATGAGTTCTGGTTTATTCTTTTTGTTAGAAGTGAGTCACTAAGTCCAATACACATTCAAGAAAATGAGAATTAGGCTCCACTAGGATACAAGGAAGAGTACCAAAGCATCTGTAGACATATCTATATCTTAAAACCACCATAGAGAAGCTTTCAGATGAAGTAAAGTCCTGTAAAAAGCCTGTTAGCAAATGTAGAGGGAGAGTTTTTGAAGCTGTGTACCAGTAGCCTATGATGATCTTGCAGATCCAAGTAAAGAGGGAAATCATTCTTTTTTTTTTTTAATTATACTTTAAGTTTTACGGTACATGTGCACATTGTGCAGGTTAGTTACATATGTATACATGTGCCATGCTGGTGTGCTGCACCCACTAACTCGTCATCTAGCATTAGGTATATCTCCCGAAGCTATCCCTCCCCCCTCCCCCCACCCCACAACAGTCCCCAGAGTGTGATATTCCCCTTCCTGTGTCCATGTGATCTCATTGTTCAATTCCCACCTATGAGTGAGAATATGCGATGTTTGGTTTTTTGTTCTTGCGATAGTTTACTGAGAATGATGATTTCCAATTTCATCCATGTCCCTACAAAGGACATGAACTCATCATTTTTTATGGCTACATGGTATTCCATGGTGTATATGTGCCACATTTTCTTAACCCAGTCTATCATTGTTGGACATTTGGGTTGGTTCCAAGTCTTTGCTATTGTGAATAATGTCGCAATAAACATGCGTGTGCATGTGTCTTTATAGCAGCATGATTTATAGTCCTTTGGGTATATACCCAGTAATGGGATGGCTGGGTCAAATGGTATTTCCAGTTCTAGATCCCTGAGGAATCACCACACTGACTTCCACAATGGTTGAACTAGTTTACAGTTCCACCAACAGTGTAAAAGTGTTCCTGTTTCTCCACATCCTCTCCAGCACCTGTTGTTGCCTGACTTTTTAATGATTGCCATTCTAACTGGTGTGAGATGGTATCTCACTGTTGTTTTGATTTGCATTTCTCTGATGGCCAGTGATGATGAGCATTTTTTCATGTGTTTTTTGGCTGCATGAATGTCTTCTTTTGAGAAGTGTCTGTTCATGTCCTTCGCCCACTTTTTGATGGGGTTGTTTGTTTTTTTCTTGTAAATTTGTTTGAGTTCATTGTAGATTCTGGATATTAGCCCTTTGTCAGATGAGTAGGTTGCGAAAATTTTCTCCCATTTTGTAGGTTGCCTGTTCACTCTGATGGTAGTTTCTTTTGCTGTGCAGAAGCTCTTTAGTTTAATCAGATCCCATTTGTCAATTTTGGCTTTTGTTGCCATTGCTTTTGGTATTTTAGACATGAAATCCTTGCCCATGCCTATGTCCTGAATGGTAATGCCTAGGTTTTCTTCTAGGGTTTTTATGGTTTTAGGTCTAACGTTTAAGTCTTTAATCCATATTGAATTGATTTTTGTATAAGGTGTAAGGAAGGGATCCAGTTTCAGCTTTCTACATATGGCTAGCCAGTTTTCCCAGCACCATTTATTAAATAGGGAATCCTTTCCCCATTGCTTGTTTTTCTCAGGTTTGTCAAAGATCAGATAGTTGTAGACATGCGGCATTATTTCTGAGAGCTCTGTTCTGTTCCATTGATCTATATCTCTGTTTTGGTACCAGTACCATGCTGTTTTGGTTACTGTAGCCTTGTAGTATAGTTTGAAGTCAGGTAGTGTGATGCCTCCAGCTTTGTTCTTTTGGCTTAGGATTGACTTGGCAATGCGGGCTCTTTTTTGGTTCCATATGAACTTTAAAGTAGTTTTTTCCAATTCTGTGAAGCAAGTCATTGGTAGCTTGATGGGGATGGCATTGAATCTGTAAATTACCTTGGGCAGTATGGCCATTTTCACGATATTGATTCTTCCTACCCATGAGCATGGAATGTTCTTCCATTTGTTTGTATCCTCTTTTATTTCCTTGAGCAGTGGTTTGTAGTTCTCCTTGAAGAGGTCCTTCACATCCCTTGTAAGTTGGATTCCTAGGTATTTTATTCTCTTTGAAGCAATTGTGAATGGGAGTTCACTCATGATTTGGCTCTCTGTTTGTCTGTTGTTGGTGTATAAGAATGCTTGTGATTTTTACACATTGATTTTGTATCCTGAGACTTTGCTGAAGTTGCTTATCAGCTTAAGGAGATTTTGGGCTGAGACAGTGGGGTTTTCTAGATATACAATCATGTCGTCTGCAAACAGGGACAATTTGACTTCCTCTTTTCCTAATTGAATACCCTTTATTTCCTTCTCCTGCCTCATTGCCCTGGCCAGAACTTCCAACACTATGTTGAATAGGAGTGGTGAGAGAGGGCATCCCTGTCTTGTGCCAGTTTTCAAAGGGAATGCTTCCAGTTTTTGCCCATTCAGTATGATATTGGCTGTGGGTTTGTCATAGATAGCTCTTATTATTTTGAAATACGTCCCATCAATACCTAATTTATTGAGAGTTTTTAGCATGAAGGGTTGTTGAATTTTGTCAAAGGCTTTTTCTGCATCTATTGAGATAACCATGTGGTTTTTGTCTTTGGCTCTGTTTAAATGCTGGATTACATTTATTGATTTGCATATATTGAACCAGCCTTGCATCCCAGGGATGAAGCCCACTTGATCATGGTGGATAAGCTTTTTGATGTGCTGCTGGATTCGTTTTGCCAGTATTTTATTGAGGATTTTTGCATTAATGTTCATCAAGGATATTGGTCTAAAATTCTCTTTTTTTGTTGTGTCTCTGCCCGGCTTTGGTATCAGAATGATGCTGGCCTCATAAAATGAGTTAGGGAGGATTCCCTCTTTTTCTATTGATTGGAATAGTTTCAGAAGGAATGGTACCAGTTCCTCCTTGTACCTCTGGGAGAATTCGGCTGTGAATCCATCTGGTTCTGGACTCTTTTTGGTTGGTAAGCTATTGATTATTGCCACAACTTCAGCTCCTGTTATTGGTCTATTCAGAGATTCAACTTCTTCCTGGTTTAGTCTTGGGAGAGTGTATGTGTCCAGGAATTTATCCATTTCTTCTAGATTTTCTAGTTTATTTGCGTAGAGGTGTTTGTAGTATTCTCTGATGGTAGCTTGTATTTCTGTGGGATCGATGGTGATATCCCCTTTATCATTTTTTATTGCGTCTATTTGATTCTTCTCTCTTTTCTTCTTTATTAGTCTTGCTAGCGGTCTATCAATTTTGTTGATCCTTTCAAAAAACCAGCTCCTGGATTCATTAATTTTTTGAAGGGTTTTTTGTGTCTCTATTTCCTTCAGTTCTGCTCTGATTTTAGTTATTTCTTGACTTCTGCTAGCTTTTGAATGTGTTTGCTCTTGCTTTTCTAGTTCTTCTAATTGTGATGTTAGGGTGTCAATTTTGGATCTTTCCTGCTTTCTCTTGTGGGCATTTAGTGCTATAAATTTCCCTCTACACACTGCTTTGAATGCGTCCCAGAGATTCTGGTATGTTTTGTCTTTGTTCTCATTGGTTTCAAAGAACATCTTTATTTCTGCCTTCATTTCGTTATGTACCCAGTAGTCATTCAGGAGCAGGTTGTTCAGTTTCCATGTAGTTGAGCGGTTTTGAGTGAGTTTCTTAATCCTGAGTTCTAGTTTGATTGCACTGTGGTCTGAGAGATAGTTTGTTATAATTTCTGTTCTTTTAAATTTGCTGAGGAGAGCTTTACTTCCCAGTATGTGGTCAATTTTGGAATAGGTGTGGTGTGGTGCTGAAAAAAATGTATATTCTGTTGATTTGGGGTGGAGAGTTCTGTAGATGTCTATTAGGTCCACTTGGTGCAGAGCTGAGTTCAATTCCTGGGTATCCTTGTTGACTTTCTGTCTCGTTGATCTGTCTAATGTTGACAGTGGGGTGTTAAAGTCTCCCATTATTAATGTGTGGGAGTCTAAGTCTCTTTGTAGGTCACTCAGGACTTGCTTTATGAATCTTGGTGCTCCTGTATTGGGTGCATATATATTTAGGATAGTTAGCTCTTCTTGTTGAATTGATCCCTTTACCATTATGTAATGGCCTTCTTTGTCTCTTTTGATCTTTGTTGGTTTAAAGTCTGTTTTATCAGAGACTAGGATTGCAACCCCTGCCTTTTTTTGTTTTCCATTTGCTTGGTAGATCTTCCTCCATCCTTTTATTTTGAGCCTATGTGTGTCTCTGCACGTGAGATGGGTTTCCTGAATACAGCACACTGATGGGTCTTGACTCTTTATCCAATTTGCCAGTCTGTGTCTTTTAATTGGAGCATTTAGTCCATTTACATTTAAAGTTAATATTGTTATGTGTGAATTTGATCCTGTCATTATGATGTTAGCTGGTGATTTTGCTCGTTAGTTGATGCAGTTTCTTCCTAGTCTCGATGGTCTTTACATTTTGGCATGATTTTGCAGCGGCTGGTACCGGTTGTTCCTTTCCATGTTTAGTGCTTCCTTCAGGAGCTCTTGTAAGGCAGGCCTGGTGGTGACAAAATCTCTCAGCATTTGCTTGTTTGTAAAGTATTTTATTTCTCCTTCACTTATGAAGCTTAGTTTGGCTGGATATGAAATTCTGGGTTGAAAATTCTTTTCTTTAAGAATGTTGAATATTGGCCCCCACTCTCTTCTGGCTTGTAGGGTTTCTGCCGAGACATCTGCTGTTAGTCTGATGGGCTTCCCTTTGAGGGTAACCCGACCTTTCTCTCTGGCTGCCCTTAACATTTTTTCCTTCATTTCAACTTTGGTGAATCTGACAATTGTGTGTCTTGGAGTTGCTCTTCTCGAGGAGTATCTTTGTGGCGTTGTCTGTATTTCCTGAATCTGAACGTTGGCCTGCCTTGCTAGATTAGGGAAGTTCTCCTGGATAATATCTTGCAGAGTGTTTTCCAACTTGGTTCCATTCTCCCCATCACTTTCAGGTACACCAATCAGATGTAGATTTGGTCTTTTCAAATAGTCCCATATTTCTTGGAGGCTTTGTTCATTTCTTTTTATTCTTTTTTCTCTAAACTTCCCTTCTTGCTTCATTTCATTCATTTCATCTTCCATCGCTGATACCCTTTCTTCCAGTTGATCGCATCGGCTCCTGAGGCTTCTGCATTCTTCACGTAGTTCTCGAGCCTTGGTTTTCAGCTCCATCAGCTCCTTTAAGCACTTCTCTGTATTGGTTATTCTAGTTATACATTCTTCTAAATTTTTTTCAAAGTTTTCAACTTCTTTGCCTTTGGTTTGAATGTCCTCCTGTAGCTCAGAGTAATTTGATCGTCTGAAGCCTTCTTCTCTCAGCTCGTCAAAGTCATTCTCCATCCAGCTTTGTTCCGCTGCTGGTGAGGAACTGCGTTCCCTTGGAGGAGGAGAGGCGCTCTGCTTTTTAGAGTTTCCAGTTTTCCTGTTCTGTTTTTTCCCCATCTTTGTGGTTTTATCTACTTTTGGTCTTTGATGATGGTGATGTACAGATGGGTTTTTGGTGTGGATGTCCTTTCTGTTTGTTAGTTTTCCTTCTAACAGACAGGACCCTCAGCTGCAGGTCTGTTGGAGTACCCTGCCGTGTGAGGTGTCAGTGTGCCCCTGCTGGGGGGTGCCTCCCAGTTAGGCTGCTCGGGGGTCAGGGGTCAGGGACCCACTTGAGGAGGCAGTCTGCCCGTTCTCAGATCTCCAGCTGCGTGCTGGGAGAACCACTGCTCTCTTCAAAGCTGTCAGACAGGGACATTTAAGTCTGCAGAGGTTACTGCTGTCTTTTTGTTTGTCTGTGCCCTGCCCCCAGAGGTGGAGCCTACAGAGGCAGGCAGGCCTCCTTGAGCTGTGGTGGGCTCCACCCAGTTCGAGCTTCCCGGCTGCTTTGTTTACCTAATGAAGCCTGGGCAATGGCGGGCGCCCCTCCCCCAGCCTAGCTGCCACCTTGCAGTTGGATCTCAGACTGCTGTGCTAGCAATCAGCGAGACTCCGTGGGCGTAGGACCCTCTGAGCCAGGTGTGGGATATAATCTCGTGGTGTGCCATTTTTTAAGCCCCTCGGAAAAGCGCAGTATTCGGGTGGGAGTGACCCGATTTTCCAGGTGCTGTCCATCACCCCTTTCTTTGACTCAGAAAGGGAACTCCCTGACCCCTTGCACTTCCCAAGTGAGGCAATGCCTCGCCCTGCTTCGGCTCGCGCACGGTGCACGCACCCACTGACCTGCGCCCACTGTCTGGCACTCCCTAGTGAGATGAACCCAGTACCTCAGATGGAAATGCAGAAATCACCCATCTTCTGCATCGCTCACGCTGGGAGCTGTAGACCGGAGCTGTTCCTATTCGGCCATCTTGGCTCTGGTTCCCGGAAATCATCCTTTTTAACTAAGCTTTGGCTCTGGCTTATAAGATGAGACATATGTTAGACTTAAGATAGGAGTCAATGACAATAGGAGAGTTGAGAATGAGCCTCTCACTGACAACACGTGAGAGCAGCATGAAACCACTAAATATGATGGTGGGCTAAGAATTGTTGGGCTGATCTGACAAAACTTTGGCATGGAAAAAGTGCCAAATTATTTGTCAATTATTTGTGCACTGAGTAATTAAAAGAATTCAGCAACCTACCTTCCCCCTTTTTTTCCCTCACCCCCAACAAAACCCAAAGGGAGAGAAGAAAGGTCTACAAAATTCCTCTTTTAATATCAATGAGCTCTACTAGCTAAGGCAAACGATAGGTACTTGGTGTCCCTGAAGTCCTTCAAATCCCTGGGTGACAACTCAAGATTCTCAACAAGGTCATGGGGTGATTTTATACCTATATATCTCCATTGCCTGGCATTAACTGAACTTCAGATACACGCATTTTGACCTAATTTGTTATTTGACCTCATTTTACCAAAACGTGATCCAGTGTAATGCATGTTCCAGAAGAGAAAGTGATAGAGAGTAAAGACATTCCATTCCTGGCTGGCTGTGCAGTAGTTCTTTCAGCAGCCCATATTCTCACCAATTGAAAAGATGCATGCTGGAATGCACACTGGCTTTATGACTTTCAGATTGGCTTTATGACTTATTGGATTCAGATTGGCTTTATGACTTATTGGCTGTGAAGCATTAGGTAAGTTACTTAAACTCCCTAAGCCTCGATTTCTTTATCTGTAGAATGCCTCAATATACTTGTCTATTGAGATTATTGAAACGATGAAATGAAGTAACATGCATGAGATGTCACAGTGCCATGCTCATCTTGATGAGTCTTCCTAGTTTACAATGAACAGTCTTTCCAAATTTGTGCACAATAAAATTGTATTGTATTGGTCCAATGAAGCATGGAGAGTCCTCCAGGGCAGGTGGGCTATAGTCCAACTCCCTTCCAGAGTACTGGGATTTGCAGAAAAATGCAAGCCCCAGGAAAAACTAAAAGGTTATACAAAGGCTCTTTCTACTATCCTGGAATGGAAAATAAAATAACTTTAGGGAAAGATGCATGAGTCTTTTGCAAGATACTGAAAGATTTGGGGCAAACCTGATAACATGTCACCCTTTAACCCATCTACCTCTTTGTTCTAAAAACAAAAAAGAGCTATATGAGGTTCCTGTTAAGGGGCACAAGTTAATGAGAGTTGTGGCCGTAACTAGAGCTACAATTAGCTGTTGAAGTCTCTTTGCTTTCTCATAGCCTGAGCTAATCAGTGACTCTGTGGTGAAAAGAGATGAGAATGGTTTCATTTTTTTAGTAGGTTTTTGCTGATAACATACCCCAAAAGAACCATTTTGTAGGGTCAAATGTTTAGTATTATGTGTTTTTTTAAAAAGGTAGTTTCAACTTCAACAATTACATAATGAACATATGGAAGGAGGTAAAATGAGGAAATGCAGTAAGAAGAGGGTAGGGAGAAGGAGAGAAAAAGGAAAACGGAAAAAACTCAAGAGTGAAAACTAAGTGGTGTGTGAAAATGTCATTGTGCCTGGGTGGTTGAAGTCATTAAAGTCAGAGAGCCAAAAATACCTAACAGAGTGGAGCGAAAAAAGAGCCGGACAGAACAGTGAGAATAATATATCACTGATGTAAAAACAACTCATATGATGCTTGTAAATGTGGAAACTATAACTATCCCTGGAGGGGTATAGAGATGAGTTCAATTAGGAGGGAAACTGAGTGACAGGAGGACAAAATTGGAAGGGAGATTTTTACTGTATAACTTTGTATCTTTTAAATTTTGTTCCAGGCGCATTTATCATGTATTCAATGCATTTAAACAGAAGAGGAGAAGGACGGGCCATAGGATAGAACTATTGGTTAAAACCATCTTGTCTCAAGCCCAAGCTGTCATTTGTGAACTATGCTTCTTATGGATATCTGTTGTTTGTCTGCCATTTCCATACCCTGCTTTTCTGGTAACAGGCTTTATCCTCAATCTCATTCTAAGTGGTCTGGGGGATTTGATGGCTTGAGGGTTGTAGGTGTGAAACAATTTGGACCAAAGAGATCCAGGCCCAGAGTTTCTACTGAATGCAGTGTAATGCACATTCCAGAATAGAAAGTGATAGAGAGTAAAGAAATTCTATTCCAGGAATAATTGTTAAGGAGACTTTTTCCCCCTCATTGTAAATACTGGGGGGTTGGATGGAATCACGGATCTGTGATGACCACCTTGCCATCGAGAGGGAAGGACTTGGTCTGCTACATTCCTTTTTTTTTTTTCTTAAGCCAGTTCAAATTGGGCTACTTTCAAAATACAACCAAAAGTCCTGACTCATACACTGACCTCAAATAGGTCTTTTCATTTTTCTGAGCCTCAAATTTCTTCATCCCATGTAAAATTGAGATGGTTGTGGTAATGATCAAAGTGGTGATGATGATGATAATGAAGGTGATAACATTCACAGGGTTACTGGAGTATCAAATGAGATAATAATTATGGAAGTGCTTTGTGACCTGATGTTAGTAGTTGTCACTTATGTTTTTAGCATTTTAAGACTTTCTGTTGACTCAGTAAATGGGGGAAAAAACTACATTAGTGAACATAATGTTTTCCTATTATCTATAGCTATAGGTCTCTCTTAGAAATTCTATTAGTAAAGAGTCAAGGCATGCATATTGAAACAGAAAATCCCAGTAAATCTCTTGGGTTACAAAACGGAGTAAGAAACATGCAATGCTGTCACAGCTAATTAGCAAGTGTTCTAGAACACTGATGAGGTGTCTGGCGTGTGTCATGTGCTGTAGAGGCAACTGGAGTACATGGTCTCTGCCTCCAATTAACTCACCCTGTGCAGTGCATTGAATAGTATCCCTCCAAAATTCATGTTCCTGGGGAACCTCAGGATGTGACTTTATTTGGAAATAGGATCTTTGCAGATGTAATTAAGGGAAGGATTCAGATGAGATCCTTATCACATTATCTCATTATTCCACCCAGTGTATTAGGGTGGGTCCTAAATCCAATGAGAGTGCTATTATAAGAGACAGAAAAGACATAGAGACATGCAGAAAAGAAGGTGATGTGAAGGTGGAGGCAGAGTTTGGAGTGATGCAGCTGCAAGACAGGGAATGCCAATGAGGGCAGGCAACCACGAGAAGTTAGGAGAGAGGTATGAAATGGTTTCTCCCTGAAAACATCTGGAAGAAACCAACCCTGCTGACATTTTGATTGCAGACTTCTGGTCTACAAAGCTGAGCGAGGATAAATTTCTACTGTTTTAAGCCACCCAGTTTGTGGTACTTTGTTATGCCAATCCTAGAAAACTATTACACAAATACATCATGTAACTATCTTCCTGGGTATAGCAGAACCAGGACTGCACTACTATTTAAAATATATGGGCGCTTAAAGATATTCATAAGATGAATTTAGATCATTTAGAGCTGTGGAATCATGTGTCCATTTTAGCTCACTTTGGAGTTAAAAAGTTGTCTTCTTAGGGCCGGGTGCTGTGGCTCACGCCTGTAATCCCAGCACTTTGGGAGGCCGAGGCGGGCGGATCACAAGGTCAGGAGATCGAGACCATCCTGGCTAACACGGTGAAACCCCGTCTCTACTAAAAATACAAAAAATTAGCCGGGCATTGTGGTGGGTGCCTGTAGTCCCAGCTACTCGGGGGGTCTGAGGCAGGAGAATGGCGTGAACCCGGAAAGCGGAGCTTGCAGTGAGCCCAGATGGCGCCACTGCACTCCAGCCTGGGAGACAGAGCGAGACTCTGCCTCAAAAAAAAAAAAAAAAAAAAAAAAAAAAAAAAGTTGTCTTCTTGGCAATAAATCTTACTCCCACTAACATTCAGTTTTATAGCCCAGAAAGAAAACGGGGAACCATTCTGATGTAAGGAACATACATAAAGCATGCTGGCCCAGGGTAGGTCTCCACTCTGTAAAGGACAGTACCCTCGACTTCCTTCTTGGGGTAAAGAAAATCTAGACAACTTCCTTGCTGGCTGATGAGCCCTACATTTCTGGAACTAGGAAAAAAGAGGGAGGGAGGGAGTAAAGCAGCAATAAAGTCAGGATGGCTGATTGGAGCTATTTTCAGCAGGCCAGTCTTTTATAACTCCTATTTTGTTCCCCAGTTGAACTGACCACTGCTTGATGAATTGTGTTTATCTGTAGTTCAGCGATAAAGTTCTCTTTTAATTCCCTGCTGAATAGAAATATTTAGGGCAATGCCACAGCTGTGTTTATTCTCACCCTCCACCACAGTTATGTAAATACTGCCTATGGAACTATTTCTGATAACAGCCCATCCCAACCCCAAGGAATTATACGCTCACTCTCGATGTCTGCCAAGATGAGCCGTTTCGATCCAGCTTGGCACGGCGTATGAATGATATCACAGCTTCTCAGAGATCATTTGGCAAAACTCACAATAAAAGAGTAATTTTCTTCCCCTCTTGCTCTCTCAAAGGCTTTCATGGAGCCAAGTGATATTTCCCAGCATCCTCTACTTCCTCTGTTTAGAAACATGAGGCTAATACATAAAACTTGAAGCCTCCTACTACGAAATTAATAAATAAAACAAAACTCACAACCTGACAACAAAAGTTTCAAGTGACCTTTCCCCTCCAAGTGACTCTGGAGAAAACACAGATGAAACTAGTCAGGAGGATGAAGTCTTGCTGGCTTGCAGCAACTTCGGGGAATCCAGGAGAATTCAAACCACATGGTCATTATGGTCGCCTTCAGTTCCTCAAATCTGTGATTCCTATGGCTGATGAAAAATACTTCTCAACAGACAAATAAATAACAGTGGTTAACTCTAGATCATGACATTTTGGGGTGTTTTTATTTCCACCTTTCTGCTTTTCTGTAGTTTCTAGTTTTTTTCAGCGTAATCAGGAAAAAATTAGAAAACTTAAAAAAAAGAATACTTGTAAACCTTTTGCGATAATGTCATTGATGAAATGCTTCAGTAAAAAGAAGTATTCTTATGTGAAAAAGATAACATCAAAGCAAAAATTAGATTGTTTAAAAAATACTAAAATGGGTTGTAACTACAAGATGTAAAAGAAAGAGGTAAAAAGATTGGTAGTAATCACATTTGTAATAAGGATAAGTACTTGTTCCATGAAGAGGCAAACTCCACCACCATACTTGTTCACTTTTCTCATTTTATCCTCACACCATCCTATGAGGTGAATGGTATTAATGTGTCTATTTCACAGATAAGAAGATGGTGTCTTAGTGGGGTAGCCCATCCTGCCTCTTCCCATTAGTAAGAGGTAAAACTGGAACTAGAACCAAAGTTCATTGAACTCCAAAGCCCATGTCTTAATCATTATGCTCCATCTAGCAGGATGGTTATAAAATGTGGTGTTTTGAAAGCAGGGAACATATTTTATGTTGGTTGCTGTTCAATATCTTTTGAATACCCATCCTGTGTATTTGGAAAATTTTCCAAATTACATGTTGAGCTTCCCAAAGATAGAAGCCAGAATCCAAGTTCCCAGCCTTCCTTGTTGCTCAAGGACAGAACCACTCACACTGAATGGCAATTCTGAAGGAGGCAACATCAGGAAGTAAATGTGCATAGACATGCATAGACTCCATCATCTGGAAGGCAGGAAGGAGGAGGCACCCCACTTTTAGGTAGAGCTTGGCCAATCTCAGGTGTCATTGGTGTGGGCTTAGGCAGTGTGTGAGTTGTGAGACAGTTGTTAAGGAGGTGACAACAGGGGTATTTTCCCTAGAGCAGCATTCACAGTGTGGTTGGTGTTGAGCCTGTTTTTTTTGAAATTTTGAGGAAATCCGTGAACACCATAATATCCTTAACTAGAGTTGGAGTTGATTCTATTGCCTGAAACTACAATCCTCAGCTAAGAATGTGGATTTAGGAAGCAGGTTGCCATGATGGGGGCTAAGGAGATCATTTAAGGAATGTGTCAAGTGTGAGCAGTTAATGAAAAAGAAACCAGAAGAGGTGTTCTGCTATTTTTCACAAAATCCCATTTCAAAAACAGGTCATGCATGATATAGTATTCTGCTAAGCTCTGAGGGAAACTGACAATATCTCTTGTGTTGGCTAGATTTCAGTTTTTCAGTGACACATACATTTACAAAATATGTGGAGAATTTCAGCACTTTGACCTTTCCTGGGGAAATGATATCATTATTAGTTTTAGATGAAAAGTCAGCTAATGTCAAAACTAAAGAAAATATTTTGTTTTCTCACTATGCATATCATCTATACCTCCCAAAATATTCTGTGGTTTTATCTTGCTCAGCTGATTTAAAAAAATAATAAGGCATCTAAATAGACAAGGTGCTATGCAGGGCAAATAAATGTGCATTTGTCTTATAATCTTAGTACTTACATTGATAAATAATCTATCCTACAGCCCAATCTAGATCATAGCATTTAGAGTCTGAGGGCCTATTTTTGCTTCTTTTGAATTAGATTATTTTAAACTAGGGTTGCCAGAGTTAGCAAATAAAAATGTTTGATGCCCAGTTAAAATTGAGTTTCAGATAAACACGGAATAATTTTTTAGCATTAGTATGTCCCATGTAATATCTAGTGGTGGAGATGGCATAAAGTACATGAGTTAGAAAAAGGTATAGAAAATAAAACTGACAGGATGTTATGATAGATAAACTGTGAGGTGGCAGGGAAGAGAGAAGTGTCAAGGTGATGCCTAGGTTTTGAGCTTAGACAACTAAATTAATGACAGTGCTATTTACTACGATAAAAAACTGAAAATGATTCAGAGTTGGAAAGAAACATTGTGAGTTTGGTTAAATATCTCCATTTTCATTTGGATGTCTTTTTACAATCTCAGACTTATAGTATATACATGTACAAGCTACTCTTCAAGAGTCTGTTTATCCTATGGTTATTTTGTTTTAATGCAATCAATATCTTTCCAATAATTGAAGTTGGATGACCCAACATCCTTGATGCCTCTTGTCCTCTTCTCTAGGCCCCAGTGTACAATTTTATCAGTATTATCTTGGCAGTATCTCCCTTTCAGAAGAGCTAGCCAGACTGCAAGTTACCAAGTTTTCTCAGTGGAGTTGGGGCAATCACTAACCTAGGATGAGATGTAAGTTTTATTTTCTAGGCCAACTTTGATTAAATGGTAGCGGTTGCCTGAAATGATGTCTTGAAAGGAATCTGAGGCCTCATTCCAGGCTCATCTAGGATAAATGTCATAATCATTTATGGATGTTTGCTGTGGGCATGGAAATGGGAATTGGCAGCACTCATGCTGCCTACTTAACATTTCTAGAAAGCATTTTGACTTATACCTCTCCAAAAATAGGCCACTTTATCTCCTCATTGCCCCACTCTTGGATTGAGTCCTGGATTTTTTCATCTAATAATCTCTCTTTCAAGTACAATCTCTCATTATGTCAGAGTTTCATGTAAAATAATAAGATTTATCTGTCTGACCCATTTACAAAATTGTGAGAAAAATTCCTTTTCATTTATTGACTTATCAATTATTTTTTAGTGCCTAGTACTTGCCAGACATGCCAGGAGCCATGTGAAGAGAACTCAACACAGATATTGTTTCAATAATCACTGAGATTATACTCAAGCAATCTTGAACAAGCACACACTTTCTTAAATTTTCAAATAACTCAAGAAATTCCTAATGTGAGAGAATCATTTGTACCTATTTTAGGTGCAGAGAATCATCATTCTATTCTCAATAAATTATTAAAGCAGTTATTTAGTATGTGAAGTTAGCAGTGCTTCAACATAATAACAGTACTTCACCATTACCAAAATATCACTCATCCATTCAGTTGTAATTTCTACTAAATCTTTCCTTAGTGAGGGTACAGGAGGAGAAAATGGGAGAGGATACAGATAAAAGCATTGTGTCTCAGGCTTCTATATAAATAAAGATGTGTTACCTGTAGAAGGCAGTAAATCAAGCTATTAGTATCCAAGAACCTGTTAACAGGAACTATCAGTAGCTGCCACCCAGCAGAGAAGAGGGCCAAGAGAGTATGCTGAAGAGGAGATAGAAGCTGGATGGGACAGGAAGGATTTAAAGAGAATCTATCACATAAAGGGACTAGAGAGTAGCCAGGGAATTTGGGTTCAGGAAGTAGGAAACACCATAGGCAATTTAGTTAGTACAGGAGAACTAGATACAGACATAACTCAGAGATATCATGGGTTCAGTTCCAGACCACCACAATAAAGTAAATATGACCATACAGTGAATATCACAATAAAATGAGTCTCAGGAATTTTTTTGGTTTCCCAGTGCATGTAAGAGTTATGTTTATATCATACTGCAGTCTATTAAGCATGCAATGGCAATATATCTAAGAAAACAATGTACACACTTTAACTTAAAAATACTTTAATGCTAAAAATTGCTAATGATCATCTGAGCCTTGAGCGAGTTGTAATCTTTTTGCTGGTGGAGGGCCTTGCCTCAATGCTGATGGCTGCTGACTGATCAGGGTGGTGGGTTTTGAAGGCTGGCGTGGCTGTGTCATTTTCTTAAAATAAGACAAGGAAGTCTGCCACATCAATTGACTCTTCTTTTCGCAAAATATTTCTTTGCAGCATGTGATGCTATTTGATAGCATTTTACTGTCTGCAGAACTTTTATCAAAATTGGAGTCAATCCTCTCAAATCTTGCTGCTGCTTTATCAACAAAGTTTATGTGATATTCTTTTTTTTTTTCTTTTCCTGAGACAAAGTCTCACTCTGTCTCCCAGGCTGGATTACAGTGGCCCTATCTTGGCTCACTGCAACCTCCACCCCCTGGGTTTAAGTGATTCTCCTGCCTTAGCCTCCTAAGTAGCTGGGACTATAGGCGCACGCCACCATGTCTGGTTAATTTTTGTATTTTTAGTAGAGACAGGGTTTCACCATGTTGGGCAGGCTGGTCTCAAACTCCTGAACTCAAGCAATCCACCTGCTTCGGCCTCCCAAAGTGTTGAGATTACAGGTGTGAGCCATCATGCCTGGCTATTTTATGTAATATTCTAAATCCTTTCTTGTCATGTCACCAATTTTACAACATCTTCACCAGGAATAGATTCCATCTCAAGAAGCCACTTTTTTTTTGCTCATCCATAAGAAACGACGCCTGCATTTGTTCAAGTTTTATCATGGGATTGCAAAAATTCGGTCACATCTTCAGGTCCCACTTATAATTTTAGTTCTCTTGCTATTTCTACCACATCTGCAATTACTTCTTTCATTGAAGTCTTCAGAGTTACCCATGAGGGTTGGAATCAACTTCCAAACACCCATTAACATTGATATTTTGACCTCCTCCCATAAATCACACATGTTTTTAATGATATTTAGGATGGTATATCCTTTCCAGAAGGTTGTTAATTTACTTTGCTCAGATCCATCACAGGAATTACTATCTATGGCAGCTATAGCCTTATGAAACATATTTAAGAAATATATCTGCCTGTATCTAGTTCTCCTGTGCTAGAAATACATTTCATAAGGCTATATGATTCATGCCTTCACTCATGATCACATCTTAAATAATGAGACATAAGAGTTAAAATTACTCCTTGATCTATGGGCTACAGAATAGATTCTATGTTGGCAGACATGAAAACAACATTAATCTCCTTGTATATCTCCATCATAGCTCTTGGGTGACCAGTTACAGTGTCAATAAGCAGTAATATTTTGAAAGGGATCTTTTTTTGCTGAGTAGCAGGTCTCAACAGTGGTCTTAAAATACTCAGTAAACCATACTATAAACAGATGTGCAGTTACCCAGGCTTTGTTTTCCATCTATAGAACACAGGCAGAGAAGGTTCAGCATAATATCTTGTGGTCCTAGGATATTTAGAATGGCAAATAACCATTAGCTTCAACTTAAAGTTACGAACTATATTAGCCCTTAACAAGAGAGTCAGCCTGTCCTCTGAAGATGTGAAGACAATGACTTCTCTTCTCTAGCTATGAAAGTCCTAGATGGTGTCTTCTTCCAATTCTAGGCTGTTTCATCTACATTGAAAATCTACTGTTTAGTGAAGCCACCTTCATCAATGACCTTAGCTAGATCTTCTGGATAATTTGCTGCAGCTCCTACATCAGCACTTGTTTCACCTTGCACTATGTTACAGAGATGGCTTATTAAGCCTTATGAACTAACTTCTGCTAGCTTCACACTTTTCTTCTGCAGCATCTTCACCTCTCTTAGTCTTCAAAGAATTGAAGACAGTTAGGGCCTTGCTCTGGATTAGGCTTTAGCTTAAGGAAATGTGGTGGTTGGTTTGATCTTTTATCCAGCACACTAAAACCTTTTCCATATGAGCAAAAAAGCTGTTTTGCTTTCTTATCATTTGCATTCACTGGAGTAGCACTTTTGGTTTCCTTCAAAAACTTTCCCTTTGCATTCACAACTTGGCTAAGTGTTTGGCACAAGAAGCCTAACTTTCAGCCTATTTCAGCTTTTGACATGCCTTCCTCACTAAGCTTAATCATTTCCAGTTTTTGAATACAAGTGAGAGACGAGACGTGTGACTCTTCTTTTTACTTGAACACTTAGAAACCTTCAAAGAGGTATTCACTGGCCTAATTTCAAGATTGTTATGTCACAGGGAACACGGAGACCTGAGGAGAGGGAGAGAGATGGGAGCAAGGGAAGAACAGCCAATCGATGGAGCCGACAGGATACATACAACATTTATGCATTCAGTTATCTGACTTACATGGGTGTAGTTTGTGGTATCCTAAAACAATTACAACAGTAACATCAAAGTTACCGGTCACAGATCACCATAATAGATACAAAATAATGAGAATGTATGAATTACTGTGAGAATTACAAAAATGTGACACAGAGATACAAAGTGTGCACAATGTGTTGGAAAAATGGTGCCTGGAGACTTGCTCAAGGCAGGGTTGTCACAAACCTTCAATTTGTTAAAAAAAAAAAAGAGTATGTGCAAAGTACAATAAAGCAAAGTGCAACACAATGAAGTATGCATGTACAGAGGAAAAGCAGAAACCAAAGTTATCCTAGTTAAATGCATGAATGAATGAATGACCAAAGACAATTAATAAACTAAAAGGAATTTCGAGGCCATTTAAACAAATCACTCATTTCACAAGTGAAAAGCCTAACTTCCAGAGAAGAGAAATTATTTGCCCAAGGTCACACTTGCAGGTACTATTATTGAGCCTAGAGTCCAGATTTCTTTTTTTAATTATTTTTGATTTTTATTTTACTTTAAGTTCTAGGATACATGTGCTGAACATACAGGTTTGTTGCATAGGTATACATGTGCCATGGTTGTTTGCTGCACCTATCAACCCGTCATCTAGGTTTTAAGCCCCACGTGCATTAGGTATGTGTCCTAATGTTCTCCCTCCCCTTTCCCCACAACGCCCCATAGGTCATGGTATGTGATGTCCCCCTCCCTGTGTCCATGTGATCTCATTGTTCAACTCCCACTTATGAGTGAGAACATGCAGTGTTTGGTTTTCTGTTCCTGTGTTAGTTTGCTGGGGATGATGGCTTCCAGCTTCATCCATGTCCCTGCAAAGGACATGAACTCATTCTTTTTTATGGCTGCGAGTCCAGATTTCTTAACAACTAAGTTTATGTATGTTCAGAGAATGGGGAAGGAGTAGAAAATTCATGGTGTGCTGGAGGCAATTTTAACTTTTTAAATCATTTTCCAGAGAGCTGGTCCTAAATTTGTGACTAGTAGCTCTTTCTGTATTTTAAACACTCACTGTACTTTGTAGATATTTCACTGTCAAGGTCTTTATGGAAATGACAGCTTCATAATTATTTTCTCTGTGGAAGCCTTTGCTCAAAGACACTTTCACCTCTTTTGTAGATAGCAATAATCATTTTCATTACCTGACTGATTTAAACAAGCACAAACAAATAAATCAGCTACCCACAAAATTGCTATTTAAAAAAATCTATATCTAAACTATCTAGACAAGTTTTAAATTGTCATGCAATTCTGCAAAGAAGGACAAAAATCAGAATAATGCAAATGTTCAACTCAAGTTTTAAAAGGTCACACTACATGAAATTCAATCTTTCTCATCTTATAGTAAATGCCAAGGTGCCAGACAAGTTGGGAAGAAAGTCAGTCTCTCTGTGAGGCAGCAAAACTATGGGGTTAGACTTGTTTTGTTTCGACTTCATTAGTTCCTGTTTTTTAAGATAATGTGTATTAAAATAGTAGAACAGAAAAATTGTTACAGATGAAAGAAATTAACCCAAAACTTTCTACTTCTTGGCATCAAGGTGCATGGGGTGGGTTGGGAGGAGCAGGCAGTGGAGAGCGAGAGGAGAATGCTGTGTGTGCTGCCAGGGAGACCTTCTGAGCTCCTAGGTGGTCAGATGTCTGCCTCTGCCTCACAGCATTCCAAACATTTGTTCCCTCCAGATGTGTGAGTCAAGTGATTAAACTTTACATCCAGCAGTGTACCCTTGGGCAATTTGTATGAGGGGTGTTTATCAATTATCATGAAAGCATGGCCTGAAAGCAAGACTTAAATGTACCTTCTACAAAAACATAAACTGAAAGAGGTTAGATTTTTGGGTGCAGCAAGTACAAACAACCTTAATCATGTTTGAATCATTCATTCAAAAATATTCCTTGAATGTTTGTTTCCTGCTAGGCAGCCTGCTAGGTACTGGAGATACTGAGGCAGAAAACATAGCCATGGACTTCAAAGAGCTCACTGTCCACAGAGGCTGAAGTGTGTGTGTGGGGGTGGGGGGGCTGGTGGGGGGGGTATTTGGGTGGTGGCAGATACAGAACCCAATGACTGCCGTCTAGGAGAGGCCGCATAGCACAGAAGTTAGAATGTCGTTAACAGAGCCAGTTTGCCTAGGTCCAAGTACTGGCTATGAGCTAAGTGGCCCTGGAGAAAGAAATTACCTCTCTGCATCTGAGTTTCCTCATCTGCAGATAGAAATGGGCTGAATTACATGTATAATGACTAGAACAGTGATGACCCTAAAGCTTACTTTTGAATGAAGAGGAAAAGTTAACTAAGCCAAAAAGGAAGAGTAGAGGCCAAGGGGAGAGCATCCCAAGAAGAGCAGCAGCCTGAGGAAGAGACATAAGTATGAGAGTACATTGCACATGATGGAATGTGCAAGAAGTTCTTTTTCTCCTGCCTCAGCCTCCCGAGTAGCTGGGATCACAGGCATGCGCCACCATGCCCAGTTAATTTTAGTAGTTTTAGTAGGGATGGGGTTTCACCATGTTGACCAGGCTGGTCTCGAACTCCTGACCTCAAGTGATCCGCCTGCCTCGGCCTCCCAAAGTGCTGGGATTACAGGCATGAGCCACTGCACCCGGCCACAAGTAGTTCTTGAGTGGCTTAGAAGTGTAGGGGAAAGGTGGGCAAAAAAGCAAAGGGACAAACAGGAGGCAGCGTGAGGACCCATTGACAGAATTATTCAAGCAGAGTGACCTGATCAAGTTTGCATTTTAGTGATATCATGCTGGGGAAGACAGATTGGAGAAGACAGAGACGGGGCAAGGAGACCAGCCAGAATGTCTCTGCAGCTATAATGGGGGTGCAGAAGTGCAAAAGAGAGAATGCTTGAGATACTAAAGATCCGATTACAGCAGAGAAGGAGGGCATTCTATTATGACAGTTTTATTTCCAAATTAATGCTTGTATATTTAGGAAATTGCGTCCTCCAAATACTGAACTCAAAAATTACCCATCCATGGTTACAGAGTCTGCTAGGCATAGGAAGACAGGGGATACAAAGATAAATTAGATGTAATCTAAGCCATGTATAGCTTAGTGAGGCGGATGGTACCAAAATAATTATAATACATGGCAGAACAGGTGTGCCATTCAGGAAGCACAGCATATACAAGGAAGGAAAGCCATGATATGTGTAAGGATCAGGAAATACTTCAGGAAGATGAAAGCATTTGACATGGGGCATAAGGAATAACAGGATTTTGACAGGTGGAGAATGAAGAGTGGGTATTCCAGTCTGTGGGAACATGATGACCAAGGACAGAAATGTATGAAAGCTGAGGATGTTCAGGAATAGCAAATAGTCCAGTTTATCTGCAAGACTATTTCTATAACTGCATTTCTAATAGCTTTATTGAGGCATAATTGATATGCAATAAATTGGACATACTTTAAGTGCACAATAATTTTAGACATACATACCCCCCATGACAGTCCTTTCTCCATTTCTCTCATTATAAGATTAGTTTGCATTTTCTAGAATTTTAATAAATAAAATCATACAGTATGTCTTCCTTTTGTCTGGCTTATTTCACACAGCATAATTGTTTTAAGATTCATCCATGTTGTAGCATGTATCAATAGTTCATTTGTTTTATGGGTAAGTAATCCATTACGTGGATACAGCACTGTTTGTTTATTCACCCTTCGATGGGAAAGTGGGTTGTTTCTAGTTTTTGGTTATAGTAATAGCAGCAAATAATGCTGCTATGAACATTTATGGTTTTGTATAGACACATAATTTCATTTCTCTTGGGTTGATAGCTAGGAGAGGAATTGCTGGCTCATATGGTAGGTGTGCCTTTAACATTTTAAGGAATAGCCAAACTGTATCAGAGTGACTGTACCATTTTTCATTTTCAAACTGAAGTATATGAAGGTCTGAGTTCTTCCACATCCTCGCCAATACCTAATATAGTGATCATTTTTAATTTTAGCTAGATTCATATGAATGTAGCAGTATCTCACTGTGGTTTTAATTTGCATGTGTGCATTGACTAATGAAGTAGATCACCTTTTCCTGTGCTTATTTTCTATGCATCTATCTTCTAAGATCAAGTGTCTGTATACATTTTTGTCCTTTTAAAAATTGCATTGATTGCCTTTTTAGTATAAATTTAGAGATTTTTTAAATATATAGACTCTTGGCTGGGCATGGTGGCTTACACCTGTAATCCCAGTGCTTTGGGAGGCCGAGGTGGGTGGATCACTTGAGGTCAGGAGTTCAAGACCAGCCTGGCCAACATAGTGAAACCCCGTCTCTACTAAAAATACAAAAATTAGCCAGGCTTGGTGGCACGTGCCTATATTTCCAGCTACTCGGGAGGCTGAGGCAGGAGAATTGCTTGAACCTGGGAGGCGGAGTTTACAGTGAGCTGAGATCGTGCCACTCCAGCCTGGGCAATAGAGCAAGACTCCATCTCCAAATAAATAAATAAATAAATAAAATATATATGTTCTGGATACAAGTTATTTATCAATACACACTTAGCAAATATGTTCTCCCAATCTTTGGCTTGTGTTTTTATTCTCTCAATAATAGGTTTTTAGTTTTAATGAAATCCAATTTATCAATTTTTGCTTTAGTTATTGTGTTTTTGGTGTCTTATCTAGAACCTTTTCCAAACTCAAATTCAAAAATGTTTTGTTTTCTGCTAGAAGTTTTATAGTTGTATGCTTTACTTTGAGGTTGATGATACATTTGAAGGAATTTTTGTATACAGTGTAATATAAAGATTGAAGTACTTTTTGCATTTGGATATTCAATTTTTATATTTTTATAGCACTGTTTGCTTAAAATACTATTTTTCTTGAATTGCCTTTGTACTTCTCTTGAAAGTCAATTACCCATATATATGTGAGTCCACTTCTGGACTCCCTATTAGGTTTCATCAATCAATTCGTCTATCTTATTGTCAATACCCCACTGTTTTGATTGCTGTAACATTATAAAAAGACTAGAATGAAGTGGCGTTTGTCCTCTAGTATTGTCTTTTTTTAAGCTGTTTGGTCATTCTGAGTCCCTTGTATTTCTATATGAATTTTAGAATCAGTTTTCCAATTTCTATTAAAAGATCCACAGAGATTTTGATTAGTATGGCATTGGATTTACAAATCAATGAGGAAAGTGTTACCATCGTAACATTATGTAGTTATTCCTTTCCGCAGATACATATTTCTATTTGATGTAATTTTCTCTCTGCCTGAAGTCTTCCTGTAGTATTTCTTGTAGTGCAGGTATGCAGGTGATGCATTCTTTGAGCATTTGTATGTCTGAGTAAGTCTTCATTTCACCTTAATTTTTGAAGGATATTTTTGCTGGGTATAGAATACAACTTGGCAGTTATTTTTATTTCAGTACTTGGAAAATGTTGCTTAAATGCCTGCTCATTTGCATTGCTTCTAGTGAGAAATCAGCTGCCACCTCTTTGTTCCTCTTATTATAGATTAGTTTGCATGTGTAATGTGTCTTTTTTCTTCGGTGGCTTTTTAAAATTTTCTTTTTAATACTGGTGTTGAGCTTTGTGATTACAATGTACTTTGGTGTCATTAGTTTCATATTTCTTGCACGTATGGTTTATTGAGCTTCTGTGGACCTGGGGGTTTACAGTTTTTATCAAATTTGAGTAATTTTCAGCCATTATTTCTTCAAATGATTTTTGATTCCTTCTCCCCTTTGTGGACTCCAACTACAGGTGTATTAGGCTGCTTGAATTTGTAGCATAGCTCATTGATTCTCTGTTCATTTTTAAAAAATTATCTTTTCTATGTTTCATTAGGAATAGTTTCTATTACTAGGTATTTTTTGCTATGAATGCCATTTGGTATGTTTTCCATCCACACATTGTAGTTTCATATTCAGAAGTTTGATATTAATTTTTTTTTAAATTTCATGTTTTTACTTAACTTTTTGATCATAAGGAATACCATTATATTAACTATTTAAAGGTCCATGTTGGATAATTCTAACATCCATGTCAGTTCTGGGTCAGTTTCAATTGATCAGTTTTTCTCTACATCATGGGTCAGATTTGCTCCTTCTTTGCATGTTTGGTAATTCTCTCTCTCTCTCTCTTCTTTTTTTTTTTTAAGAGACAGGGTCTTGCTCTGTTACCCAGGCTTTGCTGCAGTGGGACCATCATAGTTCACTGCAGCGGCACCATCATAGTTCACTGCAGCCTCAAGCCTCTGGGCTCAAGCAGTTCTCCTACTTCAGCCTTCTAAGTAGCTGGTACTACAGCTGGCTCTAGTGTGCCACCACACTACAGCTCACACAGGTGAAAGCTGGCCCCTGGCTGCCCCTCCCCTGCCCAGTAATGTACCTGCCTCAATGGTTTTGTGGTCGTGGAAATGGAGAGAAGTGTTTGGAAATCCACATGTGAGGAAGAATAGACAGGACTCAAACAGTTTGTTTAGGACACAAAAAGATACAGGAGGAGAAAATTTCCCAGAGTCTTAGACTAATATGCAAGTTAAAATGTGCATCACACCTGGTTAATTATTTTATTTTATTTTATTTTTTGTAGAGCTGGGGCTCTTGCTTTGTTGCCCAGGCTGGTGTTTGGCCTTAAGCAATCCTCTTTCCTTGGCCTCCAAAGTGCTGGGATTACAGGAGTGAACAACTGCGTGTGGCCCTGGTAATTTTTTCATAGGTGCCAAACATTGTGAATTTTACCTTATTGAAGGTTGGATATTTTTATATTCCTAAAACTATTCATCAGTGTTTTTTTTTCTGGGACACAGTTATTTGGAAACCATTTGGTCTTTTCAGGTATTGCTATTAAGGTTTGTTAGGCAGGACTGGAGTGGTATTCCATCTGGGGCTAATTCTTTCCATAGAGGTGAGGCCCTTATGTGTGCTCTACCCAATGTCCCATGAATCATGACATTTTCCAGTCCCACTGGCAGGACAGGCATTATTTCTGGCCTTGTGTGAGTGCTCAGCACTATTTCTTCTCATCCTGTGGTGTAGTTTTTGCCTCAACTCTGTGTAGTCTCCTCATACACATACACTGATCGGTTCTCAGCTAAATGCTAGAGGACCCTTTTCAAAATCTCCAGGATTCTCTGTGTAGTTCTCTCCTTACTGGTATCTGCCTTGTGAACAGTGGCTGTTTCGGTCTTCCAGACTCTCAGCTCTGTCTTCCCAACCCAGGGAGTCTGTCAGGCTCTCCTGCGGTTCCCTCTCCCTGGGCCATGGCTTGAGAGATCAAGGCAGGGGCACTTCTCAGAGGGGCATCTCATTTGTTTCCCATCTCTCAGGAGTCATTGCCTGATGTCCAAGGTTTTGAGCATTGCAGTATCACACATTTTACCTGCTTTTTTGTTTGTTTCAGGAAGAAGGGTAAATATAGTTCCCGTTACTCCATCTTGGTCACAGTGGAAGTCTTCTACCATGCTTTTTCAGATAAATCTTTAAGATATTGTCTTTTCAGTGTGACAGTCTCTATTCTGAAGGCATTATGGCATTTCCTTTGATGTTCTAAGTGACAGATAATTAGATTGTATTTGCTTCAGGTTAGTTGAAAGGTATTTATTGGGCAGCTTCTATGTACCAGTTACTGTGTCTGTAAACAGGAATCAGTCCCAAAGGTTCTCTATATTCCTGGCATCAGTTTACAAATACAGATAATTGGAAGGGACCAATTATAGGGTCTGTATATTATCCATGCTTTTAGTACTCTCTCCTTTCTTCTGGCGCCTGCCAACATCACCACTAATTTTGCATCAAGAACAGCTGGAGAAAATAAGAAATTCAAACTAAATGATTTTACTAATTCTAATTAGCCTTAGTAAAAAGACTTAGGGGCAGAAGTTGAAACTCTGGGGAGAAATACTTTATGCCGATGAGCTGTTGCTTTCTCTGTTTCATGCTATTACTCTATTCCCATAACCATAATAGAAAGTTGGCTCAACTTCAGATAGGAGAAAATGAAGCTTCAAACGGCTCCACCTTAGAAGCTGAGGGGATGAATCAGGCTGGGACAAGGGCATAAGACTGATGACATCATGGGGTTGGACTGCATACAACCATCAACCATCTCCATGGGGGCTCCAGCTTTGAGATGAGCATTTCATAAAATGTTTGAGGCAATTCATTGACCTTTCATGAGTTGGAGCAGTTGACATTTTGCCTGGATCTGAGCCAGAGTGGGCGCTATTCTAAATGAGAAAACAGTTATCCCATCTGCACTAAAGGAACTTTTTCTGATCCTTTGTTCAAGCTTTATTTCCAAGGCACTGAGTGAATTTAATTAATTTCACTAGCACCATCCCCTCCTTAGTAAATTCCTCACACATGTGGATTCACTAAGAAATTGAATTTCATCTCTAGAAAATAACAAAAAAAGGACATTCAACTAAAGGATGAGAGATTAGTTTGGTGAAAGCTCAGTGATCTATTCAAAATGAAAATGCTTGTTTTTTTTTTTTTTTTTTTTGAGACGGAGTCTCGCTCTGTCGCCCAGGCCGGACTGCGGACTGCAGTGGCGCAATCTCGGCTCACTGCAAGCTCCGCTTCCCGGGTTCACGCCATTCTCCTGCCTCAGCCTCCCGAGTAGCTGGGACTACAGGCGCCTGCCACCGCGCCCGGCTAATTTTTTGTATTTTTAGTAGAGACGGGGTTTCACCGTGTTAGCCAGGATGGTCTCGATCTCCTGACCTCGTGATCCACCCGCCTTGGCCTCCCAAAGTGCTGGGATTACAGGCGTGAGCCACCGCGCCCGGCCGAAAATGCTTGTTAAACTGTAATGGGATGAATCATATTAAAATGCAGATTCTGATTCCACAGGCCTGGAGTGGGGTCTGAAACTCAGCATTTCTTACAAATCCCCAGGTGATGTGATGCTGCTGGTGTCCCTGTAATACACTTTGAGTAGCAAGAAGCTAGAAAACGACAAGACATCATTCATTGTCTCATTTTGATGCTAAGTCACTGTTGTAGCCTGGAATACCTTCTCAATTTGACTTTAGTATAAATTTTTCTCTAAGGTTCCTTTCAACTCATAAAAATGTATCATGTCCTAGAAAGTATAGGTCTAGCTTTCTTGTTATCCATACATTCCTCTAGTCTATTGTCAGACATTTGTTGAGCACCTATTATGTGCTTTAGGACACAAACGAAATATGGGATTGTGCTTCAGCATGGATAACAAGAAGGATTCATAGTTTGGTGGAGGAAATAGGCTTTCTTTCCCATAAGCCATACAATGTGGTTAGGGTAGCTTTGGAAGGGGTTTGAAGACAGTGTAATACGATGGTTCCATGACACATGGGCTTTGAAGTCAGAAAGGGCTAGCTCAAACCCAATTCTGTCACTTAATACCTTCGTCTTCATACGGCAAGGGCTGGAAAATTGATAGCCAGGGTTTCTCAGAAGAACAATATCAACAACTCTGGTCTTGAAGGAAGCAGACAGAAACGACTACTCAGAGTAGGTAATATCCGTATGAGGACTGAAGGATGACCACAGGCTTGTGAAGTAGATGTTAGGGGTTGGTGGGTAGGGAAGTGAGAGGATGATTGTAAGCAGAAGATGTCACTAAGGTGTCAAATAACCTATTTCTCTATTTACTTAGTATTTTGTAATAAGTGTGCAAATATTATAGCTTTGTAAGTAGATCAAATTAAAACTCTCCTGGGGGAACCTAGATCTTTAAATGAATCCTATGGACAATTCCTCTTTGAAGTCAAAAGGAGGGGCAAGATTTCAGTGGAAAGTGCATAGTGGACATGGACTCAGAAGCTCTGGGTTTGAGTCTCAGGTCTGCTCCTAGCAGCTCTTCATCATTCGGAGTAGATGGACACAATGTTCTTTCCATTTCTAGCAGCCCCATAATGTAGGTACCATTACTGTTACTACCATTCTATGAATTAAAAGACTGAAGCCCAGAGACATTAGGTAAAATGCTCAAAGTTATCAATTAGTAGAAGGCAGAGCAAATGTCTGACCTCAAGTCCACTGGATCAGGTTTTGTACTTTGGGATGTTTGCCTTTGTTTGATTATTTCAAAAGAGCATTTCTCATACTTCCCCAATGATTACACTTGCCTAGAAAACCTGCTGAAACTGCAGATTTCCAGGCCCCTTTTTTTGGAGGTTCCAATCCTGTGGATCTGGGATGGGGCCAGGAATCTATATTTTTATCCACTGATATTACCCCCATCTCCCTATATAAGTCTTATTTTTAGAGGAATTTGAGAAGCAGCATGGCCTGCAATAATGGGTTGAATAGTGTCCTCTCAAAGTTCATTTCTACCCAGAACCTCAGAATGCAACCTTATTTGGAAAAAAGATCTTTGCAATGTAATTAGTTGAGATGAAATCATATTATAATAGATTAGGTGGACTCTAAATCTAATGACTGTGTTCTTATAAGAAGAGGAGAGGACACACAATGATATACACATACAGAGAAGGCCAGTAAAGACTGAAGCGGAGATTGCAGGGATGCAGCTACAAGCCAAGAAATACCAAGGATTAAAATACCAAGCCAAGAAATACCAAGGACACTAGAAGAAGGCAAAGGCAAGGAAGGAGGATTCTTCTCTAGAGGCTTCGAAGTGGTACCTTGCGGTTTTGGCCATCAAGACATTGGCCCTACCAATGCCTTGATTTTGAACTCCTAGTGTCCAGAACTATGAGAGAATACATTTCTATTGTTTAAGACACCTGGTTTGTAGTAATTTGTTATGGAAGTCTAGAAAACTAATATACCTGCCATTTGGAAGATTGGGGAAATAATTACTGTCTTAAATTGACATTTTAACATAAAAAGCTGGCAACAGTATTGCTTCTTTGAGAGGAGAACCAAGTGGCCTGGATGTAGGACTTAAAGATAGACTTATTTTTCACTGCAAGTCCTCTGTACCTTTTGAATATTAAACCAAGTGCATGTACAGATGGTCCCCAACTTATAGTGGTTCGACTTAGGATTTTTCAACTTATGATGGTGCAAAAGCAATGTGCATTCAGTAGAAACTGTACTTCAAGTACCCGAACAACCTCCCTGCTTTTTCACTTTCAGTACAGCATTCAATAAATTACATGAGATATTCAATACTTTATTATGAAATAGTCTGTGTTAGATGATTTTGCTCAACTGTAGGCTAATGTAAGTGTTCTGAGCATGTTTAATACAGGCTAAGCTAAGCTATGACGTTCAGTAGGGTAGGTGTATTAAATGCATTTTTGACTCATGATGTTGTCAACTTATGATGGGCTTATCAGGATGTAACCCCATGTAAGTTGAGGAGCATCTGTGTTACTTATTGAAAATATAAACGAATAAATCATGAAATATTTTAAAGTGATACCCTAGAGCAACATGTAAGTTACTTGGGACCAGAAATCTGTATGTTTCTTGCACTCCACCAAAGAAATAAACAAATCACATTAAAGCCATTAAACATTATGGTCCCATTCCAAAGAATGACTTTCAAGGTCAATCCTGGGGGTGAGGATGATTTAACTCACTGATCAGAATCTTGTACAATGATAATAAAACCTCTGCAAGATGGCACAGAGCTCCTGAAAGACACCAAAGATCAGAATCCTCTACTAGTTAGGATAAGAATGGGGAACACATTTTTATCTCTAGTTTATGTCCAGAAATACACTCAAAGGCACGAAGTGACTTATTTCACATAACTGAGAGAGTTAAGTATCAGAGCCATTCAATCCATTCAGTGTAATATTTATTGAGAACGTATTGTGTACTAGGAAGTAAAGACATAGGGAAGAATCAGATGCCTTCCTGTTGCTGTCCTGGGACAGTTTGCCATCAAATCCATTCCTTGCACTTTTCCTGAGTTTGGTCAGTTATCACAGGGGGATGATTCCCTGAGGCTTCTGTGTCACATGGCTTCTGCCAAATAGGAGGCACTGAAGGAGACTGGAGGGCAGGAGGAAGGGAAAACCATAGTACCTCAGGTCCCCCACTTGACCTAGTGTGGAATCTCCAGCAGCAACAGTGTCTTCTCTGTGGCTCCACTAGCTGGCCAGGTCCACTGTGGTTCTGGCTTTTGCAAAGTGGCTCTGCACCCTGGATGCTGGTAGCATCTTCCCTCTTACTTTGCCCCTGTAGCCTAAGAGAGGTGGAGCTTCCTGTTATTGCTAACTTCTAAGTGGCCTCATCATTTCCTGCTGGATTCTCAGGTCCTTCATCAACAGTGAACCAATTGCCTGCATTCAATTCTCTGCTAAAATGCCCCAAAGTAGTCTGGACCCTGAAAGGCCTCTGCAGACTTTGTTTTCCCATGCTTTTTTCTTTCTTTTTTTTTTTTTTGAGACCAAATCTCACTCTGTCGCCCAGGCTGGAGTGTAGTGGTGTGGTCTCGGCTCACTGCAACCTCCGTCTCCTGGGTTCAAGCGGTTCTCCTGCCTTAGCCTCCCGAGTAGCTGGGATTACAAGCATGCATCACCATGCCCAGTTAATTTTTGTAGTTTTAGTAGAGGCAGGGTTTCACCATGTTGGCCAGGCTGGTCTCAAGCTCCTGACCTCAGGTGATCTGCCCACCTCAGCTTCCCAATATGCTGGGATTACAGGCGTAAGCTGCTGCACCCAGCTGATTTCCTGTGCTTTTAAGCCACCCTCTCTGCTTGGGCTATGATGGACAACGGAGCAGCAAAAACTGTCAGATTCCCAGAAGTGCCTGTTTCAGGGCCTCTTGCTCTACTATGACTGGTTGGCACCAGGGCCTCCTGGATGGGGAGGGACAATGTCCCTCCCAAAGGCCAACCCCCATGCCAACCTCTCCTCCCCAACAGCCCCTCTGGTTTAGAATTTAAGGGTCTTCAGGACAAGCAGTTCTAAGCTGAAAGGCTGCAACTGCAATTTAAAATATCTGCCACATGGAAGTAGGGAGTCGACCTAAGATAATCTTAAAGCTATGCAACTCTTACAAGTAGGCCTACAGAAGTCACAGTTCTGGTTATCGTGAAAAAAACAAATATGCTGTACAGTGGCCATAGTTGGAGAATATTTTCCCTCATAAGCAGAGCCTCATGGGTTTGGCAAACTGTTATACTGACCGAGGCAATCATTGTAAAGGAGAGTTTTTTTCATTTAGGGACCAGGACTTGGGAGTTCTTGGGGAATATCCAAGGCACCATTAAAAAATCATTGCTGAAGAAATTCTAAACATCTGTTTGACCTGGCCCATAGCAACATGTAGACTGCAGGAATGCTGAATGGGAAAACTGAGAAGCTCATCTCTATTTCCTGGGTCACCCTTGTGTTCCCTTTGCTTTATCCACTCATCAGTTCATCCAGCCATCTATCCATTCCTTCAGGGAGTATTTATTCACTGTCTACTCTGAGCCAGTCACTGGGTTGGACACTGGGAGATGGAATGAAGAGCAAAAGCAAACAAGGCTGCTTTACTCATGGAGCTGGTGAGGAAGACAGATGTTACTAAAAAGAAAAGATAAAATGAAATGTGAAACCACTACATGGTAACAGATATAAGGAGTTGAGGCATTGAGACTCAAGTTGGCAAAGCTCATAGCACACAGTTGCTGAACAGCAATAGGCTGTGGGTTTCTTATGGGCCTAGTGATGGGGCAAGGACGTCTTCAATGCGGTTTGTTTTTTTTCCTTACATTCTTATAGCATCATAGTTTATGAAATGCTTTAACACATATTGCCTCATTGGACTTTCACACCAATGCTGTAATGGCAAGATTGGAGAAAAAAAGAAGGTTGAGAATTACTGTAGCAGAAGTTAATTCAGATGAAAATATGACAGAAAGGGTACAGAAGTGAGGGCAAAAAGAGAACAAAGTGTTTTCAAGTCTCTATTCTTTATTTTTCAAAAATTAGCGGCCTTGTCTAAAAAAAATCCTAGTAATTATAAGCTAGGAAGGCAGAAGGAATGTCACAAACTTACATTCTAGCATTTTAGCTGTGGCAGAATTTGGTTATGCTACAGTTACACTTAGTTTTGCTGAGGCAAACAGAGACAAAGGTTCCTTTTCGAACAAAGGTATCTTTAGACCCAGAAGGAAAGAAAGTCAGCTGCAAATAGTAAAGGTCTCTAAAAGCAACAGCTAAAATTGCAGTAACAAATAACACTTTTCACATGTTTTAAGTGTGAAAAGGCCCAGTGGTCTTCATCTGGGACCTCTGGGTTACAATCATTCACTTGGATGGCTTCAAGTAAAAAGAAAGTAACATGGCAGCCTTTGGGGCTCTGTATTAAGAACTATATAAAGTGAGGAAGAGAAAGAAAAAATTTCATTTACAAAACAGGCTAAGCTTCCTGAGAATTACTGGTGTTTCTCAGAAAATATTAATCAGCTTGATGAACTCTTAGTACATTTACATGATGATCCTATTAGTTACAATAGGATAGATTTATACTGTGGTATAAAATGCTCCTGAAATCTCAGTCACTTAGTACAACAAAAGTTTATGAAAATAATATGCTGTATGTCCACAAAGGGTCCTATGTGTCAGAGTGGATACATGCTCCATTAGATCACTGGAGAAGCCAGGCTAAAGGGAAGCTCTGTCATTTTGTACTTGCACTTCCAGGAACACACATACTTATCATTGTCTCAGCCCAGAAGTGCACACATCACTTCCAGTCATATTTCATTAGCCAAAATTAGCCACAAGACCCAACATAATTGTGGGAAGGCCTGGAAATGCAGGGGAACAAAGGGACTATTTGGTGAGCACTACTCTCTCTGCCACAAGAACCTCTTTCCAGAATTCCACAAAACTGATCACAGGAGGTAAACTATCTTTGCCACAATTCCCCAAACCATAGTCAGGGCACAGAGTTTCCTTTAAAATCTTATTTTGAGTCTTTAGAAGAGATGAGAATTAGCATTTCTTGAGCTTCTACCATGTAGCCAACACTTTGTGCAATGGATACTGTGAACTTACTCAACCTCATTGCATCTTCTTTGTGATGTACCTTGCTGTACTACAGAGGATAGAATGCTTAAAGATATATCCACCTTCCCAGATTTCCTTGCAGTAAATCTTTCACTGAATCTGACTGTGATAACACTTGCTAAATATTGTTATATACATAAGTTCTTTTAACAACTTTCTGAGAACTCTTGATTGTTGAAATAAGTAAGCTTGTGACTATGGGTAGTTTAAGTTTGACCTTAAATAACTACAAGCATAAATTTGTTTGAAGTCTCATGTTGTACTTTGTCATAAAATGAACTCTACAATAAATTCTATCCTTCCAAAATTCAGAGTAAAATTCATGTTCCTAGAAGGTATACCTTTTCATTCAGTGCTTTATATATTCCCTGGTAAAACTCATCTTATTCAAGAAGTTATGCACTTGAGAGGCATGTAAACTGGCAATTCTGAAAAGTAGATCTTATTATGCCCATTTTACATATGGAATAACTGGGGCATAGAGAGGTAAAGTATTCGAGATCACAAAGAGACAGGATTCAAACCTAGGTCCATCTGATTACAAAGCCACATGCTCTTTCCACTACAACTTGCAGACTGCTATGAGAGCAGCAATTCATTAGTTCTCAGCTGCTATGAGCATTGGTTTTTAATGAAGTTTTCATTAGTTCATTTAGCTAAATGCTGGTATATAGCAGTTAGTTTTCTCTTCCACAGCTGAAAAAAGCTCAAAATGGTGTACTTCTCACCCTATGAAGGATTCCAAAAGAAAAGGTGGACAGAGCACAACAGAAATAGCTGGATAACTAGGAAAAAAATGACCAAGGTACATGTTCTAAATTGCTGGTGGCACAATTAAAACTAAACAGCTGGGCATGGTGGCTCACATCTGTAATATCAGCATTTTGGGAGGCTGAGGTAGGAGAATTGCCTGAGGCCAGGAGTTCAAGAGCAGCCTGGGCAACATAGTGAGACCCTGTCTCTACTACAAATAATTTCAAAAATTAGCTGGGCATGGTGGGTTTTGTGCACCTGCAGTCCCAGCTACTCAGGAGGCTGAAGTGGGAGAATCGCTGGAGCCCAGGAGGTCAAGGTTGCAGTGAGCTATGATCATGCCACTGCACTCCAGTCTGGGTGACAGAGTGAGACCCTATCTCAAAAAAAAAAAAAAAACTTTATACACAGAGATAATAATAGATTTGTAAAGGCTGGAAACCTGATGCATATGGAAGTCAACAGAACCTTGGGATTGCTCTGGTATCCACAGAAATATTTTGGTCCAAATTTCCACTCTGGCTCATGCACCTTGTTTTATTTGTCACTCTTCTTTTCTACATATCTGACAGCAGGCCAGAGAACTGTGCCATATAAATTTATTGGAATATTTCTATAAAGCCATACATGGCCTTGGAAAGCTTCTACACTTTCTTAGTGATTCAAGGCCTGTCTCTGTGTTTTCTGGAGAAATTAATCTAAGGATGCTATTTGCAAACTGACCTAGTTCTTCAAACTGTCAGCTACTACAGATGCAGGATTAGACAGAAGTATATAAAATCATGATGTGGTTTTCGTTTACCCAAACGGCTGTTTTATACTTTTCAACTGAAAATACGACTTTCCCAGGACTTAATAAAACCCTCTAAAAAATTCTTAACACATCTTCATGATACTGAAAGAATCCTTTGATAATCTTAGTAGGGCTGGATTTTTTTTTTAAGTGGGAGATTGGAGGATTTTACATTTGCTAAGTGTCTAGTATGTCCCAGGCATTAGGCAGATGTCAACTTATTTAATTCTAAAAATAGTATATTCATAGAGATACTATCATCCTCATTTCATATATTCAAAAAATTCAAAGAAGTTAAGTAAATTGCCAAAAGTCACCCAGATAATAAGTAGAAAAGATGGTAATGAAATCCAGGTTGGCCTGGTCTGAAAGTCAATTATCTTTTCAAGGCTGCACAACGGATTTGGTAAAAAATATTGATGGAGTGCTTGAGAAAATAGCTCCAAGAATTCTAACTTCTGGATCTAGGGTTTGGTTTCCAGGTAACATGAAGAAACATTTTCCGATTGTCTGAATGTTTAATAATACAGGCAGTGAAAAGAAATTGCACTGCTTGGCCTTTATTGTGTGTTTCATAACAGAGATCTGGGAGAGGGTTTTATTCTAGGGTGAAAAAAACACCACATTATAAGTGAAAGTGTGCGCATAAAGGGTAAGTGATTTGGCATTTTAAATGAAAGTAAATTAATGTTAAAAAACATTTTTGCAGCCTAGAGTTTTGACTTCCACTGAGAACAGTTACTGCTCAAATGTGCCCCCTTCCTCTCCTTATATCCCGTCTGTCTCTCTGCTGCCTTTTTATGGATATGTCACTATTAAAACCAGCTTGGCATTGTGACAACATTCTTACTGGTGCCTTCTCTAGTCTCCAGTTTTGTCATAATGGAAGAATATGGTCCCTGTAGACCTTGGCCACTTTCTGAGAAGAGTAAAAAACGAATGTCCAACCCTATTTCAGAGCTAAGCTGCCCTGTTCTCTCCCTGATACATGGCTCTTTTGCAACTTCCAGCTTGACCAAAACCAACTCTGTCTTCCTCTGAGCCTCTCAATTGTCACTTCCCTATCCAGCTCATATCACAGTGGCTAAAAGAAATCTTTATCAAAACTCTTTTATTAAACAACTTTTATTAAACAGGAAGCTATAAATACTGATTTGGGGCTGCCCAAGACATTTTTCTCCAACAGGGTCAGGAAATGAAGTATGTGGATTAACCACATTTTCTTATAACTAGTTATCACTTGTATTATACATATCAGACCTATTTTCAAAGAGGCAGAATGTAAATACAATTTTGTGACTTTTTTTTTTTGCCTCCAGATTCATTATTTGCCACTCTTTGCCTTGCTCTGTGCTCCAAGAGGTCAACCTCTATGGGCTAAATGGCATCACTCAGGCTCCTCCCTCACCTCTGGCTTCCAATTATGCATGGCCAACCAGAAGCCCCAAAGGGGATTCCATGGCGGAAGAAAAAGGTTGGGGTACTGACCTACCTCCAACCCCAGCTGGGCCACTGTTCCCCTCCCAGGGCTATAGTCCTCTCCAGGTGGTAGTAACTTGCTCTTTTTGCTCCTCAGACCCAAGGGTGGGTAAGAGCTTCCCACTGGGTGCTAGGTCCTGGGTGCTTCCCCACCACTTGTTGGTTCCCGAGACAGCCCCTTCCTCTGTCTATAGTTCCTGCATTATGCTCTTTAGCTGACATTTCAGGGATGACACCTGTCTCCTGACTGATACCACTCATTTATCCTTCTGTGTTTAGTGAGTGATTTCTATATACCATTCTAAAAATTGGCAAATACAAAAGAAAAACCATACATGCTGCTGTCCTTAACAAGCTTGGAAATCCAGTAAGGAACACAAAACTCTCAAAATGCAGTCGTACTCTAAGTCTCAATTTAGGCAATATCTCCAAAAGCCTAAACCTTTCCTCCACCTACCTCTGCCCTCCATCAAGACATACCTGACCTGAGTCCCATTGACTCAGGACCAGTGCAGTAAGCTAACTAATAGTGGCCAAGTGTGTGGCCGACTATGGCTCTGAGCAAAATTAATTCCGGAATACTTCTTTTTCCTCATCCCTCCAAGCCCATTTCATCACCAACTCCTGCCAATTCTATCTGTTTAAGTCTTTCAAATGTATCTAACTATTCTTCAGAATCACTGCCCTAACCTTATAAAAGAAGCCAGGATTAGTTCTCACCTAAATTTCTGCAACAGCATCCTAGCTAGTCTCCCAGCCTCTAGTCTTGCCTCCTATTGATCTATGCAGCCAGAGAGATCTTTGCTACATCACTCCATGGCTTCAGACCCCTCCTAGAAAAAAGTTCAAGTTATAAAGTGGCTTAGCTCTCATCATGATGACTTCTCCAGACTCATCTCTTGAGATATTTTTTTTTTTGCTTTCTTTTGAATTTTAATGTTTGTGGGTACACAGTAGGTATAGACACATTCTTCTTATGAATTGCTCCAAACAAACTAAACCTCCCATTCTTCAAGGAACTATAGAACTATATTTTTTCTTGCCTTAGTGTCTGTACTTACACTAGTTCCTTTGCTGAGAATACCCTCCCTGTCTTCCTATCTCAACCTTTGACCTGGCTAACACTTACTTTATTATTCAAGTCTAAGCATAGACATCACTCCCTGTTGACAACACCCAGCCTGCTTTAAAAACAGAACTTTGGATGCAGTGTCCTTCCTGCGAGGAAGACTCCATAGCATCCTGTACTTTCCTCATTGTCTTTCTATGATATTGTTTGCTTAATTACCAACTTACTTGTAGATATTCCCTACCTAATGGGAAGCTATGTCAGGGCAAGGACTCTGTCATTGATTGATGCAGCCTCAACATCCAGCAAAGAACCAAGACGACTGAAACTATCTATTGAAAAGTTGAAATTTAAGAAAGGGAGCAATATCTCAATTGCTAGTTCAACACACTAGCAATGTCAAAATTCCTGTTACAGTATTGTTTAGGATCAAAGGGAGTATCAGCCAATAGATACACACCTTATATGTCCACACAGGTCTTGTTTTAAGTGTATCTGCAGTGCTGTGTCCCAAACTCATTCTCCACTAAGGAAATCCAAATTTCACATGTGTCAAAAGAAGAAAGAGCAGGGGTGTCTTTGTGATGCCCCCATTTCCACTGTAGAATCTCCAGGCTAGGTGATGCCTGCTTGAATAGAGGATGCCTGCATGATAGCATTGGAGTTATTTTCAGAGGCATCATTATCTCTGCTTGAAAATCCTTGGGCAGCTTTTTGCAAACAAAATAGAGTTCAATTAATGTATCAAGAACAAAGGATCAAGACCTATATAGTGAGTCAAGATTAGCAAAAATCCTTCAGCACCCAGATGGTCAAGTTTAACCTCTCAGAGTGCACTTTGGAAACTAAAATTTTCCAGGAATGGTGCTGACAGGTACGGACATGGGCTAAAATGAACTCATAAAGAGCTCTGTATTGATGAAGTCATAGAACCATGCTTGGTGAACCCTCTCCTCAACTCTTTCTTAAGGTAAACTGGAGGTACTTAAATTCATTTTTTAACTAGCTTACCACTGCCAGTGAAACCTCATTAATTCATTCACACTGATTAAAAATGTATGATAATTAGGATGAATGCTGAAGTTTATCTAGGAAGAAAACAAATTTTCTTAAAAATAACAAGACTAGAAAAATATTTTTTAAGCTCATTAAAATGAATCTTTTGTGTACTCTGTTATATACCAATATGCAAATTATGCAAGGATTCTCTTCGGGAAAAACGGTGGTTTGGCTATTCATGTTGATCTCCTGCCTTTTGTAAGATCCAGTAAAAAGACAGTAAAGGAGGTCTAAACTCACAGGAGAACAAGACAGGCACAACATGTTTGGAGGACAGACAGCGATGGAGCTGGGTTACTGACTCTGCAGAGTGGAGGAAGAGTATAAAATGCTATAACCTAAAGGGCCACAAAGAGAATTCCATCCAGATGTGAGTCCCTTGGCTCTGCACAACCTGCATGGGCTCAGAACCTCCAGAGACAGGGTAGGGGGTGATATGGCCCTGAAAAGAGGGCCCTAAATGAAGTCTGTATGCTGAGTGTTGGGACTCTCAGAACAGTGGAAAGTGGGTATTCTCCCACTATCTACCCCCAATCCACACTCAAAAAGACAGAATGATTCTCCCATAAGTAACTGCACAGACCCAGGTAAAGCTTCTAAACACTGATATTTGCAGAATTGGGAAGGATCTCTTGGTAAGGCTTGGTTCACCAAGCAATAACTCTATGTGAATTCTCACCAGTTGACATCCCCCTCCCCACTCCCCACATAGGTTCCAACATGTTTTACTCAGTGCAAGAAATGAACAGATAGCAATGGATCACCAGACATTTGAGAAAACCTCCAGTAAAGAAGATGAAGATAAAAACAAACAAACAAACAAACAAACAGAAAACAGTAAATGGAGGAAAAAAGAACACAAAGAAAAGTAAAAAGAGAGAATATTCTCCAAGAATTAACGGAAAATATGACATCCAAAAAAGAACAAAATTCTATAAAAAAATTCAGAAAACAAAAAGCTAAAATATGACAGGTAAAAGGTGAACAAAATATATTCATGAGAAGGATTAAAAAATAAAGTAAAAAAAAAGGTAATGTAAGCAATAGAGAAAAAAACCTTACAACATCAATCTAGAAGCCTCAACATCCTTCTAACAAGACATGTGAAGAGAGATAACAAAAAAAGAGAGGAAGACATTATAAGATTAATAAATTCCCATTGCTTTAAAAAATAAATCTTTTAGATCTATTTGAGTTTTAAATTATCTGTCTTATCATTTTGATAACATTTAAAATTTCACTTAAAATAATTTTAAAAAGGGACTGTATGAGATCTATTTTGTTAGGTCTGTTATGAGTGCCACCAGGCAGTACTTCTTTACTTAGTCTCATTCACTATATATGCTTAAAAATAATACAACCATTTAGTACTTGTTTCCTATTTCAAATTTCTGACTAATTCAACCCAACCTCTCTGAACTTCTCCTTCCCAACCACCATTAAAACGATTGCTGAAATGTCAGTATGTATTCTACTTCCTAAATTTCTCAAATGCAGAGTGCCCACACTGTTGAATCTAAGGCTAACATCACCTCTTTTTGTATGTATACCCTTTCTACCATAACAAAGTATTTCACATGGGTTGCCTAAGTGAGAAGCAAATACTGACATGTATGTAGGTGGGTGGGTACGTAGGTAGATAGACGATAGATAGATAGATAGACAAATAGGTAGATACATAGATAGCTGAAAAAGCATGACCAAAATGGTGGTTCTGGTGGTAGAGGGCAGTCCATAATTTCAAATGAAGGAGGTAAATTATCCAAAAGATAATACTCATAGTTTTTTGTTTGTTTTTAGTTTTTTTTTTTTTTTTTTTGAGATGGGGACTCGCTCTTTCGCCCAGGCCAGACTGCAGTGGCGCTATCTCGGCTCACTGCAACCTCCGCCTCCTGGGTTCACGCCATTCTCCTGCCTCAGCCTCCCGAGTAGCTGGGACTACAGGCGCCCGCCACTGCGCCTGGCTAATTTTTTGTATTTTTAGTAGAGACGGGGTTTCACTGCGTTAGCCAGGATGGTCTCAATCTCCTGACCTCGTGATCCACCCACCTCGGCCTCCCAAAGTGCTGGGATTACAGGCGTGAGCCACCGCACCCGGCCTGTTTTTAGTTTTAAATTGAATGGTAAATGTTTAACTTCTTATGTTAAATTACACTTGAAAAAATAGAATATTGACTTTTGTTGATGATATACACAGCCGATTACAAGCAATTCCACTGCTGTGTTTCAGGAGGTTTCCAGTTCCAGCAAAACAATGATCTACATAAATTCAGGAATGCTTCTGCCACTGACACCTGGGTTTTCTAGATAAAGTATAATAAGAAAAATGTGCTTGTTTGTGTAATGCTGATCTTACAAGAAAGAAAAGGAAACTCCCAGGTGTCAAAAAAAGGGGGTGGGGGCGGCATTACAAATCAGAATGGTGAGTATTTAAGCTAATCATAAAGCATCCCTGGGAAAGTGGGTAGGGTGGTGTGGTGACTGCAGTGGGTCAGGTAGTGGTGGGTGAGTTGAGGACTTGGAATTTGACAAATAAAAGATAGTTAAGGTATTGAGAACCCATGAGTTGGGAAAATGGAACTGAGGTCCCTACAAAAAGCCAGAAATCTCAAAGGGCTTAAAAATGTCTGTGAAAGAATGTCTTACAAAATAATCTCTGCTTGACAGCTTGACCTTCCAGTTCTCTCTCCTGGACTCTGAGTACAGAGAGAAAAAAAAGTCCCCTTTTCTTGCACCCAGCAATGAGGATATTTTGACTGAAAGCTACATTTACCCCATAGTTATCCTGCCACCAATTAGAGGATGCCAACATTAAGTCATCTAATCATAATAATCAAACATGATTATATTATTGGCCACATTTTATAGATAATGTCTTAGTCTGTTAGGTAATGTCTTAGTCTGCTATAACAAAATACTTCTGACTGGGAAACTTATAAACAACATACATTTATTGATCACAGTTCTGGGGACTGGAAAGTCCAAGATCAAGACACTAGCAGATTTGGTGTCTGGTTAGAGCCTCACAGTGCCTATTATGTGTCCTTATGTAGCAGGAGGGGCACATAGGCACCCTTGGGCTCTTTTATAAAGGCACTAATCCTGTTCATGAGGATGGAGCCCTTATGACCTAATCATCTTCCACAGGCCCCATCTCTTAATACTATTACAATGGAGAGGAGTTTTCAACATATGAATTTTGGGGAGACACAAACATTCAGACCGTAACATTCTGTCCCTAGCATGCCCAAATTCATGTCTTTCTCACATGCAAAATACATTCATTCCATCACAATAGCCCCCAAAATTCTTAACTCATTCCAGCATCAACTCAAAAGTCTAAAATCTGAAGTCTCTCTAAATGTCGTCTAAATCACATGTAAGTGAGACTCAAAGATATGCTTCATCTTGAAGCAAATTTCCCTCCAGATGTAGGCCTGTGAAATCAGACAAGTTATGCATTTCAAAATGCAATGGTGGGACAGGCACA
The DNA here is from genome assembly GCF_000001405.40 of Homo sapiens. NCBI lineage: Eukaryota > Metazoa > Chordata > Mammalia > Primates > Hominidae > Homo > Homo sapiens. The sequence continues at coordinate 120,684,571 of NC_000008.11, forward strand.
GAATAGGAGAGAAAGGGAAAAATAGGAAGAAAGAAAGGAATAACAGGTCTTGACCAAATCTATACCCAACAGGGCAAAAATTGAATTTTTTTTTTTTTTTTTGAGACTGAGTCTCATTCTGTTGCCCAGGCTGGAGTGCAATGGCATGATCTCGGCTCACTGCAACCTCTGCCTCCTGGGTTCAAGCAATTCTCCTGCCTCAGCCTCCCGAGTAGCTGGGATTACAGGCATCTGCCACCACACCCAGCTAATTTTTTGTATTTTTAGTAGAGATGGAGTTTCACCACGTTGGCCAGGCTGGTCTTGAACTCCTGACCTCAGTTACTCCACCCGCCTTGGCATCCCAAAGTGCTGGGATTACAGGTGTGAGCCACCATGCCCAGCAAAAATTGAATCTTAATTCTCCAGAATAATTTTCTTTGACTCAAAGTCCCACCTTCCAGACACACTGGGATGGGGGTTGGGCTCCCCAGGCTCCAGGTAGCCCTGCTCTTCATGGCTTTGATGGGCACAGCCAATGTGGCAGTTCTTATGGGTTGAAGTTGCATGCCTGCAACTCTCCCAGGCAGGAGTTGCACACTGATGGCTCTACTGGTGGGAGGTCTTGTCCCTGAGGTGGCTCTGCCCTTATGGCTCTGCTAGGCACTGCCTTAGTGGGGGCTCTCTGTGATGATGCTGGCCTCACAGCCCTAGTGGACATTGCCCTAGTGGGGGTTCTCTTTGGTGGTCCCACCTCTGTTCTCTTTCTGGGCCCCAAGGCCCCACACGGCGTCCTTTGAAATCTAGGTGGAGATAGCCATGTCCTCACTGCTTGTGCACCCTGTGTATTGGTGTAGTGGCACCTTGCAGATACTGCCAAGTTTTACTACCTGTGCCTTCCAGAGGGCAGCCTAAGCCATGCCTGGGGCCACTTGAGCCACAACTGGGGCAGCCAAGGATCAACATAACACAAGGCACAGAGCAGAGTCATTAAATTGTTCTGTTCCCAAGGCCCTGGCAGCCTTAAATCTCCAAATGCCTTCAGGGTCATTCTTCCATTGTCTTGATGAATAAATAGCATTGGGATTTCACCTACTCATCCTAATCTCTTTATCAAAGGTTACACTCTTTGTATTCTCTCCAGAACACATTTTTTTCATTATTTACAACAGGCTGGGAATTTTCCAGATCTTTAAGTGTTGCATCTCTTTTGATTATACATTCCATTTTTAATCATTTCTTTCTTCTTGCCTTTTACTGTAAGCAGTCAGGAGAAGCCATGCCACACCCTCAACACTTTGCTTAGATATTTCTTCCGTCAAATATTCTATTTTATTGTTCATAAGTTCCACCCTCCACAAAACTCTAGGACATGAACACAATTTAGCAAAGTTCTTTGCCACTTTATAATGAGGATGGCCTTTCCTCCATTGTCCAATACCATGTTCCACATTTCCATCTGAGACCTAATCAGAACTGCCTTTACCACCATATTTATACCAATATTCTGACCATGGCCACATAAGATAATTTCGAAGAAGACTGAGGCTTTCTCTACAGCTCTCCTCTTCTGAGACCTCACCAGAATTCTCCTTAAATCTCCTTTCACAGCATTGTACCTCAAAATTCTTCCAGCCTCTACCCATTACCCAGTTCCAAAACCACTTCTACATTTTTAGGTATTTGCTATAGCAACACCCCAATTCTGTATCAATTTCTTAGTCTATTCAGGCTGCTATAAAAAATATCTTAGATTGGGTAGTTTACAAACAATATAAATTTTTTTCTCACAATTCTGGAGACTGGACAGTCCAAGATTAAGGCACCACAGATTTGATGTCTGGTGAAGGTGTGTTCCTCATGGCTGGTACCTACTATATGTCCTTGCATGGTCTAAGGGGAAAACAGGCTCCCTTGAGCCTCTTTTATAAAAGGGCACTAATCCCATTCATGAAGTATTAACCTCATGACCTAACTGCCTCCCAAAGGTCTCATCTCTTAACATTATTACGTTAAAGATTAGGTTTCAATATGTGAATTTGGGGGGTGGGGGGACACAAACATTAAGACTATAGCAAAGAAGGAACCTGAAAATCAGAGAGATTGGATAATTTACTTAAAGTTAAAGGGAATAAGTAACAGACTTGGGATTTAAACCCATATTTTCCAGAATAACTGCAACTCTAGAGTTTTATTCACTGATACAAGCATGCAGTTAATCTGGACCTGTTTTTACATATGTAAAACATGCCCACTTATTACAGCACCATATACATATACTTTATATATATTTTTTTCTGTTTCCAAAATTTAATGACAATCATGAATTCTGGCAATAGTTTCCATTATGAAGCCACCATGACGTGCCCAACAAAGAATGAAGAAACTACATTCAGAAAATACATATTTTGTGGGCTTCTTAAAAAGAGATGTACTTTTCACAAACAAAGACTTACAGAGGAGAAAAGACAGGAAAAAGTACCTCATAAATCTTCATTCTCGATGCACTAAAGGAGGAAATGTTTCAATAGTATTCAAAGTTTAATAAATTTGAGAGTTCTATATAAAACATGAGGGGGCAATAATGTACCCCCAAACACTGGGAAAAAGAGGAGAAAGGCTGAACTGGTAAAATGATTCCTCCCTTGTTTGTAGCCACCAAAGACCATCTGTCTATGAATGTGTAACTAAAGTATTTGGAAACATCTAAAACTCAAAACAGGGTACTATGAGAACAACTTCAAGGAGCCTAGAATGAAAAGTGATTAAATTTGATAAGCAAAACCCAAATCCACTGTTTCGTACTCACAGGAAGAAAGAACCATGTTAACTGAAGAGGATAAATTAGCCATCAAAGGGCAGGGAAGGGCCACATGGGAAACCTCAGGCTATTTATGTACAGCTCAAAGGAGTGGGAGTGTTGGCAAAGCAGAAATTTACATAAGGGTTACCTCGGCAAGGCTCTCCCCATCCTGGAAAGGAGGGTTTTCAGCTTACTTGCCTAAAACATATTTCCTAAGGTCTATTAGCACACCTTCTATTGATTCCACACTCACCAAATCACTTTCATGACAATTTAATTTCTTGTGTAGCTTATCTACTCAGAAAGAGTGCATCACTATTCTTTGAAAGTCCACATTGTTTTGGGTTATTAATACTTAGTGTTCTGGCATTCTGCTCATATTCACATTTGTCTTCCAATACAGCCTGCTCACAATGAGAGGGTATATAAATCCTCCCACGTGGGCATTTCCATCTACTTGACAACTGTGTTGCTCATCATAAACAAATTTTGCCTATTTGGTTAATGTGAGTCAACCCCTTAGAGATGGATCTGCTAACACTATGCCCACTAAATCAAGTTTCTGATCTTCTGTGGCTGAAACTCAAGCACTGGATTGTGGTGACATCACTAAGGGTACCTTGTAGCAACATATCCAGGCATCTTACAGGACTTAACAGATGGCACCTCTCTGAATCACAGTGCAGCCTAGCACAGGTTTTCCATTAGAAACCAAGACAGCACTTTCTGTGAATGTTTCATTTGTGCACCATTAATAGAGATGTACACTGTTTCCCAAGAAAGATGATGTAAATCTTTCCATAATTTAACCATGAAAATCTACAGTGGACTCTGTTACGTAGCAGTACAGGGTCATGACTTAAAGCCTCATAAACTACCCATTGTAGCACAGCTGCTCACGATCCAGTGACACACTTGGTTAATGGATTGTCCTGGTTTCTTTAAGCTTCCTATGTCTGTCAGAAGAGAACTATGCTTTTATTTATTCCCTTATTCCCAAGACTATTTAGTGGAATATTTTTTCAAAAGACATTTTTAGAGAAGAATATGAAAAGCGAGCAGATAAATATACTATTTATCATTTATGAACGAAAATAGTTTTGAATGCCAAAGTTCTAGATATCTGGGGTAATAAAATAAAAATATGGAGTGTCTCAGAGCTCAAAAACCTTATGACTTAGGAACTGAGTAGGCATGTAAGAAAAAAATCACAAGTTATTATGAAGCATGCTATAATGAATTATTTGACACAGAAGGTATAACAAGACATTGATATCTGAGAAGACTGTTTACCCTGAGGCTTAAAGGGCAAGTAGGAAGTTGTCAGGAAGGCAATTGTAGGAAGTATACAAATTATTTAAGGGATGCTGGAACAGAAACGATGAGGTAAAGAGGAGCTGGACAATTACGGACTATTTAAAGCCTAAAGGGGTTTTTATGTAATACTGAGGAGTTTAGATATGAGTGCAGGTGACAGGGAGCCATTTTGACAGAAGGAGTAAATTTCAGATTCCCTTGGCTAGCTAGGTGTAGAGTAGACGGTGGGAAATGGGGAAAGAGCAAACCAGCAACAAAACACCCTGTAAGAAACATACCCAAATACTCTCAGGGACTAAGGATGTGGGCCTGGCTCAGGGCAGTGGCTGTGAAGGCAAAGAGCTGAATATGAAAAACAAGAGATATTTAAGAGGTAGAATAATAAAAATATATTGTAATTACTGACAGCCACTAGCATTGACATATTCTTGTGGATTCAATGCCTGCTGGGTGACCTTTTTCACAGAAAGAGCAGCAATCCTGCCTGCTGTTCTATGGCTGTTGTATTTGAGAAATTGAACATTAGAGTTTTTAATGCAGACTACAGGCACCTGTGTGTCACCAACTGAGGGGATTAGCCCCAAGATGCTGTGGCATTTGTCATTGGTTCTCAGGTTTTAGCTCCCAGGACACCATTAACTCCTGGCCAAGGTGCTTATAGTTCAGGCGAGCTGCTCTGCTAGGTGCTGAAGTTAGAGGCAGTGTGTGTGATGATTCAGAAATTGGGCTTGGGGTCAGCTAGGCTTGGGTTTGAATCCGAGATCTACCGTTTGCTTCAACTCTCATTTCTCAGCTAAGCATCACTGTCTATAAAGTAGAGAGGAGTTCCCGCTACCTATGATGGTTATTTGAATTAAATGAGATTCTTGCTTAAATTCACATATAAGGGGTAGAACTAAGATTCCACTGTGGGTCTAGCTGACTGCACACTCCACACTCTCTCTTTATCATTCCTTCTCTTCATATTTAATGGATGCATTATTTTCATTATTATTTATTTTTGAAGAAATGCAACAATGTCAGTTTATAGTTCCCTTTTGACCCAAGAGTTATTTTACAGAGAGCTTTAAAAAACCCATGAAAAAAAGGCTTTGTGTGGTTTGGTTTTGTTATTGATTTTCTAGTTTTATTCCACTGTCATCAGAGGCTGTTGTTTGTATTATTTGTACCTAATGGAACTTATTGCATTTTCTTTGTGACCTGATCTGTGGTTAATTTTGTCAGTGTTCTTTGTGGACTTGAAAAGTAAGTGTATTCTCTATTATCAGAGTAAAGAGTTCGCAATGTATTCAGATCTACTTTATTTATTTTGTTGTTTGGGTCTTCCATATAATTATAGTAAGTCGACCCTTACTTATGGTTCCACTTTCCATGGTTTCAGTTATCTGAGGTCAACTGCAGCCCAAAATAAGTACAATAAAATATTTTGAGAGACAGAGAGACCATATTCATATAACTTTTATTACAGTATATTGTTATAATTGTTCCATTTTATTAGTATTGTTGTTAATCTCTTACTGTGCCTACTTTATAAATTAAACTTTATCATAGTATGTATGTATAGGAAAAACACAGTTATAGAGGAGTCAGTACTATCCATGGTTTCAGGCATCTATTGGGGGTCCTGTTACATTCCTTCTATGAATAAGGGGGGATTACTGTATTTATCTGTGTCCTCTACTTGCCCTTACTTGGATGGAAAGTGGTATATGTTGAAATATCTAATATGAATATGTTTCTGTCTATTTCTTCTTGCATCTTCTGCAGTTTCCGCTATAAAAGTTGCTGTTTTGTTATGTGGTATGTATTCATAACTACTGGATGTTGCTTGTGAACTCTTGCCTTCAACATAAATCAGTCCTTCCTTGTGCTACTTTATGGACATTTTACCTTGGACATTTTTCAGCCTGCATTTTACCTTGTCTTATATCAAGATCAAAATCAATGCTTTCTGTTGTTATTTAATAGTTTGCATTTACCTTGTAAGCTTTTGCCCATCCTTGTATCTTTCACCTTTTAAAATCACTCTGTTAGATGTGTCTCTTGCATTCAGCATAGAGTTGGGTTTTGCAGATTCCACATTTCTGATGGTACACCATACCCTGCTCAGCCTGTACCTGGAGTTTCATAAAATATTTGTTTCCTTTTTATTTTCTTCTCTTCTTCTACCATGGGCAAGCCTCACCTAGGCCCCCAATCTTCTTGTTAGAAGCAGTTTGGGACCTGTCTGGACCTGAAGTCCCTTCGGAACCATCTGGCTTAGCTGGATTCTCATGTTTGATTCTGCCCTGCTGGTTCTCACACCACAGCAGAACAGGCTCTCCCTCTCCCACAGGGGAAGCCCTATGTATAATCGTCAATGGTGGACTTGACGAGCACCAATATAAAAGTTTGAAACTTATTCTCCTCTACTGGCTTGATATACAGACTGAAGTTTCCAATATCTAAATTAAGGTCTGATGTCTCCCAAAATATTCTTTAAAATATAATTAAATGACCTGGGAGTGCTGTTGTAGCATATAAGTCTACTTCTGGAAGAAACCCAAGAAATCATCTATTCAAATTTTCTCCCTAGTGTATGAATTGCTCCTACAATGTCTCAGTAAGCTTTTGTCTCAGTTTAGATTTTTCTGGAAATGATTAACTGACACTGTCACCCATTTTATAGGCATGAGTTTGAAGCCCAGCTAGACTATATAACAGCTATATAATGTTGAGAACTTACATAAACACTTTTTGTCTAAATTTTTTGTCTGTAGAATGGGGACAATGAAAGAAACTCAGAGAGCTGTTAAGAGGACTAAGCAGGGTTACAAATTCAAAGATTAGGCAGGTAATTAATTGTATTCCATAGTAGAAGGTAATAGAAATGATGAGGAGAGTTCATTCCCTTATCAAAGGAGAAAACTCTACTGAGCTCTGGTATATAACTGCCCTGCCTGCAACAATGTGGGCCCAATAACATCACCAGTTCTTCCCACTTTTCTAGAAAAGCAGAAACTGGCTTTTTAAATGTGAAGTTTTTCAGTTATTGAACATGGCAACTAATTCCAATTTATTTAAACACTTAGACTATTTAAAAAAAAACATATCTGTAGGCTGGGTATACCATAGGCTGCCACTTTGCAGTCTGTGGTCTACATTAATTAGCATAATGCACATGATAGGCACTCAATACTACATCATGAATTCATCACATCTGAAAACTTTGACATCAGATCATTGGGAGATGGGACTTGTTTGATTGGGTGGGTAAAAGCCCAGGGAAAAGGAGACTTAGAGTAACCAGGATATCGACTGCAGGCCCAGGAACTCTGCAGAAATTGTGGGGAACAAAACAGAGAACAGGGTGAGAGTGGACCAGCTATGAGCTCTGTGTCCTTCCCAGTCTGTCTGCTCTTACCCCTCTTGCCGATACTTGCTGGCTTTCTTGTACAACTGGCCAATCCCTGTACAGAAATAACTAATACAGGAGGAGTAGGGAGAGCGGGGTAGAAAGATCCTGCAGCTGGCCAGAGCCAGAAGGGCCCTGGCAGCGTCCTTAGAGTGAGCTAACTGAGATGAGAACAAAAAAGACATTGAGCTGGGAGCCAAGGAAGCAACTTTCTCCCTGCCCCTATTCCCGATGGCTTTTCCCCATGAGCAACTCTGAGCCTAGCCAAATACTTTCTATTCGGGTGGGTTGCAGCTGTCCCACACACATTCTAAATAAGGGCCAGTCGAGCGGTTCCTATTTTTAGCACTTTAATGTGGATGCAAAGGTCACTAAGATTCCCCATTTGCTGGCTCGATCCCTCGCTTTCTTTATTTCTCTTATTTTCCTCCTAAAATATATGTTTTCTCTTCTACTGAACTAAAGTAAGAATTCTGGGGGATGAGGGACCCTGAATTTTACTTCCTCTTGGCTGCATTCCTTATAATTGCCATGGGTTGGGTGATATATCTAGCCTGTGGCGTGCAAAGTCATGTACCGACTTTGGGAAACAGCATTCCAGACTTGGACCAAAGCCACTCCTTTTGCTCTCTTGAGCATAAAGAGATGCTTAAAGTAGAAAATAGCCTTAAAGCAACTCTCATCTAACCCTCCAAGTATACAGTTGACAGCACTGAGGCCTAGTAAGGTGAATTTGTTTATTACTATCTAACATTAATAAGAAATATTACTATTGCTTATATTCATGGAAGGTTTTCCTGTACTGAGCACCTTACATGGTGCATTGATTTATTTTGTGTTGCTCTAAAGGAATACCTGAGGCTAGGTAATTTAAGGAAAGAGGTTTATTTGGCTCACGGTTCTGCAAGTTGTACAGGAAGCATGGCACTGGCATCTGCTTCTGATGAGGGCTTCAGGGAGATTCCACTCATGGTGGAAGGGGCAGGGGGTGCCGACAAGTTACATGGGAAGAGAGGGAGCAAGAAAGAGCAGGGAGGTATTTCATGCTCTTTCAAATAACCAGCTCTCACTTGAACTAATAGAGCAAGAACTCACTCACTGCCTCGGGGCGGGCACCAAGCCATTCATGAGGGTTCTGCCCCCATGACCCAAACACCTCTCACTGGACCCCCATCTCCAACATTGGGGATCACATTTCAACATGAGATTTGGAGGGGACAAACATCCTAACTATATCACATGGATTTCCTAATTTAGTTCTCACAACCAAACAAGGCATCTATTTCAATTATTCCCATCTTAGAGATGACAAAACTGAGGTTAAGCGGTTTAAGAAATGTGGCCTAAGTCACATGGACTGGTAATGAGCCCTAAAGACATTTAGGATGCTGATTCCAGTTCTTTAACTCTTTCCAGAACCAGTGCTCAGTGTATAGATTCTCTCTCTCCTCTGTCTCTCTCTCTCTTTCACACACAGACACACACAATTCTCAGCATGGCCCTTTCATGCTTTTCTTTGGAAGCCATGATGTGTTTTCAGAACATGAGGGCAATCTCGTGAAAGCCCCCATTTAGCCTGAGAGGCCGAGGAGCTGCTTGATACAGTGGAGAGTTTTGACCCTATTTACCTGTTCTCAGGGTCGGCCAAGGCCATACTCCGAGTGACGTAGCACATTTTGAGGGGGATGCTTTTCCGGTCTCTGTGGAAGGAGAAGGACTGCGATGACGGGGGGTCTGAGGTGCTGCCCCCTAACCGAGGGGATTCAGGCGGAGGTGTTTCCCACCCAATCTCGGATACTGGGGATCCTTTCTTCACATAGGGCGTGGCTTCTCGCATGTACTTCACTGCAAGGAAAAAGACAACAAGTGCTTTTAATACATCACGGCTGAATTTCTGGGAAGTCTGATTGTGTTTCTGAAATAGACTTGCTTTGGATAAGCTCTTAATACTGAACTTCTTAAATTCTCAACGAGATTTTGAATTTTTGTTCCACTCAAGGTAATTATCTTATTATTTAAATTATATAGCTCTGTGCATCTTAGAACTTGCTGTTATGATGTCCTACAGTTGAGAATTGTGTCTAGCTTTTTTCAACTGTGACAACTTTTGCACTTTCTGATTTTAAGTTTTGCATTCTGGGAAAAAGGCTGAAAACATGGGCAGAGAGTGAGAAAGTATAACTTAGGCTAAAAGATACGTTATTCAATATAGATGTAAGGAATATGGCAGCCACATTCATTACACAGGATGCCATTTTTCTGTTGAGAAACAATCATAGGGTTTTCAATTTAATAGTGTCAAGGAAACACATACAAAGAAATATATATAAGAACACATTTTGTAGTGGCAAAAATGTGTAATAGCAAAAAAAATTATTTGTAAGAGCTGAAAAGTAGAAACAATGTAAATATCCATTAAAAAGGAACAGATTAAATAAATTGTAAGACATTTATATCATTTAAAAAATGATATATATATCATTAATTCTTAATATATATCATTAATTCTTTATATATATATCTCTTTCTCTCTCTCTATATATATAGATGTAGATGTGTTGATGTGGAAAGACCTGTAAGATCTATTATTAGTGGGGATAAAAGGAGAAAGCAAAGCATATACTATAATATCTTTGTATATAAATTCATAAATATATGTGCTTATATGCCTACAATTATTTCTGGGTAGAAATATAAGAAATTATTAACACTAGTTAGCTGTGGGAAGTGGAAATAAAAGCCATAATGATTAAGAAATAGGCTTTTACTATTTATTTATTACTCTTTCATATCATTTTCATGTTTAACCATATGTGTGTATTACTTTTATAAATCTTAAGAAAACAAAAATAACTTAAGAAAACAAAAATAGCTTAAGAGCCCAGTGAAGCAGACTGAAGTTCTGCTCTTTGATATATTTGCCTTGGTATCAAGAAGTATTTTTGCCTATTCTGAATTTGAGCATTTGGTCTTTAGGCAGCTTTTGGGTTAACAGGGCAACGAGATTCTTGGAACATGCAATGTAAACTTGCATATTCTTCTCTCTATCACCCACATACTCTGGTTCACTGCTGCCTCAGGAGATTGGGCTAAGTCCCTCACAGGTGTTTGTTATTACAAATGGCAGTGAATTGGAATGAGAGCCAACTAGGGGGCATTTCCTCCAGATCTTTGATGAATCGGTTCCACCAACTAGTGCCTTCCCTGTGCAAGACATCAACAGGATTATAGAGACTACAGAGATGAACAATACACTCCAAACTCAGAGTTACAAAATCATGGGTGACTACAGTGTATGCTGTTGGTGTCCCATCTGGGACCCTTTTCCTATAGCCTGGTTGCTGTGTGTTGGGTGAGAACAACTCATAGCTGCCCCACAAATCTTGGCCCAACAGAAGCCGCTAAGCTCAGGAGGCTGCAAAGTCACTACCCAATCCCCCAGACAGATGCTCTGCTTCTCAGAAACCCACCTAAGATAGGACATAAGACAAAGTACACAAACTACGGCACAAAGTAGAATGAGCTATGTTTTATAAAAGGAATAAAATACCTTGGAAGAACCCATTAAAAAAAGGATCTAGGAGCACGAAAGACAGTTCAGGTTCACAAAAATTTAATTAGCAGTTCAAATATACCCAGATGCATGTAATATGGACCTTTATTGAGGGACTCAATCATATCAAAAATAGCCATATTAATACAAGACAGAGGAGCAGTCATTTAACACCAACACATATTTTCAAGGAAGATTTCAGGGTTTTAGTTGAATATAAGTGCAATTAGAAGAAAAGAGCTCCATGGTTGCTCCAAACCTGTTAGCACAGGTTGCAGTTACAGAAGGAGAAATATTATTCATGGACTGTGTATTTTAATAACTATTATTTATTTCTGGGCAAAATATTTAAAGAGGAACACAGACATACTCATGAACAAATGCAGAAATTTAGGGGGACATATTGAAGCTGTCCGAGGCTGGAATAAATATACTTCTTTAGAAGATCCTAAACTTTTTCATCTGTGAAACCATTTTAGTAGAAGCTAGTACACTGCTTAGCTTTGTATATTGTAGAATTATACTCATGGAAATATAGAAAATTCAAGTATTAGCTGAGATGAATTGAAGATTTTCATTTGATTGCATTATTATCCTTCTGAGTGGAGTAGGGATGAGTGTTGCAGGAGTGAGAATCCAGGGATGCTTCATGGGGAAGGTGCCATTTGAACTTGGCCTTAAAGAGTAGCTAGGACTTTAAAAAGTAGAGATAAGAACAATAATCCTTCCTTTACGTAACATGCTCTGCTTTATAATTTTTATTGCAATTCCATAGAAAAGGTAAGTCAGGTCTCAATTTGGAAGAAGGATAGAGAAAGAACATTTACAATATACTTAATGATGTGCCAAGTATTGAATCAGGTGCTTTACATATCTACCCACATTAAGTTTCAAATGACCATTTAAGGTCTCATTTTATATACAAGGAAACTAAGGTCTAGAGAAGGTATGGATAAGGTATCTTTTATTTACCGAGCATCCATGTGTCCACGAGTTATACAAGAAAAATATTGCTATCTCTTTCAGACCTGCTAGAAAGAAATGCCTTGTAGGGCTATTCTTATTGAAGTGAACACTAGCAGCATGACATAGGTGATCCCTTGTAGGTTAGTATTATTGTACACATCAGCACACTGATGCTCAGAATTTTAGCTTATGTAAAGTTATATGGCTAGTAAGTGGTGTAGCTAGAATTTGATTTCCCAGAGATAATATTTTCTCATGAGATCTGGCCATACCACCTAGATGAAGGATGCAAATGACAAGCTAATAGGTTTGAGCTTTATTCTACAGGCAGTAGTGATAGTCGTGGTGATCTGTGAGTGAGAGAGTGGCAGAATCAAAGGTTAGCTTTAGAGAGAACTCCTGGAAGGTGAGACTGGGTGTACTTAAGAGAAAGGATTAGAAGTAGATCCACCATTTCCAGGGCCATAGGGGTTAATGTCAGAGATAACCCAAGTAACACTCTAAATCTCCACATAAGGGAAGAGTAATCCCAGAAATGTGTGGCTTTAGCCATTCCTGGGAAGAAGCATGGGGAGTATAGCAAGTCTTAGCCTAGAAACAAATATTTGCCAAATAACCCTTTCCTATGTGACACAGCACTAGGGGAATTTCCAAAGGACAGAAGACATGGCACTGCCTTGAAGAAGGGATATCCCATTGGGAGTAATATTCTGCATATAGTAATCCTTTTAACTGGCCAATTGCAAATAAAGACAGAAAAAAATAAGGTAGGTGTGATAATTTTAAAATTTCACTCATTCGGTCAAAACTTATCAGTCAATTTTCATGTGCTAAGAACAGTGCTGTCCATGAGGTATAATAAGAAATGGTCCATGATTAGAAGTTTAAGCCAGGAAAAAGGGAAGTATGTAAATGATATGAGTGCTTATGTTAAATCTCAAAACTGGATTAAGGAAATCTCAAGCTCGACAAATCTCTAGAGGCCTTGAAGAATCAAATGCAAGTCCTTTCTGGAGGAAGGCAACTTCATCCTAAGCTTCAAAGAATCCCCATGAATCATTTTAAAATGCAATGAGCAGGCATAAAAATCAAAGGAAATGTTGCATACAAGGAAACAACGTACCATGTGCAAGAACCAGCACTAAGGGCAGTAAGTCTCACGCATACTACAAAGCTATAGTATGTTTACAGAGACAAATGAAACCTTGAGAGAATCTTCCACAAATTCTTTAAAAGTGATTTAACATAGTGATAAAAAGAACCAAACAGAATGTTTAGTAATATTACCAGAATTGAAACTTCCATAGATAGACATGTCAGAAGAAGGAATTAGGGAGCTGTAGATAAGAAATTTTACAGAATGTAGCACAAATATACAAAAAGATGGAAAATATGGGATAGAGATGAACAGATGTGAAGGATAAAGTAAGAAAATCTAAATATGTTTAACTGGGCCCTTGGAAAGGTAAGGTATAGCGAATATGGCAGAGCCGAAGAATTTTCCCGATGCCAAGACACCAACCCAAAAATTCAAGAAACCTAATTTGGCTTTGCTGAACAATGCCTGTGAACTTCACCACCAAGAAAAATAGAAATAAGGTATGATTCTTCTTTATACTTTGGATGGGGTAATGGCTTAGGTTTTTCTGTGTTTCTTCTGAGAGCTTTAGATATCACCTCTGCTTTTCACTAGTATTGGGAGGAAATCTTAGCAAAATCCCTAAATGAGTCTTGAAATCTCCAGAAAATAAATTTTCAATTTCAAGGAATTAAATGAGGCTAAAAGACTATCGTCACTGTCCCTAAGGAAGATATACTGAGGTTCTGGTAGTTTTTTTCATATCTATCCTGAGGGAGAATAAGTAACATCCACACATCCGTTCTTAAAATCCCTTTGTCCATCCAGGAGTCCTGATTTTTTTTGATATGTATAGAAAATGAAGAAGTTTGTTATTGTGTATAATAAAAAAAAAAGCAAAAGAAGATTGCCATTGGATTTCTTCAAGAACCCATAATTTCTGGTACAGAGGAAGTAATAAAATGGTCAAGATGGTCCTTCTTGCTGGAAGAGACTCCAAGTCATTTTTACAAGGCTTGGCTATCAATTGTAGACATAATTGTACTGCCAAGCACTCCTGTCCCCAATCACCAGTTGAGGTCTGAGACTAAGCAGCCCCAGGCAGGGAGTGAAAGCAGGGTAGCCATGCTTGGGTGTGGTAAAGCAGTGGCTCTAATTGGAAATAGAGTGTGTGAAAACTTCATGGTTCTCTGTTCATTAGTGTCCTGAAATTTCTATACCTGGCAATCAAAATAGTTAGGATATCATCTAATTCAGGGAAGGGAAGGTGTTGCCTAAGAATAGATTTATCTATAATAGGCAGCCAACATTAGTGTATTAAGCAATACAGGAGTTTGTTATTCATTTGTCAAAAGTCTAGAGTGAAAGAAAAGGGCTGCTAGGGCAGCTCTGCTCCCTGAAGTTGTCAGGGACTCAGGCTTCTGCTTCCTGACTGCTCTGTATCCCTGGTGTGCTGTCTAATGATCCAATATGGCTGCTGAGTTCCAGCCATCACAACCAAATTCCCATTAGTAGGAAAGACGAAGAAGTGAAAAACACACCATCCTTCTTGCTTTAAGGCCACTTTTCAGATATTGACACGCTATTTCTGCTTACAACCTGATATGGTTTGAATATTTAGCCCCTCCAAATCTCATGTTGAAATGTAATCTCCATTGTTAGAGGTGGGCCTAGTGGAGGTATTGGATCATGAGGACAGATCCCTCATGAATGGCTTAGCGCCATCCCCTTGGTAATGAGTGAGTTCTCACCCAGTTGGTTCACTTGAGATCTGGTTGTTTAAAAGAGTCTGGGACCTCCCCCTTCTCTCTCCCTTTGTCCCATTCTTGCCATATGATGTGCTGCTCTCCCTTTGCTTTCCACCATGAGTAAAAGCTCCCTGGGGCATCACCAGAAGCCAAGCAGATGGTGGCGCCATGCTTCCTGTCCAGCCTGCAGCACCGTGAGCCAATTAAACCTCTTTCCTTTATAAATTACCCAAGCCCAGGTATTCCTTTATAGCGATGCAAAATGGATTAACACACAACCCATTGGCCAGAACTTACTCACATGGCCACTTCTAGGTGGAAAATAAATTTTTTCTTTATTCTTGACAGCTCTATGTCCACCTAGCTAAAAATGGTAGGGAGAGGTGGCTATTACTGGGGAAAATGAAGAGAATAAATATCTGGAGACAACAGAGGAATTCTCTCAGGACTTATTCTCTCAGGACTTAGCATAAATAGATTTTACAACACATAAATACAAAGAAATGTGTTAGAACAATCAATTAAAAAAACATGACTATGTTCCATATACTTTGCCAAGTGTTTTTTGTGTACTAACTCATTTGAACCTCACAACAATATAGGCATTATAATCATCCCCCTTTGGTCATTCGCCCAAAGTCAGTGTTGGAAAATGGCAGAAGCATGAGGTGAATCCGGGTAGACTGGCTCTACAGTCCTTAGGTTCAACCAGGAAGCAATACTGATTCTCGCTCTGAAAAAAAATTGCGTGTGTGTGTGTGTGTGTGTGTTTGTGTGTGTGTGCGTGTATTTAAGTCAATATTTTTATGTGCTGTGAGAAAACATCCAATTAAGAGGCTATTGCCTGTAACATGAGAGAGTTTGATTTTGTAAGCTTGAACTATTAAACTATGGCATTTCAATAAATGCCTTTTAAGACACTATAATATGTATTCATAATAGAGGGTTTAACCTGGCAGAACTGAACCACTAGTGTCTGCATAATTATACTTCCATGTGCTTACCGGCAGTAATTTCAGGCAAAGAGCTGTTGAAACTGATTTGAAGCAGCCAGGCCCAGGTTCAGGGTGCCTAGTAATCAGAACTAATTAATAAACCATGTCCTTTTTGGGCATCATGATTTAAAAGCTGTGCTTTAGAAATTAAAATTCCAATCTTCAGTTGTAAGAAAAGGGGCGGAGAGGAGTCAGAGGTGCTCTTCAAACCAATAATCCACCAAGCCACTTTCAATATGTTTGTGTTTTTCATTTGAAGGACAGGCAGTTGTGAATATTCCAAAAGAGCATTCAGTAAAGTACAAATTTGCTAAGGCTCCAAGTTGCCACAACTAAATCTTTGTTGGGTTGGCCAGATGACATTTGAAAGAAAAAGCACACAGGCTACTAATGAGGAAATGCTTTAGGCAAATCCAATCAACTCTCCTACCAGACTGGTTTCTAAGGAGCCGGAAAGTCCGTCTGATGTGTTCAAGTTTTCTTAAAAATAACAACAAACACAACAACAAAAAAAGAATTTCCAGATTACAGGAAGGAAAAAAAATTCATTGCTTTAGAGGATGTAAACACAAATGTGGAGTTTTAAAAATGTGATTAAGGAGAAAGGGGATTAGCTGGAGGCAAGAAACCTGGGTATTCAGACTTCTGGTGAAATGTTCAAGCTGGGGACAGGTTGGTGACAGTGGGAATTGCCAACAAAATGCAATATAAGATTTACCCTCAATGGCATTTTCCCAGGTCATCTTAGGGAGGAAAGATGCAGAGAGAGATCATCAATATTTTCAAAAAGACCAAGAAATGATGAAAGAGGTACTATGTTTCTCAGAAGTTATAGCTAATGTCTCGAGAGGCTGAATGATGCAGAGGAAGGAGAATTGGCCCTGGGAGTCTGAGACCTGGATTACAGTTCCAGCTCTGCCACTAACTAGCTCTCCAGCCCTGGGCAAGTCACTTCCCTTGCCTGGATCTCATTTTCTTCGCCTGTCAAAGGAGGGAAATAAGGTCCCTACCCTTCAAACATTCTCTGATTCCTTGGGAAGCTGCCTTTTCTGACAACATTAAAAAAAGAATGTGTTTTACCTCATCTTGCTACTTATGTCATCACCAAGAAATAGCCCTGTTCAAATGTGTGCCACATTCTAGACAGAGGCCTTAAGCAGATGTGTCTTCTCACTTTTTAACCAAAACCTACAGGCACCTGACAAATAGGAATATAAGCCCACATTGAGATTATGTTCTCAAGTTACTTTTTCTTAGGTTTGGCAGCATTATCTAGAAGAATCATTATTTTCATTCAGTTACCAATATTTATTTTACTTCCATTCTGCCAGCTGAATCCTGGCATAAATACATCTGGAAGGGAAGAAGCATTTGAAGGATGGCCAAAATGTTCTGAAGAAGTCATAGGACGTTCTTGGAGAGGGGATTGAGTTTTAAAATGTGGAGTTGAGAGTAAAATAAACTAGGTATGAATTTGTTAAGTAATCTTCCGCCTCCAAAGAAAAGATTATCTCAAAATTGTCCTATTTTAGACTAATCCACTCATTCAATGTGACCTACCTTGATTCTTCAACAAAGCAAGATAATTGATGCCAAAGTAAGGCAATGGACCCACAGAAAGTATCCTATCTCATGAGTAATCCTATCCATCCAGAGCACACTGATTGGTTTAGTTATTAATTAATTCAACAAATGTTTAATGAGCTCTTTCTGTAGGGAGGGCCCTGAGTATTGGAATAGTCACAGTGAATAAGACCGACTGGCTCCCTACCCTTAAGGTGCTTGCATTCCAGTACACATGTGCCTGTTGCGGCACAGGGTGGAGACATTAAACAAGCAGACAATATAGGGCATTGCTCAGAAAGTGACATGCACTAGAGGACAGGAGCCCGTCCCCTTTCACACAGAGCCACTCACCATCTGGCACCTGCCTACTTCCTGACCTAATCTTAGCTGACTTGTTCTGCACAGTTCACATGCAAGCCACAGAGAAGTACTGTTTAATTCGCTGAACATGCCATGTTCTCTCCTGCCTCTGTTCTTTGCACATGTGGTTTCCTCCACGTGGAAACCTTTCTGGAAAACTCCCTACATCCTTTAAACCTCATGCTGGGTAAGACCTCCTTTTCAAAGTGCTCCTGACACCTCAGGCATGCCTCCCTTAAACACCAGCTGTGCTTTGTAGCAGCTTCCACTGATATCAACAGCATCAGGACCATAAACATCGTGATGATGGCTTATTCCACGCCAGGCACTGGGCTGATCAGCTTACAAATATTTAAAAGAACCCTTATATTTATATGCAATTGTTTGCATAATAAGTCTTTCTAGTAAAACCATAAGGTCCTCAAAGTTGAATGACTACTTTACAAACTCTGGACTCCGGAGCCAGACTATACAGTTCACATCCCAGCTCTGTCACCTGCCAACTATGTAAGCTTGGGAAAATTTCCTTACCCTTTTGATACCTTCACTTTTCCATGTGAAAAATGAGGATGCATAGCCATTCTTACCTCAGAGAATTGTTATAAGGTTATGAGGATTAAATGACTTAATACACACAAAGGGCTTGGAAGAGTGTTTAGTACATAGAAAGTACTCATTACTGTCAGAAAAAATAAAAACTCAGGGACATGCAATTAGCACAACTGTCTGGCTACAAAACATGGAATTGTGAGCAAATGAACAACAAATAGAATCTCCACAACATAGTTTCTCATATTTTTTAATTTTTTTTGAGAGATGGAGTCTGGCTTTGTCGCCCAGGCTGGAGTGCAGTGGCATGATCTTGGCTCACTGCAACCTCCGCCTCCTGGGTTCAAGCGATTCTCCTGCCTCAGTCTCCTGAGTAGCTGGGATTATAGGTGCGCAGCACCACACCTGGCTGATTTTTGTATTTTTAGTAGATACGAGGTTGCACCATGTTGGCCAGGCTGGTCTCGAACTCCTGACCTCAAGTGATCCATCCGCCTTGGCCTCCCAAAGTGCTGGGATTACAGGCATGAGCCACCGTGTGTGGCCAGTTTCTCAGAGTTGTTCTCTAGGAGCAGTCTCATAACCAATCTTTATTACAGATCAAGTAGCAGAGGCCAGAGAGTATCAGTCACTTGCCTAAGGTTACAAGACCAAAGAGTCACAGATGAGGGTCAGGAACCCTGCACTCTATCCTGTAAAATGGAGGTAGGCAAGATTTTTCCTTAAAAAGCCAGAGAAAAAATGCTGAGGGCTTTGTGGACCTTAGAGTCTCTGTCATAACTTCATTTTGCCATCGTTGCACAAAGAGGTCACAGGCTGTATACAAATACACCAGTCTGGCAGCATTCCAACAACACTTCATTCACAAAAACAGGCAGAAGGCCAGGGTGGACCCACGGGCTGTAGTCTGCCAACTCCAGCTTTAAAACAATAACAACAACTAGCAATTATTGATTACTTACCACGTGTTGAACCTGGCTCTAAATGTGTAAAGTATGCTCATTAGGGAGCAATTCTATGAAGTAGGCATACTATTACGCCTACCTTATAAGAAAGAAAATTGTGGCATGGAGAACTGAAGTGACTTGCCCACAGTCACACAGTAGCAATTGGCAGTGCTGAGATTTGAATCGAGGGTGTCTAGCTCTACAGCCTCAACTTCCAATCACTTTACCATGCTTTTTTCTTGCATCCTGGATGCTGCCTCTAAACATATGCAAATGTTCATGTCTGAAACCTGTTTGTACAACGACAAAAATTTTCGAAGTCATGTTTCTAAAAACATCTTTTGGCTGAGCATGGTGGCTCACACCTGTAATTCCTGAACTTTGGGAGTATGAGGTGGGAGAATTGCTTGAGGCCAGGAGTTAGTGACTAGCCTGAGCAATACAGCATGACCTCATTTCTACAAAAATAAAAATTAAAAAATTATCCAGGCATGGTGGTGCACACCTGTAGCCCTACCTGCTCAGGAGGCTGAAGCAGGAGGATCACTTGAGCTCAGTAAGTTGAGGCTGCAGTGAGCTATGATCATGCCACTGCACTCCAGCCTGTGCAAAAGAACGAGACTTTGTGTCAAAAAAAAAAGAGAAAAAACAAAAAACGTTTAATCTGCAGTGTTTTCTTTTCATCATCTCATAAACTGATAAAATATCAGTGTTTGTGTTTTCATAAAGAAAAAAGATAAGCCAGGGTAAAAAGAGGCTGGAACTACCGAGATCTTGCTCATTTGACATCCAGATATTACAAAGCAGCTGGCCCACACTCCTTCAAAGCCTGAAGGTGGCGATGGCTGAATCTAATAGATGAGGTACATAATAGGTGTTGGTTTTATTACTTCAACTTACTAGATAGCTTCTAGGAGGGACACCTAATGCTTATGATGACAAAATTGAGATTTTAAGAGTTTCACACAGGCACTAAATAAAAAGATGAAATATAATAGGGATAAAGTAGAAAGTTCTGTCATTGCATATTCAAAATAAAAATCTCTGTAACATGTAGGACAGGGAGAACTGTGTTAAAAGCTGTTGATAAGAATACAGATTCTAGGGATTTTCATGGCTATGATTCCCATAAGAAAGTAATAGGATATTAGGCTCCACTGATAGAAGTATGCCGTTCAGAAAAGGAGAGAGAAGTCCTTCTCTTTGCCTCCTCGATCAGCCTATACCTGAAGTTCTAACAGGTTAGACGATGTTTAAATGAGGGTAAAGCAAATGATCAGCTTGTTGAAAGGCTCAGGAAATAATTAAACCATACATTAAATGACAGACATTAGCACAAAAGAGTGACGTGCATAAACTTTGGAGTCTGACCCTGGGGTCCAATTCCAAGCTCTTCTATTGCCTAGCTCTGTGGTCATGAGCAAATTACTTGGTTTCCCCAAATGCTTGTTCTTTCACTCACTCATAGAACTGTTGTGAGGATTCACTGAATCAATGTAAGTAAAAATCTACAAGAAACGGGATAGTAAACACTGAAAGGTACACTACAATTATTAGAAGTTATTCAACCTAGAAAAACAATGTACAGGACTTAATAACTGGGGATTTGGTTAACTTCACTTTGTGTATGTCTGCAGAATACAGCCATGATCAGTGAATACAATCAACAGGGGTAAGATTTGGGTTCAATATAAGAAAAGACTGGGAGGTGGTGACTTCCCTATGCTAGTGACGTTTCAAGCAGAAACTGGATGAGCTATCTCCCAGTCACATTGCAGAAAATAATTCTACTTTGTGGAAGAGTAGATTGTTTCTAAAATCTCTTCAAGTTGCCATATTCTGTGATTTCTGGAATGTGGTTAATTGAGATGCCTAATCCAAAGACTCCAATATAGTGAGATCGATTCACAGATACATTACCAAGCATAAAATTGTGCTGTACATTTCTTCATTATTATATGCTTATTAGCTACATATTAGTAGTGTGACAATGAGACAATCTGTTAAGCTATCTGGGTCTTAGAATCCTCATCTGTATAATGCGGAAAACAATGTCTTCCTTAGATAGGCAATACAATGTAGTGGTTTAAAATATGAGCTCTAGAGTCAGAGCATCTGGGTTGGAATCCCAAATCTTCCATTTACAAGGTGGACTTCTTTAAGAAGGTATGTAACCTCTGTGCCTCAGTTTCCTTACCTAATAATAACAGCACCTATCTCTTAGGATTGTTACAAGGATTAAATAATTTCAAAAAATGTATACAAAGCCCTTAGAACAGCATCTAGCACAAGCTTATCACTCAAATTTAAATATTACTATTATGTCATTGCTGTTATTGTTGCTATGAAATTTCAGTGAGAAAATGCATTGCAAGGATGTCTCTTTTCGGACTCTCAGAACTGTCAAAATAAAAAGTGCTTGAAAATATCATTTCTTTCATTCATTTCTTGCGCATAAATTAAGCACTTACTCTGTGCATTGTGTGGGACTAGACATTGCAGGATAGATAATCAACCGGATATACGAGTTACTGCTTCTGAGAATTTTATAATCATGCCAGGCAGAAAAGGCATAGAAACCTAAAATACCAAAATTTCTACAGAATATGATTCAATACACACGAAAAGTAGTCTAAAGTTTATTCATCAGATATTAATAAGTACTGAGAGGACCTGGATTAATTTGCCAGCAATTTGCCCTCACCACCAAAAATAATAATAATTTCTCTTCCCTGGGAAAATAAAGTAACTATTTTAACAGCTATACTCTAACATCTGAAGACAGGAAGTGAGTAACAGGCAGAAAGGATGTCTGAATGCTCAACTCCAAATATTGTTTTTACTCTTTGCTAGACAGAAGATCACATGTGAATGAAACTTTACGTCAAAAGCAGGAAGTGTGTCTCTCTCTTGCCCCTTACAGGTATCTCTGGAAGATAAAACTCTATTATTCCAGGTGTAGCTTCATAATAACATCCTGCAAATCAAACTTGGGGCTCAGTAAATTTGCAGTTATTTTTCAGTGACAGAAGCCCAGAGTCATAAAGCTTTTCCAAAGGAAACCACATTAAGTAAACTAAATATCATTACCAAGGGTAGAGTCAGGAAAGGAATGACATTTTTCCACCTTACTCCGAATATGCTGCAAATCTAAAGTACTTGTAGAGGCATCTGAAGGTAAGGTAGATGGTGACGGGTTCTTTGAAACATCAGAGTCTGGCAGACTAGACAATGCTATGGATACCTCCTATTTTGAAAGTGCTTTATAGCACCTCCTTGCACACAGCCTCATTGCATGCTTATTGTCACCCTCATCTGAAATATGCATAAGTTGCAGGGCCTTTTAGAATCTGACTATGCATCTATTTTTTTGAGACTTCCATGACCCAGAGAGTGAAAGCCTAACAACTTTCCCCATCAAATTTTACCTCCTCCCCCAAACATATGTGCACACACAAACACATCTTGCTCCGTAGAACTAATGCCTTTAGGACTCAGCTCAATGGGACTTCACTGCGCTTCTGCACTGGATTTTCTTCAAGAGGCCAAACTTAGCTTGGCCTTGCTTCATACTCTCTCAGGAGAGTAATTCCTAAGAATTACATCAGGATGACAGAGGAAAGGCCTAAGCAAGCTTTAAGGTTCTATCAGAGTCAGAAGAATAAAACCTCACAAGATTTAAGGCTAAACCTCTAGAAGGTTCACTTGAGGCATACCAGTCAAGATAGTTGGGCCTTTGTTGTTTTTTAAAAAGGTAGGAAAGGAATGATGGTGAGCATCAGTGAATGGATACAACTCTTTCAATAAATAAACCCATAGAAAAATTTAACAATAAAAAGGTAGGCAAATCGAGGTTCATAGAGTTTAAATATCTTACTGCAATAGATATTCCAAGCACCAGACCTGGAATTTGATCCCACATCTTATAAATCTAATTTGAAAATCCCTTTCACCATAATCACAGATGTAATAATACATCTACTTCAAGTAACATGAAGACATGAGCTAGATTATTGCAGTTAATGAGCAATGAATTGCTACTGATGCTGGGAAAATCTATGGATATTGGAAAAGGGGACTAAATTAATAAACATACTCTGTGACAATTACATCAGAATTGATGTTATCAAAATATTCCACATGTGCCATAAGAAAAAATCTAAAGGTCATATAGGAAATCCTAAAAAAACATACAAACTGTCACATTTGATGAAAATAAAAAAATTGACATAAAATTTGTATTATAAACAAAAGGGGAAATGACATCAGATATAATATATATTAAAATAATAAATAATCTCTAAAACATAAAAGAATACTTTTGACAGTTTTATGGTAATAAGTTTGAAAACCTGGAGTGCACAAATTCCTAGAAAAAAATAAACTTAACAAAACTGACCTAAGAAAATAGAGAGCATGGTTAGTCTTGTAACTCTTAAAGGAATGGGAAAATTCTTTAAAAATAATTTTAAAATTTATTCTTTAATTTTAAAGAAAATTTTTAAAAAGAAAATACTAGAACCAGAGCTTATTAGTGAATTCTACCAAATCGTTAAAGAACAGCTCATTCAAATCTTAATCAAACTATTCCAGAGACTAGACACAAAAAGAGTCTCCCCAAATTATTCCACGAAGCTAATATAACTTTAATAACAAAAGAAGTCATGGAAAATTTTTAAAAGGAAAATTGCCCATCCATTTTCCTAAATATAAACATAAATCCCAAATGCCAAACAAAATGTCAGTAAACCAAGTCCAACAATATATATAGAAGACAGTAGTACAGCATGACCAAGTTTGGACTGGTGAATAATCCAAGATTGATTCAATATTAGAAAATGTATTATTGGCATTCAATATATTAACAGATAAAAGGAGAAAAGTATATGACTACTTAAGTGAGGAAAATACATTTTATATTTTATAAACTTTAATAGACAGTTATAGGAAACAAAAGAAGCCCTTAGTAAACCAGAAATAGAAGGTAACTTCCTTAACTTCCTAAAGACTATCCACTAGAAATAAAACCAAATTGACATCAAGCATTCTGAATAAGGAAATGCTGTAAGCATCTCCTTGAAAATCAGGATGGAATTAACAATACCCTCCCATTACCCCTCTATATAATGTTGCACTGGAAGTCCTAAGCTGTGCTAAATGACAAGAAGAAGCAATTCAATGTATAAGGATTGGAAGGTTAAAAATGTTAAACAAATGAATGCATGAATGAATAAGTGAGAGAGTGAAAAAATGGAAGGAAGGGAGGAAAGGAAGGAGGGAGGGAGAAAGAGAGGGAGGGAAGGAGGAAGGCAAGAAAGTGTAGGATAAAGCACCTAGAACTTGTTATACCTGAATTTCCATCATGGCTGGGGTCCTAATTTTCTGAGTAGTTGTTAGCAAATCATTTAATCCTCTAGTGTTCTTAAATTTCCTATTCTATAAAATCAGGGAAACTACCTTGGTTAATTAATTCCATTAAAAAGGATAGAAAATATGGGAAGAAATACAGGCTTCTGGGATGAGAGTGAACTATTTCAGTTTTGGAGATGTGAGGTTTGAGCTGTGGACAGAACATCCATGAAGAGATAAAGGTCAACAGACAGCAGAATTATGAGTCTGAAGCTTTGAGAAATGGTCAGAGGTTCATCTCAGTTCCAGTGGAAGGAGATGTTTCATGACAATTGTAATGGTTAGCACTTATTGAGCACTAACTAAATGTCCAGGGTTTTACATAGATTACATCTTTTAATTTTCACAACCACCTTGTGAGATCATACTGTTATCATTAACAGTTTACAGATGAAGACACAGAAGTCAAATAACTTACCTAAGACCCTACAGCCTCAAAGTTGTGATTCAAGCCTGATTCCAAAGCTTTTCCTCTTTCCCACTGTGTTGGGAAAGTCTGCCTTTTGGAATCAGATCTGATTTAGAATCTTTTCTCCCCAAAGAGCCTTGAGATCTGGACAACTTGCTACAGTTCTCTAAGCCTGAGATTTCTTCTCTTGAAAAAGAAGAAAATAATACTAAAAGCATGGGGTTGTTGTGTATATTTTACCAGATGATATATGTAAAGTGTCTGGTATTTAAAAAAAAAAAGGTATGCCATAAATAGTAGTTCCCTTTACCCTTTCTGCCCAAGGCAAACCTCCCAGAAGCAAACTAGAGAACAAGGACAGAGGGAGATAGCAGGTATGTAACACCCTAGAGCCATTTTCTTATGTTCCAAGTTATCCATATCCTCACTATCCCCCCTCCGTTTCCGCAGACAGCCCAGGGGCAAGCAAAAGGGCAAAAGGCAGACATCAAAGCTCAAAAGGGAAATAGATGTTGAACTGAACAGATGACTTAAACCCTTCCTCCTATTCTAAAACACTATCTATGTTCCCTGATCTAATCTTGGAGCAGGGAAGAAGGGGGCGGAGGTTGTGGGTGTTGTGAAGGGAAAACTCAAACTAAACAACAGGAAGCTTATTGGCTTATTTGAGTACCAGTATAGTTGAGCTAAAAGATCACAGACTTTGAGTCAGATCAATCCAGCTTATGTGGCTGATAGCTGCACAAATGGCTATGAGGAACATTTCCTGACCTCTCTAAGCCTCACAGGGCCTGTTAACATGTAACGCACAAATTTGCTATTAAATTAGGTAACACTTGCTGTGGTTAGAATGCGTCCCCTCCAAAATTCATGTTGAAATTTCATCCTCATTATGATAGTATTGAGGTGGAACCTTTTGGGAAGTGATTAGGTCACGAGGGTTCTGCCCTCATGAATGGATTAGTGCCTTACCAAAGGGCAGGAGGGAACTAGCTTAGGCCCTTTTTGCCCTTCTGCCTTCTGCCATGTGAGAACACAGCATTCATTCCCTCTGGAGGACAAAGCAAGGTGCTCTCTTGACAGCAGGGAATGAGATCCTCCCCAGACACCAAACCTATTGCTGGCTCAGTCTTGGACTTCCCAGCCTCCAGAACCATAAGAAATAAATTTTTTTTTCTTTATAAATTACCCAGGCTCTGGTATTCTGTTACAGCAGTACAAATAGACTAAAACAATAAAAAATATTAAAGGATATTTAACACACATTCTGAAATGTGTTAAAACGCAACTCTTCCTGGGTACTGATATGAATCTCAAAACAATCACCAGAAAATATTTTAGGGCATATTGACCTGCACTTGGAGAAGAATCCAGAACAAAATCTTTTTGGCTTGTGCAAAAACCAAAAACCAAAACAAAACAAAACCCTACTTTTTGGTGTTGTCTGTGGTAGAACATTGAAACCCAGGTATTCACTGGCAGGAAACAAAACGAGAGTTTTAACAAGCCTGGGACAAGTAGCCTGAAAAAATCTCAAATCACTTCATGATTCATTTTGTTGTTTAAATGGTGATATGGTTAACTGAATCTAGGTATGAAACTTAAGTTTCCTCCAGGTTGAAAGTGGACTTGAAGTATTTCAATGTAAATAACACCTTTAAATATTACATAATTTAAAAAATCATTAAAAAAAATCTTTATACACTCTAAATTGTGTTGCCCTAAGGTAAAGTATACTCCACATTTCAAGGCCTCACAGCTCCCTGAGATCAAAGCTCTAGGTTAGCTAAATGGGAAATCCTGGCTGTGTGTTACAGATGAACACTCTTATTATCCATTGTCCTGGGCCTCCTCGCTTCCCTCCATGCAAGACTGTTTACTGTGTAAACAAACAGTAGCTGTGCAGGCCGTCAGGTGTTTTGCACCAAAGAATTCAACATATTTCTCCATGAAAAAATACAAGTGTTTTACTTTCTGTCAGAGTCTAAACTCTTCACTCCTTTTTCTTTTCTGTTCAACGGATAATTCATATTTAAGTATATGACCTCATTAGACAAGCCTACAAGTCATGCAGGATTTCTGATTCAAGCAGGCTCTGAGGACCCTAAAACATAATAAAGTACTTGTAGTCTAACATGCTATCAATTATAACAGGAGCAGAACCCAAAAAACAAACTTTTATCTTTAGAGTAGTATATATTGTTTGTCAATATAAAAAAGAAAACATTCATTTTCTTTTCTTTTTTAAATCCTTAGTAATATTCAAATATGTTTTAAATGGAAGCTTCTGCTTTAAGAAAGTCCACCCACATTATACACACTATAATATTCTAATTACTTCCAAGAAATGCTTCCTTCCAAGTTTGCAATCATTTACAAACATTAAGACATACTTCAGTGAATCACACTGAGAATTCATGGAATTGTAGATTTATAAGTGAATTACACTTGGAATAAATTTTCTTTCAGAACTTAGAAATATATGACAGGCCCGGCGTGGTGGCTCACGCCTGTAATCCCAGCACTTTGGGAGGATAAGCCAGGCGGATCAATGAGGTCAGGAGATCGAGACCATCCTGGCTAACACGGTGAAACCCCATCTCTACTAAAAATATAAAAAAATTAGCCAGGCGTGGTGGCGGGTGCCTGTAGTCCCGGCTACTCAGGAGGCTGAGGCAGGAGAATGGCATGAACCTGGGAGGCGCAGCTTGCAGTGAGCCGAGATCACACCACTGCACTCCAGCCCTGGTGACAGTGTGAGACTCCATCTCAAAAAAAAAAAAAAAAAAAGAAGAAATATATGACATTATTCATATAGTGAATGAGGTACACACCATCCTAAATTTTTCAACAATTCCTGTTACCAAACAAGGAGGTCAAGGATAGAAGCACTATTAAGTCCTAATTTTATATGCATTTTTTATATGATGATAAATTAATTATGTAGCAACTTAGAAAAGCTCAGTGCAGACGAAAATGTCACATTGTAAGCCACTGTAATAACATGGTAAACTTATTAATACCACAGGGGCTTTTATTTACCCTTTAACCAAAACTGTGAAGAAGCATCATAGCACTCATTCAGTGATAGTTCATAGGCAACTATGAACTGTCCATGAATGATCAGATTTATGCCTCACTACAGTTTATTTTCCATATGAAGAAGCTGAATCTCAGGCAGGTAGACTCACCCAACTTCTTATGCTGCACAGTAAGTGGCAGAGCGGGAATCTGAAGTCAGGCTTTATGATCCAGCCCTAGCATTACCCATTACACATGCCGCACACCTGTGACACCGTCTTCTCCTCGTTACTATTGCCAGTACCCCGTCATGTGGTTTCAGAGACCCATCTCTATTCCCAGGAAGAAAAGCATCTAAAATGCATTGACTCCATAGTGGAGTAATATAAATATTGTCATTCTTGGAAATTGTTTTAGAGTGGAAAAACCTGAGCTAAAGAGTTACGATCATCTGGGTTGAGGTTCAGTTCTCTTTCAGCTGCATGAGAATGGACAACTCATTTCATCTTTCTAAAGTTCAGCCTCCTCATCTATAGATACACCTGATAGAATATTTTTAAAAATTCAGGCATAATCTAAAACTTCACAGAGTGAAGTACTCAGACCTTACATGCATCTTTCAGTCTGGATGAACACATATTACATGCATTTCATAGGTTTCATTTTCATCTGTCTAGACATTACCCTCATGCACCTTTTCAGTCACCCCCACCCCGCAGAAAAGTAGCTGCTGATCTGTTTTCTGATTTGCTTTTTCTATATTTTTCTATAAATTGAATCATACAGGCTGGGCATGGTGGCTCATGCCTGTAATCCCAGGACTTTGGGAGGTCAAGGTGGGTGGATTGCGAGGTCAGGAGTTCAAGACCAGCCTGGCCAATATGGTGAAACCCCATCTCTACTAAAAATACAAAAATTAGCTGGGCACAGTGGCATGTGCCTGTAGTCCCAGCTACTTGGGAGGCTGAGGCAGAAGAATCGCTTGAACCTGGGAGGCGAAGCTTGCAGTGAGCCAAGACTGTGCCACTGCACTCCAGCCTGGGCAACAGAGAGAGACTCCATCTCAAAAAGAAAAAAATTGAATCATACAATATGTACTTTTTTGTGTATGTCTGGCTGCTTCTTTCACACTGTGTAACATGTTTAAGATTCACTTATGTTGTGGTGTGTAATTACAGTTCATTCCCATTAATAATAATTGGATGTAGGCATTAAAAGAGATAATGTACATTATTACCTGTAAAGGGCTCTATAAAAATACTCACAATTATTATTTAAAAGAGGAAGCCCAGGAACAAGAGAGTGTTAGAGCCAGGAAGAGGAATATCTAAGACTGTCATAGGCTAGAGTGTATTTGGAGTAAGGGGTTCATTAATTAGTGTCTGCCATATCACATTCTTTGTATGTTTAAGGTCATCCCATACCAGAAACATGTAAATTTGGCTTGTTTGGTCAAGCTGAGTTGGATTTAGTCTACCAGACCAGAATTTATTTTTCTGCTCAGCACAGACACCAAGAGTGCCTTCCACCTGTATTTCTGAAACACTCTCTTTTGCCC